>NC_000003.12:181205574-182455574 GCF_000001405.40 Homo sapiens | reverse complement strand
TTGAAGTAATGGATATCTTTATTATTCTGATTTGATCACTAAACGTTGTATACATATATTGAATTATTACATGTACTCCATAAATGTGTACAATTATTATCTATCAATTAAAAATAAATTTTTAAAACCCCCAAACCATAGTCATGATTATCTATTATGCCAATTAAGTATTGCTTCCTAGTAAAACCACTCCACAGTGTAATGGCTCACAAAAACATTAAATTGTTATCTCTCATGTATCTGTGGGTTGACTGTGCTCAGCTGGACGGTTCTTGCTTGGGGTCTTTCATGTAGTTACAGTCAGAGATCAACTAGAGTCCTCTGACGTATTGACTGAGCTGTACGTACAAGATGATTCATTCAAATGTCTAGTAGTGAGGGTGACTGTTGGGCAGAGCACCCATGTGTCACCTCTTCACATGCCTTGAGCTTCCTCAGTTTATAGCAGCCTCAGGGAAGTCAGGCTTTTTGTTTGTGGTGATATATAATAGGAAAACTCCCAACTGTTTTCTCCTGTTATACTATCAACACAGAATATTTCTGGTCACCAAAATGTGGGAGTTTTCCTAAACCAAGCGATTATCCAGTGGACACCAACAGAGTGTCCTAGGACTCAACTCAATTTTGAAACTATCTACCTGGAGATAACATTAGGTCTCACAAGACTGCCCCCTACTTCAGATGCCAATCATAAGTAGTAGGTTCACAGGTTACCCACAACTTCTGTCTGCCATGATTGCAAACTGGAGTTTTCCACAAACCCCCTTCTTGGGTTTGAACATTTGCTAGAGTGACTCACAGAATTCAGGAAAGTGGTTTACTTACATTTACTGATTTGTTATAAAGAATACACCAAAAGATACAGATGAACAGGCAGATGAAAGAAATGCACAAGGCAAGGTATTAGAGAGGGATGAGGAACTTCCATGCACTCTCTGAGTGCACCTTCCTCCCAGGACCTCCATATGTTCAGCCTCCTGGAAGCTCTCTGAGTGCTAAAGTTCTGGGATTTTTATGGAAGCTACATCATGTAGGCATAAGTGACTGTTAACTCAATCTTCAGCCCCTCTCCCCATCCTAGATAATGAGGTGTGGGGCTGAAAGTTCAAGCTTCTAATCATGGGTTAGTACCCATTAACCATGGGTTAGCACACATTCAGAAGCCCACCAAGAGGCACCACACAAAAAAAATGCTCCTAGCACCCACAAAATTCCAAGAGATTAGAAGCTCTGTGTCAGGAACTGGGGTCAAAGAACAAATATTAGAACAAGTGCTTCCCTTAGCACCCCAATTACTCAGGAAAGTACAAGGGTTTAGAAGATTGTGCCAGAGTGACTGGGGTCAGAGACCAAATATGTATGTCTTATTATATCACAATGTCACAGGGCTCCAAGGGAGCAAGGCAGAAGCTACCAATCCTCTTAAAGCCTAGCCCTGAAGCTGGCCTAACTTTCCCTCTACTCTACTCTGTTGGTCAAATAAGTGACTAAGGTCAGCCCAGATGCAAGGGGAGGGGAAATAGACTCCACTTCTCAATGGAATGAGTAGCAAAAACTTTGTATTTAACTTTAATTTTCTGCACATCCTCTCAAAATATACCGCTATGTAGGACAGCAGCATGATTTCTGGGCCCCCATGAATCAACAGAAAGACTGTTAGAAGAACATTGTATGTGTGGAGTTGAAAAGAGAGTAAAGTCAGGTGTGGTAGCATGTGCCTGTAATCCCAGCTACGCAGGAGTCTGAGGTGGGAGAATCACTTGAGGCCAGGAGTTCAGGGCTGCAGCATGCTATGATTGTACCTGTGAGTAGCTACTGCACTCCAGCCTGGAAAATATAGCGAGACCCTGTCTGTAAGGAGTAAAAATTATAATCTTTGTTCTTAGGAGGCCTAACACTTAATTAACCTGGAAGGAAGGTAAATGCTATTTAGAATGAGATATCTTACTCTGCTTCCACATTCTAGAGCAGGAGCATTAGTTAAGGCACCAGATGTCTCAAAGACCACCCGATTTTTTTTTTAAGGCTTATTACATTACAAAAGTTGGTAGAAGTTTTGAGATGAAAAAGAAGATCTTCTTATGTCCAATTAGGCGAAAATTAGCCAGAATGGCTAAATTGCTTTGCATTAAGATATTAATGGTAATTGTGGATTTTGGGTAGCAGTAGGCAGGTACTATAACTCAGAAAAAAAGGAAGAAATGAAGAAAATAACTCAGAAAAGAATTATTAGCATAATGGAAGCAGACAAGGGTTTTGAAGAACTGAGAAGTAATCCTAAAATTTCCTTGGAATGACATAATTACTTATTTGTGGGTAAACAACTTTTAACTCCCCTCAATACAGAATTAAATACACAGTGTTTATAAAATCCAAACCCATAGTATTGACATTTTTGCATAAAAAATCTGTGCTGGTTATTAATTTAAGCATTTATAGTTTGTTTAAGAAAATTTGGCTTCTTAGAGTAAATGTCAGATTTATGATTCAACTTTTAAATGTGGAATTAAGTAATTGGCTTAGATTTGAGATATTTAAGTTAAATTTATTTATCATATTTGTATGATTTATTTAAACATTTTGGAAAGGTTTATTGAATCAAAAAGCTATAATTAAAGGAAAATTGGATATATTGAATTAGTAAATACAATTAAGAATATTTTAAGGTATTTAATCAATTCTGTAGATAGGACAAAATATTAATTTAAGGCCCTTAAAATGTTTGCTAAAATATATTAAGCTTATAAGTTTTATGTGGTAAATTTAAAATGTTAAGGAAGTTTTGATTTTGTAAGCATAGTGAATTGAGGATTAATTTTTAAACCAAAGTAAACCACTGAATAGTAGTAGCTCTGCACAAAAACTACTCTCAAGCGCATTAAAAGAACTCAAGTTAATGATATTCATTCTTAGAGTAGAAAATTCTGATATATGGAATATCCACTTATCAATAGGCTGGTTTTCAGGTATTTTGAATTGTGATATCTGAGTAGGAGTCAAATTGGTTGGCCTTTTACACATCATTTGACTGTTCTCTCCTGTTCTTTTGATTCTTTGATAATTCCCTGGATGATGACATCTTTCCCAAGTAATGAGTGGCCCTGCTGAATACGTCAATTTTTGTAAATTAGGCTTTCCAATACCCACGGGCAAAACATTATACTCTTGTTTGCTCCCTTCTCAGAAGTAGCTGAACAGACTGAGTTTAAAGCTTATCTGAAAGAGGAACAAAGACTGGAAAGTTTTAGGTTAAAGGAATGTGTTCAAAAACTTGGGAACTAGTGAAGATGAGGGATTATAATAAAAGTCTGCATGTAACCTTAACTACAGTGTTCACTAAGAAAATCATTATAGCAACATAGGTTGGTGTGTTTATAGCTAGTTTTTTTTTTTTTAAAACAAAAGATTAAAAAAGAAAGGAGAAGGGGAAGTGGATGAGACATTCCTGTGATTGTAAAGCCTAAAACAGTAGACTTCAAAGCTTCTGAAGAAACCATTCTTGTAATCCGCTGCTTAATTCTCCCTAAGTACCAACTGGCAAGGTAGATCGGAATGGCTTAAATATTTACTAGGATTCCCAGTAGGAAACTTTAAGCAGATGAAATGACCATTGACATAAATGGGAGTAAAGCTTTCCTTTTCCCCACTATTTTTGGTTAAAAAAAAAATTCTTGTTTTGAAGAGTTACCAAAAATTCTTATGAATACTGATCAAATATTTGCAGGCCCCACTTTAGATAAAACGATCAGTGACATAAGTGAGAGTAAAGCTTTTATTTTCCCCACTATATTTAGTAAACAAAATCATTGTTTTGAAAAGTTAACAAAAATTCTTAAGAATACTGATCAAATATTTGCAGGCCCCACTGTGTGCAGGATTCTGCCTGAAGTTTCAGGGACAGAGTGAGATTAATGGTATTACAGTTAGAAGCAGCTGGTATTCAGTTGGCCTGTTCCTTCCTCAGCTCTTTGCAGCTACAGCCTTGGTCTAACCTATTTGTTTAGCTTTTCCTGACAAGGACAGGGTGGATCTTCGGAGCTTGCTGTTGTTGACTTGGTATGAGGCATGAGCCAAGCTCCGTAGAAGTCTTTGTCTCTGTTGCGTGGACTGAGCTATACAATCAGCATGGATTTTTTCTTCCCATTGGAACCTTTCACGGGACTGAGCCCCAGCCTGCTAATCTGCGGGCTATTGCTCTGCTCAGCTCTTTCCAGCTTCTTCTCCATGAGTCCTGTCTCTCTTACTTTTGCCTCAGATAGTGGATAGGAAGGGGTGGAAGAGAGAGAAGAGGGCATGCATGCTGGGACTATAAGGCTGTAGGCAGCCCAACTTCAGACTCACCCACTACCTGACACTTTTTTGTTTCAGCCTACACCCATCCAGCACTTGTAAATACCACAGTTTGCCAGGGCCCCAGGTGGCCCTATCTAACCCTATCTATCCCTGCACTATCCTATCCTTAGCTGTCTTTCTCTTTCATGTGCCACCCAGGCGTGGTTCCTTTTCTCATTAGTTAACATTCCTGGGAGTTTTGCCTGATTTAGATAGTATCATGCTAGGCTTGGGAAATTATTTGTGACCAAAAGACATTTAACTGAAAATATTTATTTTTATTTGCTGTTGAGTATTTTCAAATATTGAAAAATAATTTTTAAAAATAAAAAATAATTTTACTTACTTTTAAATAGCATTTTGTAATTTTATACAGTTCCATTACATACTCCTAATTTTTAGATCATATAAATGATGGTTACCTGTTTCTTTGAAATTCAAATTTTCGTAGAGATAAAACACAGTGAGGAGGGTTTGCAGCAACTGAATTTACCCAATAGGATTTCACTTATATTTATAAAGATATTAAAAATTATATAGCTATGTAATCCCTGGTGTTTTATAAGCCAGTGTGTGACCCAGTATATAATACTTGAGGGAAGTGAGCAACTTTTAGAACTTACATCAATTCGATAAAAATGCATTATTCTAATAAGTATGTTACAGAAAGTAAGCTATAAAAAGCCAGGATAAATATGAAAAAATAATCAAACATGCTAGTAATCAAAGAAATATAAATCATAAAAATGAGATATTTTAAATCTGTCAGATAGGCAAAGATATGAAATAATGCAAGGATGTCAATTATAAACTGCCTATATATATGCTTGTACAACATTTCTGAAGAGTGATTTGGCAACAGATATTAGGAACCTTAAAATATGGATATCCTGGCCAGGCACGGTGGCTCACGCCTGTAATCCCGGCACTCTGGGAGGCCGAGGAGGGCGAATCACCTGAGGTCGGGTATTGGAGACCAGCCTGGCCAACATGGTGAAAACCCGTCTCTACTAAAAATAATACAAAAAATTAGCAGGGCGTGGTGGTGCGTGCTTGTAATCCCAGTTACTCAGGAGGCTGAGACACGAGAATCCTTGAACCCAGGAGGCGGAGTTTGCAGTGAGCCGAGATTGCGCCATTGCACTCCAGCCTGGGCAACAGAGTGAGACTCCGGTGGCTCACGCTTGTAATCCCAGCACTTTGGGAGGCCGAGGTGGGCAGATCACGAGTTCAAGAGATCGAAACCATCCTGGCCAACATAGTGAAACCCTGTCTCTACTAAAAATACCAAAATTTGCAGGGCATGGTGGCATGCACCTGTAGTCCAGCTACTCTGGAGGCTGAGGCAGGAAAATCGCTTGAACCCGGGAGGCGGAGCTTGCAGTGAGAGGAGATGGCGCCACTGCACTCCAGCCTGGCGACAGAGCGAGACTCCGTCTCAAAAAAAAAAAAAAAAAAAAAGCGTATCCTTGATGCAAAAATTCTATTTCTAGGAATTTATGCTAAGAAATTTTTAAGTATGCATATAAAGGATGTTCACTGTAACATTCTGTATAACGTGAAAAAAATGAGCAACATAAATGGCCCAAAATAGGAGCTTAATTAAATAAATAATACAGTCATTATAAAGGATATTGCAGGAGAACAGCTAATGACATAGGTTGATTTTATGATATATTTTGAATAAAAAAGTCCCAAAACATTATGTACCATGTTATTCCATTTTAGTTATATGTGCATGACATATTCATGAATTAAACACCAGAAGTATACAGGCCAACATATTGATAATGACTGTCACTGAGTGGTTTGATTATAGGATGTTTAATCTTTCTTTTCACTTATTTTTATACTCTAAATCTTCCCATCGCCTTTGTAAATAATAAAGTTTCAAAATCAATAAAAATAGAGAAAAAAGGAATTATACTAATGATTACCTGTGTGATTTAAGGTAGAAGTTCTGAAAATTTTTGGTCTCAGGACCCTTTTACACCAGTAAAAATTATTAAGGATTCCAAAGAGGTTTTATTTATGTAGGTTCCACATATTTATATTTACTGTATTAGAAATTTAAACTAAGAAATTTATAAAATGTTTGTTTACTAATTCATTAAAAATAATAATAAACTAATTGCATGTAAAATTTTTTATTTTATTTCATTTTATATTTTTTGAGAAAGTGTCTCGCTCTGTCGCCCAGTCTGGAGTGCAGTGCCACAATCTCAGCTCACTGCAACCTCCACCTTCTGGGTTCAAGCGGTTTTCCTGCCTCAGCTTCCCTAGCAGTGCGTGTAACATATTTTTGTAGAAAAGTAACTATACTTTTCTAAAACAAAAACATTTAGTCAGAAGGGTTACATTGTTCTACATTTTTGCAAATCTCTTTAATGCCTGACTTCACAGAAAGAAGCTAGATTCTCATATCTGCCCCTGTATTCAATCTCCTGTGGCATTATATACCATGCAGCCTCTGGAAAACTTCACTGTGCCTTCATGCCAGAATGAGAATAAAAAGGCAAGTCATATTTTTTATCATTATGAAAATATTATTATTTTGAAAATAATATCTATACAAAAATTGTTTTGACCTCGTGGACCCCCTGAGAAGGTTTCAGAACCTTTGGGGATCATCAGATTGCGGCTTTAAGAATGGCCTGTTTAAGGTATTGCAGCTAGGTGGTGTGAAGAAATTAATCATAACAAAAAGAGTACACTATCAAATATTCATTGTGTGCCAAGAACTATGCTGAGAGTTTTAAGTATGTGATTTTGTTTAATCCTCTCCGCAATCGTAAGAGCTAATTACCATTATTACCCCCATTTTGTAGATGAGGAAGCTGAAGCAGAAAGAAGCCAAGCAACTTAATGACACTCTTCAGGGTGTTTGTCCCCACTGCTGGTTTTCTAGACCACTCCCTGCCTACAGTTCCTCTCTGTTCTCATCTCACGCCATCCTGCAAAAAGATGGCCATGTGCCGGACAGCTCTGTATGCCGCCCCACTGCTGTGCTTTACAGGATCTGTCTGTGCATGCAGGTAGGCTTATTTATCAGAAAGAACCCAATCTCACATGCCATAGAGTATGAGAAGGCAACATTTGGAGGATGTTGGAAAACATACTTTTAGAGTTCAGTGCATTGTCACCTTTTGGATCCTCAGATCAACCTCAGATGGGTGCACAAGAATCTCTCTTCTCTTGGCCTCCCTGCTGTCTGCTTTCCTTTTATCGTCCACCCCTCCCATCGCTTCCCAGTATCCTGGTTGCAGGGATCCTGCCCCTGCTCTTGTGTCAGTCTAAGCCAGTGAGAACTGTTCACGCTAGAGAATTTATTCATGGTGGAGAACAGAAGTGAGCTATTAAGTTTTTCAGAATGGAGCACCCACCAGAAAAGCAAACCTCTTGCTTGCTAATTTTAAACCATTTTCCTAAAAGCACGAGCCTAATGTGTTTCAAAGTAAAATTTACTTTAAAATTAACAAAGTTCAGAAGATTATTTTAATATTTGAAATAATTCTTGCCTGCTATAGTTTATCTGTCATCTGTATTTCCAAGAAACTTTACTTTTAAACTCTTTTAAAAATATGCCGTTATTGCTCCTTTTTATGACTGAGAGTATATGGAAAGATTGGCGATACATCTGCAAAACCTTTCCTGTGCCTGTAATAAAACATATGGTTTAGACCTCTGTTCTCTCCCTCCTCCACCTCTAGTTTTAGTCACCTAGAAATAGCTTCTCTATTTGTCCAAATTACCAAGTATTTACCTTCTCTGTTCTCCTCTAGAGCCTGATTTAGTTACAATATATTTATATCAGTTTTTTTTTTCTGAGGATATTAACCTTAGACTTTAGGAAGTATGCTTCTAATCTCCCCTGCTTATACACACATGCTTTAGGAGGGCAAGAAAAGTGTTTTATTCAGATTTATAACACTTGTGCCTAGAGGGGCCTGGCATGTAGTAATATACTCAATAAAAACATGTTGAGTTGACTCTAATAGAAATAATTCTTAAAATTCCTTTCTTCTTTTCTTCCTTCCTTCTTTCCTTCCTTTCATCATGCAATAAACATTTATTGAATTTCTCTTATGAGCCAGACGCCATGTTAAGTAAGTCCCAAGTTTGTAGATATTATCAACTCTGACCTCAAGAAGCCTAGAACGGGCAAAGCCGTACAGTTGGAAAGGTAGGTAGTGTTCCCACCTTTTGGGTTTTCAAGACAATTTGGGGAGGTTTTATTAAGGTTGTATCCTGAGCACACATTTCTCTTGTTGCCAAAAAAAAAAAAAAAAAAGCCACAAAATGAGAGAAACAGTATTTCAAACTGAAACGTCAGTAAGTATGCTTACTTATTTTTATGATCAAGAAAGTGATAATAGCAGACACAAATCTTGAGGATTCCTCAATATTAAAACAAACAACAACAAAAAATCAACCCACCAAACAAAATGACTATATAGGATAAAATTATGGGAGAAATAATCTGTAGAAAATATGGCCCAAAACATGCACAAAAGAGTAGAGCCATACGTTGGAGATATTGCGGGTTTAGTTCCAGACTGTTGCAATAGAACAAATACCATAGAAAAGTCAGTTACACACATTTTTTTGGTTTCTCAGTGCATTTAAAAGTTACGTTTACATTGTATTATAGTCTATTAAGTGTGCAATAGCATTATGTCTAAAAAAAGTACATACCTTAATTTAAAAAGACCTTATTGCTTAAAAAAAAAAAAAAGCTCACGATTATCTGAGCCTTCAGTGAATCATCATCTTTTGCTTGTGGCCTAGCTTTCAACCTCTCTCAGCTTTTGACATGTCTACCTCACAGTTTTTGATTTAAAGTGAGAGATGTGCAACTCTTCCTTCACATGAAGACATAGAGGACATTGGCCTAATTTCAATTTTGTTGTTATCTCAGGGAATCAGGAGGGCCAAGAAAAGGGACAGATGGGGGAACCATTAGTCGGTGGAGCTGTCAGAATGCATACAATATTTACCTATTAAGTTCACTGTCTTATACAAGCATGGTTCGTGGCACTCCAAAACAACTACAGTAGTAACATCAGAGATCACTGATAACAGATCCACATACTAGATATGATAATGAAAACATCTGAAATATTGCAAGAATTATGAAAAGTGACACAGACACGAAGTGAGTACATACTCTTGGAAAAACGGTGCCAATATATTTGCTCGATGCAGGGTTGCCACAAACTTTCAATTTATAAAAAATGCAGTGTTTGCGAAGCATGATAAAGCAAAACATACTAAAAAGAAGTACGTCTGTACTTATCCCTAGGTAGAAACAATTCTGGGGAAGCCCAAGCTCAGAGTCAGTGGTTACAAGGAGAAGGAAGGGTCCCCAGACACACATCAGAATGTGTAATTGGCAGCCCCACTGTTGTGACAGGGCAGTCCCTGCCTCTTCTCTTATCTATGTATGCTAAGGTAGGCAGCAGCTGAACTGGCCCACAGGCTAACGTGGCGGGGCTCTGGGGCCAGAGGGGCAGAGTATTGCCCGAGGCATTTACTTCTCTCCCCTCAGGAAGGACGTGGAGATTCTATACCCAAGACATAAAATATTACCTGACAGTACATTCTATCTTTCCTCCATAATCACTGAGTCTGGCTTAGAGTAAACACAGAAAACAGATAAACAGGAATTTTTAAAGATTAGCCCACATTCTTGGAGTAAGAGAACAAACAGAAGAATAATTTAAAATAAGTACACCTAATAGTAGAAAGTTCCAAGGAATTATTGCATCTACCAACAATAAATAATGAGAGATTTTGGAGATTAAATATTTGTTACACAAGATCAATATCCTCAATATATGAAGGATTCTTATAAATCAATAAAAAAGCTAACAATATAATAGAAAAATAGGCAAAGGCAAGAAGATATAAGTGATTCTTAAATATTTGAAAATATACCCAACTTCATTCATACTATGAAAAATGCAAACTAAAAGTACAATTAGATAACACTTTTCACCTATAAGATTAAAAAGTTGGAATGCTTTGATAGCACATTGATTTGGTCAGAGATAGACAAAATAAACCTCCTAAATGTTACTGGTGAGAGTAAGATCAGTAAAGTCTACATGAAGGGCAGTGAGAGAAGTTAGGCAATACATATCAGGTTATACAGTGACTTTGACCCAGCAATCATACATCTGGGAAGCTACCTTGCAGATATGTATGCACCCAAATGAAATTTCACTTGTGTATATACAAGGAAATTAATTGCATAATTTTTCATATTAGCACAATATTGAAAACAATCCAAATATCTATCAATAAGAAACTGGTTCAGTAAAGTATAGAACATCCATAGAAGGAAAAACTGTACATTAAGAAGATAGCACTATTCCACATATGGAAATTTATCCTACAGATATTCTTGCACTTAAGTGATTTATTTGGACAGATATACTTGCGAAGTGAGTAAAATAATATATGAAAAAAGGTATTTATTGAAGCATTTTTGTAATTGCAAAAAGACAAAAAACAAATGTTTATTAATAGCAGACTGATTAAATAAAGTATTGTACACTCAAATGATGAAGTGCCATGGCATTGTAAAAATGAATGTAGAAACTATATGGGTAAAATATTGAAAGTTCTCTGCAAATATCTTGTTACATGAAAAGGCAAGTATATACAGTTGACCCTTGAACAACATGAAATTTAGAGACAACTCCTCACACAGGTGAAAAACCACAACTAACTTTTGTGTGTGTGTGTTTTTAATTGTTTTATTTTTTATTTTCAGCCGGGCGTGGTGGCTCACACCTGTAATCCCAGCACTTTGGGAGGCCGAGGCAGGTGGATCACCTGAGGACAGGAGTTCGAGACCAGGCTGGCCAACATAGCAAAACCCCATCTTTACTAAAAATACAAAAAGAAAAAACAATCAGCTAGATGTGGTGGTGCATGCCTATAATCCCAGCTACTTGGGAGACTGAGGCAGGAGAATTGCTTGAACCCAGGAGGTGGAGGTTGCAGTGAGCTAAGATTGTGACATTGTACTCCAGTCTGGGTGATGGAGTGAGACTTTGTCAAAAAAAAAAATTATTTTTAGTTCAGGGATACATGTGCAGGTTTGTTTCCTAGGTAAATTATGTGTAGTGGGAGTTTGTTGTACAGATTATTTTATCACCCAGGTAATGTAAATGTCCAACAGGTAGTTTTTCCATCCTCACCCTCCTCCCGCCCTCCATCCTCAAGTAGGCCTCAGTGTCTGTTGTTTCCTTCTTTGTGTTCATGTGTACTCAGTGTTTAGCTCCCACTTATAAGTGAGAACATGAGATACTTGGTTTTCTGTTCCCCACGTATAACGTTTGGTTCCCCCAAGACTTAACAACTAATGGCGTACTCTTGACCAGAAGCCTTACCAATCACATCAATGATCAATTAAAACATATTTTGTATGTTATATACTGTATCCTTACAAAAAAACAAACCAGAGGAAAAAGGTATTATCAAGAAAATCATAAGGAAGAGAAGATACATTTACAGTACTGTATTATATTCATTGATATTGTACTGACATGGCGGGCAACTGTAGCTGCAAACTTCAGTCTATAGTTCATATCTGCCAATTTTTTTCCTTGCGATGTCATGACTTTCGTCTGCTTTTTGGAAGCACTACCAGCATCACTAGTGGCACTTTGTATGAGTCTCATAGTGTTATTCAAAGTTTACAGTGTTGCACTAAATATGATGACAAATATCTGAGAAGTGGGAGAGATCACTTTTTATTGCAATACGCTATTTAGTGGAGAGAGGAACTACTCAAGTGGAGATGATTAGCCTCACACAGCACACAACATTTGAAATAAACACTAATAACTAGTAACCTGAGCTCACCACAATAGCAATGGGAGGTAGCAATGAAATTATAACAGTAGTACAGTATGTACTACAGTTAACTTTATGCAGTTATGATTTAATACTGCACCTTTATATTCACATTTCTCTGGACTGCAAATGGTGCCATGTATGGTCTATGTTTGTGGATTTAAGTTTTGATAAATTTTAACTTAATAGATATGTGTATGTTTCATGATAGTTAATAATAAAATACATTACTATCTATGTATATTTTATACATTCACCACTTAACTTTTTCATAATTTTTCGCTGTTTCTAGGCTATGTGATTTGTCTGCAAGTCTCTGAATTGTCACAAATTTTTAAAAAAACTTTCTTATATATTTACTGAAACAAATTTGCATGTAAGTGAACGCACACAGTTCAAGTCTATGTTGTTCAAAGAGCAACTATATTATATTATCTTTTGTGAGTGAGGAGGAGGAAAATATATACATTTGTATTGTACTTGTACAGAAAAACTCTGGAACAATAGAAAAATGCAAGAAAATGAAAATAGTGATTTCCTTGTTTGATGCTGGAAAGTGGACAGAGAGTAGAAGCTAGAGTTTTCACTGTGTGTCTTAATTTTTTTTTAAACATGGATATCTCACTTCTTTAATAAATATATTTCCTTTTAAAACAGTTTTTTTAAAAAAAGCAAAAAACAATCAGACCAAAAAAGGGTTTCCTATGTTTATATTAAAAGATGTCCAAAATATATTGCTGAGAACAAAAGCAAAATATATACATAAAACACAAAACACACAGAACAGTGTATAGAATATGATACCATTGTCTTTAAAAAAAAATTTGACTACAAGGCTGTAAATGCACAAACTATCTCTGTGAGAATACACAAGAAATCAGTACTAGTAGTCACCTCTGGGGAAGTGAGCTGAAAGCCTAGGGAACAGAGATGGAAGAGAGACAGATTTGATTGTATTCCTCTTTGTACCTTTTAATTTTTTTCTATGTGGTGTATTATCAATTTAAAAAATAAAATAGTTTTTCAAAATTGAGGTCACAATAAAAAACTTAATAGATGACCTGAATAGCATCATGAAAGTATGTTAAGGCTTCTCACTTATAATTAAATTTTGCCACTGATAGAAAATACACATTAAGTATATATCTTAGAAATATAAGGGTAAAGGTGGGAAAAATTGGAATAGAATGCATAACCTTTGAACTGTGTAGAAAAGCCAGTAGAACAAATCTTTCTATCTCCAAATTAATAAAATAATTCTACAACAGCTTTAATCAGTACAACAAAATTGAGAAAAATCCAATCTATAACAAAACAAGACAAACAAAATTTAAATTACTATGGCAAGAAGAAGTCCACACATAAGAAATTATAAGAAATGTATTCCTATTACTTTCACTCTCAGTTTGGGTTAAAAAAATCTAGCTATATTTTATTGATAACAGATATCCAAAATAAATTAATTAGAAAAATTAAAAAGTCAAGAAATAGATAGCAGCTTGACACTAACAAAAAATAAAGTTTAAGTATTTTTAAGTTAACCTGAGACAAAACAGAAGTCAGGTAAAAAAGCCAAAGTGACAAAGAGGGATATTTCACACTGAGGAAAGGAAAAAATCTCCAAGAATATATAACAGTCATGGACATTTTGTACCTGACAGTATAGCTTTAAAGGAGGTAAATCAAGAACAGCTAAACATGCAAAGAAAAAAAGGCTGAATCTTCTATTATAGTGGGGGACAGTGCCCTAGAAAATAACAGAACAATTAGATAAAAACAAGAAAGGCTCTAGAGTTTTAAATAACACTGTTAACATGTTTAATGTTTAACTTTGTATCCAAAAAGGAATGAATATACTGTCTTGTCAAACATAAATAGCATAGAAAATTAACCATGTACTGTTGGTCTATAAAGAAAATCTCAATTAATTGCAGAAAGCAGAAATCATATAGACCATATTCTCTGATTGTAAAGCAATAAAATGAGAAACTAGTAAGAATAGCCAAAAAATCACCTATTCATTCAGAAAATATAAACTGCTGTTCAAAGTCAATTAAAAGAAAATAGAAAACTTGAACATTTCACTGGGATTGCAGAATTGACTTCATTGCACTAGTACCTTGTGTAGTCAAGACAATTTAAAGCTTGTTCAAGAGAGCTGTGGTTTCAAAAGACTACTGCCAAACTTCAACCTTCCTTGTGGCTATATACTTGTTGAAAATGTCAGAAAATGAGTCACTGAAAATTCTGTCATATCTGGAACAGTTGCCTCCAAACATATTTTAAATTAAATTGTTGAAATAATGAGAATAGTTTTTAAAAAGTTTACAGAGATACAAATGTGTCTACATTTACATTTGGAGGAATTAAAAGTTAAAATATAAGCCTTGTTCTTCTGTATCCCCCTTCCCAAAGTTAGAGAAAAGTGCATATCCATCTTAGGAAATAACTGAGTAAAAGTAAATTCTCTAAGTTGGTAACAGCAACTTACCACATCTTTTCCCTGATAAATGGCACTGCCGCTTAACTGGAATATTCCCCAGAAATGCTAGGACAGGGATTCAGTAAAACAGTTCACCATTGCTTAAAGACAATGTTATAGATAAATGGCAAAGCTGGACATCAGAGAAAGAAGCTCATCAGTGGCCAGCACAGCTTTGGGAATCTTAGATCTGGAGGGGACCTTATAGACATACCACTACCACCATCACTAATTTTACTATGAGAAAACTAGAATTTGGGTCTTCCCTTTCCCAGTCAGTATTTCTGCTACATTCGGAACAATAAACACTTAATGAGTCAAGGATCACTTAATAAAAATATTCTGAGATGTTTTATTGCTTAGGTATATATCTTTAAAAGTAAATCAGAAAATAGAGTGTGTCTATCTCTCAGACAATGTGTACTTTGTGAACTCTGGAAATCAGGAATATTGTATAATTGGCACCTTTCCTGAATTCAGCCAGTCAGGGCCAGTTAAAGGGATTCACTTGTGTTAATTTTTCAAGCAGTAAAGAACTCATGATGTGAAAATGCATATGGCAAGCTAAGGCAAAGAAAGTAGCCTTTTTTTCCTGATACAGCCCCAGGGCTGGGAAAGAACATTTGTGATCTCCCTTGCTTATCTGATTACAAAGCATGAAAAAGAAGAGGAACATCTAACTCCAGGGGAAATTTCAGCTACTCAAGGAAGGAGCTGGTAACATAACAGTTGTGAATGAACACATACACTTAAAAAAATTAAAATTTTTTTAAAAAGATAGTGAAGTCTTCTTCCTGAGGCACCCTACCCCATGAGATTGCAAGAAGACACACATAGAAGAAAGTGAATTTTCACTTTATATATAGTTTATTGTTGCAATAATATAGACTACAAGAAATTAGCTTATTAAGTAAAATCTACCTTTATTCTTAATTTTACTGTACTTGTTTCTCTCTGAAACCTTCTAATCAGGTCCTCTGTGGGACAGCACAGAATATTAGGAAAGAATTATTTAACAGTTTTCTTTATATTTAAAAACAAATCTTAGGGATTTTTAAAAAAATCTAATGGGAAAGTGGAGTTCTGCTAGTTTTAATTTTTTTCTTTTGAAAAAGAGTTCATTCCATATAGATTGCTCAACCAATAAAAATTGCTAGACAACAGAAATTCCCATCTTTTTTTTCCTCTTATTATATCACAAAATGAACTTTTCTGCAACAAATTATGGGTACTTTTGAATGTAATATAGAGACATATTTTCCACAGTATCAAACTAATTAAGATCTTATAGACACAATTTAAAACATTCTACCTTTAGTTCTCATTCTTCTATAAATAAGCACACAGTTATAAAAGTTATATTTTACATTACTTTCTTTCAAAGTGAATTTGTTTAAGTCAATTTCTACAAAGGTAGGGCCAAGAGAAAAAGTGATGTTTTTAAGTAGATCATTTTAGAATGAAAACTCGCAAGACTTGAAGATTTAATATTTTGGTATTAAATTCTGGTTTGTTCACCCTGTATGTAATTTAGAGCAAGCTACTTACATCAGTTTCCTCAATTAAAATGGGGGTAATAATACTTAATTCTTTAGGTTTTTGTAAGGGTCAGAGACATCTACTGAACTGAGAGTTTCTTAAAAGTTGGCATCACATTTTACTCATCTTATTCTTTTTCCTTCTATGTTTATTAATCATGGTTCCTTAGTCAACTCTTCTGTAAAGTATGACTAGGTTGTTAGGGACTAAAATATTAATTTTGATGTACCTTTCCTCTGAAGTCTTCTAAGCACATCTGTTGTGATTTTACCAATTTACTGTTTGCCTACTAGACATAATGAAAGTTCGTATAAGCATATGACCTAATATTCAAGTTAGTGACTCTTGTTAGTGAAGATGTTCTAAATCTGCATCTATTTTCCAATTACTTGTCTAACTTCACATTCTACCACTCTGCTCTGTGCGCATTCTGCTACAGACAGATAGGCCTTCCTGGTGTGTCCCTGGGCTATTGCACCTGCTGTCTTGAATACCGTTTTCCTAAATACCCACATGGTTTGCTCCTTTAATACCTCCTCTTCAGCGCAGGTCTCGTCAGTGGGGCCTGCTCTTACACCCTTGCATGCTGTATATCCTATTTGCCCTATTGATGTTTTTCCATAGTATTGTTACTGAGAAAAGAGTCACATAATTTATTTGTCTTTATTTTGTTTGCTTGCTTATTATCTGTCTTCTTTCACTAGAATGAAGCTTTGTTAGGCTAGGCCCTTTGTTTTGTTCATGTAGTCGATACTCAATAAATATTTGCTCAAAGAAAGGTTAAATGATTGAACAAATGACTTATTGCACATAGAGAGGATTTCAAAATACTTCCTTGTATTCTCCACATCAAGAGAGGACTCACTAACACAGTTCTAGGGCAGAATGTAAATACTTTCATGTTCAGTACCTCTTTCTATTTCTTATTGTTACAGCTGTCTTTTCCATTACATTATAAAGTCTTTGGGAGTTGGTGATCATGTTTATTTATTTCTCTATCATTCTTTGAGCACCAGGCTTGGCACATAGTAGGCTCTCATACATTCATTAAAAAAACGAGACTGGTACCATCTAGCTTTTGTAGTTGTCCAAGGACTGTGATATTAAATTTGATATAGTTTTGCTATATATATAGCTATAACCATAAAAAGATAGTTAAAACAAATATATATACTATATATAGCATAACTATATTTATAAATATGTAGTATAACTATATATAGCATAACTATATATGGTTATAGATATATAGCATAACTGTCAAATTTATATATCATATATAATCTTTTACATATAACTTTAAGATCATTAAAGATTGTTATCTCCACCTTAAAGATTTACTGATGAGATATTATGATGTTAGATTCACTATGCACTAATATAAGGGTAAGTTTATCAAAATAACTATGTGGATATTGGTGAGTTGAGACCACAAGATAAATGGAATCAATTGATAGCAACCTTTAATGAATCTTTTATATACATTAAACTATAAAATTTATATATATCATATATATACACATTTGATATATATCATATATTTCTTCAAGGATTAAAAAATTCAGTCAGGTATTTAGAGTGTTTCTTTTCTTGCTCATAGAGATATCTAAATAACATTTAATTTCAACTCCCTAGCCCCAGGCACTATTAAGATAGACTTCTAACTTTCCTGCAGAAGAAAAGCTTCTGAATTATGTTAGCATTAAAAAGTCAGTGGGGTCTGTGGTTAGCTTTCTTTAAAAGGCAATTCTGGGAGGAAAAAATTTCTGATTAGCCATTTTGAGCCCCACTTTCTGGAGTGAGATTCTGTGAAGTGTTTCAATATTAGGTTCATTTTTGTAAACCTATGCACACTAGCTCTTTCACAGAACCAGAATGATTTTCCTGGATCAAAGATTTGCTTAAAAGTCATTCTTTCATTAATGGTGAAGTGTCGATTTTGTTACAATGAAATTCTAAGAACTCCCTGTAGAAATTAATAGATACGTTAAAAAAATTCAATGCATTGTGCTTTCTATATAAAGGCGATGCTTTGGATCCTGCCTAAATGTCTTTGGCACTTTGAGCTGTTTTCCCAACAATACTATTGGAACCATATGTGAAAGATGACTGCCTGGGGTTGTGGGTATAGGCTCTGGTCTTCCTAAAGAGTAGATATATGTTTGAATTTAATAGCTAAAAGCTGGATGCATGCCTGGAGACAGTCAGGAAAACTGCTTTTTGTTGGTGTGAAATGAATTAGACATCAGCATGTCTGGGTCTTCCCCCCAAATCTTGCCACTTTCTAGTTATGCCTGTCATTTATCCTCTCTGGATCTCATCTCTATAAAAAGTATTTCAGAAATACTGAGATCCTAAACATTTAAACAACCTTAGTGTTTTTCTGCTTTCTGACTTTCCACCCCACTCTATCAATCATATCCATAAATCTCCAACTTTCAATATGCCCTACCTAGAAGATTATAAATAATGGTTTTTAATGGTGAAAGTAATTACCTTAAGAGTAGGCACATAGTGTCTCATAATGTATATGTCAATTTACTGAAAGTGACCATTTATTTGACTTATTTACTTTTACTCTAAAGAGTGGCTGGATAATAACCTGTTGGATCATGCAGCAAAGAGCAACTGTAACCGGATCCTCTTCTTGTTGACAGAAGGTCGACGTGGCTGTCTTCGCTGTGTTGACTGACATCTCTGTTCTGAGTAATAATTAGGTATCTTTATACCTTTGCTTGCTTCACCAGGAATATCTATTGTTGACCGAGGCAGCAGAAGTGGAGGCCACACCTGAAGGATGCGGACATGTTTCCAGTGACATTATCTGGAGTATTAATGATTTTACCATTTGTTCCTCATCATTTGCAACAATTTTTATTTTTTTCTTTAAAAGGAGAATGAGCAAGTCAAAGACCACATTATTTATTCAGTCTTGGATTTTTGTTTCTTTCTAGACAGTCAAGTGAGTTTAGTCTTGAGTCTATGGCCATCTTAGATGGTTTGTGCACAAAGTCTTTGAGTGAATTCAATTTTCAGAAAGACAAAATGCAGTTTGGGATCTACTTCATGTCTTAAGACAATTGATTCAATTTATCTCCTGGCCCCAGTCCACCAAATCCACATAGTTATTTTGGTAAACTTACCCTTATAATAGTGCATAGAGAACTTAATACCATAATATCTCATCAGTAAATCTCTAAGGTGGAGATAACAACCTTTAATGATCCATTAAACATTCCTGATACGAGATGAATCAGGAATGTGATACCAAGCTGCACTCACTCATGCAAGCCAGAAACCTGGTGATCACCTTGACACCTTTCTTTCTCTTCCTTACTCCCTACAGCTAAATAGTCCCCAAGTCCTATTGACTTCATCTCTTACTCATACCCTGAAGTGATTATCTCCATCTCCATGGCAACTATTACTTTCATTATTTGGGTCTTTATTTTGTCTGGCCTTGCAGTAGACATCTAACTAACCCTGGTCTCTTAGTCTCAATGTCCTTTCAATTAATCTTCCAAACCAAATTAGAAACCAAACTGTCTAAATGCTGTCATGCTGTTTGAAGTCCCTAAATAGATTGTTATCATTGTTATCACCACAGAGAATAGTGCTTGGCACCTAATAAGTACTCAATATGTATTCTTTAAATGAAGGAAAGAATAAATTATTTAAGAAAAAGCCCAGGATCCTTAGCATGATCAATAAGGCCCATCTCTATTTTATGAATTCTGCTGATGATGTGCAGGAGGTTTTGTGATAATTTACAACAAATATATTTACTTCAGTGGTTATATATTTAATTTATATGACTTGCTATTGTTGATTTTCTATATGCAGAAATGATATAAAATATACTTCTGACATAAACGTATTAAGCTATAACAGCAAGTTTTTTTTAAAGACAGAACATTGAATAGGGGCAGAAATAAATCTAAAGCCATCACAAAGCCAGCATAATGATCACAGACTGTCCACTGAGCTGTAATTATTTGCTTACACATTTGTTTCTCCTCTTAGTCTATCAGTTCCTCTAGTGAAGTAATAGTCCTTTCACAATGCTGGCCATGAGCTAAAATTAAAATGTTTTAGGGGTGAATAAAGTCAGAAATATTCGGTTTGGATATTGCCCAGATAAGGGTCTGGGTTAATTTTCATTGCTAAGATGGTGTTTAGTCAACATGGCAATAACAGTGAAGACATCTTTAATACTCAACATTTGAAATACATCAGGGAGTATTTAGACAAGCATTTTGGACACTGGTTCAAAACAAGTTTTTTTTAAGGCAATGGCTACATCATATGAAAAAAGTTTCAGTAAAAAGTGAAAAATTCAGTCAAGTTTTTGAATGGTCAACTTTCTCAGCACCAAACATTCAACTCATAGAAACCATTTAGAAGACTGAATCTTAAACTTACTTCATAGCCTTCCTCTTCTTATCTCTACTTGTGAAAAGCATGTATAGTTGTTTCTTTACAACTAAAAATGTGTCCTCTGAAATAACTATTAGATTAAAAACTAATGCATGCAATGCACATTAAGTGGTTTTATTTATGGATGTATGACTACCTTTTTCCCTTCTCCAAATTCATATAGACTTATGGAGCACAAGAGCTCAAGGGACCTTGGTAATATTCTGACTTTCTCATTCAGTGAATAAAAACACCGAAGCTGAGAGAAGTTAACTTGCCTTGGTCTTAAGGCCAGATTAAGGCAGAGTAGGGACTAGGAGCCAGGTCTCCTGGCATTCAGACTAGAATGTATCACTCTAGGGAAGGCTGCTGCTCTTTCCTTCAGCATTCCTTCCTCTCTGTTCCTGTAACCCCTATGCCTGAACTGACCTCCCTTAAGTGGGTAGTCTTTAAATTGTTTGCATTATTAAATGAACTGAACCAAGGCAGGAATGCACATCCTGAACATTTTTTCCCCTTAATGGTCCATTTTTGTAAACAGATATTCCCCAGAATTTCTTCAGAAGATCACCATGCTGTATGATGGCACACTACTATAATATTCTCCTAGAGCAGAATTTACCAAAAAGTAGATCTTTCTGGCACTCTTACCTATAGGGGTTGAATCAGTGAATCAGTGGAGTAAGAAACAGACCTTTATTGTTAAAAGAGGATCTTAACAGGCAACTCCATCAATTTATGAAAGATACTAGGAGGAAGTCTAATATAGCTCTTCTTGTTTAGAATAGAAGAATTACTTTTTAAAAAGAGCCTCAAGTAATTTAGAAATGCAATTCACTCTCAGATCTGGTAGGAAAAGTGCCCACAGGAGTATTCTATGGTCTAGGTGAAGACACTTAAAATTAAGTTTTCATAAACAATTTTAGATGACTGATTTACTAATAACAATAACAATATCACTGAAGTGGATACAAGGCCCCAAAGGAGTTTTCGAGACGTGGATGACAGTGTATGTATCTCGAACTGTCCCTAAGAAGGTAACTTGGACCATGGTAGAGAATTGGGTGCTTTACTGGGGGCCTATTAAGCAGCTGCTCACGGCTTTCTTGGTTTACCCTGCTTTTCCATCTGTTTTACCTGTCTCTATTTCTGAATAATTTATTTTGCCATCTGCATAAATAGAACACCTGTCTGAAGGCTAACCCTTACAACTAAATAATTTAGAGAAAATAACCTCTTTCATCTTTATTGGAATAATGTAATGACTTTTGAGAACAAAGCCCTTAAATAACTCTTGGGGACATTTCTTGTGTTTTCACTATTATACTAACAGTTTAAAAAGTTAATATTAATATATTTTTTAAAATTAAAATTTCCCACCTCCCATTTTTTTTAAAGATATCGGTTATAGCAGCTACTTTGGCTTTTATATGTTTCCTGCTAGTGTATTTCGTCTGTCTTTAGAAGAACGATTGCAGTTTGTAGATGGTTATAATTTTTTAGACCCTAACTATAAAATCTGTTCAACTCTTGACTGCCTGTGAGAAAGGGCAATATTTTTATGTTGTTGTAACATGAGCTTTTATAAGAATTTACTTCAGTAAGTGCTTATGCCCCTATTAGCAAATAGGCTTGGATATATGTAATAAACATTTCATCCTGGATGATGTCTGCTTTTGCTGAGGTTATCTTGGTACAGAAATTATTTTAAATGTTTTTTCACTGTGAAAGGACACTCAACTGTGGTGCAGATTTGTGAATTGAAGGTAAGCAGTTGAGTTGAGCTACAGATCCATTTATTAATAATCTTATGAACTCTCAGTCGTTGAAATGTCAATGATTACCAGAATGCTAAGGAACTTGTATCAAATATCTATTCAGCTGCTTACTAACTGTATGATCTTGGGTGATTTACTTCATTTCTCTGAGCCTCAGTTTCCTTATCTGTAAAATGGAGATAATAAGACTTACCCTTTAAGCTCTAGTGTATAGCCCCAAGGTATTCAATAAATGGTAACTTTATGTAGTACTTATTCATATTAAAGACTTAAAAGTGGGCACTTCTTAATATCTTGGATAAATAAAGATTTAAATAGCTTTTTAAAGTTAATAATTTTGAAAAATTTCTAATATTTTTTACATAATTCCTCTTTTTTATGTAGAGTATACTGAACATAACTTTAATTGAAAAATTACGGTCACCAGTGTAGTCAATGTAAATGGTAACTGTATACTATATGCTATGTACTAACTCTGTAGAACAGTTTAGTAATTTCACAGGCTAGTTAAGGTAGAGGCTACTGTTTATCCTACTTTTACTGGTGCTGGATAATTGTCCTTTTTGAAGTCATAGATCTGCTTTTCTTTTTTTTTTGAGATGGAGTCACATTCTGTCACCCAGGCTGGAGTGCAGTGGCGCGATCTCGGCTCATTGCAACCTCCGCCTCCTGGGTTCAAGCGATTATCCTGCCTCAGCCTCCTGAGTAGCTGGGATTACAGGCACGCACCACTACACCTGGCTAATTTTTGTATTTTTAGTAGAGACGGGGTTTCCCATATTGGTCAGCCTGGTCTCGAACTCCTGACCTCGTGATCCACCCCCCCTTGGCCTCCCAAAGTGCTGAGATTACAGGCGTGAGCCACTGTGCCTGGCCTGCTTTTCTTAATTTTATATCTTCTCCCTGGCTAACAGCTGTCATTTCTTGCTACAGCTTCTGGGTTTGTTGGTAGCTGTTTCTTTTTTTTATTTTTATTTATTTATTTATTTATTTTTTATTTTTTATTTTATTTTTTATTTTTTTAATTTTTTTAATTTTTTTAATTTTTTAATTTTTATTTTTTATACTTTAAGTTTTAGGGTACATGTGCACATTGTGCGGGTTAGTTACATATGTATACATGTGCCATGCTGGTGCGCTGCACCCACTAACTCGTCATCTAGCATTAGGTATATCTCCCAGTGCTATCCCTTCCCCCTCCCCCCACCCCACCACAGGCCCCAGAGTGTGATATTCCCCTTCTTGTGTCCATGTGATCTCATTGTTCAATTCCCACCTATGAGTGAGAATATGCGGTGTTTGGTTTTTTGTTCTTGCGATAGTTTACTGAGAATGATGATTTCCAATTTCATCCATGTCCCTACAAAGGACATGAACTCATCATTTTTTATGGCTGCATAGTATTCCATGGTGTATATGTGCCACATTTTCTTAATCCAGTCTATCATTGTTGGACATTTGGATCGGTTCCAAGTCTTTGCTGTTGTGAATAATGCCGCAATAAACATACGTGTGCATGTGTCTTTACAGCAGCATGATTTATAGTCCTTTGGGTATATACCCAGTAATGGGATGGCTGGGTCAAATGGTATTTCTAGTTCTAGATCCCTGAGGAATCTCCACACTGACTTCCACAATGGTTGAACTAGTTTACAGTCCCACCAACAGTGTAAAAGTGTTCCTATTTCTCCACATCCTCTCCAGCACCTGTTGTTTCCTGACCTTTTAATGATTGCCATTCTAACTGGTGTGAGATGGTATCTCATTGTGGTTTTGATTTCCATTTCTCTGATGGCCAGTGACGATGAGCATTTTTTCATGTGTTTTTTGGCTGCATAAACGTCTTCTTTTGAGAAGTGTCTGTTCATGTCCTTTGCCCACTTTTTGATGGGGTTGTTTTTTTCTTGTAAATTTGTTTGAGTTCATTGTAGATTCTGGATATTAGCCCTTTGTCAGGTGAGTAGGTTGTGAAAATTTTCTCCCATTTTGTAGGTTGCCTGTTCACTCTGATGGTAGTTTCTTTTGCTGTGCAGAAGCTCTTTAGTTTAATTAGATCCCATTTGTCAATTTTGTCTTTTGTTGCCATTGCTTTTGGTGTTTTGGACATGAAGTCCTTGCCCACGCCTATGTCCTCAATGGTAATGCCTAGGTTTTCTTCTAGGGTTTTTATGGTTTTAGGTCTAATGTTTAAGTCTTTAATCCATCTTGAATTGATTTTTGTATAAGGTGTAAGGAAGGGATCCAGTTTCAGCTTTCTACATATGGCTAGCCAGTTTTCCCAGCACCATTTATTAAATAGGGAATCCTTTCCCCATTGCTTGTTTTTCTCAGGTTTGTCAAAGATCAGATAGTTGTAGATATGCGGCGTTATTTCTGAGGGCTCTGTTCTGTTCCATTGATCTATATCTCTGTTTTGGTACCAGTACCATGCTGTTTTGGTTACCGTAGCCTTGTAGTATAGTTTGAAGTCAGGTAGTGTGATGCCTCCAGCTTTGTTCTTTTGGCTTAGGATTGCCTTGGCAATGTGGGCTCTTTTTTGGTTCCATATGAACTTTAAAGTAGTTTTTTCCAATTCTGTGAAGAAAGTCATTGGTAGCTTGATGGGGATGGCATTGAATCTGTAAATTACCTTGGGCAGTATGGCCATTTTCACGATATTGATTCTTCCTACCCATGAGCATGGAATGTTCTTCCATTTGCTTGTATCCTCTTTTATTTCCTTGAGCAGTGGTTTGTAGTTCTCCTTGAAGAGGTCCTTCACATCCCTTGTAAGTTGGATTCCTAGGTATTTTATTCTCTTTGAAGCAATTGTGAATGGGAGTTCACTCATGATTTGGCTCTCTGTTTGTCTGTTGTTGGTGTATAAGAATGCTTGTGATTTTTGTACATTGATTTTGTATCCTGAGACTTTGCTGAAGTTGCTTATCAGCTTAAGGAGATTTTGGGCTGAGACAATGGGGTTTTCTAGATATACAATCATTTCGTCTACAAACAGGGACAATTTGACTTCCTCTTTTCCTAATTGAATACCCTTTATTTCCTTCTCCTGCCTAATTGCCCTGGCCAGAACTTCCAACACTATGTTGAATAGGAGTGGTGAGAGAGGGCATCCCTGTCTTGTGCCAGTTTTCAAAGGGAATGCTTCCAGTTTTTGCCCATTCAGTATGATATTGGCTGTGGGTTTGTCATAGCTAGCTCTTATTATTTTGAAATACGTCCCATCAATACCTAATTTATTGAGAGTTTTTAGCATGAAGGGTTGTTGAATTTTGTCAAAGGCTTTTTCTGCATCTACTGAGATAATCATGTGGTTTTTGTCTTTGGCTCTGTTTATATGCTGGATTACATTTATTGATTTGCGTATATTGAACCAGCCTTGCATCCCAGGGATGAAGCCCACTTGATCATGGTGGATAAGCTTTTTGATGTGCTGCTGGATTCGTTTTGCCAGTATTTTATTGAGGATTTTTGCATCGATGTTCATCAAGGATATTGGTCTAAAATTCTCTTTTTTGGTTGTGTCTCTGCCCGGCTTTTGTATCAGAATGATGCTGGCCTCATAAAATGAGTTAGGGAGGATTCCCTCTTTTTCTATTGATTGGAATAGTTTCAGAAGGAATGGTACCAGTTCCTCCTTGTACCTCTGGTAGAATTCGGCTGTGAATCCGTCTGGTCCTGGACTCTTTTTGGTTGGTAAACTATTGATTATTGCCACAATTTCAGCTCCTTTTATTGGTCTATTCAGAGGTTCAACTTCTTCCTGGTTTAGTCTTGGGAGAGTGTATGTGTCGAGGAATTTATCCATTTCTTCTAGATTTTCTAGTTTATTTGCGTAGAGGTGTTTGTAGTATTCTCTGATGGTAGTTTGTATTTCTGTGGGATCGGTGGTGATATCCCCTTTATCATTTTTTATTGTGTCTATTTGATTCTTCTCTCTTTTTTTCTTTATTAGTCTTGCTAGCAGTCTATCAATTTTGTTGATCCTTTCAAAAAACCAGCTCCTGGATTCATTAATTTTTTGAAGGGTTTTTTGTGTCTCTATTTCCTTCAGTTCTGCTCTGATTTTAGTTATTTCTTGCCTTCTGCTAGCTTTTGAATGTGTTTGCTCTTGCTTTTCTAGTTCTTTTAATTGTGATGTTAGGGTGTCAATTTTGGATCTTTCCTGCTTTCTCTTGTGGGCATTTAGTGCTATAAATTTCCCTCTACACACTGCTTTGAATGCATCCCAGAGATTCTGGTATGTTGTGTCTTTGTTCTCGTTGGTTTCAAAGAACATCTTTATTTCTGCCTTCATTGCGTTACATATCCAGTAGTCATTCAGGAGCAGGTTGTTCAGTTTCCATGTAGTTGAGTGGTTTTGAGTGAGATTCTTAATCCTGAGTTCTAGTTTGATTGCACTGTGGTCTGAGAGATAGTTTCTTATAATCTCTGTTCTTTTACATTTGCTGAGGAGAGCTTTACTTCCAAGTATGTGGTCAATTTTGGAATAGGTGTGGTGTGGTGCTGAAAAAAATGTATATTCTGTTGATTTGGGGTGGAGAGTTCTGTAGATGTCTATTAGGTCCGCTTGGTGCAGAGCTGAGTTCAATTCCTGGGTATCCTTGTTGACTTTCTGTCTCGTTGATCTGTCTAATGTTGACAGTGGGGTGTTAAAGTCTCCCATTATTAATGTGTGGGAGTCTAAGTCTCTTTGTAGGTCACTCAGGACTTGCTTTTTGAATCTGGGTGCTCCTGTATTGGGTGCATATATATTTAGGATAGTTAGCTCTTCTTGTTTAGTTGATCCCTTTACCATTATGTCATGGCCTTGTCTCTTTTGATCTTTGTTGGTTTAAAGTCTGTTTTATCAGAGACTAGGATTGCAACCCCTGCCTTTTTTTGTTTTCCATTTGCTTGGTAGATCTTCCTCCATCCTTTAATTTTGAGCCTATGTGTGTCTCTGCACATGAGATGGGTTTCCTGAATACAGCACACTGATGGGTCTTGACTCTTTATCCAATTTGCCAGTCTGTGTCTTTTAATTGGAGCATTTAGTCCATTTACATTTAAAGTTAATATTGTTATGTGTGAATTTGATCCTGTCGTTATGATGTTAGCTGGTGATTTTGCTCGTTAGTTGATGCAGTTTCTTCCTAGTCTCGATGGTCTTTATATTTTGGCATGATTTTGCAGCGGCTGGTACCGGTTGTTCCTTTCCATGTTTAGCGCTTCCTTCAGGAGCTCTTTTAGGGCAGGCCTAGTGGTGACAAAATCTCTCAGCATTTGCTTGTCTGTAAAGTATTTTATTTCTCCTTCACTTATGAAGCTTAGTTTGGCTGGATATGAAATTCTGGGTTGAAAATTCTTTTCTTTAAGAATGTTGAATATTGGCCCCCACTCTCTTCTGGCTTGTAGGGTTTCTGCCGAGAGATCCGCTGTTAGTCTGATGGGCTTCCCTTTGAGGGTAACCCAACCTTTCTCTCTGGCTGCCCTTAACATTTTTTCCTTCATTTCAACTTTGGTGAATCTGACAATTATGTGTCTTGGAGTTGCTCTTCTCAAGGAGTATCTTTGTGGCGTTCTCTGTATTTCCTGAATCTGAACGTTGGCCTGCCTTGCTAGATTGGGGAAGTTCTCCTGCATAATATACTGCAGAGTGTTTTCCAACTTTGTTCCATTCTCCCCATCACTTTCAGGTACACCAATCAGATGTAGATTTGGTCTATTCACATAGTCCCATATTTCTTGGAGGCTTTGCTCATTTCTTTTTATTCTTTTTTTCTCTAAACTTCCCTTCTCGCTTCATTTCATTCATTTCCTCTTCCATTGCTGATACCCTTTCTTCCAGTTGATCGCATCGGCTCCTGAGGCTTCTGCATTCTTCACGTAGTTCTCGAGCCTTGGTTTTCAGCTCCATCAGCTCCTTTAAGCACTTCTCTGTATTGGTTATTCTAGTTATACATTCTTCTAAATTTTTTTCAAAGTTTTCAACTTCTTTGCCTTTGGTTTGAATGTCCTCCCGTAGCTCAGAGTAATTTGATCGTCTGAAGCCTTCTTCTCTCAGCTCGTCAAAGTCATTCTCCCTCCAGCTTTGTTCCGTTGCTGGTGAGGAACTGCGTTCCTTTGGAGGAGGAGAGGCGCTCTGCGTTTTAGAGTTTCCAGTTTTTCTGTTCTGTTTTTTCCTCATCTTTGTGGTTTTATCTACTTTTGGTCTTTGATGATGGTGATGTACAGATGGGTTTTTGGTGTGGATGTCCTTTCTGTTTGTTAGTTTTCCTTCTAACAGACAGGACCCTCAGTTGCAGGTCTGTTGGAATACCCTGCCCTGTGAGGTGTCAGTGTGCCCCTGCTGGGGGGTGCCTCCCAGTTAGGCTGCTTGGGGTCAGGGGTCAGGGACGCACTTGAGGAGGCAGTCTGCCCGTTCTCAGATCTCCAGCTGCGTGCTGGGAGAACCACTGCTCTCTTCAAAGCTGTCAGACAGGGACATTTAAGTCTGGAGAGGTTACTGCTGTCTTTTTGTTTGTCTGTGCCCTTCCCCCAGAGGTGGAGCCTACAGAGGCAAGCAGGCCTCCTTGAGCTGTGGCGGGCTCCACCCAGTTCGAGCTTCCCTGCTGCTTTGTTTACCTAAGCAAGCCTGGGCAATGGCGGGCGCCCCTCCCCCAGCCTCGCTGCCGCCTTGCAGTTTGATCTCAGACTGCTGTGCTAGCAATCAGCGAGACTCCGTGGGCGTAGGACCCTCCGAGCCAGGTGAGGGATATAATCTCGTGGTGCGCCATTTTTTAAGCCGGTCCGAAAAGCGCAATATTCGGGTGGGAGTGACCCGATTTTCCAGGTGCGTCCGTCACCCCTTTCTTTGACTCGGAAAGGGAACTCCCTGACCCCTTGCACTTCCCAAGTGAGGCAATGCCTTGCCCTGCTTCAGCTTGCGCACGGTGCGCGCACCCACTGACCTGTGCCCACTGTCTGGCACTCCCTAGTGAGATGAACCTGGTACCTCAGATGGAAATGCAGAAATCACCCGTCTTCTGCATCGCTCATGCTGGGAGCTGTGTACCGGAGCTGTTCCTATTCGGCCATCTTGGCTCCTCCCACCTGGTAGCTGTTTCTTGCTCTTATTTTAATTTTCTGCTTGTACTCTGTTGCAGCTTTGGAATACAAAGTTCTAAGGCAGCGGTTTTCTATGTATGCGTTTTAGTGTAAGAATTTTGAGACATTTTGCTATTCATTGGCCGGTGGCTTTCGATATGCCAGATACCTGGTTTCTGGACACTCAAGTTATAACTCTAAATCTTGCAAATCTGCTATTCCACAGACGCACTAACTTGCTTGTTCTATAAAGACTTGGTTATTGTACCAACTAGAAAAGAAACAGAAAATTCTCATTTGTCCAAAATTTAAGCACTTTTATAATTCAGACAACTAGAATAATACTAACAAAATCACAATCGAGAAAGCAAATTTAAGTTATGTTTGGTATAGTTTTAAATTTTGTCTGAATTTATCGTATTCAAATTATTTGGAAAATATTCATCTTCATTATGGAATTCCTATTATGATCCAGGCAATGTGTGACATAATGTAAATACCAAAGGAATAAAAGATGTTTCGTGTCTCTAAAGAGGTCAGCCTGGTGCTGGCAGGATTGGAGGGAAGGAAGCAGAGACATAAACGAATACACGGAATGAAGTGCAATATAACTAGCCCTATGATACAAGTATGTTCAGAATATAATTGGGGCACAAAGGCAGGAGTGGTCCATTCTGCACTACTGGGCCAAAGGAATGAGGACCATAGATGAAGGGATAGGCTTCCAGAGGAGATGAGATATGCCTTAAACAGTGAGTTGCTGCTCTGTAGCTAGATCAGGATATAAATAGTATTTAGTGGCTGATGTGAAAAATTTAGAGGCTTAAGTGGTAGCTTGAACCATTGTTCAGCTAGCAAGGGGAACTACAAATAATCCTATTGCTGGAAGGTAAGTGGTAAATGTTGGGGATGGGAGAGTAGAGAGCTGAGATCATAAAGGTAGACTTACCATAAAGGACCTTGTATATTATGCCTAGAAGTTTGCATTTTATTCTGAAGCAGGGGGAGTCCTGGAAAGGTTTTAAGCAGAGAACTAATATGATTTGATCTGCGCTTTCCAAAGATGCCTCTGATGGTGATGTGATGGATGGAATGAAGGAAAGCAAAAGTGGAAGCAGAATGATAGATTATGGAGCTATGGCAATGGCCCAAGAAAGCAGTCAGGAATCCTGAACTCAGGAAATGGGATAAGAGGATGTGGTAGACTTGAGAGGTATTTAGGAACTAACAGGACATGATGATTGATTAAATGTCAGAGTTACGCTGGCGTGGGGATGAAACTTGCGAGGGAACTTCCCGAGGAGTAAAGAGTTAAGGACACCCTCAGGTTCATGGCTGGAGTGACTGTGTAGGTAGTGCTCTTTATAGTGATAGAAAACTGATAGAGCATATTTTAGAGAAAAATGAATTCAGTCTGGGACATGTTGAGTTCGAGGTACTTGTGGCCTAATTGGGTGCCTGATGAAGTACACAGCTGGTATACCAATTGGATAAATAGATGCATATTATATTATGGAAAATTAGTGTTAAAATGCATACTAACCAATAGCAAGATTCATCTGGTTAGTATTAGAAGTAAATCATACTGTGTTAAAGCAAGCTTGTAAGTGGCTCATGCCTGTAATCCCAGCACTTTGGGAGGCTTAGGAGGGAGGATCTTTTGAGCCAAGGAATTCAAGGCCAGCCTGGGCAACAGGGTGAGACCCTGTCTCTACTGAAAATTTTAAAAAAGTAGCCCAGTGTGGTAGCACACACCTGTAGTCCCAGCTACTAGGGAGGCTGAGGTGGAAGGATTGCTTGAGTCCGGAAGGTTGAGGCTGCAGTGAGCTGTGATTATGCCACTGGGCGACAAAGCGAGACTCTGTCTCAAAATAAATAAATAAATAAATAAATAAATAAATAAATAAAAAGAAAAAAGAAAATAAAGGAAAAAAAAGTGAGACTCTGTCTCAAAAAAAAAAAAAAGAAAAGAAAAAAGCTTGCAGGAATAAAGTTTGAAATAGGCAAGGGAAGAGAGGGCAAAGATGTCATGAAAAGAATTTCAGGTGATTTCTTATTCAAATAGTTCAACTCCAAGTCCTTATGGCAGATGATGGTGCATGGACCAGCAGCTTGGTACATTTTGCCTCCCCTAAGCATGGTTCTGAGCTCCATGCTGTTGCCACTGTCTCCGCTTTTAACTCAGTAACTATGCTCTGATTTTTTCTTCTCAATTTTTCCTACGCACACCTCTTTTCTCATTCAAGGTGTGTGTTCCTGTAGTACTCTGCCAGACTTTTCCATGTAGCTGTATAATTATTCATGTTAATTTGTGCCGTGTTCCAGTAGATCATGAGACTTCTGATGGCAAGGACATAATTTTATTTATGTTGTACCCCAGTGTGAGGACTGGGCTTGATTTTATAGATATAATGAATATATATGTGATTATATGTACATATGACTGTATATATTATATGTATTATATATTATTGATTATATAAATATAACATACCCATCAGGTATCTATTTATCTATCTATCTATTATCTATCTATCTGTCTATCTATGAATCCATAAATATTGAATGAATGAAGTCAAAGGTAGTGGTCCTCTCATCTCTGTTGGCCTGTTTGCCATACATATTTTCAATCCTGTTTTTTGAGTACCTAATGTGAACTAGTAGGGTACTAGGTGCAATGAAGATTATATCAATTATGTATTATTGAGTAACAAACCACCAGAAAATTCATTGCTTAATACAATGGCAATTTATTTTTTCTCATTATTCTGTGTGTTGACCAGGCTGTTTTGCTTTTCTTAACTGGTCTCGAGACTGCAATCATGTGGGGGCTCAGTTGAGATAGGTGAGTCTAGGAGGGTCTCACTTGCACATTTGAAGTATCATTTGCAATTCCTGGAATGACTGGGGCAGCTCACTTCTCTTTTCCACATGGTCTTCCATTCAGGTCTTTTTCACAGCATACTAACTACTGAGTTCCAAGAAAATGAGAGCAGGAGTCACAAGGACCCTTGAAGCTGAGGCTCAGAAGCCTGCACAAAGACACGGCCGTAGCAGTATTTAAGCCAAAGCCAGTCACTTGGCCAGCCCAGATGTAAAGAGAGGGGGAAGAAATTTCACCTTGATATGGGAGAAGGCGAAGTCACATTGCCAAGTGTGGGATGGGCTATCTTTGCAAACAGAAAAATAGGGGAATTTTCAGAGGATTGAGTCTGTTCATTATCATACTTTGTTGAACAATATCAAAGGGGAGATCAGATCAGAAATATTTTTATTAATGCCCACTCTAAAATTTTTAGAGAGTCACTTTTGGAAACACTGTAATTGCTTAATGTATATTAACTAATGACAAGTTAAGAAAAAGTGACCTCATGCTGATATCTGAGTACAGAGTTGAACTTGACAATGTAATGATGAAGAGTAGAGAAAAAATATTTGATGTGAGTATGTATATACATATTTATTTAGATAAAAGGTCTTGCTCTGTCACTCAGGCTAGAGTGCAGTGGCACAATAATAGATTACTGCAGTTTTGAACTCTTGAGCTCAAGTCATCCTCCCACCTCTGCCTCTTGAGTAGCTGGGATTACAGGCACACGCCACTGTGACTGGTATGAAAAGAAAAATTTTTACATGAGGCAAATTAGGAAAGGAAGGCAAGAGTACATCTTGAAAACATTGTATATATATTATATGTCTCATATATTATTGATTATATAAATGTATATTACATACCCATCAGATATCCATATTTGAAAACAATCAAGGATGTTCTGGTTGGTTGTATAACAAGAGGAATCTGCACAGAATAAATGATAATGCTCATACTGCAACCCTAGCATGACAGACAAACATACAAACACACATACCTTTGTACATATAGGTAGATGGACATGTGAAAAAGCACAATGATATAGGGGTGATTTTAAAAGATACTCACACTGAAATTCCCCAGAAAGAAGAATAATATTAGAAAGTGGGAAAGAAAAGTAAAGCCCTTATAAAAGGTACATTAGCCAGGGTTCTTCAGAGGAACAGAACCAATAGGCTATAGATGGAGCGATAGGTAGGTAGGTAGGTAGGTAGATAGATAAATGGATAGATAGGTAGATAGATAGATTAAAAAAAATATTGTGAAGAATTGGCTTACATGATTTTGAAGGCTGGCAAGTCCCACAGTCTGCTGTCTGCAAGCTGGAGAGCCAGCAAAGCCAGTGGCGCAATTTCAGTCTCAGCCTGAGGGCCTGAGATCCAGGGGAGGCCGATGGTGTAAGACCCATTCAGAGTCTGAAGGCTTGAGAGCCGTGAGTGCTGATGTCCAAGAGAAGGAGAAGATGAGTGTTCCAGCTCAAGCACAGGCAGCAAATTCACCCTTTCTCCACCTTTTTGTTCTATTTAGGCCCTCAACAGACAAGGTCAAGTCCACTCACACTGGTGAGGATGATCTTTACTCAGTCTACCGATTCAAATTCTAATCTCTTCTGGAAACATCCTCATAGACACATCCAGAAATAATGTACCAGCTATCTGGGCTTTTCTTTGCCTAGTCAAGTTGACACGTAAAATTAACCACCACAAGTCCACTCCTTGTCACGTTGGTACCCACATGTCTTTTTGTAAATCATGCTTAATCTCCAAATACAGATAATAACAAAATCATTATTTTGCCTAACATGATACAACTATCTTGAATACAAGGGAAAAGGCGCTAATACTAATCCCTCCCCCAAAAGAGGAAGTGAAAGTTCTTGAGTGATGTTTATTCTTCCCCTGATATTCCTTAAATACAATAATATAAAAATAACAGTACTTAAATGCTGCCATAAAGTCAATACATCTTCTGTTATATAATAAGGAAATAAGAACAGAAAGAAAACAAAGATATCTGTTTAATGTGTGTGTATATATATATATATATATATATATATATATATATATGTATATACACAAGTGTATTCATAAAAAATAAGGAGAAAATTCTTATGATAATTAAAGTCTCATTTATGTAACTGGTCACATGATCATAGCTGGTATTTATAACTACCTTCTGCTACTATTCATTCAGTATTCCCCTTGCCTTCAGCAAGCATGTCAGCTGGTCATGGTTCTTTGCCTGATGAGGTGAACCAAACCATTCCTGAAGAATCTGGGCTATTAGTAGCCCTGCCTAGATTGGGCTGTTGTAGTGTTACACTGACCTTTACCACAGGGTGTGGTAATACTAAAAGACTCCCTAAGGGATCTCCTGTATACCAGACATACTTTTCCTTATTTTTGTGGAGGAGTAGTCCAATTTCCCCTTTGTAGCCTGGATCATTCACTCAGGCCAACACTGTAACTCCCTTCTTTTCCTGTTGATTCAGAGGCATAAAGAGCCCAAAGTAGCTGGGTGAAAATCTTAACATGCAGTTCAGTGGAATTATTTTGTTTCTTGCTGGAAGCATTCCTCCTTCCGGAACTAAGATCTCTAGGCCAGCAGAACATAAAGTCACTAGAATAGGAAGCAAAAGTTTGCTAGTGGGTCACAAGGGATAATAATGAGTGGTGACTCTTCCGTTTCCACTCTTTGATCCCTGAACCTATTAATTCTGTCTATTGGATAAACAGCATCATATACTGAATGCTGATTCATAGCATATATAACCTTCTGAAAAACTTTGCCCAAGTCCAGCAAGGTATTGTCTCCAAGGTGACACTTTAACTGAATCTTATTCTTTTTAAAATTTTTTTATTGTTATAGTTTAAGTTCTAGGGTACATGTGGACAACATGCAGGTTTGTTACATATGTATACATGTGCCATGTTGGTGTGCTGTACCAATTAAAACCGCCATTTACATTAGGTATATCTCCTAATGCTATCCCTCCTCCCTCCCCCAACCCCATGACAGGCTCCAGTATGTGATGTTTCCCACCCTGTGTCCAAGTGTTCTCATTTTTCAATTCCCACCTATGAGTGAGAACATGCGGTGTTTGGTTTTCTGTCCTTGGCGATAGTTTGCTCAGAATGATGGTTTACAGCTTCATCCATGTCCCTACAAAGGACATGAACTCAACGTTTTTTATGGCTGCATAGTATTGCATGGTGTATATGTGCCACATTTTCTTAATCCAGTCTATCATTGATGGACATTTGGGTTGGCTCCAAGTCTTTGCTATTGTGAATAGTGCCGTAATAAACATACGTGTGCATGTGTCTTTATAGCAGCATGATTTATAATCCTTTGGGTATATACCCAGTAATGGGATGGCTGGGTCAAATGGTATTTCTAGTTCTAGATCCTTCAGGAATCGCCACACTGTCTTCCACAATGGTTGAACTATCTTACAGTCCCACCAACAGTGTAAAAGTGTTCCTATTTCTCCACATCCTCTCCATCACCTGTTGTTTCCTGACCTTTTAATGATTGCCATTCTAACTGGTGTGAGACGGTATCTCATTGTGGTTTTGATTTGCATTTCTCTGATGGCCAGTGATAATGAGCATTTTTTTATGTGTCTGTTGGCTGTATAAATGCCTTCTTTTGAGTAGTGTCTATTCATATCCTTCACCCACTTTTTGATGGGGTTGTTTGATTTTTTCTTGCAAATTTGTTTAAGTTCTTGGTAGATTCTGGATATTAGCCCTTTGTCAGATGGATAGATTGTAAAAATTTTCTCCCATTCTGTAGGTTGCCTGTTCACTCTGATGGTAGTTTCTTTTGCTGTGCAGAAGCTCTTTAGTTTAATTATCCACAGCCAATATCATACTGAATGGGCAAAAACTGAATCTTCAAAAAAGCATTCCACTGTTCCATCAGGCCTGTTTCAGGATAATGGGAAACATGATAAGACCAGTGAATTTTACAGACATAGGCCTATTGCCACACCGTTTTTTTTTTTCTTTTTTCTTTCTTTTTTTGCTATGAAGTGAGTTTCTTGATCAGAAGCAATGCTGTGTGGAATACCACAACAGTAGATAAAGCATTCTGTAAGTCCATGGGTGACAGTTTTGGCAGAAGCATTGTGTGCAAGAAAGAAACATCTATATCTAGAGTGCTTATTCCAGTAAAGACAAAATTCTGCCCCTTCTGTGATGGGAATAAATGGTCCACTGTAATCAATTTGTCACAAGGTAGCTGGATGATCACCCCTGGGAATTGTGCCATATTAGTCTTTGTTGCTGGCAGAAGGGGTACTCAGTAGTGGGCCATAGTCAAATTGGCCTTTGGGAGTAGAAGTCCATGTTGCTGAGCCTATGCATAAACTCCCTCCCTGCCACCATGGCCACTTTGTTCATGAGCTCACTGGGCAATGACAGAGGTGGCTGGGAAAAGAGGCTGACTGGTATCTGTAGAATGGTCATTCTATCCCTGTGATTATTAAAATCCTACTCTGTTGAGGCTACCCTTTGGTGAACATTCACATGGGACAGAAATATCTTCATTTTTTGTCCATTCAGAGATGTGTATCCATCTACCTCTTTCTCATATTTCTTTGTCACCAATTTTCAGCCATGTTCCTTCTATTTCCCTGAGCATCCAGCCAAATCACTGGCCACAACCCGTGAATTGGAATATAACTGCTTGTCTTGCCATTTCTCTTTCCAAAGAAAGTGAACAACCAGGTGTACCCTCAAATTCTACCCACGGGGAGAATTTCTCTCTACTACTGTGCTTCAGGGGTGGCCCAGAGAAGGGTTGTAGTATTGCAACTGTCTACTTTCAGGTGGTACCTGCATATTGTGGAGAACTATCTGTAAACCAGGCCCAAGTCTTCTTTTTCTCTGTCAACTGGTTGCAGGTAACTCCCCATGAGGCCAGAAATGCTGGCTGGGAGAGAGAAGTCAGTGTAGCATGAGTGGGGTTCCTGGCATTTGGGCCATTTCTTCATGTCTCTTACCTTCAAGGCCCGCTGGGTCCTATTATGTATAAACCACTTCCATTTGACGATAGAGTGTTGCTGTGCATGACTAACTTTATGGCGTGGTGGGTCAGATAACCCCAAATTCATGATGTGCAACTCAGGTCGCATGGTAACTTGATGGCTCACAGTCAAATATTCAGTTTCTACTAAGGCCAAGTAGCAGGGCAATACCTGTATCTCAAAAGGAGAATAGTTATCTGCAAATGATGGCAGGGTCTTATCCTAAAATTCTAAGGACTGCACTTGATTCACTTGTGGGGCCTGCCAAAGGCTTCAAACAGCATCCCTATCTGCCACTGATCCTTTAAACACCACTGGATTTGGTGAATCATATGGCCCAAGTGCCAAAACAGCCTGTACAGCAGCCTGAATCTGCTGCAGAACCTTCTTTTTTTCTGGTCCCCACTAAAAACTAGCAGTTTTTTTGGGTTACTTGGTAAATGGGCTGGAGTAACACACTCAAATGAGGAATATGCTGCCTTCCAAATCCAAAGAGGCTGAGTAGGCACTGTGCTTCTTTCCTAGTTGTAGGACAGAACAAATACAACAACTTATCCTTCACTTTAGAAGTAATATCTTGACATGCCCCATACCACTAGACCCCTAGAAATTTGAGTGAGATGGAATGCCTCCAAATTTTAGGCTTTATTTCCTACCCTTCGACATGGCTTACCAATAAGTCTAGAGTAGCTGCTGCTTCTTGCTCACAAGGTCTAATCAGCGTAATGTCCTCAGTGTAATGGACCTGTGTGATGTCTTGTGATGGGAAGAGGGAAAGGCGATGGAACTAAATTATGACATAAAGCTGGCTGGAGAGTGGCCCTGAGGTAGGATGGTGAAGGTGTATTACTGACCCTACCAGCTGATCTTGACAATGGTAATAACGAAGAGAAAAAAAAAAACTTAATGAGGCAAAGTATCAAAAGAAGACAAGGAAAAGACAAGGGTACATCTTGTAAACAATCAAGGATGTTCTGGTTGGCTGTACAAGAAGAGGAGTCCACACAGAAAAAAGAAGAATGCTCATCCTGCAATCCTAGCATGATAGGTAGGTAGGAAGGGGTATTGATACGGGTTCATAGGTATGTAATGTGCAGATACAGATGTGGGGAGCTGGACATATGTGAAAAAGCACTATGATGTAGAGATGTACATGATGTAGAGATGTACACTATGATATAAAAGATACTAACACTGAAAGTCTTTAGAAGAAGGGTAATATTGGAAAGGGGGAAATGTAAAATCTTCACAAAAGGATAAAAGAAAAAAATGTTAAGAATCCAAGTTAAGACACAGGGATGAACAAGTCAAGGTACAAAGTAGGTTTCCTAATTGAATCCTATTATGGACAATCTGAAGTATTAGAAAGAAGGGAAAAAGGGGAAAGAATGAACACATCTGATATAACTGGTATAAATGCTCGAGTAAGAATGAGTCTTTTCCACTGATCTAGTTATTTTAAGTGGTGAAGATCTCCTCTCCCAAAGAATAGAAATATTGAACAGGTGCCCAGAACATACTGCAAGACATCTAACTGACTTATTGAATTAAAACACATAATCCATCACATGTGGAGTTTGTGTTTTCTACACAATTGTGTATTTTACACACATTTCTGTCATGCTGAATGTTTGTCAATAGTTCTTATAATGACAATGTTTTAGCCTCAGGGACTCAGAGGAAGGTACTTTCCTTGAGACAAAGCAAAAATATGTCCTCTCTTTCCCTCATCAAGGCTCTGGCTCTTGACCTGTTAAGAAGCATCAGCTGAAGATGCCCTTGGTATTGCCAGACTTCCCTTCGGAATGTAGGTTTTCAAACACATATTCCCAGCTGAGCCAGGGAGGTTTGCCCAAGAATGCAAGATGGCTTGCAGAAGACTGGAAAAGCAACTTTCTTTCTCTTCTTGTTTCAGCTTCCTTTACTGCAGCCAATGCCACACTTCATACCTGAGTATAAAGGCTGAAAGAAAGGAGAGCGGAGAAAGATAGGCAAATTGCCTTCACTTGCCTTCATAAATCTGCGGAGAGGTGTAAGCCTCTCTCTGTGGGCTGATGGCAGCTCATTTTCCCTTTGTGATGGGGAAGACATTGGCTAAATATCCTGATATCCTGAAATTAGCTTTCAATTGAATTAATAGTTGAAACCAAAACTGCGTATGGGACTGGTGGTCATTGGGAGACTTTTTTTTAACTCCTGTAGTTTATGTCATCTCTATGGCAGTTACCATTTCCTACCATGTACAGTCTTAATCCCCCTAGTAAATCTAGGGACTGTCATAAATATCTTTATTCCCTACAGCATCTAAAACAGTGCTTTGCACATAATAAGTGCTTAACAAATAAATGCTTAATTCCTTTATTTATTAAAGGAGTACATAAATAAAAAATAAAGGCTTATTAAACTATCAGTGGCAGAATAATTTTGTGATGGCTGGAGTTTTCTTTGATAGTCACCTTTTCAAATTATCATAAAGGTGTTTTTTTAATGTCTTTGTAACTTCAGTGATTTCCCTGATGTTTCACATCATAAATACAATGACAAAGATGTAGTTTTACCTCACAGTGTCAATATGTAGATTAATTTTTTACATTTTAAAGGGGATACTACAATTCTTTCTCAAATATACCTAATTCTAAAATAAAAATGAGCCAAGTGCAGTTATGCATGCCTGTAATCTCAGCTACTTGGGAGACTGAGGAGGGAGAATGTCTTGAGCCCAGGAGTTTGAGGCCAGCCTGGGCAACGTGGTGAGACCCATCTCTAAAAAAGAAAAAGGAAGGAAAAGAGGAAAAGAAAAAAAGAAAAAGAAAAATGGTTTCCTACAAGGTGATGTAGTGATGTAATCTTATATTCTTCCACGCTACTTGATTAACTATACAACATATTTTATTTTCTTCTAAGAGATTAATCATACATATTCACCTTTGCTTCTGTATTTAAAAGCCAGGGGTCAGGAATTTCAAAGGAAACACTTTGTTACAATTCCAGAACAGGAGAAAACATAACGGCAGAGACCAAAATCTATCATGGTATTTTGGCTTCCTGCCTTTCTTTAATTTTACAATGAGGGGGAAAATCCAGGTGAGACCTGACTCCTTTTAGGAGTTCCTTTCCTGTGTGCTCTGTCTCCAGCCAGGAGAGAGACTGACAGAACGATAACACTCGATGCCAGGCTCCTTTGCCCACTCAAAGACCCTCCCTCAGGTATCAGTTGCTTGGTTGAGCTCTGAGGTCAACTAGACACCTCCCTTGAGACTTACCTGGCCTGAGGGATAGAACGACCAGAAAATCCTCTCAGGGATAGCAGCTGTTATCTGAGCTAGGATCAAAGTCCCCCTCTGTACTGCAGAAAAACATCTTCCAAACTGGGTCTGTTTCTCCATGATTCCAATGAATGTTGAATGAGTCCCCAGGGACACCAGTTGCTTTGCTTAGGAGCAAGCTGTCAGAAATACTGTGCAATGAAAGTTCACCTCCTTTTAAGGTCTTTTTTGTTTGAGCATTTTTTTTCGTTGTCTCAGAGGGCCATCAGAAGTTAATCAAGAAATTAAGCAACAGGAAAATGTGATGATTAATTTTGTTTTGACAGTTTTCGTTTGTGTATTGTCTTTTTTATTTTTTCCCTGAAATATGACAATTGCTTCACCCTGGTAATAGCCATAGTATCCAAGAAAGGCACAGTAGGTATAAAAAGCCATTGTTCAAACCTTCAGTTTTGTATATGAAAACATGAAAAACAAAAAGAAACTTTCCTACTGATTAGATTTGGATTGCAAAGTGCTAAAGTTTCTCTTGCCTTATACCAAATCTTTTAGGCTAGTCCATAACAGCAACCTTAAACTAGGTACCTGGCATTCATGTTCTTAATGGAAATACAATAGTCCAGAAAATTTGATAATTTTCCATCAAAGGATAAATATGAACCATTCATCTAGTGAGTCCATATTTGCAGAGACTCAAATAGATCCAAAGTGATGCTTCAGTTTACTGCTAAGCAAATATAGCACTAGAGTGTAAACTCTTCAAGACGTTGAACATGTCTCATTCATTTTAGTATCTCCAGCAACTATCACTGGGCCTGGAATACAGAAGATGTACCAAATATCTCTTGAGTGAACTAGATTGAGATAGCTTCTTTTATCTTGTTAAAATTGCAGAACCAATGAACTGAACTAGAGGTGAAAATGTCATAAGGACAGAATATGTACCTGGGCCAAGGAGAGAGAGTATAGCATTTGGAAGCACACTTTATAGATAATGCTTTTTAAATACTTCCATTCTTTTCAGCTTGAATATATTTTGCTGACATTGTAGTTATAGCCAATTTTATTTTGCACGTTTCAGGTTGCCCAGTTTAAATTGATGTTTTTGGTAGCAATGCCAGTGGGTAGGTGGGTGGGTCAGATATTTTAGTCATGGCACACACTATTGTACAGACATCTGTTATATTGAATGGATTATTTTGTTTATCAAGTTTCTCTGAATAGCAATTTCAGTTCTGTATCTTATTTCCTTCTTTGATGAGGGTATTGCCAGCAGATGCAAGCTACATATTGGCTTGAGTTTCTTGCAGTTCCCTGCACAGCTTTTTTTTTTTTAACTTCTTTTTCTTCCCCTTAGCATTTTTCTTCTCAATTAACTGTATCATTCTAAAGAAATTCAGCATTTTGAACATGATATTCTAAAATTAACAGCCTCACTAATTTTCCTTTTAAGAAACATTTCTTATTTTTCCAAGGTCATTGCCAATAATAACACAATTTTCCCCTTTTCCCCCCTTTTAAAAAATCTTCTATTCTGGTGGTTTTCCCCCTTATAAATAGCTAGTTATTCTTTAATAACAAATGTGATTTGAGAGAAGAGTTTGTGGTTTTGTCTAAAGTACTGTTCAACAGTTGTTCTACTTATTTAAATCAGCAGAAACCCCTCGGGAGCAGAGCTTGTGTCAGCAGATCTGAACATAAAGGGTCAGTATTAGCTGTTTATTCTGAATAATCTGGAAGTCAGATAAATCTGAGCAAGTATTTTGGTAATCTCAAGAAAGGCATTGTGGGGAACCAAGAACTCTATTCTCTGTTGTGCTGTGCTCTATTGTTAAGACTACAAATCAGATGATAATGATAATAATAATGGTAATGATGACAATGGTAATAGTTAATGCTTATCCAGCACTTAATATGTGTCAGGTATCATTCTAAATCTATCTGTCTATCTATCTATCTATCTATCTATCTATCTATCTATCTATCTATCTATTGCTCTATCTATAATCTATCATTCAAATCCCACAACAAACCTATAAGATAAATATTTTTATTCCTGTTTCACATTTGAGGACACTGAGGAAGAATAACATTAGGTGCAGCCCCCAAATCCAGAGTAAATGGCTGGTAAATGGCTGAATCAGGACTCAAACCTAAGCAGGATAGCTCAGAAATGTGTACTTTCAACCATGTGCTACACTGCATATATTTACACATTAGGAAGGAGACAGTAATACGAATATATTGTTGTCTACACAGTTCCAGGCACTGCTAGGCATTAGCACTGGAATGCAAAATTCTCCTGACTTGAAATTGCCCACAGTCTAGCAAAGGATCAGAATTGAAAACAGATTAATTCACCACAAAGATATTATAGAGGAAGGATGCGTAGGCATGAAGATGGTTGAGGAAAGATCCCAGGAGATCTGAGCCTGGCCAGATGAATAGTGAGTAGAGGTCAAGGTAGGTGCAGAAGAAGGTTCAGAGAGCCCAGGAAGGAAGGAAAGGCATGTGTTGAGGCAGAAAGCCAGGAATCCAGTGTGGTTGTGAGGAGCATCTCCTCCCATGGCATTACTAAAATGCAACATGGGAAACTGGACAGTAACAGGAAAGGAATGTAGAGAAGCAGGTAGAAGCTTTGTGTGAGGCATTTATGTGATAAGTTGTCCCAAGGCAAGAGTGCATAATACGGCCTGCCTGTGGCAGGGTGAAAAACAGGAAACTGTCAACACCTGATTCCTCCTCTTGTCTACGCCAGAGAAAAGCCCTGACATGTGGGGCTTGGGACTAGTTGCTCACTGCTCCCCATCCTCCCTGTTCCACCTTGGAGCTTGGCCCTAACACAGGGGTTGGCAGTGGGACGGAACTGGCTGGCTCTGTCATCTGGACTCCATAGCATCATTTCACTTCCGGCCGCATCACCCTCCTTGTGGAATATGGCCTTGAGGTTGCACGTTGGTAATCCCTCCTGCTTAATGACAGTGTGCCATGGGTAAAGCTCATTTCTCCTTTCCTGCAGGTAAGAGAATCACAGTAATTATGTTGGATGAATGTGCATACAGTGGCCTAGCAGTTTGACTGAATTGGAAAATCAGCAAGAGTTAGCAATCTTGAGGAAGAAACAAAAGGCTGAAGAATATGAATAGGAGGGAGAGGTTTGAAAGGAATTTTAAATGTGAGGCTCTGGCAAAAAGCTAGATAGAGATACTAAAAAATGTAGACGACGTGGACTTTAATAGAGTTTCACAATATCCTATAGAGTTCAAAGTGCTGGATTATTGTGGTTCCAAGAAATCTTTTTCCCCTTATTTATAGCAATTAATATCTTGTTTCACTGTAATTTACATGTCTTTATCTCTAGACTGTGAGATCCTTGAGTCTAATCTTATTCCTCTTTTAGTATCTCCAACACTTAACAGGGCTTGGCACAAATTTACTGCTTAATAAAGGAGTGTTAAATTTAAAAACTATGTAATGGAGAGGCACAGAGAGGTATGAGCCTCTTTTGTGTTGGTTGGGTGTTGTGTAGGGAGAAACATAGAGGGCTCAAGATAGAGGCCCAAAGAGAAAAAATTATTGAGACAGACAGTGGGGTGAGGCAGAAAGTGCAAGGGCTTTGGGCTCAGAGAAACTCAGATTTCAGTCTTTGCCTTATTGGCACTTGGCTCTATCCCCAACTCTGGACAGGCCCAGCTCTCCATGAGGATGGCAAGGACAGGAAGATGTGTCTCAGCAGCAACCTTCCAGAATGTCCCGTATATCCTTGTGTGGAGGATGCTGCTTGCACACATGGATGCCAGGAGAGCCAGCTCTGCCCATCTCAGGCCAAGGTTTCCACCACGCAGGTGTGCCCAGCAGTGACCTCACCAGAATCTTGAGTTCCAGAAAGTCATATACACAGCCCAGTTCCCTGCTATCCTTGTTTCCTCTTTCTATACCACTTCTAGATAGTCCTGTAGGAATGTCTACTTCTGGGTGTGTACTAGGCTTCTGCATACACCTCTTGTACTGTCATATTATTCTTTTTTTTTTTTTTGAAATGTAGTCTTGCTCTGTCACCCAGGCTGGAGTGCAGTGGCACAAGCTCAGCTCACTGCAACTCCATCTCCCAAGTTCAAGCGATTCTCCTGCCTCAGCCTCCCGAGGAGCTGGGATTACAGGCACCTGCCATCATGCACGGGTAATTTTTGTATTTTTACTAGAGATGGGGTTTTGCTATGTTGGCCAGGCTGGTCTCGAGCTCCTGACCTCAAGTGATCCACCTGCTTCGGCCTCCCAAAGTGCTGGGATTACAGGCGTAAGCCACCGTGCCCAGCCTGTCATGTTATTCTAATATAACATGGGGAGAGATCTGGCAGCCTGGATATCTTTTTGGTAACTTACCGAATAACAATCTTGTATTAGCTGTTATCCGCTCCAAGAGTTGCAAACCATATTATCTATCTAGAATTGAAATTAAGCAAAAACAATTAGACTTTAACTCCAATTGATTTCTCTCTCTCTCTCTGAAATGAATAGATATTATTTTAGGGCAGTTTTACACTTACAGAAAAGTTGAGTAAAAAGTACAGAAAGTTCCCATATTCTCCCTCTTCTCTCTCACTCGTTTTCCCTATTATTAATGTCTTGCGTTGGTATGGTACATTTGTTACAAGCGATGAACCAATATTGATGCATCAGCATTAACTAAAGTCTACAGTTTCTATTGGGGTTCATTCTTTGTGTTATTCTACGGGTTTTGCTAAAAGCATAGTCATGTTATCTACAATTACAGTATTAAACAGAAAGAATCATTGCCCTAAAAATCCCCCTGTGATCCACCTATGTATCACTTCCTTCTCCTCCAGCCCCGGGCAACCATTGATCTTTTCACTGGCTTTTTACACATAGCAATGTGCATTTCAAGTTTCTCCATGTCGTTTCACTGCTTGACAGCTCATTTATTTCTATTCCTGAATAATATTCTAATATGTGGATGTTTCACAGCTTGTTTGTTCATTCACTAATAAAGGTTACCTATGTTTCTTCCCATTTTTTGCAATTATGAATGAAATTGCAATTAAATTTGCAGGTAGGTTTTTGCGTGGACATATGCTTCAATTCATTTGGGTAAATGACTAGAAGTATGATTGCTGGATCATATGGTAAGATGATATTTAGCTTTGTAGGAAACTGCCAAACTGTCTTCCAAGGTGGTTGTGCCATTTTGCATTCCCACCAGGAATGAACAAGAGTTCCTGTTGCTCCAAATCCTCACCAGCATTGGTGTTGTCAGTGTTCTCAATTTTGGCCATTCTAATAGGTATGTAGTGATAGCTTATTTTTTTTTTTTTTCGAGACAGAGTCTAGCTCCATCGCCCAGGCTGTAGTGCAGTGGCGTGATCTCAGCTCACTGCAACCTCTGCCTCCCAGGTTCAAGTGATTCTCCTGCCTTAGCCTCCTGAGTAGCTGGGATTATAGGCATGGGCCACCACGCGTGGCTAATTTTTGTATTTTTAGTAGAGACAGGGTTTCACCATGTTGGTCAGGCTGGTCTCAAACTCCTGACCTTGTGATCCACCTGCCTTGGCCTCCCAAAGTGCTGGAATTACAGGTGTGAGCCACCACACCCAGCCTCATTGTTGCTTTAATTTGTATTCCCCTAATAACATATGTTATTGAGTATCTTTTCATATACTTATCTGCTGTCTTTATATCTTCTTTGGTGCTGTGTTTGTTCAAGTCTCTTGCCCACTTTTTATGGGGTTGTTTTCTTATTTCTGAGTTTTGACAGTTCATTGCATGTTTTGGATACACATCCTTTATGATATATCTGTTTTGCAAATATTTTCTCCCAGTCTGTGGCTTGTCTTTTCATTCACTTAACAGTGTTTTTTGAAGAGTAGAAATTTTTAATTTTGATGTGGTCCAATTTTATGGTTTTGCATTTTGCATTAGGTCTATGATCCATTTTAAGTTGATTTTTATAGAAGATGTAAGATCGGTGTCCAGATTAATGTTACACTAATGTATTAGGTTGTTCTTGTTGTTTTATTTGTTTTTCTGCCTTTGTAGTATTGATTCTGTTTTGGTGCAAGCCTATTTCTCCCCTGATTAAATAGGTCTATTGCTAAAATGTGATATGATCTTTGACATACTAATATGTCTTATTAGTCTGATCATTTTACTCCCCAAAGGCTCTATTGTGAAATGTGTGGGTTTGAACAATTTATTTCATTTCTTTTTTCATGCATTTTCTAGTATGTAAAAATGGGGAAATTTTTCAACTTTGGAGAGATGATGAAAGAATTTAATGTTAGAACATATTAAGAGATGGGAAGTTCTATTTACCAAGTACTTCAAAGTTTCTGCTTATCCATCCGACCACACCACTTTCCTCTCAGGGACTCAGAAGCAGAGCCTGGAAAGACAGCTTATCTTTCCTTAAGCTGATGCTTAGAGGGTTTTAGAGATTATGTTAGATTTTTGTCAAAAAAAGAGAGGAATAGAACAGAGAAGAGATTTGTGTAAAGGACCTCATGGATGCCCATCGTTCACTCATTCAAACACTGTTTCTGACCACCCACTATGAGTCAGGTATTAGCAGACCCTGCAAATATTTAACAAGGAAAGTGGATATGGTCAAGGCCCCACTGGGTATGGAGTGTAGGGGAGTTAGAGGGACTTGGGGCACTCTTCCTTCAGAGTTGAAGAATAAAAGACTGAAAAATAATCGAGCTTTTGGACCATAGAAGCAGAAGTTCAATAAGCATAGACCTCTATGCTAGGGTGGAGGGTCCCAGGAAGCCTTGGGTTACCCTTCTCAAAGGTTGCATTCAGAGCATATCTATTTTGGCACAACTCCTGTTTTTAATAAATGCTTCAGGCCTTGCCTCAAAACTTAGTCTTGTTGCTGCTACCTCTACCTCCTCTACCTCCCATGAATGACAATCTCCCATCAGACCCTTTGTGGTCTCTTTCTGACCAGCAGCTCCTGATGTTGGCTTCTCACTTGCATACCTGCTGCTGTTCACCGTGTCTGCTTCTGGTTGGCTTTTCCTTTATGCCTTAATAGCTGAACTTAATAGTTCCCTCCTTCCGCCTGCGTGAGTTTTTGCTTAGTCTTTTCTACCTCCCCACTCCTTCCCACTCCACTTCTAAGGCAAACATAACAAAACCTGGATCTGAAGAAATAAACTCAAGCATTGGAGGAAGAAATGACAGAAAGCAAAACTTGAAACAATAATGATAATTCTTGAGAGCTTTCTACTGTTGAAGCTTTACATGGCACGCTTTATCCATTATTTACTTTAATCCTCACAACAACTTTGTGCCATGTTCTTCTGGACACTGCAACCCACAGCCACAAAACTAGAGATGGACTAAAATGTCCTTTATGATGTTGGCTATGTGGGTAAGTCTAAAATCTGAAAGTGAATTGGGGGGACAAGTGAAGGAGAGAGTGTGAGAAAGAGAGGGAGAAATAGAGAGAATGACTGACAGGCAGAGAAAGGGAATAAAGTCAAAGAACTAGGAAAACAGAGCTGGCTTCTTGTTCCAACAAAATGTAATTTAGATCTTGTTCTACAATAAGCCATAATGAGCAACAAAATCAAATTGATTATAAAAGGAAGAGTCTCCAGGTGTTCGGGATTTTTTTTAAATTTTGTTTTTTAACATAATTTCTGACAAAGGGAAAAAGATTTCTATTCGAATGGTTAGGATTAATTCTGCAGTGGGAAAGGGTTAAGTAAATTCTTTTTATTTGTTTGCAGTTTAGTAGTAGACATAAAAATTAAGTACCATGCCTTATCATTTCTTGCTGTAATGGACTCCATGCCACATGAAAAGTCGATAGTGTAAATGTATTGAGCATTGACACTAACTTGTTTCTTTTAGCCCCATACACCACAGTTACATCTGGGGGTATAATAAAAAGGCTGTGAACTGTTCTGAGGTTGCGAAACCGGACAAATGTTTTAGTGTATTTCTCACTCCTCATCACTTTCTTCTTTTTATGAGACTTAAATTCTCTTTTTCTTCGAAGCTTGACATTTTTTACTACTCTATTGAATATATAATTGGTCCTCTATTCCATTCAACTCCTCACATTATAATTAAAGACCACATTGTTATTACATTTCAATCATCACTCTTTGCATGTTGATCCGATTGATTATACTGTTTTTCTTCTTTTTATCAGGAAACTTAAAGTCCACTACCATGGTTCTTTTACCTTGTTCTGTCACAGGTAAACGATTCTCCCTCCAGGTTTTCACATTGATTACTTCACTGGTGAAATGTGTGATGGCATATCTTATACCCTCTTTTGTGTGTAAGTCTATTACTCAATCCTTTGCTTGCTTTTTTTTTTTTTCCTTCCTTTCCAGTAAACTATTCCTGAAACCCTTCTGTCTGAAGGTTTATGCAGATTGATCACGGTCTGAGTTTGGTGGCTGAGATATCAGCTCTTGGCCAAGTATTGTGCCACAACAGACGTCTCCGGGAAGGGAGGAGAAGCAGTGGTGAGACAACATTAAAAACAGACTTGGCAACACAAACAACAATTTCAGAGAAATTTGATTCCTGTGGAGCTACCCTGGAAAGCTCCAAATGATTTCTTTCACTATTTGCCGAAATGAAATGTTTGCCATGACAATCTGGTTCCCGCAGGTTGTGTTTGTAATTGTTTCTCTTTTACAAAGTACATGCCTTCATCGAATTTTAAACAACAACTTGTTTTATTTTATTTTTATATGAAACTCTGGCTGCCAGTATCTTAAAATGCTGCCTTGGGTGGTGTTGCTGGGCAGTTACCACCTTCAAGGAAATGAATAACTTATTACAGTTACGATTTTTAGATTGCATCTGGGTAAGAAGGAATTTCCCCATTTCTAGGATTATGGCATTGCATCTGGCTAGAAATGCTGATTTTGTTTCACTGTATTAAGCAAGACAGCTACAGGCAGAGGCAACAGCATAAACAGGAAGAGTTTGTTTTCATAGACAATCATCTTTGGCTCTGTTTTTCCGCTGCTGACTCTTTGTCTCAGGAGTATTTGTTTCCTAGGACTGCTGTCACAAAGTTGCAGCACAAACTGGGTGGCTTAAGCAACAGAAATTTATTTTTACAATTTTGGAGGGTAAAAGTCCAAAATAAAGGTGTCAGCAGTGTGAATTCCTTCTGAGGACTGTGAGAAAAGGATGTGTTCCAAGCCTCTCTCCCTGGTTTGTAGATGGTATTCTCCCTGTGTCTTCACACTGTTTCCCCTCTCTATAGATATGCACTGTCCACATTTCTTATTTTAATGAAGGCACCAGTTATGTCAGATTAGGGTTCATTTTAATGACCCCCATCTTAACCAATTACATCTACAATCACACTATTTCCAAAGTAAGGAAATAAGATGCCACTTTTAGGTACTGGGGGTTAAGACTTCAACATATTTTTGGGAGGGCACAATTTAACCGATAACATCAGGTATCCAGTTTTCTTATGCTTTTTTGTCATCTTTCTTCTTTATGCCAAGACCTTTAATACATTCAAGGGAGGGTGATAGGTCATAACTTAAGTTGTTATACCTCCCAAGCCTACTGGTATTTTCTTAAAGTCTCAAATATTGCAAAAATGGATGGGAGAGGCCATCAAGCGGAATACATTTTGGGGTATTCAGTTTGGGTTGATTAATTTTTCAGGAGTGAGGTTAGGTGTAAGGGCTAGGGGATGGTGCTTTTGAAAAAATCTTACTGTGGAGGTGCTTGTCATTTCACCTAAACACAGGAGAGAGCATAGTAATTGGAGCCTTTGCTCAATTATTTCAAGAAAGTATGTGCTATGTGGAAAGTACAAAGCAAAGCAATATTTCTTCATGTGTAGACCTTGGACTATCTGCCTCAGAATCAATGGTTAAAACACAAATTCCTGGGTCCCATCACTGTCCTAATGATCCCAAATTAGTGTAAGTTGATATTCAGGACCATTCTAACAGATACCCTAATGAAGTTTGAGCTGTTAAAACAACAAAACGTTATACAGAAGAATCTGTCTGGTTAATTTACAGGCATACCATGTATATGTACACGAGCATGTAGATCAATTTTCTCAATCTTTCAAAAGTTCAGAGGCTGGAGTTGGGATTCATAATCAATAAGAAGTTGCTCATGACCCTCTGCCCAGTCAATTCGGCGGGAAAGATGGTGCAAAGCTTTGAAGACACAATGTTTTATTTCATATGCATTCTTACCCCTCAATAAAGTATATGAAATTGTTCTTCCACCATAAGAGGAAAAAACCTTGAACCTGAGGGGCAAATGGTTGGGTGCTGGATCATTTGGAAGAAAAGATTGCCTTTTCCTAGTCAATCTAGACTTAAGGATAGAGGACTATCACAGTATCTACAATAAATGGCTATACAAATTGGCACATATAACCACTGTACTTTTGCATCTAATTTTCCTTTTAGTATACACAGACAATATGTATTTGTTTTCTCCCTAGACAAAATTTCTTTATTTTTGCTCTGGGGTGAAAAAAAAATCCCTGAAAACCCCAAGTATTAAAAAGAAACACACACACAAGAAGCAATTTTGGAAAGATTAAAAGCAATTGTTCTGTTACCCCTGGCAACAGAATCTAGATGCAGCCAATCAGCAAAGTTGATATATTGTTTTGACACACGTGCACGTATTTCTAACATAAATAGCAACAGAGACCTAATAACAGTAGGTTTTAAAGCTGGAAACTGATGTCATTTCAAATGTGTCAATCAAAGAGAACCTATGAAAGTGTTTTTTTCTATCAAGCTGACATTAAGTATATGCTGTAATGGCTTCCTAAGTGATGGCAGACTTCTGTCAGGCCATACAGGAGATGCTAAATCTATAATTACACTCTTGCTTCTTGGAATGTGTCCTTTAGCACATCTCAAAAAAAAAAAAAAACTTTAATAAGAAAATAAAATGAGTCCTGCAGTAAAATTCATCTGTTCACATTACAAAAAAAAAGTGTGCTTATAAGAATGAACAAAATTAGGCTAGAATTAGCTTGTTTATCCCTAAAATAGATGCATGTCTTTAGTTCCTATGTCTGTTGAATTTATGATCAACTTGTGCCAGTAAATTCTGCTATTTAAATTTTTTTAAGTCTCTTAGAAATTATCATTTGGATAGAACAATAGAAGAGAACAATAGTATTAGGCTGTCCTGAAGAAAATAAGTGGGATGGTTAGGGGTCCAGTTTTTGTGACACTTACTGCTCACTATGAAAAGGGATGGCTATGGGGTCACAGTTCATCCTTCCCTAGGAACCAGGAGCAGCATTATTAAAAATTAAATTGAAAAATAAGAGATGCCATTTATTGAGTGCTTATATGGAGCATGCACTATGCCAAGTGCTTTACAGACATTATCTCATTTAAATCCTTACAACAATTAAATAGGTAGGAATTATTATCCCATCAAACAGATGAGGAAACCTGGGTTATTTAGCCTGACTCCTGTCATATGGCAGATGAATAAGTGGCAGACCTGGGGTTTTATCCAGGGCTGTTTTGCTCCAAAGCTTCTGCTTTCATCCACAGTTCATAGGGACTTTGACTCCTCAGGTAGATATGTACCTCCCTCCATGCCAGGAGCCTCAGGATGCTATTAGTTACACACTTGAGAACTGAATGTGATCTCTGCTTTGTCCCTCAACAGATGGTGGGCCCAAGCAAAATTATATATAACTTCTTTGAGCTTCCTTTTCCTGATCAGTAAAGAAAGCTACTTTACTGATATTGATATACTTTATTAAATATTATCTCAATGGCTCCCAAAGTAACTGTAGCTGTTGGAGTAATTGAGATAATATTTAATAAAGTATATAAATAGTAGTAAGTAGTAGTTTTATTTAATAAAATTCTTGTGCTTCATAAGAGCTCTCAATAATAATTATCTTTCTCTTTGTCTTTCTTTCTTTGTAAGTATCTGTCTAAAGTACCAGGTAGTGTGATGCACATTGTAAATGCTCTGTTAATTTTTTGAATAAATGACCCAAAAAAGTAACCTTCAAAATCTAAAGTATTAAGACTTCAAATATCTAGCTAGTCTTTCTTTTCTTTTCTTTCTTTTGACAGAGTTTCGCTCTTGTTGCCCAGGCTGGAGTACAATGGTGCACTCTCAGCTGACTGCAACCTCTGCCTCCTGGGTTCAAGTGATTCTCCCGCCTCAGCCTCCAGAGTAGCTGGGATTATAGGTGTGTGCCACCACGCCCGGCTAATTTTATATTTTTAGTAGAGACGGGGTTACACCATGTTGGTCAGGCTGGTCTCAAACTTCTGACCTCAGGTGATCCACTCACCTCCCAAAGTGCTGGAACCATAGGCGTAAGCCACCATGCCTGGCCCTAGTCATCTTAATAAAGCTACAACTAAGGCCCTCTTCAACCCTTGCTGCACAATAAAACCACCAAGAGAACTTTTAAAATTAATGAATTTTAGGCTTTAAGAGATTTTTACTTATATCATCCAGGCAGGAACCAGGCACCCATATATGATTTTGAACTGCTCACTTTCCTCCCTTCTTTCCTTCCTTCCTTCCTTCCTTCCTTCCTTCCTTCCTTCCTTCCCTCCTTCCTTAAATTAAGATGAAGCTCATATAATATGAAATTAACAATTTTGAAGTGAACAATTCAGTAGCATCTAGTATAGCTACAGTGTTGAGAAACCACCCCCTCTATTTAGTTTTGAAACATTTTCATCACCACAAAATAAAACCCTGTACAGGTTAAGCAGATGCTCCTCATTCCCATCCTCTCCCAACTCCAGGCAACCACCAGCATGTGCTCTGTCTCTATGGATTTACCTATTATGGATGTTTTGTGTAAACACAACCATACAATATGTGGCCTTTTGTGTTTGGCTTCCTTCACTTGGCATAATCTTTTTGAGGCTCGTCATGTTGTGTCACATATCAGCACTTCATTCCTTTTCATGACTGAATAATATTCTTTTCTATGGATATACTATAATTTATCCTGTTTATCCATTTATTTGTTGATGAATATTTGGGCTATATCTACCTTTTGGCTATTGTAAATAGTGCTTCTGTGAACATGTGTGTACATGTATTTGTTTGAGTACCTGTTTTTAATTCTGTGGGTATACAGGAGTGAAATTGCTGGGTCATATGGTAGTTCTAAGTTTAACTTTTTGAAGAATTGTCAAACTGTTTCCATAGTGTGGGACCATTTTACATTCCCACCAGCAATGTACCAGGGCTCCAATTTTCTCATATCTTTGCCAACACTTATTTTCCTTTTTTTAAAAAAATTACAACACCCTTGTAGGTGTAAGGTGGCAGTTCATTGTGGTTTTGATTTGCATTTCTGTAACTTTTTTTTTTTTTTTTCGAGACAAAGTCTCGCTCTGTCACCCAGGCTGGGAGTGCAGTGGCGTGATCTTGGCTCACTGCAACCTCTGCCTCCCGAGTTCAAGTGATTCTCCTGCTTCAGCCTCCCGAGTAGCTGGGATTACAGATGCCCACCACCATACCTGGCTAATTTTTGTATTTTTAACAGAGACAGGGTTTCACCATGTTGGCCAGGCTGGTCTCGAACTCCTGACCTCAGGTGATTCTCACACCTCAGCCTCCCAAAGTGCTGGGATTACAGGCGTGAGCCACTGTGCCCGGCTGCATTTCTGTAATTACTAATGGTGTTGAATATCTTCTCATGTGATTGGTGGGCATTTGTGTATCTTTTCTGAAGAAATATTTATTCAAGCCCTTTTCAGGCATCCATATGTTTTATGATGCCTGCTATCCCTTGAATGTGATTTTAGTGCGCAGAGGTTGAGAAGAATCATTGATGTAAGGGAAAGTAAAGAGCAAATAAGAAAGAGGATGTCAGTGACTTATTGTCTTTGGCATTTGCATGTGGATAGGCAAGAACAGCAGGTAATGTTATCAGCCAGTCCTTCACCAACTCTGCTCTACCTGAAGAATTCAAACAACAAGCATAAAATTGTATAAGTGTGACCAGTATATGTTCCATGACTTCGAGGTGGTATTAAAGACAATTTTAAAAGGCTGGGTTTCATGTTTTATAGCTAAATAAAATGTCTTACAAGACATATAGAATACTTTTCCCAGAGAAGCCAAAAGGTTTACTCTTTTGTTACATTTTGTAGTAAGGGTACAGATTTTTCACTTTTAAGAAATTATGACAAGCAAAGGAAAATAATAAGCCCGAGTTCCTGTTAAATTCAGAAGAAAAATATGAGTTACTTGTGTCCCTGGCCACCAGTGTGCTGCCCCTCTCTTTCCTTCTCTCCTCCCCGATTTCTTTGTCCTTCTTCTCCCCCTCTTTTCTCTTTCCTTTTCTTTCCTATGAATCATAGTATGCGAATAAGTAGAGAGGTTTATTTGATTCTTATACTCTGTTGAGTTGCCGATGTGGTCATTGTTAGTTTAGTGTTACATCTTTGGAATGCGTCTCTTGAAATTTCTATGTCAGAGAAATGCAAAAGAAAACAGTCCATCTAGCAGGTGCCTAGATATTTATTGTTCCTTTCTAAGATAGAAATGTAGTGCTTACAGAGTAGGGGATGAAATTTTCTTTAGTGAAAACGGTTTTATTAGAATTTAGACCCTAAATATCTGTTTTGACAATGAAACAAAAAATATTTGACAGCAAAACCTTTGTTGTCAGGAAGTGCTGCAGGATGGGCACTCCAGGCAGCCAACCCTGGGAAAGGAAAGGGAGACTCAGGCGTGGGCTGAGGGAGGCATCAGACTGTGCCATAGGCCTGGACAAAGGCCCTGCGAACCCAACAGGGAGCTCTGGAGCAAAGATTGCATATTAGAGGAGGCCTACTTGCGACTTGTCTTACTGGCTTCGTGTCACTGCCTTAGCCATTGGCCAAGGAACCCCGAAATAAAGCATGACTTGAGCTCCAACACTTGGGCCAGTCTTGAAGAAGCCTCCAGCCAGAAGATGTCAGCTCACCACACTGCCTGCAGCTGACTACCAACCACTTTCTTGAAAGTGTTTCTGAGTGGTCCAGCTCTGTGTTGACCATAGAAAGTGATCTGTTTTTCACTTGTCAGACACATAAGGGCAGTTGCAGGTAAGAAACAAGAAAACGCATGTTAGCAATTTCCTTACCTCTAACCTAATGGTTTCTTTATCAAAGTGATAGATTCTTATAAAATCTGCCAAAGGTTTCTCAAAATCTGCCAAAGCTCTCTCAAAACAACACAACCCCGATCCCTCTGGAACTTAGTCCAGTATTTAATGCACATCTTTTAGACTCATCCTTTTGAGAGCTAATTCCAATACCGTAATACTGTGAGGATGCAATGTCACCTCATAGACCTGGATAGAAAAAGGTTAGGACAGTGCCTGAGCCATAGTAAGTGACTGGTAAAGATCTGTTAAATTAATACATGAATAATTAAATTACATAATGAATTACAACAAGACTCTTTTGAATGTGGCTTCAGTATCATGGTCTAAAGAGTAGTAGCACAATTATTGATACCAGGATGCCAGAATAAAGTCCCGTTTTGAGTTTCTTGAAAGTTTTAAACTATGTTTTGAGATATTTCTCTTGTTTCAAATATTTCTACCATGGCAAAAAAACAAATTCTAAATGCATTTTGCAGGAGAATTTTCCACTTAATTTTAAAACCCTTGTGTATTTTAAGGAAAATTCAACCCACATGTTTCATTATTTAATTTACACTTAACCATAAAATGATTGTTTTGTAAGAGTCTAAAGTATACAAAAAATCTTTGGTAGTTTTCTCCCACCTTTTCTCAGAAATAGAAAGTCTCGGTTAAGGCAAAACTAAACTGCACATCCTAGCCAGAGTTCTAGAGGGGACAAGATGATGTATCCTTACTTCCACCATCATTCCCTGCCCGCATGGGCTGTGGGTCTCTAGTAGACTGAGTAGAAATTCTGTGTGAGGCTGTGGCTGCCAACTCTTTCCTCAGTCTGTTGGTGGCATCAACTCTGTGGCAGTCACAACAGGCTGGCCTGATTTTTTTTTTAATTATTATTATACTTTTAAGTTTTAGGGTACATGTGCACAATATGCAGGTTTGTTATATATGTATACATGTGCCATGTTGGTGTGCTGCACCCATTAACTCGTCATTTAGCATTAGGTATAACTCCTAATGCTATCCCTCCCCCCTCCCCCCACCCCACAACAGTCCCTGGTGTGTGATGTTCCCCTTCCTGTGTCCATGTGTTCTCATTGTTCAATTCCCACCTATGAGTGAGAACATTTTGTTGCAGAACAAGGGTCCTTCTCCAGACTGCACCATCGTGCAATGATGTTCTGCCCACCATGGCCTGAGCTTTGCTGCAGGAGGAGGGCTCCTTCTCCAGGTTGCAGACCCAGGCTGAGGTTCCTCAGAAGTCAGCAGCGGGTGAAAACTCCAGGGGACCAAGGAACAGCTCAATTCCTAAGGAACTTAAAAAGAAAGAAAGAAAGTGAAATGCCAGTCCTTGGGTTAATGCTTTGCCAAAGAGCCTCTTCTGAGATGTAGCTACTTCTTTCAAGGATGTCCTGGGGCAGAAAGAAAAAGTCAGGGAGGTGCCATACTAAAAATTAAGACTTAATTAAACAGGTCGAGAGGAAAGGGAGAGCAATTAAGTGTAATTTCTAGATCTTTCTATAAAGATATTTGAATGGCACTACGGGTGCTTACCTAGTCACAGTGGGTTTTCTTCACCAACATAAAAGAGACTGGGGCAAATAATATCACTAACATAGAAGGGATTGGGCCAAACAATATCATTAAAACATGTTCATGGTTGAGCTTAACATAAGCTAGGCATTGTCTTAAACTCACAGCTTTCCCTTAAGTGCAGTGGTTTCCAAACACTCAGCTAAACCTAATCTGTGACACAGCACTGTGGCTCCCTTCTTTAAGAGATGGTGCTCTATTATTCTTCTTCACTTAGAGTATTGATTACTTAATTAACTGATTGGTTAACTGAGACAGGGTCTCACTCTGTTACCTAGGCTGGAGTGCAATGGCACAATCATGGCTCACTGCAGCCTCAATCTCTCGGGCTCAAGCAATCCTCCTGCCACAGCCTCCCGAGTTGGCACCACAAGTGTGCGACACCATGTCTAACTAATTTTTTTAAATGTTATTTTTTGTAGAGATGGAGTGTTGCTATGTTGCCCAGGCTGGTCTTTAAGCAATCCTCCTGCCTCAGACTCCCAATATGTTGGGATTGCAGACAGATGTGAGCTACCATGTCTGGCTCACTTGATTTTAAAGAAGTTTTGAACAATCCCTTTACGTGGCTTGGAGTACTGCTTGATGGTCCTTCTTTCTTCAGTGAGTTGACACAATTTTGTCATGATCAGGAATGGCAAAGTCACAGAAGCATACTAATGAGAAGACAACAAAAGTTACTCAACAGAAATGGCCCAACTGGCTTGTTTATGTGCCCTCTTGCAACCGCATGATCTTGAAAGCTGAAGCTGGGGGGTGCTTAATAATGTGAACAGAGTTGTTTATCTGCAACAGCTGTTAAGTGTAAAAACATAATAATCATTAGAGGATTCAATGCAATGTAGATTACCTTGCACTGAGAGTTAAGCTTTGATGAGTCATCACTTTTATTGTTGTTTATTTCTTCTAATTTTTCCTACTAGGCTTACCATTTTTAAATTAGTGAGGGAGGTGTTGGAGAGAGGGGTTTTGGCAGGTAGATATCTGCCCCCACCTTGATGGCACAGAGCCAGGGGTGGTGTGGTAGGAGGAGGAAATCCTCATTCTCCATTCCACCACCCATGGTGAGATGTACACTGAGGCTGTTAGCAACAGGGATGGAAAGAGCTCCAGATTTGATTCACTGTGATGCCATTCGAGAAGTTCATGACAGAGAGAGATTGTGAGAAAGGGAGAGAGTTGACATTATATACGTAAATAGTGAATAGTAGAGTGAGCCCTGACAGCCAGACCATAGTCTTTGCCTTCCCCTGTGCTTTGGGCCACAATGAAGAGAACTGGCAGAATGGAACACATTAGAGAGTGAGGCAGAGCTATAGAGTTAAATACACAGCCTTTAAAAAAATTATTAATAAACATTCCATAGGTTGCTTGGCCTTTCTAGGAAATAACTTGAAATATCATTTGATAGTCTGGTCACATGGCATTGAAACCTTTCTGAAGATTTTGTAAAGATTTGAATCTTTCTACAACCTAGATAACCTTGTAAAACCTATTGGAAATACAAATGCACAGAAGACACGATGTCCTTCACATGTATTTTTAGAATGAATGAACCCTCAATCTGGGCTCCTATTTAACATTATTTTAAAGCCAAAACCTGGGTTAGAAAAAATTATATTTTATTCAATATACATTTATATAATTGGGGATAAGAAAATCGAGTTCTATATACCAATGAGCCTTTACTTTGAGTACACCAAGCATTACTAGTTAGCAGATAAAAGCAGAACGGCTTATGCTGGATACATAGTTGTGCTCATGTTGTGATAACCAGAAAGGTGGGGGTGGCTGATGCTTCCACATCTCTACCTCAGAAGTGTGGGCTTCTGAAATAGGTACAAGCACCACATACTGTCTGCATAGTAACGATAAAAGAATGACTGCCAGTGAGCCGAGATCTTGCCACTGCACTCCAGCCTGGGCGACAGAGCGAGACTCCCATCTCCAAAAAAAAAAAAAAAAAAAAGACTGTCGTTGCCATTTGGGGGTTGGGGGGTGCTTTTTTTGGTATTAAAAAGGATTGGCCTTTTGGAATCATTGAAAATAACTGGTAATTTCTCAAGCACCTGCTTACTTGATCATAATCGATAGGGCCAGTGGACTCTGGAGATACCTTTTACAGATCACCATTTATTAAGCATCTCCCAGGTTAGCAGGGTGGTGACATTATGCCAAATATGTTTTATGAAAACATCACTTGTATTGACCTTACAACAAATTTATTATGTACCTTAAACATTTGCATTGCACATTAAATCTTTTCAACTTAATAAATGACTGAGGTAAATAATCAAAATATAAATTCTAATTGCCTGAGAAGACACCGAAAATTTGTTAACTCTTCCAAATGACTCTTTAATCACACAAAAGCCTGTTGACTTGTAGAGGTTGACCTTAACCTATGGTTTTGTCCATGGCTGGTGTTTGGAAAACACACTTCTTTCTTGAAAAGCCATCCTATAATATGTCAATATATTAACATATTATATTTAATGTTCCTGTTAATTATTCTGTAAAGAAAATGGGCAAGGTAAAATTCTGCAACAAGTTGTTTTTGAACTCTGGCCTTATCTGTAATAGTTCCCTTTGTTTCTTGGACCTGTGCTCTCTTTCCAATCTGTGTGCGCTTCCTCTTGTATTCCCCACCTGGGATTTTTTTCTCTTTCCTGCCTGTTTTAATAGCTATTGCTTTCTTAAAAAAACAAGCAAACAAACAAACAAAAAACAAAAACAAACCAGAGGATCGAGGCTTGCTAAACCCAGTGGCTTTTCTTGATTAATTTTAGGAGGCCATCATCACTCCAGTTTTACTCCAATTCTTATAAACATGCTCATGTGTACTTAGTGCACTGTGTGTGTGTGTGTGTGTGCATGTGTGTTTAATTTCAGGTGTGTTGGCTCTATCTTCCAGAAGTGTAGGACAAAAACATGTAGTGAAACAGTTAATAGAGACATAGTTACCCAAAAATATATGGACATTATTCTTGAAAACCACAAGAATGTAGGCTCTATAAAGACAGGAATCTTTGTTTTGTTCACAGATGATCCAGACTTCCTGGAATATAGTAGATGCTCAATAAATAAATGAATATCCAGAGTCCAACAATGTTCCCAATTGTAATTGTTCTCAAGGTTAATCTGCCATCAGATTTTTTTTTGGGACTATAAAAATCATGCACAGCTTTTTGAGAATTAATTTCCCTACTTGTGAAATAGTGATTATGATTGAGTAGGCAGGTGCTTGAGACATTACTTGCTCTTTCTCCAAAACTTTAATGACAAAATCCTTCAAGCTAATACTTTATGCACAGAATTCTCCATTCTAAAATCAAAATGGTCTGGGACAGAGAGTAACTGCTTTTGTTTCTCACCAGCATTAAGATGATCAACAGCTGCTAGCACTGCTGTATATTTTAAGTCACAGTTTGGAAATGAAATCAGTGACTGGCATCACCAATCCTTATTATCCGATGAACTATTGAATGAAACTTGTTTTTTATTCCATAGTAGTGCTTTGGAAAGGAGGACAGGCAAAGATTCATCCTTATGGTTAAACAAAATTGCAAAATTGTCGCCTGTAAAAGACATCTTTTTCTATTAAGAGATGCAAAGGCCTGGAAAGTGGGGAGATGGTATTTGCCTAGCATATGATTCCTCTGGAAATATTTGGATCAGACATGGCTAAGAATTCACACCTGTAAAATTCTTCCTTCCTTCAATCCCTGTAACTAATTTATCATCCTATTGTTGTGTTTGAATTAGCAGAAGTAAACCACAAGGCAACTGCTTGTCAAGAGTGCTATATCCATCTGAGGAGGAAAGTATTAAATTAGACCGGTGACAGGAAAGAATGGGAGCTTCCCATGCAGACCTGGCTGCCTGAAATCTGTAAAAGTTGTCAGTTATTTAGAGGATTCTCAGCAATGACAGGAGAGAGGCAGAGGGGGAAGTATTCAGGTTGCATTTCTGGGCGGAGTTCCTTCTACTCTAAACCTAACACTCTGAGAGCTGAAACTTGGCCCCTTTGCGAGATTAGGCTTCCCAAATTAGCTGTCTTTGGTGACAGCAAAAATACCTGCCTGTCCCCTTAAGCAAGACTCTCCACCTGAATGAGAAACCAGAAGCATGGCCCAAGCCCAGAACAGGTGTTTAACGGGGAAGCTGAAAGGTAGCAGGCTTCCACATGCAGAACGTTTGAGTCCATTGCTGTGGGGATTTGGCTGCATGATAAGCTTTTATTACAGTTAAACAAAATTAAAGGCAGAGTCTATAATACTGGCACAGAAGCTAAAAGGGGCATATTTGCTGGCTCACTTGGGAATCCTAAGTTTTGTTACATTTTTAGAAAGTGGGCATCTTTAATTGCCGTCAAAACCTGTGGTGAGACATAATGTTTATTTGTTTGTCAAGATGTTTCCAAATGTATTGCTGTTATTCTTTTTTTAAAAAACTGTACTTCAGTATAAATTCTATTAGTTGTTCTAAATAATACGTGACATATTGGAGGCAACCTCACATTTATGGACTTATTTTATTCACAAAGTACCTATATGAGGTCGGTAGGCTGAGGAGCATTATGATTACCTATTTTATAGACGAGGAAGTTAAGGCGATATGGAGAAATGATCTTATGTCTCTTTTTCTGAAAGTTTTATTCTGAGAAAACAAGTAACATCCCACTAGAAAAGTACAGATTTTGTCACAAAGACAGATTATAAAATCACAGGAAAGAAGCTGTAATTTTTTTGCCACTTCTTCAACTTAAAGTGGATATCCACAGCATTCATTCTCACTTCCCTCATTGTTTTCCTTTACACTCACTGTACAATCTAAACATACAAATGTATTTGCATGCTGCTCATTCCCTGGTCCCTCTCCCCTTTAAAGTGTTAGCACCATCAGGGCAGGCACAGTGTGGCTTTGCTGCTGTTCCAGTACCCAGTAACCCTGCTTGGCACCTAATAGGTGCTTGAAAACGTCTCTTCAAGGAACAAATGCTTAAAGAGTAAACATAGCAATATATTTATATTTGAAAGTATCAAAAAGTCAGAATATGGAGAAGTTTGGGAAGAATTAGTCCAGGTGGAAAAGAAATAAATCCTCTCCATTTGCTTGAGACAATTACAACTGTATAAACAATTATACATATCTCTCTTTTTTTCTTTTTTGACTTTGCCACTATATGTAAAACAAGGACTAGGAGCAGGGGGTATGCAGGCAATGCTGGCAGTTCTTAAGGAGTTATAAGCAGGAAGATAAGAGCTGTCTTGTGAGGAGTTATTATGTGGGGCCTTACACAGGGGCTTTGAATGTCCTGAAAAGTCCCAAAGTTGTGTACAGGCTTAGGTGAAGAGATTCAAGGTGAATTTAAGGAAACATCCTATCTTAACTCGAGTGTGAAAAGAAGCCTTGGTGGGTTGTAAAGAGTCATTAACAGGAGGTACGTGAGGAACGTGTTCAGTAGAAGACTAACAGGAAGCTTGTAGATTAGGAGTCTGCTCTCAGCTCTTCCCTGGACTGGCAGTGTAGCCTTGGTAAAGTCACTGAGCTACTCTGGGCCATCATTTCAGAGTTTGAATTAGAAAAGAGATTTTCCAGCTCTAAAAATCCATGCTGTTTTTACTCCTCCAAGTCTTGCTCTATGTTCTGTATTCTTTCTAGAAAAAGAGTCCTTATATATTTAATATTTGCACTTCACTGTTTTAATAAAAGTTGTTTTCGTGGGGGAAAAAAAAAAACTATATTTCTTTGTGAACTATACCTGCAGGAAGCCTAGCTGTTTGAACCATGAGGCTCTAAAAAAGGCTCAGGAGTCCACCTGGTGGTTTCTTACCCTAAATGCAAAATAAATGCATAGAAAGAAAGGGCCTTGTAAACCCAGTTAAGTACAGGAGTGATCTAAATCTTGGGCAGATTTTCATAAAATGTCTTGCCTATAGACTCACAATGAATTAGTTTCCTTATCTAAGTCCAGGTCTCTTCTAATTGTCTAATAAGATTGCCCTATATCCCAACATATGGAAAAGAGTTATTGTGCTTTCTGAAACATTTAATTGCTATTAGGGAAACTTTGGTTTGCCTCTTCTCGGGAGAAATAATTCTGGTACTGTGCTTTTCCCCTGCCCGATACTGTATTTTGATGCAACAGGATATTAATGGCTAGCATGAATTAAATCTAGGAAATTGGCCAATGGTCTGGCCAGTGCCACAGGTCAAATAGGCTATAAGTTGAGTCCAACCAAGAGAGGAGGAGAATGACAGAATAATGCACATGTAGGTTGGCCGGGCAGATGGCTACTCTCTTCATTCAAAAGCACTTAATAGCAATTCCTGCATGTACGGAATTCCAGGTCATCATGATCTTTACAGACAACTCTGTGATAACTTATCTGATTGTATCATAATCATTTAAGTCCGTGTTTATCTCCCTTATTAGTCTGGAATCTATAAGGGCAGGGACTGATTTATCTCCACACCCCTTGGCTTGAGCAAGTGCCTGGCACATCAAAGGTGACTCTACATTATTAGACAAACACTCTTGATTATTATTGTAACTATTGCTGTTTTTGTATTTACTATTATTACTTGAATGAAAAAAAGAACCTATCCAAATTACTGGTAAATAATGAATTTTAAATTTCCCCCAAACAATCATTTTAGAGAAAATACTCAGGAAAAAGGGATTTAGTTAGTTGATGAAATATTGTTTGATCTTACTCAAAATACACTTACCTTTATTAAATAACACAACTTGGATTCTATCTTCTATAAAAATACTGATAGAATATTCTCCTTTTCAATTGTGTCAGTGGGGTGATTGACAGATATGTGCTGAGACTGACTTGTGTGTTCAAAAACTAGTGCTTTACAATGTAGTTTCCTGAAATCCAAGATTCGGGAATATTCTGTTATTCTCCCTAGTGGGTAATGCCAGGAACCCTGCTATGTGATCTTACAAGCCTACCAGCTATTTTGAAACCTCACAAATTTATCTATCTCTTCCTGTTGTTCTTTTTTATAGCTTTGTTATATGCATCAAAATTATTTCCAGCACAATGCTAACCTTCTCAGGGATACATATGTTTAAAATAAAAGGGATTGGGAACAAGCTTAACATCCTTCTCTTAAAAGTAGCATACATTCTTAACATTAAAAGAAGCTGCCTATGGTCCTTAAGAATATATAAGAATAGTCCTATAAGAGCTTTTTCTTTCCTCATTTGTAAAATAATTTATACACATACACTTCTAATTAACATTTTATGTATACCTTCAGTTTTTTCCTCCCAAGCACTTGTGTTTATAAGGACACTGCTGTTGAGAGTAAATAATGATACAATTTTGGCCTTTATGATTCCAAACACCAGTAATGTCCTTTCCAGTGCCTTTTCACGATTTGTCTAATCCTCTATCGCCCTTTCCATCTTAGGCTAGTTGCTGTTCGTGTCCACAAGAGATGAGCAGCAATACCATTATAGGATTCCCTAACAAAAGCCTTCCACGATCATTTTCTAGCATCTTGGAGATTGACAAGGTCCCCTCCTGTTTCCCAAGCCCATTTCCCCCCTTATTCCTGGTGATTTCTTTTCTTATACACCAGAAAGAAAGCACCTCGCTGAGTGGTGACCTCTCTCGCTACATGGATACCTGCTAGAAACAACAAACCTCACGTGTTAAAACTGCCCCTTGATGTGTTGGGATTGGTGTGATGGTTCCTGTTTGATATACTGGGCTGCTTGGAGCTGCCTTTAAAAAAATCAATCCATATTAAAAATAAAAGTTCCTTTTGAAAATTACTCTTCATATTTCTTTGGGGGGGTTGCGCCACAAACCAGCTAAAAGTGCTGAAAAGTGTCATATAATGAAACCACCAGGACTCTAACAAGCCAGAGGAGGAGAAAATGTCTTGAATAATTACAATACTTTTTGCTTTTCAATCATGTTTCAGTTTATCAGTAATGTCTAATTTGTTTTCTTGTTGAGAAGACTGCAAACTTTAAAAATATTTATAAGATGTCAATTTTAATCTTTTGTCCAGTTTATTTCAAATTGGCAAGTATATATAGATATATAGACGTATATTTGTTTTAGAAAAGTATGAGAAATAATTGCCCATGAACTTATATCACAGGGCATAACTTTTTATTAAAAGTTAATAACAATCTCCCTGAAACTTTATCCTCTTTTTACTAGTAATTTTTGCTAGTAGGTTTTTGTTTCATTATGTGTGTAAGTCAATAATGTATGCCAAAGTAAATCATTTGAGAAAAGGAATAAACAATTTTAAAATACAGAATAGCCTTTAGAAAAACAAAATAATTAGAATGTTTTTGGTGAACTTTTCAATTGGAGAGACTCCCTGGTTACATGTGTTTCTTAAAAACATATGTTTATCATGTGTATATAGGTGCATGCATATTTATAAGCAGATTCTAAATATATGTACCTGCAGTTTCTTCATTTAAAAAAATATATGTTTGTAATGTTCCTCACATGACTAGGTTCAAACATAAACATGCCAGGTGTGGTAGCTCATACCTCATTGATGAGGTGGTTCAGGCAAACAGCCAAATGAGAAAGGGTAACTAATGGTGAGCAGCTGTGTTGGTTTAAAGGGCCTGCTGAAGGATCTAACCTGAGCAAGGTTGTTGCAATGTATTAACCACAGATAAGAGTTTGGTTGGTTTTTCTTTCACAACCCAGTTAATATACAGGAACATGAACGCCACTCCTCCTGTAGACTCAAAGGATTAAGACAAATTTAGGGTAGGATTTGAAGAGTGTAGAAAAGCATATGTTCAGCCTTTACTTGAATAAAGGAATGTTCCTATCAGCCTAAGGAATTAAGTTTTGAAAAAGAAGAGCTTCATAATTGCACAGAGATTGGTCAACTGTTTCTCAGATTTATGACTGGATTTAGGAGGCAATCAAGTCTCAACTCCTCCAACTGGCTCAAGGCCTTCCTTAAGCCAAACTCCCTGTACTGACTCACCTTGAGCTCCTCCAGTTCCCTGCTGTGATCTGATTCAGTTCAGCGAGATGCCTTTTTCCTGAAATTGTGTTCAGTCTGTATCCTCTGCCATGTGAATACTCTTGTAAAATGTCTTTCCTGTTTTCAAACATTATGGCCTCTGCCATGAGACCTTCTTAGGCATGGTAATGTGCAAAGTGCATGGGCTCACCAAGTTAGACAGATCTGGGTTTGAATTCTGGCTCAGCTACTTACTTGCTACATGACACTGGGGCTGTTTTATTCCTCTGAGCTTGTCTCTCCTTCTGTAAACCAAGATGATAACAATAGCTCCTGTTTTAATTGAGCCCCACTATAATAATGCTAGCTATCATTCATAAGTTTATGTGTCAATTAATCAAATCCTCACAGCAATCAAGGGTATTTATTTTAATGACCATTTTATAGATGAAAAAAACTGAGGTTCAGAGAGATTAAGAAAACTGCCTTAAGTCATAGAGCTAAGATTTAAACCCAAAGTGGTTTTGTTTGTTTTAACAATTTCATGGCCAAATTTTTCTCCTCTGTGTCATTCCTCTAACTTAACTTACCTTACAGAGCTTTAGTGAAGATTATAAATGAGATATGTAAATTATTTAAAATGTAATAGGCATTTAATAAAGTTTTTATTATTCATTTATTTTAGCCCACCTATCTTTTAACATTCGTTTGTCTATAATATATGTTTTGGTATTAGCTTTAGTCTTTTAAATTTTTTTTGGTTAATTTGTGGGCTTATCTTACATTTCTGTATGGCTGATTTTACTCCTATATAAGGTAGGAGACTACTTGCAAGGTATGATTTAGGGGAGATGCTTTGCAAAATTTCTATGCTCTTCCTTAAGGAGCAGTGCAATGCCTTTTATTCTATGATTAACATGGGGACTAAAAATGCAAAGTCTCCCATCTTTGAACTAAATGTATTCATTCAAATTAATCTCTGTTGAGTATCCAGTAGGCATTGGAAATGGTTTTAGGCAATAGGCATATGAGACAAATAAAAAGGAATCTCTTTTCAGTCTGACAATTCCAATTCAATGTGAGGAGGGGGACTACTTGCCTAGAGTTGCTGTCTGATGTAGTAGCCGTTAACCACATGTAGCTATTGGGTGCAGCTAGTCTGTATTAAAAGGTACTGTAAGTATAAGATACACACCAGATTTCAAAGACAATATAAAAAATGTAAAATATCTCATTAATAATTTTTGTAATTTTTGTAATGATTACATATGGAAATGAGAATATTTCGTTTATGTTGGAATAAATAAAATATATAATTAAAATAAATTCCATCTGTTTCTTTTAATGTGGCAGCTAGAAAATTTAACATTCCACATATGGCTCATAGTGTGGCTCACATTATATTTCTATGAGACAGTGTTGGCCTAGAGTAATTGGGGCAGGTGGAGGATGAGTTAGAAATTACCATTTCTATGTATTTCATTTTATAAAAATCAAATTATGCTGTTAATAACTGGTTTGTAACTATGTTTTTCCCCCTCAATAATATAGGTAGATGTCATCCCATGGCTGGATGGTGGTTCATTATATGGATGGATCATAATTTATTCAGCCTGAGCCTATGAAAAGTTGTGGATTTGAATAGACTAGAAGTAGAATTAGAATCATGGGGTAAAATATAGGATGTCACAGTTAGAGGGTATGTAGACGTTTCTGAGGCCAAATGCCTCATCTGAGAGATGAGAAAACTGAGGGCCAGAAATGATGACTAGTGTTTCCTTTGGCTCTTTATTTTTTTTTTAAGCTAACACTGGAGCATTATTCTATACTGTGCTCTGTGCTAAGCGCCATCTCAATAATCTTCATGATAACCTATGAGGTAGGCACTACTGTTATTTCTACTTAACAGGTGAGGAAACAGAGACTTAGAAGAGGTCACCTAACTAAAAAGTGACAGAGCTGAGACTTGGCCAAATCTACTTGATTTCAGCCAGAATTGTTACCATTTCATCAGAAGTTGCCAAATTTTTAGATTTAACAAACTATTTTTCAATGGAAAAAAAACCCACACTTATCCACATCTTTTTTTTTTTAGCAATAACACAACAATTACTGCAATGATGTCACCACTATCTCTTATAGCCATCATTTCATAAAGGTAAGAGCATTTGAAAATAAATAAATTAGTTTTACTTTTTAAAAAAACAATGTCACTTTATTGCCCATATTTTTCAGATTTTACCATGGAGTGGCGAAAACAGGGACACAGATAGGCATTGGGCTGAAACTGGTGGTAGGGAACTGTGCAGGATGCTGCAGGAGAAACTCAGTGCATGTAAAGCTGGCTGCTGAACTATGAGCAGGCTCAGATGACTCTAGATTGCTGGAATCCTCTTCAAGTTCTTGCGATACTGCAAAAAAGTGTCAGCCCTTGCCATAGTTATCCTGTGCTGGGTAACATCCTTCATTGCACGGGTACTTTACTGTATCAGATCTGTGTACTTCGATTATTTATCATTCTAGTTTTTTTTTTTTTCCATCTTAGTTGCTCTATAAGGATGTAAAGCATTGGGTGTGTTCTGATCCCCTCTTCGCATAGACTCCTTAGCCTTCAAGAAGCTGGCTCCATTGCGCTGCCTTTGTATTTTGGAGCAGGCTGATGAGACGGACATGATGCTTTGGCTGTCACTGTGTTAACTCTGTTCTTGCATATGGTTGGCATCTTCTTGCTCTGCTTTCCTTTGCCAGCCAAATAATTCTAAGTACCCATTGCAAATACAATCCCTCTATGGCTTGATGCTTCACCAATTTGGAGGTTTTCTAGAGACGGTAGGATTAAATTGGTATGATACAGACTTTGTTATTCTTTTTCTAACAAGTGTACCATATTAGCACATTGGCCATATTAAATGATTATTAAGTGGTAAGTGTCTTTGAAGAGTTTTTTAGTTTCTCTGGGGAAAAAAACAAGCTACAAATTTTATCATCAATAAGCTTAGTGTTGCTGTCGTTTTTGTGCTGACTTCGTTTAGATAAGACTAATACTTAATGACTTTGAATGAAGTAAAACAGCAAAAACAATTCATATTAAATATCGGAGTCTCCACAGAATTTAGAATAAAATGCAAGTAAAAAATTAAGAATAGGGGAGAAAAGGAGGAACAGCATTAGAATGTGGTGCTGTGTCAGTGCTGGTGAATGCTTCTTAGGTTACCAGGCCAAAGAATGTCTACTAGAATGGAAATAAAAATCTTTATTGTTACTTTTATTAATTAGAAAATAAATCCTTGTTTTTACACTTCATGTTTTGATTTATAATATTTCAAATTAATTTTAGGTAATTGATTTCTTACAGGAGATCTCCTTAAATTCCACATTGAATATAATAAATGTTGAATGATGCCAACATTTTAATCTTTCTCCATTTGGGAAATTGGAGTTCTAGTTCCCATTTTTCCATAACTGTTTTTTAATTGATGAAGGAAATTTTTCTTTTATCCCAGGGTTACTAACCTTCCTCAGCCTTTTGTGTATTCCCCAATCAAAAGGTTTTTGATTATCTAAAGAAATGACACCCACTGGTTCGCCTTTATAGATCATTTTGTTACCTCTTTCAAAGCATCTTAACAGGTTGGGGAGCCCAGATTTACCCTAACAAAAGCCAGGCTGGTCGCTCTCTTTTGTAACCTCCTCCTCTAAGCAATTTATAACTTTCCCTTCAGTGCACAGCTGAATTGGTTATACTGGGATCCAAGGGCAGCTGTGGGGGGTCCTGGATTGTTTTCAGGGGTCATCAGAGGATCTTTCTAGAAAATTATGGCAGCACTGAAAATTCTCAGTGCCCAGAAGGGTGAAGAGAAAAACTTCTTTTTTTTTCAATCCCTGTTGATTTCTGTTTGTTACTTAATCTTTTAAAATTATTTTCAACTGCTGGAAGTTTAGATTGTGTCCTGAGTTACCTTAGGTTTAGGGTAACTGCATAACGAAAACTAGAAGAAAGATAAAAGTGAAGAGGATTGTTGAGGGGGAAAAAAAGGTGGCCTTGGGACATAGCCTTGGAAGGGAAGGAGGAGGAATTTTTAGAATCTTAAATTCTTAAAAGATTTTTTATTTTTAATTTTTGTTTAGAAATTTGGAATTTAAAATCATAGGAATCGTCAGACATAATGGAGATAAAACTCATGCTATTGATGAATTAAACTATGCAATGTAGCAATTCATTCATGCTCTTCTTATTTTTTCTATTACACAAGTAATACATAACTACTTTTTGTAAATATCTTAAGTAGAAACAGAAGCATAGAGTGAAAGTTTCTCTTTATCTTCCATTCCTCTTCTTAAGGAAAGCCATTGTCCTCAGTTTGAGATGTATCCTTTCAGTCCTTTTTTCTACTTATTTACATGCACATATACAATACAAATATAGAGAATATATTATTTTTGTTTTTATATAATGGGATCCATACTATATAAATTGTCTTGTGACTTGTTTTTTTCTCTTTATAAAATGTCTTGGAAATTTTTACATGTTAGTACATATAGATCTACTATATTCTTGTTAATGGCCACATGGTATTTCATAATATGGATATAGCAGAAACTATACAACTGGTGCCAAGTTAATAGACATTTTCTATGTTTCCAAATTTCTGTTATTATAAGCATTAGTGCCCAAACATCTTTGTGCATGTAAGTATCTGCAGAATTTCTTGGACATGAAACAGCTGGCCTGATTCACTCTCCACTATTATTAGCATACTGAGACATCCTCTAACGCATATGCCTGCCTCCATGATCCATTGCCCACACAGCACACGGTAAATCACTTCTGAAAATGCGTATCATGTTGCTCTTTTGCTTAAAACCGTTCGATGCCTTCCTCTTCCTTTAGAATAATGACTCAGCTCCTTCTTTTGGTTTACCAAGTCCTGTCTAGCCACAGCTTACCCCTTAGCTGCAATTTTCATGTTTTTTTTTTAATGTTCCAGCCAAATGGAGCTACTTCCAATTTCCTCAGTGTGTCCTTCACATATAGGCATTTACACCACAATTTGTTCTACCTGGACACCCCTCCCAACCCCCAAATTTTACTCATCTTTAGATCTTAGCTTGAAAGTAATTTTCCTGGGAAGCTTTCCCTAAGCCACTCCAATCTCCAGCCTGCATCCTACTCCTATACACCCATGTGCATCCACTTTCCTGGGTGAGATGTTCCGGTACGTATCCCCTCATAGCCTCAGCTCTGCACATTGTGAGCGCCACCTTATTTGTATGAATCCCCCACAAATCTCCTGTAATTTTTATATCTATCATACCACTCAATGGTAATTAATATCCATGGTGTCACACTAAGCAACATAGATTCTAAAGTATCTCCTAAATTCTAAAGAACACGACATTATTTCACGAAGCCTAGCACAGCGCATTGCAATAGAAAAAGCATTTCTCTGATCTAGGCGATCTTGAGTGGGAAGGGTGCGTGCGGCAGTGCTGAGGCAGAGGAAGCAGGGGAGACTTAGGTTTCTCAATTATCCAACAACAGCCTGTGGTGGGGCCATTCTGTTGAAAGCAAAAGCTAAAGTAGACTCATCGAATCACCATGCTGGAAGGGTGCTTAGAAATCATCCAGCGTCTTGCTACTCCAAGTATGATCTGTGCACCAGCAGCATTACATCACTTGAGAGCTTTTTAAAAATGCCTCATCCCTTACATACTGGATCAGAATCTGCATTTAGTAAGCTCCCAGGTGATTTGCTTAAACATTAAAGTATGAAAACGCTACCCTAATTCTCAATCTGACTCTATATTAAAATAATCTTGGCAACTTTTTATTTGTTTTTTTTTGTTTTTTTTTTTTTTTTGAGATGGAATCTTGCTCCTGTTGCCCAGGCTGGAGTGCAATGGCATGATCTTGGCTCACTGCCACCTCTGCCTCCCAGGTTCAAGCGATTCTCCTGCCTCAGCCTCCCAAGTAGATTACAGGTGCCTGCCACTACGCCCAGCTAATTTTTGTATTCTTAGTAGAGACAGGGTTTCACCATGTTGGCCAGGCTGGTCTCGAACTCCTGACCTCGTGATCCGCCCGCTTTGACCTCCCAAAGTGCTGGGATTACAGGTGTGAGCCACCTCGTCTGGCCATCTTGGGAATTTTAACCAATCCTAATGCAAGGCCCACCTCCCAGAGAGGGTAATTCTATTATTCTAGGGAGAGGCCAGCCGGGGCATTGTTGTTACTTTTTAACTTTCCAAGTGATTCCGAAATGTTGTAGCTGGAATTCAGATTTCTTGACTGAGGCCCTTCCTCTTCTAATGGTACAGATAAGGATGCTGTAGACAGCGATTTAGTGGCTAAGTTGTGTTAGAACCCATGTGTTTTTACTCCACTTCTGTGTCCTCTCCTCCATAAGACAGCCTCGGAGTGATCACTCAGCAATCCTACAAAGGGTATTCTGATAGCTACGCTTTATTTTTCAGAGGGAAATTGTGCTGTCTAAGGAGAGTTCACGGCAACAGGACAATGCATGGGAACTAAAATGTCCTTTGCTTTGTTTCCCTGTACTTCTCTTCACCAAGCATTCTGTCAGATCAGACCGTTGGCCCTACTCAGGGTCTGATGTGACATCACCCACAGAGGAGTCTCTGGCTTAACCCTCTGACAAGGAGGGTGTGCTGTGCCATCCTTTTAACCAAATCTGAAACACACCTATAAAATGCAGCCTCCTAAAAATATACCCTTTCAGAAAAGACCACCTTTTAAATTCTAAATTCCAAAGAAAGGCCACAATCTCAGGAAGCATAAATGAATCCCCAGATAATTTGACACCTGCACCTGAAACCAGCAAGTTTGCTGCTGAGTTTTGGTTTCTAAAGAAAAATCTTTCCTGGGCTCTCATTTACTCCTCAAATGCTGCTGTTCTCAGCAACTGGAGATCAGCCCCCACCTCAGGTGCAGGTGAGAATGTTTGCTGCTCAACAAGCTGGTAATCCCAGGTGCAGAAGTAAGTGCTTAGAGCAGTAGTTGGGAGGGTCTCAGTGCCTTTTCCTTTGGAATGTGATATTATCACTAGATTAAGAGGCTAGACACCTGGTGAAGAAATATTAGCCTTATTCTGTCTGGGTGTTTTTGATGTCTTCCTGGATTATTGCTGGTTGGAGAATTTTCCATTCTATTAAAGATTACATGACACTGAGCTCCTCAGAAATAAAAATAAGAAAATAGAGAAATGTAACCATGGAAAATATATATTTAATAAGAGGAAGCTCTACACTGATGTCTTCTTTCTTTTTTGATTATTTTCAAAGTATAGATTGATTAAGTTGAAAACCCTCATCTGCAAATGGAAACTTCGTGGGGCCAGACCAAGCATTTATAAGTTGATTTACTTAGATTCAGTTTACCCTACAGGTGAAAGGAAGTAAGCGTTCATTCATATTTCCACGATAATGGCAAACCTTACTGTGTAGCCTGAAAGGCAACTATTAAAAGCTCTCAAAAGTGGATGCAGATAAAAATGAACAGTACACATGTGCCCAAAGCGAATATGTTGTTCCAGAATGAAGCTGGTGGGGGGTGCAATATTGGAAGAAGTTTCGTTAAACTCAAGAAGTGAAAGCCCCTAGAAATGATTGAGGGGAAAATAGACACCCATTCTCAAATGCTTGGACCATCCTCAGAGACTTCTGGGCTCTGATATTTTGGGGAGTCTTCAAATTCTCTGACTTTAATATGTGTGATAAGTGACCTATCATTTCAAAAATTCAGCCCAATTGAAAATAATCTGGTTAGAACTGTAGAAGATTCTTCTGTTTGTGATTCCCTATTTAATTTCTTTGAAGAATTATTATTAAATCTTTTTTCTAAAGCTCTAGCATATGCTTGTGGAGAAGTAAAAAACTTAAATAGAAGAGAAAAAGCAAGAAAGAAATGTGGTACATAACATTTTTAAAAACCTAAAAAAAATTCATCGAGCCCAGTAGGCTTCCATTCTTGTTCAATTTTTTTAAATGAAATACTACAACCTTACAGAAAAGTACAGCACTTTATTAATACCTAAGTATCCCTGCTTGGTTTTCTAAACATGTTGCATACTTGCTTGAAATTATTTAAGAAATACACCTTTACAGATATAGGTGAAGTCCACTGGCTACCCCTCCACTATTGCATTCACTATGCTACACTGCTTTTATGCTTTTACTACATATGTTTGTATCAACAATCACTAGATAATGTTGTTTTGCACAATTTAAAAGTTTCAATACACAGTAATATGCCACATATCTACTGGTACAAGTGTTATTTATTTTGCTCCAAATTGTGTCTGTGAGCTTTTTTCTATGTTGGTTCACAGAGCTCTAGTTAATTCCCTTTACTTTATCAGTTGTATGACCATGACATGCTATATCCATTCCCCTGTTAACAATGAGTATATATGTTGTTTGTCAGCGTTGTTTATATTACTTTAAAATCTTTTACATGTCTCTTTGTGTGTAAATATGAAAGCTTTTCTAGCTATATACCAAGGACTAGAATTGCTGAGTCAAAGGTGAGCAGGTCTTCAATACTACTAGCCACTGCCAATGTAGCAGAACTTTTTCATCGAAAAGAGATGTATTATAATTTTGAATTCCAGTGATATAATTTTAAACCCATTATTAAGTCTCATAGTACCCTGTGGATTTGCACTCGATAGCCTGACTCTGGGGCATATGCTCTGCTCTCTGATCTAGGTATTCAACATGACATGTTTGCCTTATGTGCTCTTCCTTCCTCCTTCCTTCTTACTCTTGACAATAGGAATAACAAAATGGTAAAATGCACCTGGTTAAAATGTTTTTACCTTTAAACTTACAGTCACAAAAGACTGGCTCAAATAAATTGTAATTATAGACAAAGGACCTGTAGATTAAATTAAAAATAAATATCAACTGAAGGGCTTGTTTAGAAACAACAAACAAGTTGGCAGTCAGGGGAGGGGGGAGATTATCTGCCATCTAAAGCTAAGTTCCAGGTTTTGCTTGCAGGGAGAAACCTACTACTAGTACATTAACTAGCTAAAATTATCTTTCCTTTGGTCCTGTTTCCTGATACTGTTAGGTAGATGGGTTGTAGAAAAAGACCTAGAGAAGTTTTCAAATTATGATAAATTTTCATCATCTTACAAACAGAGAAACTCAAGGATTTCTGTTATACATACCTTTTCAGCAATATTTAGCATAAGGGTTCCAGGATAGACAGATTTATTCAAATTGATTTCTTAAGTTAAATTGAGCCAAAACAACATCATATTAGATAAGGATTACTTTAAATTATGTTCAAATGCTTAAATTAGACACTGAATTAGAAGGGAAAGAGTTGTATTATTTTTATTCGGTTTTTCTATTTTTCTATATATTCTCTCTATATTTCTATATCTCTGGTACTTCCAGATGATTGAAGTGGAATAGTTAGTTTAAGAGCCTTGAGCCTTTGCCACCACCCTAGAAAAACCTTATGGTTCTCACCGAGGCTCAATAATGATCAGTAAATATATGCGTACATTTGTAATTCAAAGTGCATTCAGCCATCCATACATGTATTATTGATTCCTTTTTTGAAAAGGTTGTATGTATCATCAATTAATATGTACTTAGAAGTCACTTGCAAAGGCATGTATTGGGGAAAAGATAATGTATATAGACATCGCTTTTAAAGGAGTAAAATATTAGCTGCAGTAAGTTGGAGTGTCCAGAAACAGTGCCCGTATTCTCAACTCTTGATCTCTTTCCTTACATCTGGCTCCAACACTTCCCCACTATTTTGCATTTTGAAATAGGAAGCAGTAATGTAAAAACACACTCACTTTTGAGAACCAGATCCCTTGCCCTCTTTCCAATTTCCATTCTGGGCCTTGTCTGAATGTATCCCCACTTTATTCACTGTCAAATGGTAATTAGGCCCTATAATAGAGCTTCTTTAATGGGCTGAGTGGTTCAAACTTTGGCCATATTTTCGGTAACAAAAAAAATTGGTACATTTTGGTGGAACTCATCATTCATGGTCTAAGTATTCAACTGACAGGAACAAGAAGTAACAGTGGGTTTCTCGGCTATCTGCCACAGGACCAAGGGAAAACAATTGTAGAATACATTAAACTGTAGAACTTAAAACACTAAATTGTAGAACTGTAGATTCTTCTACCATTGGAAGGTGCCCTGTCTTTCCACCCTGATCTTATATTGCTCCTTAACCTCTGAATATGCTGTGCTCATTTTTCTTTTAACATGAAGACTTTTCGATATAGGTTCCCCTAACCTTTACTTTTCTCCTGTCATAGTCATCTATTTAAAATTCTACCCATTCTTAAAAGTTCAGCAAAACCGGGCCGGGCGCGGTGGCTCACGCCTGTAATCCCAGCACTTTGCGGATCACGAGGTCAGGAGATCGAGACCATCCCGGCTAAAAAGGTGAAACCCCGTCTCTACTAAAAATACAAAAAATTGGCCGGGCGTAGTGGCGGGCGCCTGTAGTCCCAGCTACTTGGGAGGCTGAGGCAGGAGAATGGCGTGAACCCGGGAGGCGGAGCTTGCAGTGAGCCGAGATCCCGCCACTGCACTCCAGCCTGGGCGACAGAGCGAGACTCCGTCTCAAAAAAAAAAAAAAAAAAAAAAAAAAAAAAAGTTCAGCAAAACCTAATCGTCTCCTTAGATCATTCTTTGAGGATAGTAGCCCACGGTCCCTATAGAGCTTAAGCATCTCATTGATTCATCCAACATATAATCATGCACTATTTTGTAGAAGCAAATTATGTACCTTAGTTCCCTTCTCTCCAATAGAATGTAAATACCTTGAGGATGGAAGCCATATGTATTTCCTACTTTATCTTCTACAGCCCTATCAAAATTCTGAAGACATAGTGAGCATTTCCTAAATATGATTAGTTATGTCTTTTTCTTGACTCTTGCCATAGGTTAATGTCTTCTTTCCCTATAGAAGTATATGTATCCTAACAGCAAAAACTATAGCTAAGACTTTTGCGTTCTACATATAGCAGTTGATCAATCAGTATTTCTTGAGCAGAGGAGAATTTCTTGAGCCTCTGAAGAATGGTGTGATTGAGCAGTTTAAACAACCGTTTCCTCTTAAGGATTACGCTATGGAACAAGTGAGCAGTATAGCATCTGATGTCTAATCTGACAAGTCACTTCTTCAGATGCCAATGGCCATATTGGATTGTTTCTATTCAGAGAGTAACAGTGGCATAGGGGTGTTTTTTTTTTTTTCCCATCATTTAATCTATAGCACCTTATGCAGTACCAGGCATGTAGCAGGCCATTAGTAAACATTTATTGAGTTGAAATCGAATAAATTCAACAGGTATTTCAAGTATTTATTGAAGTTGTACCACTTACCCCATTATGTCATTTAATCCTTATAACAACAATTTCAGGAGGGTAATTGTCCGTCATTTTACAGATGATGAAACCAAAGCCCAGAGATATTAAAAGCACTGTCCAACTTCACGGCTAGAAAAGGACAGAGTGAGGAATACAAAGTTTGCTTTGCTTTGCTTGGACCCTCTAAACCCAAATCCCACATCCTTTTTGTTACATCACACTGCCTTGCCCTCAGGAATTTTATTTTGTTGCATGGGCCTCAGGTTAATTAATATATCTCCTAGTCTCTAGAGAAACCTCATACTGGGCCTAAGTCTACCTAAACTTGGTGGAGGAGTAGTTTCAAGGATTGAATCTTGAAAAAGCTAGTTGTATATTCATTGAAAAACTTAAGGCTGCTTGGGAAGAGAGTTTTGACATTAAAAAGGCAAGTAGGCAAAGACCTATGACATTAGTTTCAAAGGAAAATATTGCTTTTCACAATTGTTATTATTTTATTACCATAATTTTACCTTTTTAAGCCCATTTTCCTTGATCTGAATTCTGGTTATTTATTTGCCCTTCTTACTTCCCCATAAAGGTGACTACTGGAACAAAAAGTGGCTCTTTACCCTTCACCTCCCCACTCAATCTTAGATAGTAAGGAGAACACTAATCTTATTTCTAAAATTATCTGTTTATGTTAAAGGAAAGAAATATACCCCCTAAAATAATATAGGGATTTGTGGACTGGCTTTAGAACTAGAAGGAAACTTACACATTGGTGAAGCTGAGTGACTTGATCAAGGTTAGTATTAGCTAACCTCTTAGTTAAAGTATAAACCTAAAATGGACCCTAGAGATCATCTAGTTCAACCCCTTCATTTTTCAGAAAAGTGAACAGGTGCACACAATCCCAATAGCTTTCAAGGTAAATATAATGTCATCCCACAATGACCTCGCTTCTAGTTGCAGAAATGACTGATGTTTTGTGTGCCTTTGTGTTACCTTAAGGTAGATTCTTAAATATACCCACACCCCATAACTATAGTGGGCAGAATTGAATGTTCAGTAGCTTTTTGGAAACCTCACCATGGAAACAAAGGTTTGGATTCTCAGATTGGATTTTGCCGCTTTTCCTCTGGAGCAGATAAATTGAGGCTCCTGCAGGCATGGGTCCTGTCAGATGAGACTTTAAATTTCAAAGTAAAAGATTCTTCTCGGCAGGATATGAAAGCATGTTGTGGTGCACTATTAGTAAGGAATGCAGCCCGTCCCAATTCTCTTGGCCGACCCTTTGAAAACCATGACTGAGGGAAAAATCTTGTTCTTGGCCTCCTGGATTCTTAGATGCTCCAAAGAAATGTAATTGCTTTTTATAGCTAATAGACCCTTAAAATTGCTTCCAAAGAAGGTATGTCTAACTGCTGATTTTTAATATAGTATAATGAAGATGTGAAAAAGTCAAAATACACGTTTTTGAGCATATTAAAAAATATTTTTGATGCCCAAACTGCAAGAGCTTTAGAAAGTCAGTTCCACCTCTGGGAGGTAATTTTTTTGTGCAGAGTGAGGACCTGGTTCTATAACTTAGAAAATGGAACAGTTGTTAGGTGGTCAGCTAGAAGGATGGGATAGAAAGTAAAGGGTTTATTCCACCCTTATTTCCAAGCTGACACAACATGTTTTAAGTGGATGGTGTTTGGTTTCATTACCTTAACAGCATCTCCCTGTGCTCTTTGATGCATCGCTCCAGTGCTTAGTAATTTAGTAACAGGTTGGAGATGGACTGGGGGGTAAAATGAGACTCTGTCACCATAGGGACAACTACTTGCCTCTTATTTTTGAATTAGCTTGGTAGCAGAAGGTGACATTTTGCCCCAGGGTTCAGGGGAAAAATAAAGTTAGAAATTATACCATGCATATAAACTTGTTGAATGGACAAGTCCTCCAGAATCTGCTCTTAAAGTACCAGCTGATCAGAGATTGATGGTTCTAATCAACTCAACGTGAGACGTGATAATTTCACTTGTGTATAAAAGAAAAATATGACAGTTTTCATGACAAAAATTACCTGTTCATACTTTGTGCTCTTGTAAGGCTTGGTTTATATAAAATGCAGAGGAGCTGGTTTTCTAATCTTTTGAGGCATGCCATTAATTATTATTATTAACCAAAAGGGCTGAATGAAATCCTAGGCATAAAAGCGATCAACTCCAGATTTAATATTGGGTGTATGACTTAACTTTTACTCCATTTTGCCTGCTTTATATTAGTCTTAGGACACATCAATGACTATGCCTCACCAAATCATTTGAAGAAAGGAGTTTCCTATAAATACCTGGAACAGCTATCAGATGAGACAGTATATATACCATATTTATCAAAAAAAACCTTTGTCACAGTTACAATTTCCAAATATCTTTGACTACAAAAATTATGTGGTTCAGCCAATAAAATTCACGTAGAGCACTAGAATAATCACTGCAGTCTTTTTGGCCAATAGTACAATTAGAATAATCCCTGCAATGTTGTTTAGATCTTAGAAATGCTGGTATTACTTCCTTTTGTGATTGTGTCTTTATTTTGAGTATATGCATCTTGCAGCTAAAAAACTAACCTTTGGTTAAGATCTACACCGAATGAAGAATAGTTAGAAACTTCACAGGGAAAGTTGCTATTTAACTTCCCCCCGCCCCACAAACAATGCTGATGATTTACAGGAATTTGTAGTTTCTCTGGCGCAATATTTTTAATAGAAGCATTTCAAAGATTTTCAGGTGTTCATGGACACTGGAATTCTGGAAGGCACAGTAACTTTTAAGGTTTGGGAAAGGTACAGCATTTAACTGCAATTGATGAAATGATAGCAAATACCATGGATTTTATTTCCTGGGACACTAATTGACTTGGGTAGGGAAAGTAAGGGATGATAAACTATATGATTAGAGATTCATTCAAAAATTAGAGATTCATTTACATTAACAAGTATTTCTTTTGGATTCAAATGTTTTCTGAAAGTGCCAATCAGTTATACTTTAGTGTAAATTTCCTTAATTAGTTCAATAAGATCAAGTATTTTGGAGAGAAAAGGAAGAGGGGGTTTGATGTCACAGAAGTTGGATAAGGGAACTGAATTGACAAGAATAATAACAGGCCGGGTGCGGTGGCTCACGCCTGTAATCCCAGCACTTTGGGAGGCCGAGGCGGGTGGATCACAAGGTCAGGAGTTCGAGACCAGCCTGGCCAAGATGGTGAAACCCCATCTCTACTAAAAATAAAAAATTAGCCGGGCGTGGTGGCAGGTGCCTGTAGTCCCAGCTACTCAGGAGGCTGAGGCAGGAGAATTCCTTGAACCTGGGAGGTGGAGGTTGCAGTGAGCCGAGATCATGCCACTGCACTCTGGCCTGGGTGACAGAGTGAGACTCCATCTCAAAAAATAAATTAAAATAAAAGGATACCTTTAAAAAAAAAAGAATAATAACGGTAAAAACTGAATCACAAGGCATGGGACTCCTCCTCCTTGCTCAGACTCTTCTATCCCCGGACCCTTCCCAACTCATCTTTCCCTTTATTAAGAGAATTTTTAGACTGCCCTATCCTTAGAGAGCTCTACAAACTCTTCCTTGTAATGCAGGTGTGCCAGAGAGTTGAGAGTTCACTCCTAGGTATAAAATATTCTTTTTAGGAAATAAAGTACAAAGCAATTAACCTCACCTCCTCCCAACCTCCACTTCCACTGCCTTTATTTTTAAAGAGCTGTGATAAGAGTGAATAGTAAATCATGGCAACAGAAGTCTACCTAGAAGGTAATTCATGAACTTTCTAGTTGTTTCTACTTATTTAGAGTCAGTTAATCATTCAGTCTTTTTGCACGTGAGTTTGTGGACCCTTTTGCATGTGGTTGGTTCACTCAGCGTGTTGTTGAAGATGTTCAAGAAGAAGCTGATTGGTTACTTGCTGGAGATGTTTGTGAAAGGGTTTATGCAATTTTGAATTGGGCTGTTAAGACGGGCCAGGCGTGGTGGCTCACGCTTGTAATCCCAGCACTTTGGGAGGCCAAGGCGAGTGGATCACGAGGTCAGGAGATTGAGACCAGCCTGGCCAACACGGTGAAACCCTGTCTCTACTAAAAATACGAAAAATTAGCCGGGCGTGGTGGCAGGCGCCTGTAGTCCCAGCTACTAGGGAGGCTGAGGCAGGAGAATGGCGTGAACCCAGGAGGCGGAGCTTGCAGTGAGCCAAGACCGTGCCATTGCACTCCAGCCTGGGTGACAGAGCGAGACTCTGCCTCAAAAAAAAAAAAAAAAAAAAAAGATGGGTTGGGTTGGTTCCCTCCAAGGTCCATGCCAATATGAGGACTTAGGAGAGGGATGGCAAATAAATTTCAACAAAGTGCCCCTTTGATCAATTATTAATATCTACATAATGTCCTTGGTTGAAGAGAGTTCTGAGACCATGTCCACACTCTTGGAGAGAAACATTTGTGATCAATTAGTTTATGTCCACTTTCTGTAAAGAGCATTAGTGTGTATAGGCGTGTTTGCCATCTCTGTTCTAGAAAACTCAGCAAGTTGATTCTGACCTGCATTTTCATGTGAAACTGTTTCCATATCTTTCTGTTCATGTTCAATGACTGAATCTTGAACCCCATCCAGTTGCTGTACATGACAAACTGTTGGTCTGAAGAGGAAACAAGAGAGCATGGTTCAACATTAGGTGCATTCTTAGAAAATAACTCAGTATATTTATGAGTAGGATTTCTCAAATAAAGGGCAATACTTTAAAAATGTAGACGTTTAGATAGGTGTGAGATAATTTGCTGCTATAGCTATAATTAAAAGTGTCAAAAAAGTTGATATGTGATCTTACAAGGCAATGCAATAATAGACCTCAACGTACAACCCTCTATTTAAAACATGACCTGTTGCATGTAGCATCGTTTTTGAGTAGGACTGGCTTTGAATCAGTCTCAAGAAATTATTGCCCAGGTTCATGTCTTCTACTAGTCAACCACAGGATTTCCCCATCAGGGCATATAAAGCGAGACACTAGGTGTGTGTGATTTATATGAATTGCTGTTTGCCGGGATCTGTGTGAAAGGCTGTCAAAAGGGATGTTGCCTTTAATCTAAAAGTACTCAGCTGTTGGCATTTTGGCATTGTCCCTACTCAGAAATGAAGATATGAGATTTAAGGTATTTCTGAGGAATTTTCAATAATTGCTAGAATCAATTTGAGTTCTGTGAAAACCTGTACACATCATTGGAGTGAAAACAAAGGACTATTCATATGGATGATCTCTTGCCAAATTGGGCATGTGAAAGCTTATAAGAATTTGCTTGTATACCTTAATATGATGAATTAATGCCTTAAGAATATAACTCCTTCAAATGCCTTAAATTTCAAGAGGGTTTTTACTAACCATGTTTTCTTTTAAGAATGTGATGCATTTGGAACAATATAGGTGGGCAAATGATTCTTTAAGCATTGTGCTTGGCACCAAAGAGGAATTAAAATACAAGGTTTACAGATTGTGTATGCTAATACATCAACAAAGCTAGAAAGTGGAGAGATCAGTGCTGGTATTTTCTCCCATGTTGAGCGATTGTAGCAAGTATACATTTCTCTAAATAGAATGGGCACATCATTTTGGTCTGATTAATCTTAGCAAACAGAGGTGAATTAAAAATTCACCTTAGAGAGACCTTAGTCTCAGCGTGAGGTGAAATCATAAAGTTCTCCAAGTTGTGGATGAACAAGAAAATTAAAGGTATTTTTCATTATGTTATGCAATGTGCTTTCCATATGTAATACATTCCTCCCAGACTTTAGCAATAAGACAGTATTTCCCTTTCAAATAAACTACATACCTTCCTTTATAAGACAGTAAGGCTTCACATTTCCCTTGTTGCATTGACTGCCAGGAGTCTCAGGGCTATATTTAATACTCAGTATCAGAAACAATATCACTGTAGCTTCCTGACACGATAATGCTGTTTTTCCTAGGTGATTTCTGCTCTGCCTCAAAATGATTGCTACTTTACAAGTGCTATAAAATTGTAAGTCACATCAAATCCTTTGTTAGGATATAAAATAAAAATATCTGAGAGTTGTTGAATAATGTCTGTGTTCCTTGAACTTAAGATCTAAAGGAAAAAATCTGGAAATTTGGGCCTTAGGATTGTCCATATAGTTGTAAAACTAAACTTAAATGTGGCAGGGGCAGGGTTGTTGTGTGGAAATGAAAGTTTAGAAATAAAGCTGAGTCCATCATTATTCTTTATGTACTCAAGACACTACTGGTATCTCCTGTTTTTTCACATGGTATATTGCCACCCCACTGCCGTGGACCTTATGTCTGTCCATGTTTCACCTGTATAAATTCAGCATCTTTGGAAATTTTGCTCAAGTGCTGACTCTTTCTTGAAATCTCTGTATAGATACTCTTGCTAGTAGATGCTTTCTGATTCTTCTGATACTTATTTTTCCACTAATGCTCCTTTATCATTCACATTATTATTATTTACCCACATTCATCTTATCTCTCCACCTAGCTCCTAGACCATTCCTTCTCAATCTGCCTACATATTGGATCACCACAGGAATATAGAAAAATGCTGATGTCTGAATCCCATTTCCAGAGATTCTAATTTGTTTGATCTGAGGTGCAGCCTGGGCATTGTGGGTAATTCTATCTGAAGCCACAACTGGTGAGGTTAAGCCACTGTGTTTATAAAGTTAACGTCATTCTTAGTCATCATTCTTTGCTCTAAGAACAGTATCTTGCACCTAGTAAGTGTTTGAAAAATATTTATTGATACATCTGGCAGAGCAGCTGTTGAGAAAACTTTTATTCTGTCAACCTGATAATCTCTAGAGAAGTATGATTATTTTTGTCTAATTCATTTTTTCCTTTATACAGCAAGTATGTATTAAACAATCTTAGTGTAAAAAAAAGTTTGTGTGTGAAGTTAGAAGTGTAGTCCAGATTTAGTTCCACCCTTGGCCTGACCTCCAAGGAAAGCTGTATATAAAAGTTCAAGTCAGGCTAGGTGCAGTGGTTCATACCTGTAATCCCAGCACTTTGGGAGGCTGAGGCAGGAGGATCACTTGAGTCCAGAAGTTTGAGACCATCCTGGGCAATGTAGTGAGACCCTGTCTCTACAAATTTTTTTTTTTTTTAAATTAGGTAGGCATGGTGGCATGCACCTATATTCTTTGCTACTTTGGAGGTTGTGGCGGGAAGATTGCTTGACCCCACGAGTTCGAGGCTGCAGTGAGCTATGAAAATGCCACTGCAATCCAGGAATGAGACCCTATCTTGAAAAAAAATTATCAAGTCATTTCTTGTTCTACTGCTACTGTTGTTAATTGCTGTGTTCCTACTGTGTGCCAGACACTGTTCCAGGTATTTTTTACTATATGTGTTAGTATAATTAATTGCCACACAGCACTATTTTTGTTTTACAATTAACAGAAGTAGAGAATACATCTACAGTTTCAGCTCTAAGGCTGGGATTCAAACCCAAGTGTGCCTGACTCCAAATTCAGTGTTCTTTACACGTACCAGGCCACTACTAAAGGATCTATGCATATGATTGCTGTTTCGTATGTGTATATTTAATATGGATAATCATAAAAAGTTTAATTTTAGGCTTGTCTTTTCAAGCTGTCTTTCCTATGGTTTGAAGACATGGTGGTCATCAGATGTCATTCAGTGGGATTCATTCACTAATCTTACAAATATGCTGTTTGATTATAGTTAGTCACAAATCCCTCCAGACAACTGTTTCTTCCAGAGCCTGTTCAAGGCCTCAGCAGTGGTGGACAGCCTGAGTATGGCCAGTTTGCTAGCTGACATAGGAGGAGGAATCGGAAAACCACACAGTCATCCTGTGACTCCTTATTTGCAAATGTAAGGACACACTCTTGGACCCTCTATGAATAATGCCAAACAAAGGTTTTTAAAAAGCAAATGAACAATCAATAAAAACAAAACAAAAATAGGTATCATATTGAAAATAACAGAGGCTTAGTCTTGACTCCCACCATGCCCCAGCCTCCTATACACATGCACACACACAAACACACACACACACTCCAAGACACTTTTATTGAGCTTGTCTTTATTACTGATATTTTTCCACCTCGCTGCAGTGATAAAGTAGAAGCTTGCCCATAGGTAAGATGTTTTCAAAAATAACAACTATGAACACAACAGGTTTTCAGAGAAAGGGAGAAAAATTGTATTTATTATTCATGATTTTATCTGTCCATATATAATCTCTCTCTCTCTTCCCCGTTTCCTCTTCTACCCTCAGTTCTCCCAAATTAGATGAGTTTAACAATCCAGTAGCATAGTTTGGCTCTTTATGATACCAAGGTGTTTACTCGAGTTAGTTGGAGACGCTTTATTTCAATGCATATTTCAAACAACATTTCTCACAGAGTGTGTCAACACAAATAGGTGTAATACTTTGAATGTTCCTTCGTAGTCATTACCACATACTAAAACTTTGCCTGGTGAGTTCAAGCAAAACTACAGTAAGTTATTTTAGGTTAATATCACTGAATGAAAATGAAAGCTAGTGTTCCATTTTTTCTCTTTGATGCAGTTGTGTGAGATATTAATGTTTGCACAGTGATGTCTCTTTTCCTGTCACTATCTTCAGACACATTATTGTAAAACAAAAACAGCCTATTGATGAGTATTTAAAGTGAGTGGTGTTATCAGATACTTCTTCAATTAAATCTATATTTTTAAAGACATTTTTTCGGTGTTTGGGCCTTCTTGGCAGGGTTCCCTTCCATCATGCTATTACTTGTTTCTACTGCTAAAGGATTGCTTTGTGTGTCCACTGAGCCAATATACTTACAAAGGCAATAGATAACCCTTCTCTTCTTTTGTTTAATAAATGAAAAGTTCAAAACTTTTAGCTTCCAAAGAACCAAAAGGGCCAATACAGTATTTGATAGGCATAGAGTTAAACTTATCTAAGAAAAGAACAGTACAGTGGAGAGTATTTTATCATGTGTAATCATCATCAGGAGGAGAGGCTGGAAAAGTAGCAACTGTGAATGGCAGATCCTGAAGGTTTTGATAAGGCTTTATTTTATGGATTGGAGAACCAAATAGGGTTTTTACTCTATAGAGTGACATTAAATTTGAGGAGGTTAACACATGTGACGGTTATGGCAAATGGATTAGAAACAACATAGAAAGTGGTCTCAAAGTGTTTCCTAGACCAGAACCCACAGGTTAAAAATGTGAATTCTCAGACTCCTACACAGACCTCCTAAATCAGACCCTGGGGGAGTAGTCTATAGTCAATGTGTTCACAATCACTCTGGGTGATTCTGTTGCACACTAAATTTTGAGAATCACTAGACTGGAAGAAGGAAGACTTGACTTGAAGAAGAAACAATTCACAAACTGTCTAAATTACTCAGCATCTAGCACATAGTAGGTACTCAATACCTACTTTCTGAATAAATCAATAAAGCCAAAGGTGACAAATGCCTAAACTAGCAAAGGAAAGGTATGAGAACCAAGAAAGATTTTAGTTCCATTTGCAATTCAGTCAAGAGTAGAATTAGCTTTTAAATGAATGTGATTTTATAAATAATTTATAAAATTTTCTTTTATTTGACAATTTTCTTCCTTTCCTTGTAGTTGCTCATTCCAAACTCAAAATAAATAAAGTAGGAACTTTTGGTAGCTTGTACCTGCTTCTACAGAGGTCCTGGGTACATCTCTTCCACCTGAAAGAAATCACTTGGTTAAGTAATCAACAAGGTGGCATCAGTGTGGCAGGGAATGGTGGCTTAAGTTCTAAGACTATCAGAAAATATGATACTGGGAACTACACAGAGTCCAGGATGGAGACAGATTCTGAGTGGTTAGAGACAGATTCTGAGTGGTTGAAAACAGGAGGAGGGGTCAGGTATTCCTGAAGTTGCATTGGCATTGTTTCTTGAAGAAATTCTAACCTTGCAGCAGAAAGACCAGATATTCAATCATTAATGTCTTTGATTGCTAAAGGTAAATGTTCACTGAGAAAAAGGAAGATGTATCAGTGAGAGAGAGGAACCCCAAAATCTATTCTCTACCAGTCAGTATGCTGGAACTTTACAAACATATCTTATTTAGTCCTCATCACCTCACCACGTGATGTTAATATATCTGTCCTATAAGGTGGGGCCAGAGACAAAAGTTTGTCCAAGGTTAAAGAGCCACAAAGTGGTCACACTGGACTACAAACTCACACAGTCTGACTCCAAAGCCTGCATTTTATCTGTCGATATTCAATAAAATGCATGTGGTTATAGTTTCAGTAACTGTTCTGAAATATTTTATAAAGTATATATAATATTTAAAATAAATATTGAGGATATAGTTGTATGTAGCAAATAAATTGATAGTTTAAATAAAATATTTTAGACTTGAATGTAGGAGTTTCGAACAGAAAGACAATCTCCTGCTATACTGCATGTTGTCTGGGAAAACTGGAAATAAACTGCTGCATTTTGGTCCTCAGTAACTTTAGAGGGAATATAACTTTCCGTCCATCCTGTTTCTTTTTGTGTTTTCTTTATCAAATGTTTTAAAATATATTTGTATGTATTTCAATAGAAACTGTTTTTTCTTTTTGTCAGTGGGATAAAATCAATACATTCCTCTTTTTCCCCCTTATATTTGATGTGTATTTATCTTAAGCTCTGAAATGGCCTAAGTTACACAAGAGACATCCAATTATACTTCCTTAAAGGATGAGGTCTTACAGTGCTCGCATTTCCCCTTCCTCCTACATAGATGTTACTTGTGGGATCACTTGGCAACTCAGTCAAAGCAGTCTTGGATGCAAGAGCTTGATTTGAGCTGGTCTTTGATTGGCTTAGGATCTTAAAAATTGCATTTGTTTTCATTTCCAGTGCAAAAGGGTATCATAATATTTACCTTTTTTTGGGAGTGGTGGTGGTGGCAAGGAATGACTGAATTGGTTAATTAAGTCAAATCATTATGACAACTCATTTTAACTCCTTAAAGGAAAGATATGACATAAGTTAAATACACATTCTACGTATTTTATTCTACAAATGTGCCTTGTAGTGCTAAAAATTTAGAAGTCTTCTGTGTAAAATGGGGTGAAGACTAAGAAATTTTAGAAATGTTTAAATAATACCATAATTACTGTTTTACCCTTTTTAATGTTTTAATCCTCATTCCTCACTTTTAACAACAAATTCCTATGAGAACAGCTTGAATAGTGCTTGATGCCTTAGAAGACACTCAGTTTATTTGGGTTCGTACACGAAAAAAAGCGGGTAAGTATAGAGCAGTGCTCAAACATAAGAAGGTATACCTGCTTTTGTTTCCTCAAATCCTAGGAATTTATGCAACGAAGGAGTAAAAGTAGGGCTGGAATTCAGCCAATACACACTGGTACAGCTCTGTATTAAAATATTGAAATTCATCTCTACGAGTTAATAAATAACCACTACTCTCAGTGCCCCCTGCCCCAACACACTGTCCCAGCCTCCTTGATGTCAATGCTGGGGCTCCTTTAATCTCCTTCATCCAGCAAGGAGCTTCCAGGACCCTGCCATGATGTCTGTTCTACTTGGTTGTGCCCATGACTTATTGGTGTTAAACATTTTGAATATATCCCTCTGTGCCCATAGAGAAAACTTGGAAGATCAATTATACTAGTTATATTGAAACTCTTGATAAATTAATTTTGTCATTGATATATATATAATTTCTTAATTATATATATACATATAATATAATTTAATTAATTTCTTAATTTCTGCTATTGGCCCTTCTATTATTGCTTTAGGAACTTCACACTAATGCGAGATGAGAGAGAGAGAAACAGCCATTTGGAAACAGGTTTGAGGGCCCACAGGCCCACATTGGACATGAGTTTGGCCATATTCAGTTTTATTGAACATCTTGAAGCATTTAAAACAATACAATGTCCTGTGGAACCCAGATACATACAGCCAGGTGTTTTTCTCTTAATATTTAAACCCATTTTATGGAAGATTTAATCCATATGTTAAATCTTTGACTTCAAAAGGCATTCCTTGAAAGGCTAATAGAAATGATGAAAAACGGGTCTAAAGATTATGTTCAAAGATGTCATTTATGGATTGGGGATAAAGGTCTGAGGAGAGAGAGAGAAACTTGGGGGAGTTTCATGAAGTCATTTAAGTATGTGAAATGTTCTAGAGCACAAGGGAACTCTTGACATTTCATAATCATAGAATCTTTTTTCATTTCCAAAGAGCATGTTTTTGAGACAGTGCATAATATAGCTATTTGTTCTCTTAGACACATCTCAGGGAAGAAAAAGAAGTTAGGAAAATGAGCCCATTGTTTTTCAAAATTAGTGACAAACTTCAAAATAATTCCAAACAAACCTCAAATAAAACATTTTCCCCCTACTGTGAATCCCATTTAAACTGTTTGGGTCAGTCTGTTTTAATGAGTCACATTCACGCTGACACATCCACACACTTCAGACAAAGACGACTGTACCTCTAAACCCATTTAAAAATGATAGATGACTGTCAGCTTTGTGAAAGCAGCACATGCAGTGGCTTGATAGCGCAGAATGAAAGCAATCTACAAGTGCAAGTCTGTTTCTTTTGGCAACGGAAGGAGTTGCTAATGGATTCATCATTTTCTGTTAAGCATGAATGTCAAACAAAAAAACATTTAGGGCTCTATTCAACTGAATTTCCGGCTCGACGCTTGCCAGCCATGGAAGCCCTGTGACTTGGAACCTGCGCAGCCCAAGCCTGATTCTTGTTTCCAGAGTTCCGTGGGGCCAGTGCCACGGAACTTGGAATTCTGCCGAGGGCTCCTCCTCCTCTCTTCACCTCCCCCTCTCCCCTTTTCTCTCCAATCGCATGAAGCCGCCAGTCGTGCTTCCTAAGTGAATGCCGTCTATGGAGCAGAGCTGGTTGCCAACTCTTACACCAGCTGACTCCACCTCGGGATCACATAGGAAGTCCACCAACACCACTCAAGAAGGGATGGCAGAGTGAGGACTTCTTGTATCCAGAGATTCTGGGGCCTTTATGCCTTGGAATTCATTGCGGTCGAGTGGGCATCACACACTTCCTATTTTGGCGTCGTAAATATGCAACATGTCCCGGACTCTTTCTACAAACAAAAAATAAACACAAAAATAATAACAGTTAAAGTGCCTGGGCTGCAGAAATGCGACGTTAGCCTCTGAATGGACCTTGAGAAGAACTGGGGGGAAAATTCTGGCCTTAGAACACAGCTCTTTTTATATCCTTAACCACAGAAGAGCTCCCTCTGTCTGGGAGAATGGCTTCTTCAGTTGAGCACACAGTGGACAGCTGTAGGAGTGTGCTGAGCCCAAACACATCAGTAACGTCCGCCCTGGCAGGAGAGAGGTTACAGACCCCAGGCCCTCACGTGCCAGGCCAGTGCCAGCCCTGCCAACAGCTGTGTGGTCTTGGACAAGTCTCTCCACCCCTCAGTGCCTCAGTTTTATCACTTGGTTGTTTTTGAGGATTAAATGAGATCACGTGAAATCAGGAGGGTAAACTATAAATCACTACACAAGTGTATATTGTTATTAACTGAACTGTTTTAATTAATAAAATAAATTAATAATAAATACTAAGAGCTAATGTAGGATGGCCTAAGGGAGTTTAGAACAGAGAAGCGAAGAGATAGATTCCTGGCAACTCCATTTTTTGTTCTGTGACCTCGAGAAAAATCAGTGCACCCTTTAAACTGGAATGGAAATACTTATTCCAATAAGTCATATTTTGACTATACAGTGCCATGGATTTGTACATTATTCAGTCTTTGGAAGACCTAGACAGCTCTCACTTCTCCAGATGTCAACCCTAATGTCAATCATTCCACCGCTCTAGCTTTACTATTCTGCATTTCCCAGCAAATGGGACTCCCCTCGCCCAGTTAAAATCCAAACATATGAAAGGATAGGAATTCATGCTTAACTTAGCAATTAGCATTTAGCAGGGTATGGCTGGATTAAGACCCAAGGTTGATGCTAGTGGGCTAGGGGAGGAAACAAGATACCAGGAGATAGGAAAGAAAGCTCTAAAATCAACTTCACTTTTTTTTTCAGGCATGCCTTGTTCCTCTCCTGTCTTTAATGTTCAATGATATTGTGAAGATAATTGCAACAAGTTGTGAAATGTTGCCAGTACCTTTATAAATTACAGGACTATAAGTGATTTCATGTGACATTGATATTGATGATTACTTCAGCCTGAAGGATAAAGGCAGAACTTGTATAGGGACGAATTAATGGTCTTACCTGAAGATATTTTAATCTAAAATTGTAAATGTTACCTCCTTCAGGAAACCTTCCCTGATCCTCTAGATAGAGTCAATCACAGTATATATTTCAAAATATGTATTTCTCATATCATTTGTTTGTTTGTATGTCTTTTTTTTTTTTTTTTACTTTTATCTTAAGTTCAGGGGTACATGTGGTACATGTGCAGGTTATATAGATAAACTTGTGTCATGGGGGTTTGTTGTACAGATTATTTCATCACCCAGTTATTGAGCCTTGTACCCATTCATTATTTTTCCTGATCCTTTCCCTCCTTCCACCCTCCACCTACTGGTGGGCCCCAGTGTGTGTTGTACCCCTCTATGTGTCCATGTGTTCTCATCATTTAGCTCCCACTTATAAGTGAGAACATGTGGTATTTGGTTTTCCGTTCTTGTGTTCGTTTGCTAAGGATAATGGCCTCCAGCTCCACTCATGTTCCTGCATAGGACATGATCTCATTCTTTTTTATGACTGTGTACTATTCCATGGTGTATATATACCACATTTTCTTTATCCAATCTATCATTGATGGGCATTTAGGTTGAGTCCATATCTTTGCTATTATGAATAGTGCTGCAACAAACATATATGTGCTTACAATACATACATATTAAGTGTGAGTTTGACTCTTTTAACTCTATATTCAATACCTTTTTAAACTCTATATTCACGTAGTAGTTAGCACATTGTAGGAACTCAGAAAATATTTGTTGAATTTAATAGAAAAAATATCTGAAGGACAAAGTAGATCAGGCAATCATTCTCCTAGTGTATCCAAGACTTGGTCTACTTAGCAATCAAAGCTAAAGATGATTTTCAGCAGAATATTAAACTCCATAAAGGATTAGTTGCCCTAAGGTTTTTTAAAATGCTGCCACTTAGATGATACTTTAATAGAATTAAATGGTATTTTGCTGAAGCATTTAGCTAAATTTTATATGCCCATACCTCTTAGAAATATAACCAAACCCACCCAGGAATTATCTATACATACATGATAATATATTGGTAAAGCTACATGCCAAATGTCACTTTAACTTGCAGAAATGATCAGATTCTTATTCCACAGGGCTGGTTTCAATGAGGAATTTTCAGAATGATGAAACCAGATTTAGCTGGTAGCAATTATTGGTACATTTCAGATGAGCTCAGCATGAAGAATAAGACTGAAGAAAGATTAAGTCTCAAATACTAAAGGAGAGAAAAAAAATGAAAAGAGAGACCAAAAGGGTTTGAAAAGCAGGAAAGGACCAGTTATCTGCAGGATGCTGGTATTCTTATGTGAGATGGTGTGACCCAGTCTGGGTTGGAATGTTATCTCTATGTGATCTGCAGAATTTCTCTCTTGACTGTAGCAACTGCAGAAGAGTGAATTAAAGTCTTAAGGAGAAAAATCAATAAAGAAAAAAAAAGATAAAAGCAATATGGCTGGAGAGCATTTCAAAAACCATATAAAAGTCTCTTAAATGGCCATGGAGGACTAACCAGTATTTATAAGGGTTTAACAGGAATACCAATAAGAATAGATTTGTTGGTCTCCTTAGAGGAACAAAAAGGCTTCTGGATGGTTTATGGCATTTAGCTGGTCTTTGTTTCACTGTAGTGTGTGACATACAGAATCATAGATTGCATAAAGGACTGCCTGTAATGACAAGAAATTCACTGGAGAGATATTATGAGAGAGCTGGGATTAGAGTAGCCCTTACTGCTTGCTCGGTGCTGTGAAAGAAGCACAGTACCCCAAGCACCTTTCCTCTGACTACCTCTTCTGTATTCCCAAACCGGGAATTTCTCTGAACTATATGCCAGAAACAGAAAACATACTCATTTAATCCCAATAATAACAATACTTCCTCTACTATATCTTTTTTTTTTTTTTTGAGATGGAGTCTCACTCTGTCGCCCAGGCTGGAGTGTGTGGCGTGATCTCGGCTCACTGTAAGCTCCACCTCCCGGGTTCATGCCATTCTCCTGCCTCAGCCTCCCGAGTAGCTGGGACTACAGGTGCCCACCACCATGCCTGGCTGATTTTTGTATTTTTAGTAGAGACGGGGTTTCACCATATTGGCCAGGCTGGTCTCGAACTCCTGGCCTTGTGATCTGCCCACTTCGGTCTTCCAAAGTGCTGGGATTACAGGCTTGAGCCACTGTGCCCAGCCTATTATATCTTTTAAAGATCTGTAAAATGTTTTTTTTCTTCAATTATAAAAAGTGTAACTCATTCCAAACCTTCTCTCAGCCAACCATCTTCTTAAATAGTGAAAAGATGAAGGAAGAGGGAAAGAGTTATAGAAATGGAAGTGACAGAAATCTTGGAAGAAAAGGGTAGAGCGTATTCCTACAAGTTAAGGAAAGGCAGGTCAAATAAAATCTAGAGCTTGGGGAGCTATATTTCAAAATGTCCAAAAAGACATAAATCTGATTCCTCCTCTCTCCTGCCCTGGTCTGAATGCAAATGTGGAGAGCATTTGATACTGCATCCATCTAGTCATTTGTTGGTCCATTTATTCATTTCAGTATATTCTTTCTTGAGTTCCCATTATGTCACAGGTACTCTTCCTATCGAGAAGCTTTCAAAACTGAAATTCTGGCAATGTAGCCATAAATATTCTTAATTAGGAAGAAAAAAAAGTGGTTTTTTTTTATAAAAGCCTGGAGTGAAACTTTACAGAATCTGGACTTTAAAATGTGTACACATACAGTGGAAAAGCACCTGTGCATGGAACTATGAATAAGTGACTAAAGAGCTAAAGCCTGGATGTGAAGGGAGGAACATTGAGAAAAAAACCCAGGCTGATAGGTTAAATAAAAATTTACATTTGGCTCTATCTGATTTCAAAGGAAGTGCTTTCGGTCCTAATGCCAGGTTTGCTTAAGTAAGCCCCTGTATCTAAATATGTCCTATTAGGAATGGTGGGATAATACAGATTTTATGGGTCACATTTTTGCCTTTTTTTTTTTTCTGTCCTATGCCTCCAGTCCCTCCCTTTCCCCCTACACACACACACTCTGTCCCTCACCTGTAGGCTGCTCCTAGTCCAAACATTCAGTGATTCTGAAATAGGCCATTCTTGTAGCCAGTCTAGTTCTACCTGTGTCTTGATGATGATCTCTTGACATCTGCCTTTTGCTCTGAGTGAAATCCCAGTGCTGACAACCTGTCCCACAGTATTTTTTTTTTTTTTGAGACGGAGTCTCGCTCTGTCGCCCAGGCTGGAGTGCAGTGGCACGATCTTGGCTCACTACAAGCTCCGCCTCCCGGGTTCACACCATTCTCCTGCCTCAGCCTCCCAAGTAGCTGGGACTACAGGCGCCCACCACCACACCCAGCTAATTTTGTTTTTGTATTTTTAGTAGAGACGGGGTTTCACCATGTTAGCCAGGATGGTCTCGATCTCTTGACGTTGTGATCCTCCTGCCTCGGCCTCCCTGTCCCACAGTTTTTACACAATGAGAGTCAGCATTGCTTTGGCCAATTCAAACTCCAACTATAATAATCTATTCTTTCTACACTGACCACTAAAGGCTGAGCCCTTCCTGTAGTCATACTGCCTTTAATTTTTCCCATCACCAACAAGGCTATCATTCTCTTTTTACAAAGGAGAAAACAGAGCTTAGTGGAGCTAAGGAACTTACCCAAAACCACGTAGCCAAAAGGGATAGAATTCAAACCCAGCTTTCTACATTCCCTCTCCTTCATGCTGCTTCCCCCAAATTCTCCATCTGAGCTGTACTTGTGGGGGCAGACTTCTGAGTGTCACTTCCAGGCTCTCTGCACCGATAGAGGCTTCACCTTATTATTGTTGGACCCCATGCTCCAGCTTGCAAAGACTGTCATCTTTCAGGTGCTGTCAAGAACTTTGAGTACAATGTGTTTCCTATGGCCTGGGCTGCCTCTCAAGACCTGCCCTCAGTACCTGCCCTCTCCAATGAGTGGGTCTAAATCTATTCCTGGTCTCCCACAGTTTGCCTCATTCCACGGGACAGCACAGATATGCCTACCCAGGTTTTGGGATATGATCCTCTTTTCTTGAAATCCCCTTAGAAACTAAGATTTTCTTTTTGAGTCATTTGAAAAGAATCATGGTTTACTTCAAATGGCCAAGAGCTTGGCGTTCCAAGTCAAGGATGTACTTTGTTTCTGATACTGTTATGAACCTAATTCTGAGCCTTCATTTACTTATCTGAAAAACTGAAATAATAACAAACCTCTCAGTGGTTTTTAAGGACTAATGAGTTACTTATGCAAATCTCTTTTCAGAGTGATTAGCCTGAAGGTGCTCAATGTATGGCAGCTCCTATTATGATCATTATCCACATATTCATTATTGTAATCATCACTTCAGGGCAAGGAAAGTCCTACGGGTGGACTGATGAGAAATCCTTATGATGCGAACTGGAGACAGGTACAAGCACTTCGCTTTACCTAGAGAAGGAGGTGGTGCAATTTACTGGAAAGGATTCTCAACAAAGCTGACTGCTCAGTCACTATTTAGAGATGATAACATTTTTTTCTCCAATCTTATTTTTTAATGAGAGCTGTCAGTGATCTTTTTAATTGGAAGTCCTGTAAATTCTGGGGAAGGGTTTTGTAAATGCACAAATTTGGGCCCCATCCCTGAGGACTGATTCAGTCAGTCGAGGTGGGGCTTCAGGACTTTTATGTGGAGAAGCTGTGCGAGCAATTCCAGTGATTACTTCTTGTTGTTGGTGCGCCTGGATCTGCAAATCCTTCCAGATTTGACATTCTGCCATTTCCTGGCAACAATTAAAGAAGAAAATAATATGGGAAGTACAATGTGATGTGCCCAATTCTGGAGTATGCATTTGTATTAGTTTGCTAGGGCTGTAATAACAGAGTACCACAGACTGAGGGGCTTCAACAACAAAAATTTATTTCTCACAGTTCTGAAAGCTGGAAGCCCAAAGAGCAGCAGGTTTGGTTTCTCCTGAGGCATCTCTCCCTGGCTTGCAGATGGCTGCCCTCTCACTGCATCCTTACGTGGTCTTTTCTCGGTTTGTGTGAATCCCTGGTGTCTCTCTCTTTCTGGATCCAAATTTCCTCTCTAAGGACAACAGTCAGATTGGATTAGGACCCACCCTACAAGCTTCATTTTAATGTAGTCACCTCTTTAAATGTCCTGTCTTCAAATACAGTCACATTCTGGGGTACTGGGGGTTTAGGGCGTCAATATTTGAATCTGAAGTGGGGAGGCATAATTCAGCCATAAAAACATTCAAAGCCCTTGAAAACATACACAGTCACTTTTAGGAATTTATTCCAGGGAAAGAGAGAGAAAGAGAAGGCTGCCCAAAGTTTTCCTCACAGCAGGAGTCCCGCCTATGCCTAGGGGGCATTTAGCCACTGTCTGGGTGAGCCTGAGGAAGTAGAGCCTCTGGAAGCACATTTTTGTCTGCCCCCTGACTAAACCAAGCTTTAGTGTCTGGTGTCTGCAGAAAGAGGGCCTGCAAGCAGAAGCTGAAGAAATTGTTTTCATGAGGAGTCTTGTGGGATAAGCAACAATGTGTGGTCTGAATCCCTCTAGAACAAAATGACACAAAACATAAGATGAGAGTTAGGCTTCCATCAAATATGAAACAGAATGTAGACCATTTACAGCTTGTTGGGGACACCAGTGGTTTCCAGAGGATACCAAAGTGCCCAGAGAACACTGACAAGAAGAGTCATTGCCCCAGACCCGAGCCAGCCTGTTAGTGAACATAAACATCCAGCCCTAGAGACTCTTACGGATGTTAGAGGCTGAGATTCTACATGAATAGGGGAGAGGACAAGAGATGTCCTGTGAAGCAGACCTCTTCTTACAGCACAGGCTGAAAAGACCCCAGGAAATCTGAGTATTGCTTACTATAGAAAAAAAGGGGAAAAAATACCACAAATGTCCAACAATTAGGGGATAAGTTAAGTACATGATTCTATGTTTATGTAAATATGATAGTATTCAGCTGTGAAAAATCATATTGTGGAAGAATATATACTCGAGAAATATTCACGATATGGTGCTAAATAAAAAATACAAGAATAGTACAGAATAACAGCTTTTTGGTTTATAAAAATTATTAATTGCCTATTAAAAATGCCAGGTGCATGCATACCAAGTTGTGGTTATCCTGGGATAGGAGATTCAAACTATTTTTTTCTTAGTGATTTTCCATGCTTTTTCAGGTTTTCTGCATTGTGCATATAGATTATTTATAAAATTTGAATTTTAAGAGAGTTTAATAAAAGAAAAACCAGCTCTGCTAAAATGGTATCCAGACTGATACCTGTCATTAGACTGTCTATGTGATTAGAGAAGGGACTATTTTCTTTTTCTGTTAAAAAATTATGTCTTTTCTACTTTTTTCATTAAAATATCATTTTGAATAAAATGAAAAAGACAGCAGATGGAAATTTAAAGTGTATTTACTTGAAAAAAGAGAAAGTTGGTATCCATATGCCAGTGTCATTGTTTAAACATTTTCTTATACTCATCTTTCATCTCACCAAAGTCTGGGAATAACTGCAATAGATATTTCATAATTTAACACACACGTACATCTTAAACATCTATGCCAAGAGTTTTTCCTTATGCTTTTTACACATCAGCCTATTATTTGTGTTTCAACTAGAGTACGTTGTCATTCCTGTTCCACATTGGCCAAGAAACCATCAATGCATTTGGATGCTATGCCCACCTTCCTCTCTGGCCTCCTATGCTGAATCATCAGAACAACAATTTGAAAACATTCTTCTGTTATATTTATACATATCCACATGAATAAATATGTATGCATATCTATTTATGCAGATACAGTATGCATATTGCTTTTTTAACTTTACTAATTCTGTACTTGACACATTTCATGTGTGATGTCCAACGTTCTACAAACCCTTTCCTGATATGTAAAGCAGACAAGAGCCACCTTGCATCAACGTGTAATTTGATTTTTTTGTTTGTGAAGCAATCATCCTGTCCTTTTCTTTATGAAATTTGACCTAGTTCTCATTGTTTTCTTCTCTAAAAAGTCCACTTTAAATCTTTAAAGTCTTCTTTAATGTGTACCTTCTTTTTCTGAACATAAAAAAGTGAGATGATATAAAAATGATTAATTCAAGCTGAATTCTTTGGAGAGAAGTAACTTATTCTTTTAGAATATATTATGAAAGATAAATCATAACTAGGACTAATTGAATGTTGGTCAGAATGTCTATAATTATATCAGATGTTCTAGGAAGAATTTTAATTTAAAAACCATAGTAATTAATATTCTGTGTGGAAATCACATACCTATGTGTATTTCAAAATACATATCTTGAATACATATCATAACATTTAATACAGTGCATTGACTGCTTAATCAAACACTCCTATAAAGGTAGCATATTCCACTGGCAGGCAAGTTGATAGAGTAGGGGAGGGCAGGGCTGTGGTAGGACATCTGCATGGAGCTAACAAAAGGTCCTGAAAGGGGTGTTCCGAGGCTGATGAACACAGGCTCACCTACTTTATTAATTTATGTAGGGATAGAGTGAAGTTCACCTCCTAGAGACTCATCCAAGAATATATTTTTTTAGATGAGTAGAGGGCGAATGGCAATGCGAAAGGAGTTTATCTTGGCTCTGATAAAATATAATGCTTTTATTGTGACCTGAATGGAGAAGAGGAGGATACCTTTATTGAAAAGAATTGTGCCTTTATTTTTTCTATTTTGTATTAATACAGTCAATTTTTCCTACAGATTTGTGTAAACCCAAAGGTTTTTGTTCCTTTTCAAATCCTTGGTGGTTACTCAATATATTTTGAATGAATGGGTGGATGAATGAAAAGGAATAATGATGTTTTGAACTTTTAAAATTTATTATGAAGAATTTCAAATCTAAACAAGTTGAGAGAATGTTATAATGAACTCCGAGGTACTCATCACTCGGATTCAACAGTTATCAATTTATGGTCGATCTTGTTTCATCTCTACTTGTTTGGTACCCTCACTGTGTTCTTTTAAAGCAATTTCAGATGCTTATTATTTTATCTGTAAATATTTTAATATGTATCTCCAAAAAAATAAGGACTCTTTCTTTAAACATAACCAGAATATCACACCAAAATTAACAATATCCTTGATATCTGGTCAGTTAAAGATTTCATGACTGTTTTGCACATAGTTTGCTTAAATTAGAATCCAAATAAGGCCCATACATTGCAATTGAGTAATGATTCTCTTAAGGCATATTTAATGTATCTGTTCTCCATCTTTTTCTTCTTACCATTTATTTGTTGAGATTTGTCCTGTAGTTTTTCGTCTATGGATTTGGCTGTTCATATCCCCTTGGTATTGTTAAGAATGCTTTATTTTCCTTTTATTTTCCATGAATTAGTAGTTTGATATAGATGCTTGATCAGACTCAGGCTTGACTTTTTTTGGTAAGAATATTTTACAAGTGACATTGTGTACATCCATCAGGAGTCATATAATGTCTGGTTGTCTCTCTTTTTGAGATGTTAACAGCCATTAATGATCATTGCCTGGATCCATTAATTCATTAAGAGCTTCAGCATGCACTATTCTATTATTCTTTCTTCATTTACTAGCTTGAATACTTCTCTACAGAAACATTCTTTATGAGCTATTTATTTACCTTGTGGCATAGTTTGCATAATTAAGGAAGAATAAATCCTTAATTCTTTTTCTGTATTAACCAGTTTTCAAAATAATGAATTGGATCTCTAACATTTTCCAAAATTAACTAATGAATTTTTTGAAGTGTCATTATCAACTTATGAATTGAAACATACTTGGTAAGTTTTCATTCATTTTAGATATTGTATTATTGTATTGTTCCTCAAATTATTCTATCATTAGCTATTGGGGCCTTTTCAAGCTGGCTGTTGCCTCCATTTGACAAAGTTCGCATAGTCCTAATCATATTTTTCTTATTCTTGTGTGAGAAGATGTCGTATATTTCTTGACCCACATCTGGGATCAGCCATTTTTCCAAGGAGCCCTGGATCTTTTGAAAGGGAAGTAGTGTGTGAAGATCACCATCTGGATGGTGGGGGTGGCTGTTGCTTCTGGATTAGACATTGCTTCAAGGCTTTTCCAGCGGACAGAACTAAGGAATAAGAATTTTTATGGCAAAACACATCACGATTTTACACTATTTCCAGGTCACATTCTGGAATAAAGACTTTTTATTTAAACTCTTCTTACATCTGCATTCCTTTGTTCCACACAAACATTCCTGATTCTGAGCAGCACTAATATACTTACTATCTTTACTCCACCGTAAATATATAACAGAATCAGAAAAATAATATGAAGACTACAACAAACAATATGGTTACTGAAAATAGTTTAAGTTGTATTTGCCATTGTTTGGTCCTTAGAATATATAGTTGTCTCTTAGCATTTCTGGGGAACCAATTCCAGGACCTCCATGGAATACTAAAATCTGAGGATGCTCAAATCTTCTATATAAAATGGCCTGGTATTTATATAACCTATATACATCCTCCCATATACTTTAAATCATCTCTAGATTATTTATAATACCTAATATGATGTACATGATGTGTAATCAGTTGTACCACTGTATTGTTTAGGGAATAATGACAAGAAAAATAAGTCTGTACCTGTTCAGTACAGACAATTTTTTTTTTGAGTATTTTTGATCTGTGTTTTGTTGACTGTATAGATACAGAAACCACAAACAAGGAGGGCTTAGTATTCCACTAGGGGTAAGTATTCAAAATGCTGCATTTTAAAGTTACTTGGGACATTTCCATTCTGTGTGGTTATGCCACCAAACTAGGTAAGTAGTTAATATAACACACACACACACACACACACACACACACACTTATATTACTATACACTTCCCCAACTTGCCTTTTTTGCCTAGCATTATGCACTAGACATCATTCTATAGTAGTGTGTAGAGATACTCCATATTCCTCTTTAATATGCCAGTCTGTGGATGTGCCAAAACTTATTTCCCTTTTCCCTAGTGATCTGGGTTGTTTACAGTATTTTGCATTTACAAATTTCTTTTCAAACCATTTTAATGAATGGTTTTGTGAATTTGATGTGTTTGAATGTCTTTATATTTTGCTAGTGCATATTTGTGATAGAGTTTTATAAGTAGCATTTTTATATCAAAGAGTAAATGTATTAGAACATTTACTGCCAATCTCCAAGCAAGGTGGTTCATACCTGTAATCCCAGAGCTTTGGGAAGTGAGTTGGAAGGATTGCTTGAGGCCAGGAGTTCAAGATCAGCCTGGATGACATAGTGAGATTCTGTCTCTACAAAAAAAAATTTCTTAAAAATTAACTGGGTGTAGTGGCTCACACCTGTAGTCCTAACTACTAAGGAGGCTTAGGTGGAAGAATCACTTGAGCCTAGGAGTTCGAGGTTACAGTAAGCTATGATTGCACCACTGCACTCCAGCCTGGCTCTGGGTAGACAGAGTGAGACCCTCACCAGTCACTAGAATCTGGTTTGAGCCACTGCACCTGGCTATGTTTCTTTTTGACTAAAATGTTTGCTTTTGTCTCTATCCCATTTTTCTATAGGATTTTGTGCCTTTGACTTCTCAGTTTTTAGAAGCATTTTATATATTTAATTACTAACTCTTTGTGACACAAGTTGCAACTATTTTATTCAGTTTGCTGTTAGACTTTTTACTTTGCTTATCATGTTTATTTTGTATTCAATTTTTTAAAATTATGTATTATTAAATGTATCACTTTTTCCCTTTTTTCTTCTAGTCAAATCACAGTTTGGAAAGTAGCCTTCTTCCCAAATTAAAGAGAAGTTATCCTATGTTTTTTCAAATCTTATTTCTAGGACTTGTGGTTTCATTAGGGTTTAACATTTAATTCTGCTACATTTGAATTTACTTTTGAATGTGGTATGAAGAATGGATCCAATGCTATCTTTTTCCATGTGGCTGTCTACTTATCCCAATACTTATTAGAAAGTACATCTTTTTCCCATTGATCTGATATGCTGCCTTTTTCATGTACATTTCCGAATGCATTGGATTTATTTCTGGATTTTCTGCTCTATTCACTGGTCAGTCTATTCCTACCATAGTGGTTTACTTATAGAAGCTTTAACTATATTTTAATATTTAATAAGGACAGACTACTCTTCCCCTATCTCCGACCCCATTGTTCTTCTTTTTCAGGACAATAGCCTAGAGGCTATTGTTCTTCCAAATAATATTTATAATCATTTTGTTCAGCTCCTGAAAAAAAGCATGATGGTATTTTATTGAGATCACATTGCATTTAAATATTGTACTGAACGACAATTGACATCTTCAGAATATTCAGCTTTATAATCTAAAAGCACAGTATGTCTTTCCATTTGTTCGTCTCTATTTTTTTTTATTTTTTGGCGATGTTTTGTAGTTTTTCTCACATGAATTTGAGACATTTTCTAGTCAAGTTTACTTCTGGGTATTATTTTTCTTTTTGGTCATCCTATAAGATGTCTTTTATTACATATTTTAGCTGTTGTGTTTGTACCAATGAAGGCTATTGATTTTTGCATGATGAATTTGTAAACTGCTACTGTACTAAATTCCGCCATTGTTCCAAACAGCTTTCTCATTTGTTCTTCTGCATTTTTCATGCATACAGTTGTACCATTTCTCTTTCTTTCTTTTCTTTCTTCCTTTCTCAGTAATTAGGATGTTTAGATTTTCTGTTTCTATTAGGGTAAGTTGTATTTTTCTAGAAAATAACCTATTTTATCTAGCTTTTCAAAGTTATTTGTATTAAATTGTGCAAAGTAGTCCCATTTTTAAAAAAGTTTCCTTCATTTTGGTAACTATTTCCCACTTATTAATTTTGCAGATTCATACTGCCTCAACTTTTTTCCTTTTTGATACTTTTTCCACTGAAGTATAATACACTAAAAGAGAATAAATCATTAAGTATACATATCAGTGAATTTTCACAAAGTGAACATACCTGTGTAACCCCTAACATATCAAGAAATAGAGCATCCAATGGAAATAGAACATCAAGAAACCCTACTCTGTTCCCTCACAGTCACTATGGCTTCTGTACTCCCCAGAGGGTACCACTATCTGACCTTCAAAACTACAGATTTATTTCACCTGTGTGCCAACTCTATATAAGTGAAATTATAGTTTTGCTTCTCTTTTGTGTCTACTTTCTTTCACTTAACCTTACACTTGTAAGATTCTTCCATATTGCAGCATGTAAGAAGTTTATTCATTTTCATTGCTGAATGAAATTCCATTTATTAATATACCAAAATTTAATATCTGATCTGTTGATTAACATATAGATTGTTTCCAGTTAGTGACAATTAGGAATAATCCTACTATGAACATTCTTATACATATTTTCTGGTACATATATACACATTTCTGTGTGGCATATACCCATAAGATGATTTGCTGGGCAATGTATCATGTCATGTGTTCAGCTTTGGTAAATACTTCCAAATTGTTTTTCAAAGTGATGGTTCCAATTTATGGTCCCCCAAACAGTGTATCAGAGTTTCTATTGCTCCACATAAACTTAGTATTATCAATCTTCTTAAATTTAATTATTGTAGTTTTAGATTTGCACTTTCCTGATGATGAATGAGCATTTTTTAATGTTTTATTATCTGTTTAGAGTTTATCTTTTGTGAAATGTCTGTTCAAGTCCTTTGCCCATGTTTTTATTGGATTGTCTGTCTTATTAAAAGGAAAGGAATTCTTTACATGTTCTTTATATTAAAGAAATTTTTTACATGTTCTGACCCTTTGTCAAATGTAAGTATTGCAAATACGGACTCCTGCTCTGTATCTTGCCTTTTAACTCTCTAAATGAATCTTTTGATGAGCAGGAGTTCTTAATTTTTATATAATCCAATTTATAATTTTTTCCTTTATGGTTATTGCTTTTATTTTCCTGTTTGATCAATCTTTGCCTATGACAAGATCATGAGGTGTTCTCGTATGTCATATTCTAAATTTCCCTTTCAGATCTGCTAAACATCTAGAGTTCATTCTTTACATGACACATGTGGGAATCAAGATTAATTCTTTTCTGTATGGGTAGTTAATTGATCCACCATTATGTGTTGACAATTCTCTTTTACCAACAATTCTGCAATGCCACCTCTGTCATAAATCATGTGTGTATGTCAGAATCTATTTCAGTACTGCCTCTTCTGCTTCACTGGTCCATTTGCCTAAGCTTACACCAGTGCCACCTTGTCTTAATTAATAAAGCACGGTATTCAGTAGTGTAGAGTCTCCAAATGTATTCTTCAAAACTATTTTTTCTATTCTTGGTTCTTTGCAATTTTTTTCTTCTTTTTTTTAGGAACAGGGTCTTGTTGTGCCACACAGGCTAGAGGGTAGTTGTGCAATCATAGCTCACTGCAGCCACAAACACCTGGGCTCAGGCAATCCTTCTGCCTTGGCCTCCCAAAGTGCTGGGATTACAGTCATGAGTCACTGTGCCTGGCCCTGTTGATTGCATTTCAAAAATTAATTTTAAAAGCTTGTCAATTTCCCTCAATCCCCCAAAAAATCTTTGCTGGGATTTTTATTGTAGTTGCATTGGATCTAGCAATTGATTTGGGGAAGAACTAATATGTTTACAATACCTAGTGTTCTAAGAATCCATAAATAAAGGCACACACCTACAGCCATCTGATCTTTGACAAAGTTGAAAAAAATAAACAATGGGGAAAAGACTCCTTATTCAATAAATGGTGCTGGGATAGCTGGCTAGCCATATGCAGAAGAATGAAACTGGGCCCCTACATTTCAAGATATACAAAAATTAACTCAAGATGGATTAAAGATTTAAATGTAACTGGTAGACTTCTGGAAGAGAGCTTAGAAAACACCATTCTGGGCACGAGCCTTGGAAAAGAATATATGATTAAGTCCTCAAAAGCAATTGCACAAAACCCAGATTGACAAGTGGGACCAAATTAAACTAAAGAGCTTCTGCACAGCAAAATAAACTACCAACAGGAAACCTACAGAATGGGAGAGAATGTTTGCAAACTATGCATCTGACAAAGGTTTAATATCCAGAATCTATAAGGAACTTGAACAATTCAACAAGCAAAAAACACATAACCCCATTAAAAAATAGGCAAAGGACATGAACAGATACTTCTCAAAATAAGCCATACAAACGGCCAACAAACATGAAAAAATGCTCCACATCACTAATCATCCGAGAAATTTAAATCCAAACCACAATGAGATGCCATCTCATACCAATCAGCATGGCTACTATTAAAAAGTTAAAAAACAACAGAGGCTGGCAAGGCTATGGAGAAAAGGGGACACTTATGCACTGTTAGTGGGAATGTAAATTAGCTCAGCTATTGTGAAAAGCAGCTTACACATTTCTTAAAGAATTTAAAATGAAACTACTTTTCAACCCAGCAATCCCATTACTGGGTATATATCCAAAAGAAAATAAATTGTTCTACCAAAAAGACAGGCACTTGCATGTTCATCACAGCACTACTCACAGTAGCAAAGACATGGAATCAACCTAGGTGCCTATCAATCATGGATTAGATAAAGAAAATGTGGTACATATACACCATGGAATGCTACACAGCTGTAAAAAAAAACCCAAACCTGTTCCTTTGCAGCAACATGGATTTAGCTGGAGGCCATCATCCTAAGTGAATTAATGCAGGAACAGAAAACCAAACACTGCATGTTCGCACTTACAAATGGAAGCTAAACACTGGGTACGCCTGGTCATAAAAGATTGTGGCTACAGAAACTGGGGACTACCAGAGTGGGGAGGAAAGCAGGGGAGGAAGGATTGAGAAACTGCCTATTGGGTACTATGCTCAGTACCTGAGAGAAGGCATCCATCATACCCTTAGTGCCAGCATCACACAACATACCTAGGTAACAAACCTCTGTATGTACCACTTAAATCTAAAAGAAAAGTTGAAATTATTTTTTAAAAAATAAAAAATAGAGTTCTCTGAAGTTTTGTGCGTATTAGATTTTACTAGATTTATTCCAAGGTATTTAAAGTTTTTGTAAATGCTATTTTAAAATTTAGTTCTCTAATAGTTCTATTTACATATAAAATACAGTTAATTTTTGTAAATTGGGTATTGAGATCTTGCTAAATGCACTTATTAAATATAATAATTTATCTCTAAATTATTTTGTTTTTTTTCATGCACAATCATTCACTTGCCAATAAGGACAGTGCTCTATTGCTCTGTCTAGGACCTCCAGTATGATATTGAATAGAAGTTGAGATAACAAGCATCTTTGCTTTATTTTTGATCTTAGAGGAAAGTTTTTATACTTCAATGTTAAGTATTCAGTTCAGAGTAGTATGGTTTTTTGTTTTATGACACCCTATATCAGATTAAGGAGGTTTCCTCTTATTCCTAGATTTTTTTAAATAAACAGATCATGAATTTTATTAAATTCTTTTTCTGTAGCTATGAAGTGATAATATAATTTTTCTTCTAATTTTTAGTGTAATGAATTACTTCAGTTGATTTACTTAAACTGAGGTAAAATTTATATATATTAAAATGCACAGATTTTCAGTGTACAGCTAGATAAGTTTTCAGATCTGGGCAAACATCATTCAGATCAAGATTTAGACTATTTTACACACCAGAAAGTTTATTTGTGCCCACTTGCAGTCAATATTCAAAGGTAACCAGTATTCTAATTTTTTTTTTTTTTTTTTTTTTTAGATGGAGTCTTGCTTTGTCATCCAGGCTGGAGTGTAATGATGGAATCTCGGCTCACTGCAACCTCTGCCTCCCAGGTTCAAGCGATTACCAGGCCTCAGCCTCCTGAGTAGCTGGGGTTACAGGTGTGTGCCATGCCTGGCTAATTTTTTTGTATTTTTTGTAGAGATGGGGTTTCACCATGTTGGCCAGGCTGGTCTTGAATTCCTGACCGCAAGTGATCTGCCCACCTTGGCCTCCCAAAATGCAGGCATTACAGGTGTGAGCCACTGTGCCTGGTCTTTATTCTAACCTTTATTACAATGGATTTTTTGCTTGCTAACTTTATATAAATAAAATCGTACGGTATATACTTTTGGAGTCCGGTTTTCTCCTCAATATAATATTCTTGACCCAAGTGTTATTTAATAACATGTATTTTAATTTCTAGGTGAAAGGTCCTTTTTGGTTTTTGATTATGTTGTTAATTTTTGCATTTTAGTCAAAAAATATTATGTATATTATTTCTTCTTCTTTTTTTTTTTAAACAACCAAGTAATCAAGTTTTATTTAGTATCAGCAGCATGTTTACCATTTTCCAGTGCTTCTCATTCCTTCTTGCATTACCATACTTCCATCTGAAATAATTTTTATTTTGCCAAAAGAACTTAATTTGGTATTTCTTTTAGTTTGGACTTACTATGAATTCTCTTATGTTTTGTTTGTCTGAAATCATTTTTATTTTACCTTCTTTCTAGAAGATTATTTGCACCAGTAATAAAATTCCATGTTGGCAGTCATTTTCCTTCCAGCTTTGACTTTTATTGTTTTTCTTAAAAACTCAGCTTTCAGTCTTTTTGGTAGCTTCTCTAAAAATAATATCTTCTTTTCTCTGGCCACCTTTAAGATTTCTCTTGGTCTTTGGTTGCCCAGCTATAGTTCTGTTTGTATTTATCCTATATGGGTTCATAAACTTTTTTGAATCTGTGGGTAAATTCTTACCTAGTTATATCTACAATATTGCTTTTTCTTTTTTTAAAAATTATACTTTAAGTTCCAGGGTACACGTACATAATGTGCAGGTTTGTTACATATGTATACATGTGCCATGTTGGTGTGCTGCACCCATTAACTCGTCATTTACATTAGGTATATCTCTTAATGCTATCCCTCCCCCCTCCCCTAACCCCATGACAGGCCACAGTGTGTGTTGTTCCCCATCTGTGTCCAAGTGTTCTCATTGTTTAGTTCCAACCTATGAGTGAGAACATGCGGTGTTTGGTTTTCCGTCCTTGTGATAGTTTGCTGAGAATGATGGTTTCCAGCTTCATTCATGTCCCTACAAAGAATATGAACTCATCCCTTCTTATGGATGCATAGTATTCCATGGTGTTTACGTGCCACATTTTCTTAATCCAGTCTATCACTGATGGACATTCGGGTTGGTTCCAAGTCTTTGCTATTGTGAATAGTGCCGCAATAAACATACGTGTGCATGTGTCTTTATAGTAGCATGATTTATAATCCTTTGGGTATATACCCAGTATGGGATGGCTGGGTCAAATGGTATTTCTAGTTCTAGATCCTTGAGGAATCGCCACACTGTCTTCCACAATGGTTGAACTAGTTTACAGTCCCACCAACAGTGTGAAAGTGTTCCTATTTCTCCACATCCTCTCCAGCACCTGTTGTTTCCTAGCTTTTTAATGATCACCATTCTAACTGGTGTGAGATGGTATCTCATTGTGGTTTTGATTTTCATTTCTCTGATGACTAGTGATGATGAGCATTTTTTCATTTGTCTGTTGGCTGCATAGATGTCTTCTTTTGAGAAGTGTCTGTTCACATCCTTCACCCACTTTTTGATGGGGTTGTTTGATTTTTTCTTGTAAATTTGTTTAAGTTCTTTGTAGATTCTGGATATTAGCCCTTTGTCAGATGGGTAGATTGTAAAAATTTTCTCCCACTCTGTAGGTTGCCTGTTCACTCTGATGGTAGTTTCTTTTGCTGTGCAGAAGCTCTTTAGTTTAATTAGATCCCATTTGTCTATTTTGGCTTTTGTTGCCATTGCTTTTGGTGTTTTAGTCATGAAGTCCTTTCCCATGTCTATGCCCTGAATGGTATTGCCTAGGTTTTCTTCTGGGGTTTTCATGGTTTTAGGTCTAACATTTATGTCTTTAATCCACCTTGAATTAATTTTTGTATGAGGTGTAAGGAAGGGATCCAGTTTCAGCTTTCTACATATGGCTAGCCAGTTTTCCCAGCACCATTTATTAAATAGGGAATCCTTCCCCATTTCTGGTTTTTGTCAGGTTTGTCAAAGATCAGATGGTTGTAGATGTGTGGTATTATTTCTGAGGGCTCTGTTCTGTTCCATTGGTCTATATCTCTGTTTCGGCAGCAGTACCATGCTGTTTTGGTTATTGTAGCCTTGTAGTGTAGTTTGAAGTCAGGTAGCATGATACCTCCAGCTTTGTTCTTTTTGCTTAGGATTGTCTTGGCAATATGGGCTCTTTTTTGGTTCCATATGAACTTTAAAGTAGTTTTTTCCAATTCTGTGAAGAAAGTCTTTGGTAGCTCGATGGGGATGGCATTGAATCTATAAATTACCTTAGCCAGTATTTCTTTTTTTTAGACTGCATGGACATTTTCTTTATTACCCATGGCTAGGAATATAATTTTTTTTTAAAAATAGTGAAACAGAGATGTATTCTAATAGGTGGTCTTCTTAGAAGAAGGCTCAGGTGTTTGAAGAATTTCTTCAATCATCACAGTATTCCTTTGGGGTAGGTGGATAAAGCAGGTAATATGTTCTGCTAATCTTTTTCAGTGTCATAATTATATTATATTGCTACATTAGAAATCCAGTATCCTGACATCAAGCTATATTATAAGGCTACAGTAATCAGCACAGCATGGTATTGGTACAAAAACAGACACAGAGACCAATGGAACAGAATAGAAAGCCCAGAAATAATGCCACACACCTACAATCATCTTATCTTTGATAAAGCCAACAAAAACAAGCAATGGGAAAGGACTCCCTATTCAATAAATGATGTTGGGATAACTGGCTAGCTCTATGCAGAAGATTGAAACTGCATATACAAAAATTAACTCAAGATGTATTAAAAACTTAAATGTAAAACATCAGACTCTAAAAACCCTGGAAGATAACCTAGGAAACACCACTGTGGACATAGGACCTAGCAAGGATTACATGTGAAGACTCCAAAAGCAACTGCAACAAAATCAAAAATTGAGCAATGGGACCTAATTAAACTAAATGGCATCTCCTCAGCAAAAAAAAAATATCAACAGAGCAAACACACAACCTATAGAATTGGAGAAAATATTTGCAAACTATGCATCTGACAAAAGTCTAATATCAAGAATCTATAAGAAACTTAAATAAACTAACAAGTGAAAAAGGAAACAGCCCCACTAAAACAATGTGCAAAGGATATGAACAGACACTTCTCAAAAGTAGACATACATGTGGCCAACAAGCATATAAAAAATGCTCCACAACACTAATCATCAGAGAAATACAAAGCAAAACCACATTGAGATACCATCTCATACTAGTCAGAATGGCTATTATTAAAAAGTCAAAAAATAACAGATGCTGACAAGGTTGCAGAGACAAGGGAACACTTATACACTGCTGGTGGGAATGTAAATTAGTTCAGCCATTGTGGAAAGCAGTTTGAAGATTGCTCATAGAACTTGAAACTACCATTTGACCCAGCAATCTCATTAGTAGGTATAAACCAAAAGGAATATAAATTGTTCTACCATAAAGACACGTGTACGTGTTGGTTCATTGCAGCACTTTTCACAACAGCAAAGACATGAACTCAATCTAGATGCCCATCAATGGTGAAAATATGGTAAACACACACCAAACACCATGGAACACTACACAGCCATAAAAAAGAACAAAATCATGTTCTTTGCAGCACATGGATGGAGCTAGAGGCCATTATTCTAAGTAAACTAACACAGGAACAGAAAATCAAATACTGCATGTTCTCACTTAAAAGTGTGAGGTAAACAACGAGAACACATGGACACATAGAGGGGAGCAACATACACCAGGGCCTACTTGAGGGTGAAAGATGGGAGGAGAGAGAGGATCAAAAAAATACCTATTGGGTACTATGTGTATTACCTGAGTGATTAAATAATCTGTACACCAAACCCCCGTGACACACAGTTTATCTGTATAACAAACCTGCATGTGTATCCCTGAACCTAAAATAAAAGTGATAAAGAAAAGAAATCCAGTATAAATATTAATATTTTAGTTTTAGAACTTTACTGAAGTTTCGCTTCTTGAGATGGTGTTCTATAATGGAGAGCTCCATGTCTTTTAAAGTCCAGCTTATCTCTTTACTAGCTCTAATGCTTAGTTGCTTAGAATTACTTGTCAATTTCCTTACCAATAAAATGGAAATAACAGTATCTATTTAATATTGTTATTGTGATGACTGAATGAAATAACTGATAAAAGCATCTGGTAAGTGGAGTAGGTACTAAATAACTAGCAGCTATGGCTCTGATTGTTATTAGCTTTAAATGAGCTTTGTTCACATGCTATTCTCACCAACACATGAGGAAATGACTTCTAGCTCTAGACTGACTAAGCCGCAATTGAGTCTGGATCAAGAGGAGCAAACAGTCACCAGTCAAGCCTTATTTCTCTTAATTGAGATATTATCCTCCATTCAAATCCAAGTTCTCCAGAAAAAAGCGTCACAGTAAACCATAGCAATCCCTTAAATATTTGTGTGACATATTGGATGATTCTTTCCAACATAAGCATGCATCAAGGGCCAGTTGGGTAACTAGGGAACTTAGGGAAAAGGTCCTTGTAAAAGAATGGAAAGAAGGGCAGGAATGCAAGTGGCAAAAAAGATGACAATCTTTACACTCTTTTAAACTTTGTCCAGAAATAGGCCCTGCTAAGAATCACTAGTTGAAGTTAGCAATCAGTTTTCATTCACAAAGAGCAATGTCAGGTTCCCCCAGAGATTGAAGCCTCTGCCTCTGGATTTTTCTTCTGCAGCATTCCAAAATTCTACCTTTCTTTCACCTCTGTGACACCTTTAGTTTGTCCTTTTGGCTTGTAGCCAGATTCTTGTGCTCACACAGCCTCATTCATGACTATCTTCCAATTTGAGAAGAATGAAGATTTGGGTGAAGGAGGGGTCAATGCAGTGGGAAGAAAGGAGATGCAGATGTGTCACAGGGAAACTCCTACCTGTGACATTCCTGTAGTTTTCAAGGTTACAGGGATCAAGCTGCTTGCAGTCAGTTGTGAAGAGAAGGCTTTCTTCCTCCTGTTGTGATTGCAGTGTGGAATGACTGGTTGTGATAATAACAGCATGCTCCAGGGCTGATTGATGCGGTGACAGCACCAGGCTCTGCAGGAGACCCACTGCCAAGACTTAGGACCTCACTAGTACTGTTGACAACCTCTTTTTCTGCTTGACTCATATTGCAATCACCTGAGAAGCATGTTGTCCAAAATTTCAAAGAGATCCAAGCAAAATTAATGGGCCAGAGGCAGCAATGAGTGAGCATTATTCGTTGACAGGTAAAAATGTCAGATGAAAAAAAAAAGTCAACCAAAGGAGTTGTAAGGTGTGACTGTTGTGAAACATGGTTATGTTCAAGACCTAATGGGTTCAGCTGGTTTTGTACGGCTTATTTATGTTGCTCTTTATCATCTTAATAGCAAAATTATCATTAGGTAAACCTGCAAGTAGATAGTTCATCCACCGGTCAGCGCTTGGTCATGATATGCCTATCTTTTCTAGGTTTAAAACTCTTTTAAAAAATCCTAACTATCTAATTAAATTGTCTTCAAAGTATAGGTGCTATGTGTACACGTGTACCTGTGTTTGTGTTCAGCAGCTTTTTTTCCAACTTTTATTTTAGGTTCAAGAGGTACATGTGCAGGTTTGTTTTATGGGTAAATTAATTGCATATCATGGAAGTTTGGTGTACAGCTTATTTCATCACCCAGGTAATGAGCATACTATCCAATATATGGACAGGTAGTTTTTCAATTCTCACCCTTCTCCCACCTCCATCCTCAAGTAGGTCCTGGAGTCTATTGTTCCCCCCTTTTTATTTGCCTGTGTATACTCAATGACTAGCTCCCACTTATGAAAGAGAACATGTAGTATTTGGTTTTTCTCTTCCTGTGTTGATTTGCTTAGGACAATGGCCTTCAGCTCCATTCATGTTGCTGCAAAGAACATGATTTTGTTCTTTTTCATGGCTGTGTAGTTTTCTGTGGTGTATAGTATATGTGTACCATATTTTCACCATTGATGGGTATCTAAATTGAGTCCATGTCTTTGCTATTGTGAAAAGTGCTGCAGTGAACAAACACGTACATGTGTCTTTATGGTAGAACAATTTATATTCCTTTAGGTATATAAATGAACAAACATGTGCATGTGTCTTTATGGTAGAACAATTTATATTCCTTTCAGTTTTTACCCAGTAATGAGATTGCTGGGTTGAATAGTAGTTTTAAGTTCTTTGAGAAATATTTAAACTGCTTTCCATAATGGCTGAACTAATTTACATTCCCACCAGCAGTGTATAAATGTTCCCTTTCGTCCGCTTCCTTGCCAGCATCTGTTATTTTTGACTTGTTAGTAATAACCATTTTGACTCGTGTGAGATGGTATCTCACTATGGTTTTGATTTGCATTTCTCTGATGATTAGTGATATGGAGCATTATTTCACAGGCTTGTTGGCCACATGTATGTCTTCTCTTGAGAAGTGTCTGTTCATGTCCATTGCACATTTTTTAGTGGAATTATTTGTTTTTGCTTCTTAATTTGTTTAAGTTTCCTATAGATTCTGGATATTAGACCTTTATCAGATGCATAGTTTGCAAATCTTTTCTCCCACTCTATAGTGAGAAAATATTTGCAAACTACGCATCTGACAAACTGCATCTGTCTGTTTACTCTGTTGACAGTTTCTTTTGCTGTGCAGAAGCTCTTTAGTTTAATTAGTTCCCATTTGTCAATTTTTGGTTTTGTTGCAATTGCTTTTGGAGTCTTTGTCATGAAATCTTTGCCAGGGCTCATGTCCAGAATGATATTTCCTAGGTTATTTTCTAGGGTTTTTATAGTTTTATAGTTTTACATTTAAGTTTTAATCCATCTTGAGTTGATTTTTGCATATGGTTAAAGGAAGGGATCCAGTTTCAGTCTTCTGCATATGGCTAGCCTGCTATCCCAACACCATTTATTGAATAGGGAGTTCTTTCCCCATTGCTTGTTATTGTCGACTTTGTCGAAAATCAAATGGCTGTAGGTGTGTGGCTTTACTTCTTAGTTCTCTATTCTGTTCCATTGGTCTATGTGTCTGTTTTTGCACCAATACCATATACTATTTTGGTTACTGCAGCCTTGCAGTATAGTTTGAACTCAGGTAATGTGATACCTCTGGCTTTATTCTTTTGGCTTAAGATTGCTTTGGCTATTTGGGCTCTTTTTTGATTTTATAGGAACTTTAGAATAGCTTTTTCTAATTCTGTGAAAATTATTGGTAGTTTGATAGGAATAGTATTGGATCTGTCTATTGCTTTGGGCGGTATGGCCTTTTTAACAATATTGATTCTTCCTAACCATGAGATAAAATGTTATCCCATTTTGTTTGTATTGTCTCTGATTTCTTTCAACAGTGTTTTGTAATTCTCATCGTGGAGGTCTTTCACCTCCCTTGTTTCTGTGTTCCTAGGTGTTTTATTCTTCTTGTGGCTACTGTGAACAGTATTGCATCCTTGATTTGGCTCTTAGCTTGGATGTTATTGGTGTATAGAAATGCTACTGATTTTTGTACATTGATTTTATATCCTGAAACTTTACTGAAGTCATTTATCAGTTCCAGGAGCCTTTGGGCAGAGACTATGGGGTCTTCTAGGTATAGAATCATATCGTGTGCAAAGAGAGATAGTTTGGCTTTTTCTTTTCTTATATAGATGCCTTTTATTTCTTTCTCTTGCCTGATTGCTCTGGCTAGGACTTCTTAGCCAGAGCTATTTATACCAATTTTTATATACTTACAGATATAACTAGTTAGTTTTAGAAATGATTTCATATATTTTAGTTCTAACTTGTAACTTAATTTTCATTATTAGTTGAACACTGACATAATCAGTGCAGGAATCAACAACAAGGATTGGAAGATGAAAGTGAGATAGTGCTGTCAACCTGAGATGAGAATAGCTGGATCTGAATTCTGATGAAGACCCAGAAATTATGCTTGTCAATCAGTGCTGGGAGTCATCATCTCTTGAGGGAGAAACTTACACTAAGTCCAGGGCACACAAGAATCATGCAAACCAGAATGCCCATTTTAGGACTTCAGTGAGAAATATGTCCAGATCATTCATATTGGCATAAAATTCTCTTCCTATAATCAAAGTATATGAGGATCCAAATCATAATTAGATGCCAGTTTTTGGACTTTTAAAGAAATTACCCTCAGGAATGAGAAATTGTCAAAAACCTAGGTGAATGATCTATTCCCTTCTTATAGGAAGGTCTACAGGGGAAATACGATATTGATTGATGAACAGAGTGTCAGAACAAAGAGTTTTATATTAACTGAATATTTAAACAAATTAGGCAAAAACAATATGAGATATCTATCTAATACAAGCAGTCACCTTTATCTCCAAACCAGGAACCAGATACTCCCAAATCACATAGGTAAGACTTCCTCTTCCAATGACAGAGCTTGGGTAGACAGTACCAGTGTCTGTCTCTGGGGTCTCTCTCTCTCTCTTTTTTTTTTTCTTTTTATTTCTTTCTTTTATTTTTTATTTTTTTGTTTTTTTGAGACAGAGTCTCTCTCTATTGTCCAGGCTGGAGTGCAATGGCGCAATCTTGGCTCACTGCAACCTCCGCCTCTGGGGTTCAAACGATTCTCCTGCCTTAGCCTCCTGAGTAGCTGGGATTACAGGAACCCACCAACACGTCTGGCTAATTTTTGTATTTTTAGTACAGACAGGGTTTCACCATGTTAGCCAGGTGGTCTCGAACTCCTGACCTTGTGATCCGCCCTCCTTGGCCTTCCAAAGTGCTGGGATTACAGGCGCGAGCCACCACGCCCGGCCTCTGGGGTCTCTTTTTTACCCCATGGCTAAAACACTCTACCTCTTCCCACCCAACTCAATACACGAACCCACCTCTAATTGTCACAGTAATTCTTTTGTTTCTCAATATATACTTAGAAATGGAATTGCTGGGTCAAAGACTGAGCCTAGTTCTGTAGGCAACATCAACTATTCCCCAAAAATGAATGTATCAATTTGTGCTTTGTCAGCAGGGCATATGTTCCCTTTGATCCACATTCTAGTCAACCTTGGCATTTTTAATTTTGAGCCAAAAAAAAAATTGTAAAATGATATATCTTTTTTAAACTTATATTTCCTTGATTATTAGTAAAATTGAGTATCTTTTTATTTGTTCCTGGGAAGATAAGATGCTTCTATTTGCCTCTATTGAAATTACTACATGGAATTTCTTTAGCCAGTTTACACAGTAAATTACAATAAGAGATTTTTCCTGTGTTTAATTCACATTACATTCAACCTGCCATAAAATAGCATCTTTCTAAAAATTGTTAGGCTTGGTTTGATAACATTTCTTTTAGGGTTTTTACATTGAAGTTCAAAGGTGAACTCAGCCTGTAATTTAACTTTTTAAAATTGTCCTTGTCTGATCTGTTCTTGTCAAGATCACACACATCTCAAAGCCTGTTTTTCTCTATCCAGAAAGAGCCTGGTAATTTGGTTTTTAAGAAGATTTTGAACTGCAGATTCATTTTTTTTTCCATTGTTTTAGAACCATTCAGCTTTTCAATAATTGAGTAGACTTATCACTTCTTTCTTTTCTAGAATGTGTTATTTTTGCCTACTTTTACAATTTTTAATTTTTAGTGTATTAAAATTTATATGTAGCAAATGTACAGATGGTTTGAGAATTTTGACAAATGTACATACCTAAATAATCAGCATCCATAAAGATATAGAATAGTTCATCTCAGCAAAAAGTTCTTCCATGCCACTTTCCAGGGAATCCTGCCCTCTACCTCAGAGAAACATTTTTCTTCTGATTTCTAACCCATAGATTAGTCTTGTTTGTCCTTGAATTTCATATGAATAGACTTATGCAGTACTCTTTTCTTTTATGCAGTATGTGGATTCTTTATCTCAAATATATTTTTATATTCCTCCATATTGCTTAATGTGTTAACAGTTTGTTCCTTCTTATTTCTGAGTAGTATTCCATTGTATAAATATTCTACAATTTGTTTATCTATTTTCCTTTAATGGACATTTCCATCATTTCCACTTTTGGCTATTACAAATATATCTGCTGTGAAAATTTTTGTACAAGTCTCTTTGTGAATGTATGTTTTCATTTTTCTTAAATAAATAGCTAGAGTGGAATTCCTGAGTCATAGAGCAGGTGAATGATAAACTTGATAAGACACAGCCATACAATTTTCCAAAGTAGTTATACTATTTTACATTTCACCAGCAATGTATGAGAGTTCCTGTGTAATACTTTTTTTGCCAATATATAGTATTTCATATTTTTAAATGTTAGCTGTTCAAGTGTGCATGTGGTGATATTTGATTGTGATTTTCATTTGCATGTCCCTAATGAGTAATATTTAAAGTATCTTTTCATGGGCATATTTGTCTTTCATATATCTTCTTTTATGAAGTTCCTGTTAAAGTCTTTTGCCCATTTTAAAATTTGGTTGTCTTTTTTCTATTGATTTGTGGGTATTTATATCTTATATATATGAGTCCTTTGTTAGAAATGTAAATGGCAAATATATTTTTCCAATTTGTGGCTTGTCTTTTTATTTTCTTAATCATATCTTTTGATGTATAGAGGTTTTAAATTTTGGTGATATGCAATGTATCAAATTTATTGAGTTAGCATTTTTTGTATCCTAAGAAACTTTTGCTTACCTCAAGGTTGTCAGGATATTCTATGTGTTCTATCAGATTTGTAATATTAGCATTTACACTTAGATTATAACCTATCTCAAATTATTATTATTTGCATGATGTGAGATAGAGAATCAAAGTTCATTTTTTTTCCCCTTGGATATCATGTTGTTCCAGAATTATTTGTTGAAAAGACTTTCTTTTTCTCATTGAATTGTCTTGACGTCGTTGATAAAAATCAATTGATCACCCCTATGGAAGCCTATCTTTGGATTTTTTAATTCTGTTTTTTTGATATGTACACTAATAACATATACCAATATGCTTATGCCCATAACATACTCTCTTACTTAGCATCATAGTAAGTTCTCCAATTTTGTTGTTCTGTTTTTATCATTGTCATAGATATTCTAGGTTAATTTATATTACCATCTAGTGCTATTGAAATTATAATTACTATTGTCATCTAGTAATTTTGGGTCCTCCAATCCTTGAACATGGTATCTCTCCATTATTTAGGCCACTTTTCTTAGGAATATTTTAATTTTCAGTATAAAGATATCATATATTTTGCTATATTTATTCCAAAGTATATTGAAATATTGATGCTTTAGAAAATGGTATTTTTAAAATTTCATTTCTTATTGTTTTTAGAACACAAAAATAGAATTCTTATAGTATATCGGCTTGTTATCCTACAATCTTGCTAAGTTCACTTATTAGTTATAGTGGTTTCTTTTTTATTTGAGTTTTTTACATGTAAAATCATGTTGTATACAAATAAAGGCAATTTTACTTCTTTCTTTACTTTTCCTTCCTTTACCTTTTTTTGCCTTATTATAATTCCAAAAACTCCACTGCAATGTTTTTTTTTAGTTTAAGTGGTGGTTTAAGTGGTGATTTTTAATTTAAGTGGCTTTTTAATTTAAGTGGTAAGAGTGGACGTCTTTGCTTTGTTCCCAATCTTATGAAATAGCCTTCAAAATTTTATCAAGTGTGATGTAAGCTGAGGTTTTTTTCATAGATGTACCTTACTAGATTGAAGAATCTGCCTTGTAGTTCTAGTTTGCTGAAAGTCTGCATCATGAATGAGTGTTGAATTTTATTAAGTACTTTTTCTACATCTATTTGGAATGCTAACTTTTTTCCTTATTCTGTTAATGTGGTATATTATATTGATAGATTTTAAATGCTAAATCTACCTGAATTCCTGGGATAAATTTCACTTGATTATAATGCATTATTACTTTTATATATTACTGGATTTGATTTGCTATTCTATTGTTCAGAATTTTTGCTTCTTTTTTTATGGAGGATATTTGCCTGCAATTTTTTTTTGTGATGTCTTTGTCAGGTTTTGCTATCATGCTGATGCTGACTTTATAAAATGAGTTGAGGCACATAGCCTTCTCTATATTTTGAAATAGTTTGCATGGAATTAGTATTATTTCTTTCATGGGAATGAACTCTGCATCTGGTGTTTTCTTTGTGAGAATTTTTTTTTAATTATAAATTCAAACTTAAAAATAGATTAGGGACTATTCAGATTTTCTTTTTCTTCTTGTGTCAGTTTTGGTAAATTGTATGTCTCCCAACAATGGTCCTTTTAATCTAAACTGTTGAATTTGTTGGCATAAAACTATTCTTAGCATTCCTTTATTCTTTTAATGTCTCTAGGATCTAAATTGATGCTCTCTTTTCACTTTCTCTTTTTCTTGATTAGTCTTGCTATAGGTTTATCAATTTTATTAATCTTCACAGAGAGTCAACTTTTGCCTTTGTTGGTATTCTTTGTTGCTTTTGTTTTCTGTTTTATTTATTTCTACACTAATCCGTATTATTTCCTTTCTTCTTTTAAAGTTTAATTTGTTTTCCTTTTCTAGTTTCTTAATTTGAAAACTGAGATCACAGATTTTAAAATCTTTTTATTTTCTAATATAAGCTACAAATTTCCTCTAAGCACCGCTTTAGCTGCATCTGATAAATTTTGATATTTTTTGTTTCATTATCATTCAGTTCAAAATATTTTCTAAAGTTTTTTGAATTTTTACTTTGCCCATGGTTATTTAGAAGCTCAAGTTTCAGATATTTGGGAGATCAACCCAAGTTTTTGCAATTTTCACTTAAGAAAATACTAATGATTTTCATATATCTGGATTTCTATTTTTATCTTTTTAATTGAAACTTAATTTTTAACCTCTATAATCTCTGCTTTATCTTCTCTATGCTCTGTTTATCTTCTCTAGAGTTTCATCTAGTAATATTTATTTCATTCCTATGTTATTCATGTGTGTTATTATTCATTCCTTTTCTCCTGTGTCTTGATTGGCTTTGTTGGTTAATTATTAATTTTATTATTTTTTCAAAGAAATAATATTTAGTTCTGTTGATACTTTAAACAAAATTTTAAATACACATTATTTTTTAGTGGCAGTCTTAGGTTCACACCAAAGTTGAACAGAAAGTATAGAGAGTTTCCCTATATCCTTGTTCCTACATACATACAACCTGCCTCACTACTAACATCTGGCACCAACATGGACATACCAAGGTGCCTTCAAGAAACCTGGAGGTGGCAGAAACAAAATGGCTCTTGGAAGTTAAATCTCAAAATTAACATACAATGGTTCAAAAAACAGATATCTAGGCCAATGCGATTTGACTAAATTGATTGGATGCTATTGTCTATTGGATGCTATCTCATCTTACCTGTTCCCTTACCTAACCTGCTTCCTTACCATCCCAGCCAAGCTATCTTTCATACCACTCCGCTGAGTTCTTTTTCCCAAAGGCATAAATATCCCCCATGTTGCCTAATTCAATAGTCAAATCTCAACTCCTTATCATATTCTACTCCTCAGAAATATTTTAATATAACTAACACTCCTACTATCTTGAAACATTTTCTTCTGGTTTTGGGGACAATGTGTGCTGCCAGTTTTTCTCCTATCTCATTGGCTGTCTTCCTCAGTCTTCTTTGCTTTACCCTCTTTCTTATTTCTGCTTCTAGATTGGAGTTGTTTCAGGCTGAATTCTTGGGACTTCTTCTCTTCTCTATTTGCATTCACCATTCTGAGGGACTGAATCCAATTCCATGGCTTTGAAAACCACTTGTATCCTGATGACTTCCAAATTGTTACCTTTAGTCCCAAACTCTCCTTTACAGAATATAGACTACAGACTATCCAACTGCCTGCTCAAAGTCTGCCTTTTGATGTCTAATAGGCTTACTAAACTCATCATGTTCAAAACTAAAATTTTGGTTGGTTATCCTCAAATATTCGTCTCTATTCACCAATCCCAACTTGGAGTTTATCCTTTAAAATGCATTTTAAGTAACACTATTTCTTACCTCTGTTACTATTATCTGTTTTGCTCCAGAATACCATCATCTCTTACCTGACCTTGCAGTCTGTACTATGTTGCTTTCTTATTGCCACTCTATCTGCCTTTGGTCAATTCTCTGTTTTGTAGCTTAAGTGGTCCTTTTAATATGCAAACCTGAGCATGTCACTGCCCTGTTCAAAACCCTCCAATAACTTCTGTTATATTAGAATAAAATCCAAAACCCCTTATCATAACCTTATGACCTTATAAGGCCCTTTGTGTTCTGGCCCCTGACTGCCTCTTCCACCTCATCTTACCACTGTCCTCCTCACTTGCCCATTGAAAGCCAATCATATTCGTCTCGTATCTGTTTCTTAAACATGTCAAGCATATTCCCATCCCAGGGCCTTTGTTCCTGCCCTTTCCACTATCTGAACACTGTTTTCACATCCACTTGGCTAGCTTCCTTACTTCATCCAGGTCTCTATTCAAAGATCATCCCCTTAGAAAGCCCTTTGGTCGGGCACGGTGGCTCATGCCTATAATCCCAGCACTTTGGGAGGCTGAGGCAGGCGGATGACGAGGTCAAGAGATCAAGCCCATTCTGGCCAACATGGTGAAACCCCGTCTCTACTAAAAATACAAAAATTAGCTGGGAGTGGTGGCACATGCCTATAGTCCCAGCTACTCTGGAGGCTGAGGCAGGAGAATCACTCAAACCCGGGAGGCGGAGGTTGCAGTGAGCCGAGATCACACCACTGCACTCCAGCTTGGCGACAGAGTGAGACTCTGTCTAAAAAAAAAAAAAAAAAGCCCTTCACTGTCCACTCAATCTAAAGTAGCATCCCTCTACCCTTTGTTTATTTTCCTGCTTTATTTTTTTCATAACACTTCAGTAGTAATTGATTTTGTATGATTGATCTACAGACATTTATATTTTTATTACCTTTTCCTCTCATTTGAAATGTAAAATTCATGAGGGCAGGGACTTTGAGACTCTTAGAATTACCATTTTATCACCAATAGTAAGGCATTCAATAAATGTTTTTTGATGTTAGAATAGATTAATATTTTGGCAGTTTGATTTGCCTCCCAGTCTTTCTAAGCTTAGTTAATATGAGCTAAGCCCTGAGAAATGGGATCTTTTTTAGTGTTTTAGAAAAATCAAGTTCCTGACCTTCTAAGGAAGACTCAAAATGGTAAGAAATTTACCAAGGTATAGGTGGAGAGCTTCTCAGATAGGCACTTCGTCCTAGTGACCCGCTCTGCATTGTTGCATGTTTGTACATGTTTTCAAGCCAAACTTCATCAGTTATTTTCTCGTTCAAAAGAGAGAGTGCAGAAAGGTCTGAAATTACTTCATTGGGTCATGGATTCAAGCAGGATTCTATTATGGCACAGTGGTGAAGAACATAGGCCCCAGAGTGAGACTGTCTAGGTTTGAATTCTCTACCACTCAGGAGCCATGCAAATGGAGCAAAATATTTAATCTCTCTATGTCTTGGTTTTCTCATGTCATTCCTTCTCATAGACGGAATAAGAATATTTGCATCATAGTATTATGCTTAGAATACTATATGTAAACACTCAACACATATTAGCAATAATAATAATTATTATTATTCTCTTATTTCTGTTGGTCTCTCAAAGATTAAATTATTATAGTTTTACAGCAGGACTAAACTTGAGGATAAAAGTGAAAAACTTTTGAGGTTCATTCTTATTTCTTACTCTGAGTTACTCCATCAATTTAGGAGAATTTGTTAAGCAGAAGGAAGATTTGTCATCTCTCTAGGTACAAGCAGATGGGCAAAGGGTAACCAGAAGATTACAAAATAGTCTGCAAATATCAAATGGCAGGAAACATGCCAGAAGTAATTGCTTTTAATATTACGACTGGGCTATGACTTATGACTCCCCTGAGATCTCACTGAGACGATCCCAGCTGATGACTCCACTCCTGAACACTGGTGTTAATGAGAGTCACAACGCAATACTGTTTTCCTGTCTATGCAGAGTGAGTTCCATGTTCACACCCAGATGAACACCAAGAAATAGGAAGCAGCAGTAGAGTGCTTTAAAAGTACATAATTAATGCAAAACGTCTTTTTTCCCTCTTGTTCAAGTTCCACTATATACTAGCTTTATTAAAGACCTGTTTAAAACAAACACAAAAGCTCTAAGAATGAACATTTATCATGCACGTACCTTGTACCATGTACCTTTCAAAGTGTTTTACATATATTAATTCACTTAATCCCCACAATAACTCCATGAAATGGGTATTGTTTTTATCCCGGTTTTACAGAAGAAGGTGAGACAGCAGCAGAAAGGTCAGGAACATACCCATGGTCACGTAGTTGAAGTGATGCAACTGGGATTCAAGCCTAGGCTATTTGGCTTCTAGAGCCCAGAAGCTTAGGCTCACCACTCTGTTGTCTAGAAAAGCTCCCAAGCATGCTCATTACTAATCTTATAATCACAGATACACTACCTTTCATCTGAAAACATCAATTTAATTTCTTATTTAAAAGTTTTTTTAAGTAAGAGTGCAAGGCACTGAGCTATGCAAGGGAAATCCATAGAAGCCTTCTAATACTTTACACACAACTCTATGACTGGGAAAACCCCACCCACATCTATTCTATTGGCTGGTTTCTGTTTGCTGCCTTGTTCTAGACAGTTACCTGACTTCTTTAACAATGTAGTTGTGTTCTTTTGTTTTCCACCAGAATTGTAGAAAGGCCCATTATCTCTCTTCTTCAGATCCAAGTGGGTGCTGAAGAGAACAAAAATGGAACAGCCAATCCTCTTTAAGCCTTTTTGCTGTATGTGTAAATTTTATTTTACTTTTTTGAGACAGGTTCTTGCTCTGTCACCCAGGCTGGAATGCAGTGGCATGAACATGCAGCCTCAACCTCCTGGCATCAAGCAATCTTGCCACCTCAGCCTCCAATGTACCTCAGAGAAGAAGTGATATTGAGATATTGAGATAATCTGCCTAATTCACTTATATGATCCATTGGCCAGAATTAGGCAGATTATCTCTATCTCATCATAACGGAGGGTGAGAAATCTGAGAATCACATAAAATAACTGTAAGAACTCTCTCTACCACAATGAAATGTATTTGAAAATTGTATATTCTTGATATGTTAGGACTTTTTTCACAAAGAAACAGTAACAATTTTTTTTATTGTTATTCCCAGTATCCACAAGCACGCACCACCATGCCTGTCTAATTTTTTTTAATTTTTATTTTTTGTAGAGATAGAGTCTTACTTTGTTGCCAAGGCTGGTCTCAAACTCCTGGGCTCAGGCAATCTTCCCACCTTGGCCTCCCAAAGTGCTGGGGTTATCAGGCACGAGCCACTGCAGCTGGCCTGAATGGGTAAATTTTAATAGGTATTTTCTGGAGTTCGGTTTCAACTACCAAGCAGAAACATAATAATAACAGGCAAGGGAATATTATTAAATACACATTTTTGCCTGGAGAGATCTCTACTCAATGCTTACTTCTTACTCCTTTAAGGCTGATCTGGAAGTGGACATTGGAGGCATAACTCTAGTCTTTCATTCTTCTTGAGCCAGAGAGGAATACTTTTGTTGACTTAGTGGCTGTAGTGAGACAAAGGGGACCATGACTTAGGTTGAGACTCCTTGTAGGTAGAGAGACGTAGCTAAGGATGTTATGTGTAAAACTTCCTCCCAGCCTTAAATTCGTGATACAACAATTTTATGTGCTTTGAAAATGGAGCAAGACTACCACCCTCTGCTTATTTTGGGGCTTGGGTTCACAGATGGTGGGGAGGGGAGCATCCTGATCTTTAGAAGTGGATGAAACTTGATTACACTTACAATCTGTGTGACTGTAGGAACATCACTTGTTTCTTTATTTGTAAAATGGGATTCATAATAGATTCTGGCCTGTGAAAATGAGTGATACACTATATATAATACATGACATACGAAAGGTGCTCAGTAAGTTGTAGCATTATGAACTGTAATGGTTGAAAGGCTTTAGGAACCCTATGTTATATTCAATTCATATAGGCACATCCTAAATTATCTTGTTGCTTGAACTTATATTTCCAAAATGTTGACAGACTTCTTGGGAAGTGGCTCTTGTTTAGAAAGACAATGAGACTGCCATCGACTTGATAGGGACATATAGGAAACACTACAGTGGGAGCAAACCTTCAAAAATAGAGTAATGCGAACTTCTTACCCCAGGTAGAACGTCTTTATATTCCATTAGCATCCTGTATACCAGATTTTTTCAGTTTGTCTTTGAAGTCTCCTCACCTCTCTGTGCATCAGTTTCTTCATCTGTGAAATGAAGACATTAATCTCCAAATTCCCTTCCAGCTAAAACTTCGTATTAGTTTATTGATGAGGTGAGAGATGGCATGATTGACAGACTCTGGATTTAGGAACTATAAATTTTAATTATAAAAATGCTCCCTATGAGTAAAGTTACTTTCTATTATCTGTTCTAGGTGGTAGGAGAAGGCTGTAAGTCTCAAGAACAGAGTAGTACTGTCTTAATCACAAAGCTTTGTTGCACAACAGAAAGTACAAATTACTTGCAAATTCGGGAAACCAATTGGATTGCAAGGAGCCTCTGGACTAAAATCATGTCCTGATGCTAGGAAAATAGACTGGCTTCAGAAACACATGACCACTTCCTATGGCTCATCCATTTCTGTTTTAAAACACAACCTTGGAATACATACATTTATTCCTTGAAAAACTTTTTCACATTGCTTGGGTATAACCTGAACATCGAGTGGCCATAGGCATCCTCAACTCACACAAACTGAACAGTATGACACCGTTCATGCTATGGTAAGCCCCGGTTTTGAAAAACCGGAGAAATATTAGTTAGTAACCTGCTCTAAAAAGTTTCACATATAGCACTGTATAAATAAAACTTTTAATACTATATTATGTGGGAAATAAGAACAACATCAATAATGTCCTCTAAGCTCCTTGAAGGTGGAGAGTGTCTTATGCATGTTTATTTCCCCAGCACCTGTCTCATGCAAGGGGATATTTGAATATTGAAAAGAATAGTTAATGTTTGTATCAGTGATATTTGAATTGAAATGTTTCTTGACTTAGTTGAGCACTTTCTCGAGTATTTTACTAACTTTTTTCAAGTCAATATTTTCATGCTGATTATCTCACTCAATCTTTAAAAAATAAATTCTATGACTTATTTTGGAAACCAGGAGTAATTTTTCAACTGAGATTTGATAGTAAATTAAAAGACCATCTTCCCTTTAAGACCAGTGATCTCTCTTAAGTTCCAACTATTAAATATTCTTAGAAAGCCTGTGCCTTGGAATGAGACAAATTGCTGCTTTCTAGCGATATGAGTTGAACAAGTTACTTAACCAGTCCAAGCCTCAGTTTTCTTGTCTGTAAAATGACTTTGTTGTTGGTCGATTGTGTTTTTGTCTTAGTCAAGATTAGATATAATGTATACACAGCCTCTAGAGCAATTTCCAGCATGTAGTGGGGGGGCGGAGGGATATTATTATTGTCATTTTTCTGAAGCTATTTTTCCCCACTGGTAAGATATGACATTTTCTATTGAAAAATAAAAATCTGCTGCTTGTCACTTTATGAAACCTAGACAAGTTTTCACCTCCCATTTTGGCTTAGCTTAAGAAGTAGGATTCAGAATTATCCCACGAAATTAAAAATGTTTACCCCGCCCCCACCTCACCCAAGGGCAATCACCGGAGGGTTCCTGAGCATCCACTCAGCCTGACCTACAGGAGAAATAAAAGTTGAGAACAGGGTCTCCATGCAGAGCTAAATGATTCATGTGCAAACGCCCTCTCTGATTCATAACAAGGGAGCAAATCATCCTGTCATTCCCAGAAGCCTGCAGAGCCAGCCTCATTTGGCTGAGACTGTGGGGGCTTCCAGTTTCCAGGCATAGAGTTTGGCTGCAGTCTGAATGCTTGGTGATGACCAAATTGGTGGGGAATATAGCTGAGCAGCAGGGCTGACGACTCTCTGAGGTACTGTGGGTAATTAGAGATTCATTACAATCCCATAGTTTGTATCATGGCTCGGTGTCAACACAGGGTCACTGCACATGGCAAACTTATGAAGCTGTGTCTAGAAGGATGACGCCAGCCCGGAGAGGCTGGGAGAGGGAAGCGGACAGGGATGAGGAGCAGGGGGGCTGGGACGCAGATACACAGCCAGGGACTGGAGACAGCCCGGATGTGGGGCAGTGGGCCCCGCGGGCTCTGGGGAAGGGAGCAAAACACAGGCAGCTGAACTAGCTTCCCCACCGCCATTCCTGCCATCTCCAATTAACCTTCCAAGCCAAGGGTTCCCAGAGATTGGCATGTCATGGGCCAGTCCAATTTCAAAAAATAATTGGGGCCTGACATAGGGTAGCCAACTTCTTATTTTGCAGAGTAAGGACATTGAAAGCAAACAAAACAGTTGCCATCCACTATCACCATCATTTCAGAAGAGAAAGGGGATTTTTACACTAAATAAGGTAGGAAGGACATAATCTCAGGATAAATGACAGTCATGTAAATTTAATTAATTTAGCTCACCAAGTTATGGTTATTTTTCTCATTACCATGAAGACTTATGAAAACTCTCTTGCAGACTGGCTTTAGGTTTTCCCTCCAGATTTTCCACAGTGGCAAGACTCAGAGCACAGTTTTGTGGAGAATATTCATAAGGAGAAAAAGGACACTGCACATCTTATGAACTTTATGAAGATTGCTTTACGAAGAACTTTATGAAGAAAGATAGCTTCTGCCTCTTCTTTATATACTCTTTTCATTCCCCAGTTGAAAAGAAAAGAAAAAAGAAAGAGAAAAAAAAGGAAGGAAAGGAAAAGCTTATCTATCAAATCATTTCATTAGCATGACATTCAAACTGTTCTAATGAATTTAAATGGGATTTTTGATTTTATGTTTCTTCCAGGTGACATAGCAATGATAACATATCTGTAAAATTCTTTTTTTTTTTTTTTTTTTGAGACAGAGTCTTGCTCTGTTGTCCAGGTTGGAGTGCAGTGGCGCGATCTCGGCTCACTGCAAGCTCCGCCTCCCGGGTTCACGCCATTCTCCCTCAGTAGTATTCTCCCTCCCGAGTAGCTGTGACTGCAGGTGCCTGCCACCACACCTGGCTAATTTTTTGTATTTTTAGTAGAGACGGGGTTTCACCGTGTTAGCCAGGATGGTCTTGATCTCCCGACCTCATGATCTGCCTGCCTCAGCCTCCCAAAGTGCTGGAATTACAGGTATGAGCCACCGCGCCTGGCACATACCTGTAAAATTCTTTTATTTGCAAAGGACTTTCACATTTATGACCTTCTCTGATTCACCAAACAAACCCAGTAGATAGTATTATACTATATTACCCATTGTACGGATGAGGAAACTGAGGGTATGATTTGCCCAAATTCAAACATTCAGTAAATTGTGGAGCTAGGATTCAAACTCATCTTTCCTGGCTCCATAGTCTATACTCTTTCATTACAACATGAATTAAGGGAAAAGAGAGGTACTCTGATATAATTTTGCCATGATCAATCTTTTTATTCTCTGGAACAAGATCTTCACATTTTGGAAAAATCTTATAAAGAATCAAAAGTGAAACCTGGATGGCCCTGAAACCAAAAGCTCTGTTTTTCAGTCCCAAGGCACTCTAATTATGGAGCATGAGTCATCTCCACCCTGATACACTTAAAGCCATATTTCATTAGTTCAAGTGGACCACCCTGCAGGGTGGGGTTACACAAAAGAGGAAAACAGAAGCGTTCAGTTAATGAAACAGAAAAAATGACAGTACCTCACTTATAGCTGACTTTGTGTTAGTATTTTTAGATGTTTTTTTAAAGAACGCTTTTGCATATCTTTTTGTTACGTCAAATTAACAAATTTCACTTGATGCGAATTTGTCACATTCAGAACTGGAAGAAGTGGTGAGTCGGGAGGCTTTGCGGCAAGGAGAATACCGCCTGGGTGAGGAACAGGTGGTATGTGCCCTTCTGTGTGTGACCAGCCCGGCTGCAGGTGGCTTCTGCACTTGCAAAGGCTGAAGGAGCACAAGTAAGGATGTCTCTCACAGGACCTTCAGGCCCTCCCTAGGCATGTGGATGGCTCCTCTCTGTCGTAGTCCTCCTCTAGCTGGAGTCTAAGTGCTTGCTGAATTTCGGGCCTGCCTCAGCTTTATTTCCCTTTCAACACTAATGCACAGCAATATCCAGAACTAACAGGAAAAGGAGGAATTCATTTCTCAGGGAAATATGGGCCTTGAGCTTAGAGGTTAAAATCAGGGATTCTCATATCTGCATTTCTTTAGAACTGTGAAGGGCTTTGTGTTTTGCTTTTTCAGAATGCGTAGACCAGACTTCTAGGTAGGTAGAAACTAACAGCTTCTTAAATTCTAAAATTATTTGAAAAGGAAAATAATTATATAAATTAGAGCTTTATATACTAATCTGTAAGTTTGTCTCATTTGCCTGATTAATGGAACCAAGATATGATCCCAATTAGCTCCCAACTTCAAGATTAGAAAAGATCCTCCATAAACATTCAAATAAGTTTTGTATCTAAGTTAATAGAATCGGACCAGTGTTAATTTTCTGGTTTCGACTTTCTACTATGGTTGTGCACAATATCATTGGTGGAAGCTGGGTGATGGTTATATGGAATCCATACTGTTTTCACATCTTCTTTGTAGTTCTTAAATTACTTCAAAACCAAAGGGTTTTCTTGTTTAAACTCTTCATGTAGCTTTCTCCTGATAAGCTAAGAGGTCCCCTGAAAGTAAAAAACATTAGTGCATAGGTGATGTATCACATGTCCCTATCCTCAGAATGCTGAGGGGCTTTGTGGTCTAGGTAGTTCAAAACAATAATCTAAAAAACTTATTTGCTTCATACTTACCATACATTTCATGAATAACTAATTATTTTTCTCATGTATTAGCAGGCCAAATGGCCTTCACTTTGAACTTATGAAAGGCACCTTTCTATTTAAGGAAATTCTATAAAAGAAGCTTTGGCGAATTGATAATAATGACCATCCACTGTGGAAGACAGCTGGCCTATGAACTTCATACACATTATCTTTTTTAATTGTCACAATAATCCTGCAAGGTAGTTATTATTGTCCTCCTTTTGCAGTTAAGAGAACTGGAGACACAAAAAAGCTAAGTGAATTATGCAAAGCCACCCAGCTAGAAGTGACTTTCTTCAGAGGAAGTTCTTGGAATTCCTGTGCCACCATAAGAGTTACTCACCTGCTGGATTTTTATGAGAAGGTATGTACTTCCTAATTTATTCAGATAATTTTTGGCGTATATCCTGCTTTGCTGTGCATGTTTATTCTACTATAAATTTATTCATTCAATCATTCATTGATTGACTAACTCATTCAACAAATATTTATGGAATGCCTCATGTGTACCAGACACTGTGAACTGCAACATTGAATGAAACAGAATTATGTCCCCTCCCTCAAGAAGGTCAACAAGTAAATACATAAATATTTTTAAAAAGCAATAAGCCAGTTGCAGAAAAATGAAGAGGATGAGGGAGAATGGAGGATTAAGTGGAAGTGAGGTGTGGAATAAGGGCGCTATTTAAGGTAAGGGGTCCAGGGATGGCTTTTCTGAGGAGACAACATTTGGGCCGAGACCTGATGAAGCGAGGAGAAATGCCACAGTGGGGAAGAGGGCAGCAAGTGTGCAGGCCTTCAAAGGAGAAGCAGGAGATGCCCAGTGGGTTTGGAGTTCTGTGAGGGAGGTGTGTGGTAGGAGGTAGATGAGAGAGGTAGCCAGGGGCTAGATCACTGCAGGGTTTTGTAGCCTGTGGTGAGAATTTAGGTTTTATTTTAATTGTGATGGGAAGCCACTGGAAAAAAAGACCGGGTCCAATTTACACTTGAAAAGAATCACTCTGGCTGCTGCCTGGGGAACCATGTATAAGGGGGCCAGGGTGGCAGCAAGGATACCACTGGGGGCCAGGACAAGGGATGTGGTGGCTTAGATGAGGGTAAGAGTTTTCTTCTAACCCTGACCTAAGATCTATGACTTCCTGACAATAAATTCTAATATTGAATGCCTTTAGGCTTAACAATGTAGGGATCCCAACCTGCCAAAGCTGTGGGCACAGAACAAATAACACATTTTGCATTCTGAGTGTCTCTGGGAAAGGAAGAAAAAATGACAGGCAGAAGGGAACAAAGGGTGTGTATGGGTTTTGCCATTGTCTCTAAAAGTGGATAATGTGGATTCAATTGCCCTCCTCCTTTCAACTTTCATAGTGCTTAATTCTGCCCCACTAATTTTTACATAATCACATGTGGCCTTTCTGTGCAACTTCCCTTTAAGGAAATGCATCTTTTTCTTTCCAAAAATACTAGCAGTTCCTAAAGGGCAGACACTGTGTTGATATGGTGCTTGTATTAAATGACTAGAATTTTACAGTAAGATAGTTGATGTTAAAATGTATACTTTTAAAATGATTAATATTTAGGTAATTGAATAAATGCAATTAAATTGGCCAGTTATTTAGTAAAGTTGAGGGTTAGAAAATATCTTGGCCTTGTTGGATGTCTCCTGGCTCTCTAATGCATCCTTTCTGAGGACGTTCAATGGACCACTGTTCCACAGGATGTTAATAGGTGTTATTTGAAAACAGGCTTTTGTGGTCAGATAGTTTAGGGAGTCTTAGTGAAATAAAATTACATAGGTTTTTTCACTGTAGGACTTCTCAGTGGCTTTACTATGCTAATGTCTATTGTAAATGTGCAAGAAGTGACATAATTTGTAATCTGTCCCTAAAATCTCTGACCGTGAAACTTCTTTCTCATTGAACTTTTTTAGAGAGCACCTCCTGAAACTAGAGTTATGAAAACACATACTTTGCAAAAGATTTCAGTGGAAATCATGGTAGGTAACGAAGTGGGCAAACTTTTCTTCTGATTCTGTTATAAATAAAAACCAAGGCCTATACCAAGGAAGAATAATTAGCAAAGGCTTGAATGGTCTTTTTCAAACTGATCATCAGAAAGACAATAATTAAATACAATTTTTTATCCTGATTTAGCAAAATGCTGACTCAGCTTATCATCTGGTGTGAAGGATAGAATTCACTTGGTTCGGGCAGGGCGTGGTGGCCCACGCCTGTAATCCCAGCACTTTGGGAGGCTGAGGCGGGTGGATCACGAGGTCAGGAGATCGAGACCATCTTGGCTAATATGGTGAAACCCCGTCTCTACTAAAAATACAAAAAATTAGCTGGGCATGGTGGCGGGTGCCTGTAGTCCCAGCTACTCTGGAGGCTGAGGTAGGAGAATGGCATGAACCTGGGAGGCAGAGGTTGCAGTGAGCTGAGATTGTGCCACTGAACTCCAGCCTGGGCCACAAAGCGAGACTCCAACTCAAAAAAAAAAAAAAAAAATTCACTCGGTTCAAAGTTTTATATCAGAATCTATTGTTAACTGGTCAATTAATTTGTTGGAGATGTAGCAAAGGGATTGATTCATTTACCAAATTCTTTTTCATCTATGAAATTTAACGTCTATGATGGATACAATCCTTCCTAGAAGGTAAAAACCTATACCAGTTTGTTGTTGGAAATGATTTCTGCCAATTCACAGTTGTGGTCACTATAGCACTTTATTTTTCACAATTTCAGTTGGACTTGGAAATATCTAACCCACTCCAGTTTTGCTTGCCTTTCATGATCATGTGACCAGGAAGCAGCAGTAAGCAGACTACTCTTAAGATGGAGCTGTGGTGATTTAGGCATGGGGGCTCTTGAAATTAATCCATGAGTATCATTCTGGGCAAAGTGAAACATCCAAGCCTATAGCAGTTATGAGTTATGATGTGTGGTTAAAAAGCCAAAAGCAACGGAAACAGCATTTAGAGACTAATTCGGTGCTAAACAGGAGGATATTGACCATGTTATAACAGAAAGAGCTGTGTGTTATAACCTAGTGGTTATAACTGAGACAACATGGAAGTTATAACTGGAAGAAAGATGGGCACCTTTCTTCCATTAGCATTTGTCAGAACCTGGTTGAGAATGACAAATGAATAACAGGTATACTTTAAAAGACTATATACTGAAAGAACTCAGGAAATCATATGAAAGAGGGCATTACACCTCAAGGAGCTAGAAGGCAATGTACTTTATGCTACAATGAATCTTCTATGCCAGATACAGATCTCCCCCCCAATTCAGCTCTTCAACTAAGAGATAAGATCTTAAGAATTGTGGCTCAGTGTTTGGCCTTTATTCAGCTAATTTTAATGTATATTATTAGGGAATATTAACTGAGCATAATTGGTGTTTACACTTGGAGCTTATAATCTCTCGTAATATGTTAGCAATATAATATGATTATTTTTTTTCTTTTGGTATAAGCTGCTTTATGGATCTCAGGCAATGAAAACTTATGTGTGGCAAGCAAAGTGCTCTCTCAAGAAGGAACTAGTTGATACCTGCTCCATTTTGGTTGGAGAAACCAAGGTGCCAAGAGGCAGAGGCCATGGAAGCTCTTCCTAAGACAGATTCCTGGCTTTGTGATCTTGGGTCTAATTCATTATGTTGAATTACAATACATTGGTTTTGTCATCATTTTGCAAGACCTGTTGTATCAATAGCAATACCTCCTCTGATATGCCTTTCTGAGTTCCCACTCTGGGGAAATCCAACATTCTTAGTGTAGTACCTAAGACCTTCTGCCTACCACTTCAGCCTGGGCTTCTTTTGGCTACTCCAATATGTCTTGCCTCACCTCTTGCTCCCAACTTTGGGTTTTCATATACACTATTAACTTGATGATAAAAAATATCCAACTCTCCATTCCCTACTTCCTCTTTGTGCCTCTCTTCCTTTCCTCCAGGCCTTCCTTGGCGGCCTTCACTGACACCCCTTACACCCCCTCAATTTTTCTTTCCATTCCTCAACTACCTGATGCACATGCTAACATACATGCACACTCACACATGCACAGACACATGAATAAGTACTTCTGCCAGCAAGACATTATTGTTTATCCTCCCCATCAACCCCACAGCTCCTTAAAGTGGATGCCACAACTATCTTCTTCATTGTTGCATGCCTTGTACCTATCACAGCACTAGGAAAATAATTGCTCAATTAAGTAATAAATGACCTCTCAGCTGGAACTCTATAAGCCAGAAGAGATTAGGGGCCTATACTCAATAGTCTTAAAGAAATAAACTTTCAACCAAGAATTTCATATCCAGCCAAACTTAGCTTCCTAAGTGAAGAACAAATAAGATGCTTTTCAGATAAGCAAATGTTGAGGGAGTTTGTTACCACCAGACGTGCCTTACAAGAGATCTTGAAAGGAGCACTAAAGATAGAAAAAAAAAGGACCACTACCAGCTACTACAAAAACACATTTAAACACACAGGACCAGTGTCGCTATAAAGCAAACACACAAACAAACCAACATAATAACCAGCTAACAACACAGTGACAGGATCAAATACACTCATATCAATATTCACCTTGAACGTAAATGGGCTAAATGCCCCATTTAAAAGACACAGAGTGACAAGCTGGATAAAAAAGCAAGGCCCAATGGTATGCTGTCTTCAAGAGACCCATCTCACACATAATGACACACATAGGCTCAAAATAACAGAACGCAGGAGAATCTACCAAGCAAATGGAATACAGAAAAAAAGCAAGGGTTGTAATCCTAATTTCAGACAAAACACTTCAAAGCAACAAAGATCAAAAAAGATAAAGAAAGACATTATATAACGGTGAAGGGTTCAATTCAACTAGAAGACCTAACTATACTAAATATATATGCACCCAACACAGGAGCACCCAGATTCATAAAAATGTTCTTAGAGAACTTCAAAGAGACTTTGACTCCCACACAATAATAGTGGGAGAATTGAACACCCCACTGACAATATTAGACAGATTATCAAGACAGAAAATTAACCTATTCAGGATCTGAACATAGCACTGGATCAAAGGGACCTGTAGATATCTACAGAACTCTCCATCCAAAAACAACAGAATATAAATTCTTCTCATCACCACATGTCACATACTGTAAAATTCGATCACATAATTGGAAGTAAAACATTCCTCGGCAAATGTAAAATAACTGAAATCATAACAAAAAATCTCTTGGACCAGAGCACAATCAAATTAGAAATCGAGAATAAGAAATTCACTTAAAACCATACAATTACATGGAAATTGAATAACCAGCTTCTGAATGAATTTGGGGTATATAATGAAATTAGGCAGAAATAAAAAAGTTTTTTGAAACTAATGAAAACAAAGATACAAGATACCAGAATCTCTGGGACACAGCTAAGGTAGTGTTAAGAGGGAAATTCATAGTACTAAATGCCCACATAAAAAAGTTAGAAAGATCTCAAATTAACAACCTAATGTCATAACTAACAAAACTAAAAAACAAGAGCAAACATATCCCAAAACTAGCAGAAGACAAGAAATAACCAAAATCAGAGCTGAACTGAAGGAGATAGAGACATCAAAAAACCGTTCAAAATATCAATGAATCCAGGAGGTGTTTTTTTTTGAAAAAAATTAATAAGACCACTAGATAGACTGATAAACAAGAAAAAAGAGAAGATTCAAATAAATACAATCAGAAATGACAAAGGGGATATTACCACTGACCCCACAGAGATATAAACAGCCATTAGAGAATAGTATGAACACCTCTGTGCACATAAACTAGAAATTACAGAATAAATGAATAAAGTCCTGGACACATACACCCTCCCAAGACTGAACCAGGAAGAAAAAAATCCCTGAACAGACTAATAACAAGTTCTGAAATCAAGGCAGTAATAAATAGCCTACCAACCAAGAAAATCCCAGAAGCCCAGGACTAGATGGATTCATAACTAAATTCTACCAGATGTACAAAGAAGAGCTGGTACCATTTTTATAGAAACTATGCCAAAAAATTGAGGAGGAGGGACTTCTCCCTAACTCATTCTATGATGGCCGTATCAACCTGATACCAAAACCTGGCAGAGACACACAAAAAGAAAACAGGCCAATATTTTTGATGAGCATCAATGTAAATAATCCTCAACAAAATACTGGTAAATTAAATCCAGCAGCACTTTGAAAAGCTTATCCACCACAATCAAGTGGGTTTTATCCCTGGGATGTAAGGTTGGTTCAACATACACAAATCAATAAATATGATTAATCACATAAACAGAACTAAAGACAAAAACCACATGATTATCTCAAGAGATGCAGAAAAGGCTTTCAATACAATTCAACACTTCTTCACATTAAAAACTCTCAATAAATTAGGTATTGAAGGATCATACCTCAAAATAATAAGATCCATCTATGAAAAACCCACAGCCAATATGATATTGAATGGGCAAAAGCTGGAAGCATTCCCCTTGAAAACAGGCACAAGACAAGGATTCCTTCTCTCACCACTCCCATTCAACATAGTACTGGAAGTCATGGCCAAGGCCATCAGGCAAGAGAAAGAATTTAAGGGCATCCAAATAGGAAGAGAGGAAGTCAAACTATGTCTATTTGCACACAACATGATTCTATATATAGAAAACCTCATAAACTCAGCCTGCAAGCTCCTTAAGCTGATAAACAACTTCAGCAAAGTCTCAGGATACAAAATCAATGTGCAGAAATCACAAGCATTGCTATACACCAATAACAAACAAGCAGAGAGCCAAATCAGAATGCAATCCCATTGACAAATGCCACAAGAAGAATGAAATACCTAGGAAAATGCCACAAGAAGAATAAAATACCTAGAAATACAGCTAACCATGGAGGTGAAAGATCTCTACAATGAGAACTACAAACCACTGCTCAAAGAAATCAGAGGTGACACTAACAAATGGAAAAACATTTCATGCTCATGGATAGGAAGAATCAATATCATTAAAATGGCCATACTGCCCAAAGCGATTTATAGATTCAATGCTATTCCTATTAAAGTACAATTGATATTCTTTAAAGAACTACAGAAAACTTTCTAAAAATTCATATGGAACCATAAAAGAGCTCAAATAGCCAAGGCAACCCTAAACAAAAAGAACAAAGCTGGAGGCATCATACTACCTGACTTCAAACTATACTACAAAGTTACAGTAACCAAAACAGCATGGTATTGGTACAAAAACAGGCACATAAACCAATGGAACAGAATAGAGAACCCAGAAATAAGACTGCACACCTACAGCTATCTGATCTTCGACACACCTGACAAAAACAAGCAATGGGAGAAGGATTCCCTATTTAATAAATGGTGCTGGGATAACTAACTAGCTATATGCAGAATATTAAATCTGGACCTCTTCCTTCTACCATGCACAAAAATTAACTCAAGATGGATTAAAGACTGAAATCTAAAACCCAAAACTATAAAAACCCTTGAAGACAACCTAGGCAATACCATTCTAGACATAGGAACAGGCAAAGATTTCATGATGAAGACCCAAAAAGCAATTGCAACAAAAGCAAAAATTGACAAATGAAATCTAATTAAATTTAACAGCTTCTGCTCAGCAAAGAAAACTATCAATAGAGTGAATAGACAACCTACAGAGTGGGAGAAAATTTTTGCAAACTATGCATCTGACAAAGGTCTAATATTCAGGATCTAGAAGGAATTTAAACAAATTTACAAGAAGAAAACCAAACAACCCCATTGAAAAGTGGGCAAAGGATATGAACAGACACTTCTCAAAAGAAGACACAAATGAAGCCAACAAGTACATGAAAAAAAGCTCAATGTCACTGATCACTAGAGATATGAAAATCAAACCTGCAATGAGATATTATCTCATGCCAATCAGAATGGCTATTATTAAGAAGTCAAAAAATAACAGATGCTGGCTAGGTTGCAGACAAAAAGGAATGCTTATACACTGTTGGAGGGAATGTAAATAAATTCAGCTATTGTAGAGGACCTTGTCACGATTCCTCAAAGAATGTGAAACAGAAATAGCATTAGATCCAGCAATCCCATTACTGAGTATATACCCAATGAAATAAAAATCATTCTGTTATAAAGACACATGCACACATATGTTCATTGTGTCAGTATTCACAATTGCAAAGACATGAAATCAACCTAAATGCTCATTAATGCTAGACTGGATAAAGAAAATGTGGTACATAAACACCATGGAATACTATGCAGCCACAAAAAGAATGAGATCATGCCCGTTGCAGGAACATGGATGGAGCTGGAGGCCATTATCTTTAGCAAACTCATGCAGAAACAGAACACCAAATACCATATACTCTCACTTAGAAGTGGGGCTGATGACCAAGTAGAAACAGTGTCCGTTTGCAGTTCCCATTGAGAGAAATGCAAAAGGTGAGTGATTTCTGCATTTCCAACTGATTCTTTCATTGGGACTGACTAGGTGGTTTGTGCAACCCATGGAGAGTGAGGAAAAACAGAGTGGGGTGATGGTTCATCTGAGAGCTGGATGGGGTAAAGGGACCTCCCTCCCCCAGCCAAGGGAGGCAGTAAGGGATTATGCTACCCACCTGGGGCACTACACTTTTTCCGTGAATTTTTGCAACCTGTGGATCAGAGGGTTCCTTTGTGAGCCTACACCACCAGGGCCTTGGGTCCCAAGCACAAAACTGGGCAGACCCGTGGCAGCTGCTCCAGTAGGCGAATCCAGGTTGGGCAGACACTGAGCATAATCCGATGGCTCCTGAAACTCCAGAGAGGCAGGAGACCCATCTACTTCTGTGGAAAGGGGGCTGAAGTCAGGCAGCCAAGCAGCCTTGCTCAGTAGGTCACACTCCCATGGTTCCCTGCAAGCTAAGACTCACGGGCTTGGAATCCCCGCTGGCCAGCACAGCACCGTGGAGTCTGCCTAAAATGACCAGGTCCCTGAGGGGAGGGGCAACCAGCATTACTGCAGCTCTAGTCGGTGGTTTTTCCCTGCCAGTGCTAGGGAGGCTGGGCAGTTTGGACTGGGTGGTATTCTCCACAGTGCAGCACAGCAGCTGTGGCAGATTGTGGCCAGACTGCTTCTCTAGTTGGGACCGGGATCCATCCCTCTTCACTGTGCAGGGCATCCCTGCAGGAATTCCAGCAACTCCAGCCAGGGGTTTACAGACAGAACTCTCATCTCCCTGGGACAGAGAACCTGGGGGCGGGGGTGGCCGTGGTCTCAGGTTCAGTGGACTTAATCTTTCCTGACTGCTGGCTCTGAAGAGTCCAGGCAGACTGGAAAAGGGGGATTCCCTAAGCACAGTGCACCAGCTCTGCTAAGGGGCAGCCAGACTACTGCCTTAAGGGGGTCCTTGATCCTGTGCCTCCTGACTGGGTGAAACCTCCCAACAGGGGTTATCAGACACCTCATATAGGAGAGTTCCAACTGGCATTAGGTTGGTGCCCCTTTGGGACGAAGCCTCCAGAGGAAGGAGCAGGCAGCAATCTTTGCTGTTCTGCAGCCTCCACTGATGATACGCAGGCAAACAGGGTCTGGAGTGGACCCCAGAAAACTACAGCAGACCTGCAAAAGAGAGGCCTGATGGTTAGAAGAAAAACAAACAAAAAGAAAGCGACAACAACATCATCAACAAAAAAGACCACCCAAAAACCCCATCCAAAGGTCAACAGCCTCAAAGGTCAAAGGTAGATAAATCCATGAAGATGAGGAAAAACCAATGCAACAACACTGAAAATTCCAAAAACCAGAATGCCTCTGCTCCTACAAATGATTGCAATATCTCCCAGCAAGAGCACAGAACTGGGCTGAAGCTGAGAAGGATGAACTGACAGAAGTAGGCTTCAGAAAGTGGGTACTAATGAACTTGACTGAGCTAAAGGATTATGTTCTATCCCAATGCAAAGAAGCTAAGAACCATGACAAAAGATTACAGGAGCTGTTAACTAGAATAACCAGTTTAGAGAGAAAGATAAATGACCTGATGGAGCTGAAAAACACAGCCCGAGAACTTCATGATGCAAACACAAATATCAATAGCTGAATTGACCAAGCAGAAGAAAGAATATCAGAGCTTGAAGACTATCTTGCTGAAATAAGGCAGGCAGACAAGATCAGAGAAAAGAGAATGAAAAAGAATGAACAAAAACCTCCAAGAACTATGGGATTATGTAAAAAGACTGAAGCTATGACTCATTGGAGTACCTGAAAGAGAAGGGGAGAATGGAACCAAATTAGAAAATACACTTCAGGATATCATCCGAGAGAACTTCCCCAACCTAGCAAGACAGGCCAACATTCAGATTCAGGAAATCCAGAGAACCCCAATAAGATACTTCATGAGAAGATCAATGCAACACACATACTCATCATATTCTCCAAGGTTGAAATGAAGGGATAAATGTTAAAGGCATCCAGAGAGAAAGGCCATGTCACCTGCAAAGGGAAGCCCATTAGACTAACAGTGAACCTCTCAGTGGAAGCCCTACAAGCCAGAAGAAATTGGGTGCCAATATTCAACATTCTTAAAGAAAGGAATTTCCAACCCAGAATTTCATATCTGGCCAAACTAAGCTTCATAAACGAAGTAGAAATAAAATCCTTTTCAGACAAGCAAATGCTGAGGGATTCTGTCATGACCAGGCCACCTTGCAAGAGTTCCTGAAGGAAGCACTAAACATGGAAAGGAAAAACCATTACCAGCCATTACAAAAACACACTGAAGTACACAGATCAATGACACTGTAAAGAAACTACATTAACAAGTCTGCAAAGTTAACCAGCCAGCATTATGATGACAGGATCAAATTCACTCATAAGAATAATAACCTTAAATGTAAATGGGCTACATGCCCCAATTAAGACACAGAATGGCAAGCTGGATAAAACGACAAGAGCCACTGGTGGGCCATATCGAAGAGACACATCTCATGTGCAAAGACACCCATAGGCTCAAAATAAAGTGATGGAGGCAAATTTACCAATCAAATGGAAAGAAGAAAAAAGCATGGGTTGCAATCCTAGTTTCTGACAAAATAGACATTAAACCAGCAAAGATAAAAAAAAAAAAAAGACAAAGAATGGCATTACATAGTGGTTAAAGGTTCAATTCAACATGAAGAGCCAACTCTCCTAAATATATATGCACTGAATACAGGACAACCCAGATTCATAAAAAAAAGTTCTTAAAGACCTACAAAGGGACTTAGACCCCCACAAAATAATAATGACAGACTTTAATACCCCACCATCAGTATTAGACAGATCATTGAGACAGAAAATTAACAATGCTATTCAGGACCCAAACTCAGCTCTGGACCAAGTGGACTTGATAGACATCTACAGAACTCTCCACTCAAAAACAACAGAATACACATATTTTTCTCAGAGCCACATGGCACTTACTCTAAAATTTGATCACATAATTGGAAGTAAAACACTCCTCAGCAAATGCAAAAGAACTGAAATCATAACAGTCTCTCAGACCACAGTGCAATCAAATTAGAACTCAAGATTAAGGAACCCACTCAAAACCACACAGCTACATGGAAATTGAACAATCTGCTCCTGAGTGACTTCTGGGTAAATAATGAAACTAAGGCAGAAATAAAGAAGTTCTTTGAAACTAATGAGAACAAAGAGACAATGTACCAGAATTTCTGGGATGCAGCTAAAGCAGTGTTAAGAGGGGAAATTTATAGCACTAAATGCTCATATTGAAAAGCTATAGAGATCTCAAATCAGCACCCTAACATCACAACTAAAAGAACTAGAGAACCAAAAGCAAACAAACCCCAGAGCTAGCAGGAGACAAGAAATAACGAAGCTCAGAGTGGAAATGAAGAAGGTAGAGACATAAAAAAAACCCTCCAAAAAAATCAATGAATGAATCCAGGAGCTGATTTTTTGGAAAAAAAAAAAAAAAAAAAAAAAAAAAAAAAAAAAAATCAGTAAAATAGACCACTAGCTAAACTAATAAAGAAAAAAAGAGACAAGACTCAAATAAACACAATCAAAAATGATGAGGGGGGTACCATCACTGACTCCACAGAAATATAAACCACCACCAAAGAATACTATAAACACTTCTATATAAATAAACTGAAAAATCTAGAAGAATTGGATGAATTCCTGAACACATACACCCTCCCAAGACTGAACCAGGAAGAAGGTGAATCTCTGAATAGATCAATAACGAGTTCTGAAATTGAGGCAGTAATCAGTAGCCTACCAAACAACAACAAAAAAAGCCCAGGACCTGTTGGATTTACAGTTGAATTCTACCAGAGGTACAAAGAGGGGCTGGTACCGTTTCTTCTGAAACTATTCCAAATAATTGAAAAAGAGGGACTCCCCCCTAACTCATTTTATGAGACCAGCATCATCCTGATACCAAAACCTGGCAGAGATACAACAAAAAAAGAAAACTTCAGGCCAATATCCCCGATGAACATCGATGCAAAAATCCTCAATAAAATACTGGCAAGTGGAATCCAGCAGCACATCGAAAAGGTTATCCACCATGATCAAGTTGGCTTCATCCACAGGATGCAAGACTGGTTCAACATATGCAAATCAATAAAAGTAATTCATTCCCAAAGCAACTTATAGATTCAATGGTAGTCCCATAAAACTGCCATTGACATTGTTCACAGAATTAGAAAAAACTATTTTAAAATTCATATGGAACCAAAAATGAGTGCATATAGCAAGGACAATCCTAAGCAAAAATAGCAAAGCTGGAAGCATCATGCTACCCAACTTCAAACTATACTACAAGGCTAGAGTAACCAAAACAGCATAGTACTGGTACAAAAACAGGCTCATAGACCAATGGAACAGAATTGAGAACTCAGAAATAAAACCGCACATCTACAACCATCTAATCTTCAACAAACCTGACAAAAACAAGCAATGGGGAAATGATTCCCTATTTAAGAAATGGTGCTGGAAGAACTGGCTAGCCATATGCAGAAAATTGCAACTGGACCCCTTCCTTATAACATACACAGAAATTAACTTAAGATGGATTGAAGACTTAAATGCAAAACCCAAAACTATTAAAACCCTAGAAGAAAATTTAGGCAATATCACCCAGGACATAGGCATGGGCAATGATTTTATGATGAAATCACCAAGAGCAATTGCAACAAAAGCAAAAATTGACAAATGGGATCTAATTAAACTAAACAGCTTCTGCACAGCAAAAGAAACTATCACCAGAGTGAACAGACAACCTACAGAATTGGAGAAAACCTTTGCAATCTATCCATCTGACAAAGGTCTAATATCTAGAATCTACAAGGAACTTAAGCAGAGTTACAAGAAAAAAACCCCATTAAAAAGTGGACAAAGGACATGAACAGACACTTCTCAAAAAAATACATACATGTGGCCAAAAGACATATGAAAACAAGCTCAACATCAGTGTATTAGAGAAATGCAAATCAAAACCACTATGAGATATCATCTCTCACGCCAGTCAGAATGGCGATTATTAAAAAGTCAAGAACCAACAGATGCTGGTGAGTTTGCAGAGAAATAGGAACGCTTTCACACTGTTGGTGGGAATGTAATTTAGTTCAACTGTTCTGGAAGACAGTGTGGCAATTTCTCAAAGATTTAGAACCATTTGACCCAGCAAATCCCATTACTGGGCATATGCCCAAAGGAATATAAATCATTCTATTATAAAGATACATGCACACATATGTTCATTGCAGCAGTATTCACAATAGCAAAGACATGGAATCAACCCAAATGCCCATCAATGATAGACTCGATAAAGAAAATGTGGTACATATACACCATGGAATACTATGCAGCAATAAAAAGGAATAAGATCATTTCCTTTGCAGGGACATGGATGAAACTGGAAGCCATTATCCTCAGCAAACTAATGCAGGAACAGAAAACCAAACGCTGCATGTTCTCACTTATAAGTGGGAGCTGAGCAATGAGAACACATGGACACAGGGAGGGGAACAACACACACTAAGACCTATCGGGGGAGGGCAAAGAGAGGGGAGAGCATTAGGAAAAACAGCTAATGCATACTGGGCTTAATACCTAGGTGATGGGTCGATAGGTGCAGCAAACCACCATGGCACACATTTACCTATGTAACAAACCTGCACATCCTGTACTCCAGAATTTTTTTTTTTTTAAGTGGGAGTTAAATGATGAAAACACATGGACACATAGAGGGGAACAACATACACTTAGGGCCTACTTGAGGGTAGAGGGTGGGAAGAGGGAGAGGATCAGGAAAAATAACTAATGGGTACTAGGCTTAATACCTGGGTGATGAAATAATCTGTACAACAAACCTCCACGACACAAGTTTACCTATATAACAAACCTTCACATGTACCCCTGAACTTAAAATAAATGTTAAAAAGTAAAAATAAAAAAACAAACTTTATTTGTGCAACAATACCCAATGAATGAGGAATAGATTTTTAGTGAAAATTGAAAAGGCAATAAACTTATGGTGTGAAGCTATACAGAGAAAATATTTCATGGGATATTCATGTTAAATCATTTCTGTTTTTTCTAGTTTGGGATATTTAGGAACTTAAGAGATACCCTTTATAAATAGGTGAGGGTTTCACATACATATTTGGCATTTTAGCACAGTGTAACTGTCATTCCAAGGATTGATGAGAATTGTTGTCACTGATGATAATACATTTGAACGTTTTCCTGTGCTTGACAGACATAGTTAAATATATACTGGCTGGAGATTGCATTGACAACAAACTGTAATTTTTAAAGGACTATAAAGCATTTTGAATGCTCTGGCAAAGTATTGACCAACTTGACCATCTTAATTTGATCAGGCTGGGAGTAAACTAGAATGATATTTTTTGTGTGTATCATTGTCCAGTTCTTCCTGAATGAGTCTTTTTTTTTTCTAATCATCTTACTTCTCCCTCTGTAGAGTTGTCACCCCTGGACATTGCTCTCCCATCCAGCAGGACAGTCTTGCCTTTGGTGATTAAAGAGAGCATGTTGATGGACATATGACCTGTGTAGTCATAGGGCCTCTCACTCAGAAGAGCCTGAGTCACTCTTGTCACTGTTTTAAAGTTCATAATAATTTATCTTTGAACTCGTGTTTTGTAAATTAAGTCCAAGGGGGCAGTGCAGCATAGGCTTGAACAGAGGAAATACAATGTGTGCAGTTGCTGGCCTCCTCATTTGCATAGAGTAGTCATGGTGCCCTCCTGGACATGTTGCAGGGAATTCTCATGGGCTTGCAACGTGAGGAAGTTCAGTGAGACTCAAAGTGAGTACAGAACTTGCTTCTAATGCAAAGCAATGCCATTCTAAGAACCACAAAAGACCAAGTAATCCATCAAGTCTTTTCTCACTTGTGTTACTTCCCTGTATTAGCCACCCACTTATGCTGAAAATGATGACAGAAAAAAAGGGAAAGATAGGGCAACTCATAGTTTCTTTTCCTTTCAGCCCTTACTTGCTTATCAATAAGATAAGGGTAATACTAGAATGTGCAAGTGTCAAAAAGTAAAATTAAAAACAACTGAGTTAGTTTGTGCAATGCTTCCACTATTCTGGCAAGAATAAAATACATATGCATGTATGGACTATGAAAAACAAATTGTCTAATTTCAGTGATACTACATTTAAGTTAAATGCTCCTTGATAAATTGGCATGATGAACAGTAAAATTCAGGCAAATAAGTTAAATTTTTAATTTTATCCTTTACTTAGAAAGACATTAAATAGCAAATAAAAACACCATGACAAGTTGAGAGACCACAGAAAAGAGGATAAAATTTTATTTGAATGCCTTAAATGGCACACTTTTTTTCTTGCTTTTTATGCAAGAGATCCCACATTTTCATTTTGTAGTGAGTCTGGCTACAGCTAACTCTGGCCCCTGAGTCACTGCTGGCAGCCACTAGGGCAGCTAGAGCCTCTAATCTACACTCAGTTTTCCGGACCCTCCTTCCTAGAGAGAAATCACTGGTAGGGGGATGCTTATATTTGCTGAACTCACATGGATGAGGAGGGAGACTTTAGCTTATTCAGGGAGTCCAGGTGTATCCAGTGCAGCAGTTTAAAAATTTCCAAACACTCTGCTATTTAGCAAGTAGAACTACTAGTCATTACACTGATGCTTTGCATGAAATTGCTGACACCTTGGAAACTGCTTAATGATACATAAAATTCTATTTTTTCTGTGTGGAATGCCACTGGGCAAGTGGGTATTACTTAGAGATGTATAAATATTGTGCATGTTAGCATGAAGAGTCACTTACAAGTCAGTAATCTTTCTAAACTGTAGAAGAACAAAGAGAAAAAATCACAGAGAAATGAATAATTTCATAGGATCTTATTCCATTATTTCTTAACCTTGGAAAGGCAAAACATTTCTATAAACAGTTAACTTTTATTTTATTTTGAAGATAATGCAAAGGCAACATTAAATTAGTTTTCCATTTTACCATTTTGCTTTGAAAGAAAAAAAATTTGCTTTCATTTCAGAATCCTGTGGAACAACAGATTTTTGAAACATGGCAAAGCTAGTGGTCATTGTCGCCTGTTTAATCTTTCTCCCCCACTTTGTTCTTTGAATTGGCTCCATTCTGATTTGCTTCTAATTTATTTTTGGTGCAACAACTCTATGAGCATATTTGCAAAGCTATTAATGAGGACAAGTGTCCCATCCTGTAGCTATTAGTTGCTACCATTAGTGATCACCTTACACAGTCACAGGGCTGACCCTGTGGAACAAGTTTTATGCTTCGGGTTCTAATTCAGAAGTTAGAATATTTTTGCTTTTGCCCAGTGTTATTCTCATGACCTTTAGACACAATTATATTCGTGTGGCCTATGGAAATGCATACATGGGGACTTTGGGGTCTCAGTAAATTGGGTTGAAGCCATCCATGTTGCTTGTGAGGGTAATGAATCAGCTTCTTGGGATTTTCACTTTCATTCACAGACAAAGGTAAGTCTTACCTTATGGAGTTGTCATAAAGTTTAGATGAGATGTCAGATGCAGAGTTGGGTGTCAGGCATATAGTAAGCTTCATGACTATTTTTCCTTCTTCTTTTTCCTTCCATGTAAATCTTCATACACACTTAAAAGTTAGCCTCTTTTAAATTTTTTAAAAAACAAAATTTTTGCCATTTGTAAAAATTTCAGAAATACTTATCCGTATGTCCGTGATGAAAAGTATAACTCCATCTTTCCACTCTGGTTCCAAACTTCTAGGCCTGAGTAACTATAGAGAATTTTTCTGAAAATTCTGTAAGTATATGTAAATATCTATTTATCTAGCTAGCTCCTCATTTTTATAATCACAAATGAGGTCATGTTATACATGCTGATATACAATTTATTACTGACATTTTTACATAGTAGCCTACAGTTCACAGTTCCTTATTCTTTTTAACTACTCCATACTATTCCTTTTGTTTCTAGCTTTTTGTTATCTCAAACACTGCAGTAGTGGGTATCACCGTATGCATATCCTTATCCATCTGGGTAACTACTCATGAAGGGTACCTTCCCAGAAGCATAGTTGCTGAGTTGGAGGATGGAAGGATGTATTTCTGTGTAACTTTGATTCTTTTCTGTATGTGCCCTCCAACTCCAGTTCCATCACCAATTCCCTACTCCCCTGTCAAAAAAGCTAATCTAAATAATTTAAAATACTAATTTGATACAATAATAATAACAATATTTTTCTACCCACCTATCTCTTTCTAAGGTTGTTATGAAGCAAAAATGCTGCTGATGAAAAGCCTATGTTGACTTGTAATATGCATATAAAATTTGATATAATTTAAATTGTAGTAAGTCAGGATGTGTGACAATAAACTTTATTACTCATCAAGTGAAAGGCTTTGACCCTCTTCAGAGTTGGAAGGGACTAAACTCTCAGGGGAGAGTTTTGTGGAAGATTAGAGGGTTGTTCTGAAATCATTTTACATGTGTAAACACCTCCTTTGTGAGTACTAATGCCATAAACTACAAACCTTCTCTAGGGTCCTTTTGACTGAAACCACGCTGAATCCTAAACGTAAGGAGCAAAGATAGGGTAACACAAATGGGGCACTCCCCTGGTGGGGCCTTCCATAGTATTATGCAACCTGGTCACAAAGGGAGATACTCATGTTTTTCTCAAACTTGGTGAACTTCCCTAAGTGGTTTTAGAAGCTCAAATTACAAACAGCTTCCTAATTGTCTTTGAAAACCATCCTTCCTATGAGTGTTGAGTTATTGCTGATTGAGACTTATCCTTGGGTTTTTCTGTGTCCTTGCTGACAAGTCCTGGATCCAAGGAAAATACAGAGAACTGCTCTGAAAGCAAACCTGTTCTTACCCATAAGAAAACGCCATTATTCAGTGGCTGCCATAGACTCAGGGGAACAATATGTGCCTTTCATTCCTCTATTTTCCTAACAGTCCTCATTGTATCTGTCTTGTCTGTGAATGGGTTCCACCATGCAGGAAGTGACATGGCACAGTGCGTTTAAAAATATTCCTTATTTTCGTTTAGTTGGGTAGCACCACGTGTCCAACTCCAAAACAAGAGGAAGGTCATGGTAATCCACATCACAGTCAAGATGGTTCATTAATCCCCTGATTAGGCCATCTGAACAAACTTTCGCAATTGAAGTAACGTCATAAATTTAAATCTTATGCTCTCAAGTCATATTTTTCTCTAAGAACCTTTTTGGGAGTGTTTATAAAATACATAGGTAAAGAATATCACCCCTCTTCTTCCAGAATGTTTTTGGTCACCTTGATAATAAAACAGCTATGACATATTGAGTGGTTATAATATGCTCAACTCTTTGTGCACATCATCTCGGAATTGTACAACTCTGAAAGGTGAGGATTACTATGCCTGCTTATAAATGAGGAAACAGAAGCTCAGAGAAGTTTAGAAATATTCTCAAGGTCACATAGTTAGGTTAAACTTAAATCTGTCAGGCTTCAAAATCTACGTTTTTCTATTACACTAGGTCATCTTTCAAACAAAAGGACCCCTATGATTGTAAGGTTTAAATTTTTTAATACGTAAACTCTGTCCCCAAAGCAAACACTGTCTTCACAAATCAGTGACCTCAAGAAAGGAGTCTTTTTTTTCCACTTCCCAATAATTTATAAAGCATATTAAATTCCAATCTGTTCATTGATTTTCACATCAGATTAAAATAAATGGCTAGAAAGATTTTTACTGCCTTTGAAGAATGTGTTTGGGATTATCTCACTTGATTCATAAGCTAATGTGAATTATACATTGGGGACCCCCAAAAAGATATAGGCAGTTATCTTCTGGATAAATAAACTGGGGCATCCAGGAAAGACCTGCAGAAGAAACCCAGAGAACAAAGAAAACAGAGCAGGTATCCTGTAGGAGCCCCAAGCTAACATCCAGAGAGCACACCCCATGCAAGTGTGACTTGCAGTTGAACGGCTTTTTCTTCTTCTTTTATTTTACTTTAAGTTCTGGGATACATGTGCAGAATGTGCAGGTTTGTTACGTAAGTATACATGTGCCATAGTGGTTTGCTGCACCCATCAACCCGTCATCTAGGTTTTAAGGTCCACATGCATTAGGTATTTGCCTTAATGCTCTCCCTCCCCTGGACCCCCACCCACTGACACGCCCCAGTGTGTGATGTTCCCTTCCCTGTGTCCATGTGTTCTCATTGTTGAACTGCTTCTTATATGGGCAGTTCTGTGTGTTGTGCTCTGGGATGAATTACAGCTGGAATTTATTTACTTAAGTATGGTTAATGATTTTATAATATTTTGGATTATTTTATTAGTAACACTCTGGGCTCTCTCTAGTTGTGAAACTTGGCTTCCCTCTCTCAGGATTAACTGATCATTGCCTTAAATTCCTCTGTTTCTTCTAATTATTAAGGTGTGTGTGATGGAACTAGGCTAAAAAACACCAGCAGGCACCATGCATGGCCATGCATTAGGAGGTGTTGATGGTTAACAGCTAGGGAGGCTCTACATCTCAAGCCAGGAGAGTCCTCATTTAAATCTGTTGTTTGTGCCCAGTTATTAATGATGCCCTCTTTCTCTTTCAGAAGTTTCCTAGTTTAGACAATAAATTATATGGTCACCCTAACATCGGCTACCATGATTTACAAAATCTGAGTTGAGTCCTGAGAGGTCATCAAGGCCCAGAGACCAGACTTTAAATATTGGAAGCTTTAACAGCCAACCTCGCCACCCTTGCTCCAGGCCACAGCCTCTCCTTCAGGAGCTGCCCACTAGGAGTGCAAGCCAGGAGCCTCTCTTGCCAGAGCAGGCAGAATTTCTCCATCCTGAAGCCTAACAAGCCATAATGGTTTCTCAAAGGTCTAGGGTTTCCCACTGTAGCCAAAAGGGCAGATAGGGCTCATTCTCAGGGACATAGTATCTTATTAATCTCCCTATGTCTCTCATGCCTGCTATTGCTGCTCAGTGTTCTAGATGCAAAAACCTCTTGTCATCTAAGCCTTCGTACATCACCCCTGGCTCTGTGCTTTTGCTTCTCCACCTAGTCTCCCATGCTCCTGCCCTGATGCTTGTCTATCTCCCCAGGGTGATGGCCAGGCTCATGAAGGCAGGTACCACTCACCGAAATCCTTTGTAGCCCCAGCACCCTGCACCTAGAAGACACTCCATAATTGTTTATTAGTTATGCCAATGTTTATGAACCAAATATATCCCCCACCGTCTCATGCCCATGCCATTCTCCCCTTCCAGCTAATATAAAATGCCTATAGAAAAACATTATTCATTTTTGAAAAGCTTATATATTTTTTACATCTGTCTTCCATATCTTATCGTAAAAGGAACCAACGTTAAAAAAATTTTAAGTATTAAAACGCTCTGAAAGTTCATAAAGCTTCCTAAAGAAGCTAATATGAAAACATTTATGAATAATTTGAAAGTTGTATTTCATTTGATTAGACTGAAGACAAAGGCAGTGTCTTCAGGAAGGCCACTGACATACACACATACACACACTCTCTTTATATACATATACACATATTACTTGGAAAGGGAAGGAGGGCTAAGCAGATAGTCTTCTCTCAACACAGTGTGGCTTTGTTTGCCTTCCTGGCTACTTGCCACCTTGGAGTGCCCTGAGTCCTGAGGAGATGGGACCAAGGATAAATGCTTGATTGTAGATTCCTTAAGGCCAGGGTCTGATCGTTTATCATTTGTCTCTGTAGTAACTGAAATGTGGCAGGTAATCATTTGATAATCTTTCCTTAATAAAGAGGATGGTGGCAAGAAAGGCCCACAGTTTCCAGCACAGTCTGGGGATTTTTATATGAGGCATTCTGAGTGCTACAGGAATCAGTACAAAGGTGCTCTCAAGGAACATTCGATGGTGTAGTTTGGGATTGGCCCTATGGATTGTATCTTCCTGGAAGACCAGGGCATGGCCAGGGACTAGATCTTATTTGGAACAAGAAAAATTCCTACTTTTCTGTGGCACCTGACAGGGGCCAGACATGTGCTGGCCTTTTTCCCTACCTTACCCGAACTCAAGAGATTTCATTGCCAAAACACTAGGCTGTTTCCCTAAACCACCAGACTGACTGTGTTGTTCACTTTGCCTCTATCACCTTTCCCACCCACTAAAACACTTCTTCACAGGTCAGCCCAGGCATTGTGCATGGCAGAAGCCTCCACTAAGAATTCACCACCCCACCTCTTCCATGTTCTCATGCCAATTTGAGCGTAACTTATTAAAAGTGCTTATTTACTGTTTGTCTTCTCCAGAAACTAAGCTTTGTAAGTCGAGAACTTTATCATCTTCACCCTGGTGCCCCCAACACTTAGCAGAGTCCTCGGCGTATTTTAGGCGCTCAATAAAAGTTTGTTGAATTGAAATTAGCCTTGTCTATGTACCGCTGAAAATCACTATGTATTAATACTGCGTGGATGAGTTGTTAAATATTACTACAAATTCAGTGCTTTCCCACTTATCTTGCTTTAAAAACCTAGCAGCTAAACTTAGGCAGTTCCTTGCTAGTATATTTATTTGCAATTAGAGTGAGGATTTTCAAGGAAAGAAAAAGAAAAGTGACCTCTGAGTTTGTTTCCCCCCACCCCAAATCATTTTCTGGAAGGATGGTATCTTGGAGCTGAGATGAAAGATAATTGTGCCTGTCTTAGAAACCCACAGGTTATTTTTAAACAAAACAAAATGGGATGATTAGAAAAGATTATGTTTGGAAATATAATTATTTCCTAACTTCTGAGCACATGCCTTGAGAGCGCTTCTTTGAATACATGCACTGACAAATATTCCACTAAAGGAGAGACTTGTTTACAGCAAAAACATTTCAGTGCAACAAGGTTATCCACTTGACAATTTCTTATAGTACATTGTAATTATATACTGTAATTTTAAAAATTCTGATTACAAAAAAATCTACATGTGAATTCTAATTATTTCCAAAAGCTTATATATTAAAATGTCCCATTTAATGTAAAATGGAAAGTTAGGATGTCTGAACTGAACTGAAGAATCATATCGGTATCTTCTGGAGAAAGGGACTGATAAGACATAATTAATAAAAAGTTTGAAATTAAGTAGTGTCTTTTATTGCCTCACTGAAATATAGCCAAATATGTTTTCCATATCTGCACAGTTGACCAGCCAGTGGGTAACTACTACCTGAGGTACCTCAGGCCACATTTCAGAAATGTAAGAAAGACAAGTTACCTTTTGTAGGAATAATTAGACAGAGTAGATAGCAATTATCCAGAGATGTTGCAAGGTTGATTTGTTGTCATTTACTCATTTTTCCAGAGTGATATCTTTCCAGTGATTTTAGGTTACCACCTAAGCTCTGTTAACATTAGGAGGTCAAGATCTCAAAGTAAAAGCATTCCAATAATATCACGGGGCTCCAAAGAACTGTCCAGTGTACTTATTAATCTTGAACCATGCTAGCTGTGTTCAGGGATTCTGGATTGAAGAATGTAGGCTAAGTTCCCCCACAGCTTTGCTGTTAGCCAGCCTTATGTGGGTTGACAGAATTGAAAGGATGTGAAAAGATCTAAGTTTATTCAATAGGTATTTCCTGAGGATCCAGTCCTAACACTGGGCAGGACACACGAAGACATGGCTCTTGCCCTAAAGTAACTTAGAGGCTAATTTGGAAGACACGACTTAAGCATAAACATTTCAAGATCACCACTGTCGAGAAGTGTTGTGGGAGACGAGGCAGTACCAAGCAGGTGTTTTGGAGGAGTAGAAAAAGGTCAGTTGTTTTTGCCTACCTGGGGCTGCTTTCCAGGTCATAAATGTTGCAAATTTAGATTATAGGATTTACTTGTGCTCTGTGTCTTGATAAAAGCCCCGGTCTCTGCTGATAATCCCTGGACTCTGCTGATAAGGTTGATTGATGCCAAATGAAACTTTTGGTTCTATTTTGATCCAGGGACCCCTTGTCTTGAAATGATGAGAGCCTGGGTCTTCAAAAAAATTGTTCTGGCAAATAGATCCTGTACCATTCTGCCAAAAATAGACAAATGGAAGAGTTACCAAGCATGCAACATGGGGAAATAAGAAAAACGCACTTGAAAATGAGATTTTCAAATCACCAAATTTGAGAATGATGAAGGAGCTCTCATTTCAGATGTTTCCAATAACATGTCACATCTGAAAACAAATCTGAAATTCAGAGGGACTAAGACGTCAGGTGAATTCCTAGGTCTATTTGATTTTTGATGAGGCAAAGGAAACTAGGAGTTCTTTCCATTTTGACACTTCTACTTGAGGTATTTCCAAAACAAAGGCATAAATGCAAACGTACAATCTTTAAAAACAAAACAGTATTCAAAGAAACAGCTCATTACAAGATCATGCTTTTCCATTGAGAAATGGCCGCACTGTGTTATTGGGGGACTCCCTGCCCTAGCTGTCTTCTCACTGACATTCATGCCAGGTGCTCCCACTGAAGTCGATATATGAAGGAGAGCACTAGGCCAACCTTAAAGTTATTCCCTGGAAGAGGTTGCCATGGCACACTCCTACTGCCTTTTTTGAAACAGGGAGTATTTGCTTATGGAATGTCAAGCTTCTTGATTCTAAGAATCTCCTTCTCTCTTCATTGGAGGAATAGCTGACATTTTTCTTCATGCTAATGGCCGCAAATTGGAGACAACCAGAAAAAAAAAAATGGTTCATAGAGAAAACAAGTCTTTTTACAACATCTTTTATAAACGGTTAACAATTTCATCTCGATAATTATTCATTTAGTTTCAGAGGTTTCAGGAGTTCACACAGAGGGAGCATGATTCATAAAATTTAAATAGTAGCAGGTAAAGTCAGATCTGTGACAGGGAGCAGGAGGCTGCAACGGTACAATTAGAGATTTCTGGATCATGGGGCAGAGAAGGTGAAACTAATTAAAATGGCTGCAACTTCAGGACATGGCCTTGCTCAGAAGGTTTTTAAATGCTCTTGAAATTTTAGTTAGCACATTTAAATAATTCACTCAGATGGAGCTCCAACTCTCTTATGTGAAAGTTGTCAGTAGTTCACATACTGTGGATGTTGGACACAAAAACCTAGAAAAACATGCATATTGTGACCCATACAGACAGGACAGAAAATGACCCTATAGGTATTTTCCAAATAATAGGAAACGTACATAGGACCTATCATTTACCCTGCACTGTCCCAAGTGTTTTGGATGGCCATTTAATTCTTACAAGATTTAGAAAGTGGGTATCATTATCTTCATCTGTTGGAGGATATTGAACCATAGCCACTTAGGAAACTTGTCAAAGCTCATACAGCTGGTAAGTGGTATAACCAGGAACTCAAACCCAGATTTTCCAGCTCCAGAGTCTGAATTCTGAGAAGTCTGTGAATGGCATGCATTAATTTTTGATTTAAAAATATCATGTAAGTAACAGCGCTTGTAAATTATAAACACTACTACAATACTAATGAGAAGAAAGAGAATATGGAGAAGAAAAAAAGGATAAGAAAGAAAAAGAAGTGGAAGAGAAAGACTGGAGGAAGATAAAATGGATTTAATAAGAGGAGAAAAAAGGTAGAAACCACCTATATATGAACACCATCAAGGCTAATACATTCAGCCTAGATTTTATGAGCCTCCTATTTTGCTCCATGCTCATTGTCTAACTGGATTTCCTAAAGTAATTGCCCAACACATTTTCTCACATTGGCAGGTGTGACACTCCTGACGCAGTCATTACTTGTTACTTTTAATTCCTGCAGCTCTGTGTTCTTCTTTCCTTGTCTCAAATTTTCTTAACACATTCCCTCCTTCTGTTTTTCAAAGCCCACCTCAAGTCTAGCTCATCCTGCCAATCTTTGCTGACTACTCCAGATGTTAGTGATTTTTGAAACACTTGAGAATGCTAAAATTTTAGAATTTGACCACTGTTAGACATTCTGTAGTTCAAATCACTCATGTTGCAAATGAGGCCCATGGAATTTAGGAAGTTTGCCCAGGGCCACCAGCTAGTTGTGACAATGCTAGAAGCCATTCCAGTTGTTCTCCTGCTCCACATGACTGTCCTGCATTGTACGAGCTGATTGGATGTGTCTTCTCTCTTTCACTGGACTGCCAGGACCAGATCTTCCTTGACTTTTGCATCCTTTACTTCACCTAATATAGGGTTGCCAGGTGCTTAACAAAAGATTGACTGGTAGCTGGGCGTGGTGGCTCACGCCTGTAATCCCAGCACTTTGGGAGGCCGAGGCGGGCTGATCACCTGAGGTCAGGAGTTCGAGACCAGCCTGACCAACATGGAGAAACTCCGTCTCTACTATTAGCTGGACAAAAATACAAAATTAGCTGGACGTGGTGGTGCATGCCTGTAATCCCAGCTACTGGGGAGGCTGAGGCAGGAGAATTGCTTGAACCCGGGAGGCGGAGGTTGCAGTGAGCTGAGATTGTGCCATTGCACTCCAGCCTGGGAGACAAGAGCGAAACTCCGTCTCAAAAAAAAAAAAAAAAAAAAAAAAAAGATTGACTGGTGAACAATGGATGCATTTTCTCTATGGATATATATTTTTAAAAATCTTTAGAAACACTAAGTAAAATTAAAAAGAGACCATCATTTCTGCTGTAATGCAGAATAAATATTTTCTCTAGAATTTACTTAGGAGCAGTTACAACTCATACATGTTAAAGATAATCTTCAATTTTTAAAAATAGATGTGTCATTTAATAATAATCTGAACCAACGTATCCTCATTAGCCCTTTTTGTGTTCTGCTACGCAAACAAAATACTTGTTTCTTTCTTAGGGTGGCAGAGAGCTTATTTAATAACAACATATATGAATTTTCCTTTCTTAAGTTTCTCCACAAGTGGTAGATAGAGCAAAGGAACATCCTAAACCATACCAACAAAGGCACTCATTAAATGCTTGCTGGCAATTGATCAAGATTAATGTGTGGGTATACTCACTGGACAAAGTGCAGGGAGGGCTTTCACTTATGAAACATAACAAATTACAATGAAATAAATCAGTTCATTACCTTTAACTGGAGCATCCCCAATTGACCACATTATCAGGGTCAAAAACAACGCCAGATGTGAACTTTGGGCAAGTATCATTTTATGTTACACATTTATCAATTACTCCAATAGTAGTATTAATAACAAGAAATAATCACATTTTAAAAAGCACTACTAATAGTGTTGTAAGATCAGAAATCACAAGAAAAGGCAGGAGAATGAGTAATAGACTACACAAACATGAATAGAAAAAGAGAAAGTCCTCTGTTTCTAATGGAAACATGTATGCTGAAAGCTTTCCAAAAGGGAGGCAAAAAGGAAAGAGGAGAAACCAATAGGCATTAAGTAACAATTATGTGCCAAGCTCTGTGCTGTACTTTTAACAAATATTGCCTTGTTTAATCCTCACCAACCACCCTTATGGTAGATGTGAGTGTACTATTTTACATGTGAGTGCACTAAAGTTTCAAGAGGTGAAATTGTCTAAGTTTATAAATGTTGAGCCTGGATTCAAACCCAGATCCGTATGACTTCATATATCAGGGTAGACATTGTCGTTTCCTACCGAAGGCGCCCATTGCCAGTCTTCTTTGTTCACAGAATAAAGTTATTGGGCAGCTTTGTGTTTTAGTGAAGCCTGGGCTTCTTTGCAGCCCCAGGAAGTGGATCTTGAGTAGTCTACTGACCTCTGGCCAGAGATTGGTGGGCAATGACCCAAACCTGTCTAATGAAACTTGAGGGACAGTCTGCTCTGGGGGTTTCTGGGAAGATTCTTCTTGTTCTTAAAAATGGATCCAAAGAAGAGAGATGCGGTTTGGCCTTTGGATACTGTTGTCACCTGCAATCAAGAGGGATATAACTGATCTACTGATATTAACAGAGAGAAAAGATGAAATGCACCTCGATCTACGATGGTGCTATTGAATCGCTGAATTCACTGACCTAAGACTTCCCAGGCTCCAGTGTTTTCATTACACAAAATAATACATTTTCCTTTTTGCTTAGGCTATTTTTAGTTTTGCAGCCCCAAACATCTTCCCAGATACAAATTTCATGTACTTTCGACAAAACTGAGATTCAGTTAAAAATAAAACAAGATACTGTTGCCTAAGAGAGTTTACAGGCAAGCTGAAATTGTCCGAGGCATGTGATGAAACAATTATTTCCAAGAAGACAGCAAAGGCCAGTGGAATAGGAAAGTGATGAGCCTGCTTACAGTGATTGTGCTAGGCCAAAGGCTTAGTACCAACTGTATGTTTCACCTGTAATGATACCTTTCCTCTGAGAAGCTTAAGGGACTCAGAGCAGAGGCAGCCCTTTGTTTCGAGTAGGTTTTGATGAATGTATTCTCTCTGGTCCTTTAGTTCTCCTCACAGAAGGTGGGAGCCTTTTGGAATTAGTCCAACCTTACAGAAAGAAGTAAAAATTGGCCAAGCCGGAAACATGTCTTACCATCCTTTCCTGCCTGCACATTCCATGGTCTGTGTGCATTGCCTAGATCATAGAGTAAATAAAGTTATCATTATTTATAACTGGTTCCTTGAAAGCCAGCCTTTTGGGTCCCTGATAATTGGTGACTGGTGCAAGTTATCGCAATTCTTTTGAGTGAAGTGAGTGCTCCCAGGCACTGCTACTGAGATGCTCCGGGCATGTTCACAGAAAGAAATTAGAAATGTTTCCCAGCATTATAGATTCTTATAATTGTGGACTAAAACAGCATTTCTGGGAAATAAGACTATACATAAATACAAACACACTTACATATAAACAAAGCAAAAAGACCAACTTAAAAACACGAGTGAGTAGAGCATAGAATCAATGGGAAAGAACAGAGACTACACAAGCATTTAGATGTGGGTGCAAATCCTGACTCGCCATCCTACGCTCTGTGACCTTGGGTAAGGATATGGTTTGGCTGTGTCCCCATCCAAATTTCATCTTGAATTCCCACGTGTTGTGGGAGGGACACGGTGGGAGGTAATTGAATCACGCCTGCAAGTCTTTCCCATGCTATTCTCGCGATAGTGAGTAAGTCTCATGACATCTGATGGTTTACGAGATCTGATCTCTCTTTCTCTCGTTTTGCCTGTCTCCCTCCACATAAGATGTGACTTGGTCCTTGCCTTCCGCCATGAATGTGACGCCTCCCAGCCCTGTGGAACTGTAAGTCCATTAGGCCTCTTGCTTTTGTAAATTGCCTAGACTTGTGTATGTCTTTATCAGCAGGGTGAAAATGAACTAATACAGGTAACTTATCTAGAACTTTTCACTTTCAGTTTACTCATCTATTAGTTGGAGGTAACAGCATTGATATCACAGGTATGTTCTGAGGTTTGGTGACATTATTCACTTATTTTCTGAACACTTATATCACACTTACATAATATCAAGTACTGTTCTCACACTTGACATAGATTATCTCAGTTAATTCTCACAACCCTCGGAGACATATATTTTCTTCCTTTTCTCATATTGCAGATATGGAAACTGAGGCCTTGAAAGGACAAACAATTTTTTGAAAGTCACACAGCTAGTAAGAGATGGAAATAGGAGTTGAACACAAGTTTGCTGAGTCTGTTCACTTCAGGCACTGTTTAGGCACTGGAGATACACAGGTGAACATTCTGCCCAGCTCAAGTTCTCTCTTTGCAACTCACCAGTGAAACTCTTCTTTCCTTAGGTTTGCCCCCTGCCCTACTAGCAGGATTTCTGAGTACTGAGATATTCTGTTTATTAACCCACTCACTTGTTCCTGCCAAAAATTTTTCCTTTTGATAATCTGGCCCCAAACTAACGTTGATGGTATTGGGTAAACTTTTGCATCTAAATTCAAGCTCCTCTGATTTTAATGGGATTTCTTCTGCTGGTGAGGTCATCCATTATTTTAAGAGCTAATGTTGAAGCCTCTAATAGAAGAAGCTATTGAGACAAAGGCCTCTGCCAAAATTGAAATTGTCCAATTAGAGGCCATTGGTGTGCTGGAATGGGTGTGCCTTTTTTGCTTTCTGGGTGGCCCACACACCCTCCCTGACACTTCCTAGGCCTGGCTTGTCCCGTTCCTTTCCCTGCTGCTACCTCCATCTCCAGTTACTGCCTGCCAGGGAAAAGTCTGAAGCCATTTGCTGCCACTCCTCGACTACTATCCCACCCTGAAACTTCAGGAACTTCATCCAGCAACCCATGTGGCTGGTCACTTGGGTTGAATGCTCCTGGAAGAAGCCAGAAGTAAGATGATCTGTTCCTCTTACCTCAACATAGAAGCGTAAAACAAGAAAGAGCTCAGTTCTGTATGCTGCATACAGGAGCTTGGTTATTCTTTCCCCGGACACACTATGAACAAGGTGGGACTTAAGCGAGAAGGGTCTATGGAGACCAAGATGAGTTCTGGGTAGTATCTAGACATCCCTTTTAGCTGTTGTGTGGGATCTGGTTTAAGAGGATTGATGCAGGAAATTCCTTGTTTCATGCTTGTCTTATGAGCTGTCCTAGTCAGCTGCATAACCACTCCAGGATGAAGATTCCTAACATTGAAGGCTAATCATGCCTTCATCAGAATTCATATGATTTGCTAGTTCTGCAAAATCCTCTTCTAACTGACCACACATTCACAATGTGTTGTTCCTGGACACTGTCTGCATGCCCTGAGCTGTGTCAAGCATTATTAATATCTATAAGCTATTGCTATTATCCTTACTTGTCTATTAAAATAGAAAGCGAGATCCTTGTGGGCAAGGGCTGGATATTAAACATCTCTGTATCTTCAGTGCCTAGCACACTGTCAGGCACATAATACATGCCCAATAAAATGTTTGTTGAATCAATAAATAAATGAGATGGGCCTGTGAATTCTCTTTGGGAAACGCTAGTTCAGGTCTCACTTCACTTTCTTGTCTTTGGGAGGAAATGCTTAGGCTATAACAATACATAACTGATAAAAATGATGGAAAAGTCAAGTTTACAAAAATTAGTATAGAATTAATTAAAAATACCATGAAACACTTTACTTGGAAATGGGTAAAGAGGCAATTGCCAAATAGATACCAAACATGACATAACAATTTTGTTTGGTTGGTTTTTTGGTGTTTTTGTTTGTTTGTTTTTTTACAAAGGCTGTTGGATCAATATATCTGTGCCATTTGCTGTGGATCTCAAGTTCTGGGCTGTCTGAGTGATCAAGTATATCATAAGTGACACCCTAAATGCTATAAAATTATAAAAGTGAAGAGGGTGAAATTTAAGGCACAGTTAAAGAAACCTCTGCCATTGCCTATAAAGTTTGTGTAAAGATATGCATATAAAGATATGCTTAAACTATGTTCCCAGACTGTATTATTTCCTTATAAATTCTGCTAGGATTTTTTTTTTCTCCTGTGTACTTTTGTTTCTTGGAGTCAGCTGTCAGGTTTATCTTTTTGGTCCTCTGCATGAATTTTTAATCTCTGCTTTCTTTTAGCGTCCAGCTTAGCCTGGCCTCTTCTGTAATCTCTTTTGCAAAAAGATACCTCTGGAGGAGCTAACTATAGGGATGCTCCTCACAGATCAGACAGCAAATGTCCTGGGCATCTTTACACATCTACCTACCTCGAATAAGCTGCCAGACATAAGTAGTTTTCTCAACTTACCGGGTGATAGGTTGGCCTTTACCCAAGAACAATCCTAGAATTTGCTGCAAGAAAATTCAGGGGCTACTTTCAGAAGCTTTGTAGTGGGATGCTACTAGTTGACAACATTTTATCTTGGTTTCATTGAAAGAAAGCAATCACACCCCTAGTTTAGACATGCAATCAAAGTACACTTTCTGATGCCAAGCTGGCAAAAATTTTGGTCTCTGGTATTCGTCTGTGCAAAAGAAAAGGCATCAAGATGAGAATTTCTAATTTTTTCCAATTCTTTTGAAAATAAATAGCTGACAAATTAATTTTTTTCTAAGTGCAAGCAATGGATTGCAGAAATACTTTCTTGAGCTGAACTCACCTTGTCAGTCACTCAACTCTCCAGCAGTTGACAAAAAGGTTTTAAGATAGAAACTGGGCTATTTAGCCTTCATTAATCATTCATAGTGTTCAAACACATCATCCAGTAACTGAAGAGGGGTTAATGGTAACTAAGCTTGAGTCTGTTGTCAAAAGTAGGTTTAACTTTCTATGAACTCACTGGACACAAAGAATGCTGCCTGCTTACTATTCCAAATGTCACCAGCTAGGAGCAAACGGATGACTACTAATGGTAATTAAATACCTCTGAAGCCATTTGTACCAATAACAAAGAGTTACTGTCAGAACTTGAATGAGGTCCATCTGCCCATTTTAAAAGAATGTTAACATTATATAAGTGATAAAATAGACAGCAACAACTAAATAAATAGACAAACAAATAAGTTTGGTGATAACATTTCTTTAGATGAACACTGATTTCTTTGGTCTTTCCTTTGGAAACAAGAGATTAATGAAAATATCCTACCTTAGTTGTTTCAATTCCATTTAGCCCATGAAGTAATTAGAAGGGGGTTTTTAGTAAAAATTCTTCTACCTATATTCCCAAAGCCATGAAAAAAATTGAAATTTCATTTGACTTTTTTTGTTTCCTTCTGTCTTGTGAACTTCTTGGATTTAGTATTTACTATTGGCTTTTTAATTTCATTTGCTTTCATCTCCTTAAGTGAAGTTGCGGGGGGAAAGGGTGGATTTTTCTGCTTTCTGTCTTCAGAGCACCGAATCCCACAATTGCTACTTCTTGTACAGATGGATTGGCAGCCCAGGGTTTTCTTTGGTGGCCTCATCTATTCAGCTGCCCCTAAGGTCCCTGCAAGGGGCAGTCTGACTTCTGTTGGATGTCCACTGTGGTTTCCTCTGCATCTTCATCTCTTTCTACTGTGACAAGACAATATATGAAAAGATATTTCATGAAAGAACCAAATGCTGAAGAATATCTAAATGCTTTTGAAATGCACCTAAAATCCTAGGGAAGCAAGAATAAAAGGGCACAGAGGGTTCTGAGTGGGAGCTACTACATTCATCAAGCCTTTGGAAAGGCAGTTTCTTGTAAAGATATGGACTTCATTAAGTCAGTCAAAGGGTCTTTAACAGCTCTCTTTGCCAGGAGGTAGAACTACTTGTATATCTGATGGCTCAGTTCCAGTGGGAAGAGAAAGTGGCAGGTGAAGAAGAGGAATTGCAAGGTCATTGTAGTGATTGTATGGTAGGGGTAAGTGAATAGTGAAAACTTAGACATTTACCTATGCCCTTATGTAATGCTTAGAGGGGTGTTGGAGAGGAAGCAGCAAAACAACATCTTGGAGACACAGAGCTCAAAGCTAGGAGAGAAAAATGGGTGTATAAAATTTAAGACAGCAGCTCGTATCAGTTAGGATTTTTTATGTTCCAAAAAACAGAAAACTTAAACAGAACAATGGAAGAATGTATTACTAAGTAACAGAGAAGTGTAGAGGTTTTATCTAGTTCAAAAATGCCCCTAAAGACTCTGTCTGTCTCTTTGCTCTGCTTTTTGCTAATGGTGTCAGTTTTATCCCAAGCCTGATTTCCCACATGGTTGCAAGATGGCTGCCAACAGTTACTGAGACTGCATTCTTTCCCATACATGGCCAGGAAAAGAGAGATAGAGTATCTTTCTCCCAACCAAACAAAAGTCCTAGATTTCACTCTGATAGAACCAGTATAGGCCATGCAGGCAATGATTATAGGCTCACACTGGTTAGCAATTCCATGCTTACTTTGAGAATTGGGGGTAAGGGATCAATGACTTCAAAAATGCAAAATGGTGGTGGTAGGGAGAAGAGTGATGGGACTGAGGAAACTGATGCAGCAGGACGGTCTACAGTGTATCCTTGACCCAAGCATTTCAATTTTGCATGCTTCCTGAGAAAGGAGACATTCTATCAAGTAAATCTTTTCCTGTTCCCTTAGTTGAATTACCATGAATAATTTACAGCGTTTCTAAGTGTGTGGTACTAAGTTCTGAACCAAAATGACAAGGGTTGCTTAAATCCAGACTCCTGGGCCCTCCTAAGACCTCATGAATCAGAACCTCTGTAAGTGGCGACTGAGTTTGCCTTTTTAGCAAGCTTCCTTAGTAGTTTTATGCCCATTCAAGTTTGGAACACACTGATTTCATAGAAACTTGACCAAAAGTAAAGGTATCAGGAGAGCGCCTTCTTGCTTTAGGAAGATTTGATAAAGTTTCTTACTGTACCTTTGCAAATTGTCTCCAATAAAATAGCTATGAACAGTTGCCACCCCAGTACCATCTCACATTAGTATGGACATTATTTTCTATTAGTAAGATGTAAAAGTATTTAATTAAAGCTACCTTTGAAATGAGTTATGTAATATACATATATATATATAAAATTTTATTTTATTTTTATTTTTTTGAGATGGAGTCTCACTTTGATACCCAGGATGGAGTGCAGTGGTGTGCTTTCAGTTCACTGCAACCTCCGCCTCCCGGGTTCAAGTGATTCCCTTGCCTCAGCCTCCCTAGTAGCTAGGATTGCAGGTGCCCGCCACCACGCCCAGCTAATTTTTTTGTATTTTTAGTAGAGATGGAGTTTCCCCATATTGGCAAGGCTGGTCTTGAATTCCTGACTTCAGGTGAGCCTCCCAAAGTGCTGGGATTACAGGTGTGAGCCACCATGCCCAGCCTGTAATATATTTCTATGAGGGGAAATAAATCTAGATTTTTGACATCATGCAGGCAAAAAAAAAAATGTGCATCGCGTTTTTCTCTTTTGAAGATACGCTTTTGGAATTATCCATATGCTCTTAAACTACATTTTGACTTCCTTTTGGTTCCAGTGATGGGTATTGTCATATTTATAAACATTTATTGAGAGAAATGGTTTTCTATTCCATTTGGAAAAGAGGCAGATACCTTCTAACTCACTTGGCTTCTTCGTATCAAGTAAAAATGTATTTTCTTCTGCTGAGAAAGATGAAAAGAACTAGGTTTTATCCTCTGGTTGATCAATGATTTACAGGTAAAATTTTCTTCACAAAATTGGCTTATTTTGATTAGTTTTTCCTCGCATACTGAAGTAGAGAAATAACACTATCTTCATTATTATCCTCTTTTATCCTGGTGGTGATGGTGAGTCTTAAAGCATGAGGAACTTCAGTGAGTTGTCCAAGGAGTTGGTGTTTTGGGGATAAGATTTCTACGTGAATTATGTGCACAAATTTTAAACTTGTTTGTTTAAAATATTATTGTCTATTAAGTATGCTAGACTCTTGTGCTAAATGTTGATATGGTCATCAGCCAAACAACGTGGCACGTGTCCTCATAGGGTTCATAGTCCAGTGCTATGCTGTTTAATACAGTAGCCACCAGTCGCATATGGCTATTCATATTTAAATATAAATTAAACAAAGTTAATATTTAGTTACTTGGTTGCATTAGCCACATTTCAAGTCCTTAACAGCCACATGTGGCTAGTGGCTATTGTACTGGACACTGTAGATATGGACCATTTTCATCATCATGAAAGGTTTCATTGAACAGTGCTAGTAGTGGAATCGAACAGAATTAAGTGCAAACCACGTTTCTGCTACTTAATAGTTGTATGGCCTGGGAAAAGTTCCTTCATTTCTCTGAATCTCAATTTCCTGGTTTGTAAAATGGGATCTAATAGCTATATCACTGAGTTACAGTGACGATTACATGAGATAGTGTTGAGAAAGCTTTTAGATGAGTAGCACATAGTAAACACTCAATAATTTTTGATTACCATCATCTTCAGCGTTCAATATTCTGTCTCCCATGGAAGCATTTTACACTTCTCTAATTGCCATTCAGCACACCCTAGAAGGGCAGAAAGAGACAGGTCTTCTGAGGTCCTCTTGTCACTCAGACTTCATTCTGAGGAGTTCTCTAGCAAGGTGCTGTTAGCGCACTTGTGTCTGTTTACCTGAACTGTGACCTACTCAGGTGACACAAATCACTCTTTTAATATATTATACTGCATCTAAGGATGAGAGAATTTTCAGAATCCTTTCTTCTAGTGTTAAATAATAAACCAAGGGACACAAAGATATTGTGGGATTACAAAAAGATGTTGTTAGTAAGTGGGCACAGTTAATTGGGAGAATTTGTTAGCCATTGTTTTAGGCAAAGTTACCTGTTAGTGCAGAGTAACAAACAGTTTTTATCTTCAGGGACCACTCCAATCAATAGTTAGATGCTTCCTATAGAGCTTTTGAGAAATACTCTGAGGCCAATCAGAACATAGCAAAAAAAGAATCCAGTCATCCGTTAGTGATACCAGCTCTAGGCCTGAGAGTTAGGAAGAATTGGCACACATTTTATATATTTGTCAATCTTTCTTAAGGGACAGTTTGATTACAGAAACAAGAAGGTTTCTTGCTTTAGGCTACTATTGCTAATTGTAGTAGTCTTTAGTAGATCAAAGTTTGTCTGTCTGAGGTCTAAAATCACCTCGGGCCTGTTTTACATAGACATTGATCCCACCAGCCGTTGGCTTCATCATCTTTAAATGTGAGGAGACACTGTGTTTTACATTTCACGGTCCATTAGTTAAATCAGATGACAATTTTTGAGATGCATAATTTATACTATTACTTGGCTCCCAGATGAATGAGAAGTGGGAGGAAATAATTAAAGACCTAAAAATCTTCCTAAAGTGCAATTTCATTATGTCATTCCAGACTCAGGAACTCACAGTGGCTCCCTCCTGCTAATAAGCACCTCTTTTTAGCTTTCAAGATCTATAATCCAGCTCACATCCTATGTTTCTAGCCTTATTCTTTACAACTCACCAATAGCAATAGTCAACTCCAGAGTATCCAAAAGCCACACTGTGCTCAGCTTATTTTTCTGTTTAATGTGTGTTGGTTTGACCTTCCCAACCAGGTTATTTGCATGTTTAAAAATTGGGCTACATTTTACATGTCTTCTGACCCTCCCAGTACACTGATTACAATGCTAAGAGGTAAGATCCTTGAGGAAACAGGAGACTTCCCAAAGTTACTGGGCTCAGTAAATATTTGTTTATCTTGTTTCTTGATTGCAGTATTTCAATAAGTGTTTGATTGATTGCATGATTGAAAAGAAAAACCAAAATGATATATTCCTATTATTTTCTGTTAGAAATTCATTGCAGCAGGAATTGTGTCTGATTTGTAAAAAGGAAGTAACGTGATATTGTCTACAACAGGGATTGACTGACACAGAAGTAAAAGTACATCATTCTTCTACTAGCTTCCCTGAGGCAGCTTTCTGGGACAAACCCAGCTCTCTAATTCAAATTTCTGAAAGGTGATGTGTGGTATGTTATATATAGCTAATGAGAACAGGGCAACTCTGGTCAGATATCCCTAAATATATTTTGTAGCTATAAATTGTGGTTAATAAGTGAAAACTTAAAATTCCAAACCCTTAATATGTTAAAAGATTTGATTCATGAACACCCCAATATTGAACAATTGTGTTATCTCAATATGTTATAAAATAGTAAAATAATTATAATAAAATTGGTCCAATTTTTTGGACAATGGTTGTATTAGGGTCATTTTCAACTCAAACATTCATTCATTTGCTCTTGCTCTAACTAAAACCATGAATGCTTTAAAGGGGAAAAATTGAGAAAAGGTGGACATAGGTGAAGTTAAAGTGAATATTGGTTTTATTAGTAAAATGAGTTTACATAGGAATTGTTAAATGTAAAGAAATGAAAACAGCTTTGTTTAGCAACAACTAATAGGCAGGTCTAGAGCGGCAATTTTATATTATTGATGATTTTTATGAAGAAAATTGACTCTAAACACAACATTCAAATCACAGAAGTAGTAAAGTGATTTGAATTCTGAAGATGTGAAAGTATATGATTTGCCTTCTCTCTCTCTACCTCTCTCTTTCTTCCTCTGTCTTTCTCACTCCTGAATTCATCTGATTATATTAGATTTATTTTCTTATTCAAAATAACAGCTCTACAACAAAATTCCAATATGGAGTTAAATCCTGGCACACAAGTATACAAGTGTACAGACCACTTTTTTTGATGAAGAAAAGTTTGGTTTGTTTTGGCCCCTTCCCTAGTAGGCCGATATCTGATTACTAGAATGAGGTTGTATATCAATAATCCTAAGTAGGAGGAATGTAGCTCTGGTCCTATTCAATGACTTGGCATCACCCATCACGCAGGTCTCTTGCTTCCATGCCTTTCTACATGACATGCCTTTTTGCTAGGAAAACTCTTTCATGCCTGTCTCACCCCAGTAACTTGTATTTACCCACTAGGCCTTGAGGTAAACTTGTATTTACCTCCCTGTACTCCTGAACACACACACACACACACACACACACACACACACACACTCCACACACACCTCTTTGGCTAGATCTGGGACCCTTTCCCCTTGTTCTCACAGCAGCACTCCAGGCTTGCCTCTGTCATAGCAGGTAAAGTCTATATACTGTCACTTGTCAGCTTATTTGATTTTCCTCCACACTTGCTCCTTAAGGACAGGGAAGACGTTCCCAAGTTACCCAGCCCAGTGCCTGGCATAAAATAGAAATTCTGTACATATTGATTTAAAGAATAAATAACTCAGAAAAAATTTATTCAAGATGCTTCAGAAATACTGAATAAATAAGTGTAACTTTATCACTAGATAATTAGCTTTTCAAGGGCAAGAACTGACTTTTGTATTAATCCTTAGTACCTAGGGCAATCTTTTGCACAGTGAGGTGTTGAAGAGATGCTTGCTTTGGGAATTGAATTATTACTTTCAGGTATAATCAATGATTATAACTAGATTCTTGGTATTTCCTAAGTAGTGAAATTTGTGGCAGAGGAAAGTTGGTTTCTCAATGGAGAATACTGGTTTGTAATTTTTGTATAAATTTTTGGTGGATGCTTCAAAAGAAGGGTTTCTGAAACTTGTCTAATAGTAAGAATCATCTGAAGAGCATTCACTAAAATATAGCTTTCCAATTCCCACCTCAGACCAACTGCATCACAATCTCCAGGAGTGAAGATTTCACCATTTTTATTAAGTGATTTTTCTAAGACTTGAGAGGTTTGGGTTACTCTTTATAGGACTTAGAAACAATTTTGCCTAAGCATTCTGATAGCTGCATTTTATATTCAAAATTTTGAGTTTGCTTTTCCCCTCGGGTTATATAAAGTACACTCTTGTTAAGTCCATTAGAATGATTCCAAATGCTAAAAAAATTCCAAATTAGTGGGGTTCATAATAATCAAGATTCTTTTGTGAGCCCAAATTTCTGATTTGAGCAGCCTGGGTTTGTTCAAATTAAATTTAAAACAAGCTCAAAAACAGGCAGTGGAACTTAAAAATCATCTCATCCTATGCTTTTGTCCCAACACTTTAAATGATCACATATTCAACAATTGCCCTTACCAGGGGCAAATGATTCTGTGTGTGACAGCTGAGACCACAGAAATCTCTCACTTTTTTTTGCAGTTGGTTATAGGAATTGTTTTTCAGAGAGAGCAATTTTGTACAGCAGTTTGCTGTTGTGTTCAAATTTCTAAACACCACAAGTTCATGTTTACTTGGTAAAAAGTATGCTGAGTTAAGAAGTTAAAACACAAAACAAAACATAACCAAACTAGCACTCAAGAGTGTCAACCCCCTACTCCAAAGATTTCTCTTTAGAAATCCTTTGAGTACGTAAGGGTCAAGGAGGAAGGTGAGAATTGCTCCTTTACCAAAGATATGGCCATTTCTACAAACTCATCATGCTCAGGTAACTCTTTAGCCTTCTCCCTGTACACCAAACATGTATGCATGTGTCTACCAACTCCCTGCCACCATGGGAAAGCAGATTACAAGGAACAAAGGATATTAGCCTTCCGGTGCTGAGGAGCAAGGTAACCTGCAGAAACACACAGGAGACAGAACAAACAAGGAAGAACGAACTGAGTAATGAACAGGACAGGAAACCAAACCAGAAAAACAAACAGGCAGAGAAAGCAACTGGTGATTAAACAAAGGAGCAGAGTAACTCTGCCGAACCCAGGAGTCTGGCGCTCACCTGGGGCCCACCTGCTGAACAGGTGAAGGAAGGCAGCCAGAACTGAATCCTTTTGTGGATTCTAGTTCCCTCTCCTCCACACCCTGAAACAGGTAGAGTCGGGGAGCAACCAGAAAAGCTGCATCTGTGATTCTTTTTCCCCGATGGAAGACCCATAAATACTTTATTATCAAGAGCCCATAGACAAGGCAGTGGTTACAGCAAAACAAATATCAGGAAGGACAGACTTAAGTTTATCAAAGCTACAAGGCTCATTGGATTAAAAGAAAGCTTCTGCTTACTGTGTAACTAGGTTCAGCTATAGCTGTATTAGAGTTGAGGATAGCATTGAGTGATTGTAAATAAATTTTTGTATTTTGCTTGCAATACAAAAATCCTTTTTATCGGTGGGTCCAATGTAAACAGGCATGCACACACACATTAAATATAATTAACAAGTATTTATTAAGCACCTATTCTGAACAAGGTATTGTGGTTTGGCTCTCTATGGAGACAGTGTTATATAATGTACATACTAAAAATATTTTATTGAAGACTCTCAACCTGACAGTGGTGCTGTATGTGTGAAAGTGCCTGAAGAGATTGGCTTTATTATTAATACTTTTTTCCCAAATGCTTATTTGAAGACTATTTGGGGTGAGGTGGAGGTGTGGGTGGGGAATTGTTGGGGAAAATTCAAAAAGATTGATTGTTTTAAAAAAAGGGACACAATGGATTTGCTATTTTCTGACTCAACTACAGCTTTTCATAGTGGAGATATCCAAATTCTATTTTCCTAGTGAAATTATATTTGTCCTGCTTGAAAACACTCTTGCAAATTTTCTTAAGAAAAAAACCTACACAGATAACTTAGCATACTTTCTATGTTTCTTAACTTTAGATTGATCAGAGGGCAAAACATTTTTCATGGCTATAGAGCCAAAAGTGAGGTTGATGCACAAAATTTAAGCCATGAAATCTTTTTTATATTTCCTAAAGGTAAGGCACAAATTCGGCTCTGCCATTTCTAGAAGCCAATAAAAGGAAGGAAACACTGTTAGTTATAAGATTCAGTATATACATAAAAATAAAAACAAATCAATTTTTCAAACAAAGAACAAAAATGTAGATAAAGAGACCAGAAAGAAATATCTCCTTTAGCTGTTCTTAGAAAGGGTTCTGAGTAATGGAATGAACAATATCTGCACAGCATCCCTTTGATAAATATATTTGCCTCGTTTTATTTTTAATTTAACCTATATTGCTGAATTGTGTGCATTATTGTAAGAACCTTAAGTCTGTTTTGGTGCAAGGCTAGGTTAGGTGGGTAAGTGAAAAGACAGAAAATATACTGGTCTGAATTAGGAAAAGGAGAAACAGCATTCTGGAAACCCATTTTTACTTAGTTTACTAAGTATCTGCTCATCCTTACTGTATCACTTTTCTAAGAAAAACTTTGAGAATGCCTTCTTCATTCTACAAATAAAAGTCCTTTGGATTTCTGTACCAGAGAAATACAAAGCTGTAGCTTTCTTAGCCCTGAGAGTTCTGAGCCACCCCTGTGGATGTTCAAGAAAAGGGGCTAAGTCCATCTCTCTCCATTCATGTTGACCTTTAAACAGAACACACCATAGAGAATAGCTTGGAATTTAAGCTTATTAAAAATATACTTTTTCTCCCCCTTGGACATTTTCTATTTTCCTAAACCTGCCCTGCACTTTCCCATCTCTGTATCTTTGCCCAAGTTAGTGTCTGTCCCTGGAATGCTTTTCCCGTCTACTTCTGTGTGTGTTTATAGAAATTATACTCATCTTTTCCAGGTCAATCCAAATTCCTCTTCTTTAAGCAAGCCTTACCCAATTACCCAAATATGATCACTCCTGCCCAAATCTTCCTAGAGTCCCTCTGTTAGCATAGAACAAGAACGCATTCTGGGCTGCATTGTAGACACCTATGGATAAACATTATTTTCCCATCTGGGTAAAAAGTTCCCTGAGTTTTTTCTTTTTTCTTTTTTTTTTTCCTATTTGCAACTTCCTGTGAAGCTGCCATCACTTCAAAATAAAAAGTTAAGTTAAAAAGACAATCTTCTGAGGGTGCTCATTTTTAAACATCCTTCCCCTAAGGGTCTAGAACAGTAACTAGCACTAAGTAGGCCCTTAATGAGAAATTGTGGAGTGAATGTCCATGAATGAACATGGAAGCAGTATGTGCCAATGGGTAGATAATGGGATTTAATCTTAGAAAACCTCGGTTTGGGCCTTAGCTTTCTTTCCTACTTGGGAAAATCTGGGACAAGTTACTTAGTCTTTTTAAGCTCAGTTTTTCATTTGTCAACTGGGAATAATAATAAATCACTTCACTGGGTTATTGTGGGGTTTAAGTGAGATAATGAATGTGCTCTTATTTCATTAACTGTAAGCACCATGCCAGTGTTAGTGATTATTGAGATTGTTGCTGAAGCAATTATACATGCATAGCCACCGGAGTTGCTCTTGGTGCCCGTAGCTTGTAGGTAGCATAATTCTAAGGCAGTCTTGGTTTGACACCCCCTTTCTATCTCTTTGCCACACCCTATGACATTCTTGAAGCACTCTTTCTCTTTCCATCCCTCCTAACAGTCCCCTAAATAGCCCATTTTATCCTTTCCAGTAAGACTTAGAAATAGTTAAAAAAACAGAAAACTGGAACAACTTCATGAAGTTGTGCTCCAGGGAGTTTAGAACATGATTATATGTTAGTAAACAAAACATTTTTAATTCAATTTATGTTCTGAACATTGTTATTCTTTTATGAAATACTTGTATGAAGGAATTCCCTGTCTTATAAACACAAACTCATAAACTGTTCATTTTTAACAAGGATCCTGGAGCAACGACCTCAGGTATTGTATACTGATACAAACTTAGATATGGTCTGGAGGTTGGCAGGACAGGCCATCAGAGATTTCTTAAGAGGAGAGAATGAGGAATCTCATGGAAGGAAACTTCACAAACTAAGAGAATGAGATTTACAGAATGGGTCCAGTAACAATGGTGTATCATTCTGTATCTTACTCAGATTGTTTTCTGGCTTCGGCTTCATACTGCTGCTTTAACAGGGAAGATGTATTAATATAGCTGAATTACTGCAGCCTAATGCTAAGAAATGTAAGTCAGAACTGCCTTGTGAGCCCACTAACAGAGTGTAATGGAGGCAGGAGGATGTGGCTTGGTATCTTTTTCTCTATACTTCTGAGACTACTAGAAGCCAAATTAAATCAAGGATTAGAGGTTTTGCTACACATCAGAAGGCACTGATGGTTTTCCTGGTGTCATCTGGGACCCACATAGCTAGTGTTACAAGCAGAAAAGAGTCATAGTGGCAGAGGAGTTGACTTGGTACACAGGGGTGTTTAGTCTAGTCATTGTTGAGACCAGAATGGGCAGCCCTTTGTGGTGTGGAACCTGTATTCTAGAGCACACAAAACATCTTGAGTGTGAGTTGCCACTATTCTGTGGGTAGAGATCCAGGCAGATGAACACTATTTTGTTTTTATTAGTATAACCCCTTCAAACCCCTCTACTAGACTAGTGCTTGGGAGGCATGTGCTATCCCTACATAATCAGCCCTACTGACTGACTCCTCTCCATGACTGGAGCTCACCCACGCCTCTTGCCTTTGCCACCAGGATCACCATGAATACACACTGGCCCCACAGCCACTTCACTTTTCTACTTCCTCTTTAGTTCCAGCCTCAACCACTGTTCTCCCATCTTTACTGCACTTGCCAGGAAAGGTGGTAGAAACACCCCTACAGGAAATGTCTTTCTGTCCTGAGTTGAATCAAAGAATTATCTTTCTGATGGAAACAGAGTCGTTCAGTGTGAGGCTTCCAAACAACTCTGAGAATTCTAGATGAAATTCACAGTATGGGCTAAGGGGTTTTGTTGTGATCTGACCTTTATTACATAGATTATATCATTCTCATGGGAATGTGCAATTTGTATTCCAACCAGTCAATTTATTCAGCAATATCTGCTACACTGAGAGGTCTATATGGAGAAGAATTTGACTCACTTATTTTGTACACCATAAGAGGGCTCAATTAATGTTGGTTGAATTGAGTCATATAATTTAGGGATCATCTATTTCAGCCAATCCTTCCTGGAGCTTCAATAGTCTGCTTTCTTTTAATTCAAATGACATTTTCCTGTTAAGTACAGGGTCCACACCACTAAATTCAATCATATATTGTCTATCATTTATTGATATAATAAGATATGAAGATAATTAAAATGCTTTCCCATAATTTGGTTAAATGCTATACTTGGTGGCATTTTCTTCCATCTCCACTGAACTCAATAGTTAGATATGATTTCCTTTGTGCTAAAAATAACAAAGATAGTATTTGGAAGAAATCAGAATGGACGAGCTGATAAATTATTTATGGCAATTTCTAGTAGCCTGCCAAACTGTTCTGTAATGTAGTAGAATCTTAATTTTTAATGAAGGACCCTATGAAAATCTGCTAGGGTAAAAACCATGACCTCTAAATGATACCATGAGAGAGTCCCATCCCGAGCCAGACTGTGCTTTTTCCCATCACCTCACTAGGGCTTCACCTCCAGCTGACCCTACCTGGTCCAAGCTGAGGGGAGTTGGTTGGTACAAAGCCTGACTAAGACAGGAAAGGTGGAGTGAGGGAGAAGCCCAACTCTGAAAGGGGATAAAACAAACCACCTTGGGGAACTATTGTGTGCCATTTCAAAGGTCTGTTTTGACTAATGCGCTGTGCTATTCAACTTTACATCCTTAATCTGTTGTGTCTGTTTTTAATAAAAAAAAATAATTGGGGAAAAATTAAGGACAATGAGAGAGTATTAGTGAATACAAATAGGTGAGAGATGAAAGCAGACCTATGGGGGGAAAGCACTTGCAGCTACAATGATACATCTGAATGTGAATTTGGTTGATCCTATTTTTACCTCTCGTGCTTCGGCAAAAATGCATTTGACTTGATATGGTCTTGCTCACTGATTAAATTTCCCAAATTGTTATGGGACCTTTTGCTGTTCAGAGAAATCCAACAGATCTGCTTATTATCTTTCATCAGGGACTCCATCTTCATTCTCTTGTCAATAGAAGACAAAAGCAGTATTTTGTGCATATTTATTAGCTATATTATATCTCTTGGAAACATTAGTTTTCTCCAACTTTTTTTGATAAACATTTCATAGTTTTAAATCAAATATTTTCTTAATGGTTGAGAGCTTTTCTCCTATTATATGTTATTCATCTAATAATGGCACAGTTAATGTCTTATTATCTATAACAGACTTATAAGGTTTTAAAAGCAGTTGTTAAATATTAGAACTTATACAATCTTGGAATAATTTGATCTGAACTCCTCACTGAGCAGTTGGGGAAACTGAGGCTAAGAAATGTTAAGTGGCTTGCCCAAGGTCACAGAGCAGCTAATAAAACAACTCAATGTTTGTGTCTTTTGAATTTACACCATCCTTTCTAGTATACTCCATTCCACATCCTGCAATCCCCACCACAGACCTATACACAAGATCTGAGCCCTAAGAAATGTCCCTGAACAAATGCTTATCTTAAATCATGTTCTTTCTCCATATTCCTATTGTTTTAATCACTAGTAAGTGTCTTTCTTCAACAAACATTAAGGAAAGCACTAGGTGGAAAAGAGTAATGCTGTCCTTGACTGTGGGGCTCTCTTGATTTAAAATAGCAGAATGCAGTGAAACGATGATAATACATTTGAGGAAAAGAGGGCAAAACAGCTGGTGAAGAGAGCAGAAGGGCTGACCTGCATGAATACCACTCTGAGGGGAGGAAGAGAGACTTCCTTTATGAATGGGGAGGAAAGAAGTTGTGATCTGTTTGTGCAAAATACCAAATCATTTTAACCAGACAAAACAGAGTTTAACTTAGCTGACACGAATGCTATGAATCACTGGGGTGGTGGAAGGTGAAGCTCCATTTGATACTCATAATTAGAATATTGTGAACAGAAATTGCTCATGTAAAATAAACTTTCTACAGTGTTGCAGCATGTTAGAGAGACAGGTAGAGATGTCTTGAAAATTTTTAATGTTTCCAATTCCTGCAGCTTTTACAAAGGGCTTCATAAATTGAAATCTAAATCTATTATTCTGTCCCTGCTTCACAACTTGCTATGGCTCACTGGATAATGATCTCTAGTCTAAGAAATTGTCAATTATGTTGATAGTATTATAAGTAGGGCTTTTATTAAATGGGAACTTATTTTAAGATGTTACTGTAGCCCCACTGGCTCTCTATTTTGCCATCTACTGAGTTAAACTAGGAGAAATATAGTGAACAAATAAAAGAGCCTATTTTCTATGGATTAAAACAGGATGGAGATAAAAAATTAAATTACTGGAGCCAAATATAACAATTATACTTAATATAATCAAAAATAATTTTCCCTCTTATTATGAAGATTTTCAAACACACGGTAAAAGAAAAGAGAATTGTGTAACCAACACCCATGTACCCATCACTTAGATTTAATAATTTTTAACATTTGCCTCATATGCTTTTTTCTGCTGAAGTTTTTCCAAGTAAATTACAGACATTACATTTCACCTCTAGACACTTTAAGTGTTTAATAAGAATACTTTCTGTATAATGACAATTTTTCAGTATCACGACTAATATAATTAACAAATATTTCCTAATATTGCCTAAAACCCAATTCATAATCTATCCAATAAATATTTTATAGCTGGGTTTGTTTAAACCATGATCCAATTAAGACCACACATTACATTTGGATATGATGACTCTTATAATTCTTAGAATCCAAACCAATACCACCCTTTCTCCTCTCCCCCTCAACCCCTCCCACGTATTTTTTTGCATGACACTAACTTGCTGGAGAGCAGGCCAATTGTCATATAAAATGTCATTGTTTTCTTGTGGTGATTTAACTTTTTCTTCTATTCTTTGTTTCCTGTAAACTGAAAGTTGGGCCTATAGGCCTTCCTTGATATAAATTAGAGACATTTTTTGGCAGGAATATTTCAGAGAAGACCTAACAATTCTACTTCTACATATATATCCAGGAAAAATCAGATCACATGGCCACAATAAAAGTCTTGTTACAAGAATGTCCATAATAGCTTTCTTTGCAATCACTCCTAATTTACAGTCACTGCAAACTGGAAACAATCCAAATATCTGCCAAGAAGAGAATGGATAAACAAAATGTAAAATATTCGTACAATGGAATACTAGCATTAAAAAGAAGTAACTAATTGTTGCACCCATCAATATGGATAAAGCTTGAAAGCATTATATTGAGAGAAAGAAGCCATTTACAAAAGGGTACCCACGATACGATCCCATTTATTTGAAGTACAAGAAACTGCAAAATTAATCTATGATGTTAGAAATCAGAACATATGACTTTGGGTCCAGAGGATGCTGATTCACTACAGAGGGGCACAGGAGAATTTTTGAGGTGATGGAAAAGTTCTGTATCTTGATTTGGGGACAGTAGTATGGGTGCATAGATTTTTCAAAACTCATTGAACTACTTTGACTTTTACAGTACATAAGTAATACCATGATGGAAGGAAAAAAATTAGGTGAATCAATGTATGTATTGCATTTCCCAGGAGGCATATCATATCAGGTTATCTTTAGTGATGCTAAGATTGATTGCTGGAAAAACATGAACATTTTAAATGTATACTTTTTAATTTTAAGAAAAATCTGAGTTACAACATGGTGAGAATTTCATAATCATAGACATCTTTTGAAGACTGTATAATTTTTTTGCCTCAAAATTAAACTCAGCCCTCTGAAAATACAAATATTGTTCTGTGGGAAAGAAAGGCAATATGGTGGGCATGGATGAAATAGGAGAATCCCAGTAAGGAGTAGGGAGATGCTGATCCAAAATGATGAGAAACTTAGGGAAGAATAAGAAAAAGGTCCCAAGAACCTTCTCACCCACAAAATTAAAAAGCTGTATAGTATACTCTGCTGAGAGAGGAAGGCCAAGGAAACAGGTGGATGGAAATCTGCTGTGATAAGAAGTGCCTTCCCCACTGAGCCCTGGCAGGGAGGTTTTGCAGTGCAGGCCCCTCTGGAGCCTGCTACGCGGTGCCCAAACACAGCTGTCACTCCCTGGACTTCTGGACAGGGAACTGAACCAGAGGAAGGGCAATGAAGATGCAGCACTGGCCAGTTCTAGCAGCTGGACAGCACTCAGTGCTCCTCGGGATCAGGGCCTGTGTCTTTCTGTTAGATGTGAGAATTGGAGAGCTCACTAAAGGATTTTGTCACTGGAATTCCCAGAGGGATTATTGCTTCATTGACAGCAATTTAATCATACCATGTCATGAAACAACATCCACACAAAAAGAAAATTGAGCTTCACTTCGAGGGCTGAGGCTTCTGAATTTGACTTATTTATAATGGTGGGTCTTACTCTGAGAAAGCCTAAGGCACAAAATCCTAGACTCTAAAAACTGTTTCACCCAGTAGGTAGGGGTACAGTGGTAGGCAGGAAGGTTCATGTACAAATTGCCAAAGGTTATTTCACTTTATAAAAATGGTTCATCACAGGTTTCCTTAAATCATCATCTTCCCAGAGAGGTCACGAGACTGACCAGTCTTCCATTCCCTCCCAACAGGCAAGAGCAAGGCCTTACATCATTGAGACATACATACATTTCATGAGGCTGAATGGGATTTATGCTGTCTTTGTGAAGTGTGCACTATTTTATGAGGTCTTCTTTCTATTAAGTATTCCGTATCTTAAAGCTATAATCTTCTAAAAATTCTCCTTATGGAAAGATAAGGATAAAGATTACTAAAACATTCATTGGATAAAAACATGTTCTATCCCAATGTTAAACTATAAATCAAATTAAGAGGATATTGCCTCACCAGACACTAAATTTCTAAAATATGATAATTCTCTGTAGCCTTATATGATTTGAATCATTTAATCTATTAACTCATTTATGCCTTGACTCTATCCGAAATATCTTGGAAAAGGCTGAAAAAATACATGCAACTCCAAGTGATAAAGAGATAAGAAAAATCAAGCTGGAAGAGTAAGTCAAGTGTAGATAAGGAAAAAAACCAGGGCACAAATGAACACATGCTGTTATGTCCTATACAATAGTGGAGGCAGGCACAGATTTAGCCCTTAGCTTACTGGTGACTAAAAACAAGAGGAAAATACAATATAAGAACATATAAAAATACGAAGGGAACAACAATAAAACATTGCTCAGGAGAAATGAGTTTAGTGGATCCTCCTAAAGAGGACAAGGTGCAATGAAAAAGACATTTTCCTATCTCTACCTCAAAGTGAGTTACATTTAACTACTTCTCATGCTGTCTCTCAGGACTTGACTAAGGCCAAAGTTAAATTTAGTAAAAGCAGTTTCACAATTTGGGGACTCCCAGCCCCCAAAACAAAGTGTGGTCTAAGCATGTAGCCTTTGTGATGATGGCTTGATTTAGGGAAATGGATGGGCAGCCCATCCTTGATGCTCTTTTCTTGACCTGTCCTTGAATATTTTCCTTGATTATGTCATACTTGTACATTTGTTCAGAGGTGGAGAGTAGATAGTTTAAGGTTATATTCTCTGGTAAGGAGTGAAATAACAACTTAGCGTTTATTGAGCATGTACTGTGTGCCAGAGATTCTAAGTGCTTAAGGTGTATTATTTCATTTAATCCTCATGACAATCCTATGAGGCTAACATTTTCATTTTTACAGATGAGATAAAGAGGTATGAGAGGTTAAAGGTGGAATAGTTGTTAGGTATTAAGGAATAGAAAGTAGGCAGCCTGACTCCACTGTGTGATATTGACTTCAGGAATTTGTCTGTGGTAGGTCGCTGGGGTAGGTCAGAACCTAGACAGAGAAGGAGAGGTTTGGCTTATGGCTCCCCAAACTTAGAAGCCTGACCAGAGCCAGTGCCTGAATACACTCATCCCACTTCTGCACAAATGTGATTTTGTTAATTTTTTTTTTTTTTTGAGATGGAGTCTCTCTCTGTCGCCCAGGCTGGAGTGCAGTGGTGCAATCTCAGCTCACTGCAACCTCCACCTCCCAGGTTCAAGCAATCCTCCTGCCACAGCCCCCCGAGTAGCTGGGATTACAGGTGTCATGCCACCATGCCCGGCTAATTTTTGCACTTTTTTGTAGTGACAGGGTTTCACCATGTTGGCCCAGCTGATTTTGTTAATTTTTAAACAGTCTCAAAAGTGTCTGGTAGAATAGGTCCAGAAAGATATATCCAAGGCAAACATAGCCACCCATCTTTTAGAGGATACCTTTCTAGAATATAGGAAAATATGTTTCTTCCCGATCAGAGGAGTTTCCCCCAGCTCTGACATCCAGTCTGATATTTTTAGAATATTTTAGGTTAACTTAAAAATGCACTCAGTGGCCAGGCACAGTGGCTCACACCTGTAATCCCAGCACTTTGGGAGGCTGAGGAGGGCGGATCACGAGGTCAGGAGATCGCGACCATCCTGGCTCACACGGTGAAACCCCGTCTCTACTAAAAAAATACAAAAAAATTAGCCGGGTGTGGTGGTGGGCGCCTGTAGTCCCAGCTACTCAGGAGGCTGAGGCAGGAAAATGGCCTGAACCCAGGAGGCGGAGCCTGCGGTGAGCCGAGATCTCGCCACTGCACTCCAGCCTGGGCGACTGAGCGAGACTCTGTCTAAAAAAAAAAAAAAAAAAAAAAGTGCAGTCGGTAGCCTACTAGAATGAATTGACCTTGATAGGTTCTTACATTTATCTTTAATCTACTGAAAAGCCTTCAAGTCCTGAATCAGTGGTTCTCAAAGTGTGGTTCCACCAGTAGCATCGATATCACCTGAGAACTTAGAAATATAAATTCAGAGCCCCCACCCCAGACCTACTGTTTTGGAAACTGCGGGGCAGCAGCCCAGCAATCTGAGTTTCAACATGTCCTCCAGTCGATTCCCTAAAGTTTGAGAACCACTGACCTAAACCACTTTGGCATAAATAGCCGAACCAGGACATAGCTATTAATATTACCTCTCAGGGAGTAATAGTGTGTTGGAATTAAAAAGTAGCATGGCAAGGACAACCTAGGGCTCAATTCCTTTTTTTTTAATAGATGAGAAAACTGAGGCTCAGGGAAGTGGAGAGATTTGCCTGAGGTCACACAGGAAGTTAAAAGAGTCAATGGGCTCGAACCCAGTTTTCCTGACTCCAGGCCAGAGGGTATTTTTTCATTTCTCCTGTGACAGTGACATTTCCTTGAGAGGCGATTTTCCTCTTACTCTTTTCTAGAGTGTCTCCATGGGTGGAAGCTTATACAAGTGGTTTTTACATTTCACTACCCTGAGTCCTTCTACTTATTTTCTCCATCTAAGAACCAAAAAAAAAAAAAAAAAAAAAAAAAAAAAAAAAGGTGAATGAACAAGTTTTATTATGGGTAATTCACTCTTCCATGTTCTATATACATTAAAAATGCATCAAACAAGTGAACACCCTTTAGAATTCCTGACACTCAATTTTTTTGAATGCTTGTAGAATGACTTACATTCTATTCTCTGAAAAAGTATAGGATGAGTTTTCAAATCATTAGTTGTAAGGATCCTCAAGGAATGCAAAACTCTAAATGACGTCCTTTAGGATTTCTAGTTTTCTGAGTTTTCTAAAAAATTTAAACATATGTAAACCTCAGAAGACAAGTTACATAATTTTTCTGTGCCTCAATTTATTTGTCTAGAATAATGCCTCCCTTAAAGAAATGTTAGGCAAATCAAGTAAAATGATACATGTAAAGCCTAATGCCTAACATAAAATAAATGCCTAAAAACTATTAGTTCATTCTTTCTTCCTCTTTCCTGTTCTTACTAGTGTTAATAGTTGATTGGAGGTCCAATGTAATTATTAGTGACTTTTTGAAAACTAACATAGGAGCAGCTCATCTGTTCTATAAGAAGTTGCTAGGTGATATCTCTTCTTTGATTTTTCTTGGTGGTTGTCCTAAGGGATTTGCTCTCTTTTGTGTTGATTGGACTCATGCATCCTAACCTATCTTTCCTCACCTTCCTTCATGGGACAGGGGAGACCAGAGGACAGGCCCTACCAAAGAAGAAGAGCTTATCTGTTTGGCTTCCGCAGAGTAGACATCAAGGGACTAGTTCTATGTTATGTTCTTGGGGTAGGGCAGTAATTTTTAGGCCAGTAATTCAGGAACACACTGAATAAAATAAAACTTTATCACGTGATTTTCTAATGCCATGTTTGGTGTAGGCACTAATTCACTTGTATTTCAATACAAGATAAAAATAGTCCCTTCAATTTTCTTATGGTTGCTCATATTTTGCCAAATTCAAGCATACATTTCATGTTTTTTAAAAAGAACACATATTTTAAAATGATAGAAATTGGGCTTTATGCTAGTTTGGGGTGCCAGGCTTGCCTTTCCTAAACGTCTGTCTATGAATCCTTACCTACCATGTCACTCACTTTCTTTTTCTTTTACTGATCATAGATAACATTTTTCTATAAAGTGGCATTGCCCAGTGTGTGTTTTCTACCACTAGGGCAGGCTACCTGACCTGCAGACCCAATTCTTCAGCCATCATCAGTATTAATATTCACTATTACAATATGTAGAATTAGGAGATAATAATAGTATTCACAACAAACTGCAGTTGTTTGTGATAACACACTCGGATTCTCCACTGGGTTTGTGTCCTAGAATGCTTTTGTGGGATCTAATCAACATTCCAATTGTCTTGTAACAGTTCATGGAAGCAACTGTTTCTCAGTTTTGTTTTGTTTTGATGTGTGTCGGGGTGTGTTTTAAGAAAAGTACCCTAAAAATGTTTCAAAGTACTTCTTCTTTGCTATGCACTAACTGGCATAGTAATTGGCACTCCCTATCCAAACACTAGGTCACATTCTGAAAGTTAGTTTTATCTATTTTCTATGGACACATACTTCTCAAATAAAAACATTATTTACAGAAAGGTAATAGAAAGTGGTTATTCAATTCCAGGAGACTGAGGGAAAAGAAAATCACCTTTGCGAGGGTTAACTTTCTCAGAATCAGATATTGGTCCAAGCTACAGTTTCATGTCCCCCACCTGGCTGCCAGAGGGCAGGGAGCGAGGGAAGGGCGATGCTGGAGATAGTTGGTGGTTTCTCATGCAGTTCTGTTTACCTCGGAGAATGGCTCAGATTCATGGGGTGGCTCATCTGTTTGTTTCCCAGGAGTGTCCTCCTCATCAGGTACAAATGACTTGTTGTTCCCCCTGTCCCGTCTGCCTCCTTGGTGACGGATAGACGAGAACTGTTCCCTGTGCTCTGGGACTCTAATGTGATCTGGGTCGTGCTGGTGGCAGAAGGGGAGGGGAGGGTGGGGGAGGCAACGAGGGGAACAGGGGGAAGTTAACACTAAGGGAACTACAGTCTTTCTTGGAAAAGAAAGTGTGTTTGTGTTCTAGGGCTAGTGCCCTTCTCTCACAGCTGTTATAATATTGATCTAGCTGTGATTTGGGACTTGGTGTTAACATCACCCTCGTCAGTGGGAAAGTGAGCCAGGGAAATGGAGAACTCAGTATTTCTTCTGATGAAGCAACTCAAAGAAACCAAATATTACAAGGAGGGTGGGGGAAGGAACACCACTGCTTTGAGTCTCACAGCAGATACAGGAGCCCTGAATTGAATAGTAATACCCGTGGCTTTTATGGCCCCACTGCAGCCAAGGAGCTCGAAGCTTGACTGTACATTAGTCAAAATTGCCTTGTCAGGGGAGGTGATCTCAAGATACATATTAAACAGGAGGAAATTGAGGCAAGAAGATTAGCAACTTACCCGGATTCCCATGCTAATATCGTTGGCAGAGCTGGGAACTCACAGCACCCCATTTATCCCATGACCTGTGGGTTAGACCCATAGCCACCCCAGGGGCACTCGTGGGACACTCAGAGCTCACCATTTGTGGCCCTCACACATTTTCATTATTTGCTTGTCACTCTGCCTTGACTTTCCACCACTAGCAAAACCAGTGCTTGAACAAGTTATTGTATCTCTACAAGAACCCCCTTTAAAGAATCGATTAATAACTATCATGCTTTAGTGTCTACCACGTGTGGCCTAAGCGGTTTATATACAATATTTCTAATCCTTAAAATAGCCCTGCCAGGTAAGTGTTAATATCTTAATTTTATAGAAGAAGCAGCTGAGGACTGTAGAGTTTAAGAAACTTGCACAAGGAGGAAAATGTAGCTCAGGGAGTTTAAATGATTTTTTCCAGGTGACTCAGATAAGAATTGCTGAAGCTCAAAATCGAGGGATGTCAGTTTCCAAAGCCTGCACTCTTTCTATAGAGCCATGCTCCCTTCTTTAACCTTCTCCAAGAGAAACTTAAGCCAGTCCATCTTACTTAATAAATGTATCAAAGATTAATAGACTAATCGCCTTGTAAATTGGAGAGTGGAAGGGCAGGGAGCAGGTGGTGAGTTTTAGGGAGCTGGGGTGAAGGACAAGAAGGGAGATAGCCTAATATCAAAGACACACTTTGCCTCATTTCACAATCTTTCCTGGCCCTGCCAAGTTTACTTCTTGATGAGTAGGCTGTTGCCTGATGTTACAACTCAGCTATTAAGGCACCTGCCCATTAGGAGAAAAGCCCCTGAATGTCACATTCCCCTGAACACATCCTTTCTGTGCAGACACGATTGTAACAAACTTGATCACACAGAGTGAGGCTCCTTAACACTTAGCCATCATTACATTGCTGTCTAGATTGCAAGCTGCTCTAGGGCAAGGGACCGTGTCCTACTCACGTCTGTGCCCCCAGTACAGTGCCCTGACTCATTTGAGGTATTTGATAAATGTTTGTTAAATGTGTGAAAGAACAGCTAGAGGAGTATTGGTAATGACTTTGTTTTAGTTAGCGTCTTCATCACCATGACCTATAGGAGACAGAAAACTGGGTATTTATTTTTATTTTTTATTTATTTTTATTTCTATTGATTGATGGATTGATTGGTTTTTTGAGATGGAGTCTTACTCTGTCACCCAGGCTGGAGTGTAGTGGTGCAATCTTGTCTCACTGCAACCTCTGCCCCCCGGGTTCCAGCTATTCTCCCACCTCAGTCTCCCAAGTAGCTGGGATTACAGGCGCCCCCCACCATGCCCAGCTAACTTTTTGTACTTTTAGTAGAGATGGGCTCTCACCATGTTGACCAGGCTGGTCTCGAACTACTGACCTCAAGTGATCTGCCCTCCTCGGCCTCCCAAAGTGCTGGGATTACAGGTGTGAGCCACCACGCCCGGCTGAAAACTTGCTACTAAGATAAGAGGGAGTAGGGAAACCCCTAACTTTCACTCGTTAATCAAGAACCTCCTACATGCAAGGCATTGTGGAGAATACAAAGATTAGGAAAGCTCTTGTGGAGATTACACTGTACTTGAGGAAACAGAAAGGAAAAGAACAAACTGTAATAGAAATTAAGGTGCCTGGCAACAGAATTCAATGAATTCTGCAATACAGGTCCAGAGATTGCATGGTGGAGTAAGTGGTTAAGTTGATATGAGAAATGTTTAATGAAGAAGATGACACATACAACCTTGACTTGGAAGAGTAAGTAGATAGAGGACAGGGATCCCTAGAGGGGAGCTATTCTGCCTGAAGGAACAATATGAGTAAGGTCAACCAGAGGTGACTTCATTTAGAGGAAGGGCAAATAGAAAAATACACTCAGAGCATAGAATACATGGAGAGATATAGTGGAGCATGAAGTAGAAAAATAATTTGCAGAGAGGCTTAAACCTTGTTTTAGAGAAATAAGGAAGTCAGTGAAGATTTTTCAGAAGTCAAGCAACGTGATCAGACTTGTGTTTCAGAACCACCCTATGGATGCTATGGAAAGAAAATTGCTCCATGAAAGTGGGCAAGCTAAGTGATTTCTTGACTATTTTCTTTGATCCTAAGGTAAGATCCCTTTGCAACGTTTACTTTGTAGAGGCCATAAAACCACATCAAAATGAATCATGCACTATCATCCTCTATGTTTGTGGTTCCAGTAGGCATGATGAAATGCTAAGGTTTACTGAAATTTCAGGTAATCGGGGCAGGAGGGAAATCATTTTAGCAAACACAGGCCATTTGCGTGGAACACCAGATCTACTCAAAATCAAAGTCTGTGTCAAGGAGAGGCAGCACTGGGCAGGTACTGGAGAGCCCTCCTATTTTCAGTGCACAGTGTCCAGCCGAGTGGGGGTCCATTTTTTCTCACCCAGGACAGTTATGACTTGAGACACCTTTTGCAGTGAATCTGAGAATCTCAGCCCCAGGAATACTTCACCTAGTTTGGGTAGTTTGTGTTTTTGTTCCCTCAGGCATAATGCTGCAGAGCACTTAGAGGCACATTTTCCACACAGTGTGTAGGGATTTAGTCCCATTCGTGTTAATGGAAATCCCGCCAGGAAATCTCCATGCTGGGTCACACTGAAAATTCACCCCGATTGTTCTGTTTGATTTGTTTCACCTGTGTCTTCCTCCATTCTGCTCTGAGGATGTTTGCGGGCTTGTTAGTGCCAGCCTGAACCCAGTGCTGAGTCTTAACCCCATACACAATCGAGGAGGCTCAGAGGCATCTTTACTACAGAAGAAAAGGGAATGCCTGGTTGGATTCAGTGCACTTACATGTGAAGCTATATTGGTTCTAAGAAAGCCAAGGATCCCCTGTGTTGCTCTCGGAACAGCAATATGCTCATATTCAAAGCTCGGTTTTGTTGCGTCAGTTCAGGAGGGAGAGAAAGGGAGTAAGCTCCCAGTATGACCAGGGGAGACCTAAGAGCTACTCACCTCGGTGTTGAGGACACAGTGAAGCCCAAACCTGAGCAGAAACAGGCTGGCCAAGTGCCCATGCCTGGGGAGGGCCCAGTGAGGGGAAAGAAGCTCTCTCACCCCCACGTATGGCTGGGAAGAGTGATCACCCTTTTCATAGCACCTGTCCTATATGGACTTCTGAGGGTAGCAAAGATTATTGCTAACAGTGCTGAGCTGTTATACATTAATATATTTTCTCTAGCCTCTAATTTAATAGTTTTCTTCACAATAGCTTGATTTGCTCTTGTGCATTTAGGTACCATGACGTGGTGATTATTGGACTTTTCTCTTCATGATGTGGGAGTGTGGTTGGCAGGTCTGACACCAGGACTCAGCTAACAAGTTGTTTCTGTCGTTGGCCACTGTCACATGTCCTGTCTGATGTTCATGCTCGTCTGAGCACCACTTGTCTCTGTGCCCTTTCCATGTGCTCTTGTGTGCTGACAAATAAATGAGGCCTAAAGCTGCGAACTCCAGCTCTCCCCTTGGGCTCTCAATGCTATACATTAAACCAAGAGCTTAGAAACTCGACTTTGGATTCAAGATAGAATTTTGCCTTACAGCCTCCTCATACCTAAAAATATGATTAAGAGTTTGGGCTCAGGAGTCAGACTGCCATGGCTGACATTCCTGGTGTGCCCATGAACATATTTAACCTCTCAAGTCATAATTCTCACTTCTGTAAAATAAAAGTAATAATGGTACTATGAAATAGGTAAAAATTCAATGAGATAATCCATGCAAAGAACTTAGTTCTGTGCCTCTCTTACAATAAGAGCTCAAAAAGTGATCAGTATTACTCTATTTTATTACTTCTGCAACTCCAAATAATGCTGCAGGTATTTTATATGTAGGGGTGGAAATTGTAAAGGGGCCTTTGAGTATGCTGTTTTTCATTCTGTGTATTGTCTGCTTATTTATGTCATGTTTCTTTAAATAATAATCTTTAAAATTCAGCTCCAGTAAAAAACCATTGTACACATAGGGCATCCTATGGCTTGGTCTCAGCAACCATGGGAGACAGGCAGCACTGGCATGCTCTGCTCATTTCACAGGTTGGGAAACTGAGTCTTAGAATGGTAAGTGGCTCCCTAAGAGCACATATGCAGTATGTGATGTGACTGAGACTTAATCTCAGTTTTTGTTTTTTGAAATAGAGTGCCTTTTATACTTGTTGGGGAAACACAACATGGAAAGAAAAAAATTACAGGATTTTCTGAGCAAAAGAAATAGGAAAAAAAATCTGGGAGAGTCTGTGTAATTCATTATCAGAAGAAGCCAAACAACACTTTTTTTTTTTTTTTTTTTGATGCTTCATAAAGCCAGTGATCTTGGACTTGTAGATGTTTAATTGAAGATGATTTGGAAAAATACAATTCTCCTTCTGCAGTAGCACTTATTCCGCTAAGGGTAAGTTTACCCTTAAATGATTTCAATTTCTACGAAAAAGATATAAGCAAGAATATTGTACCCTGGTGTTTTCAAGGAGCAGCATTTTTAACATCATCATAAATTATTTATTAAGAAACAAGTTGCATGTGGGTACATGCCTAAAACAAATTTTCCAAACAGTCTACATGTCCTACAATTCATATTTGTCTCTGCAAGTCAATAATCTAATGCAATTCCACAAAAGCAAATACATACACAAACAAACAAAATAATATTAAGCCAAACAGGTCAACACAAAGTGAGTAATACTATATAATTGAGAGCCTCTGCATCTCTGTTAGGTATTTTCTTTTTCTTTTTCTTTCTTTCTTTTTTTTTTTTTAAAAAAAAAAAACTTTTAAGTTCAGGGGTACACGTGCAGGATGTTCAGGTTTGTTACAAAGGCAAACTTGTGTCATGGGGGTTTGTTGTACAGATTATTTCATCACTCAGGTATTACGCCCAGTACCCATTAGTTATTTTTCCTGATCCTCTCCCTCCTCCCACCCTCTACCCTCCAGTAGGTCTCAGTGTGTGTTGTTCCCCTCTATGTGTCCATGTAAGTGAGAACATATGGTAGGTATTTTATTTTTCATGCCAAGTTTGAGTCTGAATGGCTTTATGAATTGGAGGAAAAGCAGCAAATGGTGCTACTTTTTTCAGCTTCTTGAGGACTGGTCTGAACTCATACCTTGCCTTATACTGTAAGAGTTGGCACATAGGAAGCACCTCATAGATGCTGGGTAAGTGAAATTGGGTAAAGCAAATGAGATAAAACAATAGATACGCAATTACTTGGAGACATATTGGTGAAGGGAAAATTTCTAGGGTATCCTTAACTACATCATGGAAAGGGTGACTGTATTAAACAAAGGAGCTTGACTGTTATATAACTCCTACTGAGCCTCCACAGAAGTCTAGTCACACAACCGGAACTCGAAATCTCTGAGGGAAGAAAAACTAAGAATGTCTCAGATACTTTGCAAAAAAAGACATAGAGATTTTAAACGTTTATGTATACTAAAAATATTTAATGAAGTTTTATTTTTAGTTAGGACTAATATCATTATTTAGTGCAATGAGATGTGAAAAGCTCACTTTATTTTGTTATGTTTAGTCCAGCATATGGTAAAAAGTTCAGTTTGTAGATCAATTTACAAACAAATTAATGCTTTGAACTTGAGAACTTAGATGTGAGAGGAAGAAGGGTACCAGAGGCTAATATTCAGAAAAAAAATTCCAGAATTAATTTCTCTTGCAATGATTGTCCACTTTACTTAACCCTTGGCTTAGAAGGCCATTCAAGTGAAAACTTTAAATAAGCAAAAGACAAAGTGTTTCCTCAAAAGTCTCAGTAATCTAGAGTTTGAATGGTCCTCAGTGTTCCAGAATCCCACGTTCTCTTTTTCCTTATGTCCCCTGGAAGAGTTTTGATTCACTCCTACAAAGCAATATCCCCTTTTCTTCAAAGAATGTCTGTATTTCAAGCCTTCTCTTTGAATGTCATATCTCAGATGCATCTACACTAGAACTAGTTTAGCCAAGTTGGCCAGTGCAGCGGTTACCAGGTAGAAGAATCTCAATAGCTTGCCTCCCAGCTTGTACACAACAGGGAGGTGGCCATGGGGGCCTTGGTGTTTCTTGGTGAGAACTGGGGCTGTTTAAGCATCATCTGGGGTGGAACTAGAATTCCCAGGAAGACTGATTAGAACTAAATGTTCTTTTGTTTGATCTTGATCTTACTTTAAAATCTCTCTGTAACAAGGGAGATTGTGCTGGCTAAGACACATGTATATTTTCCCTTTCCTGTATATGGTATTCCCATTGAAATAAAAATGATTTGGCCAGGCTTACCATTTTGTGCCTACACATGCACTTACAAGCATATCAGTCCTTGTTTTCTTTGTGCCAAAGACCTCTCAGCACTCTTTCAAGTAGGAGAAATAATCTCCATTTTCTATTTGCTGTTGACTCCATTTCTCTATTTGGTTTGTTTAATAAACATTGAATTTACACATAACAGGGGGATAAGGTTCAGGACAAACAACCACAGTTCAAGGAAGAAAGTGACACAAGACAGAAAGGTTATGGGGTAACATGCACACCTATCATTCAGTTAAAACTATGGGTTTTGATGTTTGAATCAATTTGTGGGGTTGTTGGGGCTTTCTTTTTTGTGGCGATAATATTGGAGCTATGGAGGTAATTTGTGTTATTTTTCTTTCTTCATTCAATCAATTGCTAATGGTTTAGGAATCCAGTGCATCCATGCCAACTTTGGAATTGCTTTTGTTTCCTAAATGTTTAATTAGAAATCAGAACCAATTTACAGAAATAAGGCTGAAATAAATTTCTCTGACATGTATGGTATTTCTTATTTCTTCAGTTTATGACATCACTATTCCTTTATCTCTGTGAATAATGAGAGCTGCAGAGATGTGACACTGAAAGATTGAAAACTGACTCACTAACTTATAATGTGGCTTTCTCCAATAGCTAATATTTGAGCACTCAATCTCTACTAAGTAACTGCTTTTTGTGTTGTTTTATTCAATACTCAGGAATCCTAAGAAGAGATACTATTATTCTTTGTATTTAACAAATAATCCAGATAAATTAAGTAATTTACCAAGGCCACACTAATCTAGGATTTAACCCCAGGCAGCCTGAGTCCAGAGCCCCCTGCTTTGCTATGTCACAGCTTTACTGGGGGCTTTCATTCTCCACCTAGACATTACATTCTCATCTTCAACAAAGAGTTAAGTGTTAACCTGTGCCTTCTACTAGATGCTAAATATTCCAGTCTAAGGATTATTTCCTTAATCAAATGGGATTACCCATTTGAACTAATTACTTCAAATATAGTAGATGCTCAAATATCTGAATTGATTACTTCAAATATAATAGATGCTCAATACATATTTATTAAGTTGAATTTAGCTCTTATCTTAGTCCATTTGCGTTGTTATAACAAAATACCATAAACTGAGTGGCTATAAGCAACATAAATTTATTACTCACTGTTCTAAAAGCTAGAAAGTCCAAGATAAAGGTGTCAGCAGATAAAGGCTAATTTCCTGGTTCATCGATGGTACCTTCTTGCTGTACCTTCATAAGGTGGAAAGAGTGAACTAGCTCCCTTAGGCTTATTTTATAAGGGCACTAATCCCAACTGTGACATAAACCAATTATATCCTGAAAAACTCTTCCTTCCTTCCTTCTTTCCTTCTTTCTTTCTTTCTCTTTCTTTTTTTCTTTCTTTCTCCTTCTCTCTTTTTCTCTTCCTTCCTTCCTTCCTTCCTTCCTTCCTTCCTTCCTTCCTTCCTTCCTTCCTTCCTTCCTTTCTTTCTCTTTCTTTCTTTCTTTCTTTCTTTCTTTCTTTCTTTCTTTCTTTCTTTCTTTCTTTCTTTCTTTCTTTCTGACAGAGTCTCACTCTGTTGCCTAGGCTGGAGTGCAGTGGCGCAGTTTTGGCTCACTGCAATCTCCAATTCTCCTGCCTCAGTCAGCCAAGTAGCTGGGACTACAGGAGCCCACCACCATGCCCGGCTAATTTTTGTATTTTTAGTAGAGATGGGGTTTCACTATGTCGGCCAGGCTGGTCTCGAACTCCTGACCTCGTGATCTGCCTGCCTCAGCCTCCCAAAGTGCTATGATTACAGGCGGAAGCCACCGCTCCCAGCCAAGGCCCCACTTTCTAATATCATCACCTTGGGGGTTAGGATTTCAACATAAAAATAGGGGTGGGGTGAGGTGGGACACAAATACTTAGATCAAAGCAGTCCTTAATACTATTCCTAATCTACATGTTCTTAATATACTGATAAATTAACTCCAAGTTTTCTTTTGAGCTCTCAGCCAATCCTTAAGCAGCCTACTAGACATTTCCCGCTCAATGTCATACAACTAGTACTTCCAGTGCAACTCATCCCAAATTCAGCTCAGTGTCTCTCCCTTTCCCTTTCCTCAGATTAGTTCTCCTTTGTGTTCTCTGTATCAGTTTATAGGTAGCATTCCTATCCACTATGAGCCCTACTAAAACTTAGGAGTCATCCTCCACATCTTAATTTTCAACACACTTTCCCTATCATCCAGGAAAAGTGAAGCTTCTTAGAAACATTATCACACATATCACATTTTAACATTCATTCATTCCTTTGAAATACATGTATTGAGCACCTGCTCTGGGCCAGGTGCTTTCCTAGGGACACAGATGAATAAGATGAGCCCGTCCTGTGAGAAGACACAATATAGTGAGGAAGGAAGAGGTGGGTATAAAGATGGATTGTAGTTATTTATTTCTGTTACCCTTGAGAGAATATAGCTGCATGGAGGGAGGGTTTTTTAAAATCTTCAATATTTAGCACAATACCTGATGTGTAGTTGGTGACATATATAAAGGCTTAAATGATAAATGAATTAAACTACTACCTATATGGTATATTATGGATTCCTTCATTCGTTCTTTTCATAATATGCTACTGATGCTTACCACCACTGAATTCTTATTTTCCTCTGATTTATTCTATGGTGAGTTGTTGGAGATCATCACTCAATCTATATTATTAGCTCTCTGAGTCAAGAGGTAGTATGTGTAAACCCATACAGTTCATCACAGTGGTTCCGGGTCAACAGACACTCAATATTTATCAAACTGAGTGGGCATATGGGCCCTATTGGTTTGAAGTATGGGAGTCACTGGACACTGAACATTCTTACTTTAACCATTAGTTTGTGCTATGTCTGAGTAATGGGTCATTAACATTAGGTTGGTCTTCAGGGTTTCCACCTGAATAATTTTATAGGATTGAGGGTAGGAAACAACCAATTTAGAACAGGATCACTCAGTGAGTTAAGAAAAGGTCATATGCTTCTTTTGAGTTGATACTGGAGTCCCATTTAGTTAAATGGTAGGTAAATAGTAAGTAGAACATAGGGAGAAACTTGATGGTGTCTGCCAAACTTGCCCCTTCTGTTTGCAAGTCAGACTTGCTGCATCCTCACTCATGTATGAAACAGTAAAGAGGAACCAATCAAGGTATTTATTTATTTAGCACCAGAGTCAGCAAAATCCTGTCTTCCCTCAAGTAGTTAAAAGGAATAGCACACTGGAGAGAGAATTGCAAACATTGGTTCCTATAAAAGAAATGTGAACTGGTTCTGATAATGCCAACGGTTACCTGACATACATTCTTCCTGTAGTGTTTTAACAAGCGGGACTATTTTTAGGGAAATTCTTTGCCTTGAACTAAATTTATGGCCTTAAAGTCTTCTCGTCTATTTTTCGTGTGTGCGTGCTGCAACGGTCCAATTTATAACTGACACCTTTACTACCTACCAGCATATCAGTTTCATCTCCCAGAGGAAGAGAAAACCAGACCCTGTGACTAGTGAACTGGATTGAAAATCTAGTCTAATGCTGACAGATAAATGCACTAATTTTCTTCTGTGACCGGTTCTGCATTGCAGGGTGAGCCTGCTTCTAACAACTCCCTCAAAAGGCTCTGTAACCCGTCCAAAAGATGATGTCAAGTGCTACAAGGACCCAGGTCAGCCCTGCATCATAGGTAACAGTTACCCCAGTGATAAAGTTACCAGGCAGGTTTTGAATGAGATTGTGTTTTTAAATGAAAGACTGGCTGGAAATGTAGACTTGGACCAAGCATTAATAGGGGAAAATTTGAGACAAACAGAGGTTAGCATTTGGTTTCTTTGTGGTGTTCAGCAAAGGTCAGGGAAGGTTCTAATACAGAAGGAACCCAAAGTTTCAATGAGAAGTCGTGGTGCTCCAGCAATACACGAGCATGTAGCTTAGACAAAGTGAACTCTAGCTTTAGCCAAGAGCAATTTTATGACATGGGAGCCCCAGTCATTCAACTGAAACTGGTCACTTATCTTGGATAAATCCGTGAGCAGTTGAAGACCTGCTGAATATCTTATTTAATTTTATTCTGAGGAAGAAGTGGCACCCCTCAACCCCCATGCCAACTGTTTAGATCAAATGGGGAGGGAGGACATAAACAGCAGGCATGGGACCTGTCAGATAGCTTTAGAGATTAACTTTATGGTTTTTCTCCTATACACCAGAGTCATGGCTGTAGAGGCAGCTCATGAATTGACCAGACCCCAAATGGCAACCATGTTCCCATTATCCATCTGTTGTGTTCCTCACAAAGGTTTAAGTACAAGATTGATTATGCATGTCTGACAATGTGAAGTACCTCTGAGTAAAGAAACTAGAAACAGTTTCTCACTCCGGACAAAAGAAAGATGTACATCCAGAAGATAAATAGTGAAAATCTAGGCAATAAATACATAGGAGATACCTATGTTGTTGTAAAAAAAAAGGGAACAGTTTTTGAATGTTCTGAAAATTTTAATACCTTGATTTAAAGTGCCTATACAAGTTGATTTTAAAAATAAGTACGTAAAACTCTCTTCAAAGCAAACACAGCTAGTGAGAAACCACATCTCACTGAAAACAAGCTTTATGTGGAGAAAAGTAAGGAATTGTTACAGCACAAATCTGAAATTAAACTCACTGCAACTAAAAGGAAAAATCAGATTGTTTGCTCAGATGAAGAGTTTATTATGTTGGCATAAACAAAATGAAAATATTTTCAGTTTTGAAAAGACAACAAAGAGGGAACGGTTTTGCATGGATGGTCACGGAGAGGGGGATTAAAAGCACAGAGGTGCGGAGCATACGTGCTGCTGAGCTTCTCTCTGTGCAAGGTGGAGATTAGACTCACGGAAACTCTTGCTGCTGTAAACCCGAGGGGACGCGGTTCCTGACTCCTCCACCAGCTGCTGCCCAGCCGGCTCCAGCACAGGCTGCCCAGGCCATGCTTCCTGGCCGAGGGCCCTCCACGTGGGCGTCAGCCTAGTCCGGGAGAGCTGGCGGCTCCACGATGGTAATGTCTAACCCTGCATCCTTCCTCGGGCGCCACCTGTTTCTTTCTCTGTGACTCTTTTTTGATTGGGAAGAAAGATGTTTTGTCAATGATTCCTGACTCCAGAGAATTTTAGGAGGGTCTTCTTTCTTTCCCTCTTCATCCTGAAAGGGGACTTTGCTTGAAATTTCCTCAGTAGAAAGAAGTCAGAAAAATAATACCTTCACAGTATAGAACTTTATCTACTTCAAAGCCCTTTCCCATACTTTATCTCCTTCAATACTACCCTATGAGGTGGTAGGGCAGGTGTTCTTAAGCCCCATTTTGCAGATGATGACCCTGAGGCTCAGAGAGGTTAAATGTGTTGCCCAAGCTCACACAGCTGGTAAGTGAAGTCCAGGGTAAGAACTCTGACTCCTGGCCTTGAACTTTTTCAGATTTTATCACAATGAGCATGTGCTGCTTTCTACAAAGAGATTTGGAATAATATAGATGACAAGATGTATTTTTCACTTCTTATTTACTCGTGTGTATTGCTACTACTGCCTTATTTTCACATTCCAAAGTAACTTATTTATTATTCATCTTCTTGAGAAGTGGGTAATTATGTTTTTATATGTTTTCTTTTAGATAACTATAGCCCTGTTGTGGGTTATATGCTACTTATGTGTCCTTGGGATCTTTCGATAGATAGATGATAGATAGATAGATAGATAGATAGATAAACAGATAGATGACAAAGATATGCAGACATGTACTTTTTGATATTGACAGTAATGTATTCATTTGTATTTGTTTCCCAAAGAAATAGTTTTACTTGATGGTATTTTGTGTTTTTCTCTAACTCTCATTCAAAACTTATGCAAATTGTTAATGCCCAAAGATTTTTGAAGAAAAGAATTTAGGAGAAAACCTTAACCACGTTACACCCAATATCTTCCAATGATTTTAAAGTTTCACTAGAGGGCACTCCCACTTCATGGCCAGAAAGCAGTCAGGACAAAGGACCATAGTGGTTTGGATATTTAACTTGCTGTACATACTATTTTGTTTTCTCTTTCTCACTCTCTCTCCTCTTGCCTATTGTATAAAAACTAACGGAAATTATACAGGTCTTCCTTTAAACATATAAATAGAAATGAACTACATTGAAAAACTAGCAAACATCTACAACTGTGAATTATGGTTCACCTTGTGACATAGAGCATATTATTCAAAATCTTCTGCATTGAAGTTTTGGTTGTCAACATAAATAAAAGTATGAAATATAGTGTGAGACATTAGCGTACTACATTAAGTAATATGTCCTTTATTGAGCAACCTGGGGAAGAAAGCCAATAACTACCCAGCACTTATTTCCAGCTTGTAGGATCATCATGGTCATCTTTTCTGGTAAATCTTTGGGTAAATCCAAATCACAAAGATGTGTAGGGTCAGAAAATGAGAATTAAAGGAAAATCCAAATGGATAATCAAATAATATTGCTTTAGAATAAATTAAACGTTAGGCCCCACTTTTTAATGTATATATTTTTATGTATTAAAGAATCTGAAGATTATTTTAAATACATATTTTAGCAAAACAGTAGAGCATTTCTTGTGAGAGGAAAATAAGGTATTTCAAAGTTAGAAGGGAAGTAGCCATTTGCCAAGTATAGAACCCCACAGAGTCCTTAGGCTTGAAGTTTCAAACTGATTTCAACCCTTTGGGGGTTTGAATTTCTCTACTGTTGGCAAAACACAACTTCTTGCTTCAAAGAGAAATGGCATTAAGAAGGCCTGTTACAGAGAGACTCAAAAGACTTGTTGGACACCAAATCACTCTTACAAAACACCATTTTGATGAGTTTAGTAAAAATGAATCACAAACATATGGATTAAGTTTTTCTTTAAAATTATATTGGCTTATAAAACAAGGGAAAGGGGGCATGGTAAAAAAAAAAAAAAAAGTTTCAAGCTTTGCAAAACTCCAAAACATTTGAAAAACGGATTAAGATGCTGATGGACCCAGGGAAGCAACTGGATTTTCCCTGTGCTAACTTGAACCATCTTTATTTGATTTAAATTCATATCAAAGGCAAAATAAACAATATGACTGTCTGCCATTATTATCCACAAAGGGAAACACACATTTGCTTCTTAACCATCCACTTACATGCTTCGGTGAAATCGTAGGCGTATGTGTTTATTTCACAATGATGTAAAACTTAATTACTCATATGACCTAAAAGGTTTCATATTATATGAATAGAATGCAGTGCCTCTAATGTAGCCTAAGCTGAGGACTCCTTGGGAAACTTATCCCAAATAATTAATTACTGGAGTTAAATTCTTTTCTGACAACTCTAGAAGTAAAGTACACCTGATGTGAAAGACCTACAATGGCCATCATGTGGGGAAAATTCTCACTCCAATGGGTGACACCAAAACAACTTTACTACCAATCACCAAACCAACTAAGAGTGAATAGGCTTAAATAAATCATGTTTTAAAGGCATCTAAGGTGAACAACAAAGCAATCCTAGGCAATCAGGAATTGATGACAGAAATCACTAAAAATTGGCAGATCCTACTGAGTTTTCTCCCCCTAATCCAAGTAATCAGAACTGAAGTACAATGAAAAAGAAAAAAAAAAAAAGAAATTTGAGATGCAACTAATGGATTTTATAAGTCATGAAATACAAAGTTTCTCCTTTCCGCCAATGAATCAAGGGATATTATATGATATTATATGAAGTTGCCTTTATCATATATATATATATATACACACACACACATACATATATACACACATATATATACACACATATATATGTGTATATATACACACACATATATATATACACACATATATATATACACACATGTACATTTAAATATTTTAACTTTACTCTTATAAATGTTAAATAATCATTTGTAGCAAGAGTAGACAAATTTCAGAAGTTCTATCTTTAGATATATTTCTAACAAATGTTACCCTTTTATATAACCAAATAAAAATGTTTTCCCCAGGAAGTGTGGTGATGAACAGTTGGTCTATAATCAAAAGGTTCTTTCTATGAAGCATGTTCAGCTTTCCTTTTAAACATGAACATGGAAAATAATACCAACTCTACCAAGCGTTGGATTTAGCCCATTATCATGTGCAAATGTACCTGCCTATTAACTTACAGATTGGGCAGGTATTTTACTAAGGTGCAGTATTTCTGTCCTGGGTCATAGCTTGAGTTATTCTCCCTTTCAAGGTCCCCAATGCTTCATCTGTCACTCTTATTGTCAAATGTTCTATTTTTCCTGTCCCTGCCAGCAGTGATTTCAATTTGGGCTTGACTTCAAGACAGGCCACATTGTATCTGTGATGTCAATGGAAAGGGGATAAAAGTCATTAAAGATATTTGTTATTTTGAAAGGTTAAAAGAGTTTTTCTTGGTGGGTAACACTTTCTCTGGAAAGAACCTCAACTAATTGTCTGACCAGGGAATGCGCACCTAAGTGAGAAAAAAATATACTTAATAAAGCATTGGCGTCTATTATTTTTCCCCTTTTATTGTCCAGTGCCTCTGGGCCTGGTGGGCTTTCTGGAGGCATCTGAGCTCAATATTCCTTCAAACAGCAGAGCAATGATTACACTGCTGGGCTGATTCTCTTTCTGTCTGCCCTAGGTAAGGGATTCTTGCTTCAAACACCATTTATTGTAGAAACTGTTGCTAGGGTTCTAGAAATTGTGTGTATCCTTAAAAGAGTACCAAAAAGACAGAATTGGAGGTTCACATAAAATACCATTTTGTTGTACTTAGTACCCACCTCACCTAACATTCACTGCTCCATAGCAATAGAGCAAGAAATTAAGAATAGAATGCTTTCTAAAGGGCCAATGGTACCCACATAATTTGAGTTCTTCTAAGAAAGGTAGTGATGGTAAAAAGCATATGAACTCAAGAACAATAAACCAAACCCACACCAGCACACAACATCCATCTGTGTAATGCTTTGAAAATTAGAAAGAACCAACTTGTGTCATTTACTTTTGTCAGATTGTAGGGGAGAAAGCACACACAAAAAATAGCATACTTTTAGTTACATTAGATTTGGGGTTTAATTTAAAAGACCCTCACGGATTATGAATGATCAAAATGGAATAAACTCATCCTTCAGTGGGAAAGTTAAGATTTTTCTCTTGATATCATTCACATGTGGATGGCAATGATTCTTTGACAGTCACTATTTTCTAAAATGTAGTTACCCGAACACATCTGAATAACACAAAAGAGAAAGGAACATTTTGATGTGTTGAGGAAAGTTGTTTTGACAAATGTCAGCGCCTGGGTCTTGCTGGCTGAGGCCTGTTGTTGACTCTGCAAGGCTGCCTGAGTACTATAGCTTATGCCACTCTGTCAGGGGGAATTGGACATGCCCAACACAATTCATTTCCATTTCTCTACAACATTACAAGCTTCCTTGGCAGCAAAATCACATATTCTTATCACAAAAATAAATGAGAGAAAAGAAGACATACATTTCTGTCAAGTTATGTCAAGACATATTTGGTATGTATTTCACTTCACTATCACTGACAGCAAAGATGTCACGTATTCTTAATACAAAGTAAAGAAGTATTTTCCTTTTTTTCCCCTGCAAGGCATCAATTTCATTTTATTCACTTATAAGCACTGGTGACAGGAAGGTGTCTTTTTAAAACAAAGCTTCAAAAAAGGCAAAAAAGGGAATAGTTTTTGTGTTTTGCTGGATTTCTGAATGGACATATTGTACATGCATTTAATTTGACAGTATCATAACAACCACGATAATAGTCATCTATCACCACTTTATTATACATTTTCACAACACACATTCATTGCTCTGATTTACTCCTTTCCGTGCATGTAATAGGATGGTTTAAAACAAGTCATAGTGATATTGATTTTCCTTTAAAGATGCCAGTGGATGAAAAAAGAAAGGAAGGACAGAAGGAAAGAAAGATGAAGGTAAGAAAGGAAGGAAGGAAAGCAAGATAAAAGGAAAGGAAGAAAGGAAAGAGAAATGAATTAGTTTACTCAAAAAGAGATACAAGTCCTTAACATTAAATAAAACAAAAATCTTGAAAGATCTAAGTGTGATACGTTAGAGAAAGTTAACATTAGATCATCATTTGGGCAGTTTATATTTGCGTCAATATTATAATGAACGACCTTTATCTTTTACTTCATGATGTTCTAGTTAATTATATTTTGACAAATGTGCGTAAGAATTCAATTCAATAGAAGAATGTTTCCTCTAGCTACCTCACCAGAAGTGGGTGGAGCTCTTGCTTCTGTGGTTGACAACCGAACCACACTCAAGTGGGCCAATACCCTTCAGAGGAAATGTGGAGTTTCCCAAGCCGTTCTTATTCCCATCTTCAGGAAGAGCCTTCCCTAAGAATGTTTTGCTTATTGTTCTTTAAATGCCACTGTACTCATATCTATGACACTTATAAATCTATAGAATGTGGGAGCTAAGAGTTATTTTAGAGACTATTTAGTCAAACAACCTCATTTTACAGCTTAAAATAAAAAAACCCAGAGCAGATGAAATCAAACAGGCAGCTTGTCATCAAATTAGACTTAGGAAATAGTATTTAGTCTGGTAGTAATGAAAGATCATTAGAGATTTCTATGTAGGGAATTAATATAATAAAAGTAATAGGTATGCATCACTGTTTTCTAGGCTTTTCAGTTATACAAAAAGTCCAAAAAAGTTCTTAGAAATACATAGACAGCCAGATATACACAACTAAAAACTAAGGGAACCAAACATAGTGTTGCAACTTTTTTCATCAAGTGGAGAAATAAAAACAAATGCATTATCACTGAATAAATACTTAACTAAAATTTTGTATAAGAAATGTTTTTAATAGAAAAAAATGTTGAGGCCAGGCCCGGTGGCTCGTTGTCTGAAATCCCAACACTTGGGAGGTTGAGGTGGGAGGATCACTTGGAGCTGGGGAGTTTGAGGCTGAAGTGAGTTATTATCACATCACTGCATTCCAGCCTGGGTGACAGAGTGAGACCCTATTTCTAAAAAGAAAAAAAAAAAGGAAAAAATTTCAAATTTTTTCAAAACTGAAATGTAAATCACTCCCTGGAGATTCTGAGTCCACAGGTCTAGGATGAGGCCAGGTTTGGCGGAACTACTGATTTATTTCACCTACCCCTCCAAAGCAGAAAGCTTTCCCTCATCTTTGAGAGACAGTGCCACAGACTGCTGGATGCCTGTTCTATTTGGGATCCTTCCTCTTTGAAAGAGATGTTAAAAATCTGTGTCTGTAAGGGGCTGAAGATTTGGGATCTGAAGGTGGGCATCCAAGTTCAGCTCATTTTCCTCACATTGAAAAAAAAGAGAATTATGGTAAGGAATTCCCACTCCACAGGACTGTCATGAGGCTTAAATAGGAATATAAATGTGAGAATTTCTGTGTAAACTGTAAAACACTTCACAAATGTTAGTTACTGTAATAGTATGTAGGATCTGGCATTTGATTTGCCAATTTCCTTAAAGGCTAATTTAAAAGCCAAATAATATTCCTCTACCCTCACCCCATACCTGAGTACAAAAATTCTCAAAGTAGAACATGCTAAACCAGAGATATTTTGTCCTAGATGAAACCTGAGGTTATTGTTTGAGGTTTCATTTTAACGTTAAAATTACTAGAGAACAGAGGGATGTCTTAGAATCACACAGCTGTTTCTTGGAATCTTCGTCAAGAAGAAACGCCGTACTTGTGCCCTTTTCCTGACTCATGTTTCTATTGTAGAGTTAAAGGGCATTCTTTTTCCAAGAAAACCAAAAGCACAAGAGAATCCAAGGCAGTGCTTATTGGCACCTACACTAACTGGGTATCAATAGCATTAGAAACAATGAATGCAATCCACGTTAGAACTGAAAGGTACTTTAGATTTCACAATCCAGCTCCCTTATTCTGTAGATGAGGAAACAGAGACCCTTTCAGTGAAGGGGAATGAGTTGCCTCACATACCACAGATCTCCCAGTCTCGTGTCCTTTCTGAGACAATACAACTGGGAAGGGCTTATCCTGCTGTTTCTATCCCACCTGTGAAGGTGCAGCTATTGAACATACACAAACAATGCATACACAATCACACATTCGTATATGGAACATACAAAAACAGCAAGACGGCACGTGAAGACGCTGCTCCCTTCCTCCCTCCACCTCTCCAGGGACCAGGTACATTGATTTGTTTGTTCCTTCCTTTGCTGATTCTTTCACTGGTTCATTCATTCAACAATCAAGTGACCCTCAAATATTTGGTGAACAGCTACTATGTGTAAAGCACTGAGCTCAGCAAAGCAAGAAATAGGAAAAGCAAAGGCAGTGTGAAAGGAAAGACTTATGCATGTGGAAAATATACCATCACTGAAAATATAGAGGTCCAGTGTGAAATGCAAGAGTTAGAGCAAGAGAGCATATTTCAGTAGCGCAAAGAATGACATAGATGAGCAGCGAGTAAATTTACAGCAGCTTGAAAAAGAAAAGCTTGGGTAGAAATAAAGACTCATTAAAAACAAACAAGCAAGAAAAGCCAATGAAGGGCTCAGTAGAACATGAGTCCCACGATATCAGCCTCTTGTCTGTCTTACGCACTGTTGTACATTCAGTGGGTGTTCAGTAAATGTTTGTGAACTGAATGGCATAGTTGCAGGACGTCTTCTCCTTGAATCTGGACTCTCAGTTCCTAACCTGGGATAGGAACTTTAACCCACAATTAAGTGGACTTAAGACACTATATTTGTTAAATGTTTGGCCCAGAACTTGGGGCCTTTTCATTATGGTTGCTTTTGAGGAAATCACTGAATTTGAGGAGTGATTTTTGTATCATTTCGTTCCTTTAGGAATAAAAATACACCCACATTTCAGTGTTTCAAAAGGTTTAAACTACTTTAATGTTCCAGGAAAAATTAACTGCTAAAAAAGTAGATACAAACATGTTTACTGGTGGTGTACTTTTTTTTTTCACCTTAGGCTCCAATGTGGCTTGGCATCTTGGCATGGTACTGGACTTTATTCAAAATTTCAATGTTTGGTTATCATTGATTTTTGCATTAATTTTGATGCTTAAAATATTACATTGAGATAGTGTTGAGCTTGATTATGAGTTTTTTTGTTTCCCCCCACCTCCTAACCCTTAAATTTTGTGCCCAAAGCAAGTGTCTCACTTGCCTTAAGTTAATCCCAGCCTGAAGAACAACCTTTTCCAGTCAGTTTCACTGCAGCTCTGCCTGAGCTTCTTTACAAATTAGAGCCTGATAAGTTGTCTAAGGGGAACCTGGAGATTGACAGGAGATGGAGAAAGCAATGGATCCTGAGAAAAGAAGCTGGGGAAACTCGTATCTTCAAGAATCATATTGTGGTTGGGTGCCATGGCTCATGCCTGTAGTCCCAGCACTTTGGGAGGCCAAGGCAGGTGGATCACTGGAGGTCAGGAGTTCAAGACCAGCCTGGCCAACATGGTGAAAACCCAACTCTACCAAAAATACAAAAATTAGCCAGTCTTGGTGGTGGGCGCCTGTAATCCCAGCTACTCGGGAGGCTGAGGCAGGAGAATTGCTTAAACCCCAGAGGTGGAGGTTGCAGTGGGCTAAAATGGTGCCACTGTACTCCAGCCTGGGCGACAGAGTAAGACTCTGTCTCAAAAGGAAAAAAAAAAGAAGAATCAAATTGTATTTTAAATTCATTGCTGTAGATTCTAAAGGTGAACTTACGAATGTGAATTGTTTGTAAAACAAGGGATTGCTTTTTTAAAAATCATATATTTGTTTTTATAATACTGTTTTGACTCAGAACAAAGCACCCACCGAGGTGGGCAGATCACTTGAGGTCAGGAGTTTGAGATCAGCCTGACCAACATGGTGAAACCTCATCTCTACTAAAAATACAAAAAAAATTAGCTGAGCGTGGTGGTGCATGCCTGTAATCCCAGCTACTGGGGAGGCTGAGGCAGAAGAATTGCTTGAACTCGGGAGTTGGAGGTTGCAGTGAGCCGAGACTGTGCCACTGCACTCCGGCCTGGGTGACAGAGCAAGACTCTACCTCAAAACAAAACAACAACAACAACAAAATGCCACAAAGCACCCATATATACCTTCTCGCTCAGTGTGGCTGTTTATTATCTTTTTTTTTCTACCTCATTAATATAAGAGAGAAAGAATAAGGTGGGTTTTAAGACAGAAATTTACCAGTGGATAGAGAAAACAATGGGGTGGGGTGGGGCAGGTGCTGCAATTTGTGAATAGCTTTAGAGATCAGAATCTCTTGGGGACTGGGAGATCTGGGGGTGGGAGTGGACTCTGTTCAAAACTCGTATTTTATATCTATTATAAAGTTTAGTGGAATTTGTTATGAACAGAAATAATTAGTTCCTTTCATAAGGCCTAAAACAACTATAACTGTGCAGGGTTTTTTTTTTATTGTGTTTTTAAATCAATTAAAAAGTATTATATGCATATAGTATATAAAGTTAGGAAATATTTATAATAGAAAATAAAATGAAAATCATCCATAATCTTACCACCCAAAGATAACCATTGTTAAACAGTTTAGCATGCTAATTGGTAACTTCCTCCCAGTCTTGTTATGGTGCATATAAGTGATATCATACTTCATTTGCAGTTCTGCATCCTTTTTATTTACTATTATATTTTGAGCATTTTCTCATGTCTTTAAAATCATCAACATATATCATTTCTTTTTTTTTTTTTTTTTTTTTGAGATGGAGTCTCACTGTTGTCCAGGCTGGAGTGCAGTGGTGTGATCTCGACTCACTGCAACCTCCGCCTCCCAGATTGAAGTGATTCCTCTGCCTCAGCCTCGAGTAGCTGGGGTTACAGGTGTGTGCCACCATGCCCGGCTAATTTTTGTATTTTAGTAGAGACGAGGTTTCACCATGTTGGGCAGGCTGGTCATTTCTAATAACTATATAACATTCTATTGCATGGGTTTAACAGGTCCCCTGTTGTTGGACATTTAGTTCAGTTTTAATAATTACCATTATAATAATTCTATAATAAATATTCATCTTTGTACATAATTAATTGGTTTAATTTCTGTCCATTGGCTTAGGCCAGATTTTTAAAAGTGAATATCGACCAGGCGCGGTGGCTCACACCTGTAATCCCAGCACTTTGGGAGGCTGAGGTGGGTGGATCATGAGGTCAGGAGTTCGAGACCATCCTGGCCAGTATGGTGAAACCCCATCTCTACTAAAAATACAAAAATTAGCCAGGCGTGGTGGCACGTGCCTGTAGTTCCAGCTACCTGGGAGGCTGGGGCAGGAGAATCTACTGAACCTGGGAGGTGGAGCTTGCAGTGAGCCGAGATCGTGTCACGCACTCCAGCCTGGGCCACAGAGTGAGAATCCACCTCAAAAAAAAAAAAAAAAAAAAAGTGAATATCAAATGTTTTTATTTTTGAAGAACGTATAAATTTTATTTATTTATTTAACTCTGTTTTTTTAGGTATAACTTAAATACAATTTCACACTTTATTATATATGTTCTCAACTGATCTTTCTACTGATTTAGTGTCTATGAGATATACCAAGGTTCTTATAATAATTGGAAAAATGTATCAGTGCAAATGCTAATGAGTAAATATTTCAATCAGAAATTTTTCTGGAGAAACCCACTGCTATGGATTTTTTTCTTTTGAATAAAGATTCTTTGAGTTATTGAAAGTAAATAAGAATTTGCCTGTTTTTCTAATATTTTTTGAATATTTTATTTACTTTTGTATGTGATGTCCATGATAAATAGGATGATAGAAGAAATACAGCCTCTTTTGTACTTCAATTCCTCAAATTTTCCTGGGTCACACTTAGGGTTAGTGTGCTGGATAGGCTGCATTTGAAGATATGACTATATTTCCTTTGTTTCCTAGTTTGGGTTAGTCTGGTATGTTTTAAAATATGGTTATGCAGACACATTTCTAAGCATTCCTTCCAGCTGCTGGCTGTTGCTTTCGTGGGTGGCCACCCCAGGGTTTCCTGAGGCCTTCTGTTGGTTCTACTCGCTGGCTGTCGCCAGGGCCTTCCCTCTTCCACTACCCTGGGTGTCTGTGCTTGTTACAATGGAGGCCGATCCCTCAGCCACACCAGGAGCAGATATGGACATAAGGGAAGTTTCTCAAGAGCCATCTGGTGGCCAATTGTGAAGTTTAATGTCGTTATTGAGAGATGCATCTCTGGGGCCATCAATTATTGGTTCCATGACCTTCTCACCTCCCCAGCTCCTGAAAATAATCAATGCAAATCTTTTTTTCAGTGCCTAACTTGGGTCAGACACTTATGCTGAACTCTTTACAAACATCATCTATTAAATCTTCAGAGCAACTTTCTGAAGTGGGTACTATTATTTCCATTTTACAGATGAGAAAACTGAGGCCAAAATATTCCAGAGCTCAGATTCAAGAGCCCATGCAGCCCTGTGCTGTGCAGCCTTTATCCACATTCTTATACATCACTTCTACATTCTGGGTGGGCCGAAGCTGATGGGTGCCTAATGACAAAAGGAACTGACTAGACAAAGATGGAAGCTCAAAAGCTCCCTCTCTGCCTTTAGGGTAGAGGGGTGGGGAGGGTGCAGGCCAGCGGCAAAATGTCAAAGCAGGGCTCCTCCTATCTCCTAACCTAGTCTCTACTACTTCCTAGAAACGTCTCTGTCTCCCTCCTGCCTCTCCCAAGAGCTTAATGACCTCACTCTGACTCTGGATTGCCCAAAGTCCTCCTCTTTAGCCATCTACCGGCTGCAGCTCCTACCAAAATGCCTCACAGTCTAATAATGCACTGGAGACTAAAGGGAACACTCGTTTTTTACCTCTTTTTTTTTTTCGAGATGGAGTTTCACTCTTGTTGCACAGGCTGGAGTGCAATGGCACAATCTCGGCTCACTGCAACCTCTGCCTCCTGGGTTCAAGCAATTCTCCTGCCTCAGCCTCCCGAGTAGCTGGGATTACAGGCGCGTGCCACCACGCCCAGCTAATTTTGTATTTTTAGTAGAGATGGGTTTTCTCCATGTTGGTCAGGCTGGTGTCGAACTCCCGACCTCAGGTGATCTGCCCGCCTTGGCCTCCCAAAGTGCTGGGATTACAGGCGTGAGCCACCACGCCCGGCTTTTTCTTACTTCTTTAGCTCCCCTCTCCGACACTGGCCTGCTCCACTCAGTATTCACAAAAGGTCTAATGGTGCTGGGCTCTACTACACAAAAATGCTACCCCAACCTCTAATCATTTCCAAAATAAAACTCTCTTGGGAAACCACTGTGTGGGTATAGAAAAAGCTCTAGTTGGAGCACTGGAAACCTGATTCCTCACCCTAGATTTGCCATTGATTCAGCAGCGATTTGCAAGTGCCTTATGGACTAGGATTGTCTAGACAGAGGAAAGCACACTAAAGTAAAAAACATGGGTCCCTGTCCTCAAGAAACTCCCCTGGGGAGCCTTGAGAATTTGGTCAAGTAAACTAACAGGCATCTAAAATGTATCATCCATAGAAAGATAACTAATAATATTTTCATCGTTTGCCTCACAGACTTGCAGTCTCTTCCTGCCCCATCACCAGTTCCACTTTTCAGCTGCTAAATGACTGCTTTACAACACAGTACTGATTGTGCCATTTCCTTGCTTAAGACCTTCCGCGATGCCCTATTTCCTTCAAGATAAAACTCTGTCTCGTTGGCCTGCTGTGTAAGATACTTCATGGCCTGCTTGCCTATCCTGCTTCAGCTCTCTGTCCCACATGTCCTCACATGCAATCATGTCAACTATTCCACGGTGTTTTCTGTCTCCTCTGCAGGAAACCTTTCCTGATCCCAAGGCCCACTCCTGTGGTCTCTCTCCATGTTTTATGCTTGCTTCTACCAGCATTCTCACTCTTCTTAACCCTGAGCTTTTGAAGATGGAAACTGTGTCTAGCATTACGTTTAGCTTATAATAGGTGCTTAATAAATGTTGGATAAAAGAAGGGAAACTCCAAATGAGCGGAGTGGTTGTATTTCAATAGCTTACTCTTCCCGGTGACACTTAAATACTCACACAGCAGAACTACTGTTCGGTAATGTTCAGTCCCAGTGGTGGAAGAAGCAGATGTCCCCAGGTCTCTTGTCACTAAGGGAAGAAGCTCATGATGGCTCATACTTTTTTTTTCTCTTCAAAGGAGCATTTGTTAGAGCACTGAAGACCTTCTGAACTACTAGAGCTCACAGATTATTATAAATACACATGGATAATTCCATAAGATAGAGCCTTGGATGACCTTGTCAAGAAGGACCCAGAACCTCAACCCCTTTCCTGTTCTGGCCCCGGCATGCAGGGCAGACAGCCATACCAGCAGGGATCAGCCAATACAAGAGATGACTCAAGCCAAAGAAGTAGAGGACTTGCTGGGTATTGGATTGGGATTTAGGGGTCTTCAGAGAGTCTCAAAGCAGTGTCTAGTGCTAGTTCCTTTCTCCCAGCCAATTCCAAAAGTGCTGTCTGTGTCCCAATCCTCATAGTCCTTTTACTCCCACCCCACACCCAGTGCCTGGACAATGGATTCTGCTGCAGAAACTTGGGCCCAGATTTCTGCTTTCCTGGCTAGTTTCTAAGAGAAAGCCTTGATCAGAAAACCAACTCACAAAAATCACTCCTGGTTCCAGCCCCACTCTGGTTGATCCCACCAGCTTGTGAAATTTCTTTGGGAAATAGGAGTATATTGAAATGTGAATAAACTGCATAGCTCACCCACTAAAGCCATACTCTAAAATCTCTAGCCTTTATAACCTACCAACCATGGATCATCATAGTGGGATCATCTGCCACATCAGTAAAAAGAAAGATAACTATTTGGAATAGGTTCCCCTTTAAATCTTGTATCTAATTTCCGACCTATTTTTTTCTTCCACTTATATATCCTCTTCTCCTCTCTCCCTATCCTCCCCAGCCCCCATCCCATCCTGACACACAGACACACATGCACACACAGGGGTACCTGGCTTGTTTCCCCACTGTTATACCTTTGTTCGTGCTGATCCACCTACCTAGGGCTAACTTAGACCCAATTCATCCTGCAAAGCCAACTTAAGCCCTTTTCCTTCCATGTTCTTACAATATTCCCGAAAACCATTCCTAGCACTCCCTCACTGCACCATTTAAACATTGCATGTTAATACGTCTTTCTTTACTGGTTCTAAGCTCCTTAGAGCAAAGGCTGCACCTTATTTAGCTCTGCCTCAGTATCTGATTCATAGCAGTCACTCACTGTGAGACACTCACCAAACCCAACACTTCTGTGCAGCTTTCCCTGATCATGGCAGCCCATGCCGTTACTTCTCTCCAATCCCATTGTGCACACTCAGTCTTGTGCAACTCGATGTCTAGACTCCTCTTGAGTTGGGTCATGCTCTTTCTGTGCTGTTCTTGCAGTGAGATCCTCAAGGATGCAGAACCTGTTGCATATCCCTTCTGTCAACCCCACAGTTCCTGGAAGTGCTGGACGAGAGAGGTACAAAAATTAGTTGTGGGTTATTTGTTTTCTGAGAAAGGAAGAGGTAGTAACAAACGGATCATGAACCACAACAAAAAAGAGGGAATTCAAGAATCGTGTGGGCCTGGATTTTCTCAGGAGTGGTATTGCCCTGGTTAAACATGATGGGTTTTATTTTTTATTTTTTGTAATTAACTCCCATTTCCTGAGGGCCAACTATAAGCCAGACATTTTACTGAACATGTTTACATGCATTAAACCATTTAATTTTCGCAAAAATACTGCAGGAGAGACATCTTTGTCCCCATTTTACACATGAGGAAATTGAAGCTTGATAGGGTTTGGTGACTTGCCAAGGTCACCCAGCTAGTTAGAGAAGGTCCAAGAGTCCAACCTAGTTCTGTGAGGCTTTAGACCTGTGTACTCTTTCCACATACTACTGAGTTTAGCCTGGCAAAGCACTCTTTGAGCCTTCTTTCCTCTTGTTTCTTAGTCATAGCAATAATCCCAACACATGGGTCTCTCCTCTGGCTCAGAGAACCTGGAGGAGGCCATGTTGATTTGGGCGCTACAGGGTGACTGAATTTCTGTTGGTGAGCCTGGATGTCCAGTTCATCTTGGGGCTGTGGAAAGCTTTGGAGGCTCTTAAAGCAATCTGGTTTACCCAGAGTTCAAGAGGTTGGGAGCAACCTAGAGCCAGCAAGGAGGCCCACAAGGGTCAATGCTAATTGGGGCAGATGCCCCAGGGGTACATAGCCCAGACTGTTCCCAAGGAGTTCAGCTGGAACCAGATTGCCTCAGGAATGTGAGTGAGGCAAACAACTACTTGATTGTTCGAGCCCCTACACTTGGTACTGGGTGCTGCTTCCCAGCTAAATGTAGGCCAACAGGATTTCTGAAAACTGTTTGCAAAGCTGAACGCAACACTTCCTTCATTTGCATTTAAAAAATAAACTCAGCCTTGAAATGGGCATTAGGCAGGCCCTTCCTGAAAACTGAGAAAGAGTGTAATGGGATAGATTTCTGCTGTCCAAATTGAGGGACTTGCAGGTAACACTAGAACTTTTCTCTAGCATTACTGTTTAAACCCTCCATCCTGAATGTCCTACATTAAAGCACATGTTCAAAATCATTCCTAATCCATAATATCCATTATTTCTAAATTAAGTTTAGGACAGCTCCTTGATTTCCCTCTTGATATCACAGTGGAAAGGCTCATATCAAACAGAAATAGCTAACACTTTCTGTTATCTAGCCTATCTGCTCTTGCCCTCTCAGTCTCCAGCCACCTATACTACATATTTAGTCAAACAAAAGTTTTGTATAACATTTTCTAGCTTTTGAGAAAGTGATTACATTTCTATTGCAAGTCCTCTGTATCTCTTGCATCAGATCTGGTCTAATAATACTGAGGCTGGGTGTAGTGGCTCATGCCTGTAATCCCAACACTTTAGGAAGCCAAGGCAGGTGGACCACTTGAGCCCAGGACTTTGAGAACAGCCTGGGCAACATAGTGAGACTCTGTCTCTACAAAACGATTTTTTAAAAAATTAGCCAGGGGTAGTGGTGCATGCCAATAGTCCCAGCTATTCAGTAGGCTGAGGTAGAAGGATTTCTTGAGCCAGGGAGGTCAAGGCTGCAGTGAGCCTGATAATAATATGAGAATAATAAGATAAAAACTTGCCAGATTTAATCTCGTCATATGCCTACTTTTTAAAAATCAAACTCTTTGTAAAAGTACTGTGACATGTCATTCTGGGCTTCATGGATTTGCTCCCAGGGAAAAATACATCTGCATACATAGTGAGTTAATACATATGAATGAAGGTTTCTAGATGAGTTTTGAAGATGACCTCCATCTTTTTTTCTCCTTCTGGACTTTATCCACATAGCCATTTTTTTTTTTTAGGAATCAAGAATGACTGTTCTCACTGAGAGCAGATGTAGCTAAAATGAACAATACATGTTCAACATGTGGCTGATACACTTACATATTAAATGATAGAGAAAACTTTCAGAAATATGCTTTTTTTCTTCCAAACTTAAAACATTTTTCTTCCTTTTGAAAGCTTACATTTCTCACTCCATTGAAATGGACTGTTTTAAGAAATCAGTGGGTACAGTCACGTCTTCAATGTTCTTTCCTCTGATGACTAAACAAAATTATTATAGTTCACTGGTTTGAATGCAGTTTTGGGTTGTGTTTGCATGTTTGCCTGGTCATGTTATTTATAAAAACCATGCCTCTGTTGGAATAACTGCAGGGAAAAGAAAGACCTATCTGGAGAAGTTTGATTTGTTTTCTGTGTCTGTAATCAAATTACTTATAAATGATATGACATGGTTTATAATGCTTGAAATTTTGCTGTCAGAAACACATATATACACTTTGTGGTTGAATTCTCCCAGGTTTCCTTTTAAATCATGTAGGTCTCTGAGACATTTCCACCAAAATGTGGTAAAATGCAGAAGTTGGCAATTCAATTTTATTCAGCCTTTCAAGAAGGAAGGCCTAGATAAGCTTTGCTTGTTCATGTCAGTGATAATATTCATCAGTGAGGCCTAAATGTAATTCTGTAGGCTTGCTACTGCTTTGTTGTACTGTCATTTCTGAACCTCAATCTCTCTCTCTCTCTCTCCCTCTCTCTCCCTCTCTTTTTTAATCACAGCAAAAAGTTTCTTAAGAGCTTAACTCACAGCCAAGTGCCAGCTCCCCCATTTAATTTGTCCTGCTTCCCCACAGCACTTGTACTTTATGTTCAGGCAGAGGTGAGGTCAGTTCTCAGGGCCCAGCTCGCTGGACACCCTCAATGATGACCTCATTAGAGTCACAGATGTTTGCTGCACTTTGGGAGATGTGGAAAAAACAGAGCAGTAAACTAGGCCAGCTTGCAGTAAGGCTGTTACCCACAATTCAAGATAAAATGCTGGATAGTTCCCACTAGGTTCTGGTCGGCTAGGAAACGGCAACTTATTAATCTTGTGTCAGAGAGCCAGCTGCAGCCGTGGCAGTTACCATATTTCACCACCAACTCCATGTCTGGACAGCCATTGTCTTTTTTTTATGAAAAAACTCTACAAATCAGCTGCGTTCTCTCACTCCCTCTCCCTCTCCTTTCCCCCTTACACTTAGCAAAGCCCCCCGCTTGTCCTCCTTGGAGAAATTGCGCTCCAGCACTGAGAGAGTTCGGTGTATCGTCGATCCTGTGGTTGGTTTACTAATTCAGAGAGACTGCTTACTTTCCAACTTTAATGATATTCCCTCAGCATATCACTTTGGTTGCCTGGCGACCGGATTTGAGCTAGGCCTCTCATTTGATTCCCACACATCAGACCCTGAAAAGCACTTTTTTTCCCCCGTCCCTCAGCTTTTGATTCTTTCTGCTCTGAAACCCTTCCCCCTGCGGTGTCAGTATGGGTGGGCAGAGCCGTGGTAGAAGAAGGGCAAGGGTGAAGGGCGGCCCGTAGCGCACTGGTCACACATCAAGGCCTCAAAACAAAGCCTCCAGGAACCCTTCCTGACGAACACAAATTCCCCTCAGAAAAAGCAAATTTGGCTTTCCCTTCATAGTGTGGGTGTCATTTTAAGACTTTCCTTAGATACTTTATTAAATCTGATGCTTTTTATTGTTTTTCATGCCGTTTCTCACAAAAGACTTCCTATTATCAACAAGTTGCTATAGGAGTAAGCAAACAGATTATGAAGAGCTGAAATAGTCTAATAAACACTAGCCTTCCATCCACCTCCGTATATGTTTTAATATTATAATACGCGTGTTAGTATAAGAATTATCTATCTTAATTTGTACAAGAATGCACCACTTTTCCCACAGTGAGAAGATGTTTTATGCTAAAATCTGCATGTGAAAATCCAGTGTTGCTTGTAAAGGAAAATGGAAAATTTGCTTCTTTTGGTCTTTTTAAAGAAAAATAGAGATGCTTTATCTATTGTTGAAAAGCCTCCTCTGAGAAAAAATGTAATGAACATATTTTTGTGTGTTTCATGGTTGAGCCTACTAAAAAAACAGGGAAAAAAAAGAAAGTAAAAGAAAAATTCATATGAAGTGCATTTGAGTTTTTCCATAGTATTATCTCAATTGTTTAAATTAAATCGTATATGCTGTAATCATGTCCTCAAAACAGCACACACACACACACAAACTACTAGGAGCACTTAATGAGCTGTTTTACTGACTAGAATTAGTGCATAATCACATAGATACATGCAGATTTCAAATATATACGTATATTTTATAGAGGTATATAAATACACATCTATTTAGACGTACTTATACATTATTCTTGAAATATTAAAATTCCTATAAGCATGTCTATTATGACGATTCATCTATTATAAAAGATAGTTCAAATATTCTTGCTAGAGTTTATTTTCTCACAGATCTCTGAAGGATTTGATCATGTAACTCCCATTCATTCTCATGTGCAAATCCCCTGTGTATTGATGGGCAAATGGACTTCTAATTCCACACTAGAACTGAAAGTAGGATTCTTAACCTTTACTCTCTTGTTGTTGAACTTATCTAAGGCTAACAAAAGTTCTTTACCCTTTTCTCAGCAATGATCAAAGTGTGTACAAAGTTACTGCTTTTCCAAAACCGTTTTTGGATTTCTCCCCACACTCACTCCCACAACTCCCTCCATTTTCTGTACTTACAAGATCTATTACCTGCTACCTTAATCCTTGCTTAGTTATTAAGTGGCTGAGCTGAGAGAGTCAGTTTCATACTGCACATCCCTACATGCAAACAAAGAATGTTTTCAGATTAGCATTTAAATTTCATTTTTCTTTCCATTCTAAGTTTTAACTAATATATTATTTGCATTTTAGTGGTATAGATGGGCAAAACAGATATCTATTTATAAATTCTATTGATTCAGTTATTTTAATATTTGGTAGTTTTATACTTCATATATGCCAAGAACTTTCTTATTTTTAAAAATATTATTATACACATACACACATCTCTCAGAAGATATTGAATAAGTACTGTATAAAATATTTCTATGATGAGAGCTACTATTATTAACAAGATAAGCAGGCTCCATTCAATTTAACTTTTTTCTTCTGAGTGGAATGATTGGTAGATAAGACCAAAAAGATGCTTTCAAAAGTCCAGTAATAACCATACTAATACCAGCATCCCATATTTGGATTGTGTTTAAGGAGGCAAAGGGACAGGTAGAAAAGAAAATTCAATTGTTTGCAGGGGAAAAACCTATTGGGATACTCAATACAGAGTTAATGAAATGACTTAAACAACTGTGAAGGGTATCTCAAGTATACTAAGAAAAAAAATGTTTAAAACCATCAATAAAGAGTTTACCTGAGTTTCTGTGACTTTTCATTAGTAAATATTAAAAATTAATGCTAGAAAATCAGTGTTCCTCAATGTAATGCAAAGTACAATTGTTATTCTCTTAGCTCTTTCCTTTTCTTTCTCACTCTAATTTGATATAGGCTAGAAATGTAGAAAAAACAGGAACACCTTAAAAAGAATCTCCTTAAAATATTTCCAATCTTGCCAATATCAAGTTTCTAAAAATCCTGTGATGGAAACCTGATCATTTCTAGTTCCTTTTCAGGAACTAGATCACTGAACAGATATGTGCTTTTGGATGCTGGCCTAAACTGTTTTGTGCACATTCCTACCACTAATAGCAAATCACCTAGGCTGCAGGATGGTCTTGATTCTAGACCCCTGTTCATACAACAGGGACAGAAAGCATGGGTGAGGAATGGGTGATGTTTTACTGTTTCTTTCTGTAGAGGACAAAACAGAGTCACGTCTGAGTTTGGGGAAAAAGAAAAAAGCTTATAACTCTTGTCAATAAATGGATGATCCTCAGAAACTTATAATTATTTTGTGTTAGTTACGTTCACATGACAAGCCGTGCATTTATGTAAGATAAAGTAATAGGCAGAAATAAAATATTTTTGATCCACGATTGTTGACCCAAATGAATGCTTCACTTGTTAAGAACTAGTCACAATTTTTATCATTATTGTCATCAATATGTATGCATAACATAGTCCCTACATTGAAAACAGTAAGTATGTCACATTCCCAACTGGTACCTGGCTCTTATTTATATGCTGTTCTTATAAACAATACCTATAAATGATGAGCTGAGTAATAATGAAAGGAACAGGAAAATAGAGAAATCTGCAGTCGTGTCCTCATTCTTGTCATGGCACATTGAGCCTCAGTTTCCTCACCTGTAAAGCCAGGGAATTGGGTCACAGAAAATCTCAACTGGTCCTTACTGTTTGCTTCTTACTACATGGTTCTGCGGCCTCTAGGAGGAAGGACCATAACGATAGTTTCTATTTCTATGTCATGGAGAGAAAAAGAAGGTTCCTGGTCACCTGTGTGTGGGGGTGTGTGTGGGTGTACCAGCCTTTCTAAAACGATGCTACTCAAATAGGTCTACATGGTGAATATCTGTACGGTCGCAGCCTTGAAACAAAGGCTCATGATGTGGGGGGAAGGAAATAGAAAAAGAAATCACTGCCCAATATACACTCCCCGAAGAAATCAGAAACCCTTCAATTTATTGCTCTTTGTGCATCTAACAGCTTTTAAAAGTCACAACAGACTTCTTTTTGAACGTTTCTAGCAGATCTCGCTGTTCCTGTTGTTGCATGCACCGAGTTTAAATTCTCAGCACAGATGAACACAGCCCAGCGGAAGTTCTAATCCTCAAAAAGTAGACAAATAACAGGGAAACTCCAACGGCCCCTTAATACAGCTGAACTCTCAGGCCTCCCCGGGATGCGGGATTCTGAGCAGTGCCGGAGTTGGGGTTGCTATTTTGTTTGTCCCCATGAGCCCCACCTCGGCGTGCCGATGCACTGATGTAAGAATTCCAAATGAGCTTGCTCAGAAGGGCCCAGATTAGCTGGGTTGCTAGGATCTGGCCATTCCAACCCCCTTTTCCACTTCAGTGGACTGAGCTTTTGACACTATGAAAAGCACCATTTAAAATTAATTAAAGCTTCTTATTTGGTACCAAATCTCATCACTGCTGACTACATTTAATATGTTTTATGTGTGGCTTTAAGTCCCTGTCGCATCATGTGTTGTATGATCCTGCAATGAAGCAGCTGCAAGTTAGAAAACACAGAAGCAACCTGAATTTAGCTCTTTGGTATTTTATCTGGTGTGTGTGTGTGTGTGTGTGTGTGTGTGTGTGTGTGTGTGTGTGTGTTAAACTGCAGAGCTAGTCTTCTAGTCTCCTGGGTCATGCAAATTTTGTTAAATGATAGAATGGCATTCTATCTGGAATTGAAGGCAAGAGACCTGAGTTCTAGGCCTGCTCAGTCACCAATTTGTTATTAGGGTGATGAGAAAGACATAGTTCCTTTTTAAAACTTCAATTTTCTCATATGTACAAGAAAGAGGCTGGACTGCAGTCTCAGAGGTTGCTTTCAGCTTGACTATTTTAGGATTCAGAGTACAGAAGGCAAAGTTGTGTTGTAGATTAGTCCAACAGGTTTTGGGGTAAAAGAGATCTGGGTTTAAATCTCAGCTTAACAACTGACTCTGTAGCACTGAGCAAGTGATGATCTCTCTAAGCCTTGTTTTCACCATCTGTAGAGTGGGGTCAATAATAGTACTCTCTCATAGAGACTGTTGTGAAGTATAATGAGATAATGCATGCCAGTGCTTAGAACAGTGCTTTGTGCATAGTAAGCCCTCAATAAATGGGAACTGGTATCATTATAACAACAGATTACTTATTACAATTGCATTTAGACTCAATATCATTATTGAACAGTCCTGTGGGTTCTCAACTCCTAAACATTTGCTATAAGCAATGTCTTCAAATTAAGGATATTTTATCACTTACATGGGCCACAAATTATTTTTCCAGTCTATTAGTGTCAAATGACTTATTAATAACCCTCTCCAAAAGCCAGAGACCCACTTGTCCATCTCATTATTGTTCTTTCAAAAGACTAATTGTGTCAGTTATGTTAAATGATAATAGTAATAATAATAAACACTCATTGAGGTAGAAGGAAGTCTTGTAGGCAGACAAAAAGGAAGTAAAATTACCAAAACCTTGAAAAAATTTTCTCGGTATCCTGCTTGACTAAACCCAGTCTGAGGTTTTATCTGCCTCTAGGAGCTGTGATTTTTTAATGGTGCCTTTTATTTATTTATATATATATTTATTTATTTATTTTTAGTGTGCTATGAAAATGTTTGTTCTAGTTTTGTTTTCCATGAACTTTTTTAAATTTTACTTTAAGTATACCTATGTATGGTGCCATTTTTAACAGCAGTCTGCAAAACTGCAACAGCAGTTTGCATGTTGCGTGTCTATTTGGACTAGAGAATTTTCCCCCAGTCCTGTTTGCATTTTGGTTTTAACAGGAGGGAAAAAATAAAGTCTGAGAAGGAATGATTATCCTGAATTGCATTTTAGGAGAATTTTGTCTATGTGGGAATCAAATTATTTGGTCTTATTGGTGAATCAAATAAGTATATGCTTGTATATAACCAATCTTCATATACAAGTAATCCAGGACTTGGATGTTTCTGGAAGACTTAACAAAACATGCTGTATTTGCTGGCCATGAAAAAACTTTGAACATTGAACAACAAATAGGGTGTTTCTTAAAACACTATTGTATCCTTGTATTTTTATATTTTTATCCTGCTCACACTCTGAAAAAAGAGTTTTAGAGAAGCATCAACATAAAAACTCCACGGTGGGAAAAAAATAGACTGTCACACACAGTGAGTGGTGAGTGGACTTCCATTTACCTGGTGCAGCAGCCGAAAACACAGGCTGGCCACTCTATCAGCACTTTAAGCAAGGTCAGGAATCATCCCATGTTTTAAACAAGTGACTTATTCAAACTGAAAAATTTTCCAGTTACAGTAGTTTGTTGAACTGTCTTGAACGAAAATGCTTTTCAGAGCTTTTCCACCCAACTGAGGCTTTTATTTTTAGGTATCGGTTGGCAAGTTAATCAGAGTTGTGTAAGGTCTCAATTCAAACAATTTTGGAAAGTTAATACATCTGAGTCTCAGTTTCTTTATCTGCATAATGGGAAGGAAAATAATGGTATCTAGCTCATGAGGTTGTTGTGGTGTGATAGTTTATGTAATATATTTGCAGTATCTGCAATATATGCAGTGCCTGTCACAGAGCAGGTCTTCAGTAAATGGTATTTCTCATCCCCATTTTTACAGCAGGGTATCAAAAAGGGTTTAGACATTATTGTGTATTACCACAACTTTGATCAGATCTAAGCCATGCCCACCAATATTACGCGTAGTTGGCCTTAATAGAAAAATCATAACAAAACCCTGAGAAGCATATGATTATCTCAGAAAGCACCAGAATGCTTTTCTCAGTGTAGGAATGCGACAAATACAAGGGGTTTCCTTGGAGGAGCAAATACAACTATTTCCTTGCATAGAACCAGCCTCAACATTTAATAGCCAGCATACAGCTACTTTCAAAAGAAAGCCCTACTGTTCTGGACCTTTTGTTTCCTGGGTATGACTGAGAATCTCTGTGTATGACTGAGATCAACAGCCAGATATCTAGGAGCTACAGATCAATTACTATTTCCCTCTAACGTGGCTGTGTGCAACTTAGCAAAATGCTGGTATGTTTGTGTGGTCCTCTACCTAAGTAAAGCTTAATGAATAAGAGAACCAAATAGAAGTGAGGAGGGGAAAGTTACACAGTTACCAGGTATACTTAAAAGAGAAAATGAATATGAAAATATTTATTCCCTCTGGCAGGCAACAACAGAATATTCATTAAATTTAAATTTCATTTGTGTTGTTTCTTTGTGCCTTTTCCCTCAACTTTAGTCATAAAATATTTTATGAAATTCAACTTGACTGTTAAATGTTTTCCGTAACAAAGATGTGTTGTGTTTTTTAGTGTATTGCTCTAACAATATAATTTATTTGGTAACAGTGGGGGACAATTATGAACATGAGATTTGGAAAAAATTAAAGTGTGTCTCCCAACAGAACATTTTGTTGCTGAATGTTCTATTAACTAATTATTACAAATGAGTGTCCTTCTAGACATATTTGTACAAAAGTCTTAACGTATTACTCATCTAGTATTGTGTAATGCAAAAAAAAAGTACTACTAATTGCTTTTTTCTTTCATTTGGTCATTTAAAACATGTTTTAAACCAGAAAAGAATAATCAAGTTACTTCAGCTCTGGTATCAAGCAAACTGTGAGTAAACGTTTCTGTTTTTGCCCTAAGAATTCATCACATGAAGATGATTAGTGACTATAGATCAATCTTTGCACCAGTAACTATAGAAGGAAGTTTATTTTATTTCTCCTAAGTCTGATAAGGACAAAGTAAACCCAATAATACCTGCTATAGGCTGGTAAGTTATCTCTCAAATAATCTCAACCCAGAGTCAAGATGTCACTAACAAAAAGATCCAAACCATGTAACCTGCACTGAATAGAATACAAATGAACAGAGATTTTATAAGTAAACATGTGGCATTTACACATCACTTTCCAAATTAATGTTGTTCCTGGAGACCACCTGAATGAAAGTAGTAGATCTCTTCTATCACTATTACACACTTTCAAACACTAACAATAACATTAAGAGTATCTGTTATAACTATAGCTAAATAATTGGCCATACTGAGTCTAAATTTAAATGCTAGATTAATTTGATACGTAACCGATTAATTTATAATTCCTCAGATGATGTTTCGGCATTTGCCACTCACAAGATCAATATCTTCCCTCTTTTGATCAGCCCAATTTTGAACATGGGTTTTCCTTAAATAAATCTTTAAAGAGAAAAACAATGTAAGAATACATTCTGCTTTCCTGTCAAAATACAATCGACAGGGAAATAATTCCTTGCTGTATTTTAAAATTTCTCCCTACCCTTCCTTCTGCCTCAAAGATTAAGAACATTTGCTTTTCTTGTTTTCCTGAACCACTCTTTGAACATCACCAGTCTCCCGGTAGGCTTCAGGAAGTTTGCTGATCCTATCAGCTCAGGAGCAGCTAAGTTCACAGGAAGGACAATTCTGAAAGCTGGTGAAGACATTGCCATCAGACTCATCTGCTTGTCATGGTGTGTAACTGAGATTAAATAAATGAATACTGAGAACTAATAGGTCAATTAATATTTAACCCTCGAGTTGCCAAAATAATTTCCACCTTGTGCCAACTGCCAATTGCCTGTCTTTAAATACTGGCTCAAATATTAGAGTAATTATGGATGAAGGTGATGTTTCCTGGTCTCTGAGATAAACTCCATAATTTTTAATTCATCATCCATAATCAAGATTCTTAGAACATTCTCAGCTCAAAGGAGAATGGGGTTGCAATAGTTGAGTTGAAAATAAAGCATCTCAGTGATTTCACATTAAGAAGTTGTTATAAGACTTTAGATCTAAAAAGAGACTTGTTTCCTGTGAAATCTTCATTAGCTATTATGAAAAAGATGTTCCCAGGTTTTAGCACTTGGAAAGAGAGGAAGGGAAAGAGTATCATTGCAATGACAATGTCAGATCTAAAGCTATGGGACATTTCACCTGTACCAGATGAGAAGGAGGGAAGGAAATTGCCTTATTTGGCCAGAGGAATGAATCAGAGTTTCTGCTGGTTAATTAGGCAGTTAGTGTAAATAGCTAGTATGGAACAAATAGCTCCAGCAGAAAAGTCCTTAGAACCTTGGATAGGTAGGATGTGCTTTCATTGACTTCATAAAGGCACTAGAAGAGAGCTAAAGGAAAAATTGAGTTGTCGTAATTGTGTGTACTTAGCCTCTATAGATATACACAAACAGTACAAATAATTAACTTGTTTTCTGATAATAAACAAGCTAGCATCTTTTAATTTCATGAAGAAATAGGCTGTAATCATGGACAAAGAGAAGCACATCCAAAAAGAAAACCAGATAATCTTTCTTCTGAGGTGGACCATGCATTAGTGAACTTAAAGCCCCCTCTGCCCCATTCATATTCGTGACCTAACATAATAGAAACCTAATATATTTGCTATTTTACAAGTGCTCACATGCCAAAAGACCATTCTTTATGTCATATGTAATATTTCCTTACTTTACTACCAATCAGAAAGTCGCTAGATTATAATGCACGTAGAAGCAGTTATGCCTCTTGTTTGGTATGGATGGAACTTGACATCAAAGTTAAAATACAAAAAGGAGATGATTTTTTTTAAGCCAGGCAAATGTTAAATGAATTTATGGGAAAACATTTTTTAAATGTCAAATGTGTTGCCAATTAAGGGAATATTGCAATTTAATTGTTTTAAGTGTTTATTTTCACTAGGAAATAAAATGATGGCTTCAAGAAGAAATGCTTTATGTTCATTTGTAGGTTATGTCTTATTTAGAAGTAGGAAAAGATAAGAACGAAATACTTAAATAAAAATAATGAAAAAATAAAGTTATATTTCACTGGTGTCATTTGAATTCTGTATTCCTTGCAGGAATTTTAAATTGTATGGCAGACTTGATTTTCTTTAAGTGACTTCTACTTGACATCTAAATCACAACAAATGGCTTGGGTGTTGATTTCTTAAATGTACTTGATTTTCTGAGAAATAAATCATCAAACCAAATATTAACCAACCTATCAACTTACATGAAGTGTAGACAGTCAATTATATTTTTCAAAATCACCGTTTCAACACCCCTCCCCCAACAAGTCAGTTCTCAGTATAGGGGGAGATAAAAGAAGAGACTGTACTTAACTCAATTAATACTATTAAATTCTACAGATGGTCATACCTCATTTTATCGATAAAATGTTATCAAACAGCATCCCATGCTATAGAGAAATTTTTCGTGAAAGGAAGAGACAGTTAATCTAGCAAACTTCATTGTTGTCTTGTTTTAAGAAATCGCAACAGCCACCCCAGCCTTCGGTAGCCACCACCCTGATTAGTCAGCAGCCATCAGCTGATATCAAGGTAAGATCTCCACCAGCAAAAAGATTCACTATCACTGAAGGCCCAAATGATCATTAACATTTTTTAGCAATAAAGTATTTTTTAATTTAGGTATGTACATTGGCTTTTTTTAAAGACATAATTCCATTGCACACTTAACAGACTACAGTATTGTGTAAACATAACTTATATTTACTGGGAAACCACAAAATTTGTGTGACTTGCTTTATTGTGATATTCACTTTATTGCACTTAGCAGACATGCTTTTTACAAATTAAAAGTTTGTGGCAACCCTGTGTCAAGCAAGTTTATCGGCACCATTTTTCCAGCAGCACTTGCTGACTTCATGTCTGTGTCACATTTGAACAATTCTCACAAATTCCAAACTTTTTCATTATTATTATATCTATGATGGTGATCTGTGATCAGTGCTCTCGATATTACTATTGTAAGGTCAAATGTTACTATCAGGGTGCTATGAATTGCACACATATATAGATGACCAACTTAATCAATGAATGTTGTGCATGCTCTGACTGCTCCACCGCCTGGCCATTCCCCCATCTCTCTCCCTCTCCCTAGGCCTCCCTATTCCCTGAGACACAACAATATTGAAATGAGGCCCATTAATGACTCTATAGTGGTCTCGAAGTGTTCAAGCAAAAGGAAGAGTCTCGTATCTCTCACTTTAAATCACAAGCGGGAAATGATTAAGCTTAGTGAGGAAGGCAGTTTGAAAGCTGAGATAGGCCAAAAGCTAGGCCTTGCATCAGTTAACTAAGCTGTGAATGCAAAGGAAAAGTCCTTGAAGGAAGTTAAAAGTACTACTCCAGTGCACACACAAATGATAAGAAAGCAAAACAGCTTTATTGCTGATATGAAGAAAGTCTTAGTGATCTGAATGGAAGATCAAACTAGCCACAACATTCCCCTAAGCCAAAGCCTAATCCAGTGCAAGGCCCTTACTCTCTTCAATTCTGTGAAAGCGGGAGAGGTGAAGAAGATGTAGAGGTTTGTTCATGAGGTTTAAGGAAGAAAGCTATGTCTATACCATAAAAATGCAGGGTGAAGCAGCAAGTGCTGATGGAGAGGCTGCCGCAAGTTATCCAGAAGATCCAGCTAAGATAATTGATGAAGGTGGCTACACTAAACAACAGGTTTTCAGTGTAGATGAAACAGCCTTATATTGGAAGAAGATGTCATCTGGGACTTTCACAACTAGAGAGGAGAAGTCAATGCCTGGCTTAAAAGCTTTAAAGTAATAGGCTGGCTCTTATTAGGAGCCAAGGCAGCTGGTGACTTTAAGTTAAAGCCAGTGCTCATTTACCATTCTGAAAATCCCAGGGCCCTTAAAAACAATGCTAAATCTACTCTGCCTGGGTTCTGTAAATGGAGCAACAGAGCCTGGATGACAGCACATCTGTTTATGGTTTACTGAGTGTTCTAAGCCCACTATTGAGGCCGATTATTCAGAAAAAAAAAATTCTTCTCAAAATATTACTGCTTATTGACAAGACACTTAGTCGCCCAAGAACTCTGATGGAGATGTACAAGGAGATTAGTGTTGTTTTTATGCCTGCTAACACAACATTCACTCTGCAGCCACACAGATCAAGGAGTAATTTTGACTTTCAAGTCTTATTCTTTAAGAAATACATTTTGGGCCGGGCGCGGTGGCTCACGCCTGTAATCCCAGCACTTTGGGAGGCCGAGGCGGGTGGATCATGAGGTCAGGAGATCGAGACCATCCTGGCTAACAAGGTGAAACCCCGTCTCTACTAAAAATACAAAAAATTAGCCGGGCGTGGTGGCGGGCACCTGTAGTCCCAGCTACTGGGGAGGCTGAGGCAGGAGAATGGTGTGAACCCGGGAAGCGGAGCTTGCAGTGAGCCGAGGTTGCGCCACTGCAGTCCGCAGTCCGGCCTGGGCGACAGAGCGAGACTCCATCTCAAAAAAAAAAAAAAAAAAAAAAAAAAAGAATTTTGAAAGGATATAGCTGCCATAGCTAGTGATTCCTCTGATGGATCTGGGTAAAGCAAATTGAAAACCTTCTAGACAGGATTCACCGTTCTAGATGCCATTAAGAACATTTGTGAGTCATGGAAGGAGGTCAAAATATCAATGCTAACAGAAGTTTGGAAGAAGTTGATTCCCATCTTCGTGGGTGACTTCAAGATGCTCAGCACTTCAGTTGAGGAATTAGCCACAGATGTGGTAGAAATAGCGAGAAAACTAGAATTAGAAATAGAGCCTAAAGATGTGATTTTGTTGCTGTGAGCATACGATAAAACTAATGAATAAGGAGTTGTTTCTTACAGATGAGCAAAAAAAATGGTTTCTTGAGATGGAATCTACTCATGGTTAAAATGCTACGAACATTGTTAAAATGACAATGAATGATTTAGAATATTACATAAACTAGTTGATGAGACAGCAGCAGGGTTTAAAAGGATTCCAATTTTGAAAGAGTTTCTGTTATGGATAAAATGTTATCAAACAGCATCTCATGCTATAGAGAAATTTTTCGTGAAAGGAAGAGACAGTTAATCTAGCAAACTTCATTGTTGTCTTATTTTAAGAAATTGCCGCAGCCACCCCAGCCTTCAGTAGCCACCACCCTGATTAGTCAGCAGCCATCAGCTGATATCAAGGTAAGATCTCCACCAGTGAAAAGATTCACTATCACTGAAGGCCCAAATGATCATTAACATTTTTTAGCAATAAAGTATTTTTTAATTTAGGTCTGTACATTGACTTTTTTTAAAGACATAATTCTATTGCACACTTAACAGACTACAGTATTGTGTAAACATAACTTACATTTACTGGGAAACCACAAAATTTGTGTGACTTGATTTATTGTGATATTCACTTTATTGTGATGGTCTGGAACCAAATCCGCAATATCTCTAAGGTTTGCCTGTATTTTATCAAAATGTTTAATTTAGAGGTAATAATTTAGTTTAAAAACAGTTGTTGAGACTAACTAGATGTGTTAAAGAAGTTGATACGAAAAATGTTGAGTGTCAGTGAAACTTAGCTGAAAGCCAATAGGATTGGCCATCTAATGGCGATTAAGTATGCTATAAATTTAAATCTTTGAAATACTTGTTAAGATTTATTCAGGCAGACAAACAAAGATAACAAAAGTCTTTTGTGTGTTTGTCAGTCATTTCCACTCCTCTGTTGTTGTAGTGTCAAATAATGTCAGTTATTTAAGGGCAATTACTGTAATTTTAAATTCTCAACAAATTAAACTATAAAGACTACAAGTCCAAGAAGGACCTTACTCATTTTTCAAGCACATTTTTCATCTTCCATTTTTTAAAGGTGTTTTAATTGCTTGAATGTGGAGAAAGGAAAAGGAGATTTTTGTGTGTGTGTTGCTGCTTTTTAATTTTTTTAAAATAAAAGAACCATGTTTGGATATTTCTTTTTCATTGAACTATGTTTTATGAAATTTTTCCAATGATACCCTGGTTTTTCAAATGGGTAAGTTAGATTATTTTTAATTAGATCTTATCTTTTTTTTATATTGGAGTAGCTATGTTTTTAGCCCTCTTTTGTATTCTATATATATAATCTAATGAATTTAGGTTAGAGGCAAGAAAAAAAAGTCCATGGAAGCAAAATAAAGTCCAAAATGAGTGAAAAAAAATGTGGTTAAATTGTGTTGGATAATAAAATGTCCTACCAATAAAAATATTAAAAATAAAATATAAGCATAATTAATTTGAATGAGATCATTAAGGTGGTTTCATAAAATAATTTCAAGTGAAGCAAGAAAATAATTACCTCCCCTAATCTTTAAGCTATGTTGACAAAGTTTAAATGTTATATAATTTAAGAGGAAGAATTCAATACATTTTATATTTCATGAGATCTTTTTTTAAGATTTAGAGCAGCATCTAGGGTTTCTTTGCAGTAATAAAGACAATGATCCATTATGTTCTTCTATTACTAATTATTCTGTAAAGATTGTCTGTTCCAAAAGATAATTAGAAGGGGTGAAATTTAATTCCATTAAACAGAACTCAACTGGGACATAATGAAATTTTGCTGGGAAGTTGAAGACTTTGAAGCCAAATAAAAAGCTTTTACATAGAGAAATTAGACTGTAAATCTCACACCTTATTCATGCGGGGCATATTTAAGACATACCAGAATAAGATGATATTTATCATGACTTTTAAGTGTTCAGTTAGCCCAAATATTCATAAAGAATATTTCTTCACTTATTTAAATGAGAAGTTTAGTGATAGACAAAGGTACTTTTAGATTCCAAGTTTATTCATTCATTTATTCAACAATAATGTTTTGTGTAGCTGCTATGCATCTGACCCTAGACAAGATATTAAGGGTATCAAGATTAATAGGGAAGCAGTGACTGCCATGAAACAGCCCGAAGTCTAGTCCTTTTATGATAATCAATTGAGTTCATTTCATTTAGCAATAAAATTTGAAGTGTCCACCATGAAAACCTGGACTTAACAGATTTCCATTAAGTTCTTGCTTTCTGTGGTGGATAAATTTATGCAAATGAAGAGGACTGAGTTCTTGCTGTCAAAGAACTTATCAACCAGCAGAGGCAAACATGTACATTTACAACTGCAACAAACTCTAGCAAAATTAAAAAGAGATTTACATTCCCTTAAATTCTTGTCTATTGCACTTTACTTAAGTCACCATTGCACAATGCTTATTACACTGTCCTAAGATTTTTAATATGTCTTCCCCTTTAGATTGGAAGCAACATGAGGGCAATCTATTATATAGGTTATGTTTACCTTTGTGCTCTTCATACCAAGAACTTAGCACATAGTAGATGTTCAATGGATGAATAATAGAAAACAATGATGGATAACTAGCCTTCATGGCAAAGACAATGACCACTCTAACCTATGAATAGGTGAAAACAGAGTTCCAAGAGATTTCACTTTTCAAAAACCACATAGTTGTTAAAAAGCAGAAACAGAATTTGAAATCAGGTCTAGATGGTTCCAAAGACCTGTTCTTCCCACGTACTGAAGAGTCATACCACTCGAGGGAGCTATAAGCAATAGAGAAGGTGAGCCCAGTTGTTTTGTTTTGTGTTGTCTTTTGGAGTAACAGAACGTTTTCCTCTAGTTCTATGTGCAGCAGAGTAGAACAAGAGCCCTCAATAGGAGGGGTAGTAGGAAGATGGAGGACGTGAACCTTTATACAAAAAATAGAGACTCACAATATAAAAGAAAAATGAAATCCCTGTTACCTAGCACTGCTCACTAAACCTAAAGGAGAAGATAGGGAAAATTCCTAGTACAAAGGAGAATAAGAGTTTACAGCTTCTAACAAGGTCAAAGTAACTAACACTAGAGAAGCCAGTTTCTGAACGCCTCCCTTTAGGTTCAAGAGAACTTTAGAATATCTTGTATTTAATCAAGAATAGTTATGTGAATTAGTAAGGTCTCCCCTCAAAAATCTGTTTTTAATGGTCAGTTTGGAATGATAGTTTATTTCCTTGGTCCTTGAATTAATTGAAGTCTGTAGCCCTTAAATATAAGAATGATATTTTGGCTCAGGGTAAATTGTACCTAAGGAGCCTAGGCCCTGAATATCTGGTAATTCTCAATAATGTCTCAGCAGAACTGAACTCTTTTGACCCCCAAAATAAAGAGGGCCCAGAGCTATATATCAGGGTCCCATGTACAAACTAATTCTATTGTATTATACCTATTGAGGCTGATAGAATTGTTCTCTTTCTCTTTTTCTCTATTTCATTCTTTCTCACGGTGCTCACAGATGAAAAAGTTTATAGCTTTGTGTAATAGACAGATAATGTCTCCCAAAGATGTCTTCATCCTAATTCCTGAAACTGTGACTATGATACATCATACAAGAAAAGGAAATTAAGGTTGCAGATGTAACTAAGTTTGCTAATCAGCTGACCTTGAGATGGAGAGAGTATCCTGGATTATCCTTGTGAACCCAATGTAATCACAAAGGTCTTCCTTATATGTGAAAGAGGGAGGCAGAAGAGGGAGAACCAGATAGATTGCAGTATGAGATGGTCTTGGCCAGACACTGCTGACGTTGAAGATGGAGGATGAAGCCCATGAATCCAGGAATGTGGTGACCTCTAGAAGCTGGAAAAGTCAAGGTCATGGATTTTACCCTAAATCCTCCAGAAGGAACATGGCTCTGCCAACACCTTGATTTTAGCCCAGTGAGACACATTTCAGACTTTTGATTTCCAGAAATGTAAGATAATAAAGTTGTGTTGTTTAAAGCCACCAAATTTCTAGTACTTTGCCACAGCAGCAATAGAAAACTAATATACCATGGGAGCCTTTGTACCATCACAGGAAAAGTGACAGCACAGAAAGCAGAGTAGATAAAGAGGTTAGGCCTTTGGGGACATTGTTTAGCCACTGAAGTAAAATGTATTTTTGAGAGAGAAGGGACATATGTTCTTTACAGAAGGATTCCATATAATAAATGTAGAATGAAAATTAAATAACCTGCTTCTGAATGAATTTTGGGTAAATAATGAAATTAAGGCAGAAATCAAGAAGTTCTTTGAAACTAATGAAAACAAAAATACAATGTACCAAATTCACTGGGACACAGCTAAGGCTGTGCTAAGAGGGAAATCCATAGCACTAAATGTCCATGTCAAAAAGTTAGAAAGATCTCAATTTCACGACCTAATATCAAACTAAAAGAACTAGAGAAGAAGAACAAACAAATCCCAAAGCTAGCAAAAGACAAGAAATAACCCAAGTCAGAGCTGAACTGAAGAAGATAGAGACACAAAGAACCATTCAAAAGATCAACAAATCCAGGAGCTGGTTTTTTGAAAAAAATAATAGATAGACCACTAGCTAGACTAATAAAGAAGAAAAAAGATAAGATACAAATAAACATAACCAGAAATGACAAGGGGGATATTACCACTGACCCCACAGAAATACAAACAACCATCAGAGAATATTATGAACACCTCTATGCACATAAACTAGAAAATCTAGAAGAAATGGATAAATTCCTGGACACATACATCCTTCCAACACTGAACCAGGAAGAAACTGAATCCTTAAACAGACCAAAAACGAGTTCTGAAATTGAGGCAGTAACAAATGGCATACCAACCAAAAAAAGCCCAGAACCAGGTGGATTCACAGCTGAATTCCACAAGATGTACAAAGAAGAGCTGGTACCATTCCTACAGAAACTATTCCAAAACACTGAGGAGGAGGGACTCCTCCCTAACTCATTCTATAAGGCCAGCATTATCCTCATACCAAAACCTGGCAGTGATACAACATAAAAAGAAAACTTTGAGTCAATATCCTTGATGAACATTGGCGCAAAAATCCTCAACAAAATGCTGGCAAGCTGAATCCAGCAGCACATCAAAAAGCCTATCCACCATGGTCAAGTAGGCTTCATTCCTGGGATGGAAGGTTGGTTCAACATACATAAATCAATAAATGTGGTTCATCACTTAAACAAAACTAAAGACAAAAACCACATGATTATCTCAATACATGCAGAAAAAGGTTTTGATAAAATTCCATTCATGTTAAAAACTCTCAATAAACTAGGTATTAAAGGAACATACCTCAAAATAATAAGAGCCATCATCTATGACAAACCCACAGCCAACATCATACTGAATGGGCAAAAGCTGGAAGCATTCCCCTTGAAAACCAGCACAATTCAAGGATTCCTTCTCTCACCACTCCTATTTAACATAGTATCGGAAGTTCTGGCCAGGGCAATCAGGAAAGAGAAAGGAATAAAAGGCATCCAAATAGGAAGAGAGAAGTCCAACTATCCCTGTTTGCAGATGACATGATCGTATACCTAGAAAACCCCATAGTCTCAGCCCAAAAGCTTTTTAAACTGATAAACAACTTCAGCAATGTCTCAAGATACAAAATCAATGTGCAAAAATCACTAGCATTCCTATATACCAACAACAGTCAAGCTGAGAGCCAAATCAGGAATGAACTCCCATTTGCAATTGCCATAAGAAGATTAAAATACCTAGGAATATAGCTAACTAGGGAGGTAAAAGATCTCTACAAGAAGAACTACAAACTGCTGCTCAGAGAAATCAGAGATGGCATACACAAATGGAAAACCATTCCATGTTCATGAATAGGAAGAATCAATATAATTATAATGGCCATCTGCCCAAAGCAGTTTATAGATTCAATGCTATTCCTATTAAACTAACATTGACATTCTTCACAAAACTAGAGAAAACGATTTTAAAATTCATATGGAACCAAAAAAGAGCCCAAATAGTCAAGGCAATCTTAGGCAAAAAGAACAAAGCTGGAGGCATCATGTTACCCAACTTCAAACTATGCTACAGGGTTACAATAACCAAAACAGCATGGTTCTCATACAAAAACAGACACATAGACCAAGGAACAGAATAGAGAACCCAGAAATAAGGCTGCACGCCTACAACTATCTGATCTTCAACAAACCTGACAAAAACAAGCAATGGGGAAAGGATTCCCTATTCAATAGATGGTGCTAGGATAGTTGAGTAGCCATACGCAGAAGATTGAAACTGGACCCCTTCCTTCTACTATGTACAAAAATTAACTCAACATGGATTAAAGACTTAAATGTAAAACTCCAAGCTACAAAACCCTGGAAGACAACCTAGGCAATACCATTCAGGACATAGGCACAGGCAAAGAGTTCATGATGAAGATGCCAAAAGCAAAAATTGACAAATGGGATCTAATTAAACTAAAGAGCTTCTGCACAGCAAAAGAAACTATCAACAGAATAAACAGACAACTTATGGAATAGGAGAAAATTTTTGCAAACTATGCATCTGACAAAGGTCTAATATCCAGAGTCTATAAGGAATTTGAACAAATTTACAAGAAAATAAACCCCATAAAAAAGTGGGCAAAGGACATAAATAGACACTTCAAAAGAAGACGTATATGTGGCCAACAATTGTATGAAAAAAAGCTCAACATCACTGATCATTAGAGAAATGCAAATCAAAACTGCAATGGGATATTACTTCACACCAGTCAGAATGGCTATTATTAAAAAGTCAAAAAATAACATGCTGATGAGGTTGTGGAGAAAAAGGAATGCTTATACACTGTTGATGAGAGTGTAAATTAGTGTAGACATTGTGGAAGGCAGTGTGATGATTGCTTAAATACCTAAAAACAGAAATACCATTCAGCCCAGCAATCCCATTACTGGATATATACCCAAAGGATTATAAATTATTCTGTTATAAAGACACATGCACACATATGTTCATTGCAGCACTATTCACAATAGCAAAAATATGGACTCAGCCTAAGTGCCCATCAATGATAGACTGGATAAAGAAAATCATAAACACCGTGGAATACTATGCAGCGACAAAAAAAAGAACGAGATCATGTCCTTTGCAGGAACATGAGTGGAGCTGGAGGCCATAATCCTTAGCAAACTAACACGGGGACAGAAAACCAAATACCTCATGTTCTCACTTATAAGTAGGGCTAAATGATTAGAACACATGGACACAAAAAGGGGAACAACACACACTGGGGCCTGTCAGAGGGTGGCAGTTGGGAGGAGGGAGAGGATCAAGAAAAGTAACTAATGGATACTAGGCTTAATACCTAGGTGATGAAATAATCTGTACAACAAACCCCCATGCCACAAGTTTGCCTATGTGACAAACCTGCACATGTACCCCTGAACTTACAATAAAAGTTAAATGAAAATAAATAAATGTAGAAGCAATGAGGACAAATAGAAAATTACCTTTAGAACTCCACAGTAATAATTTCTCTAAGCAAGATCCAGTACTGAATGCTAAAATTAGTGGGTGAAACTTCAATGAGAAACCGAACATTTCCCTAACCTCAAATTATCTCCACTCCCTAATGTTTATTACTTAATGTGCTAGTTTTACCATATCTCCACAAATTCTTTGATATTCCTCCTTCTAGAAGGTGGAGATTAGCTCACCTCCTCTTCCAGTACAGTAGATTTAGGGACTCTCTTCTAACAGTTGAATATGGAAAGAGAAAAATGGTAACTTCACAGTGGAGAAACTCAAACTGAGTGACATTCTACAAAACATTTGACAAGTACTCTTCAAAAGTGTCAAGGTCATGAAAATTAAGGAAAGATTAAAATTGTTATAAATTAGAGGAGACTAAGGTAACATGACAACAAAATGCAACGTGGTATTCTGGATTGGATCCTGGAACAGAAAAATATAGTGGAAAAAATTGGTGAAATCTAAGTAAAGTCTATAGTTTTGTTAATGGTATTGTACCAATGTTAATTTTGATAATGGCATTGTGATTATGTAAGTTAACAGAGAAATCCAGATAAAGGATATGTGGGAGCTCATTGTACTACTTTTGAACTTCTCCCATAAATAAAACTGTTCAAAAATAAAAAGTTTAAAACAAACAAATAAATAAACAAAAGCCAAAGAACAAATTGAAGAAAATGTTTAATACAGATGACAGAAAAAATGACTAGTAGTCTTACTACAAAGGGGCTTTCATAAACCCATTGAAAAGTGAGCAAATAAAATAAATAAGCAATACATAGTGAGAAATGCAAATGTGAGAATTATAGTGGGAAATACAAATAGACATATAGGAATAATCAACTTTACTAAGAATCAAAGTCATGAGAAATAAAATCATATTTCTCTTTTGTCAGCCTAATTAGAAAAACGTTAAAAAGAGATAATACTCTGTCTTTGAGGTTATGAAAAGAATAGACACTCATATTTTCCTGTTACAATAAATAATTATGCAAAATGGAATACTATAAAGACAGAAAAATGATGTTATAAAAGAACTTTTAATGGCATAGAAAGATGCTCATGCTATTTTATAAAGTGATTTTTAAAAACCTTGGATTTTAAAAAAATCACCTATGACATGATCTGTTTTCATATAAAATATACATTATGTGTCTCTTAAAAGCCTGGAAGGTAATATACTATACTGAAATATTAACTGTGGTTACCTTTGTGTAGCAGGACACAGAATTTTCATGTTTTTCTTTATCTCCATTTTCTAAATTTTCTGTAAGAAATATATATTAACTTATGTTTTAAGATTTTTCCACAAACAAATGAAAAGTGGCCAAAAATTGGCAGTCAATCCATCTCAATCAGTCGTATTTATCATTAAAACTGTTATGGAGTGCCTGTCTCTGTGTGCGGCCCTGCCTGTCTTCAAGTTTACGGCTCTGTCAACCTGTGTATTACAGGCTTTGGTTTTTGAAAGGAGCATCTTTGATCCAGGCTCACAAGCCATAGGGAGTAGACTTTGAGTTGATGTTGGTTATGGTTGGGAAGAAAAATAATCTTTTGTTGAAAACATCACTATTTTTATTGAGATAAAGATGTTCTTAAATGGATAATGAGCAAAAGATTCATATCAGGCATTGGTGAGGGGAGTGGAAGTCCCTCTTTCATTTTTTAGAAACAGTTTGAGAACCATTGCTCAGTCACTAACTTAGAAGAGAATGGCTGGTGAAATACAAAGCCATGTCAATTCATGTGGAAACAGGGGAACATTCCACAAAAGAGCTGATTTGCTAACGCAGTTCTGAGTACTCATCCCAGAATCTTGGTGGCATCTCTGACTTTTACCCTGGACTCAAAATTCCTCTAGGCACAAGTTACAGAACCAAGGATTAGTTGAAGAATACTCATAGGCTCCTGGCATATAAAGGGCTAATTAACTCCTGATTGGATCCTACTAAATCCCTATTTCCCTTTGAATTACATCCAGACTTCTTCTACCCCCTAAAAAAGTTAAAGTACTGTATAAAAAACAAAATTTGCAGCTGAGGGTCTTAATTTAATAATCTTACTTCTGCAATGGTATGTGAAAACACTGGTGTTTGAAAACAGTGTGTTTACCTTTCTGTTGAACAGTCACTTAAATTGTTCATGGCAATGATCTGCCAGGCAAAACATGCACAAATCCAGGCCTGAACCAACAGTCTCAAACGGGAAAAAGATTCCCATGGGGAAAGATGCTGTTTACATTGCATAAGTGATGCTAAAGCAAACCTTGTTCATTTAGGTGGACAGAGTGAATAAAACCCTTGGGGTGGATTAATAGCAAAGGTGTGTTTCAGAAGAAATGCTCTGTGCAAGTATCCATTTCTGCATTAGGGCCACAGGTACTGAGAGCTACCTCTGATGCTTCACACCTTTGCCAACATCTCCCTATTTTCAGAAAGGAAAAGCACTCTCAAGCAAAACACAGGGCTTTGAATTCAGCGAGGCCTGCCTTTGGAACCTGTTACCTATTAGCAATGTGCCTCAGGCAAGTCAATAAATCCCTTTTTGGTCCTCAGTTTCCTCATCTATAGAATGTGAACTAAATAAAATAAAATAAAATAAAATAAAATAAAATGAAGACATTTTAGCAATAAATTCCTTAAAAGATTGTTGTGAGAACTCAATATGGTTCTATGTTAAAATGGCAGGTACACTTGAAATGGTAGTTATTATCACCATGAACTTCACATGCATGCTGACTCTCCATCTGAAAATATGGTTCCTGATACCCTGCCTTGAAATATTTAAAAGCAACTGGCATAGAGTTGAGGACAAGAGATCTCTTTTCTCTATTACATAAGCAGAAAGAAGCACCTGAATATAAACAGTGTTGGAAGCCCTAACATAACATTCTAATGATAGGGTATTGTCTAGCTAAAGATACGAAAAAATCTTAGAGTGATGAATTTTTAACATTGAAATTTGACTTACCTCTTGGCTCCACTGCCTTAAATCCATTTTGGAAACAGGCAGAGTATAAATAAACAGTCAACTCTTCTCTGGATGTTTGGGTGAAAGCAGATGGTGATTGAGAAGACATGGGTCAGTGTGTGTGAGAGAGTTAAAAACAAATGTCTTATGAGGTAAATAACTTGAACAATAAGAATGGAAATCTTTTTTGAATGGGAACCCAGGTCACTTGGGTCTTTGCTCTGGGAGCCTCTTTGTTCTGTTAGCAACATTTGGGTAAATTGCAAAGCACAGTCCTCCAAGTGTGGCCACTTTCTCTGTCCTTGCCTTATCCACTTCCCTTTCCATTCCTTTATTGTGTGGCAGGATTTTTCTCTCACTTGATTCATCTTTCCCCATTGCTGTCCTCTGTTTGCCCACAGCTTCATGTTGGCTCACACATTACCTTGCCCCTATCCTCACCATTAGTAGGCATTCAATGGTATCTTTTGTTGGAAAACAGGACAGAACATCTGATGCTACCCAAATGCCTTTCCCTTTTTGTTCTCCATACCAGCCTCACATATGCCCTTTCTAACTGGTTAGCCCAAAGGGATTGTTGAGGGCACCCTGGGGATACTGCCTGTTAACTGAGAGTCATTTCCTTCCCTTAGCACCACTAATAGAACATTCCATTTGAGCTCAGAACTTATATTTGGATAACTGTGTTGAGATGAAACTTTCTTCCCATGCCCTCTGCTCTGTACTCCCAGATCGTTCTGAGAGCTTGTAGCATCCTATATTGTAATGTAATAAATATGTGTGAAGACCAATGCTTCCCTCCAGCTTATTGCTAAATTATCCACAGGAAAATTAAATACACACTTTGGGCTCTGGCAAAGCAGAGGCGTTAAACAAAACAAACTACTAAAACCATCAACACAAAAAACAAACAAACAAAAGCAGAAATGTGCAATTAGAAGACCTCGAAAGATGCAATTTTAATGTAGAACACTTCATTTTTATGTCTTTAAAACAGTTAAATTTTATTTTGAAACATCTGTGGGAAGGGAACACCACCAACCTTCCGGAATTCAGAGCCTCCTCAATTCGTACTCTGTGCCTGTTCTTGATGAGAGATTCTTAAGTGAAGTCTCCACCAGTCCCCTGAAACCATATTCAAAATCAAGTGTTGTTGCATTTTTTCGAGGTAAAACCTTTTAAGTTTCATCAGACTCTCAAAGGGCTCTGGAAGCCTGTACTGTTTAAGAATCACGGCACTAGTGAGCTGGAGAGATGAACTATGTTTGATTCATCTTTGTACGTTAGGGGCTAGGGCAGTGTCCAGCAGGGTGGGCACACAATATTGGTTAATATACAGTGAGTCTTCCTGAGTATTGAGATTATTTTGGCACTTTTATGCATCAAAGAGATGTAATTCATGATTCTGTGACCCTATTGTTTTGCGGTTATTTAACATTTTGGTCTACTTGATGGTGATACATGCACACACACACGCACACACACACTTTTTTCTTTCTAAATTATTAGATGGTCCCTAACACATTGGTAAGCTTAGACTAGCCCTAGGATCAAACTTGGTAAAATGATTGTTTGCAAATTGGAGTTTGCTACTACAGTTGTCCCTTTATACTCATGGTTTTGTATCCTCAGGTTCTGCATCTGCGGATCCTGCAGATAAAAATATTTTTTTAAATAAAAATAGGAATACAACATTAAAAACAGTATAACAACTATTTACATTTGCATTTATATTGTATAGATACTATAAGTAATCTAGAGATGATTTAAAGTGTGCAGAAGGTTGTACATAGGTGATATGCAAATACTACACCATTTCGTATGAGAGAGTTGAGCAACCTCAAATTTTGCTATGCACAGGGGATTTCTGAAACCAGTCCCAAACAGATATCAAAGGACAACTGAATTTCAATCAGAAATGTTTTTAGGTACTCCGTCTTCTCATTTGTCAATTTTAATTCAACCTGTTATTGCTTTGTTTTAAAAATTAGCTGGTGTTGTTTGCAGGCAAAATAAGTTCAGAAAATTTCATCCTCATTCATCAGAGTTTCTCCAGTATCTTTGTGTGAGAGTCAGTCCTCCAGGAAGCCTGTTAAACGTGGGGATTCCAGGGCCTCCTCCCCAGAGGGTCAAGATAACTAGTCTGGAATCTACATTTTTAACAAAGACGTCAATTGATTCTGAGAAGGGTACTCTATCAGTCTTTGAAAAACACTATTTTATATTGGCTCACTCTCTCCATTAGTATTCATTGAGGTTCAAATCTAAATTTAGGGAAAAAAATGGGCATGTATCACTTCTGAAACTTTCCTTTGAATCTTCATTTCCATGAGACAAAGAGAATGTGGAAAAATGCTTTAGGGGAGAAGGAACTAACCCTATTTTAGACTTGCTGTGTTTTGTTTTTCATTTTTAATATGTGGATGATTTCTAAAGCAATCAGTGAAAACCTAGGTAGCACTGGAAAAACTTTTCATGTTTGCTTTATCTTTGGTGCCAGAGCACATTAAATGTTAACACTGCGACTTGCAAGGACCCCCAGCTGGTGGATCCCTGAGGACAAGGACAGAAGTTCACCATGCACGGCCACTCTGCTTGTAAGTTTGTCTTCATGGAGCCACAGCCTCAGTATATTATGGCAATTTATTGAGCTCTGCCCGTTGTTACAGATAAATGTGTTGATAGGGCAGAACCTTTCTCCTCACATACCCTCCAGACAAGAAGGGACTATGCTTGATTTGGTTATGTTTATTTTAAGAACATTTATTGAGTCCTTGTATGAGATAACTACAGATAGCTGATTTTACATACATTTCATTTAATTCTCACAATAACTCTGCAAATTAGGGTTGTAGTTGTTAGATATGACATATATGGGGTATGATATACAGTAAATCATGATTGATATGGTTTGGCTCTGTGTCCCCACCCACATCTCATCTCAAGGGAGGAACCTGTAATCCCCACAGGTCGTGGGAGGGAGGTGATTGGATCATGGGAGTGGTTTCCCCCATACTGTTCTCATGCTAGCAAGTGAGTTCTTATGTGAGTGAAAAATCTGATGGTTTTGTAAGTGTTTGACAGTTTCTCCTTCACACACTCACACTCTCTCCTGCTGCCCTGTTAAGAAGGTGCCTGCTTCCCCTTCTGCCATGATTGTAAGTTTCCTGAGGCTTCCCCAGCCATGTGGGACTGTGAGTCAATTAAACCTCCTTTGTTTATAAATTACCCAGTCTCAGGTAGTATCTTTATGGCAGGTGAGAATGAACTAATACAATAATGATGATGGTGGTGGTGATGATTCCACATTCACCCCATGGACTCTGCAGTCCCCATGCTGTGCACAGCTGTCTCCTTCTTAGGCACCACACTGTAAAGTGCAAGATAAGCATCTTTTTTGATGCAATAGTAATAAAAACATGAACATTTTAAAGTAAAAAATGAATAAATATTATTCCTATTCCATAGAGAAGAAAGCTGAACTGAACAAGGTTAAGTGACTTGGCCAAAGTCACAGGCAGTAACTACAACAACTGGAATTTGAATGCTTGTCTAATGACTTCTGTCTAATGGCTTTTATAGTTGTGCAACAGGTGTGTGTTCCAGGCCTGTCATGGATGTTTTTCCATAGCTAGTCACCTTCCCTGCAAAACAGAGGGTGGTCCTCAAGGAGAGCAGGATGTCTTCTGGAGCAGAGTCTTCCAAAGAGCACAGGAGACCAGGGGCTCCTTGAGGGGAAGCAACTTTGCCTTATTCTTATTTGTGTCTTTCAGCATCTGGCACAATAAATGCTTGTCTCTTGATATTTGTCAAGATGGGTAAACAGACGCTCTTTATTGTCATATCATCTGTTTCCTTAAGTTTGGTATCTGAGTGACAGTAATAATGACTAACATTTATGGAGCTCTTGCCAGTTGCTTTACTGGTGGTACCTGTTATGGTCTGACTGTTTATGTCCTCCCCCAAATTCCCATGTCAATGCCCTAACTCCCAATGCAATGGTATAAAGAGGCAGGGCCTCTGGGAGGTAATAAGGTTTACATGATGCCCTCACGATGAGATTGGTGCCCTTATAAAATGAGACCAGAGCTCGCTCTCTCTCTCTCCTCTCTGTCCTGCCATGTGAGGATACAGCAGGAAGATGGCCATGTGCAAGCTAGGAAGAAGACAGAACTCACCAGGGACTGAAGTGGCCAGTACTTTGATCTTGGACTTCAAGCCTCCAGATCTGTGAGAAATAAATTTTTGTTGTTTAAGCAACCCAGTCTGTGGTGTTTTGTTGCAGCAGCCGAAGTGAACTAAGACAATACCCTATGAGCTAATACCATTTTAGCAGTGAAGAAACTGAGGCTCAGGGAGCTTAGCAACTTTCTCAAAGTTTCTGTGTGCTAAGCTGTTTCCCTGCCCCTTTCTGTCTGAGGGGAAATTGAAATATAAAGCAACAACCTGTTGCAGAAATATTTGAGTAAACAAACTTCAGAAAGAGTGTTAGAACCCAAACTAGCTTTCAAGTAGAAAAATCAAGGTATTCCTGGGTGCTGTTAGTGTGAAAATACAGGAAATGTCATTGGACCCATAGGTGGGAATTATGGGCAGGTCTCATAGAACAGGCACCTAGAAGGTAGTCGGTAATCAAGAAAACATTTCTTTCCACGAGGCTGCACGATCCCCCTCATCTCTGTGTGTCTCTCATCCTTTATCGGCCTGCTTCCCTCTTCACCTGATTCCTCTGCTTGTTCTTTTGGGGTGCAGCCCTACAAGGAACACCAACCTACATTCTGCTTGTCTCCACTGATCTGCTCTGTCTTTGAGTATTTCCAGTTCTAGAAATTGGTAGAAAGCCAGCTCATATGAGTGAGACCGCATGTACCACAGGCGGCTGGCCAGCTACTTCTCTGGTTCCTTGTCAAAACTGTTGCATACATGTAGCTCAATCTATGATCATCTCTGCACAAACAAACAAACAAACAAACAAACAAAACCCAGCCCTGCACCCTTTCTGTGAATGGGAAGCAATGTACAGAACATATTAAGCCAAGAGGTAGGTAAGGCAGAAAATTGAAAGATGATATCTGTTATTGATTTGGTATGAGTTAAAGGTACATGGTTCTGTTTTAGATATTTTATAATAATAAAAATGAAAAAAGAGAAAGGAATTGCCCCACAATTACGTTTTCAAAATATGTTTATTTTTTCCCCTAATTTTTCTTGAGGTTATTTAGATATTTCTTGACAAATCTTCATGGTAACATATGTGAAAGCAGACATGTTTATTTTCTTTGATTTGGTGGAATGAATTATCAAAATTCTGGTTTTTAACATTGTTAAAACTTCTGAGTAAAAAATTTCTAACAAATGAAGTGTTAATACCAAAAAAAGAGTGTTAGCTATGAGTGGTATGTAAATAAGTTGTCAAATATCATCAATAATAATTCTGATCACCATTTTCTTGGGTTTATTATAATAAGACAAATGTTGCTCCCAAAGAAACTGCTGATTCTGGGGCAGGGACAAGAGCTCACCAAGAAATCCAGCTACCAAAATATTTTGCCTGGTCACCCGGCCACAGGGGCTGATGGCCAAATCACAGACTTGAAACCTAATGGCTGTGAGTGCACATCAACGTGTTCATCTGTCTGGTATTATTATGTAGTTTTTGGAAAGCCGTGATCTCTACGTCAGATTGTTTTTTGCAAAATAAGAAATAATACTGGGGTCTTGCCTCAAAAAAAGCAGTGAAGATCAGCTCATAGAAATGTTTGAAATCTAGGTAGTACTGCAGATTTGTGGACGCTAGAGAATGACTGTAAGAAGTGATCTTAGGCGGGAAAAGCCCACTGTTAGGTCTTGGCTCATGCTCCGCGTTGCCAATTCCCAGCCTTGCAATTTTGGACAGGTTATTTAATCTGTAAGTGTGCTTCCATTTCATCACATATAAAACAGAAATATGAAAACCTGCCTTTGAGCATTTTCATGGGGATTAAATGAGATAAGTTCTGTCTGGCACATACCAATGCACAAATAAGCTTAGCAAATGTTTTTGTTTTTTAACTAGATGAAGATAAGTCTCTCCAGTGGTATATTTTTCTTTAGGAAAAAAATATCAGTACATGCTTTTAACATAAACCTGAATCTAACTTCTATATAATAATGGACAAGATAAGACTCCAGAAATATTTTAGAATTTTCTTAGATGAGCTCTCAATCTGTGTTAAAACAGGTAAAACCTTTTACTATAGACTGAGAAGGAAGAGAAAGGAAAAAAAATGGCCTATTTAAACAATGAGGAATATATATATATATATTTGTCAGTATCTTAAAGAGGCTTTTCTTATACAAACAGGAGTATTTGCTGGTCAGTGCCCAGATTTTTTTTTCTTTTGATGTACATTAAAAAAATTAAAAGAAATATTCTTAGAAAGACATCTGTGCCTGGGGTGACTCACATTTGATCAATCCCTGTGAACTGAGCTTTTCAGGGGATGTGCAATTATTTGCTCAGTTAGGCTTAAACTTTTTATTTATCTAATCACCCCTCTGTAATGCTTTGATCTGAACTTCCAAGGCCTATTTTTCAACCACTTTAGCTACATATTTTAAGTCTTATAGTCTAATCAACCCTAGCCCATAAAACATGCAATGTCCTGTTTAATGCCTCCTATTAGGAAATCAGCTGCCACATGGATTTTGTAATCTCCCACTTTGTGACTGGGTGAGCTGTTTGGAAGTGTCATTAATGTCATTATTCCAGGAGAGCGAGAGAGAGCCAGCAGCCAAGTGCATCCCCTGTATCCCAGCTGGCTTCTCCTTGCTAACGTTTGCCGAGTGACTCAGAGGTGAATCATCGGTTTCTGCAGGTGTAAGCTTGGGAGTCCTGGAAGTCTTCCACATCCCAGTGGGGGCAAATGTTTACCTCATTAATTCATGGGATTACTCAGTAGTTCCAGCCAACTTAATTTGACTGTATAATAGTTAAAAATATGTGTGTGTATGTGTGTGTGTGTGTGTGCATATTTACTTATAGCCCAGGAGTGTGCTACAGCTTAGAAATTTAAAGGTAAAACCTGTCATTGAATAATTAGAAAATGTTGTGTTTATTTGAAACATTTAGAAAAAAAAATTCTATGTATGTCATTTTACTGTAACATATACACTTGGTAATGATATTTCTCACTTTTCTCTCTGTGCTTGGATATATGTGAGGGACTGAGGTCCATAACAGTTGGTGAATTAGCCCACTCTAATTCCTTTCCCAGCCTTGGGGCTTATTTAGTTGAATGTTGTCAGAAACCTTAGCCTTCAGAGACTTTTTTCTTTTCAAAGGACACTCAATTTTTGGTTGTAAAAACAAAAAAGTAAATATAAATATATTTCTTCACTTTATTCATCTCTGAACAAATCTTGCTTTTACATCTTAGTAGTGCCTAATGAAGATAACAACCATCAACTAAATTAGTAAGATTTAAGAATATAAAAATATAGTTACAGCGCCAATTTGCTGAAAATTAATGGTCATTAATCAAGACCTATGATGCAATAGCTAATAATTGATTTCCTCCTATGTTCTAGCACAATGTAAAATGCTTTACAAATACTAATTTATTTAATTATTAGAACACCCTACAACATTGGTACTCTTATTGTCTGCATTTTACAGATGAGAAACTCCAGGCAGAGAGAGGTTAGCCAGCTTGCCTAAGGTCACACACAGATAATACATGATGAAGCCGGCATTTAAATCCAGACAGTCTGACCTTAGAACCTGAATTATAAAACACTATGTTATTATGGTCTAATGACAAATTTTTAAAAAACACAGAAGAATCTATGCATGTAAATGAATCCAGTCCATCTTAAAGTAGCCACCTATGTATGCTCTATACTTATTTCAAATTTTGCTGTGGCTTAACACTTCCAGAACTCTCTCTTTTCTTTCATTTCTAAAAAAATTCTTGTGGAAACTATGCCTTGTTGGTCTAAATATCACCAGTAAAAGCTTCACTCTTTGAAGTTGAATTTGATTTTGGAAATAGTTGAAAGTGATTCAAAACTCAGGTTGGTGAAGAGAGGAGGAATCAAGTTTGGTAAGATCACTATAAGTTAAACTGTCTCTAAATATAATTTTCAAGCAGGGATTCTAGAATTCCAAAAATATTTTGTGTAATGGTAGCATCATTAAAATAAATGGAAAGCCTGCAAAGGTCATTCTGAAGAGCGTTAGAAAGACAGAGAACAGTAGCATAGAAGTTTCTGCTACAGTGATTCATCCTCTAAACATATGAAACCATCCTATTAGGTCACAATTCAATAGATGCTATTTGACTACCTGACCTGTTAGAAGCCCCTTTCAATTCTTCTGTATCCAAATTTATATAGGGGACATTATCGGTCAAGACCCTGGTGAGAGAGTGACACAAAATGGGTAATTGAGGAGAGTTAAATAAAGAAACAGTTTACAGGGTTATAAGCAGGATTTGTGGAAACCAATAACAGAAAGTGCAAATCCCTGGATAGGCAGCATGGAGGCACCATCATGCCCCTCAGCCTGAAGGGGCGCAAGGAGAGGAGCAGGGGCAAGAACCAGGGAGGGCTGCTGCTGTGAACAGGGCTGCATGCAAGGGCCTGCATTGGGGGAGGCAGCCAGCCCATGTCAACCAAACGTAGGGGGGAGTCAGCTCAGAGCAAATACCCCATCTCACTCTCCTCCTGCCCTCTGAACTCCTGCTACTGCCCCACAGACCAAACCCAACCAGAACACACAGCAAAGAGCCAGCCTGTTGTCACATGCCACAGAGATTACCTTTTGGGAGCACACAGTGGGGTCAAGCCTGCCTTCTCTCTGGTTCTCACCTTTCCTAGAGGAGAGGAACTGACGCATGGTAAAGACATTTCATATACAAATTTCAGTTACCCAACTGGCCTAGGAAAGGGAGGAGAGGAAGAATCTGACATTTATTGACAGTTTTTACATTTAGTGAGTACTTACTATGTACCCAATGTGCCAGGTGTTTTACTTATGTTAAAAATGAAGATGCATTATGTGAAGAGAATTTCACTTTACTTCTGTGGTTTCCCTCCCCTCACAATTACATTCTAATTATGAGAAAACATCAGATAAACCTTATCTCTATTGAGGGGCATTCAATAAAATATCTGAGCAGTATTCCTCAAAACTGTTAAGGTCTTCAAAAATAAAGAATTCCGAGAAACTATCACAACCAATGGGAGCCTCAGGAGACATGACCAACAAATATAATATGGTATCCCTGATGGGATCCTGGAAAAGAAAACAGACATTCGGTAAAAACTATGGAAATCTGGGCCGGGCGTGGTGGCTTACACCTGTAATCCCAGCACTTTGGGGGGCCGAGGCAGGTGGATCACCTGAGGTTTGGGAGTTCGAGGCCAGCCTGACCAACATGGAGAAACCCCGTCTCTACTAAAAATACAAAATTAGCCTGGCGTGGTGGTGCATGCCTGTAATCCCAGCTACTCGGGAGGCTGGAGCAGAAGAATCACTTGAACCGGGGAGGTGGGGGTTGTGGTGAGCCGAGATCACACCATTGCACTCTAGCCTGGGCAACAAGAGCGAACTCCATCTCAAAAAGAAAAACAAAAAAACAAAACAAAACAAAAACTATGGAAATCTGAGTAAAGTGTGGGCTTTAGTTAATAACAATGTATCAGTATTGGTTGATTAATTGTGACAACTGTATGTACTAATGTAAGATGTTAATAATGGTGTGGGGTGTATGGAAACTCTCTTATCTTTGCAATATTTCTGTAAATCTAGAACTATTCTAAAATAAAAATTTTATTTAGAAAATAAAAGTCTAGTGCTTCACTTTTCTTGGAGAATAAGAATAAAGCAAAGGAGGAAGAGAAAGAGGAGGAGAAAAGCACTCTTCGGTCATGCTTTCTTCACAGCCATTGCTCTGCCATAACACCCAGCCAGCATTGTGCTGGTCAGGAGTTCCCACCACTGCTTCACTGGGCACTTATGCAAATGACTTAAACATTCTCACCTTATGATGTGAGGTGTTAAGTTGGATTATTAAACTAAATTTTCTGAGATCTAAGGCATCAAACAATCATCATTTAATATGAAGGACACCATTAATAGCTCTTTTACAAAATCAACTCCTACTCCTTTAAAAACAACAACAGGCCAGGTGCAGTGGCTCACGTCTGTACCCAGCATTTTGGGAGGCCAAGACAGCCAGATCATTTGAGGTCAGGAGTTCGAGAGCAGTCTGGCCAACATAGTGAAACCCCATCTCTACTAAAAATACAAAAATTAGCTGGATGTGGTGGCACACGCCTGTAGTCCCAGCTACTGGGGAGGCTGAGGCAGGAGAATTGCTTGAACCTGGGAGGGGAGGTTACAGTGAGCCGAGATCACACTACCGCACTCCAGCCTGGGTGACAAAGCGAGACTCTGTCTCAAAAATGACAACAACAACAACAACAACAAAATATGCCTAGTAAAAACAAAATAAGGGCACTTAAGTACTTTAGCAAGAAAAATTAACATTATTCGGATTTAACAATAGAAATAATAAATTCTACTCCCAAAGCCAGTTTTTACCTCAAAAATTTATCAGAAGGATGTTGTTTTATAAACAAGCTGTCTTCTAGTGATGTCAACCACTCTTATCTCTAACATGTATATGAAAATGTGTGTGCATCAATATATACAATATCACGAATCACTGACAGTACTATCTATGGGAGGTGTGAATATAGGATATCAGAGCCACCTATTGCTGTGTAGGCTGCTGGTCCACCATCATAGCCCCAGAGATCCCATGACGGGGCCTTACATTTTTATTTCAGTTTGTGTTGAGCCTAGGTCTTTCCTAGGGCCATGAGAGACGTGGAGGGTTCCAAGGCTGAGGGAGCGCCTCGTGACCCACCATGTGTGCCTGCCTGCACAGAGCAAAGTCCCTGACATGAACAGGCTTCTCTGGTAATGCCTGCCCAGCCCCTCCTAGCTCAGCTTATTTCCAGTATGGAATTTCTCCCCTCTTATTAGCATCCTCCCAAACTTGCCACTCTGCTCCATCTCCTGGCATCCATGTGTGTGTCCTATGGAGGCCACAAGCAGGGAAAGCGTAGCACTGGCCATGAGCCTTAGTTTGTTCCATTACAGGAAAGCCTCCTTCTTTTTCTGAGGAGTGAAAGGGAGTAAAAGAGTGAAGAGGAGTAATGGGTGGAGTGGAAAGTGTGAGGACTTTGCAGCCTGCAGAACTGGGTGTGGATTCTGCTTCTGTCCACAGCTTCTGTGTATCTTTAGGTATGTCCCTTAATGTCTGCTTTCTCATCTTAGAAAGAAGGATGTGAACCAGAGATAACGTCTGTAAAGTGCCTGGCACATGATGAGAGTTCGGGGGATGGCAGCTAGCACTGGCAGCTAAAGACACAGCTTCTTCCAGTATGAGGCCATGAGTACTATTATTTCTCTTTCTACAACTCTGACCACTCATTTGCCATAGATTAAGTAATAGCAGTTCTCAGTTAGGTACTTAGCATTTTATTTTCCTCTGGCTTCTTTCCCTTAATAGACTGGATCTGAGGATACTTTGAATGCCATGCAATTGTCTAGAAGAGATGCACATGGGGTGTGCCAGGTAATATTTATTTAATAAATGAATCAACCTCTAGAAGGCAATCCCACAGCACATGTACCTATGAATGCAGAAGTGTATATGTGTATGTGGGCATGCACATAGACTTAGATCTGTACTACTGTGCACACACACATCTGTGCTCAACAAACACATTGTTATGAAAAGCAATATAAGCATATTCATGACTCGGTTGGCGGGAGCTACAAGTCCTATGGATTTCAAATGGTTCTTTGCGCAACTTTAAATTAATTCTTTAAATGCGTGAATGAATGAAGACTGAATTGGTATGATTGTGCTAGAGAGCCTCTGAAATTGAATATTAAAGCTTCTACGAAACAGTGCCAAAGAACAGCTACATATATCCGTGAACAAATTTCCAACAATAAGTGGGCTTTTGAAGTTTTTAGGAAAACATTGTTTCCAGTGCTTACTTCAAACATAAAAGTGAAGATGTGCCAGATTCTGAAGTACTCTTCCTACTTCCATTCATGGAAATTCAATTCTGTCAAGATAATACTATTCTAATTGCTCACCAAAAATAATGGCCACATCATATTTATTATTAGTCCTTTTGAATTCTAAAGAATCCATTCTGAAACGTTAGGTTCATATTACTTTTCCCAGCATAGACCTGATCAGCATTTTTCTTCTTCAGTTTTAGAATGTTTTCTCTGGGTGTGACAAGTGTGTACACGTGAAGTATGCCTCCAACCAACCCCATATGTCCAGAAGCTTTAATACAAGAAGTGTAACATGAAAAGGCATGAATATAGAACTATGTGGTTAAAAAACAAAAACAAAACACTAGCTTTGCACCAAAACCTGGCTTTACATTTACAAACTGTGTAACCTTGGGAAAGCTACTTAACATCTGTCTTTGTTTCTTGTTGGTAAGCTGTGGGGGGAAGAAATTCACCTCACATGGGGTCTCTGAGCATTTTAAATGAGATGACTAACAGAAAATGTCTGGTGCGTAGTTGGAACAGAAGAACAACTAGTTACGAAAATGGATAATTAAGGACCCCAAAACAAGTGTATTAGGAAAGAGCCTTTCTTTCTTTGGAGGAATCTAAAACCATCTGCCATAGGTGTTGTGTCAAGGGTAACAGCTGCAGTGACCATTAACCTCCACAGTGTCCCTGTGTCCTGTAAGTCACCCAGGGATGAAAAGTCTGTTGGTGTCATCCATGACCACCTATCACTATGTAGAAACATGGTCTGCTCACGAGGAGCCCCCACTAAACATGGCATTTGCCAGGTTTCGACAAGCCAGAATTCCTGCATCAGTGGTGCCCTTGGTAGGGACTACAGACACAGCTACACTCTTACTGTCACAATAATAATTGTCATGGCACATCGGTTGCCTTCCATTATCTGGGTTTATCTAGGGCTCTTCCTGGGACAGAACAAGTCTTCACTAAAGATTTGTTGATGGAAAGAGAAAATGAAAGAATGAATAGATGTATCACAGTCTTGGTCTTCTCTTTGTGTAATTCTCCATGCTTAGTACTTCACCTATCCCTCCTGCTTTATTCAAATTATCAGTCCAGCATTTACTCATCTCTTGACAATAGTCACCTCCTCCGGGAAGCCTTCCCTACAATATCACACCCCCATCCCCAGCCCACAGAGTTCACTGTTTGCCTTTCCTTCAGAGCTCAGAGTATGGTGTTTGGATAATGCTTTTGCACTTGAGCTATCCCATGTTTTTATTTATTATGTCCCCATTAACCTTCCTGTAGGGCAGGAATTATCTTCAACATCTTGAAAAAGGTTTTTTAATGAGTTTTTTTCATATATTTTAATGGTTTTTTTCATATATTTTTAATGAGTTTTTTCATATATGTAGGCAGGGACCTATAATACAACAGGTTTTGTTTCTACAAAGTGAAATTAGACAATGGTTGTACCCTCAGAATGCTTTGTTTATACAAAGTGAAATTAGACAGTGGTCCTACCCTCAGAATGCTTACTTGGCAGGGAAGACAAGCTGTAAAGTAGAGAGTGAAGAGTGCTGAATGACTGATGTAAATAAAGGGGCGATAGGAGAAAGTGGAGGATGATTATATCTCCCAGATGGCTTCTTCAGGGCATATTGCTGGGGGAGGCACCATTTGAGTCAGGCCTAGAAATATGGTAGAGAAAAGTACTGCTGGCAGAAAACAAACACAAAGGCATAGAGGAGGGAGAGGGAGGTGTGTGTGGCAAACATTTACATCACACTTCACAGTTTTCATAGGGCCTTTGCACTCTCTCTCTCTCATTTATTTTGCACAACAGTCGGTTGAAGAGAACAAGGAGGATATTGAATGTTCCCAACACAAAGTAATGATCAATGTTTTAGATGATGTATATGCTAAGAACCCTGATCTGATCACTACACATTATATGCATGGAAACATCACTATGATACATACACCACTATGTATCACATTACGCATTAATATGTATAATTATTATGTGTCAATTTAAAAAATAAAATGTAAATTATAAAAAGAGGACAAGCCAGAGGTTTCCTGGCTGCTTCCATGGCGGTGTGGAGAGGTGAAGGGACTCACCAAGACTAGTGACTATTCCAGGACAGGATGTGACTGCTGGTAGAACTAAAGTCTGACTCCAAGTCCACTGGTAAAAACTCCCTCTTTGGATAGAGAAATGGCCCCATGGAAATCGGGCAGGGATTGCTTATTGATGACAAGTGGCTTGGATGGGGGGAAATGGTGAACTCCTTGCTTCTGAGAGGGCAACATTCCATGACAATCTGTGGGTACCTGGAAGGATCTTAAGAGCACTGGGTACCAAGAGTGAATTTGAAGTCACCAACTGCCTCTGATCCAACTCTTAATGATAGAGCACTGTGTAAGGTCAGTGACACCACAGGGCGGGATGGCCCACCAATAAGAAGGGTTAGCATCTGGGAGCCTGGCTCTGCTAGGCACTGTGCTCTGTATGTTGCAGGTGTCATCTCATTTGAGCCTCACAACAGATCTGTGAGGTGTAGACGCTCAGCAGCTACTTCCTGGGCCACTCAGCTGGTGAGGGCAGGATTCAGATGCAACCCTAACTGACTGCCCTTTAGCCTGTGGACCAGGGGATTTTAACTATTTGAGTGCCACAGACCCCTTTGGCTATCTGACAAAGCCCATGGATCCCTTCTCAGAAAAATGCTTTTAAATGTATAAAATAAAATATATAGGCTGAAAAAAGCCCAAATGTATTAAAATTTAATGACCAAATATTAAAAAGCAAATTTTTGTTATTATAATAGATGTGCTTCTTTGCTGATAAATAAAATAATAACAGCTGGTGGTAGGTCATGATTTGGAAGTTGTGATGAATGTAACACTATTTCAGCAATAACTGGAATTGGAAGTGAAAATATCTGTGACTTCTGTTGATGACAGAGTTATAGGTATGTGAATTCTACTGTTTTTTTCCATTCAAAATGGAAGAAAATGCCAAATTTCAGTGAAAAGTTCATGAAAATTAGAATGTCATTTCTATTCAAGTTTAAAAGCTACCTAACTTTCAAATTCTCTTTAGTAACCCTTGGTTAAGGATTCCTGGGCCAGGCTATGCTGTCCTGTGGCCAGGAACTTGGCTAGCAGGGTCTGTGAAGCCCAGTCCTCAGCATAGACCCAGGCTATCTTTATTTGGGAGCCAGCAGGTGGAGGGGGAGGAGTGGATGGCTAGGGCTTAGGAGAATAACTCTGTAGCAGGGAACTTCTCAGGTAGAGCCAGACCTGGGATCAGAGGGCTGAATGGATAAACCCAAGAGAGCAATGGGAGAATGGGGAGGGGGACCTCCCAATGAAGGCTTGATAGATGGTGCAGGGTTATGGAGGTAAGGGTCATGGGTTCCATCCCAGAACACCATTCACCATCAGTACCTGGTGCCCAGAGCAGGAAAGGCTGAGGGGAGGTGAGATGGAGAGGAAGTGGGGAGTGAGCAGCAGGAACATTCTTTTCCTCTACTGGGGAAAACATGAGGGAACAAGGAATGAGTGAGCCCAAATTGGCCAAATCCTGCCATGCTCCCTTCCCAGCCCTACGATTTAGGTAAATCTCATTGCCTTGCTGAGTCATTGTGGCCTCATCTGCTCAGGAAGAACCAAAACATCGAACTCACTGGTGATTTTTTTTTTTTTTTTTTTTTTTTGAGATGGAGTCTCACTCTGTAGCCCAGGCTGGAGTGCAGTGGCGCAATCTCAGCTCACTGCAAGCCCCGCCTCCCAGGTTTACGCCATTCTCCTGCCACAGCCTCCCAAGTAGCTGGAACTACAGATACCCGCCACCACACCTGGCTAAATTTTTTTGTATTTTTAGTAGAGATGGGGTTTCACTGTGTTAGCCAGGATGGTCTCGATCTCCTGATTTCGTGATCCGTCTGTCTCGGCCTCCCAAAGTGCTGGGATTATAGGTGTGAGCCACTGCGCCCGCCCTGAACTCACTGGTGATTTGAACGATTGAGTTACTGATGGACATTTGACAGAGTTCCTGGCATGTAGTTGGCTGCTTAATACCATTTAGGTCGAATTATATGCACTCGTTGTTTTTGTAGGTCAAAAATGGTTGAATGTGGGTAGTTTCATATGGCTCAAATTATAGTTCCTGGCAAACAGGGATTGCTGTTGTGAGCATATTTGACTCCATTTGGTGACTTCAGTTGTAACATGGGATTAAAGGAATCCAATCGCCTATCCTCCCCACTCCTCCTCCTTTGCTGCAGGGAGTGTTATTTGGAACTTCCTTGCCCTCTCCCTCCCCTCTGCCCCATGACCAGAGTGAATTCGGTAAAGGGATGCTCATGGCAGCATTCTCTTTGGCACTCCAGGGAATGAAAACTCACAAACCACAGTGTGGCATGAGAAGGACTCCTGTGACCTGTCCGTGGATGAAGAGGCAGAAGAAGGAAAAAGAAGCACTTTATATTCCTTGAACGAGCACTCCTATTTTTCTGGTATGAATAAAAAGTCCAGAGAGGTGAAACGGAAAAACCCATGGGCTAAACCCAGGCTCTAACCCATACTCTCTACTTAACACTTAACGACTTGCATGATGTTGGGTCCACCACAGCCACCCTGAATTCCAGTCTCCTTGTTTATAAGAGGGGGGTATTAGGCCAGAGCATCACCTAGATCCCATCCACAGGTAACTCTGACAATGGAGGTTTTGGTTTGACGCTCAGCTCTGCTGCCAAGATGCCAAAAGTTCTTTTGGAGCCTCAGTTTAGCCATCAGCTCAGCAGTGTAACAATAACTCAACCAGTATGATGGGCATAGGCAACCCAAACTAGGAGGTGCATTCATTGATCTGAAGCCTGCAGAACTGGACAGCTGTCTGAAGAGCTGCGGGAAAGGGCTCTGAGATGAAGCAAAGTGAGAGAAAATGGTTGGCGTCTGTGGTCAGTGGGGTGAGGTGGAGGAATAACTGTTCAGATTTGTTTTGAAGTGTAGTTTTTCTAGAAGCTCATTTCATATTAAATTATAAAAACCTCATGGAAAAGTGATTACAGGCTCTTTCTGTGGCAATAAAACAGCCCTCAGGGCAAAGAAGCACTAAGGCTTAATACATCTAAAAATATCTTATTTTTCTACGGCTTGATTGAAACTGGTGTAGGTGTGCTGGCATTTGACTTGGGGAGGTCGTACCTTTTCTTCTTCTTCTTATAATACTGTTTGGCAGCTTTTCACTCTATCTTACCACAGATCTTTGCCAAAACTTGAATTTACTTCCGTCAGATTAACTGTCTCCAAAAACAAACTGGCATTTCTTCTAAGGGCTCCGATTAAAAGGATAAGCCTGAGTGACACCCCCTAAATGGCTGGATGTTCTCACACAGCTAGAAAATCAGAACTGGAAAAGTGGCAGAGGCTGTGTTTAGTCACACGGCAGCACAGGCATTTGGACGGTGAGAGGGGTTGCTGTTTCCCTGTGCTCCGTTTAGAAACGACGGGTGAATTATGATTTTTGAAAACACATTCCTCAAAAACCTGTCAGAAGAAATTCCTTGAAATCTCTCAACCACTGTTTTGTTCTAGGTCCCAGCCTTTCTGCTTTTTGTTTGTTTTAAATATCACCTTCGATAATTTCACTGATCAAATTATGTTGGCTTCCCCAACGCTCCAAGGAAACAGAGGGCCTCTCCCAGTTGCACAGCTGAATGCATATGGAATTTGAATGAGCCAACTATGTATAGGCCAAAGAACTTCCTCTCTTTAACATTCCAGTAGATGGAGAGGAGAGTCCAAGAAAGGCGGAAAGTGAGAAAAGATGAGAGACACATTTGTCCAGTTCTTCCCTCGCTCTTATATCATTTAATCCCTCAAGAATAAGAGTTAGGGTCAAAATTATTTTCCAAACAAGTATTTTTCTTTGTGTTTGTTCATTTATTGATTTTCTTTTAAATGTCCCTATGTTGAAGAAGAAAATAAGGAGGGAATAGGGAAGAAAGAAGCAAGGTTGCTAATTTACTTAACAGGTTACAAATATGAATGCCTAACAGATACAAAACATTTAATGAGATAACACTTGAGGAGTCGAAATGTGGGTCCTGAATATTCTCTAGCTGTGAATTTCCCCTTCTCCCTCCTTCTCACAACAGTCTTTCTCACTCAGTGTAACAATACCTTGAATGCAGGGGCTCTGCGGCAAAGCTGGGGAAGAATTATGCTAAATTCTCTAATCCTGTATTGAAACCATCTAATAATGGAAGGCGAAACAACTATGATTGCTTTTTTTAAAAAACTTTTATTACTTGACCTGAGAAGATGTATGATCAATAAATGATATTTTTAATTCATCTGAGAAAAAAAATTTGCTATATAAATATATAAGCCGATCGCTATATTTACTTAAAGTCTTTCATTGCCAAAATCCAAATTTCTGTGAGTTAGACACGGATTGGGCTTATCTAAGCATTGTTACATTATATTTTTATTTTATATCACTTGTCACTTTCGTTACTAGAAATGAAATCATCGTCACTTCTCTGGATAAGTTATCTGGATGAGTCAGAAATCAACCAGCCTCAAGTCCATCAAGTTACCATGCCTCCTTCCGTTCTCTCTGTACTGGTGAAAAGTGGAGTTAGCCCGTGGATCACTGGCTACTCCTCTGGTGCCCTCAGATGTGATATAAATATCCTACCAAGAATGAGGTTGTTCATAAAGACTTGGTATAAACTGAAGTGAATTTAAAAATATCTCTTAGTTCTCACTGACAGTCACCTCAGTAGAAATTCCTTAGTGCGTTAGATTGACAACCACTGGTGACAAGTGCTATTCCTGGGACTTTATACATATTTTCAGATCCGGTCCTTGAAACCAGTGGTTGCCAAACTTCTTTGATCATACACCCCGACAGTTTCACAATTTGGACCATGTATCCACAAAATATGCATATCCATTGATTTATTATATATATTTTCTACACTACCACTATATTATATACATTATAAAATGTGCACAAAAACAGGGATTTCAAAAGAATCTGATAAATATAAAACAAATTTTATTTTACATAAATTAGAATATTTTGCTTATAATTATTTATATTTCGCCTTCAAAAATACAACTAATAGTATTTTAACAAGAACAATTGAGTATGCTTCATGTTTTATGAAAATCCTGACTAATCAGTTTATAATAGGATCTAGCTCTAAGTTCACTTTGTTTTTATGCTTGCTATTAATGATATCAAAGCTTAAACATATTGTCATTATCCTTAACTTAGTGTGGCTATTTTACTAGGAGACATGCTGGCTTTGCCATTGCCTTGTTCATTTGAATTTGCATTATTATTATGAATTTCTGTATGTGGTTTTACTATAGGGATCTTTTTAAGCCACTCATTCAATTTGTAAGTGATACTTTAGTTACACCAAATAATATAATCCACAATTCCTTTTAGCCGAACACAAGAAAACCATAATGCCTTATAATGTGCTGAAGGCAGCCTAACACATGAGGGTGCCCCGTCAGCCACCTGTGATGCGATCTGCCTTCACTCCCTTACTGTCCTTCCTGGACTGTGTGAAACACACGGTCATCTGACACACGCAACAAGCAATGGCCCCAGGTCAATCACTCCATGGAACATTGAAGTCAGCAGAGTTGTAGATACATAAATATATGTGTACACAAAATTATAATGCATAACACACACGTGTGTGTGTGTGTGTGTGTGGTGTTTCACCCACTAGCTTGAGCATACTTGATTTTGGGGGCCACTTCTCTAGACTACCTTATAAAACATGGATTGTCCTCTTCATTTCACTGACAAGGAAAAAGAAACTAAGTTTCTGAGAGTTACAATTAGTAACTCTCATTTTTGCAGTTGGTCTTTTCTCATAACTACCGCCAGAAAAAAATAAAATAAAGCAAAATAGTTTGATCACCAATGTTTTTGTTTTATTTTTTAATCTCATTCTTTAAAATTGTTGTTATAGGGTGGAAAAACATTTTCATTTAGTGGGATATGGAGACAAAAAACTTACGAACCAATTACTAATAATGATTATTAAAAATCATTGATAAGATCTGTGGGGACTAAATTAACATCAGTCAATAGGACCCCTATATTAAATAGAGTACTCTTCCATTACTCCTGTTATCTGATTGTTCTAACCATTCCCTCTCTTTTTATTTCTTCCCACACACAATTGCTTTGTATCCAGATGATCCTTACCAGCACACCTACCAACTGGGGATAAGCTTTCTTATTGGCACAAACTGAATTTTCATGCCTGGATGTAAAATAACTCCAGTGAAATGGAAGAATGCTTTTAAACATCACTTGAAAATATGACTAAACTCACACATTTCAGTTTGAATGAAGCGTTTTATGTTATGAAAATAACATATACTTGTTCTATACAAAATTTGGAAAATACAGAGAAAAGTGAAGAAAGATCACTCGTAACTCTGTCACCCAACATGATCACTGTTAACATTTTGATATATTACCTTCTATTATTTTTCTTTTACATAGTTGTAATCATGTTGCATATGTAATTTTGTACCTTACTTTTTTGCCTGAACATAAATAAAATAAACATGTTTCATGTTTATAAATTCTTAATATAAATACTTCCTAAGCCTATGTTTCTGTGACTGCACAATAATCCATCAAGTGGATGGTAGCACACTTTTACATATACAAAACTTCTTTTTTTTTTCTGAGATGGAGTCTTGCTCTGTCACCCAGGCTGGAGTGCAGTGGCATGATCATAGTTCAATGCAACTTTGAACTCCTGGGTTCTAGTGATCCTCCTGCCTCAGGCTCTCAAGTAGCTGAGACTACTTGGGACTCCTAAGTACTACTTGGAGTCCTACTTGGGGAGTCTGGAATAGTACTTAGTAGTTGTTGGCATGTGCCACCAGGTCTGGCTAATTTTTTTTTTTTTTTTTTGTAGAGACGAGGTCTCACTATGTTGTCCAGGCTGGTCTTGAACTACTGGCCTCAAGAGATTCTTCTGCCTCAGCCTTGCAAAGTGTGGGATTACAGGTGTGAGTCACCTTGCCAGGCCTACAAAAGTCTTGAGGTTGGAAAGATAAATGCAAGATTATGTAAGCAAGTATAGTCAACTCTAATGGAAATATGAACAGACTGGATAATTGGAAATAAAATTTATTTTCCTTTAGAATGAATTCATTTCTTTTGGTGGCTAATTTATCTTCTGAATTTTGCTTAGACTGGATGAAAGACGTTTTGTATTTCTCAAACACTTACCTTCATATAGGAAAGGGAAAGTGACCCTAGAATATAATACCTGGAAGAGGAAAACCAACTTTTAAAAAATTACAGATAAGTAAATATTACCAATGGTTTGTATTGTATTATTAAATAAAAATTACAATAAATTACATGTACTATATTTTCATAACTCATTTTAAAATTCCGGGTCCTTATTGCTTTTAACAAGATTATTAGTGTTGATTTCTGGTATGAAAGGCTGGCCACTATTTTTTAAATAAGTTTCTGTACTTGTGAAGAATATCTTTAAAAAAAAAAAAGGTGGGGGATGGGTCGGGAGCAGTGGCTCACGCCTGTAATCCCAGCACTTTGGGAGGCCGAGGTGGGCGGATCACCTGAGGTCAGGAGTTCGAGACCAGCCTGACCAACATGGAGAAACCCCCGTCTCTACTAAAAGTACAAAATTAGCCAGGCATGGTGGCGCATGCCTGTAATCCCAGCTACTTGGGAGACTGAGGCTGGAGAATCGCTTGAATCCGGGAAGCGGAGATTGCGGTGATCTGATATTGCCCCATTGCACTCCAGCCTGGGCAACAGGAGAGAAACACCATCTCAAAAGAAAAAAAGAAAAAGGGTTGGGGGTAGCTTTTACATGAAAATTTCCATTCCTTAAATAAGGAAGTAATACATATAATGAAAGAAGAAATATAGAAAAGATCGTGGGACTATTTTTGAATGCATGTTGTTTTATAGATAATGACCATGTAAAAAAATGGAGTGATAATCAGCTATGGAAGAAGTATTGCTGAAATCATTCCTGTTTTCTTATATGTACCATTGTCAATCAAGGTAAGGTAATAATTATTTGAAATCAAATAAACAGACAAAATTTAAGAAGTGTTTCTATATAATTATATATATAATGTGTATATATAGTGAATGAGTTTATACACACACACATATACAAACTATCTTGTGTGTTTAATATATATGAACCAAATGGATTACCTATATATGTGAAGATAGAAATATTTTTAAAAACTCTAAAAGTTTAGTAAACTGACTATATGGTACTATTTAAATTAAAAAGTTTGGATAATTCTACGGCATTTGTTTTAATTTTCCAGCAAAGAAAGATTACAAATGATCCTGGCTTTTGAATAAAACCAGTCCCTCTTCAAGAACAGAACATTTTAAGATCTAAGATTCTGTGTGGCTGCTAAAGTGTTTAAGCCATTTCAAGCTGTGATCTCTACAGTACCACTGCAAGCAGTTGGGAAAAGTGAAAAATTTTATCAGCCTGGTGTTAATTTGATGCTTTTCTTTCCTTTTTCTGTCCCCCCCCTTTTTTTTGCCTCTTTCCTTACTTCTTCCCTTTCTTTCTCTCTCCTTTCCTTCCTTTACTTTTATTTTTAATTGAATGCATGAAATTTCTTGAATGTTCCAGGGTCCTGTAATCAGAGTATTGACAATCTAAATTGTTCATCACTTTGTCTTCTGCAAATTTCTGAAAGCGTGCTTAACAGAGATTCCAAGACAAGCCATTTGAATACTCCTCACTGAATTGGTAACAAAACAATCACTTCCTGGTAAAAATAACTTCTGAATTTCCAAAATGAGCAGTGGCTTTGCTCCAGAATTAAAGAGAAATGAATCAGTTCTCAGGTGCTTTGGTGTCTGACAAATGTGTTATATGTAATCTTGGGTTAACTTTACTGAGCCTCAGTGTCCCCATTTGTAAAGTGGAAATGCTAGTAATACTTCCCTCAGAGGATTGATGCAAAGATAAAATGAAACAGCATTTGGATAGCCCTTGGCAGAGTTCCTGGCATATAATAAGTGCTCAAGAAATAATAGCTGATGATCTTAGAATATATTATTAATTAATTAAATAAAATTAATATACCATTTCCTTGTACGTGCAGTACAAACAGTACTAACTCATACTACATGGAGTGATTGCTCAAATGCTCAGTTATGTCACTAGGTAGCCAACAGACCATTATAGAACTCAGGGCAAATACAGTGTTATTTAATTCACAGATGGCATTATTGATTTTAGTCATTATACATAAATTGCAGAAATAGGAAGACAAGCAATTATACCTGAAAAACTAGAACTTACAATAAAGACTTACTGTATTTTGAAACTTTCTTTGAAAATTTGAAGTTTTATGAAACACATTTTATTTGTTAAATATGCTCAAGAATTAAAAAAGAAACACTAAAAAAGAATCAATGAGCTATGAAAAACAAACCCACACAAACATTCACAAAACACTTTACCAAATACTCAGGGCCCTTGCATGAAAGCATTTCAGATGTTTAATATGCTTTGAAGGCATTTTACTACCTAACAGAATTTCACTTAAGTCCTTTTAAAAAAGTAAGTGTAGGCCAGGTAAAAAAGTAAGTGTTGGCCAGGTGCAGGTGCAGTGGCTCATGTCTGTAATCCCAGCACTTTGGGAGGCCAAGGCGGGTGGATCACCTTTACCTGAGATCAGGAGTTCGAGACCAGCCTGGCCAACATGGTGAAAACCTGTCTCTACTAAAAATACAAAAAGAAAAAAAAATAGCTGTCCATGGTCGCGTGTGACTGTAATTTCAGCTACTTGGGAGGCTGAGGCAGGAGAATCATTTGAACCCAGGAGGCAGAGGTCGCAGTGAGCTGAGCTCGCGCCACTGCACTTCAGCCTGGGCAGCAAGAGCGAAAACTCCATCTCAAAAAAAAAAAAAAAAAAAAGTAAGTGTAACACCTGGTATATATAACCACTTTTGAAAATCAGTTAAAAGAGCCTCATGCAAATAGATAACAGATAGTGGAATGGTTCTGTAGTATAACTAAAGGTATAATGAGTAAAAAAAAAAAGCTGGTGAAACTATAAGGGTATTTCACCTATCTTTCTAACTGACATAGGGGAAAAAAAAAAAAAAAAGGCCTTCCATTGTACAACTCCAAAGGGTTATACCATGAAATGCCAAGTTTATCTGACAACTTTGGGTGGCGTGGAATCTGTCAACAAAATTCACTAAAATACGAGTCAGGGACAGTTGGAAAACGAAGGAAGAATTGGTGCTTCATAAATGAAAGTCTAGATTAATGTGATTATAGTTTCTTTAGAGCCATTCAAAAACATAAACAATCTTATTGAAAAAGAAAATCTATTAGTCTGCATTTCATAAGGAGGAACTATTCCCTCAGCCTACATAATTTTCCTACCTTTTGTTTTATGGCAGAGCTTCATGTTTTAATATAGTAAATAAAGATGTGATTGGGGGTGAGGGAAGGTCAAGGCACACAGCTCTCTCTTTCCTTAAAGATCTTTTGGGGTTTCCAACCAATTCAGTGAAGGGCGAAATGAATTAATTAGTTGAAAGTGATATTTCAGATAAAACAATTAGCACTTTAATCCAATTTTGTAGGGGTGAGGACTTCACCAAGTCTCCTGCCTTTTGTTGAAATGAATTCCATTTCAAAGTTAATTTTAAAAATTAAAAGCACAACCTTGAACTTCAACAGAAATATTTAACTATTTGCAGCATGTGCATTTTTAATCTACCCCTGCTGAGTGAATAAGAGAGGTTATACAGATTTCCCCTTCCAGTTTATTAAGGAGAAGTAAAGGAAACAAACAAATAAACAAAGGTGGTGGTGGCAGGGGGATAGCCCACCTTCCTGCAGTGCTTAAAGGCATTTGGGAAAACCTCCTTGGCATTCTATAAGAAACACATAGATTAGAATATGCAGGATCAAAATGAGAAATTATGGTAAATGGTTAATCTAAGAGGAAAACAGCAGTCACTTTTTGTATGCCATATTGGGCATAAACATTCTAACTTTATGTTAAACATTTTTGAAATTATATGCAGAATAAACAATTCTATACATTGAATCAAAGAGCATGAATAAAAACGTAGTTATTTATGCAATGATTCTGAAGTTCTGGGAGGTTTTTAATCCTAATCCATTAAAAAGTAGATACAAAATTAGTCCTCTAAGAAGTTCTTTTTTTTTTTTAAAGAGGAGAAATGAAACCTTTTTTTTTTTTTAAGTTCATTATTTCTTAGGGTAAAAATCACTGCATCTTTGGCGTCTGGGAAAGCTGGGCACCACTGAAATTTTAACATATATAGTGTAATTTAGCAGAGCCCTTAAAAAGTGTTGAAAGAAGTTTAATGGAGGGCGTCCATTGGGTGTTATTGATCTGTCAAAGAAAATGAGTGCTGCGCACATAAACCAAACTGCACAGCAAGTAACAACTACAAGTTTAAAACTGAGTCTCCCAGCGTTAAACCTAATGAGCACCTGCTAAGAGAGAGCTGCGGGAAGACTGAGACATTTAGATAGGAGAGGGGCAAATGTGTTCTGGTTTAAGTCTGATTGGTACTCGTATCTTAGGCAGCCATCTTCAACCTTGCTTCCACTTGGGAATAAATCTGTTGCACCTAAACCTAAGTAATACTCCTCCACCTCCTCCCACACAATAATAAGAAATGAGTAAAAGGCAGAACAACTTTCCAGTGAATTGAAACTTTCTTACTTCAGAGATATTTCTAACACTGCTGGCCCTAGACAGTCCTGATGAACAACTTAGGTAAGAGCACTTTTTTCAGCCACATCACTAATTGGCTTACTCTTACTTTTCACTTTAATTTAAAACCAAAGGGGAGAAAAATGATTTCCAAGGCACCTGCAATCTGACATGTATGAGCAGAACTGAAAGTATTTTTTTCAAAATTGGATTAATTAGCATTATCAGAAAAACAAAGGGAACAAAGCCACCAGTAAGTAGTGCATTAATCATATTGCTAGTAATTAGTGCCACAATAGAAATACAAGAAAAAACAAAGAAGTTGGAAATAGTTCTGAAACTAGTCATATTTTGTAGGTATCACTCGCTAAGAAATAGACATACTTGGATGTGCAGAGAAGACAAGAGTAAAATAGAATCTCAAAAATCACAGAAAGTTAAAAGACTCAACTGCATAAATCCTGAACCCCAGAGAAATGGAGAAATTGATATATTTTTAATGTCTAAAACCCACAGTTAAAAAACAGACAGGGAGGGAGGGGACAGGGGGAGGATAGTAAAGAATTAGAGGAACAGAATGTATTTCCATTTTTAAAAGAGAGAGTTTATACTATTGTAACAAAGCTAATGCCAGGTCTAGCCAAACCTCAGATGTGCAGGATTGTTTTGAAACACAGAAATGGTGGCTAGGCGCGGTGCCTCCTGCCTGCAATCACAGCACTTTGGGAGGCTGAGATGGGAGGACTGCTTGAGGTCAGGAGTTCAAGATCAGCCTGGTTAACATAACGAGACCCCATCTCTAAATAAACAAACAAACAAACAAACAAACAAACCCTACAGAAATGGCGAGAATTCTCTTTGCTTTAAATATATGATTGGATAATGTCAAGGAATTTAAAACTTTCTTTAGAGTGATAAAAACATTAAATTAATTAAGATCTTTAAAGAAAGGAATAAGACATCGGATTCATTTCTTACCCCTTAATTTTCAGGGACTATTCTAAGAATTGTTTTATAAAAGTATTTTAGATGACAATGCTGATTTGTGTTGATTCATTCTACAACTAAGATTGAGCCCAGTGAGGTCCAAAAGAATATGAAGAGGAAAACTAAAATTTTTCTTCTAGTTCCGAAAAACCCATATCAAGTCATCTATTTTTCTATGCTCCAATTTTTCTTACCCAGCAAAATTAAAATTGACAGAATAAAGATTTAATCTGACTGTTACCTCCTTGAAGATGTCTGTATTAGACCATTCTTGCATTGCTATAAAGAAACACCTGAGACTGGGTAATTTATAAGAAAGGAGGTTTAATTGACTCACAGTTCTGCAGGCTGTACAGGAAGCACAGTGCCAGCATCTGCTTCTGGGGAGGCCTCAGGAAGCTTTTCCTCACTGCAGAAGGTGGGTGAAACAGAAGCAGGCACTTCACATGGTGAGAAAGGAACAAGGAGGGAGAAGGGTGCTACACCCTTTTAAATGACCAGATCTTAGGAGAACTCACTCACTATGGCAAAGACAGTACCAAGCCACGAGGAGTCTGCCTCCACGACCCAAACACCTCCCACCAGGCCCCATACCCAACATTAGAGATTACAATTCGACATGAGATTTGGGTGGGGACAAATGTCCAAACTATATCAATGTCCTCATGGGGGCATATGAGATGAAGAATTTTGTTTCTTTTGTTAAAATAAATAAACAAAAGAGTTGTGCATTTGGAGGTGGTAGCAGATAATGCTGACTAGAAGTTGATTTTCACCTGGGCCCACAGAATGGTACAGATAGAAGGAAGGGACATCTTAGAAATGAATTGAAAGGGAGGTATTCTACTGGAGCTTCCCCTTCCACAGTTCTTTCAGATCTATTACTCTTTTTCAAGTTTCATGAAATATCTTCTTCTGTCTTTGAACCTTTCCTTTTTTATTTTTATTTTTATTTTTTTTAGAGTCAGAGTCTTGCTCTGTCACCCAGGCTGGGGTTCAGTGGAACCATCATAGCTCACTGCAGCCTCAAACTCCTAGGCACAAGCAATCCTTCCACTTAGTCCCCCTAGTAGCTGAGATCACAGGCATGAAGCACCATGCCTGGCTTATTTTCTTTATTTTTTTAATAGATGGGGTCTCACTATGCTGCCCAGGTTGGCCTCTAGTGATCTTCCCGCCTTGGCCTCCCAAAGTTCTGGGATTACAGGCATGAGCTACTGCACCTGGACTCATTTTTCAGTACTCCTTTCTCTCACTCTTACTGGGCCTCCCTTCCTTGTTGGATTATCTCCTTTTATTCCTCAGTTATTCTTCTCATATTTCTCTTCATAAGTCTTTCCTTCTTTCACATTTTACTTTCATGCCTTTAGCACCTGAGTCTGGAGGTCAGTCACCCACCTAGCTCCCTATTCCTCTCACTTTGATCAAGTTATTTTTTAACTCAATGTATTTTAATTTCTGTATTTATATCATTATAATAGTAGAACTTTCATTTTATTAGTGTCCTCAACCTTTCAGATAAAAGAAAATATATTATTCAAAATCCATTCTTAATTTGGCTAATTAAGTAGCTAATATATTATTCGAATAGCCTTTGCAACGTTAAGGAGAACAGCTTTAGAAATATATCTTCACAGAAACTCCATGTGTAAAGTATAAATTTGATATCAGATATCTAGCAATACAGAGGAAAGGCTGATAACTCTGACACATGAAAGTAATAAATTTATGTATAGACAAAGAAAAAGTTAAAATATAACAACTTACTAGGAAGAAATTTGTCCTATATATATGCCAGAGAAAGGGCCAATGTAATAAGTATACAAACTGCTTGTCTTAGTTTGCACTGAAATAACAAAATATCATAAACTGGGAGGCTTATAAATAACAGAAATTGAATTTTCACAGTTCTGGAAGTTGGAAGTTCAAGATCCAGTTACCGGTAGATTTGGTATCTAGTGAAGGACTACTTTCTGGTTGTGCGTTCCACATGGTGGAAGGGGCAAATGGAGCTCTTTGGGGTGTCTTTCATAAGGGTGCAAATCCCATTCATGAATGTTCTAATCTTGAGACTTAACCTGCTCCCAAAGGTGCCACTTCCAAATAACATCACTTCGGGGATTAGACTTCAACATATAAATCTGATGAAGACACAACATTCAGTCTATGGTATAACCCTTACAGAATCAATAAGAAAAGACAAATCACTGCACAGAAAATAGACAAAGGGCACAAATAGTTTTTAGAAAATAAAATATAAATGGCTAGTGAATAAGCAGAAAACTAAAAAGAGTGTTCGACTTACTGGAAATTTTAAAAGTGCGAATGAAAGCAACAATGTACCACTTTTATCTACCAGATAAGGACTCCTAAAGTCCAACAATGTCAATCATTGACAAGAACATGGAGAAGTGGGTGCTCATTCATATGCACATTAAACAGGTGTTTACTGAGTTCTACTCTAAAATACTTGTGATGGAATAGCAAATTGTTGCAATCTTTAAGAAGGGCAACTTAGAAATATCTAACAAAATTTTAAATGCACATATTTTTCAGTATCTATGCTTCCAAGAATTTATGTTAACAAAGATGTATCTACAAAATGAATGTATTGCTGCAATGCTTATAACAGCAAAAAATTGAACACAATCTAAATGTTCTCCAGTGGGCGACATTACTTAACTATAACATGGTATTTTTATACATTTCATATGTGTATGATGTACAACATTATACAGGTGATAAAAGAAATGCAATGGACTATATAAACTGATGCAAAAAGCTATCTAAGATATATCAAGTTAAAAGAAAGTAGACAGATACAGAATATAGATACACATTTATGTATGATCCCATTTCATAAAACTAAGAAACATATTTATATTTATTTCTATAAGCATGTTTATACATAAAAATTTCTGAAAGGACACAGAAGAAACTGTTTTCAGTTGTTACCCCTGGAGAATGATAAGAATTAAGGAGAAAAGGGCATTTCACTTTTTCACTTTATATTCTTCTGTTCTATTGAATTTTTGTCTTTGCAAGACTATATACCTTACAATTATAATTTTAAAACTGGTTTCCAAAATACGCCATAAAAATGAGCTTGAAGTCATTATAAAAATTCATTTCAAAATGACATAAGGAAATTTACTGGTATACTTAGTTTTTGAAAAAAGAAATCCATGAATGAAGCCAAAAAACATATTCCCATAATTTTACCCTATATATTATACATAGATATGAATACTATGGATATAACTAAACAAATGTGAATGGATATTCATCTAGTTTGCCTGGGAGAAGACTTTTTGTTTGTATGTCTGAATTTGTGAAATCAGGATCAAAGCTAATAGTAATAATCTTCTCAAATAAGTATAGGAAAAGAATAGTAGATTCCTAGTCTTAGTAAAGCTGAGCAATGTGGACTTCACATCATTCTTTGTAATGTACCTTACAACTTTAACAACAAAGACTATCTTTAAAAATTGCTTTAAATAAGACCCCAAGGTTGTATAATAGTAAACCAAGAGCAGGTGACTACTGCATCCTCAGAACCCTCAGGAAGAGTCAAGTGACTTAGAAATAGCATGGGCCATGGATGCAGGCCTGGGTTCCATTGAGGCGGGGCTTCTAAGGCCAAACACTTCATCTCTCTGAGACTTGTTTTTTAAATACGTAAAACACAGATAATAATACCCACTGCAGGAGCTATATTTAGGAGTCAGAATTTGAAGGCAGCATTACACTGTGTAAAGGATGCTCATTTTGGAGTCAGTTCTGATTTTCAATCTTCACTCCACTACTTCCACTACTTATCAGTTATGTGAACTTGGGTAAGCTAACCTATCTTCTCAATGCTTCAGTTTTCTCATTTGAAAATTATATACATATATACACACACAAATATATATATACACATAAAATATATATCTATACACACATATATATGAGATATATAGGAGATATATATATGCGAGATATATATATATGCGAGATATATATAGAGATATATATATATGCTATGGAAGGTAGTTTCAAAGATTTAAGAGGTAAGTGACACAAAACATTGAGCATATCATGGCACATAGTTAATGCAAAGTAAATGTTTGTCCCTAATTCACATGAAGTATCATAAAAAGAACACTAATGATTACAGCCAGCTGAGATGGAGCTCTCTCTTTAATCTCCTTGGTCTACAAAGAGAGTAAAAGAGAGAAGAAAGAAGGAAGCTGTGACTTATCCATATCTGGATTTATCAGGATCTGTCTAGAGATAGTGTGATTCCTCAAAGCTTCCTTTGCACTTTTGTTTCTAGCTAAGATAGACTAACAAGAACCAGACTTACCTTTCCACCTGAAAGAACTTAAAAACAGATAAAATGTACTTTAAAATCCCAGTTTTTGAGACACTGGCCTTAGGTAATGAGGGGCAGTGATCCTGATGAGATGGAAAACAAATGGTGTAAACCCTATGGCTGTGGTCTGAATGTTTGTGTCCCCCTCAAAATTCATGAGCTAAAACCTGCTCTCTAATGTGGTATTCAGATGTGGGGCTTTTTGGAGGTGATTGGGTCCTGAGGATGGAGCCCTCATGAATGAGATAAGTGCCCTCATAAAAGAGGTTGAAAAAACTTGTTCACCCTTCCACATGTGACAGCAAAGCTAGAAGGGGCCATCTATGAGGAACGTGACCTCACTGGATCCAGATCTGCTGATACCTTGATCTTGGACTTCCCTGTCTCCACAACTGGGAGCAATACATTTGTACTGTTTATAAGTTACCCAGTCTAAGGTATTTTGTTATAGAAGCCTGACCACATTAAGAAACCTACCCATCTTACTGCCTTGAGAGAGTTTCTAGGCTATGATGCAGGGAGAGAGAATATAGGTGGAGTCCATTACATTCCCTGAATGGAGGAAGCAGTGCTTAAAGGCTGGGATGACCAAGGTGGCTAGAATTCACAGGATGAAGTACCAGAGAGGAGAAGGCTGGATATCTCCAGAGGCTCTGCCTCACATATCCAGCAGAATACTGATCAAGACATGCATGTGAGGAGGCTGTCAGAGGCCTGAGAAGGAAACACCAGAAAGGATTAGCGGTAACAGTGTCCAGTACTGTCATGGGTTAGGTGTGCATGTTGGAGTCTGTCCTAGGTTAGTGCCTGTTCCAACAACCAGACTGGAAAACCACATAATTTATAGGGCATTGGGCAGAATACACTCTCCCTGTGATTTTTGACTTTCCTTTTGACCATGTGTAACTGAATAAGAAACTTTTCCATGTAAATCTGCTCGTTATACATTAATCGTCTATTGATAAATAAATACTATGCCCTCATGTTTTCTACAGGTAAATACAGATTGGGAAATTGGGCCAACCAGTCTCCATTTCTTTCTCTCACTTCCTCCCATCCTTCCTTCCTTCCTTCTCCCTTCCTTCTTCTTTCTTTTTTTCTCTTTATGAAGCCAAATAGGGTGTAAAACTAAAAAAGACCAACAGACCAGACTTGGAAATGTAAAAATCACCAAATGTCATTGCAAAGAAAAGAGATCAGGAGCTGCCCTTTCTTTAAAAGTGCTGCTCACTTGACCAAGACCCTTCCTTCTTCCAATTCCAGGCAAGAAAATCGGGCCACAAAAAGAAGGACTGCAAATAGAGGAAATTTGTATTCAGATAAACTAGTTCATGAAAAAACAATACACACAAAAAAACAGAACCTTATTTGGGGAGGCTTCCTTCAGTCCTTGCTCATCTCTTATCCTACCTCCCACTCTCTGAAGATTTTTTTTTTTTAAAGGAAAGTTCTTTGGGTATATACCCAGTAATGGGATTGCTGGGTCAAATGGTATTTCTAGTTTTAGATCCTTGAGGAATCACCACACTGTCTTCCACAATGGTTGAACTAATTTACACTCCCACCAACAGTATAAAAGCATTCCTACTTGCCCACATGCTCTCCAGCATCTGTTGTTTCCTGACTTCTTAATGATCACCATTCTAACTGGTGTGAGATGGTATCTCATTGTGGTTTTGATTTGCATTTCTCTAATGACTGGCGATGATGAGCTTTTTTCATATGTTTGTTGGCTGCATAAATGTCTTCTTTTGAGAAGTGTGGCACATATACACCATGGTATACTATGCAGCCATAAAAAAGGATGAGTTCATGTCCTTTGCAAGGACATGGATGAAGCTGGAAATCATAATTCTCAGCAAACTAATACAAGAACAGAAAACTAAACACCGCATGTTCTCACTCATAAGTGGGAGTTGAACAATGAGAACACATGGACACAGGGAGGGGAACATCACACACAAGGACCTGTTGTGAGGTAGGGAGCTAGGGGAGGGATAGCATTAGGAGATACACCTAATGTAGATGACCGATTGATGGGTGCAGCAAACCACTATGGCACGTGTATACCCATGTAACAAACCTGCACGTTCTGCACATGTACCCCAGAACTTTAATAAAAGAAATAAAAATAAATGAATGAATAAATAAATAAAGTTCTGCCTGGACATGAATGAGGGGCTTCACTGCTTGTTTCAGGTCTTGGAACCTGCAGGAAACTCTCACGCTTGAACTCACTGAAGCTCCAATTAAAAATAAAGTGTGGGTGAATCATTTTGCTGCTATGAGTTGCCCACTAAGAGCTGGGAAAAGCTGTCTCAAAGCTGTCCTTCCACTCCACAAAGTCTTTACAAGGCCTCGGAAAGATTTCATTTATTTTAAGACCCAAAGGCCTTGCAGGTAAGCCAATGAGCCAAATCTCGACAACTGTAATATTCCTAAAAATGGGTGTATTCTACCTTGCAAAATGAAGTTGAATGCTCAATATTTTTTAATACAACAAAAATAAGTACTTAGTGGATATTTTTCTAAAAGTATAGCTAAGATCTTACTTATTGAATGTGTAGATTTAATTGGAACATTGGAAGCAACCTCAGTCTCACAAAACATCCAGGCTGTTGCTCTAGCCACAAGAAAAATTTTGCAATAGTTGTTGCAAGTGAGTCCCCTCTTCTAATCTCATGCAAATCCAGTTTCTTTTGTGTTGGAAAAGTGTTTCATGTAGAATGAAAGAGAACTGCATTCTAACTTTTCAGGGAAGCACTTTGGACTATAGCATGTTCAAAAGACAAAAGTTTCACCATTAACAATAACAATCCAAAGACGTAGTGGGCAGTATGGTGTGGTTCAAAGAACCCTCACTGGCTTGTGTGAGCTGGGTTTCAGCTCTGATTCTGAAGCATATAACCTTCAGGAAGTTGTGCCCCTCTCCAAACCTCAGTATTTTCACCCATAAAATGAAATTATTGAGTCCAAGATCATTATTGAGTCCAAGATCAACACTGTAATAAATAAAGAAATGTTTATGTCAATATGCTTCAAAAAGACATTTTATCCTGCCATTTATACTCCTTTACCAGGATGGGGCAGAACCGGGGGTGGGCTGGGAGTCGCGGGTGGAGCACTAACAAAATTTTGGACACAAGCGTGTCTTAATTTAGAATGTGGCTGATTTTACTTTTGCAATGTGTCGTTGATCTCTTAGACCCAAATAGGAGAAAGCATTTACTAAAGCAACACAGCATTTGGAAGAATTAATGCATAACCTCAAAATGGGAGTTGGCGCACTTCTTACCAGTAGAAGCAGCCTCCTTATAATAGCATAAGTAAAATAGGTGGTTCCAAACCTATGCTTCCTTAAGCAGCTTTCTGAAGAACAAGTCTTTCTGGAGATTGTAGAGTCAGTTATTGAATTTCTGTAGCATAAGCTAGAGTATCATTGGACCCATTTAAAACCCAGGTTAATTTTACAGTTTCTCTTCAGATTAAAACATTTTTAGTGTGTTCACCTTTTGTACCTTAACACTGTATTACTTATTGATGTTACCACCTTGTCTTATCTTATCTCACTCCATCTTACCTTTCCTTACCTTATCTCATCCTCTGAAGTCATTACGCTAATATTAAGACACCTTGATAACAAAAGGCTTTTGTTCTCAACAGGACCTTTCTAAGTCCTTTTTTCGCCTCTCCCCTGACATAAAGCATGTACCTTGGTTTTCTTTTCTTTATTAGTTAAGCATTTAGATGGAAGAAAAAAATAAAAAAAGAAACCAAGTAAATATTTTAATGAACACAGACAGATACACATGCACACATGCATTCAACCCCAAACTGACTAGAAGAGCATGCCACTGTAATAATGTGGAAGGCCAGGAGAACTCATGCCTTTTGTTTAAGCAGGTGCTTGGGAACAAGGAGACATCACCCGGATTCAGGGCATCGTGTGAAGATCTGGCTTCACTCATCACTTATTGTTGAGCAATGGGAGCAAAAATGTAGCAAATAATGCAAAGAAAATCCTTCTAAGGGATCTGAGCCCGGAAACTAATCCAGGCAAGTATGACTCGTGTCTCTGTAGTTTATAAGGGCAGATTTCTTTGGTATTTAATTAGTGAATGAGTGGAATCTGTGCATTGAATTTAAGAAGAAAACAGTTTACTTTTTCGTCTCTGAGAAGTCTTGAGCAGTCCAGGAAAGATAGCTAATTGCTCATGGCAATTGCTCACAGCAATCACAACAGCCTCTATGGCATTTCTTGAGTACTACCATGCATCACAATGCACCCAAACTGAGCATGGCATCTGGATAAGAGTCTTCTACTTGCAAATAAGAGTGAGAATTAAAAATAGATTAGGAAAGCATAGTCATCCCAAGTCCTCTGTGGGGGTTATCCATCTAACAGGTGGGCGGCAGGAATAAAAGGGAAGGAGCTGTGGCTTAGCTTCAAGATTTATTTTAACTGGCATAGGGTGCACTTCCACTACAATAGTGATCATATTAAAAATCTAGATGAGTCTACTTGTGAGTACTCAGTCCTTGTGGCCACACTGGGGAGGAAGGAAGGAAGGAAGGAAGGAAGGAAGGAAGGAAGGAAGGAAGGAAGGAAGGAAGTCAGGAGTTTGAGACCAGCCTGGCCAACATGGTGAAACCCCATCTATACTAAAAATACAAAATTAGCTGGGCATGGTGGCAGGGGCCTGTAATCCCAGGTACTCGGGAGGCTGAGGCCAGAAAATTGATTGAACCCAGGAGGCAGAGGTTGCAGTGAGGTGAGATTGCACCATTGCACACTAGCCTGGGCAACAAGAGTGAAACTCCATCTCAAAACAAAAACAAAAATGAAAAACAAACAAACAAACAAACAAACTTTACTTAGTGTAGTGGTTAAAAGCACGGGTCCTAGAGCCAGCCCACCTGGGTTTAAATCCAGACTGCAACATACTAGCAGTGTGACCTTGAGCAACTTGACCTCTCTGTGCCTCATTTCCCGTTCTATAAAAATAGAGTTTTTCTGAGAATTCGAGGAGGTGCTATGAGGAAATTTGTGGTATGATACCTGGCATATGAGAAAAGCTTGTTATGTTTTAACTATTTTTATGCATAGTATCCTACTTTGCAGGTTCTCTATAGTCAATCTTGGAGAAATAATCATGAGCACTTACTTTTTCTCAAATGCTACTTTCTTGGTAACTAGTTAAGGGATATTTCTTTTCCTTTCTCATTATTACTTGCCATGGTTGGTTCTTTCTCAGGTTGCAAAGACATCATAATAGTTTAGATAGTAGAATAATAATAGTTTCCTGAATTTATACACTAGTTTCTCTGGCTTTGTAGATCAGGTGAAGCACCTCTGAATGACAGCCAGCAGCATGTGGTGACTGTGGCTAGGTTATTATTATCTATGGTTCATGTGAGAGGACTATGACTCACAGAGGGCTTGTGTGATGGCATGCCCATGGCTGTAGAGGACATTGGGGGTGCTCTGATTCTCAGGCCCCGGCTTGCTCACCACCCAACTCATACCCGCCTCATCGGCTGTTCACACGTGCACTTCCTGAACTACCACATTCTACAGTGATAATAATGACTGAGTTCTGTCTTATTCGGTAAAGCTCTTGGGTACAGTGGTGATCATGTTACACACATATCAAGTGGTGTGGGAAAAAAGCATCCAGAAGGCAATTTCAAGCATGCAAAATGGGATCACTGACATGGAAAATCAGTGACATCTGATTCCCATTGTGCCAGCCTTCTGTAAATATGTAAGTAAGTGGAATTTTGTCAAAAGGTTCTTAGCTATTATGAATTACCATTGCATTTTAAAGATCAAAATTTCTAAGAGAGTTTTAGGAAAGCCTTGCACATTCATAGTTGTGTTTTTTAGCTCATACTGCTTCTTGAAACCCAAGCATTTTGAAACTTTTGGGATGCTCCTGGGTATGTAGCTTAAAATTGTTAATAAAATTTATAGTATTTGAATGCAAGTAATACATGGTAAAATCTAGAATTATAAGATGTTAGTCTTGCAAGATATATTGAAAGTAATATAGTTTGGTGACCACTCTACTCACCCATTTTATATATGAGGAAACTGAGGATGAGAGATTATTTACTCGTTTATATTGATTATTAGTTTTTATAATAACTATTATTCTCTAATTAGGTTGCCAGATTCCAAATCCACTAATCTTTCCACTTCACCATCCTAAGTTTATGAAACCAAGTAAATTCGGCTGGGCGCGGTGGTTCATGGCTGTAATCCCAGCACTTTAGGAGGCCGAGGTGGGCGGATCACGAGGTCATGAGATCCAGACCATCCTGGCTAACACGGTGAAACCCCGTCTCTACTAAAAATACAAAAAATTAGCCGGGCATGGTGGCGGGCACCTGTAGTCCCAGCTACTCGGGAGGCTGAGGCAGGAGAATGGCGTGAACCCGGGAGGTGGAGTTTGCAGTGAGCAGAGATCGCGCCACTGCACTCCAGCCTGAGCGACAGAACGAGATTCCGTCTCAAAAAAAAAAAAAAAAAAAAAAAAAACAAGTAAATTCAAAATTCAATGTATGTGATGGTGCTAACACAGCATCACTTAGGAAAGCTATAATTTTTTTTTTTTTTTTTTTTTTTTGCTTATGGCTCAGGTTTGGGTCCATATGCAATTTTTTAAAATTCTGCATGCTCTGAAACCTAAATTTCAGAGACAGGAATTTTTTTTGTTTGTTTGTTTCTACCAGTGTGAACCTCCTTAGACCTCGGGAATTGTCCTTCCCTCTACATTTATACCAGTTAGATCCTTTCTTTCCGCTACACCTGTTGGAAAAATGTTACTAACCTCTACCAACTTACATGCCTTTTTTCCCCCTTTCAGCTAGGCTTTTTCTCAGAGAAGTTTTTTCATTCATCCACCTGTTTTGTCAGGTGATTTCTTTAGAAACTATTTTTTTTAAAAGCATGTCCTTTGCTTCTAAGAAAAATTTGATTTTTAAAGATAATAAGTATAGGCAAATAAGGAGCCGTCAAAGGGAAATGGTGGTCACATGTCACACATTCTTGTGTGACCACATTGATGAAACCTGCTCCAGCTCTGCTCACCCGACTCACACTGAAGCGTTAGTGTGGATCATGTTTTAATATTTACTTGTGTGCGTGTGTTTTGCAACATTTTCACTCTCCCGACACAGGTTAAAAGAAACAATTATTTGTTTATTTTTTTTTCCAGTTTGAACATTACTTGATTTTTTGAACCACATTTTTCATTTGAGTGCCATGTTCACTCTGATAACAGATCATTCTCCTGTTTTCATATCTCACTGCCAAAAGGGACTCGCCCGTTATCTCTGATTGAGGCAATTCGAACTTTAAGTAAGCCTGTCTTTATCAACTACTGTTTTAACAGCTGATTAATTAGTGCTGCAGAGATCTAGGGGAGGCCTTTATCTGAAGAGCAGTTCAACCATTAGCAAAGGAAACTTCCTTGTGCACCAGCGGCTCAGATAACAAGGTAAGATAATAGTTCACAATCCTTTGGCTAATGCAAACAGGAGCACTCCCTCTTATCCCAACACAGGGGCCAGAGAGAAATGCTCAGCCAAATTCTCAAAATACCATGATCTTCAGTGGTAAAAACTCTGGTCATTTTGTAAGTGCTTTTTAGAATAGCACCTTGCGATTACATAGGACAGCAGGCATTTGGAAGCTCAAATAATATTCAATAGCTATTGGCTATTTGCAGGAAGAAATCAAGCCCTAGTAAGATTCAGCAATGAGAATGGTTGGGTTTATATCTTATCAATTAAGAGTGACTATGTGAGCTAACTGAAGCAGTTAGCCATGTACTCTTGGACAAGCCATTTACTAACTCATTTGCCCTCTCTGTAAAATGGAGCTAATCAGAGTACCTACCTCCTGACATTATTGTGAGAATTAAGTGAGCCAATGCTTCCAATGTTCTTAGAATTACGTCTGACACATGGAAAATGCTCGACAGATGTTAGTGTCATTACTAAGTTAGGGAAGATGCAAGTAATTTAGGTTCTTCAAATTCTAATAGAATTAGCCAGAGGTTAATTAAATATAAACAGAAAGGATCTGGGTCTGTGGTTGGGCACAGACTGTTATAACTATCACTCCCCACCAGCGCTATCATGACTTCTACCAGCAGCAACTATCTAATCATTGTAATAAGAATTCACAATATTCTTAGCATTTCACATATATGAATATGTTTAATCTTCACAACGTATGAGGAAGATCCTATTTTTATTTCCATCTTACAGCTGATGGAATTGAAGCCCAGAGAGCTGAAATGACCTGCCCAAGGTCACAGAACATAAAATGCTGAAAGAGATTTGACCCCCAGCAGTCTGGTCAGGAACCACAGACTGCCCGCTCTTAAGCACTCACTACTGCAATCACATTATTAATATTACTGCATGCTGAGTGTTTGCTGTGTCAAGCACTTCCCCATGCTCAGAGGTGAAGCAACTTACCTGAAACCTGAGACTAATACATACATCAGCCAAAATTCAAAGCCAGATTTTCCCCAACTCTTTTTTTTTATGCTTTGATGCCTCTTCAGTGTGGAGGTTTAGGGATGTTTAGGGTTAAGGAGAGAAAAGTGACCAGGGACCCAGGAATGAATCATTTGACTTTCTACCCCTTGGGATTCCTTCAGAGGGTCTGGCCCTCATTCTGGATCATCATTTTCCTTGTTGGGAAGGAAGGGCTGGGAGCCTGCAGGGTTGGATTTTCTGCAGGTAGGAGTTGTAGCTCACTCTACATTCTCCTAAAAATGTATTAAATGTAGAAGCATGTATGTGCGGAAATCTAATTTGTTGACCTAATCGTTTTTATTGTACTGAGTGGTATTCGCTTTTTATTTTCAGTGAATGATGCAAACTTGTCTGGCTTTAAAACATTAGTTTACAAAAGGCTGAGTAAGCCCTCTCAGTTACCCAGAAAGAACTAAAGTGGGTTTATTAAGACCATCTAGGACAGAGGCTGTCCCACCAGGTGTTGGCCTACTGACCTGTCTTTCCCATTACTTTGAAAATTTCCTGAAAGAAGGAGGGGCCTTGCTTCATTCACGATTGCACTCCAGCTTCTGCCATAAGCCTTGCACACAGAGGGAAGCATATAGCATAGTAGGAGACCAGTACAGGGGAAGGCAATTTTGTTAATCAGTACAGAGTATTCATGAGAGTTGATTTTTTAAAATTATTATTATTCCTAAGAGATAGGATGTGATTTAACACTTTTAACAGCCTCAGGCAACTCAGAATATTTCAAGGCTGAAGTAGGGAAAAGCCCAAGGCACCCTTATGAGAGCAGAATAAGCCAAACAAATGTTTATAAATGGAGTTTCATCACATTTAAGGAGAGGCAGTACATCATTTGTGCTTAAGATGTTTTTTTTCCAGGTCGGGGGGCGGGGAGGGATAGCATTAGGAGATATACCTAATGCTAGATGACGAGTTGGTGGGTGCAGCGCATCAACATGGCACATGTATACATATGTAACTAACCTGCACATTGTGCACATGTACCTTAAAACTTAAAGTATAATAATAATAAATAAATAAATAAATTAATTAATTGATTAAAAAAAGATTTTTTTTTTTTCCTTTTATATGACATTGAATGGTCTATAGAAGTCTATCAATGCTTTTTGGTTAACAGTGCTTTGCAGAATATAAAAAGTGTAATTAATTTTGAGTGTAAAACATGAAGTCATTTCTCAAGAGTGTAAACTATAAACTTCAGCATCTTAATTCTTCTAGACCTACCCGGGAAATCCTAAACCACTTTTCCTGCTAAATTTCTTAAAGAACCACCTCTGCTCACCTGGTGGTAGATGCATCAAAGGAACTAATTGACCCCCTCAGGACACATCTCCAAACTTCAATCCCTCAACTGTGAAGGAAATGTCACATCAATTATGGAAGAAAGGTGGCAGGGATGGGAATTAGGACTAGGCTACAGGATTTGAGGAACTTGCTCAGCTATGGCATAGACATTTATGGAGCACCCAATGTGGACGAGGCACTGGGGGGGTACAGAGATGAGTGTCTTGTGCCCTCTCCTTCAAGGAATATCCAGTTACAGAAAAAATAAGAAGGAAGGAGAGGGTGGGAACTCCCATCAAAGATGTGCAGGTGAAGTGCTAAGGGAGTGTTGGAAACATGAAGAAGGTGATCTGCCCGGGTGCTATTGCACTATCATTAACACTTTGTTGTAGGTGCAGCAAACCACCATGGCACATTTTTCACCTCGGTAATAAACCTGCACATCCTGCACATGTATCCCAGAACTTTAAATTAAATTAAAACAAAACAAAACAAAAAAATCACTTTCTTTCCGTGGCTTTTCCTAAGAGTAGAAACAGAAAACGTAACACCAGACGAAAATATTTTCTTAGAAACACCAAGGATAAATAATATATTAGTGGAAGGGTATGTATGCATGTACAAAAGATGTTTATATTAGCATAATTTATAAATACCAAAGAAAGAAAACCCCAGAAACATGTCGAAGAGGATTTATTTGATGAGCTACTATGCGGCTGTTTAAAAATCACAAAGAATAATATTTGACAATGGGGAAAAATCATGGTATTTTTGCTAAGGCTCAAACCATGCCTGAAAATAATTATTTGTATAGGTATGTTTGTATATAGTATATGTTTGAAAGCTCCTATACCAAAGGGTCAAATCAGCAATGGTTATCACTGAGTGATAGAATTATGATTGATGCTTGTTCACTGTGAATCTCTGTTTTACAAGTTTCTGGACTAGCATGTATGACTTTTATGGTAGTATGAAAAGACATAAATGTTGGTAAAAGTCCTTCACAAAAATTGCATCTTCAGGGCCCACAAATTTTGGTCAGTCATTACAAGCTTTCTACCAGATTAATTTCATTTATTCTTGAGAGGACTTTTTCCCTTTGGATTGTTCTGCCCTCTTAGCTATGATAGTGATTGAAACCAGACCAGGAAAGCCCTGTTCTGTTGGTTCTGCCTCTATGTAACTTGAGCTTTTTACAAGCGAATGTTTCTTATTTCATTTCTCATGGGAATTTTGTCTCTTCATTCTTGTTAAAATGTTTGCATGTTTATGTTATAGTTGGCTACCTTGTTGCCCCAGGGCACCTGTCTTGGGGATAACCAAGAATGTGGATGGTGATGGCCATGGTGCAAGACTCAGCTTCAGTGGGGGCTGCTCCCAGGATGTCGGGCTCACGGACCCCTCTCATTGATGCCAGTCTCAGGTGGCTCTATCCCTGGAAGGTACAGCAGTGATGATCTACTTCACTTCTATGACCTTCCCCTGCTTCTACCCATGCCACTAGCCTTTGCCCTGCCTTACCACCATCGTCACTATTTCTCCGGCCAAAGCTTCAACCATAGGAGTCCTGAGAACTGGCGTGAAGTAGGGTCTTAGTTGTTCTATCCTTTTAAGCCAACTTTAAATATGACCTGTACAGAACGGGGCCCCACACCCAGAAGGGCCTCATGCTTGGCTTATTGCTCTGCAGTTGGCATCTTAAAATTCTTAATTAATGCAAGGGATACTGCATTGTCAATTTACACTGGGCCTTGCACACTATGTAGCTAGTCCTGATGGTTTGGTCTCCAGCTGGAGATCCAGAGGGGAAAGAGCATGATATTTGAAGTCAGGCAGTCTTATATTTGATACCTAGCTCTGCCATGTAGCTGTGTGATCCTGTGCAAGTCACTTGACCTCACTGGGCCTCATCTGTGAAATAGGTCTAGAGATGCCTACTTTACAGAGTTGATGTTAGGGATGAACATATGTAAAGTTACTAAGATATTTTAGGCACTAAATAGTACTAATTATTAGTATTATTCTTGAATTGTTACAGCTATAAGACACCCCTTTCTCCAAATGTAACCTTGCTCTTTGAGTTTTGTTATTCTCTTGATTTAGGAAATTTTGGTGTTTCTAATGTCAAGCTAGATAAGGTCCAGAACACCATCTACCACAATCTCATGCCGACCCTGAACTGTAAAATCAGGACTGAGCTCTCTGCACTTGTTTTGTCTCCCTTGCATCCTCCCTGTGAAGGCCAAGGTGGTCTTTCTCTTCCCAGGAGTGTCAACTCTGGGGGTCCACATTTCCTTTCCTTTTTTCTCTAGTTGACATAGGAAGTTCCTCCACAGATAGAACTTCTAATAGGTGATTCTAATAATCCAGAATTCCTGAAGTTAGCACTTAGGTCCAATCCTTTTCCTGTCCCGGCTCTAACTTGCTTGCAGGTCATACTTGATCTCAGATCTGCTTTCTGCTCCACCGCCTATAGCTACTGCCCTGATAGCAAGAGTAATTCCTTGCATAGTAGTTCACATTTTAATAGAATTTTATCCTTTTCAGAACATTCAGGTCATTTTTGCATCATTTGATCCTTGAAACTATACTAAGAAGGGGTCAGAGTGATATCACCGTTTTCTCAAATGTGAGAATGAACACTGGCAAGATAAAGTGACTTATTCAAACGTACCCAGAGAGCTGATGAGAAAGTCAAGCCTAGGAAGCATGTAAGTCTCATTCATTCATTCATCAGTTCGTTGAATATCTTATGGGTTTGGTGCCAGGGATACTATAGTAGCAAAAACAGACAACACCCCCACCTTTAGGCATCTTATAGTCTTTTTGAGTGTGATAGATATTAAATAATAATCACAACCATAAATGTAAATTTTCAATTGTGATTAGTACTGGGAAGAAGAGACATCCAGGGCCAGTTTTTGTCTGGTTAGGAGGTCCCTCAAGCTGCTTCCTTAAAAAAAAAAGCAAGATGCAACTCTATGTTCAGAAATTTTATTTATTTGTCTGTTTCTGTGATACTTTAATAAATAAAAGATTTCTCAGAAAGCAAAACAACTTGTTATGTTGGGTAGATATAAACAGCTATAGAGTCTTTTAGCCATTCTCAACATTAATGTTTGGTCAGGGTAATAGACTGCGGTAAAGCAATCTCAGTTATGTGGGTCAACCTGAGTAGTAGAGAACTGAAGAAGACTGGACTGTTTGGATCCTTGTAAGTGATTTACCAACAGAAAACTTTGCTGTTTTAACCCTGCACTCTTAATCTAGAGCATCAGGTAGCATAGCACCTATCTGTTTGGGCATAGAAGGCAGTGGTGGGCCCCACCCACCACCCACCACAGACACCTGATGCTGAGGACCCTCCTTGTTTATCACCATTCTGATCCTATTCTGACATTAATTTATTTATGGAAAAACATTTCTTCAGGCATCATGCCCAACACTGAGTACTAAGAGGAAAACACAAAGGACAAGGTCTCTGGTCCTGAGGAGCTTATTGGAGTGAGACACGAAGAAAACGTATGAATGCAAATATGATTTTAAAGTGTGTACATTTTATGAAGAAAAGAGATAGATACCCAGGGGAAGAATAAAATGGGGGCCAAAGAAAGCCCCTCTGTAGAAGAAGTGATATTTGAGCTGCGATGTAAAGAATAAGATGGAATTCATGCAGGCAAATCGAAAGAGGACAAGTCTTCCAACAGCATGTGGGAAGAAGTATGAAAAAGAGAGAGAGACAGACAAAGACAGTTCAAAGACAAAAGCGCATTTTAGATATTTTTTAAGTTTTTGAGTGTATGCAATCTAATATATGATATCTTTACAATGACCTATGGTACTGCAATAATCAGAAAGTTTCCTACTCTTTGGTTTTTCTGCCATTTATATATCATGTTGCTTAAAAATGTTGAAGGCCACTTTCCCCATCTTTGGCCTATTTTTACTTTTTTCCCCTGCACCAATTTTGTGCTTTGTATTGGTGACACTGACCTTTGAAACAGTACTTCTACTTTCTTTCACTGCCTGTGTGGCAGAGGGGCAACTCGCCATCCTTCCCCTGGTTGTCTGAAAGCCTGTATTCTATGTGTACCAAGTGATGATTTCTTTCTCTTGGCCAAGTGTGAATTACTTTAATGCGGCCCTGAAAGCAGTTTTATAATCTAAAGAATAAACAGATTACTTGTCAAATTCTCTTTGTCTGTTCCATTGTGACCTACTAACATTTACACTGCTTTGTGGAAACATGGCAAAAAGGTTGGTTGCCTACATCAACTATTTCCATTGCAGGAAAATGTGACTATGCTGGCTTTCGGGCAAAGGGTGGCACCCCCACCTCAAGGCCATGACCAACCAATGACAGTGGGACTGAATGCTCAGAAGTTATTCACAATTTTGAATCATTTTAGAAGATGCCCTTGAAAGAATGGAAGCATGGACAAGACTTTTTAAAAATAAAAAACTCCTTTTCTAAAGCCATTGTTTTTGGATTCATTTTTCTCTTATTGTGTTTGGAGAGATGTTGAATATGCATTCTAAGAATCCATGAGTTTTAAATTACAAAAGCCATGGACATGGAGAAATGTTTCTTAGTGATAAAGCAGAGGGTTTTAGAAAATTCTACAATGGCATTGAGAGGCCATATAGCTCACGTCTCAGCTTCCTTCCCTTCTCTATAAACACCTTCAGCCATGGGGACTTTCGATGAAACCCACTACCATTTTTTTGACAGCGTGAAACATTAGGAAATTCTTCCTAACGTGCAACCAGAATCCAGCTTTTTTTTCTATCCATTGGCCACACTTCTGCTCTGCACAAGGCAACACAGACACTTACTCTACTGAAATACTGCTGGGGAAAGAACAGTGAACTCAGTTTCTCTGGGCAACTGGTTTGAATTAGTTATTTCACAAATAACTAATTCAAATTTCTTTATAATTTAAAAAAACCCACATTTCCCACTTTATAAAAAACTTTCAAACATTTTGGTGTGCAAAATATTCCAATGTTGTCTTGTTTTGGGGAAGAGGCTTTCTTCCTAATGGCTTTAAGTAGGAAATTAACATTTTTGTGAATATAGTGGGGTATTTTTTGCATTTCCATGATAATACATTGGAATTTTAGGAAAATATTGTGACAAGAGAGTGTGCTGAAGTGAGTAGCAAGAGTCAACGATCTCTCCTACCTGAAGACTGGATGCCACTGTAGCTTTGCCCTTTCTAAAGCCCTTCTAGCTCAGTTTATCCCCAAAGAACCACTGAGTGCTGGTCCAAATAATTGCCGGGCTTAGCTGCCAGATTCATTCAGAAATTGCTGGTATTGTCCTCTGTAAAATGATATGTTCCTATGATCTCCCACTCTTTTCAGCAAACCAGAATCCTGGATATAATTTGATCTTCATTATGGAGAGGGAGACTGAATTAGATAATAGAAAACCTGAAGAGTTTAAGTAACTGAGGATCAACCTCACCGTTCCCCATCCGGCTTTTCTCCCCAGCTGAGGTGGTTGTTTGAGGCTCAAGTTAATTTGATAAGAACCGGGGAAAGAATATTTTGAGTCCAAGATGTGAGGCTAAGGGCTTTCCCTGTCCAAACTCCCATTCCTGAAATGTCCCCAAATCTTAGGTTTACATCTTACAAAGGGAGATGCCAGGACTGCTTCTTTGTATGAGTAATGCTGCTCTCCCGCCTGCCTCCGGGAGCCTACAGGTAGCAATTTGCCACATCCTTTGCGTTTGACAGAGGGCTAAGAATTAGAGGAGGTGTTTTGCTCTCCTGTCACTTGTCTCCTCACAGTATAATTATCTGAGTTCCTAAGTGCTGCAGTGATATATGAAGAAATCCAAAGAAGAAATACAATATGTCTTCATTGTCTTTTGTCATTAGCCCTCAATTAAATATTTCTTACCTTGGGCTAAGGTAGCATGGGGTGGAACAAGCAATGGGCTGCAAGCCAGAAGAGGTGAGTCTTAATCTCTCTTCCACATGCATTAGCTGTGTGTCTTTAGTCTAATCACTTAACATCTCTGAATCTTGGTGTTTACTTCCATAAAACAAAAAGATAGACTTGATTATTTCTAAAATTCCTCTTGGGGCTGAATTTAAAAAAAAATTCTTGTGACTATAACTTGCATTTAAAATCATGATGGAAAAAATACTCTAAACACCAAGTGAAACTGGTTAAAAGCAGTAAGTCAGCTAATCAGATGATTATCTATTGAGGCTTCCTCTATAATCTCTAATTTTGCAAAAGATAATTTCCAACCCATGCATTTCATAGTCTTTATAATAAAGTTCTAAGAGCATTACTAACTTTATGTATATATTTATTATATCTGAATATGCCTACAAAGTAGTGAGGGTAGTTTCTAAAAGCCATACTGAAGAAAGTTTCATTGTGTGTCACACATAGTGTCTTCCTTTCTACAGAAAAATCATATTTTAAGGATGGCTAGAGACAAATTTATTCTTCATATCTCTTCTCTTCCCATCATTTACAAGTAATGCAAGTAAAAAACAAAACAACAACAAAAGCAAAATGTTCTACAGTTAAATTCAGGTCCTAGGTAATAATATAATCCAATATTTAAATGGTGATTTAAAATTCTTTAAAGTCTTTTAATACAAAATGTTTTATTAGCTCCTTTCATTACCCTTGTTAGGTGTAGAGGAGGGTAATGTTATCCCCATTTTGTAAGCCAAGAAAGTAAAGTTGGGTGGTGAAAACACAAAAGTAAAGGGAAAGGAGACAAGCTCCCCGAATGCTGGGAGGTGTTGTGCTGAAGTCGGAGAGCCAACAGACCGGATTGCCTTTGGAACAGACGTTCCCGTTTAGGAAATGTTGTATTAGCTTTGCTTTTCCTGAAATGAAAAGTCATCAAACAAATCTTAAAGGCAAGCTCCTTGGGTCTCAGGTGACTGTCTTTCTCATCATGTCAGACATACTGTCTCTCTGTATAAGGGAGTTTTGAAGAGGATTTTTTATAATCCTGACTGTGCCTAAAAACCATAGCCTGTGGTATACACATAAGGAAATGTCATTCAAAGCTCTGAATGAGCTTCTAGAAATTCCATGAAGCCAGCTTGGCAGATTTTCTAGGCTGCTGACAGTGACTAAAATCACCGCGTGCTTCCTAAGAGAAAATTTTGTTGTATAAGATATGGCCGTAATACACTCAAAAGTGCAACAACTTTTTTTTTTTTTTTTTTTTTTGAGAATTAGGTGGTCTCTTTTCTTTGAATTTTGGACTGACAAATGAATGACATAGTGCCATGTGAGCATGGGTTGGTTCAGAATCTCTTTCCTTGCTCATGAGAGCCCTGGACTTGAGCAGCAAGGTCAGAGTGGCAGTCACATTGTGAGAGCTCGTAAGTGTAATCCACCAGCTTGAAGAGACATCTCGTAGCATTCAGTGACCCCTGCACACCTCCCGCAGGCCACCTTACACTTTCTAGCTTGAGGCCTTTGCAGAATCCATACAAGCTGTGAAATGATTTCTTCCCATAAAACCCTGGAACAAAGAAGTGCACTCTCTGCTTTCTGGTAAGCCTTGCTGAGCTATCTAGAATTGTGGTTTAGCTCCACAGCCATGGGCCTTTGGCAAACAATATCATTCATTTCTTTCAAATGATGATAATAGCAAGCAAGGCTACTATCATTATTACTTTCTTTTCACTCTTTTTTTCTCTACGAATGTTTCAAGGTTTTGGAGGGAGAAAAAAAAAGTCAAGGTTTGCGGGTCAGTAGTAACAACTTTGGACAAAACTTCTTCAATAGAGCCTCATAGTATTTGGTTTAGTAAGTCTATTTGAAAGCAATAACTTGCAGAAGCAAGCAACATCTCAAAAAACCTGTTGGCTGTTCAACTTTGCCATCTGATTTCTTAAGGAAAATATCAACTTGTTCTGGATTTTAGCACCCTCTATTTCAGGGTGTCTTAGTAAAGTAAAATATTTCAGAAGAGGTAGGTTCTAGGAGAATCCAGTCTTAAAGATTATTTTAGTGAAAGAAAATATAACTCATAGGGCAGAGCTGGATGAATGGAGTTTAGACTTCACCATGAAACCACTCAGTTTCAGAAACTCTCAAGTATCTTTGGTTGGGGAAAATTTGGGTTGATTCAGTTTCTTGAGATACATCAAATTGGTTGAGACTTGTAGTGGTAATATGAATCATAGTCCCTTAAAGTTAAGAGAGGCCTTAGATGTCTTCTAGTTCAATTTTCCATAGATACAAGAATCTTCTCTGCACAGTCTCTGCTTGAACATCTCCAGTGACGGAGAGCTCACTGCTTCACTACACAGCTCAATCTGAGGTTGAATAGCTTTAACTTTTAGTAACTTCTTCCTTGAACTAGAATTTTGTTTCCTTTATCTCCCATCAAGGTCTGATCTTTGGAATATGGTGAATAAACTAGTTTCTTCTTTCACTTGGCATTGTATTTGGAGATAAATGTCATAATAACTGTGTATTTACTTTCCAAGCTAAATATTCCTCTTAAAAAGGTTTTTACCAGAATAGGGCTATAAGAACTTCAATTTAAAAACAAACATTTGGGCAACTGGAAAGATATTCACTGTTTTTCATCAGGACTTAATATGTTAAAAGTGTTATGTCTCCTTACAGTAATCAATAAATTCTATGTAATCCCAATTAATAAATGTATGAATTCTAAATGATATAGGTTCCAAATGATATAGGTGTTTATTCCTAGAACTGTCAAAAGTCATCCAACACACTATCGGCCTACTGTGTATCAGGGGCTATTCCAGGTATTGTATATAGCTACAGAAATCTCCTGTGTAACAGCACATACATTCATATGACAAACAAAATCACTCCCTCATGGAGTTTACCTTCTAGTGGAAGAAGACAAAAGTATTATCATTTAAGAAGGATTTAAGCGACATGAAAAAAATACAATAGGGCAGTAGGGTCAAGAATGACTGGGTTGTGGATGTATGGGTGTGGAGGAATGCTGCTCAAGTTAAGGTAGATGGAGAAGCCTCTTGCAGAGGCAATATTTGAGCTAAGACCCTAAAGATGAGAGAGACACAGCCCCACAAACCACAGGGAGATGGGTTCTCCCATAGAAGGACTATCAAAAGCAAATACCTTGAGACAGCTCATTGCATCCAGGAGGACAGAATTGCTATAGTGGAGTGGACATTGGAGAGAATAGTGAGTGAGATGGTCATACAGTCAATAAAGGGTCAGGTCTTGTAAATTCTACACTCCATAGTAAGCAGCTGAATTTCATCTGAGCATTTTGGGCTGGGTAGTGATAGGATCTGATTTGAGAATATCACTCTGTTTACTCTGTAAGGAATCAACTGCAGGGGAATAAGGGGAGGGAGTGGAAATAGAAAAACCAGTTAGGATCCCAGGACTGAGAAAATGAAGGCTCGAGCTACAGTAGTAGTAAGGGAGATAGGGAAGAGCAGTAGGGCTTTGCAATGTGTTTTGGAAGTACCACTGACAGATCTTGCTGATGGATTGAATGTAGAGTATGAAGGGAAGAGAGAAGCCAAAAACAATGTCAATGCTTTTAGTCTTAGCACAGGAGAGAGAGTTGTGCTGCCATGTGCACCTCTGGTTAAGATTGGGGGGCACGGCCAGGCACAGTGGTTAACGCCTGTAATCCCAGCACTTTGGGAGACCGAGATGGGTGGATCACCTGATATCAGGAGTTCAAGACCAGCCTGACCAACATGGTGAAACCTTGTCTCTACTAAAAATAAAAAATTAGCCAGGCGTTTTGGCACATGCCTATAATCCCAGCTACTTGGGAGGCTGAGGCAGGAGAATTGCTTGAACCTCGAGGGCGGAGGTTGCAGTGAGCAGAGATTGCACCATTGCATTCCAGCCTGGGCAACAAGAGTGAAACTCCATCTAAAAAGAAACACAAAAGATTAGGGGGCAGATTATGAAAATTGGGGGCAGGAAACAAGAGTTGTCTTGGACATATTGGGTTTGCAGTTTCTGTCAGACATCCAAGCGGAGATTGTATGTAGACCTTTGGAGAGAGAACTCTGAAGCTTAGAGAGAGAGAGAGATTACAGTTGGAGACATAGAATATTGAAAGGCATGGGACTGGATAAGATCAAGTAGATGAAGGAAAGGAGAAAATAGCAGAGCATGGGAAAAGGGGGAAGGAGGGACGAGGAGAGGAGATGAGAGAAGAGGTGAAAAGAAAAGCAGAGGAAAGATGAGAGGCCTGACCTGCTCTTATATTTAGAGATTAGATGTAAGAGATTAAACATCAGAGAAGACATAGAAAGAATGACCAGTGAGGTTGGAGGAAAGGCAGAAGAATGTGGTGACTCCAAAGCCTCAGAAGAAAATACAAGAAAGAAAGAATAATCTCCCGTGTCAAATGATATTGAGACTCAAATAGGATGAGAACAGAGAACTGACCATGGACGTGTCAAATGAAGGACATCAATGACTTTGATAAAATCTGCTTCAGGGAGTGGTGAAGTGAAAAGTCTGATTGAATGAATGGGTGAAGAGAGAATGGGAGTGAGAAAGTGAGAACAGCAAATACAAACCACTCTTAAGAATTTCTGCTGAAAAGGTAAGCAAAGAAATGGGGCAAAAAGAGGAGTGGAAAATAGAGCTAAGGGTTTCTGCTTTTTTTTTTTTTCAAGTGGGTGATGTTAAGGTGTATTGAGATGCCTAGTGAAAGGATTCATCATTAGTAAGTAACTAATGACGAATGAGAGAGACGAATAATCGCGAGGGCAAATGGGGATGTGGATCAGCGCGGTAGGTGCAGAGAGAGGCTTTACATAGAACAGAGACTCTGCTTTTCCTTCACAGGAAGAAAAGCCAAACATAGGTGACGACTGGTCGTTTTGATGGAGGGTTGGTGTTGCTTTAATTTAAACCCATTGTTTTAAAAATATAGTTGTCACCTGGAAAAATAAACATGCCTAAGCAACCAGGAAAGTGTTATGGAAGAGAACAGGGTGGAGGAGTGTGTGTGGCGGGGGGCCAGGGAGAGTGGGGGAAGTGAGAAAGGGATGGTATGAGATCTGCTAGAAATGAAAATATTCTATGTTATACAAGAACTGAATAGAAAATCTAGAAGTAGGACATAATACATATGATAACTTAGTGTATAATAAGAATAGCCCTTCAAGTCATCAGAGTAAAAATAGGTTAATCAATAAATAATGTTGAGTTTTATTTCTAGCTGTTTGCAGGAATAGGAGATTTGATCTCTGCTTCACTCTTTAAAACAAATTCCAGATGGAGCAAACATTTAAACATAGAAAATACCATAGAAATATTTTTTAAATGGGGAATTTAAAAATATATAGTTTTGGCATGGCAAAGATATGGCATGAAACTCAGAATCATAAAGGAAAGAAATAGACTAAATTCAACTTTATTCAAAAATGAATAAAAATATAAATCAAAAATTAAAACATAATAAAAAACTAAATCAAGTAAATAAAGATGCTATTCTATGAAAAATTCCATAAATAAAATCAAAAGATAAAACTACAAACTAGCAAATAACATTTGTAATGTCTATGACAAAGGGCTAATATTCTTAGTATGCAAAGAACTCTTAGAGATCAATAAGACAAAGAGAAAAAAATAATCTAACAAAACAGGCCAATACATAAACAGGAAGTTCATAGATAATTGTCAATAATCATGGAATAATATTCAACTTCACAAGTAAAATAAGAAATGCAAATTAAAACAATGAGATATTTTTCACCTGACAAATTTAAAATTTTGAAAATATCTAGTTGGTGAAGAAGCGAAGAAACAGGCAATTCAAGAAGGGCAATTTGGAGAAGCTTAACAAGAACAAGATTGAAACAAACATGCACGTGTCCTCTGACCTGGTAACAGCACTTTAGGGACTTTAACTATGAATATTCTTGTAGAAGTATACAATGAATGACCAAGAAGGTTTATAATGGCATTATTTGTAATTTTAAAAATTGGAAATAATTTTTATCAATAGGATATAATTTAATATACTATAATATTCAAAAGAGAATTAAGCCGAACTATAGCACATTCACGCCATAGAATATTATGTAACAATTAATAAGGATGAAGCATAATGTATATGGATAATATGAAAAGATAATATATCTTAAGTCAAAAATGTCAAACTATGAAAACTTGATCCCACGTAAGCTTAAAAATATGCCAACATATGTTATATTTGCATAAAAAACCTGGAGTATACATATTGAATTATTTACATTCATTTTCTCTGAGGGATGCAATTAAGATTTTGGGATGATGATGAGATGCTTCACAGTATTTTTTTTTTTTAACTATGAAAATCTATTATTCCTATAGTAAGAGAATTAATTGATTTAAAAGTTGCATCCAGAAGCAAGCATCATAATTCAGATATTGTCTAAAATCTAAAGAATGCAATTTGTGGCTAATATTTCCTTGATCTAGACACTGTGCTACTCTCTTTCAATGAAGCTGTCTTGTCTTTTCTCAAGTCTTAATCTTCACTGGATGATTCCAGTTTATTTCAATTCCATCTGAATTATAAGATTCAGGACCCTTCAGCCTTCTAGACGCCCACCAGCAGAGACACTTTAGTGTGTCACCCTTATTAAAATGTACTGTTTTAAAAGACAGCTGGATCTGAACACAATATCCCAGATCATATCTAAGTGCAAAGGTAAGGAAATGATCGCCTCCTTTATTTTATTCTTTCCTTTGGTTATTTATTTAAGGTGTACGACATGGCCATTAGTGACAAATGTGAGACCAGCATTCAAGTTTCTGTTCTGATTTTGAGCTCATTCATTCATTCATTTGTTAAGTACTCTTGGAGAGTCTCCTGGATCCCAGGTTCTCTCTGCAGTTCTGGCATACAGTCATGAGTAAAGCAGGCTAAGCTCCTGTGCGACTGACTGTCGATCACTTTGTCATAACTGTGGGTCAAGAGCTGCTCCCCAGATCGTTGCACAAGAACTTGACTGACCTGTACAACATGTCAGTGAGCAAACTTCCCTGATTAATTATGATCAGCAAAGTGCTTCAGTGGGAGCTTAGCAGGAGCTGACATAAGCACTTTCTAACCATAGATTTCAGTGGAATTTCAACTCACATATCTCTGACTCACTGGAAGTTTAAATGCCTATTGAGCTGTTACGACAGAAAGACTTGATATCCAAGATTTTTCTGTCATAGCTATGAGTTGAAAGGGTAAAGACCCTCTCAGTCTATAAATAAATAAATAAAATCACAATTGATTCTTCTTTCCTTTTTAAAATTCAAGCATGTCACATCTTAGCCAGTACCAAATTTGGTCCTCCAACTCTACTAAAATTGATTGGGGCACTATTATATAGTATTGCATTTGATAGTAAGTATGAAGGAAAAACTTCCCTCCTGCCATATGTGTCTAATTTCAGATACACAGACATTTTGAAATATATTTATATATTGGGGAAGAAGGACTAGATTTTTCTGAACAACTCATTTGTAAAACATTGAAATAGGTACCCTACATATGTTGTTCACTTTAATCCCACCCAGATACCAAAGAAGGAGCTGGGGCTTTGGATTTAGAGACAGGGCTTATATCCCAATCCTGACATTTATTAGGTGTCTTGTTAGTGACTGGCCTAAGCCCTCAGTTTATTTGTAAATTAAGGGTAATAGTAACTGCCTACCAGAATTGTGATGAGAATTGCATTTGCTGTAGTATGAGACAGGGCCCAATCCTGTACTGGACATACAGTAGCTATATAGAAAACATTAATCCTTCTTTTTTCTCTTCCCCTTCCTTTCAGACACTGCTTATTTCCACATGGGTCAAGAAGTCTGCCTTACAATCTGGGTATAGATTTCCTTTTTCTGCCCAGACCTTGCACAGAGGCCTGGTCAGTCCAACTTATTCTCCCACTGGCCAGCTTTATGATCACTCCTCCTCTTTCTTCAATAGATGCTCCTAATTTTTAAATCTATAAAGCTTATTACATATGTCATAATGGGAGCTGGATTCAAGTGGGGTCTCTTGTAGTCATTTCTAGTGACTTACACAGTCACTATTAAGAAGGTACATATAAATGCCCACAGTATGTTATTACGTGAGTAAAAGCAAGTTGCCAGATAATATGTCAATATAATTTCATATTGAGTTGTAAAATACCTATCTAATCTATTTGTTTGCACATGAATGGAAAAAATTTTGGAATGATAAACATAACCAACAGGGTTTACTTTTAATGAGTGGGATGGGGAGGTAGACAGTAAATGCTTTTTTTTTTTTTTTTTTTTTAGAGACAGGGTCTCACTCTTTTGCCCAGGCTGGAGTGCAATGGCACAATCACTGCTCACTGCAGCCTCAACCTCCCAGTGATCCTCCTGCCTCAGCCTCCCGAGTAGCAGGGACTACAGGTATGCCCCACTATGCCCTGCTGATTTTTATATTTTTTGTAAAGACAGGGTTTTGCCATGTTGCTCAGGCTAGTCTTGAACTCCAGGGCTCACCCACTTCGGCCTCCCAAAGTGCTGGGATTACAGGTGTGAGCTACCACACCTGGTGGGACTTTTATTTTTTTACCTAACTATACTGGTGTGTTATTTTACTTTTTCCATAAAAATTATTTATACAACAAAAAAAAATTTTAAATATAATGAAGAAAAATGTGTATTCAATGTTAAAGGACCTGGGATTAGATATTTGAAATGTTTTCTACATAGGTAGCAGAATGACTGAGTCTCTCATTAACATTTTTTAATGATAAAATAATCTTGCCATTTGACTATGCACAAACAAGACATCTTATTTTATATTATTTGATGTATCACATTCTGAACTCATAAATCAGTTAAATTTGAGATGACCATTAACATTACAGAGCTAAGTCACCTGCCAAGTGAAACCTACTCTTGACTTTAAAAGACAACACTTCACAAACTAGAAAGCACACAAGAGTCGGGCAACATAAAGTACTTCTTGGCATCGAATTCAAAATAAAAGCAAAGCATTTTTATTCACATTCAACTAATTTTTACAAAACATGTACATGTACCTCATGGTGCTGTGCATTTTTACATATGTTTCTTATTTGGATCTCAAAACAACCTGGTGAAATAGACTATGCTAGCTTTCTTCACAGATGAGCAAGCTAAGTTTTAGTAGAGAGACTAACAGTGACTTGCCCAGGATCACTCAGCTAATGATCCCAGAGCCAGGACATAAACCCTACTTTTTTGGCTCAAAGATCTGTGCTTTCTACTTGACAACATATTGCTGATGAAGATATTCTGGTTAACTCATGAATTCCCAAGAACATACACAGGGAACCAAAAGGATTCCTGAAATCAACTAGCACACTTTTCTTTTTGGGCTGTAGTAAAGATCTTTTGTCTATTCCCGTTGTACCCATTCTTACCAAATGACGATATTTGCAGTCATCTGCAGCAACCCTATAGAAGTCCAAAACACAAGATCACTCAGTTATTATCAAAAGCTTTTTCCCATGTCATGATAGCCAGTAAAAAACTGGTTAACAACAACTTAAAAAATATATATCTACTGTGTCTTCTTCAGTAAACTCCTTGGCTTAAATTAGAATTTCACTGTGCTTCTTTGTAGCTAAACAAAGCCTGCATTTTGTTGTAAGTAATAGAACTTATTTATACTTGATGTCCTTTGAAAAGTGGTGGCATTTCAGCAACTCAAGCAGAAAGTTTTCTTTAATTCTTGCAGACAAAATGACACGTAATTATCAGGTAACAGCATTGTTAATATTTAAATATTGGCATAAACCTTTCTATTCATTTCCAAAACTGTTTGAGATCCACCAGGGGGAGATGAATTCGTATTTGTGTCTTGATCCAACTTCTCAATGTTTGGAGGGCACCTATAGTAACCAAAAGGATCACCCAGGTACTGGAACCTGCATGACCAGTTCAGTTTTTGTAGCTCTGTGGCGAGTTTGCAGTAATGTATGGGTTTTCTCATCGCCAAGATTTCGGCCAGCATTTCTTGCTTGTCGTTCTTCATAACTGTCTTTGCAGGTGGGGTGAGTCATTGCCGTACTTGTCACTGAGGCTTCCAGGGGTGAAACTCTGGATATGTTCTCTGTCATCCCAGACAATCCTATTGGGTGAATCTAAATTATGTTGTATTTGTTTTTTATTAGTTTGAGGATACCTAAGTATGTCAACCCTAGGTCAAGATATAAACTTTTCATAAAGCCTAGCCTATAGAAAAGCTTTAACTTTGGGAAAATGGTTGATGAAATTTACATGTGATCTCCAAGTCAACCCCCACCTACCACCCCCAACATACATACTTTCCACCACTGGTCCCAGGTTTATACTCTTGACCAGGCCCGCTATGTGATACAGAGCAAATCACTCCATTTCTCTAGGTCTCTGTGTTTTCTTATAAGATAAGGGTGCAGGTCTATCAGACGCATGCCTCCTTCCAGTGCCCTTCTTGTGCCGATGGAAGACATTACTAGTTGAACATCAAACTCTTTCCTGATAAGCTTGGAAATGGCTATAGCAGCCTCAATCCAACACCCTCAAAGTACACATGTAGAGGATACATCATTAAAATAACTGTGGAGGACATTTTTTCCTTCTCAACATCTCTCTTTTCAAGAGGATATTTAGGTTTTCATATTCCAAATTTATAGAGAATAAAGGAAGCACCACCGATGACTGGCACTCTTAGTCTCCCTAATGGCCTAACCTTATGCTGGTTATTGTCATAGGGCCTTCAAAGAGAGTCAAACACTCAGATGATTTAATGGATTTGATGATATATTTTTTAGATTGATCTGGAAATCTTGGATTTAAAAGCTGGTTGGACTGAGGGAGGCGGTTTCCTTGCTATTTTATTGCAGAGGAGAGATGACATTTGGGGAATATTTTGTTTAGTTTGTTAAGCAACACTGTAGCACTTACCAAGTGCCATGCTTTCTTCTAAGCACCTGAAAATATCAACTCATTTAATCATCACAATAACTCAATGATGTAAGTACTATTAATTTCCTCATCTTACAGATGATGAAACCAATGTTCAGAGCGGTTAAGCCACTTATCCATAGTCACCCAGCTGGTAAAGGGTGGAGCTAAAATGTAAACCCATCATTCCACCCTTGTTTGAAGTTCTCAGCACTACACTCCTCTCTCTTCATGTTGTGAAAACTCGGTGAGACCTGATCCATCTGGGGGGCATTCTTATAAAGAAAAGAGGTTGCCCTCAACCAACACCCACCTATACCAATAATAATAATAATAATAATAATAATAATAATCTCATGATAATTAAATTAAACAACACTTGCAAAGGCTCTGGCCCACTGAGTAGGTGCCTAATCTAAGCTCCTGCCTTCTGTCCTGCCTTTCCCTATAAGGAAGATTGCAAATATGTGAATCCAGCAGAAAATCAAGGAGACATGTTCTCTGAATGTAAAAGATATTCTTAATAGTGCATTTTAAAATGACTTTTTTCTTAAAAGTACCAGTGTAGAAATCAAATAAATGAATACAACTAATGATTTGGAGAAAGCAGAAAATGAAGAGAAATATTACTAATTGTTTAGGAAAATTTAGTGGTGTATTTTGCATATACACTTTATGGTAATATGCTAAAAAGACACTTGTTCACTGAACTTTACTGTATAAGGGAGGAGCCTCCTACTCCTACCCATCCTCTCACGGTTTCCTAGTCATAGAAACACTGAGATTTCCTTTCATTTGACCTGATAGGATATTTATCAAGCATCTTCTCACTTGAAAATACTGTTCTATTCATTCCTACCTTGGAAGACAGCACCACGGTTCTAAAAGTTCAAAGCATCTCCCGTCAACTAAAAAAGTTTCTCCCAAATTCATCCAAGCTGTGCTTTTCACTCAAATGCTGTTGATGGTATTTATCAGTTCATTCCATGGATGGTCCCATCCATTGATTGAGATTACTTTGTAAGTGACCCTACTGAGCACAGGACATCTTAACAATGCCTATTTCAACCTGAAAGAGTCAAAGAAGAATTTACAGAGACTTAAAGAAGGAGCAGGATTTTGAATGAGGGGAGAGATCTGAATTGTAAAGGCATGAGGGTATCCTGGGCTAGAGAGGGTGAAGTAGGGAGTGAAAGGAGAGAAACAAGGTTAGATTGCCAGGGAGAGAAAGTTTAATTTTTATTCCATATGTATAATGGTATGTTAGTTAATTATCATTTGGTTGCAAGTGACAGAAAACATAATTCAAACTGGTTGAAATGGAAAAAAAAAAAAGAAAGAAAAGAAAAAGAAAGCAGGGGCTGGGGGAGACACTGGCTCACAGAACAGAAAAGCCCATACAGCAACTTGATTTGATGCTCACATGGTGACTTAGGGTTTTCCTCTTAGCAATGTGATTCTGCCCTTTCTTCTGACATTGTTTGAGAGAAGTCATTTTGGGGGCAGAATTAAGGCTGGGTTGGAGATAGAAAATTAGAGGCTCAGCTAAACAAAAAGGCACTATTGCTACATTTTAGGAGAGAAATGAAGATAGACTGGACTCTGGCAAAAGTAGTAATATGGAGAGGACATATAGAAGGGCTACCGATTGAACATCAGGGGCACAGGGAGGGACAAGTCTAAGATGAGTGATAAATTCCAGCCTTGGGTAACTGGGTAAAAATTGGGCCTTTCATCAAGAAAATATATAAGAAGTTTGGTAGGGGAAATGTACATATTTGAATTTGAATTATCACTGGAACACTCAGTTGCAGATTTCTAGTAGGCTATTGGATATATGCTTCTTGAGCTCACAAAACCATTCTGGGCTGGAGATATGGATGTGGGATTTGTCAGAACACATGGGCCAGCAAAAAATATAGAAATATTTAAAGGTTTTGGAAGAGAAGGAGGAAGAACTGCAAAGGAAATAAAAAGGAGGGTAGTCAAGAGAGGTACAAGAAGAATTGAGAGATAGTTACCACAAAAACAAGGAATGGAGAGAAGGAAGGTATAAAATTCTAGGTAAAATTGATGAAATTAACAGATGTAAAATGTCCAGAGGATGTAACAAACTAGGAGGTCACTATCAAATCAGGTCAGTAGTAGAATCCGTGGCATCAAGAATTGATTATTAAGAAGAAACACGAGCACCAATTACATCAAGAGAGTCAACATGTTTATTTCTCACCTGTGAAGTGAAAGACACTATACCAAGCACATTGAAGAAATAATAATAAAACATGCTACATTTCCCTGAGTACCAAGAACACAAATTTATTTTATGTTTTATTTGAATTCAATCTGGCATTATAACTTAATTTGAAACATGAGCTGAATTTATTCAGAGGGGTTAAGCTTTCTAAAAAGGGAAGGTGGTTTATATATCAGAGTGTGTAATCAAGATCAGAGGATTTTGTTTAAAAAAAAATCAATCATGTATGATTGTGCTCATCAAAATTATTCCTCATTATCTCTGTTTAAGCCCTAATAAGTATTGCAACTTTACCCTGTTTCTAGAGTATTCTTGCCACTGGAGCAACTTCTAACTTTTCCCTCTCAGTGGCTTTTTATAGAAGTAGGCTTTCCCTCAATAGCAGTTGCCGTTTAATGACTCCAGCCCCAGTGCTGTTGAAAGCACCTCTTCAGTTTCTCCCTCTATTCTCTCTTCCTTTGAATCAAACATGTTAATGGCATCTACCTGAAAGATGGTCACTTCACCCTGCTTGTCTGTCTTTTAGCTCCTGAACTCCCTGTGTTTCATCTTAATCTCTCTGGTAATGCAATATGACTTTTAAATTTACTGCAGTCCTTCCCAGGGTCTCCAGGAGGAAGTGAACAGTCTACCAGTGACAGTGGTAGTAGAGTCTGTAATCCCCATGGCCTTGTAGGCACTGGCTTAAGTTGTAAAGTTTGTACTATAAATGTTCGAGCAGATTTGGGACGCACCCCTCATTCCAGGGATTCTTCATATCCACGGACATCCTTTTACCAGATTTTTGTGGGTGACAGATCTTCTTCCTTAAACTCACAAACCTTCATATATTCCCAGTAGGAACATCCACACCAAATCAAAACATCCTGTGGCTTGCATTAATTCAACAAAATTGAAAGAGGGCCCACTCACCTCTTTCTTTTTGTTTCACAATGCTGGCTTGTGAAATCTCCCTTTCTATATTTTCCTTGCTTTTGCCACTATTAGCTTTCTTGTTTGTTTGTTTGTTTGTTTGTTCCTAGTGATGGAACAAATATAATGCCTTGAAAGGCAATCAGAAATAATTTCTGAGGTATCTGCTGTTTTGCATCCTCCCAGCCTCCGTGCCCCTCCACTGGTGTGGACCATCAATGGCCAGTTGTTTCTCTGTGGGGTGTATGTGTGACTGGAACCCCCTGTAATTACCCTTTCCACAGCCTCTGCCCCCAAGCAGTGTGGCTTCTTGGGTTACTGAAGGCCTCACAACAAACCTGACTTTGTTCTTTTAGCTATCTTCTCTCAATGCCATCTCATTAAAGTACTTTGCCAGTGAAAACAGCCCTGACAAATGTCTTTCCACTTGTAACCTGGCCTGAAACTGCCTAACTTTTCTTGATGAATGGGCTAAATATTCCAAAATAATTTACTAGGGAAACTTGACAATCACCAGCTCATGTTGTCATCTATATTTTTAAAAATTTGTGTTATGCACTGACCACCAACCGTCTAAATTATTGTTTTGTTCCAATAATGAGACAAGTATGATTTATTTCTTGTCCTTTAGTATTAATATAAACTATGATAGGATATTAAGACCCATACATTAAGAGAAATAATGGGTGACCAAAAAGTATAGGGGCAACGGGGACCCCACATGTTGAGTCTTTTGTGGAAATTTGGGGGAACTAAAGCTTTTTCAAAAAATTCTTATTAAAAGGGGGTAAAACGTTCTGTGTCTAGAAGGGAAACTGTTAATAAAAGGTTTGTTAATGTAACAATAATTATACTATTTATGATTTCAGACACACTAAATAATGTCACTGGAGACAAGACGTAGCCCCATTTTCCATCTTGTAGTCCCAGTCTCAACCTCTGGTTTATTCTCCTGAGAATCAATAATGATACAGAAGCAGAGCTGGGGAGTGGAACTGAAATTTCTCAATTTGGGACACAATCTTGCTCTCAGTTATTGGTAAGCAGTGGAGGTTTTTGTTGAACTCCTGATTTTTGCATCTGGTTGTTGTATCACATTCCTGCCTCCTTGTAAGAGAAATGCCTCCTCAAAAGGAGAAAAGAATAAAAAATAAATAAATAGGTGGCTGGCAAGATAGCTGAATAGGAAGAGTGCCAGTCTGTAGTTCCCAGCAAGATCAAGGCAGAAGGTAGGTGATTTCTGCATTTGCAATTGAGGTACCCAGCTCATCTCACTGGGACTAGTTAGACAGTGGGTGCAGCCCATGGAGGGCAAGCTGAAGCAAGGTGGGGCATCGCCTCATCTGGGAAGTGCGAGGGGTTGGGGAACTCCCTCCCCTAGCCAAGGGAAGCCATGGGGGACTGTGCTGTGAGGAATGGTGCTCTCCAGCCCAGATACTACACTTTTCCCACTGTCTTTGCAACCTGCAGACCAGGAGATTCCCTCTGGTGCCTACACCACCAGGGCCTTGGGTTTCAAGTGCAAAACTAAGCGGCCATATTGGCAGACACTGAACTAGCTGCAGGAGTATTTTTTCATACCCCAGTGGCACCTGGAATGCCAGCAAGACAGAACTATTCACTGCCCTGGAAAGGGGGCTGAAGCCAGGGAGCCAAGTGGTCTAGCTCAGTGGACCCCACCCCCATGGAACCCAGCAAGCTAAGATCCACTTGCTTGAAATTCTCGCTGCCAGCACAGCAGTCTAAAGTCAACTGGGGATGCTAGAGCTTCGTTGGGGGAGGGGCATCCACCATTGCTGAGGCTTGAGTAGGTGGTTTTCCCCTCACAGTGTAAACAAAGCCACTGGGAAGTTAGAACTGGGTGGAGCACACTGCAGCTTGGCAAAGCCGCTGTAGCCAGACTGCCTCTCTAGATTCTTCCTCTCTGGGCAGGATATCTCTGAAAGAAAGGCAGCAGCTCCAGTAGGGGCTTATAGATAAAACCCCCATCTCCCTGGGACAGAGCACCTGGGGGAAGGGGTGGCTGTGGGCGCAGCTTCAGCAGACTTAAATGTTCCCGCCTACTGTCTCTGAAGAGAGCAGCGGATCTCCCAGCACAGTGCTCGAGCACTACCAAGGGACAGACTGCCTCCTCAAGTGGGTTCCTGACCCCCATGCCTCCTGACTGGGAGACAGCTCCCAGCAGGGGTCAACAGATACCTCATACAGGAGAGCTCCAGCTGGCATCTGGTGGGTGCCCCTCTGGAACAAAGCTTCCAGAGGAAGAATCAGGCAGCAATATTTGCTGTTCTGCAGCCTCCACTGGTGATACCCGGGCAAACAGGGTCTGGAGTGGAGCTCCAGCAAACTCCAGCAGACCTGCAGTAGAGGAGCCTGACTGTTAAAAGGAAAATTAACAAACAGAAAGGAATGGCATCAACATCAACAAAAACAACGTCCACACAGAAACCCCATCTGAAGGTCACCAACATCAAAGACCAAAGGTAGATAAATCTACGAAGATGAGGAAAAACCAGTGCAAAAAGACTGAAAATTCCAAAATCCAGAACACCTCTTCTCCTCCAAAGGATCACAACTCCTTGCCAACGAGAGAACAAAACTGGATGGAGAATGAGTTTGACGAATATACAGCAGTAGGCTTCAGAAGGTGGGTAATAACAAACTCCTCCAAGCTAAAGGAGCGTGTTCTAAACCAATGCAAGCAAGCTAAGAACCTCGAAAAAAGGTTAGAGAAATTGCTAACTAGAATAACCAGTTTAGAGAAGAACATAAATGACCTGATGGATCTCAAAAATACAGCATGAGAACTTTGTGAAGCATACACAGTATCAATAACTGAATCGATCAAGTGCAAGAAAGGATATCAGAGATTGAAGATCAACTTAATGAAATAAAGTGTGAAGACAAGATTAGAGGAAAAAGAATGAAAAGGAACAAACAAAGCCCCCAAGAAATATGGGACTACGTGAAAACACCAAACCTATGTTTGATTGGTGTACTTCAAATTGATGGGGAGAATGGAACCAAGTTGGAAAACAATCTTCAGAATATAATCCAGGAGAACTTCCCCAACCTAGCAAGAGAGGCCAACATTCAAATTCACGAAATACAGAGAACACCACAAAGATACTCCTCGAGAAGAGCAACCCCAAGACACATAATTGTCAGATTCACCAAGGTTGAAATGAAGGGAAAAATATTAAGGGCAGCCAGAGAGAAAGTTCGGGTTACCCATAAAGGGAAGCCCATCAGACTGACAGCAGATCTCTCTGCAGAAACCCTACAAGCCAGAAGAGAGTGGGGGCCAATATTCAACATTCTTAAAGAAAAGAATTTTCATCCCAGAATTTCATGTGCAGCCAAACGAAGCTTCATAAGCAAAGGAGAAATAAAATCATTTACAGGGAAGCAAATGCTGAGAGATTTTGTCACTACCAGGCCTGCCTTACAAAAGCTCCTGAAGGAAGCACTAAATATGGAAAGCAAAAACCAGTACCAGCCACTGCAAAAATATACCAAGTTGTAAAGACCTTCGACACTATAAAGAAACTGCATCAACTAATGGGCAAAATAATCAGCTAGCATCGTAATGACAGAATCAAATTCACACTTAACAATATTAACCTTAAATGTAAACAGGTTAAATACCCCAATTAAAAGATACAGACTGGCAAGTTGGATAAAAAGTCAAGACCCATCAGTGTGCTGTATTCAGGAGACCTATCTCACATACAAAGACACACATAGGTTCAAATTAAAGGGATGGAGGAATATTCACCAAGCAAATGGAAAGAAAAAAAAACAAAAACAAAAACAGGAGTTGCAATCCTAATCTCTGATATAAGAGACTTTAAAGCAACAAAGATCAAAAAAGACAAAGAAGCGCATTACATAATGGTAAAGGGATCAATGGAACAAGAAGAGCTAACTCTCCTAAATATATATGCACCCAATATAGGAGCACCCAGATTCATAAAGCAAGTTCTTAGAGAACTACAAAGAGACTTAGACTACCACACAGTAATAGTGGGAGACTTTAACACCCCACTGTTAATATTAGACAGCTCAACGAGACAGAAAATTAACAAGGATATTCAGGACTTGAACTCAGCTCCGGACCAAGCAGACCTAATAGACATCTACGGAACTCTCCACCCCAAATCAACAGAATATACATTCTTCTCAGCACTACATCACAGTTATTCTAAAATTGGCCACATAATTGGAAGTAAAACACTCCTCAGCAAATGCAAAAGGACTGAAATCATAACAAACAGTCTCTCAGACCACAGTGCAATCAAATTAGAACTCAGGATTAAGAAACTCACTCAAAACTGCACACCTACATGGAATCTGAACAACCTGCTCCTGAATGCCTACTGGGTAAATAACGAAATTAAGGCAGAAATAAAGAAGTTCTTTGAAACCAATGAGAACAAAGACACAATGTACCAGAATCTCTGGGACACAACTAAAGCAGTGTTTAGAAGGAAATATATAACACTAAATGCCCACAAGAGAAAGCAGGAAAGATCTAAAATTGACACCCTAACATCATAATTAAAAGAACTAGAGAAGCAAGAGCAAACAAATTCAAAAGCTAGCAGAAGACAAGAAATAATAAGATCAGAGAAGAACTGAAAGAGATAGAGACAAAAAAAACCCTTCAAAAAAATCAGTGAATCCAGGAGCTGGTTTTTTTAAAAGATCAACAGAATTGATAGACTGCTAGCAAGACTAATAAAGAAGAAAAGAGAGAAAAATCAAATAGACAAAATAAAAAATGATAAAGGGGATATCACCACTATCCCACAGAAATACAAACTACTATCAGAGAATAAATACCTCTCTGCAAACAAACTAGAAAATCTAGAAGAAATGGATAAATTCCTGGACACATACACCCTCCCAAGACTAAACCAGGAAGAAGTTGAATCCCTCAATAGACCATAACAAGTTCTGAAATTGAGGCAGCAATTAATAGCCTACCAATCAAAAAAAGCCCAGGACCAGACAAATTCACAGCTGAATTCTACCAGAGGTACAAAGAGAAGCTGGTACCATTCCTTCTGAAACTATTCCAAACAGTAGAAAGAGAGGGACTCCTCCCTAACTCATTTTATGAGGCCAGCATCATCCTCATAACAAAACCTGGCAGAGACACAACAACAAAAGAAAACTTCAGGCCAATATCCCTGATGAACAACGATGCGAAAATCCTCAATAAAATACTGGCAAACCAAATCCAGCAGCACATCAAAAAGCTTATCCAGCACGATCAAGTCAGCTTCATCCCTGGGATGCAAGGCTGGTTCAACATACGCAAATCAATAAACGTAATCCATCACATAACAAAACCAATGACAAAAACCACATGATTATCTCAATAGATGAAGAAAACGCCTTTGACATAATTCAACACTCCTTCATGCTTAAAACTCTCTATAAACTAGGTATTGATGGAATGTATCTCAAAATAATGAGCTATTTATGACAAACCCACAGCCAATATCATACTGAATGGGCAAAAGCTGGAAGAATTCCCTTTGAAAACCAGCACAAAACAAGGATGCCCTTTCTCACCACTCCTATTCAACACAGTATTGGAAGTTCTGGCCAGGACAATCAGGCAAGAGAAAGAAATAAACGATATTCAAATAGGAAAACAGGAAGTCAAATTGTTTCTGTTTGCAGATGACATAATTGTATATTTAGAAAGCCCCATCGTCTCAGCCCAGAATCTCCTTTAGCTGATAAGCAACTTCAGCAAAGTCTCAGGATACAAAATCAATGTGTAAAAATCACAAGCATTCCTATACACCAATAATAGACAAGCAGAGAGCAAATCATGAGTGAACTCCAATTCACAATTGCTACAAAGAGAATAAAATACCAAGGAATATAACTTACAAGGGATGTGAAGGACCTCTTCAAAGAGAACTACAAACCACCGCTTAAGGAAATAGGAGAGGACACAAACAAATGAAAAAGCATTCCATGCTCTTGGATAGGAAGAATCAATATCGTGAAAATGGCCATACTGCCCAAAGTAATTTATAGATTCAATGCTATTCCCATCAAGCTACCATTGACTTTCTTCACAGAATTAGAAAAAAACTACTTTAAATTTCATTTGGAATCAAAAAAGAGCCTGTATAGCCTAGACAATCCTGGGCAAGAAGAACAAAGCTGGAGGCATCACACTACCTGACTTCAAACTATACTGCAAGGCTACAGTAACCAAAACAGCATGGTACTGGTACCAAAACAGATATATAGACCAATGGAACAGAACAGAGGCCTCAGAAATAATGCTGCACATCTACAACCATCTGATCTTCGACAAATCTGACAAAAGCAATGCAAATGCAAAATGAACAGAAAATGAATGAATCCAGGAGCTGGTTTTGTGAAAATATTAACAAAATAGGTAGACTGCTAGCCAGGCTAATAAAGAAGAAAAGAGAGAAGAATCAAATAGACACAATGAAAAATGATAAAGGGGATGTTACCACTGATCCCACAGAAATACATACTACCATCAGAGAATACTATAAACACCTCTATGCAAATAAACTAGAAAATTTAGAAGAAATGGATAAATTCCTGGACACATACACCCTCCCAAGACTCAACCAGGAAGAAGAAAGGATTCCCTATTTAATAAATGGTGTTGGGAAAACTGGCTAGCCATATGCAGAAAACTGAAACTGGATCCCTTCCTTACACCTTATACAAAAATTAACTTCAGATGGATTAATGACTTAAACATAAGACCTAAAACCATAAAAACCCTAGAAGAAAACCTAGGCAATACCATTCAGGACACAGGCATGGGCAAAGCCTTCGTGATTAAAACACCAAAAGCAACGACAACGAAATCCAAAATTGACAAATGGGATCTAATTAAATTAAAGAGCTTTTGCACAGCAAAAGAAACTATCATCAGAGTGAACAGCCAACCTACAGAATGGAAGAAAATTTTTGCAATCTATCCATCTAATAAAGGGCTAATATCCAGAACCTACAAGGAAGTTAAACAAATTTACAAGAAAAAAAAAACGGCCCCATCAAAAAGTGGGCAAGGGATATGAACAGACACTTCTCAAAAGAAGATATTTATGTGGCCAACAAACATATGAAAAAAAGCTCATCAATGCTGGTCATTAGAGAAATGCAAATCAAAACCACAGTGAGATACCATCTCAGGCCAGTTAGAATGGTGATCATTAAAAAGTCAGGAAACAACAGATGCTGGAGAGGATATGGACAAATAGGAATGCTTTTACACTGTTGGTGGGAGTGTAAATTAGTTCAACCATTATGGAAGACAGTGTGGTGATTCCTCAAGGATCTAGAACCAGAAATATCATTTGACCCAGCAATAATCTCATTACTGAGTATATACCCAAAGGATTATAAATCATTCTACTATAAAGACACATGCACACATATGTTTGTTGCAGCACTATTCACAATAGCAAAGACTTGGAACCAACCCAAATACCCATCAATGACAGATTGCATAAAGAAAATGTGGCACGTATATATACCACAGAATACTATGCAGCCATAAAAAAGGATGAGTCCATGTCCTTTACAGGGACATGGATGAAGCTGGAAACCTTCATTCTCAGCAAACTAACACAGGGACAGAAAACCAAACACCACATGTTCTCACTCATAAGTGGGAGTCGAACAAGGAGAACACATGAACACAGGGAGGGGAACATCACACACTGGGGCCTGTCAGGGGTAGAGGTGGGGGAGGGAGAGCATTAGGAGAAATACCTAATGTAGATGACGGGTTGATGGATGCAGCAAACCACCAAGGCACATGCATACCTATGTTACAAACCTGCATGTTCTGCACATGTATCCCAGAACTTAAAGTATTATAAATAAATAAATAAATAATTTTTTTTACAGTTTTTAAGAAGAAAAGAAAGAGGAGTTTAAAAAAAAGAAGGTTTCTTTTCCCAGATACAAACAACTGTATCTATTAATTTATTTATTTAACTTTTATTTACTGAAGTTTCCTGGGAGGCTATACAGAGCAGTGGCTAAAAATGAAGGCTTAGGTTTACAGTTTGTTGGTTCACACTTCAGCTCCACGACTTTGTCATCCTATGGCTTTAGACAGCAAAGCTAAACATGTTCCTTAGTCCCCTGTGTCTCAGCTGCCCATCTGGAAAATGGTGCTGAGGATTAATTGAGACAGTCCACATCAAGTGGTTAAGATAATGCTTGGCATATAGTAAGCACTCATTGAATGTTAGGGTTATTATTTCTATATATGAGACATAGGGTCCTGAAAAACTACAATAGCATATATCTCCCCTAAAACATCCTATATGTACACCTATAATGTAGGTGAAAATTTCCCATAAACTCCTGAAAGGGGCTGATGTAAAAGAGCTTAAAATTTGAGGAAAGTAATTGAAATAGGCTAATATGAGCTCTTTATAAATATCTACCTAAACTGCTTGGGCTTATGACTAACTAGACAGCCTATTTCGTGGTCGTGCTACTGTTTACATAGATCCAGTGTCATTCTTTTCAAAGGATTAGAATCCGGCATTAGTACTTCTACCCACCTGAATGATTAAGGATGCACAGATGAGTTCCTCTGATTTGAATCATGAATGATAGTGAAGCATTTTTCTATACTTTTGTCTTTTAACACTTACAGTATCACTATAACATATTTATCTCCTATTTTACAGATACAGAAGTTGACACATAAAAAGTGAAGGGTAATTCAAACCAACATTATCATATCTGCTAAAACTTCTAAGTGTCCAATTCTTGATTGTGAAAATCATGTATTTGCACCAGTCCATAGACTCACCAAAATGGCCCCTCCACTGATAAACAAAAAAATAAATAAAAAGTGCAGGTAGGCGGTGTCATTGTATTCTCACATGCATACACCTGAGTGAAGCTCAGAGAGATAAATTACTGGTTATGTACTCAGCAGGATTCACACCAAGACAGGCTGATGTGAAATCTCTGCTCTGCTCTTTCCATATATTAAGATCCTCTTCCTTTTTGGTGACTTCTGCTGTCCTGATTTTTTGGGTAACATGCTTGTGCTAGAGGTGGCTATGATAAAAAGGTCAGTCTTAGCCAACTAAGCTTAAGCATTAACAAATGAGAGTTTTATGCATCTACTAGAAGATTTAGTTGGGCTGTAAAGATTTATTTGAGCAATGCTTTTGTTATACTTTTCTTCATAAGTGGAGACAAGTTTGTCCCAAGATACATCTCTTAATGCATAAATTCATATATGTATTACTAAGACTTTTCCCACAAACTCAAGGGATTAAGTTGTACCCATAAATATATACATTTTGGATAATGTTAAAATTTTACCTACATTTAAAACTAATAGTTAATCATAAATTCAACAGAGAAGGGGTGGGTTACAAGATATTTGGAGAGGTGGGAGGTATCTTAGAGCTTAGAGCTTACCACAGTAAGTCTTTGCAAGCTCTTCCTCAAAGTCAGCCTGTGCCACAGCTAAGACCAGGCATTTTGGACTCAGACAAGCTTGATTGGAACAAAGGCTGTTGAAGCTACTTAATCTTTCTGAACCTCAGTTCCTTCATCTGTAAAATGAAAATAATAATGCCTGGATGGTTGTAATGCTTAAATGAGATCACTTGCCTGGCACATGGCAGTCACTTGTCACATGTTGTTTACCTGTGGTTTCATCCACTCCACCCATCTCATTCTTTTCAAGAGACTGACTTTAGAATGCACTGTCTTCCCAATCATTAAGTAAACTTTCCGCAGAGAAAAAAAAATGTCAGGATTATTTTTTTCTTTGATCTCTCCTTTCTAGGTTATCTTTAGCCAACCTTTGCTTCTTTGGCATGGCACACGTGTCTCACCTCTCCATGTCCGGAAGTAGTCACAGCCATCTAGAACTCTGAATGATATTCCCCTGACAAGGATGGCTTACTGCTGCCCACTCAAGTTGTCAACAACCAGATGCTGAACACTTAGCTATTTAAAATTGGCACCCCCCAACCCAACTCCATGAGAAAAAGCACACCTGGTGGGCTTCCTCCACAGTCTGGAGAGGCTTCTCCAGATCATTCCAAGTGGTTTGGATTTGGTGGAGCTACAGGGAGGGGTGCAGTGAGATGTGAGGGTACTTATTGCTCCAGCTTTTAAAAGGCCACAGAGCAGAATGGTAACAAAAAAATCAAAATCACAAACACTAATGAGGCTTCCTAGTTGGTGCCAGCTCTATTCCTGTCACCACCCTTCACAGCCCCAGAAGAGAGTAGAGGATTATAGTTTGGTGGAATCCTTGGGGCACATTCAAAGAGTTTGAGATTTTGTTTGAAAGTCTGTTTGCAGACAGTAAAAATGGATTAAATTGCCTCTCCAACACAAAGAAATGCCAGGTCTCTGTAGAGGTAAGACACCAGAGACTTAAAGTGATACTAGAAGCAAAATAATGAAAAGACTCCAAAATACTGGACCGTCTTTACAGCTAACGCTATATACCTTGTGTTTAAGAGTATATCAATTAATTGTGATAGAAGGAACCAAAGAAATAAGGCATTCAATAATATGTCATTTCTTGTTGAAATGAAATACATTAAGGACCCTGGTATATATTATATATTCTTTTTTAAAAAGCACAACAGGAAGTTATTTCTTGCATTGTATTTCTCACTGCTACTCCCTTCTATAAAACTCAGATTCTGGCTGGGCGCAGTGGCTCACTCCTGTAATCCCAGCACTTTGGGAGGCCAAGGCGGGTGGATCACATGAGCTCAGGAGTTCGAGACCAGCCTGGCCAAGATGGTGAAACCCTATCTCTACTAAAAAAAAAAAAAAAAAAAAAAAATTAGCTGGGCGCGGTGGCAGGTGCCTGTAATCCCAGCTACTTGGGAGGCTGAGGCAGGAGAATTGCTTGAACCCAGGGGGCAGAGGTTACAGGGAGCCGAGATGGAGCCACTGCACTCCAGCCTGGGCAACAGAGCAAGACTCTGTCTGAAAAAAAAAAAAAAAAAAAAAAAAACCAACTCAGATTCTTTGTGTATAACTTCTAGAAGTGATATGGATGGGTCAAGGAGTATTTATACAATGCCACTGGAATCCAAAAAGTAAGAGAAGAATAAAGATGAGACTTTTTAATCTCTTTAACTGTAACTTTTCAAATAATTCTAAAAGGTTAAATTTTTTATTACTTTATGCATGTTGAAAGCATTAAACTGTATATCTCACGGAAAAAGAAAAAAAAACTGTTCATGGCAGCTACAGCAAGATAGTGCTAATAAAAAAAGAACCATGTATTTGGTGAGATATCGCTGGTTATCCATGCTCTAAAATGCTGACATTTTCAACTGATATCACCTAATAAAGATATAGAAGAGAAGATCAACGACATGGATACTATTTTTTTTCCCTCAAATGGCCTAAATTATTATCAGTCTTACACAAATAGATTAGTATTAATAGCTCTTTTCAAGGCTGAATTAATATTTCCAAAACTTAAGAAGTCAACTTATTATAACATTCATTGCATATATAGTTTGTTATATATACTTTTTAAAATTTCTGCCTTTTTCATGTGTTCATATGTCTGTCTGCACCTTTGCCTGAGTGTTTCCTGTTGGTCTTCACTATGACAGGCATTGTTCTGGGCTTAAGGGGACAAGGATCTGGCACAGTTCCTGCCCTCAGGAGGAGTGACATTCCGAACACTGAGTGGCGGGCTGTGTGTGGGCTATAGGTGCAGGTGCTACATTCCATCAGCTACAGAGAGAGCATATGCTTTGAAAAATGAGGAAAACTTAATGAAAAAGTACACACTTAAATTGAGCTCTGAAGGAATGTCTGAAATTATTTTGAGAATACTGTTCTTCTTAGTGTAAGAGAATACCATGTTCATCTTTGATAAATTAATAGACTTTATTTTTTAGAGTAGTTTTAGGTTTACAGAAAATTGAGCAGATAGTAGAAAGTTCGTATACAGCTCTTGCCTCCCCCTCGTCCCCATAGAGTTTCCCTATTAATAACGGCTCACATTAGTGTAAGACATTTGTTACAATTGATGAATCAATCTTGATACATTGTTATTAATTAAAGCCCATAGTCTATATTAGAGTTTCTCTGTGTTGTACGGTTTTATGAGTTTTGACAAATGCACAGTGTCATGTGCCCATCATTACAGTATAATACAGAACAGCTTCAATGCCCTGAAACTTCTGTTGCTCCACTATTCATCCCTCCATCTCTTTCCCTGGACTTCTGGCAACCACTGATCTTTTTACTTTCTTCATAGTTTTGCTTTTTCCAGAATGTTATATAGTTGGAATCTCACAGTACATAGCCTTTTCCGACTGACTTCTTTCACTTAGCAATATTCAGTGAAGGTTCCTCCATGTCTTTTCATGACTGGATAGCCATATTCACTTTTACAAATAGGAAAAAATAAAATAAAAAACTATCACCCATAATCGCAGAGATAAGCTCTATGAACACTTTGGTCATTTCTTTCCAGGTTTCTTCATAGATAGATAGATATACTGAATTATCCTATTATCGATAGTATTTTGATATCTTTTCTGTTACTCAATAATTTATCATGAATATTGTACTATTAAACATCAGTTTGTAAAACTACTTGTAATGGCTAAAGATTATCCCATTTCTGGTTGTATTACTTATTAAACTAAGTTTTCATTCAGGAGCATGAAGGTTGTTGCAAAATTTTTGCTACTGTATACAATGCTATGATGAATATCCTTCTTGCCAAATATTTATTTCCATATCTTTAGGAAAAATATTCTAGATGTGTAATTGCATTACACAGTGGGTACAATTATCAGGCATTTGATAGAAACGATCAAGCTCTGCCCTGGAAGGTCTCTAACAATCTCCATTCCCTGCACAGGACAAGAAATTGCACACTTCCCTATACCTCATCAAAGCAGGGTAACATCATTTTAAACAATGTTTAAATTAGAAGATATTTGTCATGCACTTATTGGGTGGTTAGGAGGTTAGGAGAGGGAAGAAGGCACTTGATGAGAATAGCATGAACAATGGCATGAAGGTGAGTAGACATGATCATGCTAGAAAATCAAATACCATACTGTGGTTGAAGTACAGAGAGCGTTGAGTGGAAGAAGCATGAGCTGAGGCCAGAACGACAGATTACAGTCAGATCACAAAGGTCCTCAAATGCCCAGCTGGATGAATGCATGTCTTTGGAAAGCAAAAGACAGCCCAAAAGGTTTTTAAGTAGGGTAGTGACCTAAACCAAGCTATGCGAAGATTAGTTTTGCAGCAGCATGAGGGTAAACTGGAGTAGGCTGATAAAGGATTCCAAGACCCTGTTTAGAGACATGAAAATGTTGATGATAGGGATGATAACTTGTTGTTTTAAGGAAGCAACAGTGGGACTGCAGAGGAAGGATGAAATGGGGAATAGGTGCCAAGTGAGGTTCCAGAATTTCTTTGGCCCCTTTGCACCTTGTTTTCCAACATCTTTCTCTCTCCCAGAAACTTCTGTATCTCCAGATGATACAAAGTCCCAACTCAGAGATTGTTGCTTTAACATAGGGACTTTGAGGACCAAAAACAAAAAGGAATTTATCTTCCATTGTGGAATTTTAGGCAATATGACAAATCAGAAAAAAAAAATCTTTAGACAGAGGCTTTTAGTAACATTTTAGTAACATTTAGTAGCAATTTTTAAGCCATCTGAGAATGCTTCTGTGCTCCCCCCAGTAAATTGCTCTGGGTTTGAATTTATTTGTATGAGAAGCCACATAAAGGTGTAAAGTCAAAATCATATTTAGTTATGCAGTCAATAAAATAGACTCTATTAAAACAGACTCTGTTAAAAAGAACACAATGGCATGACATTGATGCAATATTTAGTTACCACAGATATGATACCAGTTCCTCCAATGGACTCTTAGAACTGTTCACAGAATTTGTGACTAGATCAGAGAAGCTAGTTCAAGGGAAAGGGGCAGAGGAAATGACAGGTTTAGAAGGAGCTAGTGGGTCATCCACATTTGAATGTCCATCCACAGTTGAAGTGGTAACTGGAGGCCAAAGATATACGAGTTGCCTGTGTTATGTGGGAATTCCTCTGCACATTCACAATTGTTAAAATTATGAGAATTCCTAAAATTTCCTTAAGACCAAATTTGGGGTTGTGTTAGTTGGCTTAACTGAGAGAAAAAAAAAATTGCACTGTTAGCACTTTGTCTATGGTATCTTTTTTTCAACTTACATATATTTAGTTTTTGGCCCATTATAATTTACTTGCCTTTGGACAAGATTGTTTTTATATTCTCTCACCAATATGTGTGTGCATCTCCACGTGACTCCTTCTCTGTCTTTTTCTGTCTTCTGTTATATAAGATCTTACTGCTGTCTTCACCATGATCACACTTCGACAGTCAAAAAAAAAAAAAAAAGATATATTTCAGGTGTTTGAGATGAAGGAGGTTGCGTGAGTTTAACCTTCCTTGGTATCCTTGTGAGCTTTCTGTATTTAATACTTGTTTTATCTGAAGCCTGTGGAGGTTCTAAACTATTAGAAGACACACTTTCTGAGAACTACCTTTCTAGTAGCCTGAAGATATATCATTGATGTTGGGCAACAAAGTTATTCTCTGTAATCCTCTTGATGTTGTAAATGAAAAAGAAGACGGAGCTAGCACCATCTGAACTTTGGGCAAACCATTTGCTCAAAAGGATCATCAAAGGACCAAACCCTGCCAAAATAATATTAAAAAAAAATCCAGCAGAAAAGGAAAACATTGAGGAGCACGCACAAAAATGAAATTGGTGCAAATTATCTCCATTGTGATTGGAGAGCAATACAAAACAAACTCCCACCACAGCCTCGAGAGGAAAGCCACAGAAGACAGACATTGAAGTGGTAGCCTCACAGTAGCCATCTTTTAACAGCTTTCTTTCTTCAATGCTTTAACCTTAAAAAAAAAAAAAGAAGAAGAAAAGAAAGAAAAAGGAAAAAAAAAAAGAAGAGAAGAAAAAGGAAAAGAAAAAACTACCCATTGTTATGTCCCCTATTCATCCTTCATTCAAAGTCATTCACTATGCATTAATTACCACTTTCTTCAATGCACGGGGAGCTCCCAAACACATCTTGTTTTCAAAGAGGCACACTTCCATGCCTCTGCTATTTATATGCAGAACCCGCTGAAATTTTCATCCCAATACTTTGAGATCCCCCCCTAATTTCTGCATACTGTAATTGTTCATAAGAAAAAAAAAGACAAAAGAATGATTTCATGCTTCCAGGACAGTTGTTTGCATCTCTTTCATTTTTCTTTCCAGCTGTGACTGGCAGCAGAAGGTTCTTTAGCAGGTGTCTTGCCTGCCCTATGGTAATTTTTAACTTTCCTTCACTTTCTTTTATGTCTGTCACATTTATAGAGACATTTTTACCCCTGTTGCCTGGTGCTGTTTTTCTTCCTTTCTTATATCAATCTAATATCTGGATTTTTCCTTAATATGCTATTCTCCTTAGGAGTCATTTAAGAAGAAGGAAAAAGATTGAGTTGAGAGTTCAAAAATCTCATCTAGACATTTTAACTGCACAGTATAGTAATTGGATCTCTGACACTCACTTTACTCTCATTCCTATGGGTCTAATCACTATGAAATTTGTGAAAACTACATCGTTGGTTAATAGGAACTTAGTGCAGTTACTAGCACCACTTCTCAGTATAAAGCTTGATTTTTCCAATACTATTTAAGCATCAAAAGGAGATTGATGGGGTTAATTCTACAAGAAATTTTAAAAATTAAAACTTAATTAGAAAACATATTTGTGAGTCAATTCAGCTATTTATGCAAATTTGTGACATTCCAACTTATTCTTGGCCAAAATAATGTTGTTTTAAGGAAGAAGAAAGAAAGAAAGAAAGATAGGAGAAAAAGAATTAAACAGAGTGTATATACCTATAGGATTGTATACACTTAAAACAACTGAGCTGGTTCAGGCAAGTTATAAAAATAATTAGTACAACAGGGTCATAGAATACTGGACTTGAAAGATTATTCCAGCTATTTTTTTTATAGTTGAGGAAACTGAGGCCCAAAAAGATAATGACTTGTCCAAAGTCACCCAGGACTAATAAAAGATAGATTCTGGTCCTTTGATCCAATCACAACATATTTTTCATGACATACCTGCTGCTTAGAGAAGTTTTGCAGTCTCTTGTGGGCACTTTAGCTACACAGGTATAATGCATGCTATGTCTTGCCCACCCTGGCATCATCCCCTGGTCATGCTCTCTAGTGTCTTGAGGATACCGTCAAGTTTCCACATTGTGGCATACAGTGCCTAAAATAGAGTAGATGCTTTAAAAATGATTGTTGCTATTATTGCTATTGTTACTGTTGCTATTAGTGCCAGTCCCTTTCTAGCACTGTTTTTAGTAAAAACTAGCATTTTCTTTTTTGTATATGTACAGGTTCTATTTTGAAAGTTGTTTGTAACACATATATATTTGGATAACAGATCACATGTATGAAGTTGGTAGTATCTATTTCACCACCATAATCAGGGTCTCTAATAGATGTAGCAAATTGGAAAATATAAATTACAAAAAGGGCTGAGTTGCAAGGGATCTCAGAGATTATTTAAGTTCAACAGGTCTCCCACTGATAGAGCTCCCCCTATACTTACATTAGATTTCTTACATTAAATAGTACAATACATCACAAAATAGATCTAACAATTTGAAAGAAAATGATTCCTATGAACAATAGCCACTGCTTATGAAGTGCTTATTTTGTCAAGCACTACATGACGAGCACTTTATATAATTGTCTCTGATGCTTACAAACAACCTTGCAAGTTAAATATTTACATTTTAGCCTAGGACTAAACAGAGGCTCCAAGGGATGTATTACCAAATGTGTAAGAGTCAGAAAGAGGAAGAGTCAGGGTTCTAACCCAGGTCTGCATAGTTCTAAAGTACTAGTTCATTCCCCCTCCCACCTGACATCCACATTCTTCAACTAGAAGGCAATGGTTCCAACATTCTAAGGAAATGTACTTTATTCCCTTTTCTTCTTTATCTTTTTCTATGAGTTATTTCTTATGTTCTAAGGTATTCATCAAAGGGCATTCCCAACCTCTGAATTGATATACCATGCTTTGAACTTGAACTGTGGCCAGTGCTTGAACTATTTAAAGGAGTCTAAGCTTCAAACTAGAAATGAAATAAACTTCTTAATACAGGTGAAATGTCATTTGATGTATACAGTGGCCTTGAATTAAGTGAGTTTAGTTTAATCACACTAACACTCACTTGGGACCCAGCTCTAGGAGATGTCTATGTTCAGCTCTGGCTCTGTCTGTTTCTGTGCAGCTGTGGCCAAGTTCCAACCTCTCTGAGCCTTGGTTTCCCCATGGATCAGATGTCTTGATTAGTATCTTGCTTGCCTTCCTAATAGAGTGGGACTAGGATAAGGTAAGGCAGTATGATCCTGCATGTAAATATGGTTTGTTAACTGAAATGCATGATACAACCTTCCATAATAAATAATGATTCGTGTATAAAAACTCTATGTTTTATGGGCACTTTTTATTAAACATTTGAAAAACAAATTATGTCTTAGAGTAATAAGCAAACAAATGAATGAAATTTCCCTTGTGGTGAAGGAGAACCAACATACCACCATCTTTTGGTTTCTTCAAAAGGGAAAATCTAAAGGAAATTTTGTCTTATTTTATTTTTAAAAGTAACTTTTAATTACTAAAAATAAGGAGAAGAAAATCACCCAAATTTTATGATTCTATTTGAAATGCAATTTTATTCTTTGGTTTCTAAACATTTAAGACATCATTTTTTTTTAATTATGGGAAAGTAACCAATAAAATATAAAGGGTAAAGCAAACACTGGGACCATAGGTTCCTAGAGCTGGGTAAAGACTTTGAGCAATAACCTAGTCTTGCTCCCTCATTTGACTCCTGATGAAACGGAGACTTGGAGAGAGAAAGTGATTACCCAAGTTCACCCAGCCCATGAACTTGGAGCAGGGACTCAAAGGCAGCTTCTTCTAATTCAAACTCCAGGGCTCTTTTTGCTTCACCACAGGCCTTTGTTCCTACCCATCAAGGACACCTGGAGGGCCTACAGTTTACTTTGTTATGGCTGTAAACTCCTAGTAAAAATGTTTGTCTTCAATTTCACACACCCTTTAGGACATCAAGGCTGCCCCAGAAGCCCTCAGGCAGCTCAAGCCAGACTAAAGACAAGACGACACCAGTGTGCGTGTGTTTGTGTATGTGTGTATGAGCGGGAGAGTTGAGGGAGGGCCAGGAGAGGCAGCACATGAAGGGATTTCTAAGAAAAACTGAAAGCAAAAGATTTCTCTATCCACTGCTGAGGGCTTTTTTTTTTTTTTTTTAACACCATCTCCAACTATAACTACATCTTCTTATCAAAGCAATAAAATGATTAATGCTTATGATAAAAAACAGAAATAGCGCCCCCATCAGTGCACACTGATTTTCTCAGAGGATTGCTTTTCGTTACAATGTTCCCAAACCCACAATTTGAACATCTGATTATGATTGCTGCTCAGGCATGGCACTATTTATCATTTACATGACTACATAGAACATATCGCTTTTACTGTCCCTAGGCTATTATTTAGGTATCATTTAAATTTTTTGTTTATTTTTGTGGGTACATCGTAGGTGTGTACATTTGTGAGGTACATGAGATGTTTTGATAAAGACATAGAATGTGAAATAAGCACATCATGAAGAATGGGGTACCTATCCCCTCAAACATTCCCTCCTTTGAGTTAGAAACAATCCAATTACACTCTTAATTACACTCTTTAAGTTATTTTAAAATGTACAATTAAGGGCTGGGCGCAATGGCTCATGCCTGTAATCCCAACATTTTGGGAGGCCTAGGCAGGCAGATCACCTGAGGTCGGGAGTTCGAAACCAGCCTGACCAAAATGGAGAAACTCCGTCTCTACTAAAAATACAAAATTAGCTGGGTGTGGTGGCGCATGCCTGTAATCCCAGGTACTCAGGAGGCTGAAGCAGGAGAATTGCTTGAATCTGGGAGGCGGAGGCTGCTGTGAGCTGAGATTGTGCCATTGCACTCCAGCCTGGGCAACAAGAGCGAAACTCCATCTCAAAATACATAAATAAAAATAAATAAATAAATAAATAAAATGTACAATTAAGTTATTGCCTGTAGTCACCCTTTTGTGCTATCAACAGTAAAGAATCATTTTAATGGCTATTTCTGAGTGTGTTGAAATCTCAAAAAGCAAACAAACAAACAAAAAACTGTTTTCAGGAAAACTTTGAGGGAGTCAGGAGGACATACAAATGCAAAAATTATAATTGGTCACAATATGTTACCAAAAAGTGAACATAAAAATTTTACCGAAAGTATTAAATATTGGTGTATATTGGTTTTTAACAAACACATTACTTTTACTCATAAGTGACTTTCTCTGCATTCATAACATCAAAATTAAATAAGATATAAGCCTCCTTTCCAACATTCATGATTTTTACTTGAGCATTTTTTTTTACTTCATACTTTTTAAGTCAGCACTTGCAAATCTTATATAAAAAGGTTGCATGGTGTACCATTGCCAGGAAACTTGTTTTCCTTGAATACAGCAAGTCTATATCATTACCTAGAACTCTCTTCTGTGACAGATACTTATACAGACATTAATTGGTGATTTATGATGGCCGTTTTGGGTTACCAGACAGGGAAAGAGGAGTCCTCTGTTAACTGTTATTTACTTTCTAAAATGTTTTCTTGTTTCCTGTTCACAAGAGAACTTTTTATTCATCAAAGATTATTAAGCTCTCAAGGGAAGTATAACCAACCATTAATGTCAGTCTTCTGTAAAAATATTAGTTTCTAACATTGTGTTTTTCAGGTAACTCAGTAATGCTTAATAAGGCAATTTTCCCTGGTGCACTTAAATTTACAAAGTGCTAATAAAATGCAGTTTTCTTATGTTTTATGAAACCTTAGAGCAAAAATGGCTCCCACAGAGACAATGGGTCAGCCTGAACTCACACTGAATGGCAGCCAGGATGCATTTAAGTGTGAATGTTGTAGAAAAGCAACAACCTCCCTCCTTTTCCTTCCTCTACCTCAATACCCAGGTGTGCCACTCTTCCTGCCACTACTTTTAGCATTCTCACAAATACTGTATGAAAACCATTACCTGCTATTATAAGTTGGATATAAGAATTTAGCAATAAAATAAATAAAAATTGTATAGCAAGTATTGATAATTATCTTAAGAACTCTCAAAAAAGGTGCAATGCTATTGGTGATGTTCTAATCCTTTAATTAGATGGTTGGTTCACATGTTTTATAGGTCTTAAAACGTTTGTTATCTATGTCCCTTTGTATGTTTAGAAGATTTAAAAATGGAAAGTGGCAAATATAACAAACACTCGAAAAATTATGTATGGACATATTTTCATGACCAACAGTTATTTAAAATATTGTTAAATTTTTTTTTTTTTTTTTTTTTTCTGAGACAGAGTCTCGCTCTGTCGCCCAGGCTGGAGTGCAGTGGCGTGATCTTGGCTCACTGCAAGCTCCGCCTCCTGAGTTCATGCCATTCTCCTGCCTCAGCCTCCTGAGTAGCTGGGACTACAGGTGCCCGCCACCAAGCCCGGCTAAATTTTTTGTATTTTTAGTAGAAACGGGGTTTCACCATGTCAGCCAGGATGGTCTCCATCTCCTGACCTCGTGATCTGCCCGCCTCAGCCTCCCAAAGTGTTGGGATTACAGGTGTGAGCCACTTCGCCTGGCCCTAAAATATTGTTTAAATGCTTTGCACCTGAAACTGGACAAGTCTCAGAACTATTAGAACATAAAGCAAGCAATTAATAATAGTTACCACTTATTGACCAGCTACTTGTATCCGATACAATAGTAGATGCTTCATGCATTTTACAGCCTTGTAAGCCTCCAGAGTTGATGTTACTAACTCCATTTTACAGATTCGGAGACATTACTTTGTTCAGGGTTATAGCTAGTAAACAGCAAAGCCACATTTCAATCCCAAGTTTGTTTTCTTTTATAAATATAAATAAAAGCAGTTAATGCAATACATAAAACCATCCAGTGTATCTAAAGGGACATGGAGTGTTATGGTAAATACACTTCTAATCTGATTGTGAGCATATGATTTTTTTAAATAAAAAAAGAAAGAATTGTTTTTATCTCTTTATTTCTATCTTCTCCACAGTCTCTAAAAGCAGAGCTTTTTTTTATTTGTATTTATGCTAGTACCTGGTGCATAATAAAGAGACAAATGGGGAATTCACTGATTCTCAAAATGGGGCCATGTCATGAATTCTGAATTGGCTGTAACTAAAATCCACAAATAGTGCTATATTACTCCCTGCGGCACTGCTAAAAATTCAAATATAACTTAGAGTGATGAGGGAGAAATTAACTAAAAACAATATTAAAAAACTTTTTCCAGTGTTCAAGAGGTTCAAACTATAGACCTGAGTGCTCTCTTTGGTTGTCAGTTCTTACTATCTGCTTTAGCCACACACTGCAAGATAAACAAAACTCCTACGTCTTCGGGAGGCTACTCCGTGATACCCAACAGTAAGATTATTGGGTCACATTTGTGACTGAGGCTTAGTAAGATGTTTAAGTTAATCAAATATTCCACCTTAGCAATAGGATGGCCTGGATTCATCTTGATCTTGACTAATATAACATATACATAAAGGAAGGTTACAGCTTCTTCCTTGAAAAGTGAATTTACTTTAACCCTGTCACAATTATGCTTTTAAGGGGAGTGAACAAAGGTGGCTGATACACGGTCTTTTAACCTCTCAGGCACTTCCATAACTGGGGCATTTTACTTAGAAATGTGCAACCACACTGTTTGTTTGCACCCTCCTCTGTGATTCTGTTGTTTATTTTGCCCACATCACTGTATTTGCACTGAACACAGCTGAGACTCCACCATGATCATGGCCTCTTGTTTGACATGTAAACAGCATCTGGGAGGGGAAAATCCTCCAGACTGCTGCCTAGTGTGTGGACTTGAAGTGGGAGTGTTATTTTTATTATTATTCACTAGATCCTGATTCAGCAAAACCAATCTTTAGGATGCATATGCATGCTTTCCTTTTCCAAGCCCTGTTTTTGTGCTTTCTTTTCCACTATAGTTATATGTTCTGACACTATCTTACGTTGAATGTGGCCAAGCAGAGACTAGCTGGATGGGATGCTGGAGAAGGGATTTTTGCTTTGAGTCAGAGGTTGGACCAAAAGACCCTTTTAAATCCCGAGATTCTATGATTCTCTGGGAAGGGAGAGAGGGGCAAATATTTATGCCACTTAATTCTAAAACAGATTGCTTTGGCAAAGGTGTATAAAATAGTATGAAACAGAATTATAATTTTTTTCTAAGCAAATAATTTACTAGTAGTGTTTATTAGTGCTCCAGACACTCAGTTTCTGCCATGAGCTTGGATTTCTATGTACTGTTAAAGGGCCACCATGGACTCTTCTCAGCATAGTCAGATCTCAGGTACAGGCTGAATGGAGTGCCGTGTATTTCTAATTGCTTCATCATGCCTTAATTCTTAGGTTGTATTTATGATTTTTATTTATGCTCATGTCTCATTACAACCTTCCACTCAACATGATGTCAAAAACCAAAATCCATTTTCTTAAAGTTTCTGTGCTGTTAGGCGGAAGACTTTACTCCCCTGAACCTGTTTTCTTTATTTGAGAATGAAATCTTTGAAAGGTGTCTCACTCAGTGAAAAACAAAGCAGGGAAAATGGTTAAGGCTGGCAAAATTCAATTATTCTCCTGATTTTGAGTCTTGCACATTCTACAAGGCTGAGTGGAAACCATGGTTCCAATTTGCTGGGTGTTCTAGATGAGCCACTTCATCTCTCCTAGCCTCACTTTCATTGTTCCTTAAGGGAGGGAGTGAAATAAGATTGATCTCTAATGTCCCTCCTGATACTTTCATGCTCTAAGAATCTCCTGCCAAGAGCAAGTACTTCTCATTCTTCCTTTGTTGTTGCTTAATCTCAGTATACACTTGGAGGTCACTGGCTTCAGATCACCGGCTTTTCTCCACTTTTAAAAAAAAGTATACTAGAAATATCTCTGAGGCATAGGGAGGCTGCTATCCCAGATGCACTAATGGGAAACGAGCAGAAAACAGCACCAGCCAGACCTCTATTGCTCTTGCCCAATCTCTGTCCATAAAAAAGTAGCATGGGGCCTCTGCTTGTCTCCAAGGGTGACAGACATGTCCATTCCCCATACTGGAAGCTAGCACCATCCCCCAGGGCCACCACCACCACGGCCGCCACCAGGAGTATTTACATCAGCTTGCATTTTCATCTTAAAAGTCAGAAGGTGGTAAGAAAGGCATCTCCATTGCAGTAGATACTATGAGGCTACTGTACTACATGTTTCATAGACATCTTGTTTCATGCCACAACACCCCTAAGAAGTCAGTAGTTACTATTACTATTATTAGGATGCATATGCATGCTTTCCTAATAATAGGAAAGCATTGTGTACAGGAAGACACTCAGATTCCTCCACAATTAAGTAGCCAAGCCAGTTTTCAAGGCAGGGCCATCTGACTCCCAACCTCTCGTTCTTTCCAGTTAATCCTACTGCCCACTGTATGGTCAATTGGTGGAGTAAGTGTCTCAAACATTTATCTTTATTATTATTCTATTTTTAAGAATAAATCTCAAGGGATTTGGATGACAAAAATGTCTAGAAAAGTATTACAAATTTTTATTCCAAAATGGCAGTGTGGCTTTCATTAGCCCTAACCTGGTGTTCTGCAACCTTTTTAGGCTGGTGGCAGCCAATCGCTCATTTGATTCCCTTGCTCTTGAAAGAGCTACTGGCCATCTATTTTTAAATGAAATAAAACTAATTTCATTTTGAGAATTCTTTGGAACATTTCATGACATTTGTTGAGATAATTGGGGACATCCTGGAGTGTCACAAAACCAAGGTTGGGAATCAGTGCTCTAAGGACTGAAGAAGCAAATTAATTTTTCTCTCTGGTTTTCTTCAGATAGTTTTATGTGTGGAAACTCAACTTTCTAAGGCTTTCATTGTGTGTTTTGACTTCCTTCTCCTTGTTATCCTTTCTCCTCTTCTTTATTTATTGTATATAGACTACTACAGTGCTCATTAATGTATTTCTTACCCTAATTAGTTTTTCTTCCAGTAAAACAATACCCCTCGTTCCAGGGATGTGCAGTCTTTTAGAACCAGAAAGAAGGCTGTGACCTTCTGAACTGCTCTGCTGTCAGGCTGAGCAAAGGTGACTCATGAAACACTTACCGAGGTATAGGAAAAAACAGCTCAGCAAGACAGTGCCCTGTCTTAATAATAGGAAAAATACATTTTCAAAGAGTTGTGCTAGGTTTCTTTTGAAGACTCTGCTCATGATTTTCAAGGTATCTGACCTGACCTGATTGGATTCTGGAATAAGCAGAGCTTCAGCAGAGAGAAATTGCATGCCATATCACCATGATGTGTTTAGAAGCAAAGCCAAAACAGTTCCCAGGGAAAATTAAATATAAATGTTTCATTCAGGGTGGCCCATTTTAAAAGTTCAATCTCAGAAAATTTAAGTATGATTGCCATGTTACTTTTGAAATCTGCTATCTGTCCTATTACTAGTTAATGACAACTTCTTTCTTCTCAATGACTTCTTGTTCTGCCCATCATGTTTATTCAATATTCAAACATTAATTCATTCACTCAATTAGCATTGAATAGGCACTGCTGCGAATATGATATTTTGCAATGTACATTTCCATTAATCAGCTCTGTTACTTTGGGAAAGTCCTTTAACTAATCTGAGCTTCAGTTTCCTCACCTGTTAAAATATGAGATTGGTTGGGATGCCTTCTAAAAACTTTATTCTATGATTTCTGAACAAACCCTAAATGAATGGCATGGATATTGATATCAATATAATATTTATCCAAGTTCAGAAACAAATACAACATCTCTTACCTCTTTATAAACAACTTGCCCAAAATCTTTACTTTTATTAACTGGCAACCTAACTAACTAACTTGATGCAGGTCTGACCATGAAAATCTTGCCATTGAAGAGATCTAAGTGTTCCAGAAGCCAATGAGGCAAACTTGTTTTGAAGATTGGTTTAGTTTTATTTGTTTATTATTCAAAGATTCCTGGCATTGAGCTTACTGCTTAAGAGGAGTGCATTTAAGACTTGGTGCTTACCACTTCCACAGCATCAGTAATAGTCCAAACTAGACTGGTGGCCAGACTAGAAACAGACTGTGTCAGACTTGATTGCTGGTCCCAGTGTTCACCATCCTGCTTTTCTGTTTAGTAATTGAAGACCCTGGGTTTTAGATAAGCATTTAACGGCCCAGCTAAAGTCTGCATTTCCCAGACTCCCTTGTAAGTAGGTATGCCCATGAGCCTGCATTTGAGCCAATAGGATGAGAGCTGAAGTGATGTGTGCCCCTTCTGGATCATCTCTTCAATGACGAATCCACTTGCCATGCATTTTCCCTTTCATTCTTCCTGCTGCATGGGAAATGGCTACTGCTGAACAACCTTGGCAACAAGTATTAAGGGTGCCAGAGCTGCCCACCAGGCGTGAACCACTGTCCTCTTAGGAGAGACAGAAAAACTTCTATCTTACATATGGCATTATTTATCACAGATAATTTGTTACAACAGTTTAGTTTATAAACTAATATAACCTTAGTTCTGGATTCAAAGGAAAATAGTTTTAAGAGACAAAAAATATTAAATATTTTAAAATAGCACTTAAAATTGTGGTATATATGTGTGTGTGTATATATATGTAACTCAGCCATAAGAAGGAATAAAATAATGGCATTTGCAGCAAACTGCATGGAATTGGAGACCATTATTCTAAGTGAAGTAATGAAATAACTCAGGAATGGAAAACCAAATATCATATGTTCTCACTTATAAGTGAGAGCTAAGCTGTGAGGATGCAAAGGCATGAGAATGATACAATGGGCTTTGGGGATTTGGGGGAAAAGGGCGGGAAGGGGTGAGGGATAAAAGGCTACAACTCGGGTACAGTGTACACTGCTCAGGTGATGGGTGCACCAAAATCTCAGAAATCACCACTAAAGAACTTACTCATGTCACCAAACACCACCTGTTCCCCACAAACCTATGGAAATAAAAAATTAAAATTAAAAATTAAAAAATAGCACTTAAGGAGGAAGGTAAAGAGATGACAGATTATAATGCATTTCAAGAATATGCTGAAGAGAGTGAGTGGGGGTGTCAGAAAAACTAGGAAAAAAGAAATGACAAAGTCCATTTAAGGATCTGTTTAAAGTTAGGGGCAGCCCTTAGGTTAGTTGAGCCTTGCAACGCAAAGAAGAGTCTTGGATGTCAGAGGAAAAATGTATGATTATACATTTTATTTTGTTATCATATTCTTATGCCTATACAGTGAGAGGCTTTGTAGCTGGGTAAACTTGAGTTCATATTATAGTTTCACCATAGACTAGCTACGATGGTGGGCAAGTTACTCAGTCACTGAGTCTCAGTTTCCTCATCTATAAATGGGAAATAATAATATATATTTCCTCACAGAGCTGTAAAAATAAAAATAATATGTAAGTTCAAGTGTGCTTGGTACATAGCAGGCTCTCCTTGAAAGACAGTTGTTATTGTCTTTCTTCAATTTGTAGCTTGGCAGAGCTGCTACTACTGATTCAGCTGCAAGCTTGCTGGCATTTTACTTTCTGAGTGAACTGAGACCACCTCTCAAGGTCTTTCTGCAGAATGCTCCATTAACAGCGGTGCCTGCAGTAAGCTCCTAATTCTCTATTCACAACCCAGGCAGACAGAAAGCAGGTTCATGACTCCCTGTGTTTGTGCTGTGTGGAGGTGAGCATGCTTTCACAGACATTTAGTAAGAGGCTTGGGTTACTGGGAAGTCCACTCGCAGTTTAGAACTTGGTAAAATTACCTGAACAGGTCAAGTTCCTATTCGTAGTCTCATTTGCAAATATAGAGCCTCAGCCTCTGTGCTCCTCACTTACTTCTTTGAGGATTATTTTTTGAATAATACTTAGTTCTGCAAACGCCTGCCTCAAAGGGCCCTCATCTTTTTGATGCACTTTGCTTCTGCATATTATGGTGCTCTCATCTGGAAATGGAAGAATTTAAAATGTATGTCACAGAACGTCTGAATCCTCTTATGCACTTTCTAGTTACCCTTGAAATATTTTTGTGCAGGTTAAAGGGACTGCAAGGTTTCTTCAGATTCAGAGTCTGCTTTGTGTTGCTTTCAGAAGTTTTTAACTGGGATCATCTCTTCAGGAATCCAAACTGGGGAGCTGAAACAAAGGACCATGCTTCTCAAGTTGTCAAAATTGACCAAATATATCCCTCTCATCATTCAAACTCAAATAAACCACAACCAAATCAAATAAAAAAGTTAAACAGGTTGTAAAGGAATCATGACCTGTGTGTTCAAAGCTCCCCTAACTCGATTACAGCATTAGTTTTTACATTTTAAAAAATATCTGCATTATGTTTGAATTTCTAATAATGGCGACGTATTTATTTCAGCTGAATTCATGTCAGCTTTACCATTTAGACAGTTAGGATTATTTATTAAATGCATCCTATGGGCCAGACCAGACACAAGCACAGGGCTTTACGTTATCTAATTTTTAAGGTTAATACTACAATTATCCCCATTTTAAAGGCAAAGTAACCCAAGTTTATCAGTCTTAAAACCCCTGGCATCCCCAATGTTTCTTAATGCCTCTCAGATTGGGGAGTTTATTGGGATTAAGTAGTTTCATTTTGTGATCAAACTTAATCCCATATTCCAGAATTAGCTTGAGCGGAGACCAACCACAATTTCCCCTTGGCAACTGGAAATTCATGGCTGTGGCAGGTATCATGGACTCAGAGCAAAAATAAAAGAAGATGTTTTCTAAATGAAGACTTTTTTTTTCAGATACAATAAGGGGGAAAAGTTTAATGGAATTTAGTACAAGTTCAGATTATTTGAAAATATTTCTTTCTGTGTTAACATTCATAACCCAGATATGTAAAAGGTGTCAATTTTTTTTTAATTAGTATCAGGTAGAGGGTTTAAGTCTGTCAAATTAATTCCTCTTCTTCTCTATACACAAAGATCTCGATCTACCGCCCTTCAAAACAATACACGTTAGAGTTAGAGAAAGAACCTCTAAGGGAAAGAACCCTGTGGATATTTGGGAAATACTTTCGTCCAGTAGTTACAGAGCTAGTGAGTCCCTTCCTCCCGTCTCTCATGCCCAGGAAATGCTCCAGCGACCCCAGCTCAGTTTTCACTTAAGTCCTTCCTCATGGCTGTTTAGCAGAGTGTAATTTAGGCCAATTACTTTGCTGATGCCGCTTATCCTCCCTCCTCGCCCTCCCCTAAATTCCCACTGTACCCCCGCTCCTTCCCCATTTACATTTTTCAGATGAAACAATAGACAGAATGTGAAAGTGAGCCTAGCTCATTTGGCCTGGAGGCTACAACAGGTTGATACTACCAGAGGAGCAAGGCCCACCTGACGGGACTAGGGGAAACACGTGGATGCTGACAGGTGAGTAGGGCAGCAGGGGCTCGTGACATGGGGGCTGCATGTCTCCAGTGTGGTGATCCAGGGACACCATATCCTAGCAACTGAGCAGGGTGTCAAGAAGCAGTAAGGAGAATATCTTTTTATTTGCATTTAAAAATAAAAAACCTATTCTACATTTTTCAGAGAAAATTCCTATTTGAAGGATACCTTGAAAAACACTTAACGAATTGTATCACTTTTTAAGTACTTAAAATTTGTGACATATCTAATAGAAAAAATAAAGATTTAGAGAATAGACTATCAATATTGTAAAGAAATAATCCAGTAAAAACATTATTACAGTCATATACAGATTATAATTATTTTATCTTGAGCTACCTTACTCCAATATAACTTCTAGTATTTATACAGAATAGTTGTCTTGTTTAATAAAGGTAATAGTTTGATTTATATATATTTTTATACTATTTTTAGGGCACTTTCCCATAATGCATGCTTATTAAATGTTTTGGAATTTACTGTTAGGCACATCCTTAATGCTTTACGTGGGTTATTCCACTGGATCTTTCACAACTTTGAGAGATAGACATCATCATTTCCATTTCACAGAAGGGAAAACGGAGGTGCAGGTTACTCTCTCAAGATCACTATGTCAGTAACTGGCAGACCTAGAGCTCCCTTCTTCTGTTCCTGTGCACTCTTTTACTAATGACCATTATTACTAAGTCACACTGAGTGGGATTAGAACATTTTAAAATACAGTTTATCAAGAATATCTACAATCTTCTCTTGTCATAAAAAATAAGGTGCTGCAGTATCTTTTTATACATATTCCATACCTGCCAAGCCCCCACCAGGGGCTGCCACGCCTTGGTGCTGGATGGACCACCTGATTTTCCTCATGACAGTGTTATTTTGCATGTGATATTATTGAGTATGATCCATTGATCCATGGCATTGCCGGAATAGTGAACTAATTGTAGATATTTGTGTCTTCTTCTCTCTGTCCCAGAGTAGATGTGGCCCCAGCTACAGTTAAAGCCCAGAGCTTTGCTCTGGAAGTCCAGAGGACAGAGAGGTTTATTTTGGCTTTTTGGCAGTGGGAAGGCTTCTTGGAGCAAGTGGGATTTGAATTGGGTTTTGAAGTCTAGAAAATATAGTTTGTAAATAAGAAAACACACTCCTGACCTTTACAAGTGAAGACCAACTATCAATTGTTTTATTTAAATATTATTTTAAAGATTTAAATATTATTTGATTTAAAGATGAGACTATGTAGGATGAAATAATCTATGCAACTAACCCTCACAACTCAAGTTTAGCCATGTACAAACCTGTACATCTACCCCTGAACTGAAAATAAAAGTTAAAAAAATAAAGATGAGGCTATAGAATTGATTATTTATATTTTGTTTTGTTTTGGTTTGGTTTGGTTTGGTTTGGTTTGGTTTGGTTTTGAGACAGGGTCTCACTTTCAGCCAGGCTGGAGGGCAGTGGTGCAATCTCAGCTCACTGCAACATCCACCTCCCCGGCTCAAGAGATCCTCCCATCTCAGCCTCCTGAGTATCTGGGACCACAGGTGTGCACTACTATGTCTAGCTACTTTTTGTGTTTTTTGTAGAGACAGGGTTTTGCCATGTTGTCCAGACTGGTCTTGAACTCCTGGGCTCAAGCAATCTGCCCACCTTGGCCTCCCAAAGTGCTGGGATTACAAGCATGAGCCACCAGTTTATATTTTTCAGCGTATTTGTACTTCCTAAGCCTCTTTTTAAAGCATAACATAGTCTGAGCTGATCCAAAATTGAGGCACAGGAATCAAATGCTGATGTGATGATCATCAATCTGACCCATCAATCTGAGGACCACAAAGCGTGCCTACCACTTTTCTCTTACTGTGCCAATCTTTAATCATCTTCCTCAACCACGGTAGACACGACCTCTCATGATTTCATGCCATGGACATTTTATCTTGCATCTTAGAACCAGTCTTCGAATTGCCACCAGCATTGCCTTCCTTTGAATTATGTCACAATTCTTCCTCCAAAACTCCTTGTGTTCCTATCACTCATGAAATAAAGTCTGTCTGTGCAGTGGGACTATTCCTTAAGTTAGCCTCAAAGTACCTTCACACGGCACTGTTCACCACTCCTGTAACATGACTCCAGTCATTCCACCAAGCACATATTTTGCCCCAACCAACAGGCTCTCATAGCCAGCAATTCTCCTCCTCATCCTGTTCTGAATAAAATAATCTTGTTCTTTCTAAATCATAAGATTAAAATCACGAACTAAGGAGAGTCTACTAAAATGAGAATTGCTTTCTCTCCCAAGACATGCTGTTCTTCAACAGTCTCCTTACATCCTTTCCCACCTTCCAAGACCTCCAATAACAGTCACTTCTTACTATATGACATCAGAGTGTGGCTGTGAAGTTTTATGTATCTTCTTGTTTTATTCTGTCTTGTATGATAGTGAGTTGTTTACTTATCTCTCCTCAAGTAAGTAGGTGCCTTAAAGACAGGGATCATTTCTTATTCAGTTTTCCATATCCAGAGTTGTATTTTAACTCTGTATTTTGGCTTTAAAGGCTAAGAATTTTATGCTTTTGAATTAATAAATACGGAAGTCTTAATTTAACAACAGGAAAAATGACAGCTAGATAAATAGCATAATACCCACAAAGCAAATAACCGATAAATGTTTGTTGATTGAAATATTGACTGAAATACGTTGCCATTTACAGAATGAATTGTCAAAAGAGAGCATTCTTTACTCTTTTCTAGTTCAGCTATAGCCTAAGATAGAGGCAGCTAAAGAAAACTGCTGATTAGGGCATCTTCCTTGTTTCTTTAATATTTTTTCATTGCCAACTCTAAGCCCATAAAAAATGGTTTCTTATCTTCTAGAAAGTGCCATTGCTTTTGCATAGATGGTTTTTTTTATCGTTAAACAAATACCCATCATTAAGTCGAGTTCACACTGAGAAATTGAGAAGTTTAAGTTCTAGCCACCCAAATCTTTGAGCTTTTAGAAGATTGTATAGTCCAATGTATTCACGTGAATCCTTTACAGGTCATTGCAGATGATAATAGATAATAACTTACACAAATATGAACACTTTACTGTTTATAAGATGTTTTCATATGCAGTATTCTTTAGCCCTCACAGAAAACTCGTGGAGTAGATTTTGGCCTCATTTTTCAGGTAAAGAAACACATTATTTTAAATGGCTTGCCAAAAGTTATGTACCAAGAATGCAGCAGAATGAAGTTGAACCCAAATCTTTTGACTCCTAATCCAGTGCTCCCCAAAGCCTCATGCAGAAATAGAGCAAGGACTGGGCCCCTGGCCTCTTGTAAAGAAAAAACCAGGGGTCGTACAACCACTCTGGTTGATAACAGAATAAAACTCTTGAGATAATACTGCCTCCCCTTGCAGGGATTTGGGAGATGACAGTGACAATCTTGAGCATTGAAGTGGAGGAGGCAAGAAGCACCAGAGCAAGAAAGCAAGAGAGATGCATCAAAGACGCCAGGACAAACCTGGTATCTCCAAGAAAGTGATTAGAAACAAAATCAAAAACAAAGCCAAGACCTAATTCTAAAATATTCTGTACCTGAAGGGAAGCTTGGTCTCTACCCAATCCCAAGGAAGGTGTGATTGGACCAAAAAAATGATCTCAGTGTTCCCAGCACCTTGCACAGTGCCTGACACTGGAGGCACAGAAGCACCCTGTAAGTTTAGGACTGAACTAATGTAATTGAAATGAATACAGGTATGCTTTGCCTGGGGAGGCCTAAATGTTTTGCTCATTTCAGCTTAAAAAGGCCAAAACAGAAACATACAAATAAAATTTGTAAATCACAAGTAACATGGTCAATGTAAACGTGTTCATTAAATCTTGAAAATAGTAGAACAAGAGAGAATCTTGGAAGTTAAGTGAGATGAATACAGACTCTGCAAAATGTCCTCTCTGCATCACTTCAGCTGTTACTAATGTAAGAAGAAAGTGATCAATTATATGGCTAAATCATTCCTAAGAGAAACTGGGCTCATTCCAATCTTTCAAATGTGTTTACTACTTCATTCAGCAAGTATTTATTGAGTGTATACTGTGCCAAACCTGTACAAATACTAGCATTGACATAGCGAACAAAAATTATAATTGCAAGTCCTTCGGTACTTGCAGCCTAGTTGACATGTGTGAGTATGTTGGGTTCACTGATACGTCCTTTGTGCCCTGGTCAGATCCTGCATCTGATGTTCAGTTGCAGCTTCTATATGTTTTTTTCTTCCCTTTTCTGCTAATTTGGAGTTAAAAAGTGGGGAACTGTTGAAGTTGAATTTGGGGTTTTAACACTTAAACAAGCAATTATCAACTATTCACAGTAGCACAGAAAAAGACCACACATTACCTGAGATCGCTCTAAGATGCAGTGGTGGAAGTATATATTAAATGTGGTGAACTGCTCTTTTTCAAGCTCTCTAATACAGTTTGTATTTTAAATATGTTCTTTAAGCCTCCACTACAGTAGGAAATGTGGGACAACAATGAAGAATATCTATATCCTTAATTGCACGTGTATTATTTACAAGGTACTATCTCAAGTGCTTTATGTTCATTATTGCTGTTAATCTTCAATATAACTCAACAAGACAGTTTTCATTATTATCCTAGTCTTGATGATGTGGAAACTGAAGCTCAAGGTGGTTCTTTAATCCAAGGTTAAACTTACCCAAGGTAAGGTAAGTATGTAAATGCTGAAGTCAGCATTTCAAACTAGTTTTGTCTGATTTCAGAGTATGTTCTCAAACAAATGCAATATTTTCTCTAAGTCCCTGCCTTCAGTGCTTTTAGTCTTCTGGGAAAGAAAGAAAAAATGTCATTTTTGGATTAGTGATAACTACCATAAGAGGAGCAGGCACTAGGTTAATAATGGGACACATGGAAAACCATTAAAGTCAATTTTGAGGGTCATAGGAGGCAACATCTAAGCTAAGCCTTGAAGGATATACAGGCATTAACCTAGTACAATGGGAAGAAGGACCATCCAAGAAGAAGAGAAAGTATGTGCAAAAGTCCAGAGGCAGGTCTGGGGAACTGCAATACAGGGGCCGTGATCATCTGTAACCATCCAGCCACCATGTAGCATAAGTTGCAAAATGCTTTCATCCAAATGACCTCACCTCTGCTGGGATGTGACATGAGGGCACATGAAGGCCCTGGTCATGCTTGTAAAATTGGATTCAATGTTGGTAGGAAACCCTATTCCCTACACTGAATCACTGCACAAGCCTGGAATTCCGGTCACCCTAGGGCGGTGCAGTCTTGGAGGAGGGCACATTAGCACATGGTCAGTGTGGGCTCAGCTGTGGTCATTCTTCTGTCTGTAACTGCCTGACAGGTGGTGATTGGCTGTTCTGTCTTTGTCACCAGATGTTGCTGAAATTCTCAGACTTTGGTTCTACATCAAAAGCCTACATTTTAATGAAGGGGAACAGATTGAGTAACCAAAAAGAGCCAGTTCTGTCTTGGCAGGCCAAAGAGTGCACAAATAGAGACTGGGAAGGCAAAGGCATGGGATTTGAGGCAAAACCATGAAGGAGATGAAGTCAAATCTTTACAGTCTACCATAAACATCTTTCTTGTGGCACTTTCCCTGGGGCCATTATTTCTGGACCTTCATTAGTTTCAAAGTAATGTGGACTCAATGTCATTGAGCAGTATAGTTTCAGGCATTCATTACTTTATCTTACAGGGAGAAATAAAAAGCCTTCAGAAACACACAGACCTGGATTCAAGCCTTAGCCCTAGGACTTACTAGCTGTGTGGCCTTGGGCAAGTTGCTTATCCTTATCTTTACAATAAGGATAATAATGTAGATTTTGAATGACCAGCTAGGGGATTAGAATGTAATGTATGTAAAGCAGCTAGTCTGGCCCTCTATAGGCATTCAATAAATGGTAATTATTATTATGGTTATATTGACATTTAAAGAATAATTTTTCCATGCCTTAACTCAAATTTTGACTAATGGTGGGAGTTGGGGGCTGCTGGAGATAGTTATTTCTGATTATTGATTATTTTCTAAATCAAACAATAGTTTAAATTCACCAGGCTCTTATCCTTTAAAGGAATTCTATAGTTAAATATCAATATTTCTGAGCCAAGAAATTTAGACACGCTATCTGATTGATATTAGTAAATTTGTGAGAAAAAGAGAAAAAAAATATTTGAAATTGGGACTGCCAAGAAAAATTTAATATATATGGTTCCCATACCTATATCCACAATTTTCAGGAAAAGAGCCCCCGGTAATTAATGATCTTTTCTAATACCTTGAAGCTTTATTGTTCCTGATTAACTAGGTACTCTAGTACTCCAGGACTAAAAACTACACTCACCAATTGGTAGAAAAGAGGGCATGCTTTTACTCCCTTAAAACTGAGTAAACCAGATATTTGTGCTTGATTTATTCAGTTATGTATCAGTGCTAAAGCAGGACATTCAAGAGAGGCACAATAATGGAAAGAGCTCTGGGCTAAGAATCAGAAGACTTGGGTTTTAATTGTGACTCAGTCCCAGCTAGCTATAAGAATATGGCAAAAAAGAGTAAAACAAAAAGGTATCACACTGTCATTGGAATGGAATAGAGCAGTGGGAGTCAGCAGGGGTCTTACCACTTAGAAACGAAATGCGATGTACCCAGCATCTGCATTTATTTATGGTTACAAGTTAAGCAACTCCGGAAGTTTAGTGAAAGCTTTTAGGCTTATCCATAAAACTCAATAATTATTTGACACTTCATTTACTTATATGTTTAAGAAAAATAACAGCTATAGAGCTTTGATCCTCAAATGTCATGTGTGATATTAATTAAACTATTTTCTTTTAATAAACATATTTTTGATATAGTAAGTATTATGAGAGAGGTGCTGTCCTGACATCCTAAATTTAGAACCCTAGAATATTACCAGAAGATTTAACAGCCGCCAACGAGAATATATCTTTCAATCTGTGTTGAAGGAATCTTGCTCAATTACATGATTCTAAATACAAAAGCACACTTTACACTAAAAAGAAATTTTTTAAGGGACATAGAAGTATTTCATTACTTAAATGAGTTTAAAGGCTTCATTTGAAGAAATATAAATCACTTACCTTATTTTAAACCATCCATGTTTCCCCTAATGGTGTTTACTAAGTCTGAAAGGCACTTATTTAAAATAAGTAGAGTAACTTGTACATTGATTAAACTGTCTATCTCTTAGGTAGATCATAGAACTGCAATTTAGCATATAGAGTTGAAGACAGCATCAATTAAAGATATAGATAGGCTGAGTCAGGTGCTCATCAGAGGAGATGGGATTAAAGATAGGTTAAAAAAAAAAAAAGAAACCCCAAAGTATGCAAAACCTAAATGCAATGATATAATGAAAGCACAAAATCAAATCAATTGAGATAAAAATGCAGCACTTACCAAGCATGATCACCTGAAAAGCGTGGCAAATTCCTGCAAATTGCAGGAATTCATATTGCAAAGTACTCAGCAATACTTCTGTGTAGTTCTATAGAAAGCCCCAAAAATCCTGCAATATCTTGCAAAGTGCTCCACAGGTATCCAATACTTTTGAACTGATATCATTCTACGTTCCTCAGTGGGTCCAAATCACGTAACCACTGGTCTTCAAGTGATGAAAAGGTAAGCCCTGGAGAAATGGAGGACTGGTTTTCAGTTTTGAGGATGGGTAGAGATCAAAAATCGACTACTCAGAGATACCCTAGATACCAAAAAATACAAAATAAAAAAAATGCTCTTTTGATTATTTTTAAAAAAGTATTTGCTTCTAAAAAGGACAGAATCCCCCAACCTCCCAACCCATATTTTAATAACCCAACAATGGAAGAGAAATATTTGACAGAGGGTGTATTGGATGTTGATGATCTCCAACTGCTTCCAAATCTGCATAAATAAAACTCCAACAAATCCCTACACAATGAACCTACTGAATGGGGCTCTATTTATCTGCCGCTGAAGGATAAAGGGCCAAGCCAATCCTATTGACAGTTAAGTCTGTAGCTTCCAACATATCACTGAGGTCACTAACCCACCACTACAGTACAGGCTGACATAAGCAGCTGATGTGCTAAACAAAAAGTAGGGCTCAAATCAATTCACTACTAAAATCCAATTTAGGAAGCTCTCAGTTTGCACAGTTTTGGTTGATCAAATTCAGAGATGGGATTAGATTCATATTTCAGTAACGAAGATCAGGGTTGGGAACTGATATATTGAAAGGTGTATTTTTCCATTTCTTCTCTGCATAAAATATTCATGGATGCCATGTTCTAAGTGTACTCTGACAGTGTAACAGCTGCCAAAATCCTGGTACCTGAGGCCACTTTTACATCAATAAATTATCGAAGGTTACATCTGTAGCAAGATAGCTTTATTTGGCTACGCAAATAATACCAAGGTACACAACACAGTTATCCCAGCTTTTGTTCCCTTGAGAGTGGACTATTGTTACACTCTGTGCTGCAAAGCATGCTGGGAAGCTCCAACCAAGATGTAAGGAGGAAAAATACTTGTCTCTGTGCTCTAATAGAAACAGTACAATATAGCTGCAAGGTCATAATTTGGAGTCAGCTATCATAAGCTGTGTGACTCAGAGAGGTGGTCACTTTCATACAAACTCAGTTTGTCCACAGTTTAAAAAGGAATGTTCCTCTACCTCCCTGCAGGGCTGTTGAGTTCAATAAATAGGCAATTTCTCTAGATGGTCTGCCACATGATGGACAGTCAGCTAATGTTATTTAAAGTGCTGCCTTCTAAGAACGCATCATATAGTACTGCAACACCAAGTATTGCATCAGTCACAAGAAGTCTTAGAGAGCTTCTCTCTTGCTTTAAGAAAATGGACTAAGTGTAGAAATACAATTTTCTGAAGGCGTTGGTTTCACAAATGAAATATTAATTCATTTGCCATTCTCACTGTCTTTCTTCTATTATCTCTTAGAACTCTGGGTGTCTCCTTCCTCCTGCCCAGAGGAAATTCCTGAATTTATGGGGGCACCTGCCCAATAAAGCTGCTAACCATGCAGTCCAAATAGGTGTTAAAGACTTTGTATTTTTAAAGCACTTTTAAAAACCTATCACTAAGCTTCTTTTTTCAGCTATAAAATTATAGATGAGACCAAGTGGCAACCTCATACCAAAAGCCACAGAAAGCTCTGGTATATGACACAGGATTTACACTTGGCTTTGAGGATGAAGGTCTGTTGAATAGTCGTCCTGCTGATGTATGCTTAGGTTAAGTGGAAGAAGCATGCTAGGTTGCAAAAAGAACATTAAAACAAGGTCCTAATTGCTCAAACTGAGGCAGAACCTCATATGCTCCCCAAAACACATGGCTGTGAGCCTCCTTGCCAGGTAAATACCCTTGCAAGGTATTTCTGGATTCACTCTTTTGGATCTTTCAGGTGCTTTTCTTTTAATCAACTTAAAAAAATCAATAGCTAAATGTATTGGTTTTGCGATTTGCCAGATACGATTCTAGTCTCTTTACAGACATTATGTCTAATCCTTACAAATTACTTATTTCTTTTTTTTTTTTTGCCAGTTGACAAAAAAATTATCAACTCATATATACCAAATCTCACCCAGAGTAATATCCTTTGTGGAGTTTTTTTCTCTACAAATCTTTTGCTAGCTCCTTGAGTCCATGCATTACAGATAAGGTGGTGTGGTTTTTACACTGGGTGATATTTATTGATCTAGACTTAAAAAACAGCACCATCTGGATTTTTCACTAACACAATATTTTCAAATAACTATGGAATGGAGAGAATGTCCTTTTCTCTTGTTAAGGCCTATTGTTTTTTAAGAAAATTAACAAAAGGGAGAAAGAAGCTTTAAAACTCACTTAAAGGGACTTTTTATTCTGGAATTTGATATGTAAGATTGCAGGGAGATAGTGAGTTTTCCTGTAATTTGTATCATCAAAACAACTCCTGTAGTAGAGCAGGAGATACAGTATCAATAGATAATGAGAAAAGAAAATGGAACTTGTATAAATGTGTATTTCTTAAAAGCTTTTGCTACGTATTATTTTCTAGCCTATAGGCAAAATTTAGACACATATAATGGATATTCTTATATTGATAGTAACATATCATTTAATTTAAAAGGCTAAGTTCACCTTACAGGTTTGCCTCATGCCATGATTAATCATTTTGAAATTTGATTGGCCTTTTAAAGGATTTTTCAAAGACTGTCAATCATTGACACAAAGTAGATATTTCTAAATTCAGTTTTATAAATGTTGAAATTGAGGCTCAGAGAGGTTAAGTGACTTGTTCACTTAACCTTAGTCTGCAAGACTAAGGAAAATAAATCCAGTTCAGTCTGGCTTCAAAGTCTGCTCTTTCCACTTCACCACACTATCTGCTTGTATCAGTTAGTTGATATGGAAGCATAATAAGTCAAAGGATCCTCAACCTTACTTCCTTACCCACTCATACTCTTTGTTGAGTCCATTGCCCTGACCCCACCCAGTAGAGTAAGGAGGAAGAAGTAACAAAGGAGTTTGACCTTTGAAAATTATCTTCTCTGTATCTAAGAGACAAAGCATGCCAAATGAACCTCCCAGATTTCTGTAGCTGAGCCCTGAGTTAGGCAGCACATATTTTTTCCCCACTAATATTTCAAGGAGGACCCCACTGCAGGAATCTGGGTTGTAGCAGTGTATAGTGACCACCACAGGTTGTCCCCAAATCTGAGTTTGGATCACAGAGCATCATTGGCTCCTTTCTCTGCCTGGCAGAGACAGTGCCACTTAAGATTGGGGTCTACAATGACTCTGAGAAGTGATATAAGCCCTGAGGAATCAAAATGAAGGGATGAAAGCCATCATTTTTCTTTTCTTTTCTTTTTTTTTTTTTTGAGACGGAGTTTCACTCTTGTTGCCCAAGCTGGAGTGCAATGGCATGATCTCAGCATGCTGCAACCTCTGCCTCCCGAGTTCAAGCAATTCTCCTGCCTCAGCCTCCCAAGTAGCTGGGATTACAGGCATGCACCACCACACCCAGCTAATTTTGTATTTTTAGGAGAGATGGGATTTCTCTATGTTGGTCAGGCTGGTCTCGAACTCCCGACCTCAGGTGATCCACACACCTCGGCCTCCCAAAGTGTTGGGATTACAGGCGTGAGCCACTGCGCCTGGCAAAAGCCACCAATTTTCAGGAGCCAAGCATTTTGTTTGTCTAGAAAATAGCATCTTGGAAATCTTAGAGCCTCACACCCTCCATCCCAGGGTTATACACTGTGTGTTGTTCTGTCCTAAAGGAAAAGGCCAAGCTCTGACTCACTTAATGTTTTTTTAGTACAGCATTGTGGTTTCCATCATGCCTCCCACTCGGTTACCACCTAGGTCAAATGCCTGCACCTCAGGAGTTTGGAAAACACATTCTGAGGCAGTGTGGCCTCAAGTGAACAAAGACAGCCTCCACGGTAGCACATCTCCTCTTTCACTGCCAACTTGTCTAATATCTGACTTACGTGGAAATGGCTGTTCATAGGCTAGGTTCATTAGTGAAAAATGTTTCAACAGTTCCATTTAACAACCTGGAATGTTCTTTGGAGAAGGCCAAATTAGTGTGATTTTTACCTTAAGAAGCTTAGAAACATAGCTGCTGCTAACTCAATAATTACATTGTACCGCCAGCAACAATTCAATATTTTTTTCTCGCCTGAGGGTTACAACACATTTGCACCATGGGGAAGCTTTTTCTCTTTACATCTCAAAACTGTACCACAAACTCTTCCTTTATTCATAACAGTGAGATCTCCAGCTGAGATAGGCACTTTTGTATTGCTCTAGATGACAGTTTTCTGTGTTCTTTCCAAGCACAGGGGGTTTAATAAACATATCTGGCAGGCCTTCCATAGCTGGAGGGCCCAGGATGACACTGTGTGCAAACAATATGCTCACGCTGGAGGGAAACAAGTTTATTCAATTATTCAATTAATAGATTACAGTCAAGATACTTGTTATCCTACGATGAAAAATGGGGCAAGAACTCCGAGAATTAGGATAGGTCCCAGAATTCGTAACAGCAGGCAATATGGCATATACAGATCATGAGGGTTTGGCCAAGTGCAAGTGCATGAAAACCTACGCCCAAACCATTCAAATACACACACGAATACACACACACACAAATACACACACATGAATACACACACACACAAATACACACACACGAATACACACACACAAATACACACACAGAAATACACACATGAATACACACACAGAAATACACACACACAAATACACACACAGAAACACACACACACAAATACACACACACGAATACACACACAGAAATACACACACAAATACACACACATGAATAACACACAAATACACACACACGAATATACACACGAATACACACACAAATACACACACACGAATACACACACACAAATACACACACAGAAATACACACACACGAATACACATACACAGAATACACACACGAATACACACACACAAATACACACACACGAATACATATACACAGAATACACACACATGAATACACACGAATACACACACACGAATACATATACACAGAATACACACACATGAATACACATGAATACACACACACGAATACACATACACACACTTGTGTACTTTGAGAAAGGCGGAACCACATTCCCCAAACCACATATTATAAGGGCCTTAAAAAGTCATTAAATACTTTATATTTTAACTCTGAGTCTGGAGCTTGAGGTGGGTGGAGGGCCGGGAAGGAGGTTGGTGGCAGAAGGAGCAGCTTGATGAGAATTCCCAAATAAGAGTTTTCATAGAGTTTTCTCTGTGAAAACTAAAAGTACTTTTGTAGAGTTTCATGAGTAGCTGCCTTTCTGTTCCAGGGCAAGACTTTCCCTCAGTGCAGACCATCTTAGAATGTTCTCTGTGCCAGAACTTCTCACTTGAGCAATTCCTGGTTTCTGAGTGAAGTTTATCATGTTTGTATAGATATGTTAAGATCTCCTGAACAAGAAACGAGCCACTACACTTAAACATGTGGTGTAGGGGTGGGAGGGGCAGGGAGGGTACGTTTCTTTCTGTGGGATGTTGGCATATTTTTCAAATTCCAATGAGTAGATGTTAATACAAAATCATCCAGAAAAGAGTAGAAAGAGATAAGGCTAGAAAGTTACCTTGGGAAACAACTGGGAAAGATACCATGTACTTTATGAGGAAATTCTGATTCTGTGCTATGAGCAATGAGAAGCCACTGCAGATTTTTTATGCTAAAGAATCACCCCGTTTTTCTTGTCCTACTCCAGCTGGGCTGGATTTTATTGAGAAGTGTTGGAAGTAAAGATTGAGACACAGTTCAAATGTCCTGAAAGTACTCTTTATGAAATGAGTGATGTGGTTAGCATTCTAGGAGGCATAGAGGTAGCCCACTTGCAGTACTGAACAGTGGGGGAGCTATTATTTCAAAATTCTTCCGATCTTTAAGAATACATACCCCTCATTAACATTGACCTCCTGGTGGCCAGCCCACTTTAGGGCTCAAGGTAATGTTCAGGGGATGTGTGTGTGTGTGTGTGTGTGTGTGTGTGTGTGTGTGTTTGTGTGGTAAAGGAGACCACTGAGGAGATCATCTCCATGTTACTGAATGTAAAATGAAGCCAATGAAAATGTTGAAAAGTTACCCAAAAATGACTAAGGGATAAGACAGGAACTAAATTTCCACACAATGGAATCTTTTGATCCTTTGAAGAGAGATTTGGAAAAACCTCAGGCATCTTTGGTCCTCTGCTCTCTGAGCTTTAGCCAGATGGGAGGGTAGACAAACAATTCCTCCAGCAAGCAAATGGGCATAGGAAGTCAAGCAGATGGCTTATTTTAGTTACCAAGGAAGCCAGCCAAGGCAAGAGCCTGAAGTTGAAAATTAAATCACCCCATTCTCAAGGGCAGAATGTTCCTAAGTTCATGGTTGTCTCCCAACAAATGAGTCAAGATGGCTTTTTATGTGTCTGTCACTTGTGACCTTGCCCTGGCTCTCCCAGTTGGAGTCATTAATGTTCTCTATAACAGGATCAGCCAGTCCACATCCCACCCCCTGTCCAGTCGCTGGGCCAACCCAGAGCAAGGCAAGCCTTGGCCTGCCCAGAGGTTGGCTCTAATTTAGAGGGTGAGGGCACCTTGGCCAGGGCTGAAAGCAAATGCTACAGGCACCTTTTCCAAGAGTGTCAGACACTGCTTTAAACTAAGTTCATGTATGCAAGGTCAAGGATCATTTTGAATGTGCATATGTATGAGGGACTAAGACCAAAAATGCAGTTTTAATAAGTTATGAAAAGATGGAGGAGAAATAGATATGCAGAGCTAGAGCTCTAAGACATGCAGAAACAGGGAGAATAAAAGGATAAGTGAGAGAGAAGTTTGATACGTTCCTGAGTCAGGAGCTACTGCCTATTACCTTGACTTCAGGCCAAGGTTACCAGGTGGTCAACTGCTTTCAAAGGGACACAGACAGAAGGGAGAGAATAGTGCCCAGGTGACCAGCTGGTGGGATCTGAAATTAGTCTTGTTACTATGGATCTACTGTTTGGTTTGCCTCCCAAGAGCCTGGATACACATCTGGCTTCTGAGTTCTAGCCTTTTCTGATCTTTATCACCTTGGCCAAGGCTTCGCTTCTATTCTCTTAGAAATGGAACTCTGTACAGGATCCCAGAGCCCTTGGCTGGAGCCCAGATAATTCTCCTCCTAAATCTTCCAGGGCTTCTCCCTAAGGACTCTGATGCTTGGGTCTTCTCTTCATGGTATCTTACTTAAAGTGGGCTGATTTCCTGAATATGTGATGTCACTCAACTGATTTTGTGTGACAACTGTCCTTAAGACTTTAATTTCTGATTTCCACCCACCAGATTAAATCTGCTGGCATATTGGCTCCTAGTCAATATGGTGTCAATATGGTGACAATATGGTGACTTTGTGCACACTATGTATTAAACAAATGGGGGTTCCTGAAGGAGCAAGTCTTAAAGCCCATTAACTTTCTTAGTTTTTTTTTTCCCCACTGCTGCTAGCTTTGCTACTTCTCTCTTTTGTAGAGAGAAAAGTTCCAACACTCCTTGGGCTTCAAACTACCCAAGTTAGGACAATGTTTCCTGGATGTCTTGGGCTATTTCAGTGTAAAAAACATAGATGACATAACTCCCATCCACAGAGAGTCTTAGAGCCATCCCACAGAGGAAAGAGCTTATAAATCATAGAATATATAAGAAAAGTGCTTGTAAATGGAAAAATCTTTATAACTCATAATATTACAAACAGAGCAGAAAAAAAAAGACTAGTATACATGAAAGAAGCACACCGTATACAGGGTCTCACTTAACTTAATTCTTACAAGAACACTAGAAAATAGTTACTATTACCCCTGTTTATTAGCAAAGCCATTAAGACTTGGGAAGGTTAAGTAATTTGCAGAAGTCACTCAGCTCATGAATGGCACGTTTGGGATTTCAACCCAGATCTATTTCTAAAACCCATAATTTTTCTGCTATGTGGACTGTTTGCATACATACCCACCAGCATTGCATAGAGTAAAAATTTGTGGATCAAAGAGGGTGTAATAAGATACTAGTTGTGTGATGATGACAAATTGCTAAAGCAGTTTGGGAAAAACAAAGATCAAGATGATTGAGTATTTTCATGGGTTTTCCAGAAGAGATGGGACTTACGGTGTCTTTGAAAACTGGCAGAATTTAGATAAGGGGTGAGGGGGATATTTCTGGGAAGAAGATTGGCAGGGGTGAGCTCAATGAGTGGAATTAATGCTGAGATGGCCTGTGACATCAGTCAGGGTGAACTGGATGGGGTAGACAAGCAAAGGAACATCAAAACTCAGGGCAAAGAGCTAGGCATTATGGGTAGGAAACAGGGAGACAGTATCACATGGAGACTCTAACTCAGAGCACCCTCAGTCATTATAGTGTTTCTTTTTATTCAAGGCCAAGAGGGAAGATTGCAGCCAACTGGTGCCCCATCTTAAAACTTTCTCCCATCAAACTCATTCTGGTGAATCACTCATGGATTTAAGGTATGAGCTGTGCTCATGATGATGAGGGTGTAAAAGGGATAATGTTACAAATCCAATATTCCACACACTGAGTTGCTGAAATTGGTGATCATCGTCCAGACTAGACTTAGAGTAGAATTCTATCCACTCATTTTTGTCCATGACTACAATTTTTCCTTGACAGACACTTACTTCTAAGTCTATATCTGCCCCTAACTTTTCCACACTTAAAATAAAACTATGACTTTAAAAACAAATTCAGTATGATGGAGACTAGAGAGAGAAGGTGAAGGAAGAAGAGATTGTTCCCAAGAGATGAACTGTTCAGTCCTGCTTTCCAACTGTGGTGGCAGCAATTCACTTGTGATATGTGAGTCCAGTCAAATAGAATTCCATTTCTTGCTTGAAAAGAACATTTAAATATATGGTAAAGAAACAGACCTACTATGAGAAAAATGTGATAGTTTTATTTCTAGCATTTAGTGGCAGAAACAAGAAAAAAAATAATGGGCTCATTTCTGAAGCTCTGTCTAGGTACAACACTCGATGTGAACCAGCCCGATATTTTTCTCCTCAGGCTACCAGAACAAAATATCACCAACTAGGTGGCTTACACAACAGAAATTTATTTTCTCATGGCTTTGGAGGCTGGAAGTCCAAGATCAAGGTGCTGGCCAGTTTGGTTTTTCTTGACTTGGCTTGCAGATGACCACTTTCTCACTGTGTCCTCGTAAGGCCTTCCTTCTGTGCATGCACACTCTTGCTGTCCCTTTGTCCTCTTGTAAGGATGCTAGTTCTATTGGATTAAGGCTTCATCCTTAGGACCCCATTTAACCTTAATTACCTTTTGAAAGCCCCTGTCTCCAAATCAAGTCACATTAGGAGTTATGACCTTAACATATGAATTTTGGGGAGAAACTGTTGATCCCGTAACAAGCTCTAATACAATTTAAATGGAAATAGGAAATTATGGAAGTATTAGATATAATTTCTTCCACTATAAAAAATTTATGGTAGCTAATAATGTCAAATGGGTTTCCTCTAAGTCACCTTACAATAAACTGAGTATGGAACACTAGGAGAAAAACATACTAGTGGCAAAGATCACTGTGGATACATGAGCTGTGGTCCCAGTTCTGTCACGAACTTCTTGTGGGACCTTGAGAAAATTACTTATCTATTGTCAATATCCTTGGATTTTGAAGGAGAAGATTTAAAAATAATAATCCTTAGGGCCATTTCTAACTATAACACCTATGATTTTGTGACTTCATTTTGAAATTTAGTTAATCAAATGCCATTCATTCAAAGATGAGTAAGGCTATAAGCACTGGCTACATGCTGAAATTGCTTAGATCTGAGCACGAAATATTTGTGTCTTGCCCAACATCAATGCACCTGCAATGCAACACGGAGGCGAGGTCTGGAAGGTGTCAGGTTTGTCTTGTTACTGCAGCCAATTTTGGCTACTGAAGTTGTGAGTTGGTACTCGGTAGTCAGCATTAAAACCAGGGTGATAAATACCAAATCTTCACTTTATTTGATGGCATATGTGTACAACCTACATTACAGTCTTTCACACCCTTTGGCAAAAGCCAATTTTATAGACTGTGGGTGTCTGTAAATATATTTTTTAATTGTAAATTTTTCTTGCTTCTCCTTTTTTGAAGACATATGCTTCATAATTAGCATACACCAACTCTATTTAATCAGACTGCTCATTTAAAAACATTTCCATTCTGCATGTGGTATCCACAGGTGTCGCAGGTAATTGGTAATGAATGTATGTTAACAAAAGTGTCACAGTTATAATATAATGAGGGAAAATGACAGAAACACTCCAGGACTGTAAAGATAGATATGTAGTCAATCTACTGTTGGGGCAAAAAGGAAAAAAAACATAATTATTAGTATTCTTGGGAGAAGGAAAGAGAAAAAGTAGAAAATGAGAGAAAGAGATACTTTCCAGATAAAATTAAAAGTTATCCTCTTTAGTTTAAAATATATTAAGCTTAAGACTTTCATGGAAATGTGTTCATTACTACATGCTACTTATAAAATTAGGCTGCTTAATGTTGTATTTGTCTTAAGCCCTAATATGAGCATTGTGGCAACCCAGTATTACTTGTAGATAGAGTCACAAAAGTGTTATTATAATTACTGTAATTTACAGCTTAAAGTATATATTTTCTAAGCAATATTTAATATCTATTAGTGAAACCACAAATAAAAATGGATCCTCCAATTCGGCTCCAAAAACTGATATGCATTCTAGTAGAATTTTTTTTTCATATTTCAATCTATTCATTATTTGTTCACTCATCCAATAAAAACTATGCCAGACAGCCACACATTGCTCTAGTAATTTGTTACACAGTCCTTGATGTTCTTGGAACTTACATCTAAAAAATAAATAAGCAAATACATAGAAAATAAGTGATGAATGCAATGAGGAAAATAAAATAGGATAATATGAGAAATCAGTGGTTCTTAAAGTGTGGTCCTTGAACCGTCACCTAGGAATCTGTTGAAAATACAAATTCTTGGTACGCACTGTAGACCTACTGAATCAGAGACTGACACAGCAATTTGTTTTTAAACAAGTTCTCCAGGGGATTTGATGCACAGGAAAGATTAAGAACTCCTGTGATGGGTGGATTTGTGGCAGCACAAGAAGTCCAAAGCAACTTGTGGAGGCATTTTCCATGCAGAGAGAACAACACTGCACAGACTTTTGAGGCAAAAAAAGCTTGGTGAGTTTGAGACACAGAAAGAAGGCAAATGTGGCTGGAATGTGATAGAAAAGGGGAAGAGTGTCATGAGATGATGTTAATGAGGCAGGCAAGGGCCCATCATGAAGGAGATAGTCTGTAAGTGTCTGGAAAAAAAGCAAGAGTCATGTGGGGTCAGCTCATGTTCATGAAGAACAAATCATCAAGGACTCCTCATCCATGAATTCTCTTAACTTAGAGGAAAGATAAGGGTTCCCTCTAAATGTGAGCCTTTATTTCTCTCTTCATTTATCTACCTCTTTGTACATATAATAAATACCAAATTTATACAACTTGATAAATTTATTTTAATCACTTGTAAAGTAACAACCAAACTATGAACTCCTGGGTGAGGGAGGGTAATTAGGATTCTCCTACCATGAGTCTACATCATATGCCATATATGACAAAAGCAAATTGGTGATATTTAAATAATGTCAATATCAATTAAAAGTTTGTTGCCCTTGAAGAACTCATGATAGGATGGGACAAAAGTTTAGCAAAGTGCTTTAGCACCTTTGTTAACCACAATTTCAGGGAAATAGTTAGATCAAGTTCTCAGTACTTCCTAGAGGAGCAGCTGAGCCTATGATATGTCTGCCCAATTCATCAATAAATTGAGAAAATAGGGTAACATGGAAGACAGACCCTACCATGGCCCCCATGATCTGGCATTCATAACCTTGTGTGGTTTCCTTTCCTTGAGTGTAGGAAGAACCTGTGACTAGCTTCTGGCTAAGAAAATATAATAACAAAGGTGACAAGATATATGTAATTGCATGTATGTGACTCTCTCCCTTGCTACTTGAAGAAGCAAGTTGCCATGGTTTGAGCTTCTATATTGGAGGAGTCCATGCGCAAGGAGCTTAGGGTAGCCTTGGGTCAACAGTCAAAAAGAAATTGAAGTCCTCATTCCAGCAACCTACAAGGAACTGGATGCTGCTGATAGCCAGATGTTCTTAAGTCAAGCCTCAGATGAGACTACAGCCCTGGCCAACATGCTGATTGTATCCTGTGATACCCAGAAGCAAATGACCTAGCTAAGCCATGACTGGATTCTGATCCACAGAAACTGTGAGATAATAAATGTGTCATTTTAAGTGCTATGTTTGTGGTAATAAGAGGAGATTTATTCTAAAAATTGTCTCTCTTGGTTATAGAGGCTGAGAAGTTCTACAAACTGCCATTTCCAGGTTTTTCTGGAGAACCAGGAAAATCAGCAGTGTAACTCAAAGTCCTGAGAACCAGTGGAGCTGATGGTGTAAGTCCCATTTGAGTCCAAAGGCATTTCTGAGCTTGTAGAGGCTGCCAGCATTCCTTGGCTCATGGCCCCTTCCATTTTTAAAGTCAGCAATGACTGATGGAGTCTTTCATACATTACATTACTCTGACAATGACTCTTCTGCCTCCCTCTTTCACATTTAAGGAGGCTTTTTATTAGATTGGGATCACCCAGATAATCCAGGATAATCTGCTTATCTCAAATTCAACTGATTATTAACTTTAATCCCATCTGTAATCTTAATTCCCCTTTGTCATGTAACCTAATATATTCACAATTTCAGGGATGAGGATAAGGACATCTTTTGGAGCTATTATTCTGCCACATCTACCAACCCAATTTTGGTGTGTGTGTGTGTGTGTGTGTGTGTGTGTAACATCCAGATGTTCTTAAAGAATCATAATGACTCTTCTGTGTGCTGCTTTTCTCATCATGTGCTCACAAACTTTCTAATTCAAAAATCTACTCTATATTTTTTAGAGATCAACACTATGTTCATTAATTAGACTAATGCTTCACACTTCTATCTCTCTTGAAAACTGAGATAGTGTTTGCCCTTCAGTGTGGAAGGCTCTTCTCTTTTTCTCTGTGGTTTCTTAAAAGCATCAAGATAGGTCTTTGATCATATCTTTAAGGTGTTTCGGCATCTTGGGATACAGTTCTCCTGAACACAGAAGTTTTCTCATTAAGAACACCTGATGCTGTCTCTCTTCATCTCTCTTGGCTCTGTTTTCTGTTTGCATTGCTTGTTCTGCCCTCTCAGTTTAAAGATGGTAATTCTTGTTAGATCAGTTCACAGGCAAACAAAAGTGGTTTCTACTAACAGAGCAAAAGATTCTCCAAGCAAGGGGCCTAACAGAATCAGAGCTAGGGATCCTCACATTATATATCTCCCCACAGTTTATAGGATGTGTTTACCCATGCCATTCACTTTCATCCTCACAGTTCCCTTTCTTATTTTCTTTGCTTGAAAGCAGCTTTATACTCCTTTGGCATTTTTACCAGCTGCATCTCATTATGGGCTGATCTCATCTGAATACACTTCTGTTTAGCATCTCTCTTTTGCATATTTAATATTTGTGAATCTTGAAGTGAGAAATGGGGACAGAGAATGTCTACTCCAGGGCTCCCATAAGCAAGCAGTAGCCCACCCAAGGTCACACATGGCTGAGTAGCCTATGGGATCCGGTCTGCTTGTTCTCGGGGCTCATCCATGCAGTGCCTGGCCAATCTTATCCATCATTATGCCTTCCTTCTTCCATCCCTCCTATGAGTCCTTTTGAATATAAGCTCATCAGAGAGCCCCGTTGGCAGTCACAAAAGCTTCTTTAGATGTGCCTACCTTTATTCACATGGGAATTATTCATGAATATATGATCAGAATTACATTTTTCAGAGTTTCCTATCTCCTTTGAGCTATGTTCCCTTTCAAAGTCTCTGTCCATAGAATGATGCCATTTCTTGGGAGTCATTTCTTTGATTTGGGGGGAAAAATACATTCTGAAAGCCCAAAGAACACATTTGGCTACATTCAGTCTTCCCTCCTTCAACTATTCTCAACTCTAAAAAATATAGTCATTTTTCCCCCACAATCTTCATCATCTCCACAAGCATTGCCTTGCTAATGAGAATTAAGTCCAGAGCAGCAATAGCCTCTACCTGATAGATCAAATTGGTGGTTAAGCACAGCAAGGTTAAGTATTTATCTGGTTTTCTGATATTAGCAAAATTAGGCATCCTGCCAACAACTCAATGATACATATTCCATTGCTAGTTTGGTGACTTCTGTGAACCTTATTTTCTCCATTTATCAAATGGGGGAAATACTTACCGTATCCACTTTTCCCAGGGTTTCTGGAGAGCATCAAATAATAATAATGTAAAAATGTCTTGTGAAATGAAAGCTAAATAAATACGGTCTTAAATGACTCTCCCATGGACCAAAGTATATGAGAAAGAACTTCCCAAATAGTAGACAGTAACTATCTAGATGAGTGAAAGCAACAAAATGGATCCAGGATTCAGAATAGGCCAGACTTAACAGATTTAACTTAATTAACATCTTGTAGGTATTCATACCATAACCTTCTGTGAGGTCTACAATTCAGAAAAAATAAGGAGAACTTGGAGAAAGGGATTCCGGTGTTGGGAAGTGAAACCTACGCAAAAAAAAAGGAAACTAACTGGCAGGCTTCAGCCAGGAAAAGAAATGTTTATAAGGTGATCCATGCATGCAACTAACACTTAGTTAATGCTTCCTATTTGCTAAGTGTGTAGGTCTTGATAGGAGGTATAAAAATGTAAATGACATGGCCTCTGCTCTCAATGAACCATTAGTCCAGTAAATACTGATTTTCAAATTCTAAACATTTATTCAGAAAAGGGTTTCAAGCTCTCACTAAAGGGCAGCCAATTTGTTGAATGTAGAACAGTAAAAATGAAAACATGGTTTTTGTTCACTGTATACTCTGATATGTAGAAATATGTAAATAACTCAGTATGATGCAAAGATTTCCATATCAGTCATGACAGACTAGGCTATGCCGCCATGACAAATAACTCCAAAATTTCAGTCACCTGAAACAACAAATGTTTGTTTCTCCTTCGTGCTACCTATCCACTTGATATATGGGATACGATTATCAAACCAGGCTTCAGAAGAGTGAGTCTTATTCCCATGTTTGCTGGAACACAGTATTAATAAGACCAATATTAATATATTTACTATCCATTAATAGAAGGTAAAAAGAAATCTTCCTCAAGGTCTTCCAAGACAGAGTTTCAGGTTGACCTCCAACAGCTGTAGATGGTCTGTTGTTTGATGGCCTCTTTCTTGGTCTTACTCTTCTTAGGCCTCCCCTTCAATCCTGCCATGTGTAGAGCTGGGCTCTTGGAAGCCCACATATAGCCTCATACATGTGACTCCCTCTACCTGGAACATAGCCCCTGGCCCCCACTATCACCTACCTACATCTAGTTCTGTGCTAATTTGGGAGGTGTAATTAGACACACACACACATACACACACACACACACACACACACACACACACACACACACCACACAAACACTGTCTCACAAGAAGCTCCAGTCTTAGGAAACCAGAAGAGTAGTATTTCTTTTATATGGGAAGTTCTATTATGAATCCACCTGAACAGCACTCATCTAACACATCTGTATTGAGTCCTAGCTGGGTACCAGGCATGATACTGGGCACCAGAGATTCAATGGTGAACCACACCAACCCGTTCTCTGCTCTCATAGGACTCAGTGAAGAGGCAAATGTTAGTCAAATAATTACACAAATGGACATTCCACATTGCAATAAATATCATAAATAAAAGGAATAGTGTTGTAAGTGTGTATGGCGAGGATTCTGGGAATGTTTTCTCAGGAAATGGCATTTGAGCTGAAACCTGAGGGATGAGTCGCAGTTAACGGAGAACAGGAAATGAATGGAGTTAGTGGTTTCCAGCCATATAATGGTTAGTCTTGACTCATGCCATAATAAAACTAATAAGAAAAAACTAAAGAAGTTTAAGAACAGTTTAATTTTAAAAATAATTCTAGACCATCCATATAATTGTATCATCCTCAATTACTTGTATCACATTTCACTTCTTTCTGTTGGAAATAATGGAGTTACAAGCCATGTACTCTGAACTGCACACATCCTCAGATACATTTACTAAGGTGTTTTTTTGTTTTGTTTTGTTTTGGTTTTTTTGCCTGTGAACATCAACCTCTGACATGTGCCTCCATTGATGAAAGGATGAAAATTAGTAGAGAAGATGACATATCATAGAGAATTCCAAGCCAATGTAACCATTATATGTCAAAGTAAGGCCATACACAGTAGAGAATGTCAAAAATTACAAAATGCAATTTAATAATTTTTACTAGTAATTTTACTGGTAAATAATAATAAAACATTAATTGGTTGATTTTTTTAAAAAAATTTCAATAAAAGATGTTTTTAGAAGCAGTGCTGAGGCAAACATATATTTAATGTTGCCACAATACAAATTAAATATCACATTGGCTTTTTAAAAAACTGTTTGCTTTATTTCCTCTGCACATCCCAATCCAGTGTTTTCTACAGGTACACATACATGATGCATTTTATACATATTCATCCCCATAACTTGACAGGTGGGAGGGATTCTTGCAGACATTTCTAAAAGCAGACAAAAGGCCGTTGGTTCTGCTTTGCACGATGGTTTGTGAAGACAGAATATCACACACTTCCACTGATGATTATATAGCTCTATCCATCTGTCTGCCACTGGAGGTTGGGAGACGGAGATACAGCTCCCACCATCCCTGTAAACAAAAGTAGACCGTGCTGTCACCAGTCAGACACGCCAGCTAATTGGAGCTGTCGACAGACACAATATTCTGTGTCAACAGCTCTAGTAACAGTTTGAAACAGCAATGATATGTTGGTTGATGGTGAAGATGACACATGTGTCTCTAATAGCATGCTAGAAATCTGACATAACTAGAAAAGAATTACTAAAATGTGATTCCTGGCCTCTGGTTTTCCTGTTCAGACTTACCCATCTCTACAGAGGTTGGAGAGGAGGGGATTGTTGTAACACATCTTTCTCTGTATCATTTCACAGGCTGACAGCTTAATTTGATACTCATAATGTCTAACTTTAAAATTAATCTTGCTAAAAAGATTTGTTTCAACAAGCCTCCAAATCTTAAACTCTTTTGGAAAATTAATAAGAAAAATAAGAAACCCTTATTTGTATAGCTTCCTGGGTTGAGACCAAAATAAAAGGAGACATTTTGTCAATGTACCATTTATGTGACTAAGAATTTATATGATCTTCAGGAAAGTAATTTTTACAGAGTTAAATGAATACATATGCGCATAGATGTGGCTTATTTTTGAACTTCACTTCATGAGAGACAAAATATTCTCCAAATAGAAACAATTTTGTCAAGGCTTTGGGACATAAAGGCATACTGTATATTCATCTCTTTGTAAATTGTACCTATTAGGGAAACCTTACATTATGCATTCTATTAACGAAAAGTCAGGAAGTCCCTTGTTGCTTTCCAATAGTTTATTTATCTTCTAAATAATTTAATCACTTGACTGTCTAGGTTTGAATTTTAGCTTGGCCACTTACTGGGGTGGACAAGTTAGTTAACCTCTCTGTACCTCAATTTTCTCATCTATAAAATGAAGACAATAACAGCACCTACCACATACAGTTATAAGGATTAAATGGATTGTTACATGTAAAGTGCCCAGGACATGTAAAGTGCCTGGCACATCACATAGTAACCAGCCAATACGTATTTTAATTTATTACTAGCATCATCATTATTATTGATGGTTCATGTCCAAAGAGAGCCTTCAATGATTAATGAAAGCAAGGAAATATATCAAAAAACAGTTCAAATGCCAAATAGGCTTGGGAGTCAAACAGACCTGAATATGAACCCTTGTTCAGACATTTACCAGGCTTTATGAGCTTGGACAAGTCACTTAACCTCTCTAAACCTGTTCCCTTCTCTGTAAAAGAGTTAGTAATACCTACCTTAACAAGAGAATTTGAAGATTTAAGACAATGTATTTAAAGCACTCAGTTCAATGCCCAACATATATTAGGCATTCCATAGATTACAGCAAGAATTATTATTACTACCTTGTATTACAGAGCATTTTTTAGACTAATTATCTCATGTAATCCTCTTATTAATTCTGTGAAGGAAAATACGATGACCACATTACAAAGGAAAAAATAGTGCTCAGTGCGGTAAAACAGAGGGCCAGTGAGTATGGAGTTATAATTAAGCCTAGGGATTGAGATTATGGTGCCGTCTTCCGGTCTGAGACCAAGGTGATATTCACCTTTTTCCAATGCCTGTTTGTCAGATGAGCAAACAACTAAAACCCTCTTCATTTAATTTTTTCACTCAGACTCCAAAATTTGATGAATCAACCTCATCAGTCTTCTCGTATTCCTAGGCCCATTATAAAGGTGACTAAACTGAGGCGGCAGCAACACTCTCCATATCACCATCAGTACCACCACCAACACCACCACCAACACAAATGCACATGCACTTGAACTTAATCATCTTGCTCTTTAGAAATATGAGGACAACAGAGAAAAAACTTTTCCCTGATAGACAGGTAACAAAGATGCTTCGACAACAAATACACCACAGAGAAGTATTCTGCGCAAAAGGCATTTCTGTTTCAGCCAATGGCCTATATCAATAATATGTTATTTTAAAATCTTACTTCTACCAATTATATAGAAAAAATAAATAATCCTGTGCAACAGAGCTTTGTCTGGTCACTTCTTCATGTCACATTCACTCTCTAATATAAAATCTTTAACCTTCCAGTGACTAAGAAGGCAATGGGGCTTTGCGCTCTGAGAGGTGAGGTATGCAGCTGACCTGTGACCATAAGGCTTGCTTTTTGGAATTAGCTGGGTGCTCTTTTGAGAGTACGAAAAAAGCAACACTGCATATGCTGAAATGAACAAAACCAAAATCACACAGTACATTCATGAGAAGTAAAGGGTTGTGGTGAATATGGTGACGATTTAACTGATGGGGCTAAAGTACTTTTTTAATATCAACCTCATTTTTCCCCTAGGCCCCGGGCAGCTTGAAAATATGGTTGGCAGCAAGACATTTGCTTTAACAAATTCTGTTATTAAAATAACTAGGGTGTAAAAGAATCTTCCCTATATAATTATTAAGACTCTTTCACATTAGTAATATCTTTACTAATTACTCATGTAAGAGTAAAGGTGTTCCTCATTTTACTGTGCTTTATTTTACTACATTTTGCAGGTAATGCATTTTTTACAAATTGAAGGTTTGTGGAAACCCTGTGTCAATCAAGTCTACTGGCACCATTTTCGGAACAGCATGTGCTCACTGTGTGCCTCTGTATCACATTTTGGTATTTCTCACAATATTTCAAAGTTTTCCATTATTATTATTATATCCTTTATTATGATCTATTATCAGTGGTCTTTGATGTTACTATTGTAATTGTTTTCAGGCACCACCTACCAAGCCCAGATAAGATGGCAAATTTAATTGAGAAATGTTATGTGTGGTCTGACTGTTCCACTCACCGGCTGCTCCCCCATCTCTCATCTCTCTCCCTCTCCTTAGGCATCCTTATTCCCTGAGACCCAACAATATTTAAACAAGGACAATTAATGACCCTACAATGGCCTCTAAGTGTTCAAGTGAAAGGAGGAGTTGCATGTCTCTCATTTTTAATCAAAAGCTAGAAATTATTAAATGTAGTAAGGAAGGCATATCAAAACCAAAATCGGCCAAAAGATAGGTTTCTGGTGCCAAACAGCCAAGTTGTGAATGCTAAGGAAAAGTTCCTGAAGGAAATTAAAAGTGCTGTTCCAGTGAACACACAAATGATGAAAGTGAAACAGCCTTCTTACAGATATGGAAAAAGTTTTAATGATCTGAATAGATGAGCAAACCAGCCACAACATTCCCTTAAGCCAAAGCCTAATCCAGACCGAGGCCTAACTCTCTTCAATTCTATAAAGGCTCAGACAGGTGAGGAAGCTACAGAAGAAAAGTTAGAAGCCAACAGAAGTAGGAAAGAAGCCATCTCCATAACATAAAAATGCAAAGTGAAGCAGCAAGTCCTCATGTAGAAGCTACAGCAAGTTATCCAGATCTAGCTAAGATAATTGATAAAAGTGGCTACACTAAACAACAGATTTTTAATGTATATTAAACAGCCTTATATTGGAGGAAGATGCCATCTAGGACCTTTCATAGCTAAAGAAAAGTCAATGCTTGGTTTCAAAGTTTCAAAGCACAGGCTGACTCTCTTATTACGGGCTAATGCAGTTGGTGACTTTAAGTTGAAGCCAGTGCTCATTTACCATTTAAAAAATCCTAGAGTATTTAAGAATTATGCTAAATCTACCCTGCCTGGGCTCTATAAATGAAACAACAAAGCCTGGATGACAGCACATCTGTTTATAACATGGTTTACTGAATATTTTAAGCCCACTGTTGAGACCTACTGCTCAGGAAAAAAAATAAAAAATAAAAATGTTACTGCTCATTGACAATACACCTGAGAGCTTTGATGAACATATACAGGATGTTAACATTATTTTTATGCCTACTAACATAACATTCATTTTGCATCCATGCAGATCAAGGAATAATTTTGACTTTCAAGTCTTATTCTTTAAGAAATACATTTCAAAAGACTATAAGTGTTATCGATAGGAATTCTTCCAATGGATCTGGGTGAAGTAAATTTAAAACCTTCTGGAAAGGTGTTGCCATTCTAGATGCTATTAAGAACATTCTAGATGCTGTTAAGAACATGAGAGGAGGTCAAAATATCAACATTAACGGGAGTTTGAAAGAAGTTTGTTCTCACCCTCATGAACGACTTTGAGGGGCTCGAGACTCCAGTGGAGGAAGTCACTGCAGATGCTGTGGAAACAGCAAGAGAACTAGGATGAGAAGTGGAGCCTGAATATATGACTGAATTGCTGCAATCTAATAATAAAACTTTAACACAAGGAGTTGCTTCTTGCAGATGAACAAAAAAAGTGGTTTCTTGAGATGAGATCTATTCCTGGTAAAAATGCTGTGAACATTGTTGAAATGACAGTAAAGGATTTAGAATATTACATAAACTTAGCTGATAAGGCAGAGGCAGGCTTTGAGAGGTCTTAGCCCCATTTTGAAGTTTTACTGTGGGTAAAATGCTATCAAACAGCATCACATCTAACAGAGAAATTTTTTGTGAAAGGAAGAGTCAATCAATATGGCAAACTTCATTGCTGTCTTATTTTAAGAAATTGCTGCAGCCACTCCAACTTTCAGCAGCTATCAAGTCAAGACCCTGGGTCAACAAAAGAAAGTATGACTCTTTGATGGCTCAGATGATTGTAAGCACATTTTAGCAAAAAAAAGCTATTTTTAATTAAGGTATTTACATTTTTAAGACATAATTCTATTGCATAGTTAATAGATAATAGTGCAGATATAACTTTTATGTGCACTGGGAAACAAAAAAAAATTAGTGTAACTCACTTTATTGTGATTTTTTTTATGGTGGTGGTCAGGAACTGAACCCTGAATATCTCTGAGGTATGCCTGTAGCTAAATATTCATAAGCCTTGACAAATGCCTTGCTTTTCTACATATAATCTCTAATTCAAGAATCAATCCAAGATAAATGACTTTTCAGGTAATGAGGCAGAGGTACACACTGCACAACATTAGAAGGTTCCATCCAATAGAACACAGTGTAATTGACACCACCTGGAGTTGTGCAGTGCACAACCTGCACAGCTGCATGAAAGTCATCGAGTATGAGAAATCTCAGAGGAACAACCTTACTCCATATAATACAGAGTATTTCACTCATATACAAAGGAAAAAGAATAAACCAGGCTTATAATTACATTTAAGAAATGGTTTGATAATTTTAAAATAATGTTTTTTTTGTGTCTGATGTAACTCACTGTAAACATTGTAGAAAGTACAAACAAGTGGGTAGAACATATCAGAGATTATCACCCTGTTAATGTTAACACTTCCTCCTGGTCCATGTATATGCACATATAAAAAAAAAAAAAAAAAAAATATATATATATATATATATATATATATATATATATATATATATATATGTATATTTGAGCCAGGCGCGGTGGCTCATGCCTGTAATCCCAGCACTTTGAGGGGCTGAGGTGGGCAGATCACGAGATCAGGAGTTCGAGACCAGCCTGACCAACATGGTGAAACCCCGTCTTTACCAAAAATACACAAACTAGCTGGGTGTGGTGGCACATGCCTGTAATCCCAGCTACTCAGGAGGCTGAGGCAGGAGAAACACTTGAACTCGAGAGGTTGAGGTTGCAGTGAGCCAAGATCGCACCACTGCACTCCAGCCTGGGTGACAGAGTGAGACCACATCTCAAAAAGAAAAAAAAAAAAAAAAATATATATATATATATATATATGTATTTATATATATATACACACACACATATATACATGTATATATGCATATATTTGTATATATATGTGTATGTGTGTGTGTGGGTGTGTGTGTGTGTATATATATATATATATAAATACTTGATTATCTGCTCCCCAACCTACTTTTTAAAAACTTAATATGATATAGCATTTCTCAAACTTGCCTACAGAATAAAATAACCTGAAGAACATGTTTAAAATATGGATCTTTCAGAATTCTCCTTCAGAGAATCAACTCAGAAAGTCTGAGGTAGGCCCAACAATTGGCATTTTTAATAGCACCCCTACCTACACACACACACACACACACACACACACACACCGCTATGATTTTTGTGCTCAAACAAGTTTGAGAAACACTGATTTAATAGACGTGTTTTCAGGTGTTCAAGTGATTTCTGAACAGAGGAAAAACAGTTTAATCTAACTTCCCTAACCCTGTCAGTTGTGTGGATCAAATGCAGCCACCTTAGAAACAGAAAAATTGAGTGCACTGGGTAAGCAAGGAAGTGTTTCCAACCACCCAGCTCTCCTCAGTATTGAACCTGTGGCCTGAGGCCGAATTCTCTAGTGATCCAGATATTCTCCACGAAGATAGGCGGGCCAGAGATAATGTTCCTTGAAACCAGACTCCTGAGACCTTCCAGGGCTTCTCTGAGCAAAATCATCTCTCTGGGTGACATTCTTAGTCCATCCAGATTGCTATAGCAAATTACCATGAACCTGGAGGATTATAAATAACAAAAATATATTTCTTGCAGTTCTAGAGGCTGGAAAGTCCAAGATCAAAGCACCAGCAGATTTGTGACTTGTGAGGGCTTACTTTCTCGTTCATAGAAGGTGCCTTCTGGTTGCGTCCTTAGATGGTGAAAGGGTGGAGCTGGCTCTTTGGGGTCTGTTTGATATAGGCACCAATCCCAATCATGAGAATTCTGCCCTTATGACTTAATAACCTCCCAAAGGCCCTACCTTGTAGTACTAATAACTTGGGGGTTAGGATTTCACTGTATGAATTTGAGAAGAACACAAACATTCCACCTATAGCAGTGACCATTCATGTTGGTTTGCTTGTTCAGTCCCAGTCCATAAGTGTTTTTCTGAGGGATGTTATTAATAACACCTTGTTTCACTCACAGAAGTGCTCCATTTTTGACAACAAATTATATGGGCATGTACTTGTAGGGTTACCTCCACCCTCCTCTCTGATCCATGGATCAGAAATGGAGCACATTTCTTACTGGCTCCTTCATGTCTAAGACTTTGTTCTTCCAAACAGAGATCTTATTAATCAATCAACTTCTTTCTTGTAAGGGACAATATTCAATAAACATGGGAACCAAACCGTCCTCATGGTGAGGTCTTCCTGACCAGTTAAAGACTATTGTTTTGCCTTTTTTCTCAAAGCACTTGCAGTTCGTAAGCAGGTTAAGATGTGCTCTCCTTTCCTCATCAGTGCCAGGAAGAGAAACCAAATTTTAAGAAATTTTCTAAGCACTCTGCCATCAAGAGTTCTGCAAAAAACCCATTTTAATTGCTGTAATTGCTGTAAAAGATTCTAATTAACATTTTCCTATTATAATCAATTAGCCTTTTAATTTTCACTATGACAAATACAGTTGTGATTAATACCCCCATTTATGGATCTTTGGTCATTACTGCCTTAGGATAGAGGTCCTAAAGTTTTAAAGTAACATGATGTTTTAAAGTAACACTCATTCTTCAAAAAAACCACCCCACCCCATTTTAAGAATTTAGCAATAGTTACAGAGAATTGAGGACCAATTTAATGGAAATAACCTGCAAAACCAAAGTGCTAAAAGCCACCCTCTCCTTGCTGTGTCTGAGAAATTATGACTAAAAGAGACAAAATTCAGGTGTTTCTGCTAAAATCTGTGCAAATAGAAATATCAATCTTGCCTTAGAACAACAGCGAAGTGACTCGAGCTGCTCTCTCACATGTCCGTTAGCTCTCCCTCCCTCTCTCTGCTTCTTCAGATAGAACATGAAGGAATCTTGGATCTGCCCTGAACTGGCTGCACTGGAACTTGTCACTCACATCGTTTTGCCAATTGCTGGAGATGGGATTCTACAAACTGATACAGAAAGATCTAGATGAGGTATCACCCAGGATCAGAAAGATTAGTAAAATTGAATGAGGGTAAATGAGACATGGTGCTTGATGAAACCAGTTAATGGGAGAAAGATCTTCTATTAAATAGCTGCAGTCACCAAAATGACAATGACACAATGGTACAAATGACATCAATTACTCTTTTGGTATTCATTCTTTCTTTCCCTCAACAAATATTTATTGAGGACCAACTGGGTTCCAGACACTGTTCCAGGTAACAGGAGCAGGAATGAACAAAACAGACAAAATCACTGCTTCTAGTGGAGGAGATGGATTACAAGCAAAATAAACTGTAAAATCTTTAAAATGTTAGTGATAAATGCTGAGGGAGAAAAAAAGTAAGCATGGAAGACGAATATTAAAAATGGAGATTGAAATCTTATTAGCATTTCCTGGGAAGATTCCACTGAGAAAATGACTTATGAGCAAATACCTAAAGAAAGTGGACCTAGCAATATGGATGCCTGGGGGAAGAGTATTTCAGGAAGCAGTCATGGAAAGAGCAAATTTCCTGGGGCAGGATTGTGCCTGGGTGTTAAAAGAATCATCAGGAGGCTGGTGTGGTAGGGAGAGATGAGGTAGTTTTCTAGGCCATCAGAAAGAGGTTTTGGAGCCGGGTGTGGTGGCTCATACCTGTAATCCCAATACTTTGGGAGGCCTAGTCAGGCCTCCTGCATCACTTGAGCCCAGGAGTTTGAGACCAGCCTGGGCAACACAGGGAGATCTCATCTCTATAAAAAAAAATTTAGCCAAGTGTGATTGCACACACCGGTGGTTCCAGCTGAGGTAGGAGGATCACTTGAGCCCAGGAGATCAAGGCTGCAGTGAGCTCTGATTGGGCCACTGCATTCCAGCTCAGGCAACAAAGTGAGTCTTTGTCTCAAAACAAACAAACAATAAATAAAGTTTTGAGTTTTACTCTAAATGAACTACAGAATTTTGAGTGGAGAAGTTACAAGCTTTCAAGTAGAGGTATAACATCATTTGACTTACACTGTAACAGTAACACTCTGTTTTGAGAATTGACAGGAGAATTGGCAAGGGTGGAAGGTGGAGTGCTATGGCTTGAATATGGGTGTTATTCAAAATTCATATGTTGGAAATTAAACCTCAAGGTGATGGTATTAAGAGGTGGAGTAATCTACTCATTTGACAAAGGTCTAATATCCAGAATGTACAAGGAACTTAAACAAATTTACAACAAAAAACAATCCCATCAAAAAGTGGGCAAAGGATATGAACAGACACTTCTCAAAAGAAGACATTTATGTGGCCAAGAAACATATGGAAAAAGCCCATCATCACTGATCATTAGAGAAATGTAAATCAAAACCACAATGAGATACCACGTCAGGCCAGTCAGAATGACGATTATTAAAAAGTCAAGAAACAATAGATGCTGGTGATGCTGTGGAGAAATAGGAATAGTTTTACACGTTGGTGGGAATGTAAATTAGTTCAACCATTGTGGAAGACAGTGTGGTGATCCTCAAAGATCTAGAACCAGAAATACCATTTGACCTAGCAGTCCCATTACTAGATATATACTCAAAGGAATATAAATCATTACACTATAAAGACACATGCACATGTATGTTTATTGCAGCACTATTTACAATAGTAAAGACTTGGAACCAACCCAAATGCCCATCAATGGTAGACTGGATAAAGAAAATGTGGTACATAAACACCATGAAATACTATGCAGCTATAAAAAAGAATGAGATCGTGTCCTTTGCAGGGACATGGATGAAGCTGGAAGCCATCATTCTCAGCAAACTAACACAGGAACAGAAAACCAAACACCGCATGTTCTCACTCATAAGTGGGAGTTGAACAATGAGAATACCTGGGCTCAGGGAGGGGAACAACACACACTGGGGCCTCTTGAGGGGTGGGGGACAAGGGGAGGGAAAGCATTAGGACAAATACCTAATGCCTGCAAGGCTTGAAAGCTAGATGATGGGTTGATAGGTGCAGCAAACCACCATGGCACATGTATTCCTATGTAACAAACCTCACATTCTGCACGTGTATCCTAGAACTTAAAGTAAAATAAAAAATAAAAATTTAAAGTTAAAAAAATAAGATAAAATAAAATTAAAAATATATTAAAAAAGAGGTGGGGCTGTCAGGAAGTGATTAAGCCATGAGGGCTCTGCCCTTATAGATGGCATTAGAGTCCTTATAAAAGGGCTTGAGGAAGCGATTTCATCCTTTCTGCTCTTTATCCTTCCACCCTTCTACCATTGATGACAAAGAAATCTATGGAGCAGAAAGTGAGCCCTCACCAGAACCAAATCTCCTGGCACTTTGATCTTGGACTTCCCAGCCTCCAGAACTGTAAGAAACAAATATCTATTATTTATAAAGTACCCAATCGAAGGCATTTTGTGATAGCAGCAGGAAGGGACTAAGACAGGGAGAACTGGATGTGAAGGGGGATGGCAGAAGCAGAGAGACTAGTTAGAAGATTATTTGCAATAAAACCACGTGAGAGATCATGATGACTTACTTGTGCAGGTTGGTGGCAGTGGAGGTGGTAAGAAGTAGATGAATGTTGGATCTTTTTTACAGATCGAACCAAGAGAATTTGCTGACAGATCAGATGTGGGGTGGGAGAAAAAGAGAAGTTAGGGATGACACTGAGGATTTTATCTTGAACAACTAAAATGAGGTTGATGTTAGTTGAGATGACGTGTATAGGGGGAGGCGGTTTGGAAGGGATGAACAGGAATCTGTTATGTGCAAGCCCGGTGTGAGATGCCTGTTAGACATCCAGGTGGAGATTTCAATCAGGCAGTTGAACACATGGATCTGGAATCCAAGGGGATAGGTCAGGACTGAATAGACACATTTGGGAGCCAACAACATATGGATGGTATGTAAGGCCATTGGGCTTGATGAGATCACCACAAGAATGAACTTAGATAGAAACGATGACCAAGGAGGACATACTAACATTAGAGTAGAGTCAAAAACTAAGTTGTAAAGTAAGAAAAAAGAAAGGTATTTTCCTTGCGTATGTGGGTTTGCTGGCCAACATGTGCACTCATTTTAGCGTGTTTCTCAGAGGTGTTAGCAAGGCTGTGTGCTGCAGTGTAGGTAGCTAGTCTGATTTCTACGGGCTCCACAGTGCCCAGCATAGGGATACAGTAAGCATTAATTAAAGAAACGAATGAGCTGGAATAAACATATAAATTTGTGACTTAACTTTCAGTCTTTCTACCTGAAATTCCTATACTTCAAGTCTTGGAATTCAAAACAGTTGTTGGTAAAATCATTCTAGGGCAATGACATTTATATAAACCAGAACATTAAAATGTAAAATAATTAGATATTTTCATTAGGCTCTCTGGAGATTTGGCAGCTTCTACAATCTGATCGTTGATTTTTTTTTATCAGAGCTTCACCTAGGCTGACCCTAAATGACTAATGATCAGATTTTTAGAAGCTTGTTAAATGAATTATAAATACGTATAATATATATAATTATATATAATATATAAATATATTTAAAAGTATACATGACCTAAAATAGAAATATTTATGCATTCATATAAAAATGAATATTAAGAGACTGTACATCTTAATTGATAAATGAAAAAAATTCAAAAAAGACAGACTATATTACAAAAATGAGATTCAAAATAAGCATCATTTGTGAGCACTGATTGGGATCACAAAAAACAAAACGTATTGAGTTCAAAGCCAACAAATTGAATGGTTCTACGGTAACAGAAAAAGTGTAGTTGTAACCAGGAGTGTATCCCACTAGATAATCTACAGCTTCAGCTGGTCCAGAAATGACTACTCTCACTCGAGGTTTGGTGTGTAAGTTGTACTCCTGGGAAGAAATAAGAGAGAAAAAACTTAATTGAAAGGATAATAAAGAAAGTAAAAAACAAATCAATGGTGGTAGAAACTTTGTAATCTGTTTCAGTATAGGTTTACTGATTCTTTTTTCATTGCCAGGTGTTAAGTTCTTTTTTCATTGCCATGTGTTGTTACTATAAAATTGATATATTAGATGCATAAAGAGTATAACTGATTACATTTGAAAACAATATTTAAATGTTTGTGGAATTATGTTAAATTATTGTTTTTACTGAATTTTTAAAATGAATGTATACTTAGAAAACATATTCCAAAGTAAAAATCAAATAAGTTAGACAAAGCAAAAATAATAGTGGGCATTTTGTCTCCATCTACAAACCTTCCTACGTCATTAGGCTCAAAAGCACATATTTACATGGAAAGGGTTACGTGTGCATTTTTAGCACAAGTATTCATTCATGATGTCACAAGATCAGAGCAGAGATTCCAACAAAACGATTTTTCTCCCCTGGAGCTGTGCAGCAGGTTCCAGAAGGCCCCAGGAGGAATCAGCACAAACACTGTGACCGTTATTTACCCTATCTGGGACTTCAGCAGCTGGGCTGTTTGCATGATATGCAAATGGGCACATCATTCAAGGAAGAAAGGATGAATGCTCTGGCACTTGCAGGGCAAACATTAACTGCTATGGGAAGAGGGCCAGCAAAAGAGGAACCAGACAGAAGCGAGTGGGTGGTGAGGGGCAGGACAAGAAACATCTTCCAAAGAAGCAAAATGCAGAAGGCAGACACTGCTTACTGGGAACCATTCAGCCTTCTCAGCCTCGGTAAACAACAGATGGGTGTGTGCTGCAGCCCTTTTTCCTGCAGAAACAGTGAATTTCCTCTCTACCCAATTTCTTCCTTTGGGTCAAATTTGTAAAATACTTTATATGTGGAAAATTACTGAGAGATACAGAGGGAACAAATTAGCTGGAACAGCAGAAGCTCTGGGAGCTAAGAGGAGACTGACTGACAGGAAAGAAAAACGTCTGGAGTCAGGCGGACCTAGGCACGAATCTTAGTTCTAAAATTTATCAGCTATGGATATTGAGCAAGATTCTCAATTTCTCTGTCTCAGTTTTCTTATCTGTAAAATGGACATAATAATACTATCTCATAGTAGGATCACTGTAAAATTTAGTAAATCTCCTTTGTATAAAGTGTCTCTTGCCAACATGACAGCAACTGGTTAGTATCATCAGAACTCGGACTTGAATTATTCAGGCTCTCCATCCCAAAGTGCAGCGGTCTGTGGGAGTCTAGAGATAATAGAGATTGTGGGAACCCCAACGAAGCAAATAACCTTGTGGCCACCCTACTTCTTAAAGGCTGCTCAATTCAACAAGGAATATTTACATAGTTCAGAAGTAAGTCTACACCCAGACACATTAAAACCTGTGGGTGAAATCTACTTTTTAAATACTTCAGCACAATCAAGCCCAGTAGGAACTTACAGGCTCTGATGAACTCATTGCTTCAATTGCATGCATATGTAGAGTGTAAAGTAGAAGACTACCACTAGAATGAAGACCAACACCACCTATGGGCATTCCTTTTCATTCAAGAGTAAACGTCACTGAATTGCTTACTTATAACTCCCTGTTCATCTTTACGTTTTTCGTAGCTTTAAATAATGTATTACTTAGTTTTGCAAGTTTTCATAATTTAAATAAATGGATTCATGCTGTTTGTATTTTTGTGAGACTTCTTTTTTGGCTCAATGTTAGGTTTTCGAATTCATGTTATATATCATCTATTTTAATTGCTATATAATATTCCTTTATGTGAATATTCCACAATGAATTATTCAATCTTTTGTTGATGTACAGCTAAGGACTTTTTTTAAAAAAATGTTTTGTTGTGTTGTGTTTTTGTTTTTTCCCATTACAAGTTATACTGCTACAAGCATTCTTGTGCATGTCTCCTGTTTTGTGTTATTCCGTGATGTACATGTTGAGCAGAATTGCTGGACCATAAGGTATTTAATTCAACAAGTTTTTTTCTGTGTCAGGCAATATTTTATACTCTAAGCACACATACATAAAAAGAACAGGCAGGAGTCTCTGACTTCATGTGCTTATGTACTAGTAAAGGGAAACAGGCAAAATAAATATATAAATTATATCTGTTGGAAAGTGATAAGTTTTATGGAGAAAAATGAAGTTGGGAGGAAATAGGAAGTGTCTGGGCAGTTTCTAATGTTACATAGGGTGGTCAGAAAGAGTAACGTGGTGAGCACGTGACATGTGAACAAAAACTTGAAGGAGATGAGGCAGAAGTCATGTGGATATCAGAGGAAGAGTGTTCCACAGTGTGCACATTTTAAATTTTATTAGATAATGCAAAATAGTTTTCCAAAATGATTTTACCACTTTGGGCTCCCAGCTGCAGGGCATAAGAGTTCCTGAAGCTCCAGATTCTTACAAATCTTTGACATTGTTAGATGTTTTATATTCTGCAAATCTGACAAGTAGCACTTGGATGTATTGTGATTTTGGATTTTCTAACTACTAAGAAGTTTGAGCATCTTTTCAAATGTCTATTGGTCATGTCTATTTCCATTTTTATGTGGTACCTCTTCAAATCTATTTTTATATTAATATTATGTTTTTGTCTTTCTTATGAATTTCTAGTTCCTATGTGGTTTGTACTATTAATCCTTTGTCAGTCATATGTGTTACTAATATCCTTTCTTACTTTGTGGCTTATTATTTCACTTTATTTTTTGTGCATTTTGATGAACATAGCACCTTAATTTTCGTACAGTTGAATCTCTTTATTTTGGTTAGTGGCATTTGTCTAATTTTGAAAAATATTTCCCTATTCTGAGGTCAGGGAGATTTCTCCTATATTTTCTTCTGAAAGATTTTTCACCCATTAGTATATTTGCAATTTTTTAGGTGTGTATGAAGAATGGTTCAATTTAATTTTGTTTCATGTGATTTGTCACAGCACCATATATTGAAAAGTCCATCATTTTTCCACTTAACTGTAATACAAGTTTTATAACTAATCAAGTTTCCAAATGTGTTATTCTTTTTTTTTCTGGGCTCTCTATTCTGTACCATTGATCTATTTGTCCAATGCTGTGTCAATACCATACTTCCTGATTGCTATAACTTTAAAAAAATTCTAGAACCTTTGGTAGGGCAAGTCTTTTCACCTTACTTAGTCTTCTCTTCAGGAGCATCTTGAGTATTCTGGACATTTGTTCTTCCATATGATTTTAAAAAACAGTTTGATAAATTCTACAGGAAAAAATAGTTGGAATTTTTTGTCTGAATTTCTAGAAATCAGAATTTGCAAATCAATTCAAAGCGAAATGACATCTTTGAAACCTTGAGTCTTCCTACACATAAACTCGGTATATTTCTCCCTGTCTTTGAATCAAGTTGTATTCATTTATTTCTGTTTTCTGATTTTATTGTAAGTTATATTTTAACATTTTCTTCTCATTAATAAAAATGTGTTTTTTTGTAGATTGATTTTTGTATCTACCAAAATCTATGTCTAATCTAGTTTTTCCTATTTATCTGTAGATTCTTCTGGGTCTTCTACTAGACAGTCATACCATTTGCAAAGAAAAAGAGTGTTGTTTCATCCTTTTCATCTTTTATATATTACTTACTTTATCACAGCTTATATAACCTTCAGTATAATTTTAATAAAATCAATGCTATTTAGGCCCCTTTCTCTTATTTCTGATAAAAAAAGGAAAGCTTTTAGTTTGACATTAAGTGTGGTAGTGTCTGTAGAACTTTCATAGATATCCTTTTTTAGGTTGAGAAACTTCTTTTTCTAATTTGCTAAGAATTTTTATTGCAAATTTTATAAAATATTTTATAAAATATTTTGAGATAATCATATACTTTTCTCTTTAATTTGTTAATATGGTGAATTACATTAATTAATTCAATGACAAAGCAACCTTAAATTTCTAGAATAAAACCAACTTAATCATAATGTATTATCTTTTTATATTGCTAGATTTATTATTTTATTTAGGATTTTTACCTCTGTTTCTGAATGAGGTTAGCCTACAATTCCCCATTTTTAGGTCTTAGTATAAATTTATGTTAGCTTCATAAAATGAGTTGATGAATGTTCCTGCTTTTTCTTACTCTGGAATAATTTGCATAAGATTGGATTTATGTTCGTTACAATGTTTAATAGAACTTTCCAGTAAAACTATCTGGTCTGTGTTTTCTTTGTGGAAAGATTTTCATTACTGATTCCATTTCTTTGATTTTGTTGGATTACTCAGTATCCCTTTCTTTTGAGTCAGGGAGATTATATTTCCCTTAAAGCTTTTCCACTTTAAATAAATTTCCAAATTAATTAGTAGAGAAGATTTTCGTAATGGTCTCTTATTATTTAAATCTTTGAGGAAACTATAATTTTGTTCCCTCATTAATTCTTTTTTTGTTTGTTTGTTTTTTTAAGACGGAGTCTCACTCTGTTGCCCAGGCTGGAGTGCAGTGGCGCAATCTCGGCTCACTGCAAGCTCTGCCTCCCGGGTTCACGCCATTCTCCTGCCTCAGCCTCCCAAGTAGCTGGGACTACAGGCTCACCACGCCCGGCTAATTTTTTGTATTTTTAGTAGAGACGGAGTTTCACGTGTTAGCCAGGATGGTCTCGATCTCCTGACCTCGTGATCCGCCCACCTCGGCCTACCAAAGTGCTGGGATTGCAGGCGTGAGCCACCGCGCCCGGCCCCCTTATTCATTCTTTTTTTTTTTTTTTTATTTTCACACATTGTATCTTCCTCTTTTTTTCCTGATTGTTTCTCCTTTAGGTAGCTTTTATTAGTCCTCTCTACTGTATATTTGTTTTTAATTTTATTAAATTTTTAAAAATCTTTTAAAAACTATTTTTACTTTTTATGGATACATAGTATGTGTATATATTTATAGGATATGTGAGATATTTTGATATGGGCATACAGTGCATAATAACCACATCAGGGTAAATGGGGGTATCCATCACCTCAAGCATTTATCATTTCTTTGTGTTACAAACATTTAAATTATACTCTTTTAGTTATTTCAAAGTGTACTATAAATTATTATTGACCATAATCACCCTGTGGTGCTATAAAATACTAGATCTTATTCAGTCTATCTAACTGTATCTTTATACCCATTAACCATCTCCACTCTCCCCACCACTACCTTTCCCAGCCTCTGTTAATGATCATTCTACTCTCCATCTCCATGAGTTCAATTTTTAGTTTTTAGCTCCCACAAATGAGTGACAATTTCATTAAATTTCTGCTCTTATTCTTACCATTTATTTCCTTCTGCTTTCTTTGATTTCATTCTATTGTTTTTTTCTAACTTCCTGAGTTGATTAGTTACCTATTAATATTTTTCCTTTCCCCCCAATATAAATAGTTTAATGCCAATAATTTCCCTTTAGACTACCAAAATTTTGTGTTGTATTTTTATTACTCTTTACTTCTAAGTTTCTCTAATTTTTCTTAAAATTTCTTGTCTTATCTGGATAATATATAGAACATGTTTCTTACCTTAAAAACTCATGAGGATTTTCTGGTTTTTAACTGCTTACTTAATTCTACTGTGCCCAGAGAATATGTCCTATATCCTACTAATCTTTAGAATTTGATGAACTAGTTTTATGAACAAATGTCTGGTTTCCTTTGATACTTTGAGTATATATGATTGAAAAGATTACACATTTCCCATTTGCTGAGTATAATGTTCTACATATACCCATTGGGAACAGCTTCTTATTTACGCTATTCTAATTTTCCATAGTCTTCTTTTTGGTCTGTTTAATCTATTAATCTATTAATTACTCAGAACAGTACATTGTTTCTTCAACTATGATGATGAATTTATTTATATCTTCTTGCAATTTTATGGTTTTATTTTATATATTTTGAGGATATAGTATTAAATGTATCCAATTTTTTAAATATGATATCTTCCTGGTTAATTGACATTATGAACATTTAGCATAATGAGTTGTCCTCTTTATCTCAAGTTTCTCTCTTTATTTTTGCTGTAAGGTCCATTTTACTGGATATTGCTACGTTTTCCCTGCTTACTTTTGGTTTTGCAGAGAGTTTCATTTTCAATCCCTTCTTTTAACTTTTAACTTTTTGGTATCCCTATGCTAAAAGGTGTCTTATAAACATCATACAATTAAGAATTTTTTAAAATCCAACTTGACAATTTTTAGATTGGTATATTTAATTCATGTTGCTGATATATTTGGGTTTATTTCTACTGTATTATTTATGCTTATTTTTCTTGCTTTTAAAGTTGCTTTTTATTATTTCTTTACACATTTATGTTAGGTATTTTTCTCTTTCCATTTTTTCCTCTACTAATTTAGATATTACATACTTTATTTCTATTCATTTAGCGATTATCCCAATAAAGTAAACACATATGCTAACTTTTATCAAAGCCTATAGTTAATATATCAGCTTCTTAAACTATCTAACCATAGAGTTATATACTCATTTTCAACTAGATAACCATGTAAACCATAGAACGCTATCTCTGGTAACTACTTCTCAATGTTCTTACTGCCCTCTTTTTAGTTCTACTTTTTAACCTTACAAATTTTATCATTCTTGTCTTATTGTCAACTTTTGCTTAAGTTTGCTTATTATTTACCACCTCTAAAAAATCTTTATTGCATCCCAAATTTCCCCATCTGGGATGACTTTCCTCCTGCCTGAGGTATTTTTTTTAGATGTCAAACTCATTGAATATGTATTTGTTAGAAATTTGTTTTCATCCTTTTTTTCTGGAAAATTATTTTCATAGAGTATACAATTCCCGGTTTTCTGAACATCTTGACGGTACCATTCCACTGTTTTTCTGGCTTTCATTGTTGTTTCTGATAAGTTGGTCACAGTCTAATTGTTTTGCCTGTATGGATAACCCCTCTTCTGTCTCTAGCTGACCTTAAGAGCCTCTTTTTGTTTTCATTATTCTACTGTTTCACTAAGATGAGTGTAGATGGAAATTCCTTTTTTTTTTTTTTTTTTTTTTGAGACAGGCTCACACTCTGTTGCTCAGGCTGGAGTGCAGTGGCACGCAATGATGGCTCACTGTATGTAGCCTTGACCCTCCTGGACTCAAGCGATCCTCCTGCCTCAGTCTTCTGAGTAGCTGGGACTACAGGTGAGTACTGCTACACTCAGCCAATATTCTTATTTTTTTTTCCTTTTTTTTATAGAGATGGGGTCTCACTATGTTGTCCAGGATGGTTTTGAACTCCTAGGCTCAAGCAATCCTTCCACTTTGGCCTGCCAAAGGGCTGGGATTACAGGCAGGAGCCATTGTGCCTGGTCCTGAATTATTTTTAATTATTATTCTTGGGATTCTTTAAAATTCCCATATCTAAGAAGTGTGTTTCTCATTTTCTGGAAAATGTTCAGCCATCATTTCTTCATATGTTCTTTCTCCGATGCATTCTCTCTCTTTTCTTCTGAAACTCTACCTACATGTTTCTTAACTATTCATTTTTTAAAATTTCTCTGTGTGTTGCATGCTACGTAATTTCTGTCTTCACCGGTGTCTAATCTGCTATCAATGCCATCCATTGAATTTGTCATTTCAATTACTATTTCTAATTTTTTTAAATTTGTTTGAAAAATTTTTAGTTTCTTGCACCTTACTCCTAATTATATTCTCTTACTTTTTTCCTTTAAATACATAAAACGTATTTATTTGACAGTATGTGACATACAATTACGGGAATAAAAATATTTCCAATTAAATATTGGAAAGCCTTTGCAGATCTGTCTCTGTTGGCTCATGTTCATGGTGTATTGTTTTCCAGGTATTAGTTGATTTTTAGATTATGAGCTCATGGTTATTGGAAGTTAAATATACATGGGAATTATTTGGGTCTGAGTTTTAAGCGAGTTTCTCCAGATTTGTGTCTTCTGTCCTAGACACATGAGCCTAGCTCACCTAGGACCACTTTAAACCTAATTATTGGCTTTAGATTTTCAGCACACCCAGATAGCATGTTTTGGGGCCACAAACCTAGGTGAGGACTCACTGATGACTGAGAATACTCAGGAAATATTTTTATTCTCTTCCCACCAGCAAGACTTGAAAGAGGCCGTTTTTCTTATTTCCCCTTGGAAGACAGGTTTTTCTTTTTCACCCTTACTTGGAGGCTATGACCTTTTGGGGCTTTAGCTTTATGTCGGAGGTCCCCTGATTAAATTCCCCTCCTTAGGTAGGACCTATGTTTTACCTCCTGTCAGCAGTATGAAAACTGACACTCAAAGTCACTGACGTTCAACCAGCTTCAGGGCAGTGTGTGAACATGCTTCAGTGTGCTCAGCTTGCCACTCTGGGTTCCTACTTTCACTCAGTATTTGACCTGTCAGGAATCCTCATCTTCTTGCCAGCTCATCAGTGCCTTTACAAAGATTCTTTATGTATGTTATATGGTACTTATCCAGTTTTCTTTAGCAAGAGAGTCAGCCAGTGCTTCTAGCTGGCCATACCACTAGACATAGAAGTTATAATAACTATCCACCAAGTAGGAGATTAAATCTGTCCTTCACACTTTAAAACCAGTCACATGCTTCTCTTCCTTAATTCTGTGTTAAATATTTTTACCTAAATATATCAAAATATATTAAGGCAGATGTCACTCTCCCCAGTTTATGTTACAGGGAATCCCATAGTGGCTTTATTATTCATTCATTATCTGGATTCTTCCATGTTGCCCAAATTCAAACAAGTTTTGAACCTCTGAAATAAAGCTTACTAAAGGTTTTATCACCATTTTAGCCTTTAATTACTTGGACAAACTTACCCCTCTTCAGAATGAATATCAAGCTAATAGATGCCTGAAATTGAGCTGATCTTCTACATCAAGGGTTTCCAAAATGAGAGAAATTACTAGCTTTTTTTTTTTTTTTTTTTTTTTTTGAGACAGAGTTTGCTCTCGTTGTCCAGGCTGGAATGCAATGGCACGATCTCTGCTCACTGCAACCTCCACCTCCCAGGTTCAAGGGAGTCTCCTGCCTCAGCCTCCTGAGTAGCTGGGATTACAGGCATGTACCACCACACCCAGCTAATTTTGTATTTTTAGTAGAAACAGGGTTTCTCCATGTTGGTCAGGCTGGTCTCGAACTCCTGACCTCAGGAGATCCGTCTGCCTCAGCCTCCCAAAGTGCTGGGATTACAGGCATGAGCCACCACTCCTGGCCTACCAGCACTTTTATTAACAAAAATGTTTATCTTAAAAGTCAAAAAGAATTAATATTTACCAGTGTGTAATATAGGAGTTGACAGTTATTCTTACTTGGCCCGCATGCTCTGAGGGAAGAGGGCATGTGTGATCCCCCAGAGTGTGAAGGGATCAACAGTGGTGGCCTCTCTTTCCTCCTTTGTCACACTACAACTTACTGGAGTGTGTCCCCAGTTCAGCACATTTCCAGACTATATTTTCTAGTTTATGCTCACGCTTTCAAAACGAGCACCTGGCTTTTTAATTTTTTCTGCAAAGATGCTGTGAGAATCAAAGAGAATATTAATTATGCAAGCACATATAAACAACAAGAAAATGGCAGAGATGACACTTCTCCCACTCCTAATATAAGCTCTTTGTTCATCACATTACAGAGAAAAAATTAACGATCTTATCATATCTGACAAGACAGTGTCCCCCTCCAATCAATTTATATCCACTGTTATTAATGAATTGTCTTGCCTCAAATGTGAATTTTGCCCTGAGATATTAGCTAGTGATAGTTGTATATGTACGTTGTATATAATCAATAAATATAAGTGTATTGGGGTTACACAGTTAACAATTGCTTATTGTTTGGAAAGACTTGAAACCTACCACCCAGGCACCCCCTCGAAAGATTTTGCGTTCACATAATTATTTCCTCTATGATTATTGTAATTCATATAGGTACTGTGTTTTAGGTAATTCACTCTTTGTCCTGTAGAATGATTCATTTGGACAAAATTCATTCCATGTCCAAGCAACAACCAACACTTCCTTTCCACTTCCAATTGTTTGGCTAGCTTTACTTTATTTTCAAACCTCACGTTATGAACACTTTCCACAATCCCATTGCTGTTGCATTTAGTTGGACATTGTGGGGTAAATAGTTCTGCTAAAACATCTCAAAGCTATGCACAAACATTGTGAATCATCGACTAAGATAAAGTATGCTGCTTTCACAGAGCCATTAATGCCAACAGGGTTGAAATCCCCACATCTGCAGCATGGCTTGGTTCCTGTCTGTGAGTGCTTTTAGATTGGAAATTCTTAAGCAAAGCACTTTATGTATATCCAAAGACATCTGAGGATCTTTGAAAAAAATTATATTTATAGATATAATGTAACTTTCATGGCCAAACCTAATTGCTGAAGATTTATTTTTTAGCTTATAATAATAATCATCTCTGTCTTCCCAACCTCTGTGAGGAAAACAGCAAAGTCTATAGAAAACTAACCAGAATCAGAGCAAGAAAGACTGTCCCTGCCTGCTGCCTTTTTCTCCCTCTTTTTGTGATTATTAGTACAATGTAAGTTACTCCTGGGTTTCAAGAGAGCAAGGATTATTTATCTTGGACCGAACAAACTTATCTCATTATCTCCTGAATCTCCTCATCACTGTTACCTATTCTTTTTCCATCATGTTGTGTTGTCTTGTCCTAGCATCTTAAAACCTTTTTGTCTATTGATTGCCTGATATAATACTAATATATTACATGCAAAAGAAAATACACATGAAAGATAGATATAAAGAATAAAGTTAAAATAAACTAAAAATGAAAGAACCACTACTTGATCACTGTGAATATCCCTGGGGTACACAGAGCCCACTTTAGCAGTCACTAGTGGATAGAGCTCTAGCGACTCAAAGAAAAATTTCTGACTTCTTTTACCTTTTTCACTGACTGAGTTATGGAGAAGGGTGGGGGAGGGGGGCAGATAACCATAAGCAACAGACACAATTAAAATGAATTAAGAAGAACTTGCAAAGGGGCTGAGCACAGTGGCTCACACCTGTAATCCCAGTCCTTTGGGAGGCCAAGGTGGGAGGCTTCCTTGAGCCCAGGAGTTCGAAGCTGCAGTGAGCTATGATGATGCTCTAGCCTGGGTGACAGAGCAAGACCCTGCCTCTAAAAAACTAAAAAAAAAAGAAAAGAAAAGAAAAGAAAAAAAGTGCTTGCAAAGCATAGGGAAATGGTAAATGGAGGCAGAGTACTTTGTATCAAACTAAAGAATAATCTCAAATTTCCCTAGAAGTGAACCTTGAAGGATATCCATGCTAATCACCCATCTGCTTCTTAACTACCCACAACAAATGCTTTTTGAGTGTTTTCACTAGTATATGAGAAATTTCCTAAGTGTTCAACATCATGAAACCAAAAGCAGTTCTTTACAGGCTTGCTGTCATTACTAATGTATTTTCTATAAGGTCTCTAAGACTTAAATTAGGCTAATGGGTTGTGATCCAAGAGAAATACAACAGTCCATAATGCATGATACATCGCAGTCATTAGTTAATATTTATTGAATGTCCACTGGCTGCATAAAGCTACCTGAAGGCATAATGATTATTAAAAATTCTGACTATGAGAGAAGGTAATGGCAAAAGGGGTATATGGGAAGAAAACAATATACACAGAGAACATAAAGAAGAAACTAGTTTCCTGTTCATGTCTCTTTTATATAACTGCTCCATCTCCAGCTCACTGGTGCTTGGCCCCCCACTATCCCCATGCATACGCAAATAACAGCTTGTCATTTACAAGCAACTGATGAACACCAATATGGGTTTCTTTGTCAGTGTTTCCTCCTCCACCTTCTCCTTCTCTTCTTTCACTTCTTTTCTTCTTATTCTTCTTTTGTTTGTTTTTTGAATGGATGTTTCTCATTTCCACCAAACATACATAAAACCTCTTAGTTGGCTTTCTTACCAAAAAGACATCCTCATAATAGACGCAAAGCTGAGAACAGGAGGCCATGAGTGGATCCTCATTAAAATGAAATTAAAGGATCATTCTAACAACATGTTCATCACTTCACTATTCAAATATTTTAAAGTATTTTAAGCCTCTTGCATTTGGGTGACCTGTAAGATCTTGGTATGTGATAATCGCCAGAGCTAGCCCTCAAGCAAGTTTCACCATATCTTATGCAGGCACTGGGGGCCATAAGGCTTCTTTAGGCGCAAATTGCTGAACAATTACTGATGAGAGAAAGGTCATAAAAATAGGTTACAGACGTCTGGCTGGCTTTGGGACCACTTAGATAGAACCATTTTGTCCTGTTGTTACAAAGACTAGAAGGAAGTAGTTTAAGGTAGTTAGAGACAAGCAAACAAAAGAAAGAGCTATATAACTTCTACTTTCACTTCATGTCTACTCCATTACTTCTAGCATTATGGGAGAAATAACATGATTGAAATGACCTAAAGGTTAGGGGGTGGGCAAGTTTTACCTGGTAGAAAGTAGATTGAATGCTGTTGGCTAAATCTTTTTGAAAGTGAAAAGTAGTAACATTTAACAAAATGCCAAGCTGACAGGAGGGGTGGGAAAAGACTGAAATCACATTTAGTTATTGGTTTTTTCTTCTAAGTGTGGATCTTTTATTAAGAAAGAAAGATAAAATTGAGATTGGTAGAATGGGGAAGAAGAGAGGGGGGGTAGGAGTTGGTGGGGAGAGGAAGAGAAAAGAGAATTGTTTGCTTGAAAACCAAATTTCTATGATGACACTTCAGCAGCCATAGTCGCTCCAAATGTTATATCAAGAAATCGATCAGATTTTAAATTGTATTCAATCAATAAATATTTCTCGAGCATTTATCCTGTGTCAAAAAATGACCTCACAAAGCTCAAATCTCTCTCCTTTCAGCACATAAGACTTACTCACCTGAGAATTGTGGATCTTTAAAAGGTTTATATAAATGGTATCTGGTCTCAGTAAACTTAAAAGGTCTGCACAAGTTACAATTCCTTAAAATAAGCAGATTGGTGAGATTAAGGAGAGAAAACTTTTTTTAGAAAAAGGCACACACATACACATAAATACACACAGAAACACTAGAAAGATAAATTGCGATATGACCAACAGCAAAAATAACCTCTTTACTATTTGCTGAATATTTGTGATATTAATTAAATTACCTCTACCATGAACCGTATCTTTTCCTTCAAAAACAAATTTACAAGGTAATAGGAATATTAATTAAGCTTCGAAATTGAAGTGGATGTTTCATGTAATCTACCCATGAATTTCAAATTCAAAGACACTACTTCTTGGCCATGGATGTAAAGAGAATTAGCATTCAGAACAACGGTTTCAAGTAATCAAGCTGGTCAATACCTGGTAAGAGGTCAATATCTGGTACAAAGGAAATTTTGAAGAAATTGGAGCAGGAACAATTGTTCCTTCTTAAAAAGATGAGGTGTTTCTAAAGCCTAACTAGAAATTAGAATGCCAATTCAAACAAAAATGCCTTCAGGTTTTCTGCCAATATTGAATTGTATTTACAGATTTCTACCAATAATGAATATTTTTAGTTATTTAAGTTGAAGTATTAGTTTATTATATTTAAAATTTGTTATTTAATATAGTGATAACCACACACAAGTCAAATCAATTCAGAACTTCTCTCCATTCTCATGTGATTTTTGGTACTCTTTCCTAACTAAATGATTCTCATAAGTTTTAGATAAACAATTTAACTTTGGGGTATTTACAGCAATCCTTTTTTATATGCCATCTTACACACCTCAAAATTAAGTATGTTCTTCTAACAAAGAGTGTTGTTAAGTGTCTTGGAGAATAATAAACAAAAGGGAGACACTTATATGGCTAAAAAAAGTTTTTAAGGGACAGTAGGAACAAAATAAGGATGTTGTACCTCTGATCTGAACAAGTAAATGGGAAGGGTAGTGGCTTATCCAGTTTCCAAAGCATTGGGAAGAATCAAGTATTTGGTAGAATCCTGACTTTCCTAAACAAACTGTGCTTCTTATGAACTAAAAGAGGGTAAATTTCTCTCAACATATGGAGGTATTTCAGCTAAGAAATGGAGAAGGAATAAGACAATTGGAATATTCTTTTTGGAATCTCTAGTTAATTAACAAATATAAGCAATGTGTGCCAATTCCTTTTAACGTGACAAAAGGGCAGGTAATCGGACAGTATGTGCTCCCTGACAGAAGAATACACCACTGTCTCTGAAGTATCCTTACTATAAAAATCGAAACTGAATTGTTTCAAGCCTCTAGATCCAACTACCAATTTATAGCAAATACAAATGACAAAAGAACGCAGTGGATACAGTCGGCAAAATCCTGAATGCTGGAATGTAGGGAAATTCTACAGGACAAACAACCTGATTTCCTCCACAAAGAAATACAAAGGAGGTTAAAAAAAATACAGAGGGAACCTGTAGACAAAAAGAAACTTGAAAGATACATCAATTACAATGTGTGTACATTATTTTAAGTTTCTGATTAAATATGAAACTATTTTTTAAATTTTTATGAGACATTTGGGAAGTTAAACACTGAATGGATATTTGAACATATTAAAATGTATCATCATTTTTTGAGTGATAATGGCATGTAGTTAGAGTTTTATAAAGGTCTTTATCTTTTAGAAATGTTTACAGACGAAATGGTATAATGTCTGGGGTATGTTTTGAAATAACCTGGGGAAGAGACAAGTGAGTGCGGTTGAAATGAAATAATATTGTTTATGAATTAATAATTATTAAAACTGGGTGATGGATACTGGGAGTTTATTACCCTACTCTGCCTACCTTTGTATATGTATTTGCAATTTCCTATAATTAAGAAGTTTGTTTAAAAGAATCACCAGGGGAGCTAAGATCAGGAAAAGAAACAGGAGCCCCAAGTCAAGGATGTGCTGGTGAATTTTTAACTAGCTCGAAGGTTGGGGGTGCTGATTCATAGCTTTTGCTGACCTCTATGATGTAAATGATCATACCAAGGCTCCTTCCCGCATCACTGGAAGGTGAGTAGGGAAAAGATAGGTGGAATTAACTCTCACCATCCTGCATAAGTGGCCCCAAATTAACGTCTTCTTCCTAGACTTTCCTCTATCTTGGGGACAGTTGAGGTATAGGAATCCAATTTATTAGAAAGAAGTATCTATGCAGAAAGTATGATTAGCAGTTCTAGAAATTGCTCCTTATCTTTCTCTTTCTTCTGCTGCCTACATGAATTTCCTTTAGAAGGAGAATTAACCTTTTTAGGTGACCAATCTCATTTCTTTAACAGAGATCTTTCTAAAATGCTTTAAACACTTATCTGCATTTTAAACAGAAAAACAAATAAATTGCTTTGCTATAACCGAATTATTCTTATAAATTAATTATTAGTGCTCTCCCCAGGTCTGTAAGGAAATACTCTCTATAAAATATTGCTAGATTGATATGATTTTTGCGTGTGTGTGTGTGTGTGTGTGTGTGTGTGTGTGTGTGTTTGATACAGGGTTTCACTCTGTCACCCAGGCTGGAGTGCAGTGGCGTGATCATGGCTCACTGCATCCTTGACCTCCCAGACTCAGGCGATCCTCCCACTTCAGCCTCCCAGGTAGCTGAGACTAAAGGTTTGTATAACCACCCTGGCTAGTTTTTTCTGTATTATTTGTTGGAGATGGGGTCTCACCGTGTTGCCCAGGCTGGTCTTGAACTCCTGGGCTAAAGCAATCCACCTGCCTCGGCTTCCCAAAATGCTAGGATTACGAGCATGAGCCACCGCACCTGGCCAGTGTTTGATTTTTGTAGCATCTCTCTTTCAGCCTGTAATGTCAGACTGCCAGCTGCTACTTCTTATTTCTAATCTACTGTGAAGCTGAGAAGCAAATACAGTAATTCTCAAGTTTTGTCATGTTTGATATTTGTACAATTGCTACCCTCTATCAATATACATTGACCATATATACTTAATCTGGACTTTCATAATTCAGGCAATGAATGAGTATTTCAATGTGGTAATAGAACCCACTGAGCAAGAATTGAATTTCCCCTGCATTGACATCTTTGCATAGCAGAATTTATTCAATTATTTGAATGTTTAAAATATTTTGCACTTACAATTTCATTCAGATATCTGAAAATAGAAAAGTGAATGTGCTGATGCTAGTGATAAGATGTATAGATTTCATAAGCACAATCCAAAAAAAGATGGAAATCATTAGGCACGTCAAAGAGATAAAAAGTAAATCATTGAGCATGTCAGAGAGATTTTTGGCTTCAATTGAATACTTGAGTTAAGACGCTCAACTGTGAAGGAAATGAACAAAATTCAAACTATATGTGCAATGCTAGAAATTACACCACTGACGTTTGTGTACACATTTATTTTTTAGCTCTTTGAGAAAGGAAATCTTCATAATATTTAAGTCTGTTGCTTGGATTTTACGCATTTAACTCATGCATATTTTAAAGATGTATGCATTAGGTATAGAAGTGGAATGTTTCCTATTGCCAAGGTGCCTGGATTGTGTGTACAGGCTGCAACTGTAGCCACAAGTCTCTCTGGAGTCCTGGGGTTGCTTCCTTCGCTTGCCCCTTCAGGCTGAGTGGTAAGAGCTCCCTGCTGTTGCTAGCGCCCAAATTCTTCACCATCCCTGGTTGATCTCCCTACACTCTGTCCATACATTTGTGAATACTCCCTTCATTACACTCTCCTTAATTTCCCTGTTTGAGCGAGCCATCTGTCTCCTTTTGGGACAGCATGTGGTAAACCAGGCAAGAAAATCTTGTAGAAGTGAAACATTCCTAAAACCAGGTAGGACATGGTCTCAAGGTCCCTAACTCAGTACGTTAACCCACCATGATTTTGTAGCAGAATGTGAGGAAAAATATGGCTGTAATAGAGATGAAGCACAGACATTCTCATTTTTTTTTTTTGTTTTTGTTTTTGAGGCAGAGTCTCGCTCTGTCGCCCAGGCTGGAGTGCAGTGGCACGATCTTGGTTCACTGCAAGATCCACCTCGCGGGTTCACGCCATTCTCCTGCCTCAGCCTCCTGAGTAGCTGGGACTACACGCGCCCGCCACCACGCCCGGCTAATTTTCTGTATTTTTAGTAGACACGGGGAACATTCCCAATTTTTTTAGTGCCACCGGAGTTCTGTTTATAATTAGTGTAGTAATTTTCATTCATGTGAACCAGAATGGGTGAAATGAAGATGGTGCATTCCTCATCCAGATATCTGATTTCATTCTTGGTTTGTCAAATCTCCATTGAATATATAAAGACCAGCCCTGTAAGAGGATTAGCAGGACCTGGGGCTAATTCCATAAAATTAATCTAATCTATGCTCCATGCCTGACATTCTGGATGATTGAACTATTCCTTATCTCTACATATCTTTTAAATGGGAATAACTTTATCTGAGTCTTGATTAAATTAAGTAATAGTTTAAAAGTTTGCCTTTTTTTCTTCTCCAAAGGCATAAGATAATTACAATTGTAGGTTTAAATTAAAAAGTTCTAATAATTTTTTTAAAGACCTTGTACTTTTAGTACTGCTCTTCATTGTTTGACATTGGACTTTTGTCGTGATGGCTGGGCCTTGGGCCCTAGCAGAAAAGCTTCATTTGAAAACAGAACACTGGATTTAAAAGATCGCTGATGCTATTCATTTTCACTTTATTGTTAGACAGTTGAATCAGTTTTTCCTTACTTACTTTTGCCTGTCCTCAAAAATATCATTTGATTAATTTTATTTATTTTCCAGTGTGGTCATTTTGATGAAGCAAGGCCCCCTCAGACAATTACTTCCCAGCTATCTTCCAACTGCCACTCACTTTGGGTTATTTTCTGCAGCCATCCTGCCTCAAAATGTATGTATGAGTAGAAGGTATGGGGGTTGGGGGAGATGAAGGGGAGAGATGGTAAAAGAGCTGGTACTCTTCCTAAAGCCACACCAAAAGCATGCTCTCTCCCTCACTCTGCTGTGATACAAGTCACAATATGGCCAATAGTCTACTCAAGAGAATGATTGCTGGGCACAGAAGAACAACCACTGGTTGTGGCCTTGGAAAAAAACCTAGTCTGTGTGGAGGCCCATCCTACCATCAATTTCATAATCTTGAGCAAGTCAGTTAATTCCTTTGAGTCTCAGTCTCAAGTGTGAATTAAAGAGAATACAGCTTTGCCCAGCAGACCTCAAAAAACTTTGGCAAGGCTCAGATGAACTAACAAGCATTCTACACGCTTGAAACTGCCAAACTCAAAGTATTGTTATCACAGTTTCTGCAGTTTTATTTAGAAATTCCAAATTGAAGTATTAATCAATCTCTTATTCTCCTGCCATCTAATATTCTGGACTCTGTTATTTGAAGGATGATTCCAGATTCAGCTAGTCAGTCTCTCTTTCTCTCCCCATTCCTATCTCTCTCTCTCTGTCTCTCTCTGTCTCTCTCTCTCTCTCTCACACACACACACACGCTCATTTTCCTAGAAAAAAGGATACTTTTTCATTACTTCTCTAAAAGACTTTTCCTTCAGCTTCAGAACACACTTGCTAGTCCTCCAGTCTCCTGAACTGCCATCTCAATTGTGGCCCCAAACTCCATCAGCAAAAATCCCCTACTTGGGTGTCTTACTTGGCCCTCTGAGCTGAACATTTGGTCACAATCAGCGCCTCCAAGGTTCTCCACTCTTGAAAATCCCCAGTCTTTAAAATGTTGCCTGTCTCCCCAGTAGTCACCTACGTGATATAGATGTTCTACTCCCCCAGAGATATCCCATCTTGTTGAAACCCATTTCCTTCCTAGGTCTCTAACCCTTATGACTTCTTAGAGGATATTAGCTGAACATTAGCACATCTGCATCTAGTTAAAATTCCATTTTCCCCTGGCTCGAATTTCCCTGAACACACCCAGACACCACAGTGATTTGTAGAGTATTTGATGCCAACAAATACCCCTAGTGACATTATCCCAGGTTGCTCCCATCTTCTGTCTACTGAGGTAGACCGATCATTTGTTCACAAGACTGTCAAGTGTTAAAAGCAGGGAGCATTGTTCTCTCCTCGGGAGTTGTTCTGTTTTTGATTTACCCACACATGAATTGTGCAATTGATCAGCTTTCCCTATTCATTTTAGTGTTGAGAAACTTAGACCAATTTTTCCCTCAACTCCCATGTTATGGGATGAATTGTGCTCCCCTAAAATTCATTTTGAAGCCCTAATGCTTAGTACCTCAGAATGTGACTGTATTTAAAGATAGGGCCATTAAGAGGTAATTAAGCTTATTCAACAACACATTAAAAAGATCATTCACTATAATCAAGTGGGATTCACTCCAGGGGTGCAAGGATGATTCAGCATACACAAATCAATAAACGTGATACAGCAAATCAAGAGAATCGAGAACAAAAACCATATGATAATTTCAATAGATGCTGGAAAAGCATTCAATGAAATTAAACATCTCTTCATGAGAAAAACTAACAAATTGGGTATAGAAGGAACTTACCTCAACATGATAAAGGTCATACATGACAAGCCTACAGCCAATATTATACTGAATGGGTGAAAACTGAAAGCCTTTTCTCTAAGATCTGGAAGAAGAAAAGGATGCTCACTTTTGTCACTTTTACCATAGTACTGGAAGTCCCAGCCAGAGCAAACAGGCAAGAAAAAGAAAGAAAGGGCATCCAAACAGGTGACATGATCTTATCTTTAGAAAAATCTATAGACTGCACAAAAACTTTTAAGACTGATAAATAAATTTAGTAAAGTTGTAGGATACAAAATCAACATACAAAAATCAGTAGTGTTTCTATGCACTAAAGTGATTAATCTGAAAAAGAAATCAAGAAAACAATCCCATCTATAATAGCTATAAGAAATTAAAATACCTAGGAATAAATTTAACTAAAGGAGTAAAAAAATATCTACAAGGAAAACTACAAAACACTGATGAAGAAGTTGAATTGGACATCAAAAAAAAAAAAAGGGAAAAGATATCCCATGCTCACGGATTGGAAGAATAATATTGCTAAAATGCCTATACTACCCAAAGCAATCTACATATTCAATGCAATCCCTATTAAAATACCAATGACATTCTTCACATAAATAGAAAAAACAATCTTAAACCTTGTATGGAATCACAAAAGACCCCAAATAGCCACAGCAATCCTGGGCAATAAAACAAAAGCTGGAGGCATCATACTACCTGATTTCAAGTTATACTACAGAGCAATAGTAACCAAAACAGCAGGGTACTGGCATAAAAACAGACATGTGGAACAGAATAAAGAACCCAGAAGTAAATCCACACACTTATGACCAACTCATTTTTGACAAAGGTGCCAAGAACATACATTGTGGGAAGCACAGTCTCTTTAATAAATGGTGCTGGGAAAACTGAATATCCATATGCAAAAGAATGAAACTAGATCCCTGTCTTTCACCATATATAAAAATCAACTCAAAATGGATTAAATATTTAAATGTATAACCTGAAACTATGAAACTACTAGAAGAAAACATTGAGGAAATGCTATAGAACATTGACTGGTCTGGGGAAAGATTTTTTCAGTAAAACCTCTAAAGCATAGGCAACAAAAGTAAAAATAGACAAATGGGATTATATCAAGCTAAAAAAGCTTCTGCACAGCAAAAGAAACAATTAACAAAGTGAAGAGAAAGCCTACAGAATGGGAGAAAATATTTGCAAACTATTCATTCAACAAGGGACTAGTAACCAGAATATCTAAGAAATATAAACAACTAAATAGCAATAAAACAAATAATCTGTTTTTTTTTAACTAGGCAAAAGACCTAAATAGACACTTCCCAAAAGAAGACATACAAATGACCAACAGGTATATGAAAAAATGCTCACCATCACTAATCATCAGAGAAATGCAAGTCAAAACCATAATAAAGTATCATCTCACCCCAGTCAGAATAGTTTTATAAAAAAGACAAAAAATAACAGATGCTGGTAAGGATGTGGAGAAAGGGGAACACCTGTACACTGTTGGTAGAAATGTAAAGTAGTAAGGTCATTATGGAAAACGGTATAGAGATTTCTCAAAAAACTGCAAATAGAACTACCATATGATCCAGCAATACCACTGCTGGGTATATATCCAAAGGAAAGAAAATCAGTATATTGAAGAGATATCTACACTCCCATGTTTGTTGCAGCACTGTTAATAATAGCCAAGAAATAAAATCAACATACGTGTCCATTAACAGATGAATGGATGTAGAAAATGTGGCATATATACACAATGGAGTACTATTCAGCCACAAAAAGAATAACATTCTATCATTTGCAGAATCATAGAAGGAGCTGGAACTGGAGGTTCCAGTGAAATAAGCCAGGCACGGAAAGACAAATATTGGATGTTCTTACCCAAATGTGGTAGCTAAAAAAGTGGATCTCATGATGGTAGGTAGAGTTAGTGGCTACCAGATGCTGGGAAAAGCAGAAGGTAGCAGACTGTGGGAGAGATGAAGAAAGATTGGTTAATGTGTAAAAAAAATACAGTTAGAAGGAATAAGTTCTAGCAGTTGATAGTACAGTATAGTGATTATAGTTAACAATAATTTATTGCACGTTTCAAAGTAGCTAGAAGAGAAGAATTGAAATGTTTCCAATACAAAGAAAATATAAATGTTTGAGGTGATGGATATTCTAATTATCCTGATTGAATCATTACACATTGTATCAAAATATCACATTACCTCAAAAATATGTACACCTATGATATATCAATAAAAATAAAAATAAATTTTTAAGAATTTAAGAGGTAATTAAGTTAAAATGAGACTGTTAGTCTGGGCCTTAATCCAATATGACTGGTGTCTTCAGAAGAAGAGGAAATTAGTGAAGCTCCTATAAAAACCCAAAGGTTTGGAGAGCTTTCAGATACCTGAACATGTGGAAGTTGCTGGAAGGTGTTATCTCAGGAGGGCATGGAAACTCCACACCCCTTCCCCCACACCTCACCCTATGTATCTCTTTATCTGGCTGTTTATTTGTATTCTTTAAAATATCCTTCTTAAACCGGTAAATGTTTAAAAAAAAAAAAGAAGAAGAAGAAAAGGAGACTAGCACATGTGCAAAGAGGCCAGCGACACACATACATGTGCAGAGAAAAGACCATGTGAAGAGGCAGCAAGAGGGAAGCCATCTACGAGGCAGCAAGAGGGCAGCCATCTACAAGCCACAGAGACGGGCCTCAGAGGAGGCCAACCCTGATGACACTTCGAACTTGGATTTTCAGTTTCCAGAATTTTTGTGATAAAATAAATTTATTTTGTTTAAGGCTACCCAGTCTGTAGTATTTTGTTATGTTAGCCATAACAAACTAATCCAGATTTTTGGTGCTGAGAAGTAGGGCACTGCTATAATAAATATTTTTAAAATGCAGAAGTGGCTTTGGAACTGGATCATGGGTTGAGGATGCAAGAGTTTTGAGGTGGTTGTTAGAAGAAATTCAGATTGCCTTAAAAAGATTATCAGTAAAAATATGAAGTCTAAGACAGAAATGAAGAACACGTTATTGGACACCGGAGGAAAGGTGATCCTTGCTACAAAGCAGCAAAGAACTTAGCTGAAGGCTGGGCACGGTGGCTCACGCCTGTAATCCCAGCACTTTGGGAGGCTGAGGTGGGGGGATCACTTGAGGCCAGGAGTTCAACGTCAGCCTGGCAAACATGGCAAAACCCCGTCTCTACGAAAAATACAAAAAAATTAGCCGGGTTTGGTGGCGCATGCCTGTGGTCCCAGCTACTTGGGAGGCTGAGGCAGGAGAATCGCTTGAACCTAGAGGCGAAAGTTGCAGTGAGCTGAGGTTGCACCACTGCACTCCACCCTGGGTGACAGAGTGAGACTCTCTCAAAAAAAAAATAAAAATAAAAATAAATTTAAAAAAAGAAAGGAGAGAGAGAGAAAAAAGAACTTACAACTTAGCTGAATTGTGGCCTAGGTGTTTTGTGGAAGGTAGAAATTGTGAGTGATGAACTTGGATACTCTCTCATAGAGAGAGGTCTGAGCAAACTGTTAAAGGTGTGGCCTGTGAGAAGGACATAAATTTGAGGGGACAAGGGGTGAAATGTTATTGAATAAATGTGTCCCCCAAAATGTGATGGTCTTATGAAGTGGAACCTGTGGGAGGTAATTAGGTCATAAAGGTAGAGTCGTCATGAATGGGATTAGTGCCCTTATAAATGAGACACCAGAGAGTTCTAACGCCTCCTTTCAATCATGTGAGGTTACATCAAGAAGTCAGCAGTCTGTAACCTGGAAGAGGGCCCTCACCAGAACCCAACCATGCTGGCACCCTGACCTCCGACTTCCAGAGCTCTGAGAAATGAATGTGTTATTTATAAACCACACGGTCTATGGTACTTTATTATAGCAACCCAAAAGGACCAAGTTTCCTAACTGGTTTCTGTTTTACGTTATTGAATGTCCACATCTTTGTTTTATTCTATTCCTTTTCATTTACATTTAACTTACTGTCCTCTATATAGTTTTGTGAGCCAATTCATATCCTCTGGAATAACAACACTATAATCGAACCATAAATGAACTAGTCCTTGGACACTATCATTCTTCTTTCTAGTTTCTGGTCTTTACTACAATGAATAGATGATGTCTGGAGCCCTGGTATATATGAAGTAGGTTTGTGGGACTTTTTGCTAAGGTTTTGATAAGTTGAATTCGTACTCTGTTTACCAAATGTTCTAGTGACATCTTTATTATTCTCCTATTGCTATTCTTATTGCCTTATTTGCAGTAAAAGATTAACATTTAGTGTCAGACTGACTGATTAAGATTTAAAGAAACCTTGAACTGGCTTCTAATTGCCATTATTCATAGGAAAGATGAAAGTTAGACTTTTTTTTTCATAAGAAGTATTAGATGTCAATGGTGTAAAAGTCAGAAAGGAAATGTGAGGATCATTTCGGAAGAAAAATAAGAAAAAAGGAAAGGTACTTTGGGAGGCCAAGGTGGGCAGATTGCCTGAGCTCAGGAGTTCGAGACCAGCCTGGGCAACACAGTGAAACCCCGTCTCTACTAAAATCCAAAAAAAAAAAAAAAGCAGAGCGTGACAGCGTGCGCCTGTAGATCCAGCTCCTCAGGATGCTGAGGCAGGAGAATTGCTTGAACTTGGGAGGCGGAGGTTGCAGTGAGCCAAGATTGCACCTCTGCACTCCAGCCTGGGCAACAGAGTGAGACTCTGTCTCTTAAAAAAAAAAAAAAAAAGGAAAAAGGAAAAAAAGAAAAAGGAAGGGTACAGACAGACACAGGCTTTTGGGGAAGGTTGAAGGAATGAAGTGTGTAGGCCCTGTGTATACATAGAAAGGCCTTAAGCCGCACAGGATGCACTCATTGGCAGCTGTCCTTACAGACACAGTTGAGCTGCCAATACTGGCTGATACAAGCTACTTCATGTCAGCATTTGTCAATGGTGCACAGATAATGGGTTGTTACACAAATTTGTTTCCAAGATGCATGGCGTATCAGCTGTCATTGTTTAATAACTATCTGGTTATTTGAGTGTTTTGCAAAAATTATCATCGAAACATATGGTGTGAAAAATATATCCTTCTTTAAAAAATGATATTGGCTCACAGAGATGTTCTGAAGTTACTCCTGGGCAACAAAGGGCAGGTTTGCTACTGTTATAGACTTGAAAGTAATTTTGTCTTTAAACTAGATATGATTTTTAAATGAGGCAATGGGACAGGGTAGCTGCACCCAAATATGTTTCATGAAGGTGCTGTGCTTTCCTTTTCTAATATTTCTCTAGAATTTTCAACCTCATTGTGTGTGATAATTCCTACCTGACTGTATTATACTAAACCATGTTCTTTTCTTGCCTCCAGCTGTGGTAATGGGAAATAAACAAGGCTGATATTTACAACTCCATTTTCTTACTTGCTGAAGTATTCTGCGATTTTGTTCCCTGATTGGATTCACACAATTACTGGTTTGCTATTTTCCTAGCTATTGAGCTCAGGTTGCAACTAGATCAGAATTCGACAGCCAGGGTTGTTCGCTGGAATGATACCTTCCTGTGGCATAATTCCCACATTATCGTCACTGATTTCCAAGAGCAAAGGGCAACCTAATTTTTAGATCTCAGAGCTCACTTACATACGTTTATTACACCTAGCTTGGAAGACTTATTTGAAAAGTAACTTCAAAGAAACAAGACAACATTCATTCATGCATGTATCATTCAAATTTCTCCTTTGGATGTTTTTGCTTCTTCCAAAAATAAAAAAACTATATGAATCTTTACATACTTAATTTTGAGAATTTGGTATGATAACTTTAGGCAAACAGGTAATTTGATACTAATGTAGCATTTGAACAAAAAGCATTATGTGATTCTGTGATATACAGAAAACTTTTGTATTACGTACCATAGATGAGAACAGGCAATACTATTTGCAAAGGCAGTTTTTGTCACATTTGTAGCAAAATAGTGCTATTCTTCAAACTTGCTATTTACTTTGATGTCAAGAGAAACACTTTTGAGAGACTTTCCCATGGCGGAAATTGTGGAGCATGTATGTGTATGTGCATGTGTGTGTAAGAGTTTTGAGATAACTAAAAGTTAATATTGCTGAAATGTATGCGTGTCTTCTTTGCCAGGAGGCTCACCTTAAAATCTGGGGGGAAAATCAACTTAAAACTAGAGGCTAAGTTACAAACAGAAATGAAGCCAAGTTGTGATCACGATGACTCACACAGATTTGTCAAATTTTGTTGTTTGGTCCACCAGCCACTGGAGAACATGGTGCACTTTTGTTGGTGTTACTAGGCTGGCTTTGTTCAAGGATTCTCAGGAACTGTCCAGCATTCTTTGAAGTACTGAGTAGCATCAGTTCATCTCAAAGATCACTTGTGTCTAGTGGCAAAAGGTCCAGAAGTCAACGTCTGATATATGTAACTTTAAACTTGCAAAAGAAGTGAATTGTATTCATTCTGGGGCTCACCTTGGGGTACATAAATGTTCTGATACGCTCTTCAATCGGTGTGATCTTTATAATGTCTTCAGTGACTAGACTGAGGAAGCCAGCAAAAATGCTACACAAAACATTTAATACCTACCCTTTTACTTATTTAGTGTGCTACAGTGCAATCTCCAAAGTACATTTCATATAATATCAAGAGTCACCTGATATATTTAGAATCCTCACCTCTGTTTTAAAACTTCCATGACATGGGTTCTTATTCCCAGACCATTCTGAGCGCCATCTCACATTCCCTCATGCCCCTAAATTTAAATTTTAAGCCATTACTTTCCATAAAGCTCAAGATGTAAAAAACCTATTTTAACATTCTTCAATATGTAAAAATCACCACCATCAATAATGGTTTTTTCATTTACACACATTGAAGTCTCATAAAAATCAGTATTTCCCCAAATTCGAGAAATTAAAGAGCATGATTTCTGAGTTGGTGGTATTTCCTTCAACTCTCATAGTTTTGAATTTACTGACCACTCTGCATTTTTAAAGCTTTTGGTTCAGTTGCCAAAAAATGCATTGAAAAGTAAATCCTTTTTGTAAGTTCCCTTAGACTTCATCATGAGTCACTTGAAATAGAATCAAATTTCCCTGAATGTATTCTTCCATTGTTATTGGGAGAACTGGCTAAAATAAGAAATTGGGAGGTATCAAAATAACTAAAATTAGTTTATTAAACCATAGATTTAAAAATGCATTTCTGAAAATTTTGCAAGAAAGAATTTTATGAGGAAAAAAATCTCAATTTTATGAAAAAGAATAGATCTAGTATATCTTTCACGTGCCTTCCTAATTTGAAGGTGTTATTAACAGTATTATTTTCTGTGTCAAACTTTGTGCCATCCAAATTCTTTATTTTGTGCTCACTGTAAGATGATGATGTAGTGTATATGAGGAAGACTTAGAATATGCTGCTATTATTTATACTGAAAAATAAGGTTTATACTTGTGAGATCTGACAAGGAACTATACTGAATAAATAGCTCCTTGGGGCAAAAATTATATTTCATTCATAATTGTATCTCTAACTTTTAGCCCAGTGCCAGACACATAGCAAGTCCTCAATAGATATTTATTAAATAAATAAATCAGTCCTGTTTTTAATTATAATTGTGCATTAGACATTGTAACCTAGTTAGGAGAGCTATCATCTTATGAGCTACATGTGTTCTGTGTATGTGTGTGTATATATATACATATGCATGTATGTACTTTTTTCCTCCAAGATTTTACATTTGCTTCATTTGGGATTAAATTCAAAATTCTAAAACTCCTTGGGAAATATTATGGTTTTAAAGGAAGACTTCTCCTCAGGCAATTTTCCCTGGTCTTTACAGTAAAAGCCTTCATCTGCATTGCCAGACCTCTCATAAACCTTGACATGGCACTCTCCTGTGTCAATTTGCATGCTTTGTCGTAAGAACAAGATGAGTGATGTTACACCAAAGGACTTTCTGTTCATTCATAACCTTCGAAAGTCACTGGCTTCCAAATATAATGACATTATCCCCAAATTTTGCTTTTTGATCTATGTACATTTTATAATTAATCTGTACAGAATGAAAGATAAGCATTGAGATCAAGTTGCTTTGCATAAACAAACTAAGAAGTTAAAATAAGATAATCTAACAATTTTCCCCGGATAAACTATAGCCAAATGCAAAGTATGGCATTCACAAGTGTCAAATTGTCAAGGAACAAGATAAATTAACACTAAGAATAGTGAGATAGAATCATGAAAGCTCAAATAATTATTTTAATAAAGAAAGGTCTTTTGATATTAACAACAAACAAACAAAAACCCTGTTGGGTAATAAAGGCTTTAGGGTTGATTTTTTTTTTTACTTTCATGTATTAGATTCCCTGAATAACAAAACTAATATCTTATTAATATGAAACCACTAATGCCATAATGAGTATTATGAAGTATTAAAATCATTATCCACTGAGATAATGCTAGATAATCACTAAGCTGAGTGAATGCTTCAGCCTGAATCAACAGTGTGCTCAGTACATGCATTTGGCAACATTGGTCCCAAGTGGTTGCAGCCTATTTTTATAGTGTGTTTCTACGACAAAGTCCCCAAATAAGCAGAAATGACCATTTTTATTTTATCTCTTAAAGAAATGATATGGAAAACGCATATTCCATTCACCAATGCTTCATAGTACCACAAGAAAACCAAAATTCAGAGTTTGGATGGTGGTTTGGTTCAAAACAATGAGTATATTACTTTTTCTTTTTGTTTTAGTCCTGTAGCTTTGTAGACAGTTTAAGGTACCCTACTGCCACTTGAATTCAGAAATTAGATAACACAAATGCAAGCACACAGAAATTCTGAGTGCTATATCCATGTAAAGCATAATTAGTGCTTTTTACTATTACTAATACCATTGATGTCTCTCAACAGAACTTGATGTTCCTTTTCCAAGTCAATAGGAGAGTAACATAAGAGCTAGGTCAATTTGGTCTTACTGGTTTCTCCATCTTTCCAGGTTAAAAGATCTGTTGCTCCACTCAGCGTTATGGACCCAGGAAATCAGCAACTAAGGAACAACTGCAAACTTTGAAGTCAGTAAGGACCCAGGAAATTAGAAGCTAAGGGATCGTGACCTTTGAAGTAAATAAATCTTGCCTGTATACTAATTTCAGAGGATATAAACTGTTCCTTAATACTGCCTTAAAAATTATATATTTGTGTGTATGTATAATTTTAATGTATATGTTATATTTAATGTATATATTATATATGAAATACAAAAATATATTTTATATTTACTGAAATATAAAATACATGTAATGTTACAGGCTTAATAAAAAGTGACTTAATATCTTGTCCTTGCTATATGTCAGAAGTAATTAGTATTCTATTCATTTGTAAACATTAAAAATTTTTCAATGCATTTAAACTTTTTGAAGCGTATCATAGAAATTTAAAGATCAAGTTTTGCTTTAGGATCATTTATGCTTCATTGAAACTTTGCATGATGTCCCTCTCCATCTTTCATTCAAAAGTCTAAATTTAGGATGGTGTGAGATTACAGCAAAAGGAGAGTTACAGAATTGAGCCAGTTATCTAAAAAAAAACTCAGGCCAAGGTTGCTCTTTTCTCAATTCTGGGAACCTTTTCCATTATTTCAGCTAAAAAGCTTGTTTCATTATCATACATCACAGAGTCACTTTAAAAGTGTATATGGATGAAATGTATACATTCATTATGTATTTCCCGAATTCTCTTCAAAGAAAACTTGCCAGACTATATATATTAATCGGAAATTGTTGCTTTATTCTCACCATAGAGGAACCATATAAAACACTTGATCATAAAGTAAGTTCTAAAATTATAAACATTTGAGAGTATTTTGTAATAGAATGTGTTCACTGACATTGCTCAGAAAACAAAACTGAGGAGAAGGCTAAGCTCCCTGTTGAATACTTCCAAGCACTGGATTAGCAGGTAAAATGAGAATCCACACTTTCAATAACTGTTGAACATGTGGGAACATGTGAATACATCCCCAAGACTTTGAGTGATGCAGATTTTACCACTTCCTTTTACGAAGTAATTTCATATTTTTGACATGAGAAAAATAAACCCCTAACAAAAACCATTTGCTTTTAAGAAAATCCAGTCTATTTTCACAGATTTGTGCTGGTCTCTAACATCTGACTTATTATAAACTACAATAACAACTTTGGTTAATTTCCCTCTCCCTGCAAAATTCTGCCACAATGCTCACAAATTCTAAAGGCTTTTGAGTGTATTATGATGCATCATTAGCTGCCAACATGCATCTGACCCACTGAATATTTTGTACAAACTGGCTGGAAGTACACGGCTCGTAGCACCCATTATGTTGTCCTTTTTTTTCTTTTACTTTTCCTTCCTTTCTTTCTTTTTCCCTCCCTCCTTCCTCTGTTCCTTCTTTTCTTTCTCTCCCCCACCTTTATTTATTTTTTTTTTTGCAATACTTAGTTGCAAAAATGACTTAGTAAGAAGTCATTGTTACTGTCTAGACTTTTGTCTTTATGGTCTGTACTTTTCAGAACAAAGGTTGTGTTCAAGTACTTAACCTCAATAGTATTCACTTTGGTCCCTGCTTTCTGTACTTTCTGGCATGCAGAATTAATGTGAAATTTTAGATAAACTTAGGTTTCTTATCCTTTTTTATTTGCAAGGTGAGTTGCAGTCTATTTGAACCTGTTGGATTCAAAATATCCTTGGTAGGAATATATGAACTTTTTTTTAGCTGGAAGCTAGTTAACTAGATTGAAGAATATGGGATGGAGCCCACTTTCCAGGATGTTTCATTTGGGGATGGGAAATGGAGGAGAATTTTGACCAGAGAACAGATGGCCAATAGGTAATGATATGGAGAAACTGAACACAAGAGTCGGCACACTGGAGTTTTTCCAGTTGCCTCAGTCAGTTTGTTGCTCTAGCAATTTCTCTGTTTTGTTCACATTGTTTACTTTGCTAGTGTTTTCACATTATCTGATTTCATTTACACAGTTCCATTTAAGCCAGTTTCATTGATCAAGAAGCCAGGGGAACTGATGAAGTGACCAAAAGGTCTTAGAGGGTAGGTGAGACTGACTAAAGATTAGAGTCACTTGTTCCCACACTGGAGTTTTAAGTGGCACTTAACATACTTATTCCATATAAAAGAAAATAGATTCATATAGTTATTCAGCATGTCCTCAACCACCCTTCTCATCTGGGCTGCTATGTAAATCCCTAGAAATTGAAGGATCACTGTGTTATACCTCTTGTAATTATGGTGACCAGGCACTCAGTATTGTCTGATAGTTTCAATTTAAAATATTTTATACTATGTCCTAGTAAGTATATTTATGACCAACATTTAAAAACACTCAACAAACAGACACATGTGAACTATTTAAATGAGCAGTGCCATAACATGAAAGTAGCTCCCTCTCTTGAGAAACAGCACAGGGCATGTTTCTAGTCCCTATGGGGAATCCTGCACTTGACCATGGGACAAGTAAGACCATATAGAATCAAGATGATCACATAGTGGTTAGAAGCCTCATAAAAGCATCTTAGATTTGGATGGACTCAGGTTCAAATCCCTACTTTACCACTTACCATTGTGCCTTGTTCCACTCTGAGCCTTAGTTTGCCAATCTGTTAATTAAGAATATCTGCCGTTGCCTTAGGGAGTTGTTATGGGCATTAAATTTAAAAACGGATATAAAGAACAGTGGTTCACACATAGTCAATGCAAATTTATGGCTATAATTATTTTGCTACAATGAAATAATTTCAAATTTATGAAGAACTTAAAAGGTCTCTTCACTAGAGAGTATGACAGAGCTTTTCAGACAGCTTTATGCAATCTCACTACAAAAATGGAGCCCTCCCCAACTCCATCCCTACCCACCACGACCTTATTCAGGTGAAATATCATCTTATTAAGAAGAAATTAAATCTATCAACCCCATTTAGTCCTATGCCCTTTCTATGTTAATGCTAACAAAAGTGTCCTCTTTTTAAGAAGAGTTGAGCCACAGGGAAGTGTTCTGTGGTGGCTGGCAATCTCAGATAGAAGTAATATTCTGTTTCTCTATGGAGCTATAAATCCTCAGTATCCTAATAATCACCCCCACCCACAACACACACACATACAATCTTGCAGCTAATTCCAACCTCCGGTAGTTACAGACATATCCTATCTAAAACTCTTTATGAATTCAGATCTAGGTGGCTGAATCATCCTGCAGCTGAAATCTGGCCCATGGATGCCTTTCTTGCTGAAGCAAAGCCTTTACAGAGTGTTTCAATACTGGAAGGGCTCACTGTCATGCTTGTTAGCGTCTTGCTCCAGTACACAGAAAAATTGATTCTTTTCGCAGGTCAAATTATTTTTGTATTTTTCTTTTTTCATGCACAGTAACTCCATTCTTTTACCTGGTCAGTTCCTTTAAGAAAGATTCGGTTAGGGGAGCTGCATCTGATTATCTTCTTCCACCAATGCATGGTGCAAAGACAGTTTAATTCTTAAGGAGAGAATCATTTAAGTGTGACCTATTGTGCTAGTCTGGATGCTTTTCATATCAAGCACCAGAGAATTAAAGAGGTCTTTAATTTTTCTAAAGCACATTGATAATTTACATTGAACTTAAAGTTCCCACTGCCTTTTCCAATCAGCTCAACTATTCCCAGATATTCTAAGATGAATTTTAAAGAATAAAATCTTCAGCTAACATCTCTAAAAAGGATCCCTAGACTAATATAATGGCTCATAGGAAGATTGCCACATGGCTAAAATGATTTCCCAAAATTGTGCACTAATTGTCTTAAACACATCCCACCTAACTGGCAGTCATAACTTCAACTTCAGCACTGCTCTATATTCATTCATTAACAGTATTGTTGTGGTTGTCCAAATACATAAAGCAGTATAATTCCAGAAATATGGCCTATATAGGTTTGAGTAAATACTACAGTTTCTGGATGGATGGATTTGTTGTTAAAACAATAAAATTGTTATGGAAAAAATAATAGAGATGCAATTGATAATACATGTAGAATCCACTTGCCAATAGGCCAAAAGTGACCTTTTCAAATGAAGGAAGATAAGTAAAAAGACATGATAATAAAAATAACGAATATATATTGAGCACTTACTACGAAATTTGTTTTATGAGCATTATCTTATTGAATCTTCAACATGCCTGGGAAGCATATACTGTTTTCATTCCCATTGGAAAGAAGTCTTGGGGAGATTTGAGTTGCCCAAAGTTCCAAAGACAGGAAGCAGCAAAGCTGAGATTCAGACCCACTTGACATCAATGCCCATGCCTGTATCTATGATGCCAGAGTGCCAGGCTTCTGAGTGTGAACTCAGGGGTCTTATGTAGCCATAACCTCGTCTTCTTTTTTGTAACATTGACGGTAGTGGGCTAGATCAAAGGTAGCAAACGGCCCTAAGTCATATAGCTAATAACCATAATAAGGCTTCATCCAGCATGATCCTGAAGCAATTTGTCAGGTACGTTTCTTGGCCAAGAAGCGACTTGTTGTATTGGGCTTTACAGCGATTTTCCATAGAGTGTTCCTTTAATTTTCATCATCTATTATGACTAAAATTAACATGAAAAACATATTTAAAACAAAGTGGTTTGGGGGGTTTGCCGGCTTTTAGTTTTCTTTCTAAGGCCTCTGCAGGCTCAAAGCCTGCCTTTTGCCAGCTGCTTGGGTGTTGTACTGTATTCTCATTTGGCTTGTTCTGATACAGGTGGGGTGAAGGGAAGGGGTACACACCCCCAAGGGATCTGGAAATGTCTCTTGCGTTCAATTATCTCTTTGTAAAACCTTCTCATGCAAAAGACACTCCTGCTAGACTTCAGTGAAAAGGATTCAGAGCCAGGACCTAATGACATATTTTGCCTTATCTTGTATTCACTCCCAAAACTAAGGCTACCTGATTTCTCTCCACTCAGGTCTATGTTTACTTAGTAGGGCTGAGAATTGTAAGAATTACCTTTACTGCTCTGATCCAAAAATAAGAAATAACTAAAACAAGAGTATGGTTTTAAAAATTAAGTAGAAAATAACCCTGAAACCAACATTGCTAAGGTAAACTTCCTTTGTGTCTAATGATCCCTTCAGCTCTGAAAGATTCTTCAAACTAAGAGATATAAAAATGTGTGTAAGAGGCTTGGTCCTGAATAAATGGCAGGGAAGGCTGTCGTGGAGCTTTATTTCCACTTCTCATCTTCTAATCTCTTTCCTCCGATCCTCTGCTGGCCCCCATGAACACCTGGAATAGAAGCAAGAGGAGCAGAAAAGTCTAATTGTTTTCTCCTCTGGCCCTTCCAGGGGTTTATCTACTTTTTGGCAAACTGTAAGACTGGCAGCATGGTGATGGGGCAGGGGTGAAGCTAGGAAGGGAGCCGTGGATCCTGATACTCAGATGTTTGCTAAGTGAACTATCTTTCAGATTCCTTCTTTTAGGTACCACCCCTCTATAGACAGGTCAATAGGCAGTTTTCCCTGAATGGGAAGCACAATGGACAACCTTTATAATTCTAGGATTCGAGACAATGACTAATACCTGCATTACAGGCAAGCTGGACTCCTGTGGGCCTTTAAAATACATAGTTTGGTGTTTTGTGGGATTCAATTTAGGAGCTCTACAATCTGTTTGGTAATGAGCCCTATTCCAGTGATATCTGAGCTCTCCTTATGTGGCTGTCTCCATCTTATCCTTTAGATCTTGGCTAAGAAATTGAATCCTCAGAGGGGAATTTTGTAGTTCCCCCTATCTAGCCTCAGTGCCCAACTTCTTTCTGTTAGAGGATACTGTTCTTTCTTACATGTAAACCTAACACACTTTCATCATTACTGTTTATTCTTTTACTTGCCTGTGGCATCTTTTTTCTACTAGAAGGTAAGGCCTATAAAGGCAGGACTTTGTCTGTCTTGTTCATCACTGTTACCCAGTACCTGAGACATGGCAGGTGCTCAGCAAATATTTTCTCCATAATAACTTAAAAATGACATGCATAATGATAAAGCATTATACTTCTATGCTCTTTCATGTCTAGCTTCTATATCCACTATGTCATGGGACTCTCCCAATAGCACTGAGACAGGCTGGGCAAATATTATCTTAAGTTTATGAATATAGAAACTAAGTGGTGGTAATCAGGCTTCCAGTATTCACACCCTTGTGTAGTCTCCTCCCACACTGAATAATACTGATATGTATCACCAATAAAGTATGCAAACATGATGAGGTATGGCTTCCAAGACTGTATAATGAAAGGCATTGAGGCTTTTGCCTCACCTTCTTGAATCACTTACAACTGGGGAAAGCCAGTTGCCGTGTCATGAGGATACTCAAGCAGCCCTGTGAAAAGGCCCACATAGAAGGAAATGAGGCTGCCTGCCAGCAGCCCAGACTAACATGTAAGCCATGTACATGACTATCTTGGAGACAGATTTTCCAGCCCCAGTTAAGCTTTCAGATGACCACACCTTGGCCAACATTTTGGTTACAACCTCACGAACCACTCAGATAAGCTTCGCCTAAATTTCTGGCCTATAGAAACTGAGATAATAAATGTTTGTTGTTTTAAGCCACAACATTTTGGAGTACTTTGTTACACAACAATAGCTAACCAATACTCCAGTCTCAGAGAGGAATGCCAATTCTTAATCCTGTCTCCCACCTTTCCCCTTTTATACCATCTACTCCAACCCTCCTGCCTCCTGTCAGAAAATCCCCAAGTGTATGTGTGTAGTAAATATAGACCAAAATACAACATGTGGAGTGTGCTCAGTATTATCCCACTACAGCCTCCTTTGGCAGATAAATCATTCCCATTCCCATTATCTTGAAGAGAAGAGAACTAAAAGAAGCTACTTAAGAAACTAGGTAACTGACTTTTGTGAAAGTCAGATTATAGATTCGTCAAGATCAGAGTAGCTACTAGGCCAAGCCTAGATGTTCCAGGGAATACTTTATGTTAAATTTTATGTTAAAATGTTTTAACATAAAATAGCTATAAACTTACTTATAAGTGGTGGTGAGAGGCTGAGGGGTGCTGTGGAAGCTGGAAAGATAGTTTTAATTTGCACTTTAGGCTTTTAAGAACCATATATTCTCATTGGAACTGACTCAAATACCATTTTAGTATTTATATAAGGAAAGTCTGAACAAAGTCATATTTATGCATTAATGTGCTTTACAATACCAAACGTAAACTTGCCTTGCAAAAGGCAAGATAATCTGTCATTCCACATATTTGAATACATGCTGCTGGTCAAATCATTCCACAGTTACTCCCTGACCCTGCTCTCCAGCGTAATAACCAACATAACAGCTCATGGAACAGTCCTTAAAAATAAAAGACTTTTATTTGCATGTGATCTCACCACTGGGCTCCAGCCTGTGTGACACAGCAAGACCCTGTCTCAAAAAAAAAGTCAGTCAGTCAGTGGGGGGGTCAGGGGAAAGTGTTGACTTTTACTTTTAAATAAAAGTAAGATCACTTGGTTTTCCTTCTTTCTTCATCCACATGCCCTCTCTGCTTAAATTTTTCTTATGACAGCCCCTTAAAGTGGTCATCTGGGCTCAGTTCATACTCTCCCATTAGCCAAGAAACAAAGCTGGCCCAACTGTGTGTGTTTCTGAGTTGCTCTAAAGTGATTCTCCAATGGTAAATGATAAAAGGCAAAAAAATCTTTAGATTTGTTTCTCTTTATCACAGCCATAGTTACCAGTGATGGAAGGTAAATTTTATTAAAGACATGAACTATTCTTTATGAAGTCATGCTCATTCTGTTCCAGTAACAGGTATTCTCCCAGGTGGGTGTGTGGGGTGGGGGGAAGGGGTAGAAGGGTATCTCAGGGCCCTGGTTGCCATGTCTAACTCGATCAGCGCCATCTCATCCCCATTCCCAAGATATCTTTTGCTTATGCTCCCGGGAGATATAGTGGCTAACAGAAGAATCCCAACTTTATCACTGATTAATTGTGTGATTTGAGTCACATTATTTATTCCTCTGAACCTCAATTTGTCATCTTTAGGCATTTACCCTGCGTACCTCACAGGGTCTTGGAAGGATTAAATAAGATTATGTGTGAAAAAATTTTTTTAATTTTTAAAAAATTTTTGTTGGTACAGAGTAGGTGTGTATATTTATAAGATACAGGAAATGTTTGATACAGGCATACTAATTTTTAAGTGAGAGATAGACATATGAAATATATTGCAGCAGTTGAATGTCTCATTAAAGCTCATGGCAAGAAGTATTCATGGATAAATGGTAGACTGTATTGCAATAATCACTGCTGTTCTAACATGCCCCAAATATGATAATATGTAGATGATGATAAGTTCTATGGACAAAAGTAAATCAGCAAAGGCATATAGGGAATGAGGGGTCGGACTGCAATATATATTGGTTGTCAAGGTCATCTTCACTAAAAGGTAACAAATGAAAAAATATGAGACCCTTCCTTCATGATTTTTATGTCATTTACTCATTCAGCCAGTATTTTTTAAATGCTTTTTATATGCCAAATATTGTTCTATGTTCTGGAACAAATAGAAGTGAATAAGTGGCCTGGCATGGTGGCTCATGCCTGTAATCCCAGCACTTTGGGAAGCTGAGGTGGGTGGATTCCTGGAGCCCAGGAGTTTGAGACAAGCCTGGGCAACATAGCAAAACCCTGTACCACAAAAAAATACAAAAAGCTAGCTGGGTATGATGGCATGCACCTGTAGTCCCAGCTACTGGGAGGTGGAGGTAGGAAGATCACTTGAACCAACGAGTTGAGACTGCAGTAAGCCATGATCTCACCATTGTGCTCCAGCCTGGGTGACAGAGCAAGACACTGTCTCAAAATAAATAAATAAATAAATATAAAAAGTGAATAAGTCAGCGGGGGGCCTGGGGAAGGTGTTGACCTAAGTAACTTTGAAAAATTGTGTTTTTACTGGAAACTGCAAGACTAAACAAAACTGTACTGTGCTTACTGTACTCTAGCTGGTGACTTTTCTCATGGGGGTATAGGCTAACAATTATGAAATTGCTGTACATATATACTAAGATTGAACAAGTGAGCAAATGGATGGTGCATGACAAGAACCAGATTTCTACCAGCTGGCATAGAAAGTTACAGATAAGCCACGAGGGAAGTCTAGAGTGAACCACATGGTACTGGACTAGATTCAGAGACATCAGTGTGAACTCATGTTTAGCTTATATAGATGCAGATGGTTTGATAGAGAAAAATTACAGTTATGTGCATATACATGGGTTGCTATAGACACACACACATATAAATATATTTCCTAATTCTCTCCACTGAGAGGGCCTGGAAGTAATGACAGGCTATTAGCGATCTTGATTTCTAATACCATTTTTCAATAAAAGGATCAGATGTTCTTGAAAAATTAACTGATTCTAAAGCTGGGGCGGGAAATATACAAGATAGGCCTGGAAGTGGAGAATCTTTTTTTTTTTTTTTTTTTTTTTTTTTTTTTTTTTTTTTTTGAGACAGGGTCTCACTCCCATCACCCAGGCGGGAATGCAGTGGCACGATCATGGCTCTTTGCAGCCTCAACCTCCTGGGCTCAAGCAATCCTTTCATCTAATTTTTCTATTTTTTTTGTAGAAATGAAGCCTCACTATGTTGCCCAGGCTGGTCTCAAACTCCTGGGTTCAAGTAATCCTCCTGCCTCAGCCACCCAAAGTGCTGGGATTACAGGCGTGAGCCACCATGCCCAGCCAGGAGCATCTTTTAATGACAAAAAAAATAAGGAATTGCTTAAAAGATCAAAGGATAGGGGTTGCATATCAATGGCACATAGGAACCAATTTGAAAGAGCTTCCAATGGTCAAAGATGAAACAATTTGAGCAACGAAATAAATGACAGTTTTGGATTATAACCCAAAGTATAAATAAATAGCAACGAGTTCATATTGATATAAATAGATAGTTGAATAAATAAATAAATGAGAGGAGATAGATCTCCAGTGTAGAAAAATCCCAAATAATGTTTGTGGATATAACCTCTTAAAAAAGGTAGAGCTTATTTCCCTACAAAAACACCATGAATATGGGATATGCTTAGTAATGTAGTTCTGAAGAGTAGAGCATGTATGGGGTAGAAAAAACGGGGTAACCTTAGAGGAGAAACCTGTCAAACACTACTTCAGCCAGGTTAATATTGTGATAAGTAATGTTGATATTATGCACCCTTGATACGATGTATGAGAAAGGCATTTTACCTTTAAAGTCTTCCTCCCCAAAGCACATTAACTCCAGTATAACTTCAAGAAAACATCAGACAAACTTTTGGACTTTATACAGATATATTTCTCGAAACTGTCAAGGTCATCAAAAGCTATGAAAAGTCTGAGAACAAATGAGCCTAAGGAGACATAACATCTGAATATACTGTGTTTCCTGGATGAAATCCTGGAATGAAAAAAGGACATCAAATAAAAACTAATGAAATCTGAAGAAAGAACAGTTTAGTTAATAGTAACGTACCAACCGTCCTTCCTTAGTTGTGGCAAGGTAATTACCGTAGTAATTAATGTAAGATGCTCACAGTAGGGGAAATTGCATGCAGAATATATAGGAATTGCCTGTGCTATCTTTTCAGCTTTTCTGTGAATGTAAACTTATTCTTTTTTAAAGTTTATTTAAATTTAACAACAATGAAAAATAAATGTCAGACACTACCCTTGTCCTTATGGAGCTGATACTAATCAAATAATCAAAAAAAGTTTCACTTTTTTTTGCATTTTGTAAATGCTAGGAAGGTACTATGGAAGAAAAGTACTGAGGCCATGAAAGAAGAAAATTGTGATGAGGAGATTGATCTCATCTCTTAAGACAGAAAGTAATGCTGAAAGGCCATTTGCTCTAAAGGAGGTGTAGGTAGGAGTTTGGAGGATGGAATGGAGAATGGGGAGGAGAAGAGTTTTCCATGCAGAGGAAACACGACATGCAGAGTTCTCTAACTTGAGGCTGTCTACAATGTCTCTGATTTTGATATCGTCATTGTACACTAGAATTTAAAATCAAAGGATTTGATCAAAGAATTTGATCAAAATTCTTACAGGCCTGAGTTTGAGTCTCAGTTCCAACAGTTATTAAGTGTATGGACTTGGAGGCAAGTTACTTAAACTTTCCTTGCTCAGGGATGGGAATAATAACTCCTACTTTGCAAAGCTGTTTTAAGAACTGAATGCGATAAGGAACATAACATGCCCAGCAGAATATCTGGCTTTACAGGAAGTACCCAAAGAATGATAGTTATTAATTATTATAATACTATGATCATCAAAAATGTGAGGGGCTGGATGAGATTATGCCTGAATTTTCTTCTGGCTATAGGATTTGTTGGACCACTAGCTATAGGTATTTGCACAGTTTCTATGGGAAAGGGGCTATTTGTATTATAAAAGCAAAGTAAAGCAGTAGCTTCTAGAAGGAATACAGGTGTAGATCCAGGCATCTTCTACCTAAAACCCTAAATTTTATGCAAAACTAAAATCCTTCGGCAAGAAAACATTGAAATATACTCAGGGGAAATATAAATGTTAATTTGATGTAAAACTCCAAAACACAGAGTGAGACAAATCAGGTCATTTTCAAGTTAAGCAAAATAAGTAAAGATTTTTTTTTTTTAACTTGGGTACAATTCAAACCAAGCAAGTGCTTTTTCAGTTTTATCATTATTTAACAAAATAAAGCAATCTCCAAATATTATGGCTTTTCTGAATCCAGATGTGACAATCAATAACTTAGACGTATTTTTGTGGATACAGTTAGAAAGAACTGCTTCTTGATGTCACACTTTCACAGAATAGAAAAATGGAGAATTAGAGCTAAAAGGTTCCTCAGAGACCACATAATGCCATGGATAGGATAAGAAAATTGAGATTCAAGTTATGAAGAAATTTGCTTCAGGCCAGAGACAAGACCAGAATGCAATTTTCAGCTCCTTTTTCTTCCTAAACCATATTACCCCTCAACCACAAAGCCCCCAAGTGGTATAAGATTCTCAACCATGATACATCATAAAATGAAGTCCTACCCACTCATAAACCTATGTTATTATAGAAAGAACAAGCTAAATTTCACAGTTAAGAAATATCTGTAGTAGACCGTAGTAGCAATGTTTAAAAACAACTTCAATTACAGTAAAAACAAGTCTTCTTGTTTAAGCTAAATCTGGCTGTAGTGCAATTGCCTCTAAGAAATTGTCTAGGGGTAGGGTGAAAGGGTTAAATCCATGAAGTACATTTTTCAGCCACTAGCTGTGGTATCCTGGGTAATTACTGAGGCTTACTGGAGACCACACCTTAGATAAACCTGTAATGCTGGAGTTTTCTGCAAACATTTTCTTTCCTGCAAGCTGTGGCTTGTTTCTTTCATAGATTTGTCCTATGTTTTCAACTTGATTTTCCAGTGGCTAGTTTATACTTGGTAGAGCCAACAAATCATGGTCTGTTGATTTAGCTCTATATCTTCTTGGTGCTTGCGTGAGACAACCATGCCAGCTATGTGGTAATGAACACAATCAAACCAGATGAATTATTTTCCTACTATAGGAATACTATTTAAAAAAAAGAGAGAGAAAGAACTGGTTCAGGTGAAGATCATGATTTAATATCCCTTGCTTTATTCGCTGATTTTAAAAATAATATAGGCTTTGCCTGAAACTGTAATTTTATTCAAATTTCACTTCTTAAGTGAACATTTGATTTTTCTCATTTTAAAAAAAATCTGGCTTGTAAACAAAGCCAGTACAAGAACAGTCTGAGGACAAGGTGGTGCTTGGTGTGACAAAGGTATGTGTGTCCTTGGGAAAGCCGATTCTCCATCATGGTGCCCTATGAAAAATGAAATGACAATCAAGAAATCATATTTTGGTCATGTCAGTCTAAAAAGTATACAAAGCAAAGCAGTTTGTATTTTAGTTTTGATGGTTATTAACTACAAGTTACTCTTGAGGGTGCATATACCTTTGGGGAAAAAAAACTCTTATGACATCTAGGTCAATGGGGATGTAGCTTTTGGCTTTGTAAAGAAAGGTGGTGCTCCCATTTTTCTCTCCATCTCCCTGCATCTCACCACCACCATCTCCACCGGACCTAGGAGAAAATGCAATGGATAATCACAGACTAAGAAAAAAATTGTATTTTTGTAAGGTTAGCAAGCATAGCAGTATTATTTTCTTAGTTTCACATGTTAGATGAAGAATTAAGCCAGAGATACAGGCATTTGAAGTGACATGCTCAAGGTTCTAAATGAAGCCAACAGCAGGGGGATTACCACCCAGGCCAACGTGCTCTGCAAATGCCCTCCGGACACTCTTTGGATAATCGTCAACATCAACATCACCCAACAACACTTCTCACACACACATTAGTGGAATTACTTTAACCAAATAGCTTGATCACTATCTAGCTGAAAAGGCAGCATTTTGGAAATAAAAATTTTGATCAGGGATAGAAGGAAGAATCAGTTTTGAGCCAGAAGCCTTGGAGGAGGGGAGTGATAAAGGAAAAAATACATATATTTATTAATTTGGTTTTTGTTCTTTTTTATTTTAGTTTTTTCTTGTTTCTCAGAGCAGATTAACTTTTTCTTTTAATTCCAAACGTAATAAATGCTTAAAGCAACAAGTAGTATTATCCAAAAATGTAGAGAGAGCTTTTAAAGTGAAAATATCCTCACTGAGATTAACCAGTACTAACAGCCTGATGCATATCTTTGGGGGCTTTTAAAAAGCCACAAAGGAAATATAAAGAGCATGGTGGAAGTGTGGGAAGTGAGGCAGGAAGGAAAAGGATTAAGGTTCAAGAAAAGGGGAGGGAGAGCCATCCCTCCTAAGTTGCCCTCAAACCTGCCGCAGTCATAACCAGGAGACTAAATTCTACGTAGGGAAGGCTGTGATTTCAGTCTCCCCTAGGTCAGCTTCATTGCCCCACTTGTCCTGGTGTAGGCTTATGAAATCCCTATCCCCCCACCCACACAATGTCACTTACAACCCAATCATCCACAAGGGCACAAAGACAGAAAAACAGAAAGTGACAAGTAATGGAGAATAACTTTCTGCTTCTGTTCTCTGAAAAGAGGCTGTTAGGGGGCATCTGGTATCCTCAGGGCAAAGTAAGACCTTTGTACATTAATTCTAAAATTTTAGAATTTGCTTTCTTGAAATCAGAATGGCCATGTATTAATCTGTTCTCACACTGCTATGAAGAAATACCCAAGACTGGGTAATTTATAAAGAAAAGGAGGTTTAATTGACTCACAGTTCCACATGGCTGGGGGTGGGAGGCCTTAGGAAACTTATAAGCACAGTGGAAGGCACCTCTTCACAGGATGGCAGGAGAGAGAATGAGTGTCAAGCAAAGCAGAAAGCCCCTTATAAAACCATCAGATCTCGTGAGAACTCACTCACTATCATGACAACAGCATGTGGGAAATTGTTCTCATGATTCAGTTATCTCCACCTGGTCCCGCCCTTGACACATGGGTATTATTACAATTCCAGGTGAGATTTGGGTGGGGACACAGAGCCAAACCATATCAGGCCACAACAGTGGACAGCTACTCACTGAGTTTGCAGGCCAAGTGCACCTGAAGACATTCCCATTCCTGGTGGGGGTCTGGCCCTTTGACTGTGAAGCCAAGTCCTGAAGGTCAGCTTGAGGTTGGTCATTGAAATGGGGTTCACTTTCGGAAAAGTTATTGGTGATTTGGGACTTAAGCCAGTTTCAGACTGAGCTGGCATACTCTTGCCTCTCCTCCTCCACATGCAATCTACCTCCCAGGTGAAGCTGCTGCATTCAGATCCAGCCAGAGTAAGATTTGTCCTACTGTAAAACATCATTTTAGAGTTCAGTTCACCTGCCAAGTCTTGAACAACCACTAGAAGCCATGGTTCTTACACAGCAGGTTGGTCAAGAACAGAGTCAGGGCAATGAAATGAGTTACAAACTGATGACGATATCCTGGGAAACCCAGGATGTATTCCTAAGTCTGGAGGAAAGTTGTTAGCCAAGGCCAGAGTTGACTGTCTGGGGACTCAAATGATAAGACCCCAGAGTTTTATCCTTCTGTCAATAAAACCCAGACTATTCTTACTGGCATATAGTTAATGCCAGAGGAGTGCAAGCCAATGCAGTTTGAGAAGTGTTGTAGAATGTCTCTCCAGAGTAAATCTGACTATAAAAAAGGGAGATGTTTCCATAGGAATCCAAGAAGTTCCCGAGTACATCATATATCACATACTGGAGCACTGTAGAAGAGCTATATGAGCAATGGTTGACATGATCTTCCACTTCTCCCACTCTTTGATTTCAATAAATTCTGGAGACTTGTTATAACAAGCAGTATTATCAGCGTTATAATTGCTTTTTAAAATTTAGTGCTTCCTTGTGTGCCAGACTCTGTGCCCAGCACTCTACAAACATTATCTCATTTAATCCTATCAATCTCTGTAAAAAGCTCATAAATTCTCCACAAAGTCATTGGCAGGTTCATTAGACCCTTAGCTTTACAAATTTGGGTGAATGCTTCACAAGAATCAAACCACTTTTCTTCTTCCTTTTTCTTCTTTCTTTCTTTCTTTCTTTTTTTTTTATTGAGACAGAGTCTTACTATGTCTCCCAGGCTGGGGTGCAGTGGTGTGACCTTGGCTCACTCCAACCTTCGCCTCCTGGGTTCAAGCAATTCTGTCTCAGCCTCCCAAGCAACTGAGATTACAAGCGTGCACCACCACGCCCAGCTAATTTTTTTTGTATTTTTAGTAGAGATGCGGTTTCACCATATAGGTCAGGATGGTCTCAAACTCTTGACCTCAAATGATCTGCCTGCCTCGGTCTCCCAAAGTGCTGGGATTACAGGCATGAGCCACTGAGCCCAGCCCAGACCATTTTTCTTATTTTAAAATTGGTTATTTATTCCAGCCTTTGCTCCGAGGAGTAAGCTGAGTACTAGTATCAACATCATATTCCTTTTCTTGATGACTGTTGAAAGCCTGGGCCTTGCCAATTCTCTCAAAGTCTGGCTGAAAGACAACTGATCTTTGACAAAGCAAACAAAAACGTAAAGTGGGGAAAGGGAACCCTATTCAACAAATGGTGCTGGGATAATTGGCAAGCCATATGTAGAAGAATGAAACTGGATCCTCATCTCTCACCTTATACAAAAATCAACTCAAGTTGGATCAAGGACTTAAATCTAAGACCTAAAACCATAAAAATTCTACAAAATAACATCAGAAAAACTCTTCTAGACATTGGCTTAGGCAAAGACTTCATGACCAAGAACCCAAAAGCAAATGCAACAAAAACTAAGATAAATAGATTGGACTTAATTAAACTAAAACTCTTCTGCACAGCAAAAGAATCAATCAGCAGAGTAAACAGACAACCCACAGAGTGGAAGAAAATGTTCAGAATCTATACATCCAACAAAGAACTAATATCCAGAATCTACAAGGAACTCAAATGAATCAGCAAGAAACACAATCCCATCAAAAACTGGGCTAAGGACATAAATAGACAATTCTCAAAAGAAGATACACAAATGGCCAATAAACATTTGAAAAAATGTTCAACATCACTAATTATCAGGGAAATGTAAGTCAAAACCACAATGCGATACCACCTTACTCCGGCAAGAATGGCCATAATAAAAAAATCAAAAAATAATAGATGTCGGTGTGGATGTTGTGAAAAGGGAACACTTTTACACTGTCAGAGGGAAAGTAAACCAGTACGAGCACTATGGAAAACAGTGTGGATATTCTTTAAGGAACTAAAAGTATAATCACCATTTGATCCAGCAATCCCACTACTGGGTATTTACTGAGAGGAAAAAAAGTCATTATATGAAAAAGATACTTGCACATGCATGTTTATAGCAGCACAATTTGCAATTGCAAAAATATGGAACCAGCCCAAATGCCCAACAATCAACAAGTGGATAAATAAAATAATATATATATGTATACACACACACACACACCATGAAACACTACTCAGCCATTAAAAGGAAAGAAATAATGGCATTCGCAGTAACCTGGATGGAACTGGAGGCCATTATTCTAAGCGAAGTAACTCAGAAATGGAAAATCAAACATCATACATTCTCATTCATAAGTGGGAGCTAAGCTATAGGATGCAAAGGCATAAGAATGATACAATGGACTTTGGGGACTCGGTGGTGGAGAGTGTGGGGGGAAGGAATAAAGGAAAACACAATGGGTACAGTGTACACTGTTCAAGTGATGGGTACACCAAAATCTCAGAAATCACCATTAAAGAACTTACTCGTGTAACCAAACACCACCTGTTCCCCAATAACCTATTGAAACAAACAAACAAAAGTCTGGCTGAAAGAACAAAGCTTATGGCAAGGGGGAGAGATCCAGTTCAAAAAGGCAAGCAGATCAAAGTGCTAATGATAAACAATAATTTGTTACTTTAATATAATACTCGTAATAATTAAAATTTTTAATCTCTCAAAGATAAAGCCTGAAGTGAACTAAGAAAAGGCATGTGACATAACCATTTTCTTCATGGAGTGACTTTCAAAAAGCAAGCAAAGCTATTTATTTTTTGAAAACTTTGCAAATACTTAAAAATACTTACAAACAACAGATGACTCTCATTTGGATAATATATTATTTCTGGCATTCTTACTTCTTATAAGAGTGTGATGACATTCTTCAAGCTAACTTTTGGGTATCTGCCTCGTCAGGTCATGGGGTTGGGGACCACTGGTGGTGAGAACCTGAGCACTGGGTACCAAGCAGAGTCTTCTGCCCCAGAAATGGCCTCTCGAGTCCATCCCTCTCTTATACATCAGCCAATAAAGAGGGCAACCTGGGCAATATCCACCTTTACGACTGTTAAAATACCTCCCAAATGGCATTTTAAACTGCCCACTGCACTGTATGAACAAACTGAACTTGTTAAAGATCTATATTTACCAGACTGCTGTGGTCTACACTTCTTCTTAGACCTTTTAAAACGTTTTTTAGGTCTACAACCCAAACTTGCAAACATTTTTATATGGCCTCTTGCCTTTCCTCTCAATTAATCCAAACGTATGGAGTTTATCATCAAACTGAAATGAGGAAAGCGGAACTTATCTTCGGATAGAGATGTGTTGGTTCTATCTGTTGCACAGAGACTTCTGACTTCCAGGGATATTAAGTTGATATAGCTAAAATGACATTTGATGAAGACTGATTAAACAACAGGGAGGGGAAGTTGAAGGCTGGGGTCCAAGGCGGAAGACAGCCAGGTGATGTTCCTGGAAGCGGCTCACAGGCCTGGGCCTGCGGCCTGGTCTTGGCGCCCAACAGGTAGGGGGTGTGCGCATGCGCATGATGAAGCCTGCGGCAAGGCGTACGAAACCCCAGTGATCCCGAGGTGATAAAGTCAACATGCCAGCCTGCCAAAATCTGAAGCCTGAAAAGGACCTATTTTCCACTACACATATGAAGACACCATTCTCATTCAAATATTTATTTGGACTTGGATTCTGAAAAAGACTTATTCCTGTTAGGCTTAGGCACTTCCTCATTCCTTTCTCTCTCTTTTTAAGATTATATGAGGATTTCCTTGTCATTTGTCTAAGGGACTGATGCCTTATTCATTGAAGTAGTAGCTGAAGCCTGAAAATAGAGAATTCAGGGACACATAAATTAAAGGTTGTAAAAGTTTAAATTGTTAAGCAAACTCAAGTCGTAAAATATACCCTCATTCATCACTCTGAAAGATTGTGTTTAAAATGAAGCCATAGGATACCTCCTTCACACCACTGATTTCTCAACTGAAAAATAATCAAGGGCAAGCCTTTTTTTTCCCTTAAAATTCAATTCTTTAAAAGAAAATTAGCGGTTGGGTGCATTGGCTCATGACTGTAATCCCAGTACTTTGGGTTACCAAGGCAGGAAGATTACTTCAGCCCAGGAATCCGAGACCAGCCTGGGCAACATAGTGGGACTCTGTCTCTACCAAAAAAATGCAAAAATTAGCCAGGCATGGTGATGTGCACTTGTGGTCCCAGCTACTCAGAAGGTGGGAAGATTGCTTGAGCCCAGGAGGTCAAGGCTGCAGTGAGCCATGACTGCACCACTGCACTCCAGCCTGGGTGACCCTGTCTCAAAAAAAAAAAATTAGCTTTTAATATAAATATTATGGCATGAGAAAGCTACAACCACATTATAGTTGTAGGAATTATTCATGAATGAACTATTTACAGAAGTAAAACTGATGCAAGCACTATTTTTAGATAAAAATATAAAATGGCCCTTTTGTAGGGATTTTTACTGTCCAAAAAAGATAAATAAATTGTGTGTAGTGCCTACCAGATGCCAGACACTCTTTCATGAGCATTAATCATTTAATCCTTATAGTAAGTCAATGATGAAGAAATTATTTCCAGCTTATAGGTGGGAATACTGAAGCCAAAAGATTTGTCAAAATTGCACCATCAAGTAAGTGCCAGAGAATGAAAATCAGATTTTTGACTAAAAATTTGATATGCTTTTCACTATACCGTGGTATCTCTTAGGTATGAATATTAAGCATTCTAGTGAGAATTAATTTAAATTTGTGCTTTCCTATATCCCACTCCAGATATGTTCCTCAGCTTTGAGGACTATATTGCAATATAGAGAAGGCATGTTCTAATAAAAGAGGCTGCCTTAAATCCTTTTTAAAAACAAAGTGGCATATGTATAAGTAAGGAAAGAAAAATTGAGAAAAAATTTTAAAGTCTATTAATTGTCTCAAAATGAAATGGTATTACATATAATTTGTGAATCATTAGAATGCTAGAGAAAGTTCCCAAAATGATACCCTGAATGAAATATTTTAAAGTATCATTAAGACTCTTAATCCAAAGAACTTTGGAGAGACTCTGTCCCTTTAGTTTTCTTTAATATATGCCCTTGAAAAAAAAAATGCCCATGCAATAAATGTTGACCAAAACACGTTGGCTTTGCAGTTGTGCTTTGCTATAAAATTAAAGATAAATTCTAATGAACTATGCAGAAGTATGACCTCATAACTAGGTAGGTAATGATACGGTCAATGCCAAAACACAGTCCTCATCAGTAAGAGCTGAAGCTTAAGGTTTGACATTTTATTTCTTTGTTCCACATGTTTATTTTTTGAATTTCTTAAAGACTATTAGAGGAAGTAAATTAATATCCTTAAATATTCATTGGCCCAACATCATACTGAATGGGCAAAAGCTGGAAACATACCCTTTGAAAACCAGCAGAAGACAAGGATGCCCTCTCTCACCACTCCTATTCAACATAGTTTTGGAAGTTCTGGCCAGGGCAATTCAGGCAAGAGAAAGAAATAAAAAGTATTCAAATAGGAAGAGAGGAAGTAAAATTATCTCTGTTTGCAGATGACATGATTGTATATTTAGAAAGCCCCATCATCTCAGCCCAAAAACTCCTGAAGCTGATAAGCAACTTCAGCAAAGTCTCAGGATACAAAATCAATGTGCAAAAATCACAAACATTTCTATACACCAATAATAGACAAACAGAGAGCTAAATCATGAGCAAACTCCCATTCACAATTGCTACAAAGAGAATAAAATACCTAGGAATACAAATTACAAGAAATGTGAAGGACCTCTTCAAGGAGAGCTACAAACCACCACTCAAGGAAATAAGAGAGGACATAAACAAATGGAAAAACATTCCATGCTCATGGATAGGAAGAACAAACATCATGAAAATGGCCATGCTGCCCGAAGTCATATATAGATTCAATGCTATTCCCATCAAGCTACCATTGACTTTCTTCACAGAACTAGAAAAAAACTACTTTAAATTTCATATGGAAAGAAAAAACAGCCCATATAGCCAAGACAATCCTAAGCAAAAAGAACAAAGCTGGAGACATCACACTACCTGACTTCAAATGGTATTACAATGCTACAGTAACCAAAACAGCATGGTACTGGTACCAAAACAGATATATAGACCAATGGAACAGAACAGAGGCCTCAGAAATAATACCACACATCTACAACCATCTGATCTTTGACAAACCTGACAAAAACAAGCAACGGGGAAAGGATTCCCTATTTAATAAATGGTATGTGGAAAACTGGCTAGCCATATGCAGAAAACTGAAACTGGATCCCTTCCTTACACCTTATACAAAAATTAACTCAAGATGGATTAAAGATTTAAACGTAAGACCTAAAACCATAAAAACCCTAGAAGAAAACCTAGGCAATACCATTCAGGACACAGGCATGGGCAAAGACTTCATGACCAAAACACCAAAAGCAATGGCAACAAAATCCAGTATTGACAAATGGAATCTAATTAAACTAAAGAGCTTCTGCACAGTATAAAAGAAACTATCATCAGAGTGAGCAGGCAACCTACAGAATGGGAGAAAATGTTTGCGATCTGTCCATCTGACAAATTGCTAATATTCAGAATCTACAAGGAACTTAAAGAAATTTACAAGAAAAAAACAAATAACCCCATCAAAAAGTGTCCAGAGGATATGAACAGACACTTCTCAAAAGAAGACATTTATGTGGCCAACAAACATGAAAAAAAGCTCATCATCACTGGTCATTAGAGAAATGCAAATCAAAACTGTAACGAGATACCATCTCACGCCAGTTAGAATGGTGATCATTAAAAAGTCAGGAAACAACAGATGCTGGGGAGGATGTGGAGAAATAGGAACACTTTTACACTGTTGGTGGAAGCGTAAATTAGTTCAACCATTGTGGAACACAGTGTGGCGATTCCTCAAGGATCTAGAACTAGAAACACCATTTGACCCAGCGATCCCATTACTGGGTATATACCCAAAGGGTTATAAATCATTCTACTATAAAGACACATGCGCATGTGTGTTTATTGCAGCACTATTCACAATAGCAAAGACTTGGAACCATCCCAAATGCCCATCAATGATAGACTGGATAAAGAAAATGTGGCACATATATACCATGGAATACTATGCAGCCATAAAAAAGAATAAGTTCATGTTCTTTGCAGGGACATGGATGAAGCTGGAAACCATCATCCTCAGCAAACTAACACAGGAACAGAAAACCAAACACGGCATGTTCTCACTCATAAGTGGGAGTTGAACAATGAGAATATATGGGCACAGGGAAGGGAACATCACACACTGGGCCCTGTCGGGGGGTTGGGGGCAAGGGGAGAGATAGCATTAGGAGAAATACCTAATGTAGATGACAGGTTGATGGGTGCAGCAAACCAGCATGGCACATGTATACCTATGTAACAAACCTGCACATTCTGCACATGTATCCCAGAACTTAAAGTATAATAAAAAAAAAATCCACTGGCTCAAAGAAATAGCCATTTATGCACCACTAATGTGTTTGGTTTGCTTCGAACAATGCAAATAAGAAGCAGAATGTTCTACCCTATCAATAGTAACAATCTGTTTGTTGTCTGTGGGTGGGTGTGAGCACACTCAAAAGGAGTAACTTGAAATAATAAAATTTTTTCAGAATATGAGTTGAGGCAGATTTCTTTAGGTTTATAGAGGAAATATATCCAGGAAATAAATGTCATTATAGGCACTGGCAAAGCAAAATGTGATGCCTGCATTATGAAATTTTAAACATATATTTCAGAAGGTAGTTTAAACAGCATAAATCAAGGCTAAAGCATAACTAATATATTCCTTGATGAGGTTAGTTCCTCAGCTGTCTCATTGCCCTGGTTCTTAACCCCTTCCCTGATTTCACAGTTTGTGTGTATCAGGTTTAGTAATTTATCTAGTGAAGCAGTTATCATATTCCACTATTCCATGGGTAATCATGACATAAGCAGTTAGCACTTTTCATCTTCAAAGCTCTTAACAGCAGTTAATTAATATAAACAACCCCCTTAGGAGATAAATTAATCACACTATAACAGTTCCCATTTTTCCAATTGAGAAGCTGAGGTAAAGAGGCTAAGTAATTGGCTCAAAGCCATTGAGAAAACAATATTTGAAGACTGGTGGCTTGAGGAGTTCTGAGATCTCAAACTTTAATAAAAGGTTTGCTTTTCTCATTAGTCTCTCATACATCATATACAATGTCATTCAACCAGCAGCTTTCTCCAGATGGCGTAGTGGAAAACAGATGATTGTTCTGCTGCCTATACTAAGAGTCAGCTTGATTCTTCATGATATTAACCCAGCTGGTCATAAAGAAGTTAAAAATGTGTCATCACAAAATCGAGTCTTTAAATAGAATTTTACCTTCTGTTTCCTTAATCCCAACAAATCAGTCCACAGATCTCTATTGCCAAATCTATATTTGATGACAAACATCAAGTCTCAGAAAGCAAATACAAAAGGATGTGAAAATGTAGCCACCGATCATTTGCCCCTCCCACCAAATGCCTGAAAGTGTGTGAAATTTAGAGTGGCTTACCTGAACCGCCTAGATATACTGACATTGTTTTGAGTTTAGATCAAATCACATTCCATAATATTCAATAAGTTATACAGTCATGAGCCACATAACGTTACCATCAACAACGGACAACAAACAGTGGTCCCACGAGATTATAATAGAGCTGAGAATTACTATCGCCTAGTGACATTATAGCTGCCTTAACACCATAGTGCAATGCGTAACCCACCTGTTTGTAGTGATGTTGGTATAAACAACCTACTGTGCTGCCAGTTATACAAATGTAAAGCACATACAATAATGTTCAGTATACACTTCACAATGATAATAAACGACTAAGTTACTGGCTTATATCTTTACTATACTATATTTTTAATCATTATTTTAGAGTGTACTCCTTATTTTAAAAAGTTAACTTTAAAACAGTTGCAGTTAATCATTCAAAAGATATTCCAGAAGAAGACATTATTATCACGGAAGATAACAGCTTCATACATATTATTGCCTCTGAAAACCTTCCAGTGGGACAAGATGTGGAGGTGGAAGATAGTGATATTGATGATCCTGACCCTATGTAGGCCTAGGCTAATGTGTGTGTTTGTGACTTAGCTTTTAATTTAAAAAATTAAGTGAAAAAATATAAAAAATTATAAAAATATTTAAAATTTTAAAAGCTTATAGAATAAGGATATAAAGAACATTTTTATACAGTTGTACAATGTGTTTTAAGCTAAGCATTATTAAAAGAGTAGAAAAGTTTTTTTAATTAAAAAGTTTATAAAGTAAAAACGTTACAGTGAGCTAAAGTAAATTTATTATTGACCTTTTAAAACAATTATAGTGTAGCCTAAGTGTACAGTATTTATAAAGTATACAATAGTGTATAGTAATGTCCTAGGCCTTCACATTTACTTACTACTCACTCACTTACTCATCCAGAGCAATTTCCAGTCCCGCAAGCTCCATTCATGGTAAGTGCCCTATACAGGTGTACCATTTTTTATTTTATACCATATTTTTACTGTATCTTTTCTGTGTTTAGATACACAAATACTTACCGTTGTTTTACAATTGCCTATAATATTCAGTACACTAACATGCTGTACAGGTTTGTAGCCTAATAGGCTATATATCACATACATAGCCTAGATATGCAGCAGGCTATGCATAAGTACATCTTTGCGTAAGTACACTTTGTGATGTCTGCACAATGACGAAATAGCCTAATGATGCATTTCTCAGAATGTATTTCTATCATTATTTGATGCATGACTGTATATAATTAATTCAATATATTCAATATCTTATTTGATGACATAGCATGGGACTAGTGAATGGGACAACTAGGCTATACCCTTTTTCTCAATACACAGTGACACACAAAATTGAAATTTACTACTTTCAATTTTTCCTTCGAATAATAAAATCTTAAAATATGCCAAGCTGTTCTTGAGCAAATTAAACAAAATCTATATGGAAATGTATTGACAAGGTATAAAAGAAACTTTGGGAATTGTCACATTAATATTACTAAAATCCTCTCTTATATTTGACAGTCATGGCTGTTTTCCAGTTGTTGGTCCAAGTGGAATTGTGTGACTTTGCTATACATATCAATTTGTTTTTTAGCCAGAATCATGGTCCTCTTCTGCCTCCTTGTTTTGGAAAAGTAGGAGATGGATAATGGGGATCTCATTTTAATTAAAAAGGACAACATAGATTTTTTTTTTCAAAACACTTTATTCTAAAAATAAACACTATACCCAAATTTATTAGCACCTAAAAATCCTGAAATACAATTTTAGAGAAATAAAACATCTTTAAAATCATCCTAGGGAAACTGGGTGAAAGATAAATGAGAACACTGTGCTAGTTTTGAAACATTTCTCTGAATCTAAAATTATTCCAATATAAAACATTTATTTTTTTTAAGGACAGTATAAAGATGAGTGTGGTAGACTAAAAAATGGCCTACCAAAAGATATCCAGATCTTAAACCCTAAAATCTGTGAATGTTACTTTATTTGACCAAAGGAGAAAAAAAAAAGGATAAAGAGGCTATGAAGGTGTGTTTCAGTTAATCACATAATGGGATTTTATGATAAGTAAAACAGACAGCCTCACAGCTCTGTGGCCTAGCTGTCCTTAACTCTGGATCTCCTGGGTAGATTTTGGGGGAATAGAGTGAAATGAGAAGATTATTGTCTGGCTAGGCCCTAATAATACTCACAAGTATTATTATAAGAAGGGGTGTCATAGTTCATTCCATGTTGCTACAACTGAATATTTAAGACTGGGTAATTTATAATAAACAGAAATGTATTTTTTATGGTTCTAGAGGCTGAGAAGTCCAAGATCGAGGATCTGGCAGCAGATGAGGGCCTTTTTGTTGCACCAGCCCGTGGCAGAGGGTGGAAGGGCAAGAGGACAAGAAAGAATAATAAATCAAACTTACAGCCTCAAGCTCTTTTATAACCAGCATCAATCCATTCATGAGGATGGAACACTCATGACCTAAACACCTCCCTTTAGGCTCCACCTTCCAACATTTGTTAAATTGGGGATTAAGTTTCTAACACATGATTTTGGGCGGGATACATTCAGATCAGATCAAAAGGGCAAAGGGATTTTGTATACACAGAGAAGAAGTTGATGTGAAGATGGAGCAGAGAGCTGTTTGAAGATGCTAGCCTTGCGACTGGAGTCATATGGCTACAATCCAATGGATGCTGGTAACCACAAGAAGATGGAGGAGGCACGGAACAGATTCACGCCTGGAACCTCCAGAGGAAGTGTGGCCCTACTGACACCTTGATTTCTGTTCAGCGATACTGATTTCCACTCTGGCTTCCAGAACTGTGAGAGAATAAATTTCTGCTGTTTTAAGCCATCAGGTTTGTGGTAATTTGTTACAGGAAATAAATATAATTGGCAAAGAATATTTTAAAATTCAACCACGGAAGAAGAATAATAAATAGCCAATAAGCATATGAGAGATGCTCAATGTTAGTAATAATTAAAATAACTCTCAATAAAGCAATTAGTTAACTCATTTGTTACCTATCAGATCAAAAAATTAAAGAGACAGAATTTAAAAAAATTATCTAATGCAGTTTTCACTAAAGATATTAACGTATTCAATTAACTATCATTGTAGACCACCCAAGGTCTTACAGTCATTTCAAAACTCAATGAGTGAGTAAATAATGAGCATTTGAGTTTGGCAACTGTTTAGTGCTTTATAAAAATGTTTTATTATGTAAAATTTTTAATGTATAAAAAAATAGAGAGAGCTCGTGGTCAATCTTATTTCATTTATGACCCTTCCTAGCTTCCCTAATCTTTCCTTAAATATATAGATCATATTTTATATAACATATATAATTCGTATATACCATATATATATATAAAACATGTGTGTGTGACTAGTGTTTCCATACTTTGATGAAATTCTCTTTTCTTCTATTTACATTTTTCCAGAATTAGGCATTTTATACCAGAAAGTTTTCAGAAATAAAAGCAAGAGAGGCTGGGCATGATGGCTCATGCTTGTAACACCAGCACTTTGGGAGGCTGAGGAGGACAGATCATTTGAGGTCAGGAGTTCGAGACCGGCCTGGCCAACATGGTGAAACCCCATCTCTACTAAAAATACAAAAACTAGCCAGGCGTGGTGGCATGCGCCTATAGTCCCAGATACTCAGGAGGCTGAGGCAGGAGAATCACTTGAACCCAGGAGGCAAAAGTTGCAGTGAGTTGAGATCGGGCCACTGCACTCCAGTCTTACTCTGGGTGGCAGAGTAAGACTCTGTCAAAAAAAAAAAAAAAGCAAGAGAAAGACTTTCCTCTAAAGATCAAAAGATTTAAAACTCTGGTGCCCTTATACTGTATGGCAAAAAGCCAAATGTCTGTTAAGGTGTGTGTGGCAGAGAGTGTGTGTGAGTGTATCCTACATTGTTCCTCCTGGATCTCAATCTATCAATATCTTCTTCTTGTCTTCAATCTCTCCTCTACCTCTTTGCTACTCTTATAAATATATTTAAGTTGCTTCAAATGACCCCCTGCCAAAAACCAAAACCAAAAACTTCTGATTCCATAGTTCCTCTACTCATCACCCTATCTCTTTTCTTCCTTAACAACCAAACTTCTTGAATAGACTACATTTTCCTTTACCTTTTCACTTCCCATTTACTTTGCAACCCATAGTAATTAGAGCAAAAATATTTACCTGAAACCACTCTCACTGATGAGTATTCAGCAGATGATGGGATCATGATACTAAGCAAAACAGACGTGGCCCTTGCCCTCACAGCTCTGTGGCCTGGCTGCCCTCGGTCCTTATATCCTAAGTAGCTAAGCACTCCCTTCCCACTTGTCCTTTATTGTCCCCTTCTACCCACTCAGCTCAGCTCCTGCAAGGTTTCAGGTGAGGCATGCATGATTTGAATGATGAAAAACATGGGCTTTATCCACTTTTCTACCGGGCTTTATCCAGTTTTCCCCACCCAAATCTTATCTTGAATTGTACCTTCACAATTCTCACGTGTTCTGGGAGGGACCTGGTGGGAGATAATTTGAATTAAGGGGGTGGTTTCCCCCATACTGCTCTTGTGGTAGTGAATAAGTCTCAAGAGATCTGATGGTTTTATCAGGGGTTTCCACTTTCGCATCTTCCTCATTTTCTCTTGCCGCCAGCATGTAAGAGGTGCCTTTCGCCTCCTGTCATGATTCTGAGGCCTCCCCAGCCATGTGGAACTGTAAGTCCAATTAAACCTTTTTTTCTTCCCAGTCTCAGGTATGTCATTATCAGCAATGTGAAAATGGACTAATACAGAAAGGAAGAGAGAAGATTGGTTTGAGTAATATTGTCACCAACTAGTCTCAGTTTAGTGGTACCATGTTGTTGAGTGAATGTGAAAACATGGAGTCAACAAGAGTAGTCTATTCTTTATAAAGTATAGATGTGAAGAAAAGGAAAGGAAAGGGATGAGGTGATGGCTGGAGGAGGCTGCTAGATCAAGAAGGAGCTTTATTTGTTTGTTTAGAGAGAAGATGAAGTAAACAAAGGGCAAAGATGAGAAAATGATTTCTGAGGAAGCAGCAGTTGGCGCTACCCACACACAAACATATTGGTTTGGAGGCCACATGGTTAAATTGAAGACCAATGAGAGGAGAATCAAAAGGTCCTGCCTTTGGTACTCATCCACCTTCTGAGCTAAGTTGGGTAGGCCACTTGAGCTCTCGAAACCTCAACTTTATCACCTGTGAAATAAAGAGATGGGAAAATATATATTTTTTTCATCAAAAATTAATCAAGAGGAAAGGGGTGTAAGGAAACATAACACAGGAAGACACGATGCACTGTTACAATGCATTTGAGGGCATCTCTTTGTGAAATATCACCAATGGCTGTGCCCCTAGAGCGAGCTAGCAATTTCCAAGTCCAACAGAATTGCAGACCCAACCTGTTTAATAGCCCCATTATTCGCTTCATCATTGTCCTTTTCTGCACTGACTTGGCTGAGCAGGCCGCTATGGGAACTCTGTTTTCTAAGCCAGAAAGAACAAGCTGAGTCGTGCTATTGGTCCTTTTGTATCAAGATTTAGCAATCAGCACATTAATAAAGTCTCGAAGATTACTATCAGTATGAAAGGCAAAATTCACACAAAACAATTAATTAACAGCATTAAAACAAATGCATTGCTGAGGATGGAATTGGATCCAGGAAACAAAATGGGTTAAAAAATTTTTTTTAAGGAATGCTCTAATTGAAAACTGGCAGCGGCAGAAGACACAGTATAGTTAAAACAGTATCTTATCAGAAAATTAGCAAAATGTAATTTTTATTGGGTTTTACAGATGTTATTTTTAACCACATCAAAAATCCCACCTCGTGGCTATTGGCACAAATTGTCATAATTACTATAATTTGAAGTCTGAGCAATGGAATGGCTGTTGAGATAGTTATCTCATCCTCAGGCTAAGTCTGCATTAGTTGAGCAGCCAGGAGAAGGAGCTCATGTTTTTGTACTTGGTCTGGACTTCATTTGTGTCCTTTATCCAATCTCATTCTTACGAATATTGAAGAATAATTTTTTTCCACCTGAAACACTGGAGAAAATCAGGAGGTTAATATTAAGAGTGTTGAGGTCACCTTTAATTAACATACCAATCACCTCACCTCCAATCTGTGAGCAAAGTGTTGCATTTTGTTCTATTTTTACGTTTCTTAGTGAACTCTATCACATTTAATGCATATACTAAATTCTGGGCATAGTATCTTCAACTACCTACATGAGCACAATTGATGATGCCAAGCTAAGAAAAAGAAGCTTTTAATATTTCTGATATCCAATTTAACATATTTTCATTGCCACTTGGAGAGCAAAAACATAACTAAACATGTCCAAAGTATATCTAACTTATAAATAAGAACACAAAATCAAGAAATGTCTCAGAAGAAATTCTGTGGATTACTTATACTTGCAGATTCACAGTGATATCAAATGATAAAAACAATTATGGTCGTGCTATAATTTAGATTTGGGGATATAGAGGGCCCAGCTATGAGGCTCTAGGAATGCTCAGCCAAGAAAAAGAGAGGTCTCAATAATAAAATAAGTGTGATCAGATTTAAGGATACAATTTCAAACAACAAAAAAGTAAAAATTAACAGACTAGGCTGGGCTTGGTGGCTCATGCTTGTAATCCCAGCACTTTGGAGGCCAAGGTGGGTGGGTCATGAGGTCAGGAGTTCGAGACCAGCCTGACCAACATGGTGAAACCCCATCTCTACTAAAAATACCAAAAAAAAAAAAAAAAAAAGCTGGGTGTGGTGGCTTGCACCTGTAATCTCAGCTACTCAGGAGGCTGAGGCAGGAGAATTGCTTGAACCCAGGAGGTGGAGGTTGCAGTGAGCTGAGATCGTGCCACTGCACTCCAGCCTGGGTGGCAGAGCAAGATTCTGTCTTGGAAAAAAAAAATTAACAGACTAATTTAATGATCACCCAAAGCTGAGTGATGTCATTGCAATCCAGCCTGGGTGACAGAGCAAGACTCTGTCTCAGAAATAAATAAATAAATAACAGACTAATTTAATGACCACCCAAAGTTGAGTGATGTCATTGTCACTTTAGGCCATAGAAAAATTTCAAAATGTTTTCTTTCAAACTCTAAGCCACAATTTAACTAAAGTATTGTAGGAAGAGGGGACATGGATTAAATTCACACATTCAAAAGATATTATGTGCTTATACTGTTCCAGGCCCTGAAGAAACAGTAATGCATGAGAAGTGCTGCTCCCAGTAGAGTAACACAGACAGGAATAATATAGACAGTAAACATACAAAATAAGTATGTAATATAATGCCAGATAGTGTACATGTTTTGGAGAAAAGTTAAGCAGAGTAAGGAAATGGAGAGTGATAGCAGTTTAAATGAGAAAGCCCTCTCAAATAAGGTGATTGGAGCACAGACCTAAAGGAAGTGATAGAAAAATTCAGGGTGATACACGGGGAAAGGGGATTCCAGACAGAAGAAACAACACATGCAAAGACATTGAGGTAGAAACATGCCAGGAGCTTAGTGAACAAGGACAGAGCGGTAGGAGAGAAGGTAGGGGAAGCAGGCAGGCTATATCATGTAAGCTTTCTGTAGACCATGGTAGGGACCTTAGGTTTATTCCGAGTATGGCTGGGGGCTCAGAGGGTTTTGGGTAGTGGAATAATGCAATCTGACTAACGTTATAAAAAGCTGATTATGCTGCTGGGTAGAGGATAGCAGTGACAGCCATGAAAACAGTGACAAGGCTATTACAAGAACTATTCAAGCCAACTGGATAGTGGCTTGAAGCTGCATGATAGTAGCGAAGGGAGCAAAGACTGGTCAGATTTAGGATATATGTTGGATGTGGTACCAGTAGGACTTGCCAATGAACTGGATGTAAGAAATGAGAGAAAGAGAGGAATCTGAAATGACTCCTAGATTTTTGGCCTGAGAAGATAAATAAACGTAGTGATCCTCATTGGAATGGGGAAGATTTGAAGTAGTATGGGTTTTAGATGTTAGGATGGAAGTCAAGAATTATCTTTCAGTTATCTTAAGATTTGCTGGCCATGGAGTGTGAGATGCCCATTAGACACTCAAATGGAGGTGACAAATAGGTAATTGAATATATGGGTCTGAGTGCAGGGGAGAGGTTGGACCAGAGTTATAAATTTGGAAGCCATCAGCGCATACATGTCATTGAAAGCCATGAGACTGGATGCACTCACCTGGAGTGAGGATGGATAGAAAGGAGAATCCAACCTGGGATTGGAAACACAGGAGAATTTCTCAAATGTAACTGAGAAAGATTATTTGACCTCTATAGGGCCTTTTAAACACTATAACACATAATTAAACAGGCTGGCTTTGAACATACAAGGAGGATAATCAGGGGTTCAGAGTGGACCATAATCTAAATTTACTTAATCTCACCTTATTATTGGTATTACTTTTATTTTTATACAAAGCCGAATAGTGAATAAGTGAATACATAGAGTGGAGTTTTGGGGAACTTTTACAGTAAATACTAAATAAGCCTTCTTCTGATGCAGATGGCCAATGGATCACATTTTGAGAAATGCTGCTCTAATGTGCATCTTGGAAAGGAGCAACAATTAAGGGAAAAACATAAATTCTAGAGTAGTCACCAATTCTTTCAAGAGATGGACTATGTCAGTAAGTGAAAAACCTGTGCCTTCACTGGAAATGGTGCAGCAAAAAAGAGACAAAAATCACTGTAGAAAGTATCTAGGTTAGCTCTCAGAAAGAAGCACGTCCTTTGGGAGGCTGAGGTGGGCAGATCACAAGGTCAGGAGATCGAGACCATCCTGACTAACACGGTAAAACCCCGTCTCTACTAAAAATACAAAAAATTAGCCGGGTGTGGTGGTGGGCACCTGTAGTCCCAGCTACTCGGGAGGCTGAGGCCGGAGAATGGCGTGAACTAGGGGGGCGGAGCTTGCAGTGAGCGAAGATCATACCGATGCACTCCAGCCTGGGCAACAGAGCGAGACTCCGTCTCATAAAAAAAGAAAGAAAGAAAGAAAGAAAGAAGCATGTCCTAAAGTAAGAGTCATGTGATACTAAAAGACTAGTAAGAGTCTAGGAAAAATTTAAAGGAAATGGATGAAGAATCTTACCATAAAGTAATTTAAAGTAAAAAATTTTATAGAATTACTTGAAATAAATGTAATACCTGTACATATTCTGGTTTTTGCTTGCTAAGTTAAAATTACATTTCTAGAGGGTTTTTTTTTTTCGACACAAAACAAATTTTGAGTCATTCGAAATGGGAATCAATTATTTTAATACCTCAATCTTCTAGAAAGCAGCTTTCTGGACACATTAAATATTCAGTTTAGGCATTCAGAATGTGATTAAATCTAGAGTTCAGTAACGACACTAGCCAAAAAGATGTCATAAGGTGTGTTGGGATGAGTTGGCTTATGTCCTGGGAAAAAAAAAAGATAGTGATTGCTTTGAAAACCATGGCACTTGGTTTAATAGCCAACAATTGCCAAAACTAAAGGGAAAAGAGATGAGGAGGGTCATTGGAAATGGAAGAGAGTGAAAGGTCAATTAAAGAATGGAGGGGCAGACACCCTGATGTCTGGAGTCAGCTCAAAGGACCCCAAAGCATTTTGCAACAGCTCTAGAGATCTGACACCAAGAACTCACCTCATTCTAGAAACTCATTAAAGGGAACACAAACCCTAGGCAGCTCAACCATGAGACGAACAGCAGTGAGATGAGTAGATATACATTTGGAAGGTGTATGGACCTCTGGACCATAATGATAAACATAAGTGATCAAACTTTGATTATTATTTTTAAATAAACTTTATTTAAAGGAAAGTGTATGTTCTATTTTCAAATAGCTTCAAGTACGTGGTGAAAATCTATCTACTGTATATGAGACGTGGCATAAGGCACTGGAAGTATTAATGTATGACAGAGTTCCAACTTTCAGTGATTTAGTAGGGCGAGGGAGAAGGAAGGAGGCTGATAAGGACAGATAAGTAGAACAGGAGCTTACAATACAAAATGGTGTGGCAGTACAAAGAAAGGGAGCATAAACTCTAACTGGGGCTGGTAGAGAGATTAGGGAAGGATTTTCAAAAAAGGCAATGTTGACTTGAGCTTTGGATGATACATAGTGCTCAGGATGAAAACGATTTAAAGATTTGAACTTCAGCTATTTGGAAATAATCCATTTTTTGAAATATTTGATTCCCACAATTGCACTAAATAACTGAGGCATCATTCTATATAAATCAATTCAAGTGAACATCTGGCAGTTCTTATTGTCATAGCAAAGTTTAGAATACTGAATCAACTTTGAAAATTAATCAGGTGTCTACAGCAGACAGGTAATCCACATATTAGAAATATAAGTTTTTATTCAATATGGGGTAGAGTGAAATGCTTTCAGCTTAGGAAAAGATGCTATGGAAACAAATTATCCTGCAGGGTTACTATGAGTTGGATTCCAGTTGGGTAATGTTCAGGCAACAAAAGGTATGCTTCATGTTTTCATATTCAACTCCTAACAGAACTGTGTACAAAAATAAAGAGAAATCTAAACTTTCTCAAATCTCACAGGTATTCTGTTTTTTATTCTCTATTATAATTTCTTTTCCCAGTTATTACTAAGGAAGATTGACTGGCTGCTGCTTTTTAACCTGGTTTACATGTGCTCAGAAACAAATAACACAAAGGAATTTTTCAATAAAATATGACTAATGAATTAAAAAGCCTATTCAGTGCCTTGTGAACATTTTATATTTTAAGCCCTTTTTCCTCACTAAGATATTCCCCAAAACAACCCCCCCAAAAAAGAATTTCATTGCAGAAACATGAAATACGATAACTAATAAGAACAATTATAATCATTTTCCTTAGCATACAGCAACTACGAATGACACATGTAAATAGCTCCAATATATTTATTTAATATTACTGATAATTAACGTGTGCACTAAATTAGAATTGCCTTTATCAGCCAGAGTTGTAAAGCGCCACAACAGCTTAGAGATTACTAGAGGAGCTGATACCTGGGTGAAGAATGTGCCCAGCCTGCTGATAATGGAGGAGCGTATGGACTTTTAATTCCATAAATAAATAGAGTGTTTTCAAACATTGGACTTCATCAAAATTTAGCTGAATTAATTAGTAAACAAATACTGCATGTTTGCCTACATCCTTTTATTCCCTGCAGGAGCTAAATACCTTTTCTCATTTGCATCTGTTGGATATAGAATTGTCCTAATTTTGAAATTTCAGCAAGCCCCACAAAATGCAGTGCGAGTAATTTTTGTAGTGATTTTTACAGTTATATATCAAGTGGTAAAGTGATTTGTTCAAGACATGTCTTTGACTTTCTCCCAGGTATCATTAGAAAAATAATGTTTTTTTAGCTTAGGAATATGTGCAAAAAAAGTGTTATCTCACAACTGTCTTACACTCAAAATAAAATTAATTCAGAACAGTTCCAAAATAAAGTATAATAAGGCTGAAACTGACCAATTTGTGATATGCCTGAAAGAAGCAAATGTATTCTAAACAACTTAGATGTCAAGAATGCCAGCACTTGGAGTATTAGAATATCTGGCTTGTTGAAGTTGCTTCAATAAATGTTTGCTGAATAAAGAAAATTCAATGAAAAAAAATTTTAAGTGAACCTTGAACGAAAAGATAAAACTAAGTGTTCTGAATAGACATTACTTATTTCTTTGAAGTAAAATAATATTTTGTATGTTTGCAATCTTAATACCTCAAAAACCCATGTACATACTTATTTCCCTTCCTTTGACACTACCTTAGTCTGAGCCATCATTACCTCACTCCTTGTTGACTGAAACAGTCATAATAGGCTTCTTGTCCCATTTCCTCCCGCTATTCTCACCCATTTTCCATTCTCTAAGCTGAGTGACTTTTGTAAAACATTTTCCATGTTCCCTCATTCCCTCAGAGTAAAAAACTAAAGCATTCAAGGCACTTTATGGTGTGGCCACAGCCCATCTCTCCAACCTCTTTCGTCTCTATGACTCAACCAATGGCACTTGGTGCTCCAGCCGTATTGAACTTTGTGCAGTTTTTCTACATCGCATGCTTTCGCCCCAGGACCCTTGTACATGCTGTTTCCTGTTGGAAAGCTTTGCTCTTGCTACACTCTTGGTCTTCTATTGTGAATCTGCCTTACCCCTATTTGTCTTGAAGGTTTTAGTTGAGATGCTCTTACTCCAGGAAACTTCCCTAACTGGACCTCCACCTCTTTCAAGACTACATTAATCTTGTATCACTCTGTGCTTTTATTTAGCTGATGATCAATAATTTGGCTATGTGGTGTTACCTCTTAGTAAAGTCCTTCAGCCCCAACAACAAACATAATTCCTGGTACATTATAATCATTCACTAAATATTCTGTGAATAATTACTATATCAGTAATCTTCTTTGGTGTAGTTAATATAATAATTTGTATCATACATGATAATATAGTTAAAAGAGAACTATACAAAAAGTTAAGAGGATTGAATCATCATCCTTGCTCTTTTATTAGCTGTAAATAATTTCTCTGGACCCCTATTTCATCTGCAAAATAGGTATATGCCCTGCCCCTTCTACCTTACAAAAGGATCCAGAGCTCTCAAGTAAGCGAAAGTGCTTTGGAGAATATTAAGCACTAGTCCCGCAAGATATTACTGTCATTATCATTACCATTCCTAAATGCCTAAATTGCCATTTTGCTTTGTCATATTCCTGCTCAAAAGTCCTTAGTATCTCTACCCTCTTGTCTCTACTCACCGGCTCCACTCTCACCGGACTTTTACCATCAACAGTATTTTCCCAAAGCATAGCTTTGTGAATTGGTGACCAATATCATGGACATTTCTGTGTTTCAGTCTAGGTTTTATCTGACTATCAGCAACTCCAGAGGAATGTATCCTCGCCTGTTGGACCATATGCTCAGGGCTCCAGATATGGAGCCTGGCTGTGTTTTCCTGGCCAACAGACACAGTCCATGGGCCTCCCAAAGCCACAACTAAGCCAGTACCATCAGAGTGAACCTCAGGACAGCTGCAGAGAATACTGGAGCAAAAATGATCATGTGCACCTACTGGGCCAACCAGACAGCAAACAGCCCTAGCGGTTGCTGGCAGTCATTTTGCAACATTAAGTAAAGCCTCATCAGATGAAGTCAACACCACAGATGGCAGACAGAGACATGAAAATATCTAATCCTTGGGGGCACACTTGAGCTGCTGATTCATGCCCCCCTGATGCTAGCACTACTCAGCATTTACCGGTAATCAGGAGGATGCAATTCTACATCTTGACACTGAATGTGACATCTTTGAGTTTCTCCCAGAAAGTGGATTTTAAAAGTTCTTTTCTTCCTTATAACAATTCTTGAAAGAGACTTAAAATTCAAATCCATATTCAACTAATGCTTACAGAGAAAAGAGGTAAAATTTATAAAAAAAAGTGTTGAAATATTTCTAAGTAAAGGCTTTATTAATTCAAAGTATTATTGTAAGAATAATCATCATTGATTTGACTATTTGCCTCACTTCTTGTTCAGCTGCAGGTCTCCAATGTTATTAAAACATGAAGTTAATGCACAGAAAAATATATTATTTTCTACAAAATCAGTATCCAAGGGGGAAAAAACATCCATGTGACCTAGGAAACAGAACCTTAAGAAGCGTTTTATTGTTAAAGTTCCAGCCTGGCTTTTCTATCTGAATCTTTCAAAAATGTTTTTGGCACTATGGTTTTGGTAAGATCCAGGTTAACTGAAGCTTGTCAGAATTGCTTTCTTCAGAAGTAAGCAGTTAGATCAGGAAATAAACCACAAAAATTCCTTAATTGCTAGTCATCTAAGCAAGGTCTTACACTTTGGCTGAAAAAAAATACACCAAAGGAAAGAAATACCTAGCAATCTTTTTCTGAGTATTTTTTTTTCACATGAGCTAAGAAAAACAGCATAGCCTTAGTCAAAAGAATAGAGAGGAGATAGCTCTTCAAACCTTTCTTTCTAGGTAGAATTAGCCATTTAAGCTTTGTCCACATTAGCACTAAGCTAGCAAGTCTGGAGTGTCTTCCCTAACATTACTTTGTCAATGTGTTTATTTAATATTAATCCTGTGTGTTTGAGAAATTGGTCTGAACTGAACTATATAAGAATTGCCTTCAAAAAGACTAAACCATGTACTAGTAGTAACTTAAACTATTATGGTAACTTATTTAGTATTCCTTTAAGGTTTATAATGAATCCATACTTCCCATTTACAGAATGTCAACATATCATTAGACAGTTGACCACGGACCATAGCTCACGTGCTCTAGGTATGGACATAGCTTGTCTAATCTCCAATCGTTGGCAGGGTAAGTGTTTCAGACAAGTTTAAATAAGTAGTTTGTGTTTAATGGCTTCATGGTTCAGACACAATTGATCAACAGAATCATTTGATTGGCAAATAGAAACTAAAAGTGACAATAATAAAGTTACTAGTTATTAGTTATAATAAGCCACTACCATTCTAAGAAGGTAAAAAATATATACATTCTGCTTCTCACAACCATTCTGCAAAGTAAATTTTATTAAATCTATGTTACAGAAGAGGAAACTGAGGATTGGAGAGGTTAAGGGACTTTTCAAAGTATTAGAGTTTGAATTAGAATAACCCTACACAGCAGGAATAATTAGCTATCTTTTCTGGTAAAGTCACCATACAAAATTCAACTTGCCATTGACTTCTCTGTTTGTCAGGGCTTGTTTCTTTGTTTTACTTTCAAAAAGTGTATAATAATGTGCATTTAGATTTAGATGCATAGAAATATTAGCATAGTAATACAATATTAGCATAGAATTTGAAATTATCATAGAATTTCAAGTGTAACTCTCACGGAATTATTGATGAATCTGAGACTTTCTGAAGATAAAATCTTCCGGATAAAACCTAGTTATTGAATACATGACTGTAAATGAGTTACAGAGGAGACAACCACGTCCCCTTGCTAGCTCCAGGGCTTCCCAGCCACTAAGGTGAAGTTTGAGTGGCTCAAGAAGCTCATGGGAATCCTCTGGCCTGTACACCTGCTTCTCTGAGATGGAGCATGCCACCTGGCCACAGATATTCTTAGATAGTAGTTGGTGACTGGGTATAGGATATGATTTCTAAGCCTATGATGCATTAATTCTGCGGTTTGTGCATAATCGTCCTGCTTAGAGTGTGGTCCAAGGTTTTGGTAGCATTAGAGACAGTCAAGGCCTTGACTTTCTTCTCCAGTTAAGGTTGGCTGCTGGAGGATAACAATACTAGGAGGCTTGCAAAGCCCTTATTTTAAGGCATTATCTTCTCCAACTTAGTATTAACTGCTCTAACACAGCAGGAATGGACAGGGATACTTTTGAAGGGTTAGGATATCAGCATCTTTCAGCTGCTTTCCTATTTCCTCAAATTCCTTAGGAATGGAGCATTTGCCCTTCTGTATGACCACAGCTACTCTCACTTGGAGGATCATCAATAGACAAGGGTCAACCAGCTCCAGAGGAAGCCTCTTCTACAGCTCAGAGAACCTATTCCTTTAAGTTTCCTCACCTCTGTTCCAATGCCAGACAAGACTTTTACTGCAAACACTTCAGTATCATTTCTAATAAAGATAGCTTCCTAGCTGAATATCTCCAACATACATACAATCTGTTGTATTTCAATGCCCTTCTTCAAAGGGCACTTGGTGTTTGAGCTCTAGTATATTCAAGTGAAATATGTCTGGGAAAAACCATTGTATAAATAAATATTAAGCAAATTTTTAACAGAGAGGCCCATGGAAGATGACTTTATTTTCTAAAACTTTTCAATCAAGTTAATGGAAAAATTGAAACCTCCAAGCCCTCTGTGTCATGGTAATTTACACTGTTACAGGATTGTAGCATGTCTGAAATATGAGGAATCTCAGCAGTCCTGAAGTTCATCAGCTTGGACACCAGACCCACAGAGGCCCAGTTGTCCATCTCTGCCCCACTCTCAGGGTAGGGCAAAAGGCAGAGTACTCTGAGGCCTCAGCAGGATCCTCCACCCTGCTTTTATTTCCTTTATATATTGGGATTCTGCATTGGGTTGATTGACTTAAAGGGCTTTTGCTGCCTAAGAAAAAGACTTAGAAATATTTGATTTTTTACTGATGATCAGTGTGACACCCTAATTTTACAAATGCAGCCACTGGGTAATAGGAAGAAGAGGTGACTTGCTCCAAAGTCTCCCCACTAATAAATGACAAATGATTTTTACTTCATATATTGCTCCATCTACCTGACAATGTGATCAATTCTGCCAACAAGTCACCTTTCTGAGTATCTCAGCCTTAAGCTGCCTTCAGCTTCATGGAAATCACAGGCTATGTTCCATATTTTGATATGAAGCTTAAAGGCACAAGAGCATCCCAAGGGCAACCTCCTCCTATTTTGAGGTTTGCGGTATTAAAATTAATCAAAAGTAAATGCTCCCAGACATAGAAAGTTCTTCTAATATACTTTTCGAGGAATGCATATTGAGCCACTCAACCTTACTGACAAAAGAGAAAAGTGCGCCTTCTTATGTGCCCTGGCTTTTTGCTTGACAGGTGGATCACAGTGACAATATTTGCAAGGGAATCTTTTGATAAATGGATGCCTGGCCTCTCATATCACAGAATTTGCTTTGAAAGGACAAAAACCTTACAGAGAGAGCATAGTCCTTGACAAACTGGGCCCCATAGACCTTTATCTCCAAACTGTCAAATCAACCCAAATAAACTCTTTGCTGGCCCCAGAACAGTCTTTGTTTATGCCACTTCCTTCTGATCATGTGTGAATCTTCAAGGTTCAAGTTCTTCACATCCCACTCCGCCCCCCCGAAATCTTCCTTGGCCTCCCAGAGCAGGAGGAGTATCTTCCTCTTCTTACTCCATATCCCTTAACATGCACTGCTCTCTAATAATAATAGTACAATTAACATCAACTAGCATGTACTTAGTGCATACTATTTGCCAGAGACAACTCATTGAAATAGGTACTATCGCTATTTTGTAGATGAGAAAATGAGAGTTAGTGAAAACAAGAAACTTACCCAAGATCAAACAGACGATAAATAACAGAATGGTTATCTGAACCCAGAATTCTATAGCCTGAGATGTTACCCCTTGTGTTATATATCATTGTGTCCCTTCTGGGTTATAAGCCACCTGAAGATGTGATCAGTTTCTTTATTGTCTCCGATCACCATGGTTTCTCATACAGCATGAACAGGGTGAGGCCTCAATGAAGAAGTGTCATTATAAGAGTCATGGAGACCACGTTCTGCAAATGCAAAATCCCTCAGCACTGGAAACCATTGACTATCCACACAGACACACACTCACACTCAGCATTTGGCTCTCTCTGCTGGGTCTGCTGCAGCTTGGCTGTTCTAATAGCTGATGGATTAGTGCTGATCTACACTGATTGCTCACACCTGCAATTCAAACTAACCCCTGTTCTGCTCTGTGCAATCAGCCATGCCCAGGTAAGACCATCAGCTTCCCAAATGACAGGCAAACAGAGACCCACCTGACGGGTCTGACCAGACACCTGTGAGATCTGCAAAGTGGGAAAGATGGGGGAAGGGGAAGGTGGAATTAGAAAATTAAAGCGCTAAATGTAAAGGGTAAAATAATGAATGCTTTATTTATTTCTCAGAAAGTTTAGAAACTTTGTAGATAGAAAACATCAAAGGTCTCCAGCTAACGACCACAGAGCAGTAACCAGCAATGGAATTTTTACAGGCACTAGGGTCTGGTATTTATGTCTGTATAGGAAGCTTTAGTCAGAGAAGTTAGATAAATCTTAGAATGTCAAAATTCCAAAACAGAATCATACTTTGATTTCCAGTGCCACCCTCTACCACAGAGCTCTAGATTCATTTGCTAACCTTGTCCCAGTAATTATCATAACATCTCATTCTGGAAATAAGGAACATGGATGGGAAAAAAAATGTAGTCTACAACAGGGCTTCGACAACTTGCTCAGACCATTTGTTGCAGGGCCAGAAAAATGCACTGTTCTTCTTGATGAAAGGTGTTCAGTTCTGTCAATTATGTTTTCTACTCTGCATTTCTCCTAAGTCTTAGTTTTCAATATGTAATAACGTGTGGAAAAATATATGATGTAGATATATGTATGTATATGGTTTTAATGATCATAGTTACAAAAGTAAAATCATATCCCCATTTATTCCCCTTATCCTTTGGCAATCCCTATTGCCTTCTCAAGGAAATAATTGTTAAACCCAGAGTAAATGGAATAGTTCCAGTTGCAACCATAAATAATTGGATTTGCTGTATTTCCTACTTTGAAAAAAAAATCCCTCTAAATTTTCAAAGTGTCAGATTTTTGCAGTATAAATTTTACTGAATTTGTTTGAGCTGTATGGCTAATATATCTCAAGGTACAAATGAAAAAATATCAGAAAGGCAAAGTTGAAGATCTTGTCTGAGTTTCAAGACATTATTTTCCAAATACAGCCAAATAGAGAAGTTATCAGTTACAATATCTTCCATAATAGCAACATTTTTTTCTGTTAACAATGATGTTTATTAAAGCATTGAACCAGGGGGATTTTTTTTTTTTTTTTAACTAGAGGCTTGGTTTGGGGCTTGCTGAGACTTACAAGCTTTTAAACACTAAGGCTCTGGCTTCTTTTTTAGAAAAGCTAGTGATAAGTTGAGTCAGTTCTCCTGGAAGCAATTTCCAGTCCCCCCAGAGTCATCCCACAGACCTTCATTAAAGGCAAAACGATGCAACAAGTAAGCAGTAGCTTCTCATGTTCTGTATGTCCTGTCTTGTGATATTTTTAAAGTGTTATTATTACATCAGCCAGAAAGTCAAAGTTGGCTCAAGGTAATATGTTTGAATTTCAGTGGTTTCAAGTTTTACTGAGAATGCCAAAGCTTGGCCCTGGATTACACTCCCTCTGGTCACACCTGAGCCAATCTGGAAGATGTGTGTGTAACAACTTTACTTGCTTTGGAGTTGAGAGTTTGTCTGAACCTGAGAGAGTGAAATCTGAGGGCTTTAACCGTGATAAGGGCCGGGTGTGGTGGCTCAAGCCCGTAATCCTAGCACTTGGGAGGTTGAGGTGGGAAGATCTCTTCAGCCCAGGAGTTTGAGACCAGCCTGTGCAACATGGTGAAACCCTATGTCTACACAAAATACAAAAAAAGAAAAAAGAAAAATTAGCTGGGCATGGTTGCACATGACTGTAGTCCCAGATATTCAGGAGGCTGATGTGGGAGGATCATCTGAGCTGGAGAGGTCGATGCTGCAGTGAGCCATAATCGCGCCACTGCACTCTATGCACTCTAGCCCAGATGACAGAGCGAGACCCTGTCTCAAAACAAACAAACAAACAGAAGCATGATGAATCACACCGGACACCATAGTGTGGTGAAACCCCTGGAAAGTGCATCTCCTGGGACTATCCCTTTTCTCTGACATACAAGCAAAAGGAAGCAAAGAGGCTCAAGGAGCCAAGCCACCAGCAGCAGCCTGGCAGCATGTAACAGAAGAAGCCACTGGAGGCCGGGTGCCGTGGCTCACGCCTGTAATCCCAGCACTTTGGGAGGCCGAGGTGGGCGGATCACGGGGTCAGGAGATCGAGACCATCCTGGCTAACACGGTGAAACCCCATCTCTACTAAAAATACAAAAAATTAGCCAGGCGTGGTGGCGGGTGCCTGCAGTCCCAGCTACTCGGGAGGCTGAGGCAGGAGAACGGCGTGAACCTGGAAGGCGGAGCTTGTAGTGAGCCGGGATCGCACCACTGCACTCCGGCCTGGGCGACAGAGTGAGACTCTGTCTCAAAAAAAAAAAAAAAAAGTAGAAGAAACCACTGGAACTCAGGCACTCAGGCATAGCACCTTAGATATAGTTCCATTTTTCCTCTTCCCCTGTGTCATTTCAAGAAAGAACTCAAAATTACCAGAAGTCACTCAAATATTAAGCACCCATGTGCCAGACACCGTAATAGATACCTTACACATCATCTCATTTAATTTCAAAGATGGCCTAGGGGAATGGTTAAGAGCATGGGCTGTGGTCCCAAGACTGTCTGAGTTCAAATTTTGCTTCTACTGTTTCTTAGCTGTTTGACTCAGCAAATTCTCCAAAGCAACTCCTTCCTCATGAGGGTTTTGTGAGAATTGAGTGATAGGAAGCTTGTAACATGCTTAGTATAATGCCTGGCTGGTATGTGCTCAATGCAAGGTGGGTTTTATTGTCCCAACAATCCTGTGATGTAGGTGACATTAGCACCATTTCATAAGTGAAAAGATTGGGATGGGTTAATCTAAGTTCTCAAAGTCTGGCCTCTGGGAACTTGTTAAAAGTGCAAATTCTCTCTCTCTCTCTTTTTTTTTTTTTTTTTTTTTTTTGAGATAGGGTCTGACTCTCTGTCACCCAGGCTGGAGTGCAATGGCACTATCAAAGCTCACTGCAGCCTCAACTTCCTGGGCTCAAGTGATCTCCCACCTCAGCCTCCCAAGTAGCTGGGACTACAAGCATGTGTCACCATGGCTGGCTAATTTTTTGAAGACATGCAAATTTCCAAGCCCAACCCAAGACACTGAATTAGAAAGTTTGGTAGATTCTTCAAATGTGTATGAAGATAGCTCTCTGGGGACTGTAATGCATCAAAGTTTAGTGAATCAACTTATCCAAAGTTATACAGCTTTTAAGAAATGAAACCAAGACTCAGTTTGTTTCAAAGGCCTTTGTTCTTTCCAGTCCCAGACAGGACATGTGCGCCTTCCCCCATGGTTCTGACCACACATTACTGGAGAAAATGTCCTCCTTTCTCCATACTCCCAAGCATGGCTCCTGTTTTATCAGAGCAGCCAGCCTAGCACTTGCCCTGCTGTGAGAATCTTGTTTCCTATTCCAAAATCAAAGGTTTTCATTCGTACAGCAGAAATATCCTAGAAATGGGAAAACTAGGACAAAAGATTGTACTGTGATCAGAAAAACCCATTATTTTGATTAGTGACATTTTCACCCAGACTTTAAAAGTGGGTAATTAAAATAAAATTTAAAATAGAGGCAATTAGTATATAAGTTTTCCTTCCTCCCCTCAAACTGAGGAGGATCAAAGACTGCAAACTTTCAAATCAGTCTAAGTGTCCTTCTCAACTTGTTAGGTTTAAGATGGGGACGAGTATGGAGGTAGAGAAGAAGGCTCTGCCAAAGTCAAGAACACCTCCAGGCACTGTTGACAGATGAATTTAATCTGCATTTGCCATCTCTATACCCTGAAGTCAGAGAACTCAGATCAAACAGTGTGTTTTCAGGAAGAGATGTATTAGTAAATAAAAATAGAAATTAGACCTAACTTTCTGCTATGCCTTCTAAAATGACAACAAAATGGGAACAAATTTGGATCCTTGAATTATCTTTGTCTCTCATTGGAAATGATCCCCCCACTAACACACACACACACTGCATTTTCTGGACACCACTGTTTTTGGTTTGACATACAGGAAGAGCTGCATTCTTTCTTTTTGTGGCTCTTTAACAGTTGAAGCTGTCTCACCCCACTGGTCCTGACACCAGTGTTTAGGGGACTCTGAGAATAGCTTAGCAACTAACGCCTGCACAAGAATAAGATCCCTTGAATAGGAACAAGTAGAACTTGGTAGAAAGTTTCAAGATAAATTATAAAGAGCACAACAAATCTATTTTATTTTTTCGGTCAAAGTTTCCATCACCATCTCAATTTCTACATGGATCGTGGTCTTTCCAATTCACCATTTTCTTTCCCTGAACTCACAGATATGATCTTTCTGGCAACCACCAAATGATGTCCTGAGTCTGCCAAGGATAATAATTGATGGTCCAAGCCATGGTACCCATACCAGGCTGCATGACCAAGACCCCTTCACATGGAGGAAGACCAATTTCTTCACCTTTTCTTTCTACTGCCTTCCTTCTGCTGCCTCCATGACCAAATAGACCAATTTAGAAAAAGCAAATTCTGCTAGATTAGTTCATGGTCTGGGGATCAAGCTTAATCTTCTACAAGAAGATTTTAAACAGATAAAAACAGCCATCTGTAAGGTGAACAGATTGTTGAAGAAATCAAGGCCAGCTGCGAAGGCTCAAGCCTATAATCCCAGCACTGTGGGAGGCCAAGACTCAAGATAGCTCTAGTCCAGGAGTTTGAGACCAGCCTGGGCAAGATGACAAAACCTTGTCTCCACAAATATACAAAAAATTAACTGGGCATGGTGGTGTGTGCCTGTGGTCCCAGGTACTCAGGAGGCTGAGGTGGAAGGATTGCTTGAGCCTCACAAGTAGAGGTTGCAATGAGCTGAGATCCATGCCATTGCACTCTAGCCTGGGTGACTGAGTGAGACCCCCATCTCAAAAAAAGAAGAAGAAAGAAAGAAAGAAGGAAAGAAAGAAAGAAAGAAAGAAAGAAAGAAAGAAAGAAAGAAAGAAAGAAAGAAAGAAAGAAAGAAGAGAAAGAAAAGAAAGAAGAGGGAAAGAGAAAGAGAGAGAGAGAAAGAAAGAAAGAAAAAGAAAGAGGGAGAGAGAAAAGAGAAATAAATCAGCCCGAAGTACAGAAGTACAGTGTACTCCACACCAGCCACCATTACGTTAGACATTCCTTCTGGACCCCAAGGTCTATAGGAGCTGGCAGTGAAGGATAGCTCCCACTGTAGGGCATAACAAGTGCCACCATGCTCCTCTCTGGATATGGCTGGTAGAGAGTAGTAGTGTCATGTTTAATTCCATCAATGATGCTGAAACTGCTGTAAACAAATGTTTGCTTGACATAGAGTAGATGTTCTGGTTTCGCAGGATGGGTAGAAGCTGAGCATGATGAGTAGGGGTGTGGTTTACATGCTGTGGGATGATGAAGTACAAAAAAGTAAAGTGCTGGCCTTCAGTGCAGAAGACAGTTTCACCATCCTAAAGCTTGATGGGCACTGAGCTGAACTGATGGTCTGCTCCCCTAGGAACCAAGCAGGCCACAGGCTTCCAGACTTGCTATGGCTATATATCCACATATCAAACCAAATAAGCAAATCTAGCTGAAACTTTTCTCTAGGTTGGGGTTGGAGAAAAGAGAGTATGTGTGGGTATCTTGCCAGATGCCAAAAGTTATTGAAAATATCTCCTCTGCTAATCCATCTGAGGGCTAAAACCAGAGGATTTTCATTTTAATAATATTTATGTTGTTGGCATCTAAAAAATGAAATACCTACAGTTGATAAATAAAGGCCTTTTCTGTAATATTCCAGTAAAGTCTAGAGGCACTTTACATTTAAGAATAACTAAGTACAAATAAAATTCAGTCTTTAAAACCCCCCTTCTAGGTATAAGAAATGCCATAATTAACTGCCACTGTTACAAATAGCTAAGCCAAAACTTCCTACTCTCCTCTCTTCCTGAGGCCATAACTTTAGAGAGATAACTGTTCCCCTCAAAGAACTACTGTAGACATAACTTACTCCCAGAGTTCATCTATCTTACCAATTAATGTATGTAAGCAAAGAATTTTATCCACTTTATCCTCCTCCTCCACTTGGCTCTCACAGCCTTCTTTCTTTGGATACCAAAGAATTCCTGAATAGAAACAGCTATTCTGTGACCTTACAAAATTCAGATGTGCTGTCTGTTATGTTCTAGTCTCACAGTGACTGGCCCCAGATTTGGGGTGTCCTATTTCTTGTTTTGTTGTTTGAGACTGTCTACCTTCCTTCAAAGCTGATTAATCTCAGGTGCCTGGAGTGAAGGCCATGAGGCCATGTAATATTAAGGCACCAAGAAAACTTCAATAAGTGGTTTAATGTATTTGCAGGTGGCCAAAATTAGAACACCTTCCTTCTCCTTTGATTTGACAGCCTATTTTTCTGCTACAATTTGCAGTTCTTCCCCCTCTAACAACTTGAGTTAATTTCTATTCTGAAAGAAGCCAGGAGCAAGGGAGCCAAGGTACAGCTGTAGATTGCTATAGCCCTGGGGAGGTAAAAGTACAATGGAGAAGCAAGGCAGAGTGACTTCGTGGTTGTTTCCAGTGTCTGAGGTGGATGGCAAGCATCCAAGCAATGGCAGTGACGAAGGGCCTGAAGAGATGTGGAGACACGTTCCTCAGTGGTGACAGTGGGGAGAGGCTCAGGAGCAGACCTTCAAGATGTGGGATAGAAGAACCAGGAGCTGTGAAGATCAATAAACTTTCCCTCCTACCAGAGCCAATTAATGGGCTATAATCTTTCCAGTACATTGAAAATAAGGTACTTTCCTTGAAGTATGGATTATACGTCCATGCCTTTTCATATATACAACAAAATGTTTTTAGATTATGCCACTCAAAATTATACTATCTTGAAAATGCTTTTTTTAGTTGAAGTGCAGACACAAGTCTTATTTTTGCCTTGTATGTAATTCGTATGTGTGTGTATGTTCTTTTACACTCTGTACAGCCATCAGATTTATGCATTGACTATATATTAAGAAGATACAAAGCGAAAAGTCATTGGTAACCTTTACATTGGGAATGTGACAATCAAAGACACATTTTTCATGAAGCTAATGAGCCTTAAGCTCCAGATCCCCTCACTTGTACAGGCCCATTCCAAGGCTCTGGGAGTGGCCCTGGCAATATGTGCACATTATCATATGCTTTGGAAAATTTTGGAAAATTAAGAAATTTTCATCTCAATCAGTTAACATTCTGGTCTCTTTCCACTCTGACCTTCCTTTTGTCACACTTCTTGTGTCAGTTAGCCTTGAAGTGGAGGTATTTTTGAGATCCAATTAAGGAGAAGTTAATCTGGGGATATATTAGTTTAGATTTAATAGGATATATTTATCTGCTTTGCTAGCCATTCCGGTATAAAGAGTGGGTTTTGGGATTATGCCTGCCATTCTAATGTGCTAATTCACCCAGTATCATGAAACAAAGATACAAGACCAGATGTTATACCACAATACAAATGTCCTACAGGAAATTGGTCCCAAAAGTATATCTATAATGGAGAAGAAACACAGTTTGAAATGCATGGAGGTAGAAGGTAGTCTGTAAAAAATTTCTCAGTTCATCAGATGTATGAAATGGTGAGTGAAGAATTTGTTTTTCTTTGATAGCTCATCAAAATGGACATCCTCTTCTGTCAACAATATACTTGATGAGATGTGGGAAAAAGCATTTAGGCTTTGAAATGTGACTGGGTTTGAATCTTGCCTCTAATATCTGTAAGCCTCAGTTTACTTCTCTGTAAGAAAAGAATAATAATATCTCTCAGAATTATCATAAGAATAGCTAACATTGAGTACTTTATTGTGTGTCAAGCATTGGGCTTCAAAACAACCCTGTGAAGGGGATACAATTATTTTTTCCATTTTACAGATAAGATTGAGGAATTTGCCCAAGGTAATATAATAACATAGTAAGCAATGAAGTTAGAATATGAACTCCAGTAGTTTGGCAGCCCCCGTAGCTACTCGACTCTTCTCTGAGGATACAAAAGAGATATGGAATGTTTATAGCACTGAGGCAGGCAGTTATCATCATCCAAGAAATTGTAAGGACTGTTATACAACCCATCATGGGCTTCTCTACCCGTGGTTGCCACTGCCAGTTATAGTAACCAGCTCAACTCTGGAGGTTGCACAATTGTCTTTGTCTCTCTCTCACTCTCTCTCTCTCTTTCTCTCTCTCTCTCTTTTTTACCCACTACGGCCTTTGTCTTTGTTTCTTTCTCCTATGTGGATCTTTTCTTCAAAATAGGTGTTTTTTAAACTTTACTCATTATCATTATTAGCTAACCTATGTTATTTTTGGAACTGGATACTAAATTATAAACAAGTACGTAAAATGATGCTATTATACCATCTTTAAAAGGCTATGATAAAACAAAACAAAATAAGATAAAATTTTTAAAAGCTATGATAATTGTTATTTACACTGTTGTTGATAATTACACAATTCTCTAAACATTCTAAAGTTTTATTTGTTATAAATTATTTGCATGTATATATCACCAAGAATATTAAATTTTTCCTAGACCTGCAATAATCATTTACAGCAATTGACATTTCCTGAGTCACTATGTAACATTTAGTCTTATTAAACATACCTTGCTTCAATCATAGCATATTATTTGAATCTTGTAACTTCTAGCAATGAGATTACATACCATGCAGGTGTTATTCTGTTTCTGTTTGGTCATTCATTCATTCAATCAATACTTACTGTTGACTGTGTGCCAGATATTGTCCTACATTTTTAAAACATTTTTGCACATGTAAATTGTTAAATAGTTATATTCAAAGCTTTTAAGTCTGCATTTAATCTTTTCATTTTTTTCAAACAATTTCCAGGTTTTTATGATTATCATTTCTGATGGCTCCCTAATGTTACATTTGAAGATATCTGCCATACCTTACCATTCATTAATCCATTCTCAGGAATTTGAATCATGGTTTGGCATTAGAAATAATGTTGTTGTGAATGTCTTTGTAAATAAATCTCTACCTTTTTTCTTTATATATATATATATATATATATATATATATATATATATATATATATGATTTTTTATTCCATTCCCTACATTAAATTACTGCAACAGGTCATGGAGACTGAACTTTTTTTTTTTAAACTGGAATTGCATTCAACGGACTGTTAAAGTTCACACTTCCACCTGAAATGTAAGGCTATACCAAACACTTGAATATTGCAAACACGTGAATATTGCCATTTTAAAAATGTTTATTAGCACGTATAAAACAGTGCCTCCTTTTTCTTTAACTTTGCATTTCTCTAATAATTAGTGAGGCTAAACATTTCTTCTACTTTTGAAAACATGTTTACTAACTCTTAAATTATCTACAATAGAGATGTGTAAGGAGAACCAACACCAACACTAAACATGGACCAAACGCACAGTGAGTGTTAGGCACTGAATTGGGTATACATGAGGAATATTCATGTAAAGCTCCTGATGGTGACCATAGTAGCAAAAGTGTGGATTGAAAAGGCCATCCAACCTTGGGTTCATATAATTTTTCTTCCACTTACCAGCTTGGAAATCCTGGACCTCAAGTTTCTTGTCTATAAGGATTGTAATAATAAAAAACTTCTAAGATTGTGTTGAGTATTAAATGATCCTGTGGTACAGATCGTATTTCTAGTACATAGCACAATGCCTGGCATGCAGTAGGTGCCCAACAAATGTGTTACTTCACCAAGTCCCAATATGAAAAGTGCTGCCAGGCGCAGTGGCTGATGCCTGTAATCTCAGCACTTTGGGAGGTCAAGGTGGCCGAACGCCTTGAGGTCAGGAGTTCGAGACCAGACTGGCCAACATGGTAAAACCCCATATCTACCAAAAAATACAAAAAAAAAAAAAAAATAGCCAGGTGTGGTGGGTGGCACACACCTGCAGTTCCAGCTACTCGGGAGACTGAAGCGGGAGAATCACTTGAACCCAGGAGACGGAGGTTGCAATGAGCCAAGATCACACCACTGCACTCCAGCCCAGGTGATTGGCAGAGTGACACTCTGTCTCAAAAGAAAAAAAAATTGGCCGGGAATGGTGGTCACGCCTGTAATCCTAGCACTTTGGGAGGCGGACGCAGGTGGATCACCTGAGGTCAGGAGTTTGAGACAGTCTGGCCAACATGGTGAAACCCTGTCTCTACTAAAAATGCAAAAATTAGTCGGGTGCGGTGGTGCATCCCTGTAATCCCAGCTACCCAGGAGGCTAAGGCAGAAGAATCGCTGGAACTCAGGAGGCAGAGGTTGCTGTGAGCCGAGATCATGCCACTGCACTCCATCCTAAGTGACAGAGCAAGACTCCGTCTCAAAAAAAAAAAAAGAAAAAAAATCCAGAAAGCATGTCTTTCAATACAGAAATATTACAATATAGAAAGTCTTTCAATATAGAAATAGTACTTACTAGAAGAGTGCAAAGGACTCTTGACAGAATAGGAGGGACAGAATAATCAGTATGACTTAATCTGGAAGGGCAGGAGAATATAGGATAGACAAATCTATAGGGGCAGAAAGTAGATTAGTGATTGCCAGGACCTGGGGGAGAAAGAATTGAAAGTAAACTGCTAATGGGGTTGGGGATTTTTGACAGAGTGATAAAAATATTCTAAAATTAGATAGTGATAATGGTGGCACAATTTTGTAAATATACTAAAAACCACTAAACTGTACACTTTAAAAGGGCGAACTTTATGGTATGTGAATAACATCTCAACAAAAAAAATTGGAAAAACATTATTTTCTGTGGCTCATAATTTAGAATCTATAAAATAAGCAAGTTCGGAGGCAAGATTAAGGAATCCATTCAAAAGCTCTGATATTCCATTTTCCATATGATTGAGTCCCAAACTTAGAAATTAGGGGACTAGTTCAAAAAAAGCTTTCGTATCAGCTGCCCCTATCATCAAGAAGAGAATGTGAGCATCTTCAAGTTAATTATTCTTTTCTACCCCTAAAATTAGCTATTAATTTCCTTGAACTTAAAGGGTATAAAAATTACTGTTTTTAATTATCTTGTATCTGTTTAATGCTCAGCAGTGTCTTAGGAGCTGTTTAGAGCATATTTCCTAAGTAGGCAGCAATAGATCACAATTTCCCAATACCATGCACATGAAAGCTCATAATTCCTTGGATAAAGACAGTAAAGATGCCTTTTAGGATCCTCTAATTATCCAATGAAAAGGCAAAATAAAGCAAGTGAAGGCTGGAACACCACCGGTGTAACTGTACTTATTTCCTTATATAATTACTTTTGATTGTTATTTCTGATGCTGCCCTTTGAAATATCTTGGGTCATCTTCCTCCTAGTTTTGAAAACTCCTGAACTAATAATTTATTATCGCAGAATGTAGTTATATCACTGTGAAATGGGCAGATGGTGGGTATCAGATACCCAAAACAACTATACATACTCTAATCTTGTATTTAATTTGTATTAACCTGTGTCAAATATAATTTTTCTGCGAGAAACTCAAAAGACAGACTTTAATTATATTTATTTAATTTGTAATACATTATGTGAGCAATCATACCCAGAACGTGATTGTGTGACTATACACACAGCAATGTATACTATACACTGTGTGAGATGTCAGATTACATTGTGTTAAGCATCAGCTTATTCTAAAATTATCTGGCAATAAAAAAAAAGTGATTTGGCCCCTTCCTGTGTGGTTTCTTTTGCCACACACTCTCCAGCGCTTACACACTTGATCACAGAATACCTGGCTAGGTGCTCTCAAAGTTATCAATCAGACATGGTAGAATCGAAATCTGTCTTGGATTCCTGCTTGAGCCAACAGAAAGAAAATATTAATCCTCTGCTATTTTGTCCTATTTAAAAGTTAAAAAAAAAATCTTAAATACGTAGGAAGCAAACAAAAGCCTTCTGTTAAAACAATTGATGAAGCCTACGCAACAATTAATGACTTAAAATGTCAAATATGCTCCCTGGATTTATCGCCGTTAACCAACTCAAAGAACAGTTTAATTTTAAAGTGCATGTGTCAGAGGAAAATAAACATAACAAATACATTTTTCACTCAATTGAATCTTAGGATTGGTAGAGGGTCCAAAGTGGTGGCGAAAAAAAGTCCACATTGCCTCATTTTCATTTTATTGTAGGCCATAGGAGATTACAGTGAGTGTTCCTTTTCCTGGAGTTTTCTTTTAACTCTTGCTACTTAACAAAAGAAAGCTTACCCTTGGGGTGCCAAGATTTGGAAAAAAAAAATCAGCCTGTTCAAATCAAGACCCCATGCCCCCATTTTATTCTAATTTTGGTGCCTTTGAATATTTCCAAGCTCCATTTCTCTCTGCTTGAACATGGTAGGAGTGACATGGCCTTAAGAACGTTAGAATATTCTGGAAGCCAGGTGAGTGATGTTAGGTATTGGTTTTAGGAGTAAATGAATGAGGTTCTTAGAGGACGGTTACCCCAAGACTGAACTATTCCAAGACAGTCATTTCTCCTAGGAAAATCTGGCATTCAAGTGAATAGAGACTGTCCCTATCTTTCCCTTCCTGTTCTTTCTCTTCCATCTCCTCTTCCACATCTCAGAAACAATGCCTGGGTAAAGTCTCTGGAGTAAGAAAACCCTTCCAGTTTTCCTTGTTACATGGCTTAGGTTGTGTAGTAAACAAATGGCAAAAAAACCAAAACAAAACAAAAACAACAACAACAACAAAAAATACAAAGCTGACCAGGATTTAAAACCTGGCTCAGTTCATTCACCTGAGTAAATTCTTAATCACTTTTGGACTCAGTTTCCTGATCTATTAAATGGGCATAAAATATTTGCCTTTACTAGTTTATTGTGAGGAGAGTATCTGATACCTGATAAATGCTTAAGAAATGCTGTTGGTCTACCTGTGTGCGCTGGGAGGTATTTGGGAGGTGGAGGGAGGGATGGTATAAATGAATGCACTTAGTCTCTCCACAATTAAAAGTGCCAATGGATGTACTGAGTGAACCCAGAAGCAGTTACAGTTCGTTAAGCACAATTTTAGAAAAGGGTTTACAAGATCTCGATTAAAAATGTCAACTGAACTAGCTTATTTAGAGTTCTCGTCCTAATACTTTGAGGGTTTTTTAAAATAAGAGCATCGTAAAAATACTAAAGGATTTTTTTTAAGATGGATCAAATTCACACTTTAGAATAAACGATACACAATTTTGAAATAAACTTAGCTTTAATTGTGTGTATGTAATTATATATGATACATATTTTTCAAATACAATTCAGCCACTACTGACATAAAGTATCAAAAAAATGCATGAGATGAAAAACTACATAGCAAGTGGGTGAAAGTAAAACAAAATGTAATTGAAAATAGAAGAGTATGTCCAGCTACATATTGGCACCTTTAATTTAGCACCTTTAATTAAAATTTCCAATTTAATTTTATTCTTAGTGATCATCCAATTTAGACAAACATTTGACACATTATAATTTTAAACGCACATGAGAATTACACTCATTTTTCTTTTCTCATTTTCCAGATCACTTTTTAAAGTATTTTACTCATTTTTTCAATATACAGCCACACCTAGAAATAAATTTATATAAATATCATAATAGACATCCCTTTTTAGTCCCTTTCTCATACATTTGCACAGCTTCTCCCATCCCTCCTCTTCCACCCGCATCAGCACTGTCAGGCAAACCCATGATAACAACTTCATATATATCCTTCCATGTTTTTCCAGGCTTAAACAATCTTAGATGGACATACACATACATATGTGCTTTTTTTTTTCTCTTTTCAGTATTTGTTTTACAGAAATAGGATTATCTTTTACCAAATGCCCCAAAAGGCCACAATCTATAAAGATTTAGCTCAATCTTTACTCACTGTCTACATCTAAAACTAGCAGTTTTATAATGTTTGGCATACCACCAAAAAAATAAACTAATATATTAATACTTTGGACTATTTTCAAAAGTAAAGTTGAAATAAATTGATTTTACAGATCAATCTTTACTTAAGCTTGGTGAGAACCCATTGCGAAGAGTCCTGGGCTGAAGGGAAGAAAATCTATGGGTATGGTTCTAGTTCAGCCATGGACCACACACAGGAGGAACTTAACAACTCACTTTGCTTGTCTGGGTCCCAGTTTTCTCATTTGTAAAATAAAGGTCTTGAACCAGATGACTTCAGGGTCACTTCCAGCTCCAAAATGCTAAGATTCCTTCTCAGTAAGAGCTTGATTCTCAAACCATTTTCTTGTTTTTAACTGAACTTTTTTTTTTTTTAATGCCTGCTGTCATGCTCTGTCTACCAGGGTGAATTTCCAAAAATTTCTGCATAGCAATTTTAGCCAAAACTATATATGTTCTGGGGAGGATAGGCATAGGCACATTGAAGACCAAAGGAAAGAGTGAAGAAGTGTAGTTGGGTCATTGTGAATGGATGTTTAGATTGTCAAGAAAAGTGGGCCAGAGGCCCCACCTCACACTAGGACGGCAATTGCCTCTCATTAGTATCTCAGGCACCATGGGTCTTATTTGGTGTCATAAGAAACACCCTCAACAAAGTAATGAACCCTCAGCCTCCAGCTTCTCTTCTTCGGGATTCTTCTTAGGGCCTCCTTTTTCCTTTTATGTTTCCAGTACCCTGAATTTCTTATTCCCATCCCCCATTAAAATCTGCTTCAAAGAAAAAACAAGAAGGACACATTCACTTTAAGATCCAAATGAATGATAAGAGCTTAAAACATTATACTTATCAGTATTATTTGCATTTTTATAGAAACCAAAACCATATTTCAACAACAACAACAACAAAATTCCAACAATAGAATTGTTGTCAAGGATAAGAGAAACATAGGAAGAGGGCCTGTGGAGCTTCTACAGCACTCCCGAATGGACACATTAAACCCCATGAGAGGGCCCTGAGAATCCATTACAAAGTGCCCTGGGCTGAAAGTCAGAAAATCTATGGGCATGGTTCTAGTTCAGCCATGGACCACACATAGGAACTTAACAAATCACTTTGCTTGCCTGGGTCCCAGTTCTGTAACTTGTAAAATAAAGATCTTGAACTAGATGACATCAAGATCACTACCAGTTCCAAAATGCTAGCATTCTGTCGCCACAGTGGCTCCTCTGAGTGGACCACATTATCATCTGAACCTTTTTTTAAAAACTTGCATGTTTGCCACAGTACCATAAGGAACTTCTTGGTAAATCTCTGTTCTGCATTAGTTGCCTTTCTACCCCTAAATACCCCCTCCTACCACTACAGAAGAATGACTCCAGAAAAGTTTCAGCTCCAGTTCCACATGTGTGTTGATCAGTTCCTTGGCTGCTCACAAGACTATTCCATGTGTTCTCAATTTTTCTGTCTATTAAGCTCAACTCTACATTTCTGATAGGACTTTTTTTAAACATAACTGATCATGCCACTCCTGCTCAATTATCTATACTGGTTTCTCATCATCTACCATAGCAAATGCTGTTGGTTGCCAACTCAGCAATCAATTGTCTCCCTTTCTCCTACTCTCTATCGGAAACCCAATTTTGTTCCAGTATCCTCTACCTGGGCCATATAATCCAGAAGAAGTGGGACAGTTCTTCCAGGGAGTGAATCAAGATTGGTCTGAGCCAGTAATGGTGGTTGCATTCCCCTTGCCAGTGAATGGTTTAGGATTGGGCACGTGATGCACTTTTGGCCACTGAGGCATGAGGATGAGTCTGATGGGAGTGGCAGGAGAGCTCCTTAGGAAAGATTTTCCTTACTGATTGAAAAGACACAAATCAAGACAAAACAAACACCAACAAACCTCAAAAACAAAGAAACAAATCTCTCTTCCTCTTTGGTCACCTTGCGATCAGGAGAAGAGCAAGTCTGAGAGCAAACCATCATACCAAGGATGGCAGAGCAAAAAAAATGGAAAGAACCTAAGTCCTTAATGACAGAGTCGAGCCACTGAATTCAGTCATCCTGGAACTGCCTTTGAACATATTACATGTGCTAATAAATTTTCCTCAGTGTTTAAGCCAGTTGAATTGCAGATTTCTGTTCCTCGCAGCTGAATTCATAATAATAAATGTATGGTGTAAAACTAGCATACTTTGACATACAAGAACCCTCGTGTTCTGACCACCTCATCTCCATCATCGTGCACTAGACTCTAGCCACAGTAGCCTTTGCCTTCACCATTACTCATCCTACAAGTTCCAACACAAGCACATCCTCCTCTATTAAACGTTGACCACTCTCCTCAGGCAGACTGTGCTGTCTTAATTTTCCACAGCATTTCTTGCATGCCTCCATTATGTTATCATCTGCATGCCTGTCAACCTCACTAGACTGTGAACTTCTTGAGGGTAGGGGCCAGTTTCTTTTGTATTAACGCCCTACACATATGCCTGATTCATGGGCACACAATCAATATCTGCTGAATGAATGTAGTACAAGGACCTTATCTATCACTTCAGAAATGCTGCTCACCTCTAATTTAGAAAGTTCAGTTCCTTTGTATCTCAGTATGGGCCTTGCCTAGTAGGCTGTGACTCAAATTCACAGTCTGAATAACTGAAGTATCTGTAACAACAAAACCACCAGTTCCTAACTAAAACCTTCATGAACTTTGATAGGTGGCTTTGGAGTTAGTTATGTTTCACAGCCTGTCAAAGAAATGGACAATGGAGGGAAATGTGCCTCCAATCATTTGGGCAGTATAAGAATCCTGTCCTGCAGCTTGACTCCAAGATGAAAAAATGGTAAGGCATGACAGGGCTCCCCAGTTGATCCATCTCAAGAGCATTAATACAGGCTTAGTTTTAGAGCAACCAAAACTCTCAAAAAAGAAGGGTGAAACAAGCAAGTTTCAGGCCACAGAACCAAAATGTGAATCAATTCAGCATAAGTACTCCTATATGTTTTTAAACTGCTTAGCCAAGACCAGACATCTTCTGTTTAATGAACTCTGCTGCTCCTCTGTGCCCCTCCACATACCACACACACATAAACACCCAGGAAATCAGTTCACCTTCTTTTTGCAAATAAAAGCAGCTTCTTTTGATAGGTCTAGTGAGAGACAGTTTTAAAAGTTCACATCTGCCCAGATGTGAAACAAAAGACACACTCGGTGATAACAAATGATAAATTGCTGAGAACTGGAACCCAACAATTTCAGCAATCCTCTATTCAGGCCAAAAGCACTCTTTTAAAAATGTAGGTCACGTTTAGTGTGACAGGGGGTGAACAATTACACTAGGGTTGAGATGACTCATTTAAATAGCATAATTCAAATATCCTATTCATCTTGCAATATAATCAAACTCCTGAGAGATTGCGACGCTCTTTGAAGAAAAAAAAGAAAAAGTGACAAAGAGGAAAAATGCAGGGAAATTAACATAGCCTGGATATGCAGGTACCAGAAGCTGGAGGGAGTCAGGGTGAGCAGGATGCTGGCCGCCATAAAAATAAGGAGCCCTGATCAGCCCTCGAAAAGCAAATAAAAAAATTACCCTCTACTTTTCCCAGAGTCATGCATGAGTCCCCGCTGACTACTCACTATCTGCCGGAAAAATACAGGAATGTAAAATCAGAGCCATTCCATTATCAAATGTGCTGAGCGCTTACTATGTGCTGGTAATGGGGGTGCAAAGAGAAGACAAAATTCTTCTTGTGGAAGAAGCCCTCACAATAGTAGGGGAAACAGATGAAACATTGTGGCTGTGCTAGAACAGAGAAGTAGAAAAGACACTTCTGAAGAAAGTAAATTGAGTGTGAGTGTCTCAAGGCAGGCCTCACAGGACTTCTGTTTAAAATGTCTTGAAAGATGAGTGGAATTCTTTACATGAGCAAGGAAGGATATACTGGGCCTGTTACGAGAGGCTCAGAAATAAGGAAACCTGTCAGAAGGCAGGAAGCTCGAGTGGGTGGGTTGGAGGACGGGTTGGAGGACTGCCTGGAGTCATATGATAAGAGGGGGTGCGAGTGACTTTCACATATATGCCCTGCCTCGAGCTGCCTCTCCAGTCTCATTTCCTCTGACTGCTTTCTCTAGATTACATGCTGGGCACATCCTTAAACACTCTGCCTGTGCCTTTCCAAGCTTTCCTCCCTAAGCATGTGCCCTGCCATCTGCCTCAAGTGTTCCCTCACTTTGTCTCTTTTCTGTGCCTGGGCCCCTCAGGTCTCCATAAAGCCCCCACTCCATATCCTTGGGTAGACTGAGGTGCACCCCTCTCTGTGCCTCTCATGTGTCCACTTGGTTAAGACAAACTGTGCGTCTCCTTAAAAAAGGCATAGACACAGTCCTTGCCTTCACAGTCAGCTCCTTCAGAGAGCTTGTGAACCCAAAGCCCTATAACACAAAGCAAGATGAAAAAGCCATGAGAAGCACCATGACAGTACGATTCCCGGCACTCAGATGAACACTGTAAGTCCTGAGCTGCCTCATTGTAATAAAGGCTCCAGAAGCCAAAAGCATTGTCCTAAGGGAGCTCCACTCTGGCCTCATGCCTCATTTCTTCCAATTCCAGTGTCTCTCACTGTATTGTCTCAACCCATGACCCCAATTTAGTTTCATCTTTTTAATTTTCCATTTTGAGGATTATCCAGTTCTTTTTCTACCTCACAACCAATTGTCTTAGGAGACAACAGTGAAAGAGAACACAAGTTTTGGCTTCAGGCAGAATTGGGCTTAAATCCCAGCTGCAGAAACCTGACGACTTGCAGTAGAATTTAAGGAGATGATAACATTGCACTCTCCCAAGAAATAGTAAGCTTTCAATAAGCCATAACTCTCATGGCTATTGATTATCCTTGGAGTCATCTATCACTTCAGTCATCTCCAAGCTTCATATCTAGGGCCATAAATTCCACCCATTTTCTCCCTTCCCTTTTCTTCTCCACTCTGTCCTCTTTCTCTCAACAAGAGTGACAAATCTCATGCAACTCTGAGACTCTGCAAGTTTCATAAAAGAAGTAGCATGTGTGATGCATCTGAAAGAATAGTGGCACCTCGAACTGTGGAGCTGGCAGGAAGAAGGCATGCCAACCACAGTAAATGGTGAATAATGACAGAGATAGAAAAGCCCATATCTTGTTCAGGCAAGGGACTGTGGGTGCTGCATTTGGCTGGATTTAGGGGTCCATGCCAAAGATCAGAATGGACAGAGTCTGGGACCATCATCTGTATCTCCTGGGAAACAACAAACATGGATTCATGGGGGAAGGGGGTAGGGAGACTGTACGCAGGATGCATTGGGAAGAAAAGAGAACAAACCACAGTTTGTGTCTCAGATACATCCTGCATGTCATGCAAAGCATACTGTACGCAGGATGCATTGGGAAGAAAAGAGAACAAACCACAGTTTGTGTCTCAGATACATCCTGCATGTCATGCAAAGCATACTGGTCCTGAATTGAGAGTCCCTGGGCTCCAAGATCTGTAACCAATGAGGTGAGTGATCTTGGGACTTCAGTTGGCTCATCTGTAAAATGAGATGCTTGACCTTCATGTTGAGGCACCCAAGTTCAAATACCAGCTTGATCACTTATCAGAACAAGAAGACCTTAGGTAAGATATGAAACTTTTTGTTGCTTTCACTTTCCTTGTCTGTAAAATGAAGATAATAGCGCAATCATTCCCTTGCAGTGCTCCTGCAAGGATGCAATGCCAAAACCATACCTGGCACACAGTAGAAATTTTAAAAAGCAAAATGGTGCTGTGAAAAAAAAATCATGGGCCTTTCAATTACAGAAACAACCATTCAGCAAAAAAATTTTGGAACACAACATGGGCTAGTCTGAGATACAACATGAAAAGGTTTTTGTTGGTTTTTCTTTTTTTTTGGTCCATTTTTCAAAAAAAATTATTTGAGTAAATAATGTTGTTTTCCACATATATGTTGTCTTCAGAAAATGTTAATATATTATTAGGAAGATAGAAAAGCATTTGAAGTCCCGAAAGCATTAAAACTCAAGTAAGCCTTTGATTTCTAACCGGAATTCCAAAGAGAACAGGTTATCAAATAGAAATACCAGTGTACCACTTGTTTTCCCTTGCAATTCATGGAGACTCTAGAAAACAAACAGACCACAGAACTATAATCAAGCATTTGCCAAAGTCAACAAAGCCTTAAATATCTCCAAATTTTGTCTGTGACAGATCTTTTTGTCCCCCTTCCAGAATGTGGTGACCAAAAATGTGTGACTTATTTAAAGACTCGGGCTGATGAGGTCCTGCATTCGTTCTTAAAAGAACTTCCAGGAGTTTCTAGTTCTACTCCACCCTTCCAACACATCAGGTACTTATCTAGCATTAGGAAAACAAATGGCCACTTTGCACTTGGGTTTCTGCCTGCTTCGCTTCCCAAAGACCAAATGTGAGGACATGTCTCCTTCACCTTGCAGTGCCTCCCATATGACAGTCACCACACCTAATGTGTATTCAACCCTCATACATATGGCAGACTCACACTAACCCACTAACCTGAATGTTCTTGCTATTACACCTATTGCCTCCCAAAGTACTGAAGAAAAAGATATACCTGGAATAAATGGATGAATGAGCTTTCACATCTCATGCCATTCTTTCTACACCAAATACTCTTTCTTTTCATTTTTGAGACTTCTCAAGTCTCCTCAGGAAAACATTTCCTCACTGATGCTTGCTCAGTTCTGACTATTTTCTGCCACTGTGTCCTTGTTAACTCTTATGTACTTTATGTGTGTTGGGGGAATTGTCACCTTTTTTTCTCTCTCTCCCTTTTTCTTTTTTTTTTTTTTTTTAAAGAGACATGGTCTCACTATGTTGCCTAGGCTGGTCTTGAACTCCTGGGCTCAAGTGATCCCCCAGCCTCAGCTTCCCAAGTAGCTGAGACTACACGTGCTCATAGCCATGCCTTGCTTTCCTCTCACTCTTAGGCAGGTTGCTACAGGGAGTAGCCTCTCGCCAGGCTCTGTCCCTTTGCTCTGCCATCTGCTTTATCTACTCAGAAACTTCCCATTGCCTAAGCCTCCCTATTCTTGCCCTGGCTTCTCACAAAAGATGCATCTCCAAGATAGACAGAGCAGGAGCCAGTTCCCAGATTCTCATGACTATTCACCACAATCACCTACAGAGGAAGAAGAAAAAAAAGATGAATATATGCATATATTGTTTTCTGGAAGGATAACAAGGAACGGTTAAGTATTTGCCTTTCGGAAGAACTAAGGGCTAGGTGGGAGGGGTACAAACACATTCTTTGCTGTATTGTCTAAATTTTTACTTTAAGCATGCATGTCAATTTTTTTTAATCAAAAAATTTAGATGCCCAAGATTATAATTTAGGAACAAGCCTCAACATCTGCATTTTATTTAAAACTCTGGGTGATTTTGATGAAAAGGCAGAGTTGGGGCCCATGGGAGTAGCAGAAAAAATGTTCGTGTGTACACGGCGTGTAGGTGTAAATGCACGTGGGATTGTGTATGGTGGGGAGGGAGATGGGGGCAGGATTCCACAGCAAGAAATTTCTTCTCCCAGTATGCCATCTCTAGACGTTTCCCCTGCTTTCTCTTTCCCAGAAGCCAGATCAGACCATGAGCTCAGGCAGTTGCCTTCGCTAAAGAAAGGCCAGAATGGAGCTTGTTCCTCATTGGAGGGTAAGTCATTATTAGTGAAAGCCATGGATTCAGGAGCCAGATAGCCCAGGTTCAAGTCCTGGCTTCAAGTATGTGACTTTGGGCACTTCTGTCTGCCTCAGCTTCCTCTTATTGTTGCATGATGATTAAATGTGCCGCTATGTCTAAAGTACTTACAGCTATGCCCAACATGGGAAAAGCAGGGGGTAATCACTGGCTTTTAGCAGAAACAGAGAAAGGAGGTAAGCCCCTTTTTATCACTGAATCCAAGCCAGGTCATCACCTTTTCCTTCGGTGGCCCTGCAGTGCTCTATTCCTGTTGCTATAGAATCACACCATCACATTATTTGTTTACCTGTTTATCTGTGTTACTGGGGTTTTAGATCCCTAAGGAAGGCATTGAGTCTCATTTAATTTTTTGTTGTTTCTTGCACATAGTGCAGTGGCCTCTGTGTTTGGGTAAAACATGTCAAGTAAGGAGTCACTTTGTTAAAAAGCCCAGCCTACCTTCCAGGAAGCACTGAACTGCCGGAGGTAAATCAGCACCAGAGCAGTAGGGATGGCTATTCCAGGAATAAGGACACCAGACTCAATTGGAGCAGACACTTTGATTTTCTCAAATGGATATGACCTTGCTTCTGTCTCTCTTTCTCTGGGGCCAGCTAGACCTCAAATGTCCCATGGAGAATGCTCAAAGGGCTAGACTTTTGTTCTTTACTGTCTGTTTTGAATCCCTAAGTAGGGGTAAACACACACACCACACCTTTACACTTCCCCATTCCAGAATTAAACAGTGGCCACCTACTCCATTTGCTGATTGAAGATACAGACAGTTCATTTCACATGGGCATTTTAAAGTTCAGCTGGGGCATCTGCTTCTTCCAGAAAGCCATTCCTCACCTGTCCAGGCTAGAATCCTTCCTCCATGGACTCCTGGCACTCATCTCCTTCACAGCTTTTCACCACCTTATGCTGATATTCAATTTCTCTTCCTAGACAAGGGGGCTTCCTGGAGATGAGTCTTTTCCTTTGCTGTGTTACACAGTCCCAGATTTTGGTACATTTCTTGGCATGAAACAGGAGTGCAATAAATGTGTGTTGAGCCAGACTCCTGTTCCCGTCTGACCCCAGCTGACATACTCTGAGGCCCCTGCAGAAAGCAAACAGGTGTTACCTTGATGTATAGTTTCCACATGAAGGAGGAAAGGGTGGAGGTGGAAGGTGGGCTTATCACTAAGAGAAACCTTTTTTAAGTAGAGTCTGCAGATATTTGAAAGAGAATAATTTGTTTTGTCCTGGTTCTAAAATCATAGGTAATTTCGCTTCATCAGTAGCTTGGCCCTTTGTTCTTTAAGAAAACTGCATAGGAATAACCTTGCCATGCTATTGCTACTATTAATAATGGGTAGGCCTTATCACATTACATATCGTATTATGAAAATTGAGTGCCAACACAAGGGAAAACTGATAGGAAAAGCTACCTAACTGTTGATAAGGGAGCAGACTTCCTTCTGACCTGGATTAGCTCCCTTCTGGGTGTATGAATAAACTGCAACCTCTTCAGTCCCAACCCCCTCCCCACACACGCACACAAATCAAAGCAGTCAGGGAGAAGGCTCTGCCAAGTGCTGCCCAGCCTTCCTAAAGAATTGGTTTCCATCTGCACCATGGCCAGCAGTCTGCATTCAGAACGACCAGCAGGCCTTTCAAAAGGCAGGCACACAACCCAACCCACACAGTTTTTTGTTTTTATAAGAACACCTTCCCAAGGTTTCCACTTCAGTCTTCCAAATCACACTTGTAAATGGGGCGTCGTCCTCACTTATGTGATCTTGTCTTCATTCTGCGTGAACTAGAAATTCCTCTAAATTGAAGGCTGGGCGGGGTGGGGGCGGTGATGAGATTCTCAACAGATGCACCCTTCTTCAGCAGGGGCTGCCCCAGGGATTCTGCTCTAGAATTTTAGCCCTCCTCTTCTCAGTGTGGCATTCTGGGAGTCTGCAACCTGCAGCGGCTCCTCGGTGGGAAGGAGAGAATTTCCATCTACAGTTCATTCAACACAGTTTTGCTCCACACCTCCTGCAAGAGGAATGAGGGCCTCAGAGTCCAGCAATCCACGGAAAAACTCAGAGGGGAAAGCCTCCTCAGGCTTTCTTTTACCTACAAAATAATCAGTTGAGGGCTGAAACCAATAAGGATCTGGTTTAACGTTCTAAAAGAGCCTCTTATTCTTTCTGGGGAAACTCTGCCCAATGATCCAAACTGATTTCCATCATTGCAAATGCAAACTGTGCACACACACACACACACACACCACACTGTGGAGAATTTTTTTGAGGTAAATGGTGGTGTTGCTAACATCCAAGTTCAGCACCACGTTTTAACTTTCCATCACCAGACCTTATCTTTCTAGAAAACAGATGAAAAGGTCTGAGGGAGGGTGTGATCATACAGATGGGAATGTCTTTTATTAAGAGTGTTTTCCCAGACCTTAACTAAACCTCATCCACTTTTGTCAGTCAGGCCCGACAGTTGAGAGCAATATTAGAGGAGGTAATTGCATGTATCAGTCAACAGCTTTTGTCCCATGGCCGCCGAGAATTACAGTAAAACGGGCACAAGAAAACAGCATACTGGATTAAAGGCAAGAAAAGATCTTTCTCCAGTTTCTGCCTATTCACCAGCTGTTATGTTCGGCTGTAGAGACAGAAGCAGCAATAATATCTGGGGGAAATCTAGCCTATGACAGTCTGGGTTTTTCTCACTTCTGCTTTCCCTCCACCTGGAAAGTGATTAATGTTTGACTTTAAAGGGAAACTTTTTCAAAAAGCATTCTATCTCATCATAGCAACCAATCTATTAACCATATGCGAATTTCTCTCCCATTAAAGTACATGAACACATACAAACCCAAACCTTCGATCATTTTTTGGACTGACCATAAAACAACTACCTCAGAGCTTTTGATGTCATGTAGTAACAGGTCCTAGTAGTTGCTTAAGTAAACAGTTTGCAAGACACAAACACATTTTATGTACATCTGATTGTAAATTACACCAAGCCAAACTCTGATGAACAGTTAGCATAGACGTCTGAAAGTTGCCACAGGTAAGTAGGAGCTGCAGTTAGAGGAAGGGAAGACAGAAGAGTCTAACCTACCCCTGCACCCCTGGCACAAATCCTTCCAAGATAAGTATGATTGCCACCATGTCCCTGGGGATCCAGACACAATAGATTGGCCCCCAAATCCCATTGTGAAAGGAATTCCCTTTCTCTCAACCGTGACAAAACAACTATCTAAGACGCCTCCAGAGGCTTTGGATAGGAAAGAGGGTAAGAAGCACATTCTTAGTGCTAAGTTGAGTGTACCTTAGAAAGAGAATTGGCTGACCAGGAAGAAATGGAGACCAACTTCAAAGAGGCGGCAGGAACCAGAAAACAGTGGGTTGGAGTCATTTACAAGGGACTTAGTGAAACAAGGGGCAAGAGGTAAGTTTGGTCAGCTTTACCATGGCTCTAACAGAGGCAAAGCTGGGACACTAATGCAGAAAGCTGTTTGTTAATGAGTTTCATCCTTAAATCAACTTGAAATCCCATGGCATATGAGGGGACTGAAGGTCAACTTCATGATAAAGCACTGAATAGTTATTATTTACATTTTACGGATCAAGAAATCAAGGTATAGAGAGATTAGGCAACTCAATCAAGTTAATGTAGCCAATGATAATATAAACAGGATTTATGCTCAGCTCTGCCTCCTCCAAAGCCTTACTCATGCCACTAAAACCATCTCACACTGTGATAAGTGCATGTTCAGCAGTACTTGATCTAAACACCAGGATGTAAGGAGCTATAGGATAAGCCCATAGTGTCTTCCTGGGGCATCAAATTTATTCAAATATTGTTGGATATCAAAAGGAACAGGAGTAGGGTGGTATATGATTAATTGCATTCATCAGTATTTCAAAACACACTTTTCACATTAAATTCCATGGTTATATTAGAGATCAGGATGCAATATTTCTATTTTAAAAGTTTGAATAGGTAATGAATTTATACGATTCAAAATTCAAGCACTAGGCCGGGCGCGGTGGCTCACGCCTGTAATCCCAGCACTTTGGGAGGCCGAGACGGGCGGATCACGAGGTCAGGAGATCGAGACCATCCTGGCTAACACGGTGAAACCCCGTCTCTACTAAAAATACAAAAATTAGCCGGGCATGGTGGCGTGTGCCTGTAGTCCCAGCTACACGGGAGGCTGAGGCAGGAGAATGGCGTGAACCCGGGAGGCGGAGCTTGCAGTGAGTCGAGATCGCGCCACTGCACTCCAGCCTGGGCGACAGAGCGAAACTCCGTCTCAAAAAAAAAAAAAAAAAAAAAAAATTCAAGCACTACTAAATGGTATGAAGTGGAAAGTTTCTCTCTCACTTATCCCCCAATTTTCCTCCACACAGGCAAATAATGTACAGGTTAAGCATCCCCATAATTGAATATCCAGAATTCAAATTGCCCCAAAATCTGAAATGTTTTGAGCCCTGACAGGACCCTCAAAGGAAATGCTCATTGGACTATTTTGGATTTCAGATTTTCAAATTAGGGATACGCCACTGGTAAACATAATGCAAATATCCCAAAATCCAAAAAAATCTAAATCCAAAACACTTCTGGTCTCAAGCATTTCAAATAACAGATAATCTATATCACCTATTTATGCATATGCATAAACATAAGATGATAAGTATGTATATAGCCTGTTTTCCCTTTCTAAACACAAGGAGTAAGTAGCCCACTAGACATGTTTTTCTGCACTTTGCCTTTTTTAAAAAAAGCAAAAAATCTTGGAGTTCATGTCTACACAAAAAGTACTTCTTTGTTCTTGTTTACAGTTGCATTAAATTGACGCAAACTTATTTATTTAGCCAGTCCTATTGGTGGGCTCTCAGGACGTTCTGAAAACTTTGCTATTACAAACAATGCTTACATGAATAAACTTTTCATGGATTATTTCACACATTTGAGAATATATATGTGGGACATTTTGCTACCTGTGGAACTGCTAGGTGAAAAGGCATATGCATTTTTAATTTGGATAGATATTAACAAATGTCTTTCTGTAAAAGTTGCGCCAATTGGCAGAGAGCCATTTCTTAGTATTATCAAACTCTTACATTGCCAATCTGATAGGTGAAAAATGGAATCTTGCTGTAGTTGCAATTCACATTTTTTCTTTTATGAGTGGGGCTGAGTGGCTTTTCATGTGCTTAAAAGCCATTTCTACTTCTTTTTCTGCAAACTGTTTATTTCTATTTTTTGCTCTCCTTTAATACGGTGGTGGGCTTATTTAATTGTCTTATAGAGTTCTTTATGGAGAACAGATCTAGCCCTTTGTCTGAGACATGAGTTGCCGAGTTTCTACAGGCCCTAGAATCTACCTTGTCTTGTCAGTTTCCACTAAGAACCTCAGCCTCAAAATGGTAGCACCAGCGCCTGGGACCTGACCATTTTAATGTTGATCCATATACACCTACTCTAACTATCATGAAACCTACTCAGCTGCCTGGTCAAGCTTCCTTCCATAGCTTGTGTTTATTCCCCAGGGGCTGCTCTTCTGTAAGGGACACCTACAGCACCCTGATCTAGCTACTCCCTCTCTAGCCTTTCCTGATAATGTGAGAAAAGGCCAAGAGCAGGCACATATTCTCCACACCAAACCTCAACCCAGGATGCATAAACACCACTATTTCTCATCTGCTCCCAGTATCATGTACAGTGGCTAACATATATTGGACATTTACTATGTGCCAAGTTCTGGTGAAAGCGCTTTACATATATTAACTCATTTCATCCTTAAAAAAATCCATGAAGGTCTTACTATTATCTTCAGCCCATTTACAGAAGATAACACAAATGACAGAAATGTTAAGTTCAGTGGGCCCTCTGTATCCATGGGTACCACAATTAAGGATTCAACCAACCATGGATCGAAAATATTTGAAAAAATATAAATAAATAATAATACAATCTTCAAAAACAATACAAATAATAAACAATATGGTATAATAACTATATTTTACATTATATTGGGTACTATGAGTAATCTATAGATGATTTAAAGTATATGGAGGATGTGCATAGGTTATATGCAAACACTACATCATTTTATGTAAGGAGCTTGAGTATCTGTGGATTTTGGTATCTGCTGGGGGTCCTGAAACCAATCCTCTGAGGAGATCAAGGAATGTCTTGTTGTGCATCAAGAGTCATAAAGCTAGTTATGAAGCCAGGATTCAAAACTGGGCAGTCTGGACTATATACCAATTTAATCCTACCCTGACATTGCTATAAACTTCGGCAGCTATCCTAGCCAACACTCAAATTACATAAATCGCACACACACACACACACACACACACACACACACACACCATTACGGATCAATTTTACTAATGTTATGACGTTAAGAAAAACATTATCCTAGTACCAAAATGATATGAGGCCTTGTTGGGTTTATATAAACCATGATATTGCTAATTAAAGATATTCTGTTCTTTAGCTTGCCTCATTTCAACTGAAAGCCAAATCAATTTGAGCTTAGTCTGGTGAACTATCCATCAACTTTCAAAAGATCACAGGAAATAATATTTGGAAAAAGATGGTTAAAGAGTTGTGACATGGACTGGTCCCTTGTCTTCGAGCTCTGAATTTATTTCTTCTACTTGCGCAATTCTATTGCTGAGACTTTCCAGATCATTTTGCCTTTCTATAAGTGTGTCCATTGTTTCTGAAGTTTTGATTGTTTTTTCTTTATGCTGGGTATTTCCTTGACTATTTCTCCCTTCACTTCTTGTATCGTGTTTTGGATTTCTTTGCACTGGGCTTCGCCTTTCTCTGGTGCCTCCCTGATTAGCTTAATAACTAACCTCCTGACTTCTTTTTCAGGTAAATCAGGGATTTCTTCTTGGTTTGGATCCATTGCTGGTGAACTAGTGTGATTTTTTGGGGGGTGTTGAAGAGCCTTGTTTTGTCATATTACCAGAGTTAGTTTTCTGGTTCCTTCTCATTTGTATAGGCTCTGTCAGAGGGAAGATCTAGGGATGAAGGCTGTTCTTTTGAGAATTGTCTATTCATGTCCTTAGCCCAATTTTTGATGGGATTTTTTTTCTTGCTGATTTGTTTGAGTTCCTTGTAGATTCTGGATATTAGTCCTTTGTTGGATGTATAGATTATGAACATTTTCTCCCACTCTGTGGGTTGTTTGTTTACTCTGCTGACTGTTTCTTTTGTTGCAGAAACCTCTTTAGTTTAATTATGTCACAGCTATTGACAATTCTCAAAAGAAGATATACAAATGGCCAACAAACATATGAAAAAATGCTCAACATAACTAATGATCAGGGAAATGCAAATCAAAACCACAATGAACTAAAAGAAAGAAAAACTAAAAGAAGATAAAGAACTAAAAGTAGAACTACCATTTGATCCAGCAATCTTACTACTAGGTGTCTACCCAGAGGAAAAGAAGTCTTTATACAAAAAAGATACTTGCACACACATGCTTATAGCAGCACAATTTGCAATTGCAGAATCATGGAACCAACCCAAATGCCCATCAATCAATGAGTGGATAAAGAAACTGTGGTATATATTTACAATGGGATACTACACAGCCATAAAAAGGGAATGAATTAATGACATTTGCAGTGACCTGGATAAGATTGGAGACTATTATTCTAACTGAAATAACTCAGGAATGGAAAACCAAACATTGTATATTCTCACTGATATGTGGGAGCTAAGCTATGAGGACACCAAGGCATAAGAATGATACAATGGACTTTGGAGACTTGGGAGGAAGGTTGGGAGAGGGGTGATATGGTTCAACTCTGTGTCCGCACCCCAATCTCATTGTGAATTGTGCTCCCATAATTCCCACATGTTCTGGGAGGGACCCAGTGGGAAATAATTTGAATCATGGGGGCGGTTTCCCCAATACTGTTCTCATGGTAGTGAATAAGTCTCATAAGTTCTGACGATTTTATTGGGGGTTTCCGCTTATGCATCTTCTTCATTTTTCTCTTGCCGCTGCCATGTAAGAAGTGCCTTTTGCCTCCTGCCATGATTCTGAGGCCTCTCCATCCATGTGGAACTGTAAGTCCAATTAAACCTCTTTTTATTTCCAGTCTCAGGTATGTCTTGGCAGCATGAAAACGGACTAATACAGGGGGCAAGGGATAAAAGATTACAAATAGGGTGCAGTCTATACTACTCGGGTGATGGGTGCACCAAAATCTCACAAATCACCACTAAAAATCTCACTAATGTAACCAAACACTACCTTGTACCCCGATAACCTATGGAAAAAAAAGATTTGACAAAAAAAAAACTTCCTGCCTACTAGAGGCTTATAGTCTATTAAGAGATAGGAATTAAACTAACAACAATTAATTTAAGAGAAATTATAATGCTGAAGAAGTTCTGCTTGGATGGAAGTAGGCACAAATGTTTTAGGAAGCCCTCAGAATGGCCTTCAGAGTTCAAATTAGGAAAGGTGGTAAAGGATACACAGGGTAATCATTCACTTCCGAGGTAGCAAGAAGCTAACTGTAACTGTGGTTCAAAGGGCCAAGACTAAAAGAGAAGAAGCTGTAACAGTCAACAGAAACCAGACTGTGAAAGGCCTTGCATGCCATGCTAAATGTATCTTTGATCCTAAAAGTGGTGAGGGTCGTGGAAGTACATTAAGCAGGAAAATGACATGACCAAAATTGGTTTTAGAGAGATGTCTCTAATGAGACAGTAGACGTAGCTAAAATTGTTAAATAGGTGACATTTGAATATTCTCTCATCTGCCTTTTCAGAATCTTTTCCTTCCCATCTTTCTCCCTGACTTCCTGCGCAGCAAAACTGCTTACGGTGGAAATAATTCATAGTAGGGTGCAAATGACTGATAAGACTTAATCAGTTATGTTTTGATAAGAGACAAAATCTTAAGCAAAGGAATGAATTCAAATGTGGAATCTTAAAAAAATCAAATTAAATTGATGGGATAAGTATCTGTGAAGGAGAGACCCCATTGGCATTTCCCAAATCACATTTTAGGAACTTATCTGCCACTTGTCTCATTAGCACAAAATCTCTCTCTCTCTCTCTCTCTCTCTCTCTCTCTCTCTCTCTCCCTCCCTCCCCCTCCCCCTCCCCCTTGCCACAAGTAGGAGGTGGGAGGATAAGAGGCAGCAATGCTGGAGAACACGTACTAATCGCAAGTGGATAGATTTGGCTGATCTTCCTAATCGAAGAACCCAAGCCCCTGCAAGAGTTCAGGTTCCCATCGAGATACACAATTATGTTAGTGAAAGCGTAGAAAAACAGGCACTCTGAATTTTACTGGTAAGGCTGTCAACTGAGGCAACTTCTATAAAAAGCAATTTGACAATATCTATTAGAATTGAAAATGCATATATACCTGACCCAAAAATTCTACTACTAGAAATTTTCACACACACACACACACACACACACATACCCCTGCAAAATCATGATTATTTATTACAGTATTATTTATAATATCACAAGATTAAAAACAACCTAAATATCAAATTGAGACTGTTTTAAATAAATTGTGACATATACACAAAATGGAATACCATGCAGCTATAAAAAAGACTGAGGTAATTCATTACATAATATGTAAAAATATCTTCACTATATAGCATTAAGCAGAAAGCAGAAAATGTGGAACAAGTACTAACTAGTATTTGTCCACAAAAGGTATTGGGAACAGAAGGAAGGTGAATATAGTACATATATTTTTGTCTGTGCATGCATAAGACAACTGCAAGTATACACAAGACAACAATAACTTTGATTGCCAATAGGAAGGGGAAATGGGTTGCTGAGGGAAGAAGACTTTACTGTTTTCCCTTTTGTACCTTCTGAATCATGTAAATATACTACTTCTTCAAAACTAAATAAGTTACAAGAAAAATTCTGTCCCTGTTCTTAAATAGCTCACAGTCAAGACAGATAAACAATTACTGTACAATAGGGAAGAACTAATTGAAACTATCTAATAGGCTACAACACAGAAGCAAGGAAAAGGTTAAAAAATTTCTCTGGGCCAGAGAAAATACAATTGGAAATTATCTTATTCCTCCCATTTCAGCCAACATTTCTGTGGACCCAACAATCCTCAAGGCCCATGTACTACAGGTATATTTAGGTCGTGACTCTTAGCACCCAGAAGGCTCTTTGTCCAGTGCCCTTACCTTACATATATATAAAGCTGGACCCCTGCAGGATGAAGGGACTTGCTTTGAGCCACGTGGATGGTTGGCAATGTCCCAGTCCTGAGCCCACCACAGAGTCCCTTCCTGTAGCAGACACTGACACAACCACACACGCAGTGACTTGGTAGTGCTCTGTATCGGCTGAGACACAATTTGGTCTGTGGAGACTCTGCCTGCCAATCCTCTTTGTAGGCCCTGATCAACTTGTATGCCCACAAACCAGTTAGATGTTGCCCCTCCCTCCTTAGGGGCTCAGACAAAATTAAGCAAACTTCTCAGAGGAGGACAGAGAAATCATCAGCCTTTTCCTTCCAGGAAGTGCTCAGCATAAAAGGAGTCCATTTGGCCTTTGCCACCTTGTCAGACCAGGATCACAATCATGGCTGGACCTTTCCATTTGCTTCTTATGCATAACAAGCCATGTGGCCCACTGTGCAGTTAGTTAACTGAAATTTCAACATTTAGCCAGTAATCTTGCTTTCAAGGAAACAAAATAATTGTTTATCAGCCTGTCATTCCCAAGCTCACTCCAGTCTTTAATTTCTCTCTAGCAATAAGGCAATTTGTTTTCAATTGCAAATCCTTGCACAACCTGGCATGCAATAGAGAGCAAGTATGGCCTTCCATACCTCATGGCTTTAGAAACAGAATAGTGCCTAGCCTAAGGCATGCTAAATTTCATCATGATTTCAGAGCCCTGGCTTGCTAACATTTCTTTAGTTTTCCACTAAACTGTTCTTCCTGTCCAGGACCCTCCACCTGCTCCCACAACTCTACACAGTTAACCGTTGATCTCTCCTCTGCCCTCATCATCAGTCTCTTTATTCTTCTTGTTTCTTCCTATGCACTTCAGAGCAGCAGCCCAGTCTTAAAAATAGCTCCCCCCTTGATCCTTCCTTCTCTTTCATCTCTGATGCTATTCCTTTTTCCCTTTCACTTCTAGATGCCTTTGGAATATGAAGAGGAAAAAAATCACACTTCAGCAAATTTAACATGAATAAAAATATAAATGACAAAAGTAACAAATATTTATTGATCACTTACTTTGCAGTAAGTACTGAGCTAAATAACCTAGCATGCATGACCTCTGAATGAACAAATATTTTGTTTTGCAAGCTATGTTTGTCTCAAATAATGATCTGCAGAAACATAGACTATGGTTGGTTTCAATACAATCCATTCTCTAAAACGACAGGAATCAATTGTGTGACCATACACCCACTTTCAAACAGCCCTTGGCTGTGTGACAGCCATACTCTAGAACCAAACTATCTGGCTATATGATGCTTGCATTATTGCAAGTAGTGGGAGGATGGATGACAACCTCTCCCCTTCTACCCTAAGGGACCATGAGATAAAGCTATCTTAGGTCTATTCATATGCCATCACAACTCAAATTTCAACATCTCTCACCACAACCACATCACTCCTACTTGAAAATGTAACCCAAATGTGAAGCTATACAACACCACTACCCAACAGCCACAGTATTAAAAGATAGGAAGAGAAAGAAATACATGAAAATGCGAGCTGAAAGTTTCTCACATGCATCTACAAAATTCTTATTAAATCCAATAGCCTGGGATGGAGACTTTTAATAATGTCATTATAAGGAAATTCCACTAGAACATTGAGATAACTCATAAGAGTTTGTGATCCTATATGTTTTGTGCACCCACTTTTCCCTTTTTAAAATTGTTTGGTCGTGGAATACTTATCTAGCCATTCTATTAAGATAGTATCTGAACTTGGTTTCCCTGAAATCTTTCTCCCTTCTAATCATCTTCCTCCCACATACTATAATAGTGATACTTAAAATGTCCTATCTGAAAAAAAATATTTGAATAGAATTAGGAAACAGATATATCATCACTTATCTATGCTGCCCACTAATATATCACAAGACCAAGAGGTGCTCAATAAATATGCTTTAACAAATACATAAATTATTTAGTGACCAGGAAAAGCATAAAACAGGAAGCTTATTGTTGCCTATCAATCAACATTTTTAATTTTTTTTTTTATGTTTTTGCTTTTTTAATGATTCTTCCAAGCTGTCAAGAATGCAGTACATTGAGTGCCCTGGTATTATTGACAAAAGAGAATTTGACAACATTGTTTTTCAAAGAGTCCTTTCAACTTTATAAATTAACCCTATAATATGGGTTATATGATAGCCTTAATATAAACAGAAAAATATCTTATTCAGAAAATGTCAAAATTTGAAAATACTAAAGTTCAGCAATAATGGAATGTTGAGTAACTGGTGGTACAAATAACTCAATGAAATATTATGTAGCTATCAAAAATGATCATTAGATTTATACAATAACATAAGTGAAAAAGTAACAAAAAATGAAGATTGTAATAACACTCATGCAAAACAAGCAGAGACTCGTGCAAAAAATGCTAACAAGAGGAACTAGATTTGAATTTTGGCTCCCCAGTTTATTAACAGTGTGAATTTAGATGGATTAATCTCTATGGCTCAACTTCCTCACATTAATTACAATGCAATAATAGTGATAAAAATAATAACTCATTTCAGAGGAGTATTGTGGGGAGGTAAATGAGTGCTGTGGCTGAAATAGGATAAGCACTCAATAGATGTGATTAATATAGTGATTATTATGAGGGCAATGGAACTATGGTGTTTTGTCTTTGTTTCCCAAATCCTCAATGATGTGTAACATTAATATACATCGTGATGGTGATCTCTTCATCTCTCTACCCAGTCTTCTCTAAGAAATATCCGAAACTGGATCATTTCAGCCATTGTAGTCTCACTCTCTCTTCCTAGGAATTCCCATAGTGCTTCCTTTTTGAAATGATTGTTAGTAATGTTTTTATTTTGCCTGGAGTGCATCACTACCTTTTATACATACATGCTCATCTCCAATCCCCCGACCATGGCTCTCAGGAAAGGGGCATCTTGAGTCCCTCTCATTAGCCCTTCAGCATGCAACCAAATGTATCTCAATAGGTTGATTTAATTTTTAAAACATGTTGATTTGGCAATCATATAGATAGAAGCATGTAGAGTATCCAGAATTCCAGAATTCCATAAATGTTAGCTGTTTTTCTGTTTTTTGTGTTTTTTTTTTTACCATTTATTTCAGGGTCAGGGGTACATGTGCAGGTTTGCTATACAGGTAAACTTGTGACATCGTTGTTTGAGGTACAAATTATTTCAGATTCTTTCTTAATCATATTTTATTTCCATAGTCACAAAAGAACAAAAAAAAATTTTTTTAAATCTTTGGGTTGGTTTTCTTTGGTTTGTGTTTTACATCCACTTAGTTTTATAACTCAGTAGAGCCTGCAAACAGACAACATTCTTTTTCATAAGATGAACTACGTCTGTATTTTCTCTGTACAGAAATAAATGTAATAAGCCAGGTCAGTGGTGATTAATTTCCAGAACAAAGGATTTACCAGGTGGAAAGCCAGAGGGTAGGCAGTATAAGACTTACAGGGACAGAACCCTTTGGAAGGCAGAATTCTATTCAAATTCAATTAAAACTATGCTCTCAATCCAAAGGTAAATGATTCTGCTTAAAGTTTTTTGTGCCTACTATTTCCCTAGGGCAAGAGCCCTGTAAGCAGATACCTTTAATTGTGCCAGCTCCTTTTGTATTTTTCACAATTAGCCTATCTCCAATTATATAAACACATACACGATTACAGTCTTTGGTTATGGAAGGTATTTACAGGAAAATAAAGGTAACTTTAACTTTGAGAGTTGGTTTTAGGACAAACAAGATTAAAGCTTATATGGATATACAAAATAATAGACTAATGCTATTGTCTGCTTCCCTTAAATTATTTTATTAGACGGAACATATTAATTATAATGAAAGCAAACTTGGACTCTGGGTTTCTAAAGAAAATTCCTTTGTAGCATCACAGCAGGATTTCCTACCATTTTTCTCTTTCTGATGAAATTAACTTCCCATAGTTGGTCAGCAGGATAATCTAATTTTAGCCAATCAGCTTGGGAGCTGCTGTTGACCTCACAAAGGGAGAGAAAGGTATCTGCAGTCATAGCAACCACTCGCTCAGCTCCGATCATCTCTCTGGACCCTTCCGCCTAATGACAGACACCCGCTTGCTTCTTAGATGATTAATCTTTTCCCCTGTGAACCTCCTTGAATACATTAGCCAAACAAGTCTGATAAATTTGTTTATCCCAAGACAATCATTAGAAAATTACCTGCAAAACTAATTCTCACTAGAGCAGTTTGTGAATGGAAAGCCATATGGCAGATAAAAACAGAAATATGCAATAAAATCTCTTGCTGTATGTCACAACAGGTTAGGAAACTTTTTTCCACTTTGAACTTTATCATTTTTTGCTAAATCACAAAAGCATATTAGCCTAAAAGCCATTTTCCATGAGCAAAAGAACATTGATTCTAGTCACTAGTCACTCCTCCAATCAACACTACACGCCTACTATGCGCTAGGGGCTGGGGATGCACCCGCGAATATGAGCTATTGCTGGCTTCCACAATCTCACATTCCAGTGGGAGGAGACAGATGTATAAATAGATAATTACAACATACTATAAGGGCAGTAAAAGAGGCAAAACTGTGGGCTCTGAAAGCATTGGAAAGAAGTGGATAACTGTTTTCCAGAATCAACTAAGATTTTACCGTAGCAACATTCAGATTAGGTAAAATAGCAGGACTTTTCCAAGAGATAGAATATTCTTGGCAAAGAAAATAGCATTGGAGAAGCATGGACTTATGGACAATGGTGATAAACTCCTGGGCAGCAAACTGCAGCAGCTGGGTATTGGCTACATCTTTTTTTCCAAGAAGTTGGACTGAAAAATGTGGATTGTAACGGGGTTGAAGTACCCTATAGGATAGCACATGTTAGGGCCTCAAGAAGACTGAAACAACGGGGATGGACAGGAAGGGCCACTTTGGAAGTTCTGATGTTGAATCAAAAGAATAAAATTGTTGGTGTACCCTTAGTGATGCTCCTCACTTATGGAAAGAAAGAGAAGACAATAAGCACGTGTGTGGCCACACTGCTAATATGGGCCATTTCCATACACAGTCACTAGATCCACCACTAAAGGGTCAGTTCATTGAGTGAGAGACAGGGCTGGGTTTCTGTGTTGTTAGGTGCTCCAAAATGAGAGAAGGTATTTAAAGCAGCTGATGAGACAACTGTAACTAGTTGAGTAGGGTTATTAGTGTGGGCAGAACCTTACTGACACTATAGGCTTTTATAAACCAACACTAGACAAACTTCACCAAAATCAGGGCTTGAGAGCCAGGTGTCTGGACCAGTAGCCAAAGCTGTCTGAGTCCAGGTGGTGATGCTACGAGTGGTAGGACAATTGGGCCCATGTCAGTTCTGCAGCCACGCTGTGATTTCACCAAGGCAGGCTTCAGAAACGCTGACTGGAATGAAAGGTGTCATGTAGGTAAGCCTATCATTGATTAGGTTCTCCAAACCAATTCAGGAGCTTTACCAGGACATGTGCTCTAGGTCTAGACTGCCCAAGCTTGAGAATTTCTACATCTGCGGTTCTGTGCGAGTATTCCAGTCCAGGTTTCTAATTTTCTCATGCCTTGCAAGAAGAATGTTGCCCACCATAAATCTGCTCCACAGAAGCCTCAGAAAGGAGCCAATCATTAGACTGAGGAGTCTCTATTTTCTATATTTGCCAAATTTTTAACGGTGAGCATGTATTAGTTTTGTAATGAAAACATGTTTTTAAGAGATAGAAATTTCAACATAAATTACCTCAAAAGCTGTTCTTCTGTAATAGCAAATACACAAGTTGGACACAATTATCAGAAGCACTTACACAATTATCTGCACTAGGCTGGGCATGGTGGCTCACACCTGTAATCCCAGTGCTATGGGAGGCTAACGCAGGGGGATTGCTCGAGCCCAAGAGGTCAAAACCAGTCTGGGCAACAGAGTGAGACCCTGTCTCAACACCCTTCCATGGCCCCTGCCAAGCAACTGCACTATACCAGGTCCTGTGCAAAGCCCTTCACAGACTTGAGTCATGTAATCCTCACAGCAGCCCCTAGAGAGGGACTCCATTTTACCAAAGAAAAAACAGCATTGGAAATGTACAACTGAAAGAAGGAAAGAAAAGAAAAGGAAGGAAAGAAAAAAAAAAAGAAAAAAGTTTTGTCAAGGTTCCAGATAAAGAGAATATTGCCTGGAAATTAGGTTACTACTAAAGGTTATTTTATTTTTAATTTCCATCCAATGACTATATTCTGAGCACCTGTATGTCAGGCTCTGAACTACAAAAAGAAACAGGTGTTCTGGTGGGGAGGCAGGCACATGGACAACTAAATATAAGATAATGTGATACGTTCCTTTAGAGTGGGCTATGCAAAGTGCAGATATTAGCCCATGTGAACCGTGTCTGAGGAAGCAACAGTTCCACTTCACTGTGTGCCAAGCTTCATGCTTGAGACCTGATAAATAGTACTTCATTTATACTGCATGACAACCTCAAGGGGTGCTATTTTTCTCTGACATTTTATAAATGAGGAAAATCAAGCTAAGAGGTTATAGAGCTTATCCAAAGTCATATAACTATTAAACAATAAATCTAGAATTTGAACCCAGATCTATGTAATTCTAAAGTTTGGGTGCTTTTCACTATGTTGTAAAGGTAGAAAAATACACTCGAGTCTGGGCGCGGTGGCTCACGCCTGTAATCCCAGCACTTTGGGAGGCCGAGGTGGGAGGATCAAGAGGTCAGGAGTTCGAGACCAGCCTGACCAACATGGTGAAACCCTGTCTTTACTAAAAATAACCAAAATTAGCTGGGCCTGGTGGCATGCACCTGTAATCCCAGCTACTTAGGAGGCTGAGGCAGGAGAATCGCTTGAACCCAGGAGGCGGAGGTTGCAGTGAGCTGAGATAGCACCACTGCACTCCAGCCTGGGTGACAGAGCAAGACTGCATCTCAAAAAAAGAAAAGAAAAGAAAGAGAGAGAAAGAAAGAAAGAGAGAAAGAAAGAAAGAAAGAAAGAAAGAAAGAAAGAAAGAAAGAAAGAAAGAAAGAAAGAAAGAAAGAAAAATACAGTCAAAGCCCATTTCACAAGTTTGGGTTTTTTAAGATTGGACAATCTATCTGTATTTAGAAACAAAATCCCATATTCACATAATGAGGGGTCCTTCCTTAATTTCCTTGTCTTCCTCATTCTTTCTCCACACAAGCAGACCAGGAGGCAGCATTTTCCAAAGGACAGGGACACAGGAAGCTGCCTTGTGAAAGAACATGTGTTTCAATTCCAAAGGACATAAGCTACAAGCTTAATATATATATAAATATATATTTTTTACATATTTTTAAATCTCTGCAGACCCTGGAGATTTGCTGGATACACCATTCTCTCCCTCCCACCCCCTTTTTGCAAAGGAGCTCTCCATCAATAATATTAGGTCCTCTGTCTTTCCCCTCTGAAACCCAAATTCAAACTATTGACCCTAATCTTACCTCTGGAAAGGTAATGCAATGTGTTTAAAACTCAGGGAGACAAGAGGCTGTGAGACCTACATGAGAATAAGAAGCCTTCATCGTTTAACCCAGGACTGCCACAAATTCTCAGGAGTATAAGGCTGAAAAAAAAAAGGACCACTTATACAAAATGACCTTTTTCATTTTACTTACATTAAGCAGAGGGAAGTAAGTTTTAGGACAAATCTATCTAGGCAAAATGTCTGAGATTCTCAGTGGGAAATGTGCACCTCTTTCTTTTTGTTCATCCAGACCTTGTTTTCTATGGGAAAAGTCACAAGGCCCCTGGGGCACAGGATACCCCATGAAGATATAGATATTTCAGGAAAGTAGAACCAGCAGAATGAGAATATTTTGGGCCAGGCGCAGTGCCTCATGCCTGTAATCCCAGCACTTTGGGAGGCTGAGGCGCGTGGATCACCTGAGGTCAGAAGTTTGAGACAAGCCTGGCCAACATGCTGAAACCCCATCTCTGCTAAAAATACAAAAATTATCCAGGCGTGGTGGCGCTTGCCTGTAGTCCCAGCTACTCGTGAGGCTGAGGTAAGAAAATCGCTTGAACCCGGGAGGCAGAGGTTGCAGTGAACCAAGATCATACCACTGCACTCCAACCTGGGCAACAGAGTGAGGCCCTGTCTCAAACAACATCACCACCAAAAAAAAAGAAAAAAAAAAAAAAAGAATGAGGATATTTGGTTCCAGGGCAAAGTCCTTCTGAATTAAACAAAGGATCTAACCAGTGGTTGGGAATACCAGAACAGGGTTCAGATGTCCTGGGAAAAGGATTGGCTGACAGCCTTTGGAAAGCTGTTGAGGTCCAGAAAGAACCACCATTTCTAGCAGTGAACTAGAAAGAAAACCAGAGGCCAGGACAGAAACTCAGACAGACCACATTAGTATCTGTAGAACAATCTCCTGTCTCCTGCTCTCCTACTTTCCAAGGTTTCTTCCAAATCATGTTGCACACCATTTACAGAAGAATTATTTCGCTCTCCTGCTCAAGAACTTACTATAGCTCCTTGTTGCCTCCTATTACTGAAGTGATCATACATCCTGATTTGCTCAGTCTGTCTTACACTTATTATCCTTGTGTAATTATTAATGGCATCTCCTATTGCCCTCAATAGTGTTCCATTTCGTTGATTAATCATGTGGTTACCATATCTTCTACTTACTTCAAACTTCTCTGCCCAATTTGCCATTCACTTTTATGCCCAGGAGTTCTCAAATAATTCTGTGCTCATTTAAAGGGATTACACTATATATACCATTATAGGTTGCCCCTGCAAGTTGAGTAGAACTCTTTACTGTCCTGAGCCATAATTCTTAGATATTCTAATAAGTTACATGTTTAGTAAATTACATATTCCAGTAAGCACAAACTCGTTTTTGGAGCTGCAATGTTAAACACAGGTGTAGTGGAATCCTGACTTTGCCACTGACAAGCTGTGTGGCCGTGAGCAAATCATATCTCCTCTCTCAAATGTTAGTTTCCATATCTGTAAGCACAGAGACAATCATAGAACCTAACTCATAGGGTTAGAAATCAGCTTTAGGAAAGAAGATCCAGGTAAAGTGCTTATTACAACCACACTGGCTAATGGTAATGGTTATGACTACCTCCCACCAACATCCCACTCAGCACAATGCTGCCTGATAGACGGCTCCACTACACAATGAGTCCTCACTTGCAGCAATGATATGCTGTATGCATTGATCACAATTTGGAGCCTTATTTGGCAAATGCTGGAGTCTTAGGTAGTGTTCCGCAGAAGCAGAGACTTCGATGGGGATTCTTTTCAAGTGATTTTTTAGGAGTGTTTTCTGGAGAGGGAGCATGAGGGATACAGGAGAGAATATGTGGGGAGGGGAGGAGATATTAAGCAAGATGTGATCTCAGTTTCAGATGACCTTCAGTTTGATCCCATCAGGAAACTCTGGAGCACAAAGTATATTATAATGTTAGCCCTAGTTTTAGCAAGTGGTCTCTATTAGTTTGTGATATCCATGTGGACCTGTTATTTCCCACTATGCCAGACAAACTCATGAAGACTCAGGTGGCTTGTGCATTTAGTATGTGTAAAGCAATGCATTTTTCAAAATCCCAGTTTCTTCATTTCCAAAATGGCAATGGTAATACTTATATTGTAGGTTGTTGTAAGGACTTAGAAATAAGACTCCTAATCCTGACAGCAAATGGGCACATTTTTTCCTCTCATCAGTCACATTTCTCTAAGTGTATTACCCATGGTATCTAGGTTCTTACTTACATGTCTTTGCTCATGATCTTTCTCCTCTCACACTTACCCCCAACCACGACCCCAGAAAACAGTGCCTGAGCACCATGCATAACACACACACAAACACACCCTTCCCCTTAACGTGCACCCACGTATCCTCTACTCCAAGCTTCCCACTTCAAAACCCTGGTCCAAGTCTCACCTCTTCCATCAGCCTAACAGATTTCCTCAAATTGATATTCACCTTGCCTTTCTCTAAAATACTTTTCTACTTAATTCCATAGAGTTTAACATTTAATTGATTCCTAATTGTTTAATATTTGTTTGGTCTCTTCTAACAAGATTTTAAATTTCTACTCCTCTATCCCAACCCTGCCACAGAACTCAGACAAGACCTAGACACCATTTTGCTTAGATTAAAAAGTATTTGTTGATGAGAAGGACAGTGAAATAACTTGGTTGACCATTTCAATTCTCAGATTCTCAAAGCTAGCAAAATCCTCCCCTGTGATCCAGAGGTGCTTGGCTGACAACCTGAACCAATAGTGCATGTAAAATGAATGATAATGGCTTCCCCTGTAATTTAGCTCACAGATGAATCTTAGGTGAGATTTTTCCATTGAGTTCTAACAGTTTCTGAAAATTGGTGCCATAGGAGGTGCAAAGTGGAATGCCCAACACAGCTCTGATTATCAACTGCAGTCTATGCATGCATTACAATAACAACAGCAGGGTTAGGTTGCTTTCAGCATCCTGAAATCTCTTATGAAATCAAAGCTTAAGTATTTAACAAGTACGGTGTGTCCTAATTTATGCAATAGGTATACCTCTGGAAAGTTAATGTAAATTGACATTTTTGGAGAGAGAGAATCAAATTTTATTTAAAATTCCCTTGGAGTATTCTCTAAGTAATGGTATTATGATTTGGGGAATTTTCCTGTAAATAATTACTTATTTATTTAGTTAGTTTTATGTAGAGTTTTTGGTCCTTTCAAATCAGGATGTATCTATATTTTACTCTCAGACTTTTAGAAAAATAAATGAAATTAGAAAGCTACCATTATTCAATACTATTCCTTTTTTTGTCATCTTTTCCCCCAGTTTAAAATAGGTGAATTTACTTATTTTAAAATATCATCCATTTTATATCATAAAATATCAACACACTTCACAGATGAGACAATGAAAATTCAGAGAAGTTAAATACCCAGGGTTACAAAGGCTGCCATAACAAACTACTATAGGTTAGGTGGCTCAAAGAAGAGAAATTTACTTTCTCACAGTTCTGGTGTCAACAGAATTTATTTCTTCTGAGATCTCTCTCCTTCACTTGTAGATGGCCATCAGGTATGGACTGAATGTTTGTATACTTCCAAAATTCATAAGTTGAAGCCCTAATCCCCAATGTGATGGTATTTGGAGGTGGAACCTTTGGGAGGTTATTAGGTTTAGATAAGGTCATGAGGGCAAGGTCCCCATGATGAGATTAATGCCCTTATAAAAGAAGGAAGAGCTCTCCCTCCCTCCCTCTCTCTCTCTCTCTCTCTCTCTCTCTTTCTCTCCCCCCCCCCCCTCTGTGCATGCAGGTACCAAGGAAAGACCACACGAGGATATAACCAGGAAGAAGGCCCTCACCAAGAACCAGACCAAGCTGGCACCATGATCTCAGACTTTCAGCTTCCAACATGGAGAGAAATAAATGTTCACTGTTCAGGCTACTCAGTCTATGGTATTTGCGTAGTAGCCTGAGCTAAGACACCAGCTTCTCCCAGTGTCTTCATGTGCACTCCTCTATGTGTATCTTTGTCCTAATTGCCTCTTTTTACAAGGACACCCGTCATTGGATTAGGGCCCACACCAATGATCCCATTTGTCTTTATCACCTCTTTAAGACCTATCTCCAAATGTAGTCACATTCTGAGGTACTGGGGTTAAGACTTCAGCATATGAATTTGGGAGCAGGGACACAATTCAGCCCATAACATACAGCTAATGAGTGAAGAATCAGGACTAGAACCCAGCAACCCCAAGACCTACTTCAAGACTCTCTTCCACTGTACCTCTCTGTCTATATTGTTTTCCTAGCTACATGTTGTTTGTGGAATTAAGAATAAGGTATCAAGTAAATATAAGTTTTCATCTACATTTAAATGTTTCATCTACGGGCATTTCTTCTATGGTACAATGTAACTGAAAAAAGCTTTGCCTTCTACAAAATTGCACATGAAGAGTAATAGAGTTTATGGGGAAAATAAGGTTGGGCAGACCACTCAGTATCTGTGAAACTTTTGTAATAGAGCACTAACAAATACTTTAACAGTCTTTCAAAAATCTTCAGCAGTTTAATCTCTATTGGCATTTACACCTAGCTTCAAATTAGTCTCCATTATTTGCAACCTTAAACTCCACAGTTTGGGAGTCTTCTTCCAGATGTATGAATTAAATAAGATTTGCTTCTAATAGAAGCCACTTTTATCAAAATTTTAAAATCTATTCCTGAGCTCAGACTTCATAAAGATGTTGTCCTCATATTCTCCCCTAATATTGCTTGTGAGTACCCTGCTCATTGGGACCAGTGACTCTTAAAGTTATCCTACTCTGTAAAGTCCACACATGCTTCTGTCTTCAAGAACTGGTAAAATGATAATTATCATACTAATAGCTACCATTTATCAAGCACATACTATATGTCAGGCCCTCAGCCAAGTCTTTTACACATTTATAACCCTATGACAACTCTACAAGGTAGGCATTTGTATCACTGTTTTTCAGTCAAGAAAACCGAGGCTCAGAGAAGTTACAAAACTTTTCTAAAAACACACAGACACCCAACCTAAATCCAGAAGTTTATAGTAATCTGTGTTAATGGCCATCCTGTTAATGAAGACCCATTATTTCAGGCATTTGTTATCTTTTCCATTTGTATTCTATTGTATTAACTTCCCTCACAATCCAGACTTCTCTGCGTATTTGAGGAGCATCATATTTGCCAACATCAAGTCATTAATAAAAACACCGAACAGAGCAGGATCAAGATTAGACCCTTCCCTCTTCTAAAGAATTTCTCATGGTCATACAGTTATACTGTTAATCCATTCCACTCTTTTACCATTTAATCTGCACTGGATACCCACAGGTTTTCACAGGTCTATCATCTTGCTGAGATTAACATACAGTTAGTCAATGCATTTGGTTCTTCAATCAAGCCAATAAAAACAAATGTCTCTGCTTTTCTTTTAGGCACTTACAACCATCAGATATATAATTTGTTTTCAATTATTGCCTAAGATCAGCATTAAAATTTAGTAGTCCAACTTTTTCTTCTTTTGGTAACATCAATAGCATCACTTCATTTCCTATCTACTGTCTCCACTCACATTGTCTATAACCTCTTGTTAAGTTTGAGCACTGGATTGCTCATTACATCTGTAGACTATGGACATATCCTACATACTTCACTCAAAAATGGAGCCATGACTCCATGTGAAACTATGGATTTATTTAAATGTAAAATTCTTATTCTATCTTAGTCAAATATATCCTCCTAGAATATATACCCTACATTTTAGAGTCTAGAGACCATGCTGCTCAACACAGAAAAAAGAAGTTGAATACGACTGTCTTCTTTCCACCTTCTACTAATATTACATTCCAAGTTGTTCATTTTTTTCTTCTCTCTTTGAATATCCTTTTGTAGTCTTTGGAGTTTCCTGAGGTGCAGGACATTTTAAAATTAACCCTTCTGGCCGGGCATGGTGGCTCACGACTATAATCCCAGCACTTTGGGGGGCCGAGAAGGGTAGATCACCAGAGATCAGGAGTTTGAGACTAGCCTGACCAACATGGTGAAACCCCATCTCTATTAAAAATACAAAAAATTAGCCAGGCATAATGGCAGGCGCCTATAATCCCAGCTACTCGGGAGGCTGAGGCAGGAGAATCGCTTGAACCCAGGAGGCAGAAGTTGCAATGAGCCGAGATTGTGCCATTGCACTCCAGCCTGAGCAACAAGAGCGAGACTCCATCTCATAAAGAAAAAAGAAAAAAAAAATAACGTTGTTTTAGCAAACACTATCTTGGTTAAATAGCACATTAATAGTCTTAATCATATTTTTAACTCAACAAAACATTGTAAACTCTGAAAATTTGGGAATTTAAAATCAAAGCCACAATGAGATACCATCTTATACCAGTCAGGATGGCTACTACTATGAAAAAGTCAAAAAATAACAGATGCTGGTGAGGCTGTGGAGAAAAGGGAACAATTATACACTGTTGGTATGAATGTAATTAGTTCAGCCACTGTGGAAAGAAATTTGGAGAACTTAAAACAGATCTATCATTCAACCCAGCAAACCCATTACCGGGTTATACCCAAAGGCAACAAGAGCAAAACTCCATCTCAAGAGAAAAAAAAAAAAGAAGAAAATTAGCCAGGTGTGGTGGCGCATGCCTATAATCCCAGCTACTAGGAAGGCTGAGGCAGGAGAATCACTTGAACCCAGGAGGCAGAGGTTCTAGTGAGCCAAGATCACACTACTGCACTCCAGCCTGGGCAATAGTGCAAGATTCTGTCTCAAAATAATAATAGTAACAATAGTCAGAGATTTTTAACAGGGTAAAGAAGGAAATTGTCTTCTATGAATTCATACAAGGTTGGTTATAGTGTCTTCCTCTATGATTTTTTTAAACAAGAGTTGGTATCACTAGAGAGACAGAAACAGGAAAATCTCATCTGATTTCAGAAACTGCACTATATTTTTTTCTGATCATATTCAAAAATCGAATTTTCTATACTTTGCTTTTATTTTCACTAAGAAATGTTCTTTGATAAAAGTGACTCAAACTTTTTATGAAAGCTGAGTTAAGCAGTAAAATAATATTTTATCTTAGCTATTAAAAAACACACCATTGGATGGGTGTGGTGGCTCACACCTGTAATCCCAGCACTTTGGGAGGCCGAGGCGGGCAGATCACTTGAGGTCAGGAGTTTGAGACCAGTCTGGCCAACATGGTGAAACCCTGTCTCTACTAAAAATACAAAAATTAGCCAGGCATGGTGACATGCACCTGTAATCCCAGCTACTCAGGAGGCTGAGGCAGGATAATCGCTTGAACCCGGGAGGTGGAGGTTGCAGTGAGCCAAGATTGAGCCACTGCACTCCAGCCTGGGTGACAAAGCAAGACTCTGTCTGAAAACAACAACAACAACAAAACAAAACCAAAAAAAAGTGCCTTCATTCTATGAAATGTGTTAAAGATGGGAGAGTAAATTAAAATTTATGTTCTCACATAAATTTGAAGGATGCTGTTCGAGGCCACAGCCTATTTGCTCATCAACATTCACATCTAGACCTGAAAGCCTGTCACATTGTCAAGAAGACACTACCTTTGGGAATCAAGAAGACACTACCTTTGGGAATCCAATGACTAACTGAAGCCAAAGACAAATTCAGGCTCTCATATTGCTACTCCCAACTGAACTTCTGAACTTTTCACAAGTGAGTGAATCTAAAACATTCCAGGTTGATTCACATAGTTTGCTTGACATAACCTGTAAAAGACTAGAAAGAGAAAGTTAACTCTCCCCCACCAGATTGTAAACCCTATGAGGGCAAGCCTTTTGACTCATTTATGGCCATGTCCTTTGTGTCTGGCAAGAAGTGTGAGAAAATATTTATTGCACTAATAAATAAATGCATAACTTTTCCTTCTATACTTGTATATTTTATGTGTAGCATCTAGGCTTCTGCATCTAAAATAATTTAAAGCTTTTTTTTTTTTTTTTTTTTTTTTGGAGATGGAGTCTCACTCTGTTGCTCAGGCTAGAGTGCAATGGTGCAATCTCAGCTCACTGCAACCTCCGCCTCCTGGGTTCAAGCAATTCTCCTGCCTCAGCCTCCCGAGTAGCTGGGATTACAGGCATAAGCCACCATGCCCAGCTAATTTTTGTATTTTTAGTAGAGATGGGGTTTCGCCATGTTGGCCAGGCTGGTCTCGAACCCCTGACCTCAGGTGATCCACCCACCTCAGCCTCCCAAAGTGCTAGGATTACAGGCATGAGCCACTGCACTGGCCTAAAGCTTTTTTTTTTTAAAGGTAGTCCATATCTGCAGCCAACTGATTTTCAACAAAAGTGCTAAGAACACACATTGGAGAAAAGACAGTCTCTTTAATAAATGATGCTGGAAAAATTGAATGTCTACATGCAGAAGAAAGAAACTAGATGCCTTCTTTTCATCATATACAAAGGTCAACTCAAAATGTATTAGACTTAAATGTAAAACCTGAAACTATGAAACTACTAGAAGAAAATAAGTGAAATGCTTCACAACATTAAATTGGGCAAGGGATTTAAAAACAAGACCTCAAAAGCACAGGCAACCAAAGCTAAAAATAGACAAAAGGGATTATATCAAAAAGCTTTTGCACAGTAAAGGAAACAATTAACAGAGGGAAGAAACAACCTGCAGAATGAGAGAAGATATTTACAAACTATACATCTGACAAGGGGTTAATAACCAGAATATATAAGGAACTTAAGAGCAAAAACAAATAAGCTGATTTAAAATGGACAAAAGACCTTAATAAACATTTCTCAAAAGAAAACACACAAGTGGCCAACAGATATATGAAAAAGTGCTCAGCATAACTAATCACCGGGGAAATGCAATCAAAACCACAATAAGAGGCCATCTCACTCCAGTTAAAATGACTATTATCAGAAAGGCAAAAGAAAATAAGGGTTAATGAGGATGTGGAGAAATGAGAACACTTACACATTGTTATCTGGAATGTAAATTAGTACAGCCATTTTGGAAAACTATATAGATGTTCCTCAAAAAATTAAAAATAGAACTACCATATTATCCAGCAATCCCACTACTGGGTATATATCCAGAGGACATGAAATCAGTATGTCAAAAGATATTTGCAATTCCATATTTATTGCAGCAGTATTCACAATAGCCAAGATATGGAATCCACCTGTGTATCCAACAACAGATGAATGGATAAAGAAAATGTGGTATATATACACAATGGAATACTATTCAGCCATAAAAAGAAGAAAATCCTGTCATTTTTGACAACATATATAAGCCCAGAGGGCATTATGTTAAATATAACCCAGACTCAGAAAGACAAATATTACATGATATCACTCATATGTGTAATCCAAAAAGAAGTTGATATCATGCAAGTAGAGGATAGAACAGTGGTTACCAGAGACTAGGGAGGGGATGGTGGGGAAAATGGGGAGAGGTTGGCCAATGGGTAAAAAGTTACGATTGGGTAGGAAGAATTAGTTCTGGTGGTTTTTTTTTTTTTGAGACGGAGTCACTCTGTCGCCCAGGCTAGTTCTGGTGTTTTATTGCATAGTAGGGTGACTATGGTTAGCAGTAAGATATTGTACTACAAAATGGCTAGAAGAGAGGCTTTTGAATGTATTCATCTCAAAACAATAATAAATGCATGAGGTGATGCATAAACTAACTATCCTAATTTCATCATTATACAACAAATACATGTATTAAAATGTCAAATTGTACCCCACAAATATGTATGATTACAACTTCATTAAAAAGTAAATAAAATAATAAAGGCAGCTCGTAAGTAAGAGCAGAGAAAAAGGGAAAAGGAGGTGTTCCCAGCACATCAAAATAGAATCCCAAAATCCAAATCAATGTGTAATGAATGTCTACTTTATAAAATGATTGAGGTTCTGCCTAGTAATGCTTGATTTCAAAATGTGCACATGAGAATTCTTAAAATTACCTGGGCCATTATCTACCTAATCAAGCCCTGACATGACCAGGAATTGAATGAGTCAGAAACACAAAGCAAAGCTGACTCATGAGAAGGTCAGGCCCATCTACCACTTCCATTTCTCTCCTTACCCGACGTTACCCTTCCACTTTCAGACCCCTTGCCAACTCCTGCTACTCTCTCCTGGCACTCACTATTGCACCCAAAGTGTCACACATGGCTTGGTTTTAGGTCTCTGTATTTCTCCTTTCATCCCACTTATGACCTTTTGATCCCTACATGCAGGCTTGGTTGCTGCCTTCTATTCCTGGGATCTCTCAATTACAAAAAATTCCAAGACAGATCTCTTCTTAATGTTCTCTCTATAAGCCAACAGCAACTTTTGAAAGATTATAAGACCATACAGCAATTTTCTCATCTTTATATCTTTGATAAAGTCATTAACTACAGGTACATATGAACTTGTTGGTATATGTGTGAGCATACATGCCAAAACACACAAATACATATACAGAAACATACACACACACCTGGCATAACCAGATACTAGAAGTTTATGTGTAGGTTGCAAGCTCTATAATAAACCATTTTCTGGTATCAAATGTCTAAAAGTATTAAATGACCATTTATTTTATTGGCACAGACTTGTGATCATTATTATTCATGTTGGTGAGCCTATGACATTGCAAGATATTAATGTACTTTCTGATATAGCAATAATTTAGTGATTTCTGAGCAGTTTCAGTAGTCGATGGATTTGAACCAAGTGAAAGCTGACAATTTCTACCTAAAGGATGCTAACCTGGCTAATTTCATCTGGTACTAGCTTGGTGACCAAATGCCCATTTGTTCTTGAGGACTGAGGTTTTTCTTCAATGACACCTGAATGGGGTCTTTAAGCCATTTCTAAAGTAGAGTTTACTACAAAAAAAAAAAAAATGGAAATAATCCTTGGCAAATTAACTTAAGTTCACTTATCTATCTGTGCATCTATTTTCTATGCATTCATGTATGACTCATTATATGCAAAGATTTGGAACTGCCTGGCACATCATAAGTGCTATATAATTGTTCATTATTATGATGTGAAAAGAGCATCATGGCCAAGACAGACTTACAGTGTTCTTTGGATAATGAGGCATTTGCCAATGCTTGGGTTTTCTCCTCTTGTTGGCTGCCCCTGTATCATCCAGCATTGTCTCCTTTTTTATTTCCATGTTACTTGATCTGTGTTAATCTCGTCTTCTGTATCCACACCAAAATGCTAACTGGAAAACCAAAAAACATGTAGCACTTTAGGGAAATGCTTAAAATGCAATGAATAAGACATTAAGATTTTTAAACTTAATTATAAGATTTAATTCACTGCTACCACTGCTATCTAAATTTCTGCAGGCAGAATGAACTCATTTGACACCCTGTAGCAACAACTCTACCAAAACCATGCTGAAAACTTCCTCAGGACACCCTTGCAACCATATAACCAGTCTCCCAGTGACAGCGGAAGTACTATTTACAGTCCTAGGCAGGCTTACAAAGGAAAGAAGAGCTTCCTGGCAAAGTACACACAATTCAAATGCCCTCTTCTCTATAGTGCTTTTCCTGTCTCTCTTACTCCCAAACTGTGCAACTCAAAGCTATAGCTTGCTATCAGCAAGGTGGCAGAGGGGAGAAAGTGCTACTTCAATTGTTACTTACGTGCTATAAGTTGAACAGCTATCAACTGTTTTATTGATTAATCATTGCATCTCAACATCATAATAGGGTCCCAGTAAATGCTTATTTAATAAATGAATGAAGGTTGGTAAAGCAGATTTTATTCACCAACACAGCTAACGTATCATTCTCATATAAATGGAATTTTATTGCATGCATCACAACTGCTTTATATTATTTCATGGAGAGAGAAACAAACATTAAAAGATATCACCACCTGAAACAAATACATACATTTATATGTCCCTGACAGGGTCAGTTGTGGAACTGATTTGGTTCAAAGGAGCATCCACACAGAACTCCATTCCAACATGATTTTATCCTACTGTTTAGATTGTTTTGCTTACACGTAAATCAGAGAGCCTTTCCCTTCTTCAGCAAGTGTGAACAAATGAAAACATCACCTTCCGAAACAAATGAAAACATCACCTTGTAACATTTCATCACCATTTAGTTAACTACTGCTTAAACAGATACTATCCAAAATAAGTTATTTCCTTTTTTAAACTAAAACAGTAGAAAAAAATCTGACTTTTGAAATTAGCCAATAAATATCAAAATATATTTTCATTGGAAAGAAAATACCACAGAATATTCAGCAAATGTTTTCTGAAAGCATAATGTAGCCAGAAAAAAACTTGAAATGGAGAGTTTTGAGAAAATTTAACAGCATAGTAAGTCTAATGGTAGTGCTGCCTTCCCTTTCTTCAAATATAAGCATCTTCTTATTTCTTCAAAACTTAAAAAGAAGGCTGGGAAGATTAAGTGATGGAAAGGAACACGCTCCATATTAAGTGACATAAAAATTGACTTCTAAGGAGAGTAAAGTCTGGGCTTTTACCTAGGAATTCGGAGCTTGGAAACCATTCAGTCAGAGGTCACAGACCTCGGCCAGCATTCAAAAATTATGGATTTCCTGTCAAAAAAAAACAAAAACAAAAAACATGTTCACACACACACCCCCTTAGATTTCTAGTTTCTCCAGACTCACCCCTCAACCAACCCCACCAAACCTGGGTTCTGGGCACCTCTGATCAGGAGGTTTTCTCCCTTTGAGTGGTAGGTTGACATGAGGAAAGCCTAGCCAAGGCTTCCCCAGTTATCCTGAGTCACACACATGTTCCTCCTGCTGCTGTGGAAGTAACTAGACCAAGTCCAACTCGTCATTCTTGACAATCTTGAAACTTGAACCAGGAACAGAATAAAATCCAGATGCAAAGAAATATAATTATGTCATTTTGAATTTCTGCTTGTTTATCCGTCTTACAATTGGTAAGAATACAAGGCAAATCTATAATTCCAGAAGCTGTTCTTAGCATAAATGTCCACATTTCAATCTTCATTTGTATTGAATAATATTCAAATCAAAACAGGGCTTAAAACCTAGATGATGGGTTGATAGGTGCAGCAAATAGCAAACCTGCACGTTCTGCACATGTATCCCAGAACTTAAAATAAAAAATATCTATCTCAAGAAAAGAAAAGAAAAAATAAACAGTGTTCTTTGTTAGAGTTTGGTTTGCTAGCAAACCTCAACAGGTTGTAAGTTCTTCCAGAGAAGAGAAATCTATGATGTGATTATTTCATATTGCATGTCTGTATCAAAACATCTCATGTACCTCATATATATATATACCTACTGTGTACCCAAAATAATAAAAATAAAAATGAGGAGAGGAGGGAAATCCTTATATGCCTGGCCCGGTCATGCCATTATTATTATTATTTTTTTTTTTTTAGATTTTCTTTTTCTTTTTTTTTTTTAATTATACTTTAAGTTTTAGGGTACATGTGCACATTGTGCAGGTTAGTTACATATGTATACATGTGCCATGCTGGTGCGCTGCACCCACTAACTCGTCATCTAGCATTAGGTATATCTCATGCCATTATTTTATACCATCCCAGCCCTGAAGGTTGATGAATACTTGAGCATAATGGAAGGCTGATTCTCTGAAGGGACAAGTCAACGTTACAATAAGACAACTTATAACTTTCATGTTAACATATAAGTAAATGCGATGTTAAGGCATCGTTTAAGAACATACAAAGGAAGCTCTAAGCATTGAGGTCAGTTCCTAAAATATTCAAATTACATTGCTATTTCACAAAATGGGTTTTAGAGCCCAAGGTATTTCAGGAACTGCCTCCTCTCTTTTTACAGCCTACATTACATCAACCATCAATTTAGGAAGGAAATATTTAAACGGTAAGAAATGAAATGTTTCTTCACCATAATTGATTTTCCTTATTCTTTATGAGGTTAAAATCCCTTATACTTTTCATTTAAGAAAAAAAAAAAAAAAGCCAACTTCTGGTGAACATAAATGTTTTTAAGAACTGAAACCATTTAAATGTAAAAGGGAAATTGCTTTAAAGTAATTCATAAAGACACAAACAAAAATCATAAGTATTCAGAATCTGAAACAAATTCATTTTATGAAGCAAAATGCACAAAATCAAATATCTTTCATAGCAATGAAATATAATTTTCCTTAGGGAGTTTGGAAAATTCTCTCCAAAGTTCTGATTGATAAGCCTTTACAAAAGAAAGACTGCTTTTTGAGGTAGTAAATCGCCTACTGACATATTCTACACAAAGCTTCAGTGTTTAATACCAAGCTGCAGGGATATGAATACAAAGACATCAATTATCCCAAAATAGATTGGGGCAGAGTCTTGTTCAGTTATTAGTTCTTTAAGCTATGTCCACAGAGGACAGGGAGAAATAGAGATTTGGCAATCAGCTGGTTAATTTGGTCACTGTAGTCAACTGCACTGTATAATTTAGATCGGAAACATACGCTGACCTGGTGTTTTTAATTTGGAACATTCATCAAATTAATAAAATAATTGCCAATTCTCAATTGCACTATACCCTGTAAGCAGAGTTTTAGTAACACTGATCATGTTTTTGCTTATAATTATAAACACAATTAGACCTTATGTTATTTGGGCATCTGCACCTTTTAGACGGTGTCCCATTTTCTACATAGTTCCTCTCCCCTAGCTATGCGCCTACTTCCCTTTATCTACTCTTCTCTGTCAAGATGATCTTGCCTCCTAGCATGGGAAGGGAGTGAAGGCCATCAACTAGGAACTCCCTTGGCTCTCCGTCCTCCTACACATACACACAAACACTCTTTGTGGGTCCACACACCTTGACTTCTGTCTCACTGGGAGAGATATCTGGCTTCCTTTACAAAACCAACTTCTAGCATCTCCAGATTCCATCAATACTACTTCTCAGGGATCTTGCTCCATCTTCATCTTTTTTTTTTTTTTTTTTTTTTTTTCTCTTTTGAGACAGAGTTTTGCTCTACTGCCCAGGCTGGAGTGCAGTGGTGCAATCTCGGCTCACTGTAACCTCTGCCTCCTGGGTTCAAATGATTCTCCTGTCTCAGCCTTCTGAGCAGCTGGAATTACAGGCATGCGCCACCACATCTGGCTAATTTTTGTGTTTTTAATAAAGATGGGATTTCGCCATGTTGGCCAGGCTGGTATCAAACCCCTGACCGCAAGTGATCTGCCCGCCTCGGCCTCCCAAAGTGCTGGGATTACAGGTGTGAGCCACCGCACCTGGCCCATCTTCTTCATCTTTATCCCTTCCCTTTTTATTGGCTCAGTCAACTCACCATATAAACAAATTAATCCTCTCTCTGGTAAAAAAGGCATCTTTGTATACCATTGTTAAAGAATGTAAATTAGTAGGACCTTTCTGGAAAGCAATCTGACAAAAGATATTGAATCTCCTTTAAAAGGTTCAGATCTTTTGACCCAATGAATTCTTCTAGGAATCAGTACTAGGGAAATCGTATTAAGATATGGAGCCAGTTTAATTTCAAAGGTGCTCCTGGTAGTTTTATGATGAGGACATTTCTGCAGTTTTTAATGTCAGGGGAAAATATTGTCAAGTGAGAATGTCATTCAAGTAAACATTGGAGCCTTGTCTGTCTAACAGATGAGTGCAATATCTGTATATCATAGAGGCGGAAGTGAAGTCTGTCTGCAAATGGCACTACTCAAACATCATGAGGTGATAAGTGTCTGTCTTATTCACTACTCCATCCCTCAGCAGCTATAACACAGTGCACATGATGGACAACTAATAAATCTTTAATGAATGAATTTATGAAAGAAGTTTTATTTCTGTCTAATTAAATAACTCCATATGGAGAAATATCCAGGGAGCAGTCAGGGAGGAAAGGGATCTAGCCAATTAGATCAGCCAAATCACTCCTGGTGATTAATTTGGGGACAGATGCTATAGCCAAATCCTCTGTACATGCAGAAGCAAAGGCTACAATCACCCATTTGGTCTCTTCTCAACTCAGTGAAAATGCAAGAAAAAGACTGGAAGGAATAGTTTAAAAAAAAAAAGGGCAGCATTGTTTGGATTAGCGTGGTTGGACCCTTGCGGCTTTAATACTTTCCTGTACTGTTCCAATTTTCTACAATGAATGTGAACTCTACTTATAATTTCAAGAAAGTTTAAAAATAACCCCCTGCCATAACTCCACATGCCCCTGTAGCTATTGTGCCTCTTCTTTTTACAGCTAAGCCTCCTGAAAGGGTCCTCTACCCCCCGGCCTCCACTTTCTCACTCTGAGTCACCTCTTTACCTACCACTGCACTAAAATGGGCATTGCCAGTGTCACCAAAGGCCTCCGAGTTGTTCAATCTAGTGGTTAAACCCCTGTCCTCATCTTGCTGAACACTTTGGCAGCAGTTGACACTCCTGACCCCTAAACCACCTACTTGAAATCCTCTCCTCCTTTGCATTCCAGCACAACACTCTTACCTTTTATTCTTTACTTGCTGCTTTTCTCTTCTTCCTCACCCCACTAAATGCTGGTCATCTCCAGGATTCTTTTTTCATTTTTCTTCTCACAATACATTATGTTAAGGGGATCTCACCACACTTTTACATCAACCACCATAGGTGTTGATAACTCTCTGAACTTACTTCTCTAGATTATTTTAAGCTCTCAAATCGTATGTACAACCACTGACTGTATGTCCCATGAAAACCTCATATTGCCATGTCTAAAAGTGAAAGAAAGCCTTTCTCCTTCCTATAGCACTGATCTCTGCTCATTGCAGCCAATCCAAAAACCTTGGATCCTTTGAGATACCTTGGTCCCTCTCACTGCTTCAATGCATAAAAATAGTCACTAAGACTGTCAATTGTTTACCAAGTGAACTTTCTTCTGAACGTCTTCTGTTTATTCTTGTATTCATTCATTCAGCATTCATTATGTTCTTATCAGTAAAAATGAATTTGGTACATCTCTGCCCAGCCTGGTGAAAGGCACAAACTAATAAATCAGTCGTGACGGCAACTTCAATGATATAGGTATATATATAAAATGCTGCAGCGTTGAACAACTAGATGAGTTGGGAGAAGTCTTTCAGCAAAGGATTCCTGAAGGATAAAAGCCTTAGATTCAGTCAATGATGGTAGGAATGAAGAAGGGGAAAAGGTGGAGCTTGCTGATATTTTAGATGGTGTTAGGGGAGTGGTCAAGGATGCCTACCAGGTTTCTGACTTAAGAGATTAGATAAATGGACATAACCCCTACTCACCAGGACCACTGAATCAAAGAATATAAGAGGAAAAGCAGCTTTGGGAAGTAGTTCAGTTCAGAGCAAAGTGAGTGTCAGATGCCCATGAGAAGCCCAGTGTCTACACATGTATATTTTTTTCATTTGTTGAATTAAAAAAATGCAAAGCCAAACGATGTGAGCAATATCTACTTTTTCTGTTAGGAAGGGAAAAAATAAGAACCTATATTCTTATTTGTTTTAAATACAAATAAATTTGCATTTTTTCTAATATATCTATGAAGAACCTCTGGGAGGATATATAAGAAACTAACAGCAGTGGCTGCCTATGGAAAACTGAGGGACAAGGATAAAAAGAGACTGTTCACTCTGTTTTGTGCTTTCCCGGTTTGAACTATGAAGGAATTACCAATTCAAAAAATACTTTAAGGAGAATATAGTGGTCCAGAAGTCTCACAAAACCAAGACTGAAAACTGAAATTGAGTAAGTAGGTGACTGGGGCTCCAGGGGAAGCAGTGTGACTGTGAAGTGTGGGGAATGAAGAACCATGGGTCTACAATGGGAGGGCGGAGAGCCCTCTTGCAGTGCATGAATGGAAGTGAATGGACAGAGAAAAAGAAGAGACTGTGGGGGTGGAGCACTCCCCTGTCGAGAGCGTCGGTGAGAGAGAGATGAGAAGAAATTAAAAAGGGTGCCTGACTTCTTTTCTTTTCTTTTCTTTTCTCTTCTTTTCTCTTCTTTCTTTCTCTCTTTCTTTCCTTTTTCTTGATGATTTTATACAAAGGGCTGGCATTCTGATTGTTCTTTTTTCAGGTTTAATCCTTATTTTAATAAAGTTTTCAAGAAAAAAGTTAAAAAAAAAAAAAAAGAGGGTGCCTGGCTTAGTGCATTGGTGTCCTAAGCAGAGTCCCTTCACAGTCTCTCCTTCTCAATCTGACCTTTCTATTGTTGTCACAGTGACGTCAGGGCTCCCCACCATCTTTGAAAGAACTCCACACTCCTTGGCACACATGGGTTCCTTTATGCTGTGACCTTGCACCCTGCCCCACCTCTTACTGTTTTTGGCATTTCTCACAGAAAGTTTCCCTCTTCCAGCCAATGTCAAATGAGTAGCAGTTCCCAACATTCCCATGCTTTCCTTTGGACTATTGTCACTCTCTTGTTCACCTGGCTCAGAGGATTCAGTCAAAAAACACCACCACTAAGAGGCTTTCCCTGCTGGCTTCCTGACCTCCAGGGTCAGCACCCTTTGCTCTGTACTCTGATAACACCCACAGCCTTCTTTACAAGGTGCAGCTCATTGGTTTAATCACTTCATCTCATCTCATCTCCTTCATTCTGTCACTCAGAAAATATTAAGTGCCTACTGTGTACCAGACACTGTGCAAGGTGCTAGAAATAAAAAAGATGGGCAAGATCAGTATAGTTCTGCCCTGAAGATGCTTATAGTACACACACACACACACACACACACACACATATATGTGTAATACATAAAATATATACTATATATACTATAGTATATATAGTATACATTTTTACTCTATACTATATATATTTATATATAGTATTAAATATATAGTGTAGTATACTATATATACCCTATACTATCCTAATATATATATAGTATTTATTTCTCTCTATATATAGTATAGAGTAAAAAACAAAACCCAAATTAGCTACTCACAGACGTGACAAGTGCTAGCAAGAAAAGAGAGAGGGTAATCTTATAAACTATTTGACAGTAAGAACACAGTGATTTTTTAAATTAAATCAAGCATTAACATTTTAAATGTTTAATTGAAAAATTAACATAAATCAGGTGACTTTATATCTAAGTAAATTTTTATTTCAGAAAATAACCCAGGGAAAACAATAATAAAATGTCATACCATAAAGAGGGAAAAGAAAGTATTCACTAAAAGAAAATGATAAATGTCACTCAGTTTTTGCTGATAATGTCAATTCTTTTAACTGACAATTTTTCTAAACAACTATATAAAATCTGCTAAAAGTTTTATTAAAGCTCAAATATCTTATTGGTCACATAGAAATACCGAGGTGGAGTCAGGCGAGGTGGCTCATGCCTGTAATTCCCGCACTTTGGGAAGCCGAGGTGGATGGATCACTTGAGGTCAGGCATTCGAGACCAGCCTGGCCAAAATGGTGAAACCCCATCTCTACCGAAAATAGAAACATCAGCCAGGCACGATGGCAGGTGCCTGTAATCCCAGCTATTCTGGAGGCTGAGGCAGGAGAATTGCTTGTACCCGGAAGGTGCAGGTTGCGGTGAGCTGAGATGGCCCCACTGCACTCCAGCCTGGGCAACAGAGAGAGACTCCATCGCAAAAAAAAAAAAAAAAAAAAAAAAAAAAAAAAAAAGAAAGAAAGAAAGAAAAGGAAAGAAAAGAAAAGAAATACCCAGGTGGTCTCTTGATTGGAAGTAATTTCAGTTTCATTAGCTCTTTCATTTGTTAAGCTATATTTTGTTGGAGGTATATTTTTCCCCACCAACCTCTGGCCCATTGAAGTTTATCTATTACACACACATCTGCCCACTTATTTGGCAAGAAACACAAGCCTAGGAAGAGGTGGGGTGTTCACCTGTTCATAGCCATCATGCTGGACCCTCCTGGCTTTCTCCCAACTCATTCTCTTTCCAGACCCACTCCCGCCTGTGCACCTTGACTCCAGGCCCATCTGGGACCTTCTGTACTGGCTCTTCATGCTCAGTCTCCTAGTCTTTGAGTGCCCCCTCTCCCTCCTGGCTTTTGGCTCTGACTTGCTTCTGTACCACCATGGGAATGTCCTCATCAAAGCATAGCTTCCTCAGAACTCAAACACCAGATCCAACTGTTGCTGAAATCTTTTAAAGCACAGGGCAAGACCTCTGAGAGTCTGCTGGTTTGTGAACAATCAGGGCTCCTTGTCCAGGCTGATAAGCTCAGTATGTTTGAACATAAGACTAACAAGACCAAGATCACAGATTTTTTTCCCTAAACAAGTCAGTCAGCCTTGACCTTGCCTGAGGGACTAAAAGTTTTAAGTCTCCATATCTTCTCTCTGGCCCCAATCTGAAGCAAATTTGCATTGGTAGTTATAAAACGCCCCTCCAGGAGCCAGGTGACAAGAGGAAATGAATAGAAGGAAGCTTTTTTTGAGTAGGGGTTGTCAGACTATGTGAATTGACTGCTTATTCAGAAACATTCCGTTTAAAGAAAACCAGAAAGTTAACTTGCTCACCGCAGAGTTAGAACCTGGGAGCTAGATGGCCAGGAGTTCCAGTGGGAATCCTCAGTAACGATTTTCCCTCTCTCCCCTACTCCCAGTTTTCCTGTCTCCTTTCACCCAGGTATCTGCTCCTCTCCATAATATTGATAACTTCCTGGGGGGTAGCACAAGTTGTTTTGCTTTTAATTGTGCATATTTTTCCAAATAATTGTTTGTTAATCTTTTTAAACCATATTGTAGATCAAGACAATATATAGCTTTAATCTTGGGCAAGTGTTTTACAAATGTGGGCATGACCATGAAGTTGGGAAACCTCTGTTCTATCTTCATGGAATTAATATATGTACTTTTTAACAAACATTGACTCATTAATTCAACAAGAATTCGAGGTCCATTCTGTAGCAAGCAATTAGCTGACATTAGGGATACAAAGTCACATAAGACATGGTCTATGTTGAAATTTGGCTGTTGAGGAACCAGTAAGCCGGCCATGCTCCTGGGCATCTATTTGCCTGAAGAGATGTGCATGAAGAACCTGCTTTTCTCTAAAAGAGACAGTAGTGCCTGCAAGAAACTACAGAGGAAAAATGAGGAAAAAACAAACAGGCAAGGAGAACAGAGAGACAGCATGCTATCAGCCCATGCAGCCCTGTCACACAGCCTGGGGAACTGATTTAGATCCACCATGATGAGGAAGATTATGGAGGGAGAATTTGAAGAACATCATTGGAGGAACAAGCAGGGCAGTTGTGGGGCCCAGGAAACAAAATGTACCGAGAGCTGAGAAGAGGACCATTCCTCTCCAGCTCTGTCAGAGACTATGGTGTGTCTTTGGAACACTAACAGCTCAGCAGAGGAAACCTGTGCCAATGAAGCACTGTCATCACAGCTAAGCCAGAGGCAAGGTGACATGATGGGTTACCAGATTGAGAGAGCTTGCGTGCACTTGATCCTATTCTAGAAACTGGAAGAGATGGAGGGGGAAGCTGGTGTCCTATGATCATGTAAGTGGGCACAAAGGATCATCATAATTAGGTCCATAATCTTTAAGACCTTATTTATACTCCAAGGCTGATAGGAGTTTAGCTTCATTTGGATTATATTTAAATTATGCTAAAAGCTGTCACCATGGAGTTTCACCCTTTGACCCTACTTCTGTCCCCAGTGTCACTGGATTTTTTTAAGTCCAAAATATGACCTATTTAAGGACAAGGACTCCACCTCATTTATCTCTGCAGCCACAATTCCTGCTATACCTCCTATAATATTGAACAAATGTTGAACGGTCTTCAATTACATCAGGTAACATCTACTCCATAAGAAAATACTACACATGTGCAATTAAAAGTTAACTAGCAGCCACTCTTCATACTCAGAAAGATAACCTGTTTCTTAGTTTGGTTACGTCTCCACCAATTAACCTTCCTCGGTAAAAATTATGAAAATAAAGCCACGTCAAAGAATGCTCTAAGCTGCCGGAAATATTTGCACACATAAAAGATCAAGACCATACAATAATAAAGAATGAAGAGAAAATTTCTACCTCAGGAATGAAAGCAATAAAGGGGCTTGTCCTAAATGCAAAGGCTCCTCCACTAGTACTACACGGATCACTGTCATCGTTCTACCTTTACTATTATCTTTTCTCTGGGAACAACAGACCACAAAATGCTAAGAATTAAAGGAAAAACTTGAGATCATCTAATCCAATCCCCTCATTTTTCAAAGTACCAAAAAGTCCTTATAGCTTTAAACTCTAGGGCTCTAAAATTTTGTGATTCTATGAATTAAAACATTTAGTTTTATATGTGTTTTGCAGCATTTGCATGAAATGAACTATTTAAACAGGTTTCTAAAACCTGCTGAGATTCATATCTTAACAAAATCTTTCAGGTCTCAAAATAATTTCCATGATGCCAGGTAGCAATAGAACTGTAGGGTCAAAAGGCATGAACATCTTAAATTTTAGTAGATATTGTCAAGGGCCCTCTGAAAAAGGTTGCAACAATTTACACAGCTAAAGGCAAACTCTTGTTTTATTTTATCTGACCTGTCCTATATATGAGAGGAAATAAAAGACTATGACATCAAGTTAATAGCTAACAGGCAAAACCAGAAGTATACCAAATTTGTAAACAAAAATAAACCTCTTTATTGTCCCCATTTGCACCCCAATAGAAACTCATGTTCCAGGAAAGATGAGCAATGCCCCCAAACTGCTTTTCTGGAGAAGCAAAAGAAGGACATGGTAAATGCTGAAATTTGGAGTTACTAAAGCAACTATTGGGAGTGGGCTCTTAAACAACAAAATTTTTTTTTACTATCTATTCTATGAAAATACATGTGTGCAAAAAATATGAATAAGGAAGGTCATTGAAGCATACTGTGTAATTAAAAAAAATTGCCTACGGGTTTTTTACTGGGGACTGAGTGAAATACATTCCTGATAATGCTCTGCAGCCATCAAAAGGATAACAGTGTCAAGGAAAGATGTTTCCAGTAGATGGTTAAAAAAACGCAAGTGACAGGACAATTTGAAGACTATGACCCACTTGCCTATAAACACAACTGTGTGAATGTATGTGTGTGTGGGCACATACACGGTTACAAAGAAAACGGCATAGAGTAACACATGCAAGTTACCCTAACTGGTGACCTCTGAAGAGGGTAGCAGAGATGACGTGGGAAAGTTGCAATGAGGGGCTTTTACATTTTAACTCTATATATTTACATAAACTTTTGCATATAATTTACTTGTATAAATATTTTATATGTATTACTTGTTTATAAGTATGTATTGCTTCTGTAATTTTTTCTTGGAGTGCCATTAGATGAAATGACAAGATTCTTCCTATTCAAGAGGAAAGAAGTAGTGGGTACCAAGGAAGCTCTTGTTTTTCCTGGGAACATGGGCCAAAGATTTGCACAGGTGCTGTTGGGTCAGCACCAAACTGCTTGCTGATTAAAATGTGTTTGTGAGCTGCCATTGATCGTATAATCTAGCTCTCTATGGGATTCAAATATACCACAGCTTGACTCAATTCCATTTTATAAGATATAATTTCACCCCAAGCCAGGAATCCAGGCACCCCTAGAAAAATGTATTAGGCATCTGTGTCTGAGAGTCTGTGACATGAAGCAAATGCTACACTAGAATTAGTAGGAGATAAGGAATTATTTTTAAAAGCACATATTGATCTCAAATGGCAGAAAATCTTCCCCCAGAAGAGGACAAGATAAACCACAGCACTGTTTACAGTGGAAATTATTTCTCTTCAAAACGTTTTTTTCAGAAAACTCTCTCAGACTGAAAGCCTCACCAATGTCTATGCTTCCCCATGTCTTCTAGAACATGACACCGTTCACAGCTCCAGCAGTGGTCCACTAAGGCTGAGGAACCCAATATACTACAACAGGTAGCTTGTGTAGTGCATTAGGAAACACAAATCCAGAAGCCCTTACTCTCAATTTGGAAATCCAAAAGTGCTCTAAATGGACAGATTTTTTTTTTTTTTAAATAACTTACTTGCCTCCAGAAACTGACCAGACCTGAATCCATGTTACAAAATCCAATCTGAACTGATGTGAATTCATTTATAGTCTTTATTTATTTCAGATCTTGTAAATATTCAGGATGTTTAAAAAGATTAATATGTTCATAGTATGGAATATTAGTCATCTTGACTCCCTGAGAATATTATATTAATTCAGCATATTCACTGTTCTATCTTTCTAAAGTCAAAACACCATGAATTTTAAAACACATCTGGCCCTAAGAATTTCAAATAAAGAATGAGGACCTGTATATGCTATAATCAATGAAGGTTTGGAATAAATGAGATGCTTATTGAACAAAAGATTTCAATAAGCACTTCACCATAGAGTGTATATGAATGGCTAACAAGAGTTCCAAAAATCAGGAGCAATGTACATCTAGAGTACACACACAAACACACACTCATGTGCATACACACACACACATACACACACAGAACCTTGTTAAAGGCTAATAAATAATACTCTTATTACCTAGAGAAATAAAGTGAGTTGTTGGGAATAAAGAGAAGCAAGTGAAACTATGGCATGTCAAAACCATGGTAAATAGGAAATGCCTTTTTACTGCCTGAGAGAAATCGCCCTACAGTTGTTTGATAAAATAACACACTGAGAAGAACATTCTATTCATGGTTTAGGACATAAATATGACCTTCTCAAAGGAAATCTTTCCTAATCCTCCTAAATAAACATGATCTTACATTTTTTTCTTAGTAAAAATTTTTGAGGAGTCAATAATAAGAGCAACTTTGGTTGATTTTGTACGTACAGAATCTAGCTAAGCTGTGAAAACTACCCTGAAAAGGTAGGGAAGAACTACTCTGTAGATTTCATTCCATGGTCCTTCTGATTTCAGCCTCAGGAGGGCCTATAGAGAACTTTAGCTTCATCTAGTCTTCGAAATCATAACAATCATGAAGAAAATAGAAGAGAAATCCTTTGTGACCTTGAGGTTAAGCAAAGATTTCTTAGATATAGCCCCCAAAGCATGATCCATAAAAGAAAGAATTGACTAATTTATACCTCATCAAAATTACTTTTGTTCTTCTAATTCGCCACTAAGCAAATGAGGAAACAAGCCACAGATTGGAAGAATATATTTATAGATCATGTATCTATATATGTAACATGTATAAATGTGTTTAATGTAACGTATAAATGTGCATATATATATATATATATATATACTCAGTTTGTATTAAAATATATTAAAAACTCTCACAGAAATAAAAGACAAATGGGCCAAGCAAAAAATTGACAAAAGATTTCAATAAGCACTTCACCATAGAATGTATATGAATGGCTAACAAGCACATGAAAATGTAGCCAATATCAATAGTTATTAGGAAAATGCCTGTTTAAATGACAATGTGTTACCACTACACAACCACTAGCATATTTATAATAAAAAAGACTGGGCCGGGCATGGTGGCTCATGCCTGTAATCCCAGTACTTTGGGAGGCCAAGACAGGTGGATCACCTGAGGTCAGGAGTTCAAGACCAGCCTGGTCAACATAGCAAAACCCCACCTCTACCAAAAATACAAAAATTAGCCAGGCGTGGTGGTGAGCGCCTGGAATCCCAGCTACTTGGGAGGCTGAGGCAGGAGAATTGCTACAACCTGGGAGGCGGAGGTTGCAATGAACAGAGATCGCACTACTGCACTCCAGCCTGGGTGACAGTGTGAGACTCTGTCTCAAAAACTAAATAAACAAATTAATTAATTAATTAATTAATAAAGACTGGCCAGGTGCGGTGACTCATACCTGTATTTCCAGCACTTTGAAAGGCTGAGGCAGGAGTTTCACTTGAAGCCAAGAGTTTGAGACCAGCCTGAGCAATATAGTGAGATCCTGTCTCTCCAAAAAAAAAAACTTTTTAAATAAAAATAAAATTAGCCAGGCATGGTGACATGTGCCTGTAGTCCCAGCTACTGGGGAGGCTGAGGTATGAGGCTCCCTTGTGCCCAAGAGTTTTAGGGTGCAGTGAGCTATCATCACACCACTGCACTTCAGCCTGGGCAGCACAGAGAGATCCCATCTCCAAAAAATAAACTAAACTAAAATAAAAAAGATTGACAAGAACAAGTGTTAGTGAGTATAGAGAAACTAGAACTCACATATATTGCTGGTAGTAATGTAAAATGAAACAACCTCTTCGGAAAAGTTTGGCAGTTCTTTTTAAAAGTTAATTACATACTTACAAGCTCTCATAATTCCATTCCTAGGTACCTACCCATATAAAAACTTGTACACAAATGTTTGTAGCATCATTATTCGTAATAGGCATAAGCTGAAAATAGGCCTACACTGGAAATAATTCAAATGAACAAACAATATGTGGTACATCTCTGTAACGTAACACAGCTTAGCAATAACTGATACATCCAACAAATTGACTGAACCTCAAAAAACATTTTTCTAAGGAAAAGAAGCCAAACACAATACATAGTCTTACAAATTGTGATTCCATTTGTATGAACTTTCTAGATACGGCAAAAACTGTAGAGACAGAAATTACATTGGTAGTTGCCTAGATCTTGCATGGGGTGAACATTGACTGCAAACAGGTGTAAGGGAACTTTTTGAGGTCATGGAAATGCTCTAAAAACTGAGTTGTGGTGATAGTTGCACAAGTGTACAGACTTATTAGAAATCACCAGACTGTTTTTAAAAATCACTTGTTGTGTTCATGTTTGATACTGTCTCTTTGGAGCGACCTACAGATCAAGAAGAACATGTTTTAGGAAGTATGGGTTAAGGCAGCCTGAGGTTAATAAACAATTAATGAGTGGCTACAATGGAGTTAGTGCATGAATGCCATTCTGTGTTCATTACAGCATTGTTTGCCATAGAAAAACTAGAAATAGCCTAATGTCTATCATTAGTATCAGCTGGCAGTTTGTCCATCAACAGAGCAATAGATAAGCAAGATGAAATTCATCCATCTTATGAAAGACTATGCAGATGCAGCTCTCAGAAAGAATAAAAAGATCCCCAAGCTAAGTTGTCAATTGAAAAAAAAAAAAAGCAAAGTCACAGAACAATAATGAACAGTATAATTTAAATCTCATGTACACACTGAATTATGAAAGGCTTACCTCTGGAGAAGATTGAAACAATTAGAGTAGAAGTGAACTTTTTAGAAAGCATGTTTTTCTTTAGTGTTTTTTTTTTTTTTTAACAACAGACTTATACTGCTTCTGCAGGTTAAACAATGTTTTATAGCACTCTTCTTAGCACTTGACTAAATATCACTTTCTCAGCAATTCCTGCTGCTGGGGAAGTCATTTTCCTTAAAAGGAGACCAAAGTAAATGGCTTTGAAACATGCTTAAAATAAAAAAAAAAGACATTGTATCAGCTGGCAGTTTGATGTCCTTGTAGCTTAATAGTAATGATGATAAGGACAATATTCTTCATGCACATAGTTTTCTGCTATGACAACCCTATGAGGTAATGCTGCCACCCTTATTTTGGAAGAGACTCTGAGGCTCCAGAGGTCAAAGTCACCTGTCCAATACCACCCAAGTAGGCAGGGTGGGAGTGCGATCTGTAATTTTAAATCTGTTGCTTTTATTCAGCTGCCCCACCTCATCAAGGATGATGATAAACCTAATGGTGACCCTGAGGCACTACAGGATCCTGAAGGTCTTACGAATCATCAAAGAAAAATTTAATTAAATTTAGTGAAGTTTGGATTTTACCCATACTTAATTGTGTTTATAATCCCTGGAAAAGCGTTCAGCCACGTATAGCACACACCACCACCCTTGTTAAGAATAGTTGATTAACCAGAATGCCTCCAGCCAAGCTAAAACATGAAGAACTTACTCTAAATTGATTCCTTTCATTATTTGAGTCTTTACTTCCCTCTTAAAGAGAAGACGCCTTATCTGCCCTGCCTCACCTCCACCCTCACCTCAGAAAGCCCTCAATTCTTTTTTCCCTAAAATCTAGGTCAGGCTCCAGCCTTCCCACAGCCTGAGGGCAGAAGGGTCAGGTGAGGGTTGCCTGAGCCACTACCAGCAGAAGCCTGAGGGTGCTGTGTCCCCGCCGCTTCACTCCTACTGCGGGACACCAGTGATCTCCTGGTGACCACACCCTCACTCTGTCTGGGTGTACCCATGGCCTGTGAGTGGGAACATTCACAACAAAAGGGAAGTGAATGAGTAAATGAAAGCAAGTCTGAGTTCAGGCTGAAGGCCGGCTGCCACACAGCTTTCAATTTGGGAGGGGGCCTCTTCATGACAACACCAAACTATCCCAGCAAGAGGAATGCTTTTTTAGGGGTGAATCAACCCAGTGACACGGGTAAAAACAGACCCGAGTTTTACATGCAGAGACAAGAGATAAAGCTCTAAGACTAGGAATCAGGTAGTCATGCTGGAAATAGTGAAAGCCCATTTTGAAACCATTTTGAACCAGATAGACATGGGCTCAAAACTTAGCCTGGACTCTTACTAGCTGGGTAATTTAGGATAAGTTACTTAATCTGTATGCCTCAAGTTCTTTGTCTACAAGATTAAGGTGGGGATAGTACCTACCTTGATAGTATGACTTAAAAATAACCTATGTAAAGCGCCTAGTATCATTCCTGGCACTTAGTCACCACTGTTTCAACTGTCCCAAGAAGCACTGAAATAAATGCTAGATTACCCAGGTGCTGGGCCAGGTGTCCACCATAGAAGTCATTAACCACAACAGTGAAATGAAAGAAGCACAATTCCTACCCTTACGTTATTTCTTCTTAAAGGCTAAAACTCTATTGATAAAAATAACACATGCTCTTTGTGGGCTGGGAAGTGCAGGAAAACAAAGAAAACTATCAACTATAATCTTACAATGCAGCTGTGAATACTTTAATTTACTGAATTCAGATCTTTTATCTATACATATTCCTCTTTATGTAAGTGAAACTCATTGCTGCATGTTAAACTGCCTGTTTCACTTAACATTTTAACAACAACCAATATCCCAGGCCAATGGCTCTTTCCAGAGCTTGAAGCTTGTGGCTCTGGACTCCCTGCAATTGCAGGCAAAGCCACATGTTTTATTCAGCCCACATTCTAGAAGCTCGAAGCGGGAAGAGTTCCAGAGAAACCAGTAGTCACCCCTGTTAAATTCCCTTAACCCCATGATTTTCAGAGAGTTCAAGGTTATTGAGATGTATTTCCTTCATTGGCTCTTAATGATATCCCAGTAGGAGGAAGATATTGGGGGAGAAGGACTTCATTCCTCTCTGATCCCTGGTTCTGCATCTGACATTCAGGCAATGGATGTAAAAGAATGAAAATGTAAAGCGGGGATGGGGGATTATGTCCATGGAGCAGCTAAAGTAGAAAAGCAAAGATCCTCTCAATACCTGCAGTTCATGCAGTGACCCACCTGAAATGGGGCAGGGCCAGGAGGTCCAGGTGACAGGCTGCATACAGCTCTGAAAGCCTTGACCTCATAAGGAGGCACTCTTTCAGGCTGGATGAATCATAAGAACTCCTCTAGGAGACTGCAGCCATGAAATTCTTATGGACTTTGTAAAAAAATATATATACAATAATAATAATAAAGAGGAAGACATTAATTAAAGTTTAAAATTGATGGTATCTTTGATAAACCTGTTGCCTGGAAACCCCAGAAGCCCTTTTGGTGCTGATCTTTAGTGGGGAGTGGTAAAGTTGGGACAGTGGTAGTTGTATTTTTATTGCAAAAATAATAGCCATAGAATATAGTTAAAATAATAACCATAGAATCCCTTATCCTTTCATAATGTCTTGGACCAAACATGAAGCCAAAACCCCAAAATACTCACTTAACAACATCTCTGATATTTAGTTGCTAAAACACCAGATTCAGAAGCAGTCAAGAAGAGGGTGCTGTTGAAGGTCAGAGGTTTATAATCGGCAGCAAACTTTTAACCACCTGCTACTTCAAGGGAACTGAAGGGTTGGTGAAGAATCAGTGAGTCATGTTGCACTGAGAGCCAGCATGGATAATTTAGGGAGAAATAGACTTAACAGTGAAAGGCAGTGTGACTGGGAACAGAGTATCTGTCAAGCCATTTACCTGACCACTTACTTCTCAACCCCTTCAATTGGTGCTCACTACACTTGTCCAAAGGGCGAAGATGACATTGGGAGAAAATTATTTTCATTGCATAGTAAACTCTTCTCTCTCTCCCGAGTTGGGCAGAATAATAGAATTAGCCTGCCTAGAATATTAATTCATCAATACATGTCATACTGATTCTCAGTTTCCAGAAGGATCAGGGCAGGGATGAGTTCAAGGTTATTGAGACATATTTCTCCAACTGCTTCTTAATGATATCCCAGTGGGAGGAGGACATGGGAGGAGAAAGACTTCATTCTTCTCTGAATCCCTGGTTCTGCATCTGATCATCTATCTGAAAATTCTCTTAACCTTGTCGTTCTTTTGCGTCTTTCATTTTACAGTAACTCTGTATACTAAGATAGAACCAATTGGGAACCAAGATACAGGTATTCATCTCAGGCAGTGAAATGTACACACATGTGAGTTATACAAATAGCCACAGTGACAAAATTAGTTTACTAACTGATATCTTGCCACCTCAGAAATTTCATTCCCTTCCAGAATATAACCTCACACTGGATACAGCTCTTACTTCAAATCTGAAGACTTGCCTTTCAACTTCAGTCTTTCATTTGTTGCTGATGGTCGTTTGGATTTCTCTCTTCCGTAAAGCCCAGTTGATGATTCTCCTCAGGGGCGGCCATCTTGGAGGAACATGGTAATGAGGTAGCTGTGATCGGCACGGAGCTTCTGTATTACTCTCTCTAGGTAGTCAGGTCCACTCATAACAACTTCTAGAAAGCTAGAGAAGGCACTGAAAAACTTAAACACAATGGTCATAATAGGTGGCATACCAGAGTTATCCAATGGAGCTGACAGAATCAAGGCACACCTTAGCTCTTATGAATTTTTCTTGCCCCCAGTGTTCCTCCCTCCAGCTACCTAAATTTGGTCTTTCTTTTAAGGCTCTTCAATTAAGCCTCCTTTAAGCCCCTTCTAACCATCTTCCCAGAAACCCCTTCTCCCTCTGAATTACAAGTGCTCTTATTGTTGGCACTATTTAAAAATGCCACTGCCCTGTATTGTTGGTCATTATGTCCCATCCTTTCACATGGATTAGTCACTCTTTAAAATTTAGAAGCTTTTCTTTTGTTTCTGAAAAATCCCCCCAGCACTCAGAGCCTAATAATGTGAGGCTCACTAGGACCTCAGAGCTCCGTCGGGGAGCGCTGCCCCGCTCCTGCCCTCCAGCAGGGCCCTGTGCTATCTGTTCTTACCCCTGCCTGTATTTCCCTATCTTCTGCCTCCTAATCTCCAATCCTAACACCACTCTCCACCCAATACCCAACAGGGAAACACATTTTTTCTTCCAGGGCCCAATTCTCAAATGGCTGGGGCCCCATATGATGTTTTTTTCTGTTTTACCTCATAACTCTCTCATTCCCAAGACACACAGCCCTCTCAGAGAGCTCTCAGGGTTCAATTGGGTTCAAGTGCCTGCCATTAGAAACACCACATCTTGGCCGGGCGCAGTGGCTCACACCTGTAATCCCAGCACTTTGGGAGGCCCAGGCGGGCAGATCACATGAGGTCAGGAGTTCGAGGCCAGCCTGGTCAACATGGTGAAACCCTGTCTCTACTAAAAATTAGCCGGGCATCGTGGTGGGTGCCTGTAATCCCAGCTACTCAGGAGGCTGAGGCAGGAGAATCTTGTGAACCCGGGAGAGAGAGGTTGCAGTGAGCCAAGATGGTGCCACTGCACTCCAGCCTGGCGACAGAACAAGACTCCGTCTCAAAAAAAAAAAAAAAAGAAACACTGCATTTTTCTAGTGCACAATTCCTGCAGCTGAATCTAGTCTACAGTGCCAAACTCCTTACTCTGGGTGATTTTTCTCTCAGGAATTTGCCTTTCATCAGCGTTGCCCCAGCCCAGTCTATCGGTTACAACTGTCAAGGTCTGAATCTCAACTGCCAAGAGCGTTCAAATTCTCTCCCATGGTGCTCCTGGGCACCAGACCAATCACATGGTAAGATGTCAGTTTAGTTGTCTGGGCATTCTATGGCAGTTATATGGAGTTATATGTGGCTTTTTTACTTCCCAGAGGACAGAGAGGACCTTTTGTGGGGGGAACCTAACTCCTCAAGCCAATGAATCAGGATCTTGGTAATGAGATAATCTAAATCTCCTGACCAAGAAATGAAGACATTACTGGGAAATTAGGGTAAACAGCTTTTTAGTGAGGGCTCCAAAAGTCATGTACAAGGCAACACGGCCAAACGCTTTTTTAATAAAAAAAGTTTGCCCTTTTTTAAAACTTTGGGCTAACACTAGAGAGTTTTGTTTGAAAGGTGCATTGAGAGATTCTTATTAGCATTTTGTTGCTTGTTAATTTCTGCCTTTGAGAGAAAATGTTGGTTTTTTTTTTTTTTTTTTTTTTTTTGGCAAGAGTCTCACTCTGTCGCCCAGGCTGGGGTGCAGTGGCATGATCTCGGCTCACTGCAACCTCTGCCTAGTGGGTTCAAGTGATTCTTCTGCCTCAGCCTCCCAAGTAGCTGGGATTGCAGGCACGCACCACTACACACGGCTAATTTTTGTATTTTTAGTAGAAATGAGGTTTTGCCATATTGGCCAAGCTGGTCTCAAACTCCTGATCTCAAGAGAAATGATCCATCTGCCATGGACTCCCAAAGTGCTGAGATTACAGGTGTGAGCCACTGTGCCCAGCCAAGAGACAGTGTCAATTCTAACAATTTATGTGCATTTCTGGTAATCCACCCCTCACAGGTTGCTTTGAACAACTTGTTGTTTCCCCTAGTGATGAGCTGAAAGTTGTAACAATAACCAGTCTCCCATATGTTATTGCTGAATAATTCCTTCTTAGTGGCTTCATAATAATAATATACAAAAAAGAATCTATTGTTCTGTTTGGCTCTTTTCAGATTCCTAGTATCTCATTACGTCAGGAGAGTCTTTGTTTCCTCAAGGTAAAAAAACAAAAAACAGAAACCCACATATTACTGGCCTTTTTATTTAGCTGTCACAATACCAGCAGTGGGAGAGTCACTATGCAGAAGAAACAATGGTAACATGGATCACTTCACATTGAAATGTGGTACCTAATTATTGTTTTTAGGGGTAGTCTAATGAGTGGTACTTGTAGGTGATTAAACATATTTGGGTTTGGAAGACCAATGGGTTGAGAACCAAGCCACCCTCCTTACAACAGTATGTGGAGAGAGAGAGTTTGGGTACTGCATCTGCCTCAAGAGCCCCATCCCACCCCACCCACAACGCCTTCTCATGGCTTCCATGAGAAGCCATTTAACAATGGCTGAAGATGCCTGAGAAGCCACCCAGCCAAAAGAACCCATTCAAAAGGACATCCTGGATTTGTTGCATATCATCATGGATTTAGCTTAGCAGCCACTGAGAACAAAAAGGATTTAAATATATATATGTATAGCTGATGATCCTAAATTAAAAGGCCCTAAAAATATTAGTGTATGAGTTCCTTACCCTAGATCATATATTGTACTAAATACTGAGGACAAAGATAATAACCCTCCCCATCCCTCAGGGAACTTCAACATGCACCAAAGATAGACCCTTATATATTTAACAGAAAAGCACAATGGCGTGATAAAATTTAGGCATGAACAGATCATAATGGGAGCATGAAGATGGAAATGACTGCTTCTGCCCAGTTTAGAGACATTGAAGGAAAAGGGGGGAAAAGTCTCCGTAGAGGAAGGAGCATTTGACCTGGGCTTTTAAAGGAGGAGGAGGAGCTTGACAGATAAGAGAATGGAGCCTCTGGTAGAGGAAACACAAAATAGCAATGGGACATTAAAGTAGGGACCAAATTTGCAAAGCAGTTCTAACATGACCTGTACAACAGTAATCCTGTGTTCATGCTCCTCTATGGTTTGAGTTGCTAGATGTAAAGATAATGTATATTAAACATCTTTCTTCAATCTTGCCAGATCTTGAAAATCAAGTTTGTAACTGCATAAAAATGGTCTGTTCCCCAACTCTGTGACCTAAATCTTTTGCTCAAATAATGAATACCAATTTAAAGAGCAACTTAGAGAAAGTTGAGTGACAAAGTGAAAAGAAAGTAGTTCAGAAATGGAGTGTGCTTTCTCACAATCATTCCATTTACTCTAACTGCACAGTCTTAAGCACTAGGACTTCAAAGATGAATTAAACATGACTTCTCCCTTCTAGGAGCCCACAAATAAGTGAAGGAAAATACAATGGCTAAGAAGCAAGACATGCATTTATCTAGTGGATACTGAAGGACTGGAGCTGGTTAATGACGATGTTTTCATCAGTCTGGGGCAAAATTAGCAAACTTATTCTCAGCTTTATCCTTCTTACCCAGAATACATCCTCTACAATTGCTATGTGACATTTTACATTTCTAAAGTGACATAGGGTCTGCACATCTCAAACTGAGTTTTAATTTTTAGAAAAGTAAATGCATTTACATTTTCTACATTAAAATATCATTTCTTCTCTGATATAGTAGTAGATGGTAATTAGGTTATTTAAATGGCTTTACTAATATGTCACTTCCATGCCGTTCCCCAAAAGATATTTACCAGTTCCTATAAATGCAAAAAGTATGAAAACTTGCAGTCTACACCACACCAAACAAAATGTTTCACTAAATATTTTTAAACTGTGTTTAGTAATGATTTTGGAAATGTTTAAATTCAGCCATGAAAATAGATCCCTATTACACACAGATTTAATAGACTAGGTATTATTTATTAACAGGCTAGAAATATAATTGCAAAAACTGCCAAACCAGGATTTAAAATAATGATTGTGAGACCCACAAAGAAAAAGCAGATTATACAACATTTTGTTTACTGCATGATATGTGGCTAATATATATTTTTCACATATATTCACATATATATATACAGGAAAAGAACTGAATGGAAATATACATATACATATATGTGTGTGCATATTATATGATTTTTTCTTTTTACATATCTACATTTTGAAATTTTTATATTATGAATCTATATTGTTCTTATAAGAAAAATATGTATTTCTGGGCCAGGCACGGTGGCTCACGCCTGTAATCCCAACACTTTGGGAGGCCGAGGCAGGCGGATCACAAGGTCAGGAGATTGAGACCATCCTGGCTAACATGGTGAAACCCCGTCTCTACTAAAAATACAAAAAAAAAATTAGCCGGGCGTGGTGGCGGGCGCCTGTAGTCCTAGCTACGCAGGAGGCTGAGGCAGGAGAATGGCGTGAACCCCAGAGGCGGAAGCTTGCAGTGAGCCGATATCGCGCCACTGCACTCCAGCCTGGGCGACAGAGCGAGACTCTGTCTCAAAAAGAAAAGAAAAAAGAAAAATATGTATTTCTAAAGAAAAAGAAATATATATTGATTTTTAGAGAAAGTACTTATTTAAAAAGTACCATCAATGTTTTTTAAAATGAAAATTTTAACCCAACAATTTACCTTCAAGACTCCGCTAAGGAAACAAGAACCAGAATTAAAATGCAGAATATAAGATTTGTTAATTCACTCAGTAAGTATTTACAGAACACCCACTGTGTCAGGCACTGTGTGGGGCAAGAGGATTTCAGCTATGAAAAAAAAACAAAAAAACAAAAAAACGAAAAAACAGTCCTCTGAGAACTCAAGATTAGTGGTTCCTAATTTACAACAGGATCACCTGGAGGGTCCTTTTATTTTTTTTCTTAATAGCCACCTCCCTCTTCAGGAATCTAGGGTGGAAGAGAGAAATCTGGTTTAAAAGCTACCCAGGTAATTCTGAATCAGTCAGCCTGGAAGCAACCTTTGAGCGCCCACTAGTGAGGTGGTGCCTTGCCATGTCCTTTCCAATACTGAAAAACTGAAAACCAAGCACTTGTTGGAAAGTAAGAGAAAGTTTTAATAAAGTAAAGGAAGTTCACATAATGAAATTTTATACAGACATTAAAAATCCTATTTTGAAATACGGTTTAAGATCTAGGGAAAGTCTCATGATAAAATGGTACTGGAGAAAAACACAGGTTAGAAAGTTGTATTCAATATGATCACAATTTTATTACATAAAATGTATATGTAGAGGAAAAGAATAAAGACTAAAAAAATTGTCTAAAACATGAACACTAATACATATTATCTTACAGGAACATGTTTTTACTTTCTGTTTTCTATTTTTTCAAATTTCTTTGAATTTTTTCCAAATTCTATATAAAATAAACATGTATTACTTTAATAATCAAGAAAAAATTACTTTCCAAAATAACAAGGAATCATCATCTCTTCCCACCCCCACCCTGATGGCAAAACATGGGAAATCAGGATAACATGGCAGCAGAGACATAGGCCTCCCTGTCCAGAAAGGGCCTGGATTGTTTGCAATTCCTAGGTTTATGAGAGACAAGACTTTATGAAGTAGTTGTGATAATCCTCGTTTACAGATGAAGAGATAAAGCCTCAGAAAGCTCCATTCTCTTCTTACTCAAAAAAGAATGATTGTGAAGCCTTTAAGTCAGGCATTGTTCACAGTGTGAACAGGGCACAGTCCCTTCCCACTAGGATTCACAGACTAGTAACTAGACACTCAGGAATGTGCACAAAGCTAGAAAGTGGCAGAGCCAGGATTTGAATCCAGGTCCTTCTTGTCTCAGAGCTTATGCTCTTTTCCCTGGAGCACTGTTGGACCTAACCAGGTGTCAATATATATTAGACTATTTTAGGTCCCAGCTGGGGCCCTCAAGGCAGGGATGAAAGGAGAAGGTCATCCTGCTCCAGCTTTATCTTCAGATCTTCCTTTGTAATCACCACCTGCCATCACTGAATGCATCTATAAATCTGGAGTGACACAGGGTTTCCACCTCTCATCAGAGAGTGGGGAGAGTTTAAGGATAAAAATAAAATGATTTTCTCATAGATGCCCTTTCATATGTCACTCCAGTGCTCAAAAATGTTTCAAGGATTCCCCACTGCCTACTGGCATGGTCAGCCTCCATATCAAAGACGCTCCATGACCTGTCCCAGTGTTCCTCTCTACCCTTCCCACGATGCCCCTTAACATCCATGAGTGCCTTGCCCTTCATCCCCTCCAATCACTGGGCTACACATATTTATTGGCTCCATGGCTTTGGGCAGCTTACTTAATATATATTTAAGTCCCATTTCCTCATCTATACAAAAAGAATAGCATTATCTCATCCCAATTTATTAAGGATTAAATAAAATGTTTCCTGTAGAGCACTTAGCAGGGTGCTAGCCCATAATATTAATAAAGCAATCAGTAATGTTAATTTATTGCTATTGTTTTGGCTGCTATCTTACTTTTTGCTTTCCCTTTTCCATATCCATATTTTTCCCTTTCTAAGTTGCTTTTCTTTTTCTTTTTTCTTTTTCTTTTTTTTTTTTTTGAGATGGAGTCTCACTCTGTTGCCCAGGCTGGGGTGCAGTGGCACCATCTCGGCTCACTGCAACCTCTGCCTCCCAGCCTCAAGTGATTTTCCTGCCTCAGCCTCCTGAGTAGCTGGGATTACAGGTGCGTGCAACCATGCCTGGCTAATTTTTGTATTTTTACAGGGTTTCACCATGTTGGCCAGGTTGTTCTCGAATTCCTGATCTCAAGTGATCCACCCGCCTTGGGCTCCCAAAGTGCTAGGATTACAGGGTGTGAGCCACCAAGCCTGGTCCTGAGTTGCTTTTCATGTTCCTCCTCTTCTTCCTCCTCATAACCTAAACCGAAACTATTCAAATCCCAGCTTCTTCCTGAAAGCCCTATAGGGCAATCCTAGCCCACAGCAAATACTCTGTCCTCTGAACTCTTTCTGTAGAAATTCAATTTTGCACTGATAGTTGCCAGATAACCTATGGTTAAATGTTCATTCTCTGGTGTAAAGCTACCTGAATTCAAGTCTCTGCTCTACTCTTCACTAGCTACAGGTAAGTGTCTCTGCCCAGAGTTGGTGTCCCATCATATTATGCTGTCCTGCAGAGAGACCATCAGACTCAAGCCTGCTAGCCCCATATGCTGTGCATTGCAGCTGCACTGTCAAGAGTAGAGCCCTAGGCTGGGCGCGGTGGCTCACGCCTGTAATCCCAGCACTTTGGGAGGCCGAGGCGGGCAGATCACGAGGTCAAGAGATTGAGACCATGCTGGCTAACACGGTGAAACCCAGTCTCTACTAAAAATACAAAACATTAGCCGAGCTGTGGTGGCGGGCGCCTGTAGTCCCAGCTACTCAGGAGGCTGAGCCAGGAGAATGGCGTGAACCCAGGAGGCGCAGCTGGCGGTGAGCCGAGACTGTGCCACTGCACTCCAGTCTGGGTGACAGAGCAAGACTCTGTCTCAAAAAAAAAAAAAAAGAGTCCAGCCCTCTAAACCTGATGTGGGTTAACACGCATTCCAGGGGTTGGGTTGCCTAGGCATATCAGGGATAGTTAGATAGTCAGTGGCTGGGAATCTCCGGCAAAAACAGTTATCCTGTCTTTTATTTGAACAAGTCTCACTCTGTCACCCAGGCTGGAGTGCAGTGGCACGATCTCAGCTCACTCCAACCTCCACCTCCTGGGTTCAAGCGATTCTCCTGCCTCAGCCTCCCAAGTAGCTGGGATTACAGGCATGCATCACCACATCCGGCTAATTTTTGTATTTTTAGTAGAGACAGGGTTTCATCATGTTGGCCAGGCCAGTCTTGAACTTCTGACCTCAGGTGATCCTCCTGCCTTGGCCTCCCAAAGCAGTCATTGGTCCTTTTGAATCACATAATCAAAAGCCAATCTCAAACGTTCAGTGGCAATGTAGCACAAGGTTCTAAACTGAAAATTTTTGTATTATAATAAAGTAGCTTCAGTCAGCTTTACAACAAAGACCCACTGTCTTTTATTAATTTAGAGGATAGTCTTATGATCAAAGAAAGCAAGATTTGTTTAAAAGTAATTTTTGTCTGAAAAGGCATAGGCCCCAAATGGGAATCTATCATGTTCCCTACTAAGATATATATGTTTATGTCTTGCCTAAAGCCCCATGCACATAGTGGGTATGCAAAATATGCTAGTAATTAATTTATCAATGAAAAAATGAGGTTTTTTTGGAAAAGGACAGCAAAGTTGACATCTTCGATCCAATAATTCTACTTGTTGGAAATTTCTGCTAAAAATAGATTCTCATCTGTGTGGGAGTGATATGGTTTGGATATTTGTCCCCTCCAAATCTCATGTTGAAACATAATTCCACTTTGGGAGGCCAAGGCGGGTGGATCACGAGGTCAGGAGATCGAGACCTTCCTGGCTAACATGGTGAAACCCCGTCTCTACTAAAAATACAAGAAATTAGCTGGGCATGGTGGCGGGTGCCTGTAGTCCCAGCTACTCGGGAGGCTGAGGCAGGAGAATGGCGTGAACCCAGGAAGCGGAGCTTTCAGTGAGTCCAGATAGCGCCACTGCACTCCAGCCTGGGCGACAGAACGAGACCCCGTCTCAAAAAAGAAAAAAAAAAGAAACATAATCCCCAGCATTGGAGGTGGGGTTTGATGGGAAATGTTTCGGTCTTGGGGGCGGATACGTCATGAATGGCTTAGCACTATGCCCTTGGTGATAAGTGAGTTGACAAGAAGTCTGGTTGTTTTAAAAGTATGTGGCACCTACCCTCCCTCTGTCTCTCTCTTGCTACCACTCTCACCATGTGACTTGCCTGCTCCTACTTCGCCTTCTGCCATGAGTAAATGCTCCCTAAGGCCTCCCCAGAAGCCAAGCAGATGCCAGCACCATGCTTCCTGTATAGCCTGCAGAACCATGAGCCTATTAAGCCTCTTTTCTTTATAAATTACCCAGACTCTGGTATTCCTTTATAGCAACTCAAGAACAGCCTAACACGGGGCAGGGGATTTCAAAATTTAATAGAAATAAAAGATACAACCTTAAAGCCCATCAATAGAAGAATGAGTAAGTGAAAGATGCTAATTCCACCTAAGGAATACCATGCAGCCATTTTAAAAATACAGAGAATCAAATATCTGCTGACTGAAAAATGTCCAAGACATATTAAGCAAAAAAAAGAAAAATTGCAAAAAAGCAGGCATATTATGTTTCTTGTTGTGTTCATATTTAAAGCCTCCAAAGTAGGTATATTTGTATGTAAATGTGACACAAGGAGATTCAAAAAATACAGAGCAAACTTCTGACACTAGCCAGTTATCTCTGAAAATGGGAGAGAGTGTGCATGATTGTGTCTGTGTACATAGGGCTGGGGGGGGTAGGATGGTGATGGAAGTATTGTTAAATCTTTTACAATAATACTCTATTTGTATATTACTTATATAACAAAAGACAAAAAGATTGTCAAGGGAAAATAAACAATTTAAATTTTGTTAGAAGGAATTGTTTCAGAAATGATAAACCAAAAATATATTTGCTAAATTGTGATCACCAGGTTAAAGAAATTGATTATTTCAAATCTCATATTTGCTGTGTGTGTGTGTGTGTGTGTGTGTGTGTGTGTGTGTAGTTTAAAGGCTGCTTTCCCTCGGTCATTATGTTTTACACTGCCACTTCATTCTTCCTTATCTCAGAATAAATTCCTTTGCTAATGTGTTTTTAAAAATCAGAAAGCTTCCTCACTTAAAAGTCACCAATCAACTGGATCTGTTTTGTTAAGAAGCGTGCTGAGCAAAATGTGATTTGGATGGAATGGCAGGCCCAGGAAATGAAAAATTAGCATCACATGGCAATTCAGAACGTGACAATAGTCACTTAACAACAGATTTCCCTTTATCTTTCCAAAGGAGAGCAGTTTTTTTGGATAGAAGTTGCCTAATTGTTTCAGGGCACCCAGGTGAAGCCAGGATGAAGTCACCAGCTTCCCTCCTCATTGTTCGCTTGAAGCTTTCCTGCCCTCACCTCAGTGGTTCTACCTGCAACAGCTTAAAGGGGTATCCCTCGGGGCTGTTTTTTGAAGTCTGCATGCTACATCATGCTCTAAGACCCTAAGGAGGCTTTGTGGTATCATAACTTTCAGACAGACAAGTCGCTAAAGTAAACAGCAGGGGAGAGGCACGACAGGCCACACACCTACCAGATACCTACATTCAACCATTAGCACATGTCAAAATGGTTTAAGATTAATTAAAACAAATAGTCCCATGCTGGAAGAAGCCACACTCCCCGTCCCTACAGAGTTTCATTCTCTTTTTCTACTTCCTGTAAAACAAGAGTAATCAGATAGCAACAGTCTCAGAAATCTCAGAAATAATAGGGCAATGGTAAATTTTCTAGGCTAGGAATGCTGCAACATCAAGGAAAAAATATACAGCCATAAAACATTTAGCTGGTTTACAGAATATTTAATGATGAAGGCTGGAAAATATGTTACTGATGGCAACTCCTAGAAGGATATTTGAGCAGTTTTCCATGGAGTCTACTTTTAGAAAGTGTTTTAATCCCTTGATAAGTTCTAACCATCGAAATATGTTTTTGAGTCCAAAATTCAGGAAGATGTTAGTTACCTATATGATGAAGGCATGTGGTCACGTCTCCAACAGAAGAGAATGTTGGTGATTATCTCGATAAATCAAGTTTTAAAATCTGACTAAAGCAATCTTATTGATTAACAGACTCCTACTCATTTTAGTCCTGTCTTTAAATCTCTGTGTTGGAGTAGATTTTTCGTTGAGAGTTTATTTGCTCAATTGTGTTTTGTCTGAAATAAACAAGAACACAGAGTAGATTGTAATTTGCTTTCCCTCTCTTTGGGATCTTTTCAGGGCAAAGATAAATCAGATTAGGGAGCTGTTTGGCATGTAGCTTCTTCTGCCCTCTCTTTTGCATCAAATAGAAGTCTCTATGCTGTTTCTTGACTAAATTTGGGCTGGTTTGCTCATTCATTCTTTGAGAAATACTAAGAGAACATTCTGGTCTTTTCCTGTAACAATTCTCACACTAAACCTCACTTGTAAATGTAAGGTCTGGAATGAAACTGTGAACATGAATATGAAAACACTGTACTATTAGATTTCCATTTTGGTCTGTTTCTGGCTTGATTTGATTAAAGTCCACTCAGACTATACATCTAGCATCTTGCTTTCTCATTCTTCCCACCACAGTTTAATCCTTAATTTCCTCTACTGCTGGAATGCTTCATGCTGAATGATTGGATTAACAGCGCGGCATTTCAGGATGTACCTAAATCAGCTCGGTGGTCCAAGACTCCTTTAATTGATAACTGGCTTTCCTGCATTTATCAATATTAAATGTTGCCTCCTCTTTACTTTCTTTACTTTTCTTTAGTTAATACAAACTGTTTTCAAAAAAAACAGATTTTTACAACAGAGGGTCTCTTTTCTAGGGAGGAGGACACTGAAAGAACAACACTTACACTCACCTTTTTTTTTTTTCACCTCAAAGCAAACATTGCATTTATTCTTTGTTTCCAGCTTTCATGAACTTTTTATCTTTTCTCTCTTTTAGATCTGTGTATGTTCACAACAGCTGTCTCTCCGGGAAGCCCATATCCCATTTCTTCAGCTCCCCAGAAGTAGACATACATATTATTTCCCTGAGGGTTAGAGAAAGCTATCAGAACTTGGCAACATATAAAGTAAATACCCACTAATTGCAATACATTCATTTAAATCAGGTCTTTATCCTCCTTAGGCATTGTAGTAGGTGGCTTCCTTTGAAGTCTTGTTGAATTTGTCCAAAATTACCTTGCCAGAGGCAGACGGCTGTTTGGAACATTTGTTCTGAACCGATCCCCAAAGCAGTAAATCTTAGCGTTGGTAACGGCTCTGCTCACATGCCACAAAAAGGAAATGTCCTGGGTAGGGCATGAATCCAGGCTTAGATCCCCCATTGTATGCAAAGAACAGAAAGAGAAAGAGAGAGATACCTGCACAGCTCCCAGGGATATAATGCTGTTGTACAACTCTGATGACGTTATAAACCACAAACCCTGTACATTAGTGAAATACAAACCAACAGACTGCCAGTGAATTAGTGATTTTTTTTCTTTTTTTCTGCTGGATCCATTCATGCATGCATGCTTGCATCTCTCATTTAATAGTGATTTTATTAGACAGTGTTATCATTTGTTTGCTTACTTTAAACACAAGTAGCTTATGCCCCTCAGCATTTTAAATTCATGATGAGAATATTATTTTACCTATATAAGGAATAATGCTGTATTGGCATTAGGGTGCCATACCTATTATAGATTCTTATCTTCCTCACAAATGCACTGATAGAAAATCTGATGCAAACAATCACACTCTGAGATCTTCAGACACATTCAAGGCTTTGTTTGGGGTGCATTTCATACTTTTACCATGTACATAGAATGGCTTTCAAGTCTTTTCAGTCTGCTACCAGGCTTTGCTTCTATTACAATAGAAGCTGCTCTGCAGCAGGTAAAGGAGCTTCCTGAACTTGGAGCAAATGATTCTGTAGCTAATTGTTATGGAGATAGGCTTAAGTCATCTTCTACTTGAGTAAGGAATCCGAATCACCGAAGACATATAGGAGGAAAATATGTGGGAGTCTGCAGTTGTCTTGCTTGTTGGTACGTGGTGTGCTGTTCATCCTCCACCTTCAAACAAAATCTAATGGTCCTAAGATAAAGCAAGAACCATAAAGACAAAATCAACCCAAATCTCCAGGACACAGTCTTTAGAGCTCAAACTAGATTATGCCCTCTTTTGTTGTGGTGACTATTTCTTCACCTCTGAACACAATGTCAAGTGTTATCTTTGATCTATAAAGTGCTAAGTGGTCTATAGTTTTGTAAAGAGCTTTTTGTTTACCCTGGCAATAATAATGAATTATTAGCATCTGTTTACGGACCTCAAAAGTAAAACTGCAAATTTACAGTATTGAAATGACGTATGAACATTTTTCAAGGAGACTTCAATTTGAGGGCAAAGCAGACACCATCATTGAAGTACATATTTTCTAGAGCTTTCGGTGTGTGACATAACGAAACTTGCAATAGGCTTCATGCCCTAATGAAGAGTTCACAATCAACTAAGGTATAGACTTGTGTAAAGTTAAACAGTAATATCAAATACACAAGATCACATAAAACTGAAATAAATCTAACTAACTTTTCATCAATGTGGAATTAGGTAAATTATGGAACACCGGTATAATGGGATACTTTATACTCATTAAAAAGAATTACATAGGCCAGGCATGGTGACTCACGCCTGTAATCCTAGCATTTTGGGAGGCTGAGGTGGGTGGATTGCCTGAGCTCAGGAGTTCGAAACCAGCCTGGGCAACATGGTGAAACCCCATCTCTACTAAAATACAATAAATTAACTGGGCATGGCAGCATGTGCCTGTAATCCCAGCTACTCAGGAGGCTGAGACAGGAGAATCGCTTGAACCTCGAAGGGGGAGGTTGCAGTGAGCCCAGATCGCACCACTGCACTCCAGCCTGGGCAACAGAGTGAGACTCCATCTTAAAAAAACAAAAAAAAAAAACAAAAAAACAAAAAAAAAACAACTATGTAGCTCTGGATATATTGGTATGTGAAAGGCCTCAAGATATATTTTTCAGATTAAAAAAGGTGTAAGATAGTAGCCATAGAATTAGCTTACTTGTGCAATTTTTGTTTGTCTTATGAAGTCTATTTCTTGGCTGGGCGCAGTGGCTCACGCCTGTAATCCCAGCACTTTGGGAGGCCAAGGTGGGTACATCACCTGAGGTCAGGAATTCAAGACCAGCCTGGCCAACATGGTGAAACCTCATCTCTACTAAAAATACAAAAAATTAGCTGGGTGTTGTGGCGGATGCCTGTAATCCCAACCACTCGGGAGGCTGAGGCGGGGAAAATGGCTTGAACCTGGGAGGTGGAGGTTGCAGTGAGCTGAGATCACACCATTGCACTCCAGCCTGGGCAACAAGAGTGAAATTCCATCTCAAAAAAAAAAAAATCTATTTCTATTTCATTTTTTAAAAAATAATTTCATATTTTATTTTATTTTATTTTATTTTATTTTTTTGAGACGGAGTCTCACTCTGTCGCCCAGGCTGGAGTGCAGTAGTGTGATCTCGGCTCACTGCAACCTCCATCTCCCGGCTTCAAGTGATTCTCCTGCCTCAGCCTCCTGAGTAGCTGGGATTACAGGTGCACATCACCATGCCCGGCTAATTTTTGTATTTTTAGTAGAGACGGGGTTTCATCATGTTGGTCAGGCTGGTCTTGAACTCCTGACCTCGTGATCTGCCCACCTCGTCCTCCCAGAGTAGTGGGATTACAGGCATGAGCCACCACACCTGGCCTCATCTTTTATTTTAGATTCAGAGGGTACATGTGCAGGTTTGTTACATGGGTTTATTGTGCGATGCCGAGGTTTTGGGTATAGATGAACCTGTCACTCAGGTAGTGAGCACAGTACCCAATAGGTAGTTTTTCTCCCCCCTCTAGTAGTCCCCAGTGTCTATTATTCCCATCTTTATGTCCATGTGTATCCAATGCTTAGCTCCCACTTAGGAGAACATGCGATATTTGACTTCCTGTTCCTGTGTTAATTTGTTTAGGAAAATGGCCTCCAGCTGCATCCATGTGGCTTCAAAGGAGATGATTTCATTCTTTGTCATGGCTGTGTAGTATCCTGTGGTGTATATATGCACCACATTTTCTTTTTTTTTTTTTTTGAGTTGGAGTTTCACTCTTGTTGCCAAGGCTGGAGTGCAATGGCACAATCTCGGCTCACTGCAACCTCCTCCTCCTGAGTTCAAGTGATTCTCCTGCTTCAGCCTCGCAAGTAGCTGGGATTACAGGTGCCCGCCACCACGCCCAGCTAATTTTTGTATTTTTAGTAGAGATGGGGTTTCTCCATGTTGACCAGGCTGGTCTCAAACTCCTGACCTCAGGTGATCCGCCCGCCTCGGCCTCCCAAAGTGCTGGGATTACAGGCGTGAGCCACATGTCTGGCCTGCACATTTTCTTGATTCAATCCACCGTTGATGGGCACCTAGGTTGATTCCATGTCTTTGCTATTGTGAATAATGCTGCAATGAACATACAAGGAAAGAACTGTTCTACAAAAACGACACTTGTGCACCTTTTTAAAAGAAATAGAGATCTATAAATATACGTGTGTATAGTCATGTGTCACTTAACAACAGGATGTAGCCTGTTACTATAATGAATACTATAGGCAATTGTAACACAGTGGTGAGTACTTGTGAATCTAAACCTATCTAAACCTAGAAAAGGTACAGTAAAAATACTGTATAAAACGTTTTAAAATGGTACACCTAAACAGGGCACTTAGCAGGAATGGAGGTCTTAGGACTCAAAGTTGCTCTTGGTGAGTCAATGAGTGAGTGGTAAGTGAATGTGAAGGCCAAGGACATTATTGTACACTACGGTAGACTCTCCAAACACTGTACACTTAGGCTATACTAAATTTATAAAAAATATTTTACTGGGTCACATGCAGTGGCTCAAGCCGTAATCCCAGCACTTTAGGAGGCCAAGGTGGGCAGATCACTTGAGCCCACGAGTTTGAGACCAGCCTGGCCAATGTGGTGAAACCTTGTCTCTATTAAAAATGCAAAAATTAGCCAGGTGTGGTGGTGCATGCCTGTCATCCCAGCTACTTGGGAGCCTGAGGCTCAAGAATCACTTGAACCTGGGAGGAGATCAAGGCTACAGTGAGCTGAAATCATGCCACTCGTGCCACTGCAACTCCAGGCTGGGTGACAGAGCAAGACTATGTCAAAAAAAAAAAAAAAATCTGTCTTCAATAATAAATTAATCTTAGCTTGCTGAAATTTTTACTTTTTAAACTTTTTAATTCTTTTAAACTCTTGGACTCTTGTAATAACACTTAGCTTAAACTGCAAACACACTGTACAGCTACACAAAAATATTTTCTTTATATCCTTATTCTACAAGCATTTTTTATTTATTTTTTTTTTTTTCACTTTTTAAACATTTTTTGTTAAAAACTGAGACGTAAACACACACATTAACCCCAGCCTACACAGGGTCAGGATCATCAATATCACTGTCTTCCTCCTCCACATCTTGTCCCACTGGAAGGTTTTCAAGGGCAGTAATAAGCGTTCAGCTGTCACCTCCCATGATAAGAATGTCTTCTTCTGAAGTACCTTGTGAAGGGCTTGCCTGAGGCTGTTTTACAGTTAACTTAAAAAATAAAATAAATGCACACTAACAATTAAAACTATTGTATAGAAAATACATATACCAGAACACAGTTGTTTTGATCATTATCAGGTGTTATGTACTATACATAATTGTATTGCTATACTCTTATATGAATGGCAGCGTAGTAGGTCTGTTCACACCAGCATCATCACAGACAGGTGAATAATGCGTCGTGCTATGGCATTAGGACAGCAATGACGTCACTAGGCAATAGAAAATTTTCAGCTCCATTATAATCTTAAAGGACTGCTTTCATATGTGCAGTTCACCGTTGACTGAAACGTCATGCAGTGCATGACTGTACTTAGATAAGGATACTATTTTTAAAAAGTGTTCTATATGAAATATGATAGTAGTTACTTTTTAAAGATAGATGGGATAATTATAAGAGATTAGGAATGTGTGAGTGAAGAAATAGTTTTTTTAAACACCTTTTGCCATATTTTGATTTTTTTCATAGATAGATATTATTATTATTATTATTATTATTATTGAGATGGAGTTTTGCTCTTGTTGCCCTGGCTGGAGTGCAATGGCATGATCTTGGCTCACTCGGCTTCCTGGGTTCAAGCGATTCTCCTGCCTCACCCTCCCTAGTAGCTGGGATTACAGGCATGCGCCACCATGCCTAGCTAATTTTGTATTTTTAGTAAAGACAGGGTTTCACCGTGTTGGTCAGGTTGGTCTCAAACTCCTGACCTCAGGTGATCTGCCCACCTCGACCTCCCAAAGTGCTGGGATTACAGGCGTGAGCCACTGCACCCGGCAATAGATACAATTTTTAAGAGATAAGCCAATTTTTAAAAGGCATACAACAGGTAAACTATTATTGAAAAAAAGGTGGTATATCACTCCTTATCAAATGAGTGTTACAGGCAGTAAGTATCATAGAACTTCAATGGAGAGACAGATTACTAGGTGAGCTACTAAATAATTACTATAATAATAATAATACCGCTTATGAAACCATAGCATGACCATATTAGATATATTTCTATTTATTGCTATTACCCTTATCGTATATACTCAAATTATTCCTATGTCTGCCAGCAGAGGCCTCTTCAAGTTGGCTCCTAAGTCCTGACAGAACCTCAGTAATCTCTGATAGCTGCCTTGTTTTCTAATATGACAAGATGTTCCAGGGTCATCTTGTACATTTCCTACTTTAGACCTGGAGTAGGACATTTCTCTCCAAAGAGCTCTGGTCTTCCATTTTACTGGGAAATTATATTTAGATACCATGGTATGAGCATGAGTGGTGCTTATTGCTACTGGGTTGATCATTTTTTTCTAGTGAACAGTGAACAGATAAAAGATATGTATATGTAACATATATGTGATACAGATATATAATGATAAAATACAAGTTTATGTTGATACTGTCAATACAGATTCAAGGTTTTTCTCAACTTCATTGATCTTGCATATTTGTCTTTTTTTAACTGAATATTCCAGTTGATACCAACATAATTATACAATAGTCTCAGAGTAGCAATACCAATACTACTACTGCTAATATAATTATTGAAAACAGTTATAATTATTGAAAATAATTCTCCTTAGAATATATGCCACTAAGAACACATAGACAAATAACTGTGTTGTAAAAGCCATTCGGAACGGTTTTCCTCTGTGAGATAATGCCATTCACTGGCTACACAGTGAGGTTCATTTGTTTCATTTTATTTTGCTTTTTAGGGATTGTATTTTAAAAATTAATTTTGTTTAGTAATTAAGTAGAATGTTAACTTGGTTCCAAAATCAAATCTATAAAGCAATATATATTTTAAAATTTCTGGCTATTGCCTCCCTTGCCTTAAATTTATCTTATGAATTGTATTTTTCTTGTTTTTATTTTTATTTTTAACCTCCCTCTCAGATGAGTTTTTGCTTGTTTTAATTTTAATATAATCAAACGGATATTATTAGGGTGATATGGTTTGGATTTGTGTCTCTGCCCAAATCTTATGTTGACTTGTAATCCCCAATTTTGGAAGAGGTGGAGGATGATTGGATCATGGGGGCAGATTTCCCCCTTGCTGTTCTCATGATATGAGTGAGTTCTCATGACATACGATTGTTTAAAAGTGTGTAGCACCTCCCCCTTCTCTCTCTTCATCCAGCTCTGGCCACATAAGACATGTCTACTTCCCCCTCCACCATTATTGTAAGTTTCCTGAGGCCTCCCCAGCCATACTTCCTGTACTGCCTACAGAATCATGAGCCAATTAAACCTCTTCTTTATAAATTACCCAGTCTGAAGTAGTTCTTTATAGCAGTGCGAGAAAGAACTAATATATAGGAAAATGGAAGCATTTAACTTAACAATATAACCTGGATATATTGATCATACCATAGTAGGAGGTAAAGATATCTTTCATTTATTTCCATAGCATCTTTCATAACTTTTTGTTTTCTCTTTAGTTAATGGTTCTCTCTTTTCATTTACCTTTTTGTTTCAGCTTGGTGTATTTTTATAGATATTTATCACCAATATATCTTCACACACTCTCCTATTGTCTCAATCTTTTCCAGTGTATTTAAGCACATCATGGATGCTATCAAGTTCATCTTAATTTCATTCTCTTAGAGCCTGCTGCCCGCTACAATCTGGATGGATAATTCCTGTGGCCTGCTGCACAGCTGTCATCCACCCTTTACAATCCCCCTTCACCATCATCCTTGGAACTTCCTCCTTTTCATTGAGTAAAATGTCCTGCTTACTGATTCCTTTGTCACTTTACTTCTTACTTTACTCTCTGATTCTGATAAAGCACAGCTAACTTCTTTAGCTTGATACTGTGATGAGGTTCATAACTCTTATTCACATTGCTTCATCTACCATCAACCAAAGATGGGGATATCACTGGAGCATCATTACCTGTCATTACTCATTGCGTCCCATGATGTCCTTTCATATGATTATTAAATCATGTAATGTATACAGTAGGTTTAAGAGCTTAATTAACCTTTGGCGATAACCAGATTCAATGAGGCCCTCAGTGTAGAGTATATATAAGAGGTAGATGCTTCTTAGCATATTAAAGGCTGATTCCCAGGACATTCGGGGATTAAATTTTAAGAACAAAGTTATTTTATCAGATAGAACAGATTCTGGGGTTTTTTCCTTTTTTTTTTTTTTTTGAGACAGAGTCTCACATTGTCACTCGGGCTGAAGTGCAATGGCACGATCTTGGCTCACTGCAACCTCCGCCTCCCGGGTTCAAGTGATTCTCCTGCCTCAGCCTGCTGAGTAGCCGGGATTACAGGGGCCCACCACCAGGCCTGCCTAATTTTTTTTTTGTATTTTGAGTAGAGTCGGGGTTTCACTATGTTGGCCGGGCTGGTCTTGAACTCCTGACCTCGTGATCTCCCCCCCCACCCACCCTTGGCCTAAAAAGTGGCGGGATTACAGGAGTGAGCCACCGCACCCAGACTTCCCCTCATTTTTAAAATCAGTAGGGAAGCATTAAAGGTCAATTCAGAGGTCATTAAAATTATATTTTTAAATAACAAGAAATATTAGTATCTAATTCTGTGGTTGTTTGCAAGATTATTTCTTTGAAATTTAAATGGAACTTCCTTTATACTTATTCACGCTCACACACACACAAACAAGTGCACACACAGGTGTGAGAAGCCCAATCACTCCAGGATTAGCTGTTCCTCAGAAAGCTCAGTAATGATCTGAAATCTGAAGCCCTACTTGAACTTTTCTACTAATTCAGTAATTACTGCTGTGCCTGAAATTGGCCCCTTTCCTGCAATTACTCAACATGCACTTTCAGTTAAAGAGGTTAACACCTGAATTTAGATTCTAATTAGCATGTAAGGTAGAATTTTTTGTTTAAAGCTTATTAAAATGGGGACTTTTCCCAGTGTAAGATTTCACTAGTCTATGCAGGCAAACACATGTTTTATAGATCAGCTTCTGATTATCTTAAAAGCAACAAAGGTCGGAGGGGAAACCAAGATCAACGTATCACCATTTAAGACACTAACCTCAGAATAAATCAAATTCAGTCAATAACTGAAGTTGTCAGGCTGGCCACTGTCAATACAAGGACCAGTGTTTCCAAATCCGCATTTAAATAAATGACTTCTCTCAAAAAAGATACCAATAACTCGAGATAAAAGCAAATTAATAGTGGTATCGGCTTTCAGAGCTATCTCCAGTTCCTTCCCCCAGTTTTCCTAATTACTAATATTTAAAAATCGCAATACCAAAAACTCAGAATTACATGGGGACAGAAGGTCTTCAATTTCTCAGGAAACAATTAATGTGAGTTTAACTTCAACCACAGGTGTGTCTTCAAGCTATCTATGTATCCTCTGCCACATCCCTAAGAAGCAGTCGCCCAATTATTTCTTGGGCACCTCCAGCAATGGGAAGCTTACTACCTCCTAAAGCAGCTCATTTTATTACCAGACACACCGGAAACAATGGCTCTATAATTGATGGATTATAAACACACTGAATTTAGGGGCATTCTCATCATTCAGTTGACTCACACTGTTTTCAGTACATACACTGTTTATTTCTTTCCCATCTTGCACTTATGCAATTGACTTTTTTGAATCTAAGTTCAAGAACTTAGATTTTTCTCTTTGGAATTTTCCTCTACTTCAGCTTAACTCCTATTCAGCCAATCAAGATGATTTGTGTTGACTGTGCTCTCTGGTTTCTTGTCATCTACAAATATAATAAGCATCCTATCCTTTGTTCCCGTTCAAGGATAAACTTAATATATAAGGTCTCCCAGCTTCTAACTTGACTCAGCCAACACTTCAATACAGAAATGAAACCCTTGTGACTTCCTCGTTGGCTATTCTGAGAATCATGTTATATTCACCGGCAAATCAAGAAGAAAAACTTGAAACAATACTTGTGTCTTCAAAAACAAGGGCAAAAAGATCAAGGAGTGGGAAGTGGTAAAACCACTTGTATTAGTTTGCTGGGAACTGCCATAACAAAGTACCACAGACTAGGTGGCTTAAACAACAGACATTTATTTTGTTACTATTCTGGGGGCTAGAAGAACGAGATCATGGTGTCGGTACTTGGTTTCTTCTGAAGCCTGTCTCTCCTTGGCTTGTAAATGACTGTGTTCTCCCCATGATCTTCCCCCTGTGCTTGTCTGTGTCTTAATCTCTTCTCTTCTTAAAAGGACACAAGTCATATTAAAGTAGAGCCCACCCTAATAAACTCATTTCAACTTAATTACCTCTTTAAAGGCCCTATCTCCAAACAAAGTCACATTCTGAGGTACTGGTGGCTAGGACTTTAACATGTGAATTTCGGGGGAATACAAATCAGTCAGAACATCACTTAGGAGACATTTTCTCTCTATGTTCTCAGCCATAGATTGCATATACTCCAAATATCAGTTTCTCTAAATGTTCATGTTTTATCTCACTAAATGTGTAATCTTATTTACTTAATGCACGTTTATTTTTACCTTTTTTTTTTTTTTTTTTTGAGACAGTCTTGCTCTGTCGCCCAGGCTGGAATGTAATGGCATGATCTCAGCTCACTACAACCTCCACCTCCCGGGTTCAAGCGATTTTCGTGCCTCAGGCTTCCAAGTAGCTGGGATTACAGGCATGCACCACCACACCTGGCTAATTTTTGTATTTTTACTAGAGACGGTATTTCTCAATGTTGGCCAGGCTGGTCTAAAACTCCTGGCCTCAAGTGATCACCCTGCCTAGGTCTCCCAAAATGCTGGGATTACAGTTGTGAACCACCACGCCCAGCCTATTTTCACATCTTTTTAGGGCCTTATGCCTACATTTCAGAATGTGCCTTCAAACAGGTTGAGGCCTAAATATGAACCACAGTGTTTAAGCTTTTTAAATGCTGCTGCCATTTCATAAAAATTGCCCTTTGCTGATGGGCTCATTTGCTGTAATAAATCATACTATAATATAAGCTATAGAGTGCGTAAGTATGTAAATATGCATACATTTCTAAAGTTACAGCATACTGCTTATATTCCTGCCACTATATCCAATTTCTCTTTGAAAGAATACAATATGAATGTATAAATAGCCTCAGTTACCTAGAAGCAGGTGTAATTAAGGGAATTTGGTTATTTGACCTCCAGGGAGGTCAATTACATGCCATAGACTTTGACCCAAATATTCATATCCCCCAATGTGTTTCATTACAGTGGAACCCTATTTTTGTACGAAGAAAGCTTGAGACCCACAGAAGTAAGGCTGTGGGAACATGTTAGAAAAGTGGATGTTGCCGGACATGGTGCCGGATCACGCCTGTAATCCCAGCACTTGGAAGGCTGAGGCAGGTGGATCACCTGAGGTCAGGAGTTCAGGACCATCCTGACCAACATGGCGAAACCCCATCTCTACTAAAAATACAAAATTAGCCAGGCATAGTGGCACATGCCTGTAATCCCAGCTACTTGGGAGGCTGAGGCAGGAGAATCACTTGAACCCAGGAGGCAGAAGTTGTAGTGAACCGAGATCACGTCATTGCACTCCAGCCTGGGTGATGGAGCAAGACTTCATCCAAAAAAAAAAAATAGCATAAAAGATGCCATGTTATTTCTAACAGCACCCATTTATTCTATAGAATAAGAAAACTTTTTACAGCACACTCCCTTTGTAGGTCCTGGAAAACAAGAGAATTAAAGTGAAATAAAATAAGTCCCTTTAAAAAATATTTTGCTGTTTTTCCCCAATAATAGAATAGAAATTTTATGAAAATCTTCAATTAACCTCAACCTCATACGGTAACAAGATGATTAAGGGCACAGACTATGTAGCCAAGCCACCCACATAAAACTCGGGTTCCTCTGCTTTTTAACTAAAAGGAACTAAGGGAAAGTTCCTTAAGCCTCACCAGCCTTACTCATAACAGGAGAGATAATATTAGTAACTACCACACAAGACTGTTAGGAAAATTAAACGAGATAGGCTCTTAGACAATACTTAGCATAAAGCAAGCATTGTATATATCTTAGCCATTATTATTTTTTGTTAATAGCATTAATACTCACAAAAACCTGTGGTGTGGCTTTGTTATCTCTACTTATACGAACATACACAAAAAAACAAGACTTGCCCGAGGTCGAACTGTTATTACATGACAGAATTGAGATTTTTTTCTAACTCCTGCTTTTTCTGTACCTCCTGCTATAAATGTAATCTTATGTGGAAATTGCTTGTTTCCCAGTGGCTAAGGGCACATAGCAGTGGGGAATTGGAATGTTCTTTAGAGAATTCTGTCATTATGCGGTTCTTTTCTCATACTAACGAATGTGGCAAATTCGGGCATAATCTGGGCAAACACCTGAAGTGAGGACAGATGAGGTATCAAGGGGGAAGTGAAGGCATCAGGCAGTTCCTGAAGTCCTCACATCAGTGGCACTGTGATTTTGAACCATCTGTTCGTGAACAGCAGGATGCCAGCCAGTGACAGGTTAGGTTAGGGCAACCGTCTTTCAGGGCAGAGGCCTTGTCTTCTCCAACTTTGTGACATGCCCAATAGTGCATAATAAATACTCATTAATAACTGTTTGCTAGACTGAGTTGTCTTGAACTAAATTGAATTGGCCAGACATCCTTACTGGTCTTGCTTGAGAAGCATAAAAGACCCCACCCCTGCCTACACATTCACACATGCCGAAGTAACTCATTTATTTATTTACTCATCAGATATTGAGTGCTTTCCACGGGAATACTAGACAATAAACAAAACAAGCAAGGTCCTACTATCATAGAGTTGAGTGTACGATGATGGAGGAGATGGATAATTAAGCAAGTAGTTACATACAGTCTGATGAGTGCTGGGGTAGAAGTGGGAGATGCCACTGGAACACTTGGCAGGGACACCTATATAAAATGGAAGTAGGGGGTGGGATGTCACAGGGTATGGGTCCATAGTGATGAGGCTGGAGGGCTAAGCAGGGCCTTGCAGGCCTTAGTAAGGATTTTGGGTTTTAGCAAGTGTAATAGAAGCTTTTAAATGTTTTTAAGCTTGATAGTGACATGTTCTGATTTGCATTTTGAAAAGGTCAATCAGGTCCCATTATGGAGGATGGACTTGACAAACACAGTCTGAAATGGGAAGATCACACTGTAACAGCAGTCTAGGCAAGAGGTGATGATAGCATAGGTTAGGGAAAGGAGAAAAGCAGAAAGTTTGTCCAAAAGCTCCTCCAGCTGAAAAACAACTTCAGCAAAGTTGCAGGATACAAAATCAATGTATAAAAATCACTAGCATTTGTATACACCAACAACAGCCAAACCGAGAGCCAAAATCGGGAATGCAATCCCATTCACGATTGCCACAAAAAAAATAAAATACCTAGGAATATAGCAAACCAGGGAGGTGAAAGATCGCTACAATGAGAATTACAAAACACTGCTCAAAGAAATCAGAGATAAAACAAATGAATGGAAAAACATCCCATGCTCATCCCATGCCCATGGATAGAAAGAATCAATGCCATTAAAATCGCCAAACTGCCCAAAGTAATTTATAGATTGAATGCTAATCCCATCAAACTACCAATGACATTCTTCACAGAACTAGAAAAAGCTATTTTAAAATTCATATAAAACCAAAAAGCAGCCTGACGAGCCAAGGCAATCCTAAACAAAAAGAACAAAGCTGGAAGCATCACACTATCTGACTTCAAACTATACTACAGGGCTACAGTAACTAAAACAGCATGATGCTGGTACAAAAGCAGACACATAGACCAGTGGAACACAATAGAGAGCCCAGAAATAAAGCTGCACACCTCCAACTATATGATCTTCGACAAAGCTGACAAAAACAGGCAATAGGGAAAGGACACCGATTAAATAAATGGTGCTGGGATGACTGGCCAGCCATATGCAGAAGATTAAAATTGGACCCCTTTCTTACACCATGTACAAAAGTCAACACAAGATGGATTAAATACTTAAATGTAAACCCCAAAACTATAAAAACCCTGGAAGACAACTGAGGCAATACCATTCTGGACATAGGAATGGGCAAAGATTTCATGACAAAGACACCAAAAGCAATTGCAACAAAAGGAAAAAAATTGACAAATGGGAACTAATTAAACTTAAGAGCTTCTACACGACAAAAGAAAATGTCAACAGAGTAAACAGACAACCTACAGAATGGGAGATAATATTTGCAAACTATGCATCTGACAAAGGTCTAATATCCAACATCTATAAAGAACCTAAATAAATTTAACAAGAAAAAATTTAAATTTCTTGTTTAAATTTAGTAAATTTAAACAAGAAAAAAAAACAACCCTATAGAAAAAGTTGGCAGGGGACATGAACAGACACTTTTCAAAAGAAGACATACATATGGCTAACAAGCCTTGAAAAAATGCTTAATATTACTGATCATTGGAGAAGTGCAAATCAAAACCACAGTGAGATACCATCTCATAAAAGTCAGAATGGCTATTATTAAAAAGTCAAGGCCAGGCTTGGTGGCTCACGTCTGTAATCCCAGCACTGTGGGAGGCCAAGGCAGGCCTATCACCTGAGGTCAGGAGTTCAAGACCAGCCTGACCAACATGGAGCAACCCCATCTGTACTAAAAAATAACAATAAAAATAATACAAAAATTAGCCAGGCATGGTGGTACATGTCTGTAATCCCAGCTACTCGGGAGCTGAGGCAGGAGAATCGCTTGAACCTGGGAGGCGGAGGTTGCAATGAGCCAAGATTGTGCCATTGCACTCCAGCCTGGGCAACAAGAGTGAAACTCCATCTCAAAAAAATAAATAAATAAATAATAAAATAAAATAAATAAAAATAAAAAGTCAAAACAACAGATGCTGGCAAGGTTGTGGAGAAAAGGGAACTCTTAAACACCGTTGGTGGGAGTGTAAATTAGTTCAACCATCAAGGAAAGCAATGTGGCAATTCCTCAAAGAGCTAAAAGCAGAACAGTCATTTCACCCAGCAATCCCATTACTGGGTATACACCCATAAGAATATAAATCATTCTACCATAAAGACACAGGCACTTTCATGTTCACTGCAGCACTATTCACAATAGCAAAGACATGGAATCAATCTAAATGTTCACTAATGACAGATTGGATAAAGAAAATATGGTACGGCCGGGCACGGTGGCTCACGCCTATAATCCCAGCACTTTGGGAGGCTGAGGCAGGAGATTGAGACCATCCTGGCTAACACGGTGAAACCCCGTCTCTACTAAAAATACAAAACATAGCCGGGCGTGATGGCGGACACCTGCAGTCCCAGCTACTCGGGAGGCTGAGGCAGGAGAATGGCGTGAACCCAGGAGGCGCAGCTTGCAGTGGGGCGAGATCGCACCACCGCACTCCAGCCTGGGCAACGGATTGAGACTCCACCTCAAAAAAAAAAAAAAAAAGACAAAGAAAAAAAAGAAAATGTGGTACGTATACACCAGGGAATACTTTCAATCCATAAAAAAGAATGAGATCTCCCTCTCCCTCTCCCTCTCCCTCTCCCGTCTCCCGTCTCCCACTTTCCACGGTCTCCCTCTGATGCCCAGCCGAGGCTGGACTGTACTGCCGCCATCTCGGCTCACTGCAACCTCCCTGCCTGATTCTCCTGCCTCAGCCTGCCGAGTGCCTGGGATTGCAGGCGCGTGCCGCCACGCCTGACTGGTTTTTGTATTTTTTGGTGGAGACGGGGTTTCGACGTGTTGGCCGGGCTGGTCTCCAGCTCCTGAACGTGAGTGATCTGCCCGCCTGGGCCTCCCGAGGTGCCGGGATTGCAGACGGAATCTCGCTCACTCAGTGCTCAATCTTGCCCAGGCTGGAGTGCAGTGGCGTGATCTCGACTTGCTACAACCTCCACCTCCCAGCCGCCTGCCTTGGCCTCCCAAAGTGCGGAGATTGCAGCCTCTGCCCAGCCGCCACCCCGTCTGGGATGTGAGGAGCCCCTCTGCCCTGCCGCCCAGTCTGGGAAGTGAGGAGAGCCTCTTCCCGGCCGCCATCCCATCTAGGAAGTGAGGAGAGTCTCTGCCCGGCCGCCCGTCGTCTGAGATGTGGGGAGCGCCTCTGCCCCGACGCCCCGTCTGGGATGTGAGGAGCGCCTCTGCCCGGCCGCGACCCTGTCTGGAAGGTGAGGAGCGTCTCTGCCCGGCTGCCCCGTCTGAGAAGTGAGGAGCCCCTCCGCCCGGCAGCCGCCCCGTCTGGGAAGTGAGGAGCGTCTCCGCCCGGCAGCTGCCCCGTCCAGGAGGTGGGGGGCAGCCCCCGCCCGGCCAGCCGCCCCATTCGGGAGGTGGGGGGCGCCTCTGCCCGGCCGCCCCGTCTGGGAATTGAGGAGCCTCTCTGCCCAGCCACCACCCCGTCTGTGATGTGTACCCAACAGCTCATTGAGAATGGGCCATGATGACGATGGCGGTTTTGCCGAATAGAAAAGTGGGAAATGGGAAAAGAAAGAGAGATCAGATTGTTACTGTGTCTGTGTAGAAAGAAGTAGACATAGGAGACTCCATTTTGTTCTGTACTAAGAAAAATTCTTCTGCCTTGGGATACTGTTAATCTGTAACCTTACCCCCAACCCCGTGCTCTCTGAAACATGTGCTGTGTCAACTCAGGGTTAAATGGATTAAGGGCGGGGCAAGATGTGCTTTGTTAAACAGATGCTTGAAGGCAAGCATGCTCATTAAGAGTCATCACCACTCCCTAATCTCAAGTACCCAGGGACACAAACACTGCGGAAGGCCGCAGGGTCCTCTGCCTAGGAAAACCAGAGACCCTTGTTCACATGTTTATCTGCTGACCTTCCCTCTACTATTGTCCTATGACCCTGCCAAATCCCCCTCTCCGAGAAACACCCAAGAATGATCAATAAATACTAAAAAAATAATAATAATAAAAAAATAAAAATAAAAAGAATGAGATCACGTCTTTTGCAGGAACATGGATGGAGCTAGAGGCCATTATCCTTAGCAAACTAATGCAGGATCAGAAAACCAAATACTGCATGTTCTCCCTAACAAGTAGAAGCTAAATGATGAGAACACATGGCCAGAAAGAGGGGAACAACACACACTGGGGCCTACATGTGGGTAGGGGGTGGGAGGGAAGAGAGGATCAGAAAAAATAACCATTGGCTTCTAGGCTTAGTACCTGGGTGATGAAATTATCTGTATAACAAACCCCCATGACATGAGTTTACCTATATAACAAACCTGCGCATGTACCCTGAACTGAAAATAAAAGTTAAAAAAAAAGAAAAGTAAAAAGTTTGAAGATAAATTTCAAAAATGGAGATAGGGTGTCAAAGTTGAGAGTGAGAACAATGAAAGAAAGGCTGAGATTTCTGGCTTGGCAAACTAGGTGGCTGTGGTTCCATTCATTGAAATGTATGGAGAAGATAGTCCAGTTTTGAATATGCTGATTTTGTAGAGTCCATGGGACCTCCAGGTTAGCAATATCCAGTTAGCAGTTGCATATAAGAGTCCCAGGAGTGGGGAGCAAGATACTGGAGTTGTCAGCATATATATGATCATTGATAGTATAAGACCAAAGTGGAACTCAGAAATGAATAAAGGTAGGGAAATTGAAGAACACTATTATTAAAAGGAGTGGACTCCAAACTTTGATGCACATCTGAATCATGAAGTAAATTGTTGAAAATACATATATCTAGCCCCAGTTTCTGAGTTTCTAATTTATAAAGTCAGGCTAATGCCCAGGAGGTTGTATTTTGAACAAATTCCCTGGATGATTCTGATGCAGATGTGCTGTGGACCATACTTTTATAAGCATGGATTTTAGAAATGGACAAGGAAGAGAAACACATAATGAAATCTATTAAGAAGGTTCTAGAGTGGAAAGAGAAGGACTAGAAGAAATATGGGGTTCTGGAGCCAAAGAAGACAGCTTCAACAAAGGAAGAAGTGGTCAGCCATGCTACTGGCCCCACAGTCTTCCTGTGATTGGTCACCCATAAATATTACAGGATGCTGAAGGTTCCCGTTAAAATGTAAATGTGCTGCTCAAAATGAGTCATACATTTTTGTCCATTACAAATCAACAGTTGTTTATCCAAAACCTTTGGGACCATTTGTGTTTCAGAATTCAGAATTTGGGGGATGTTAGAAAGCTGTTTATACCATATATTACTTAAACCTATAGTGGGGTCTTAGCATTTAGTTATCAAATGCAATAATATTTCTGGAGCAAGTGTATACATAGCCACATTAAGTGACATAAATAAGGAAAAGAGCCTTATATCAGTTTAAGCCAGATTGATGACAAATGAACCTATTTTGGATCAAGCTTTATCTAAGCTGAGTTAAAAAAAAAAAACTTCCAGTTTTCAGAGCTTTATAGGTTTCAAAATTGCAGATAAAGGATTATGCATCTCTACCACCTGGTCATGCCTTACCATAAATGTGATTATCAGACTACAGTGAACTTTGCAATAATACTTGTTTTGAAAAACACAAATGTATTCCAACATAATTGATATATTAGGGAACAATGGAGCATAACTTGAATTTCATATTTGTCTATGCACGATTTTGCGAGCAAAATATGCTAGATGAACTTAGAAAACTGCACCCAACTGAACCAAGATGGATAAAAATACAAAAAAAGTGCACATACGCCTCAAACATCTACCAGCTACTTTAATATACCACATATATCATGCTGTAAGATTGAGTTTTGCTATTCTTTTGCACTTCTGAGCTTTTCTATGTAAACAACCCAAACCTGTCTAATTCAACATCCCAAACCTGTCTAAGCAACCTGGTTCAAAATGCCAAGCAGTGCATGCTTAAACGAAAGCACTATCTATATGCAAAGATGTTAAATGGAAATCACCAAATCCTGCAGAAGTGGCTCCTTTTAGTGCTAGTACTGGCTCCTTTTTAAGCATCCCTACAATTTCCAAAGCTTTCAGCTATCCAGAAAAGCTGTGAGTGCAAATGAGAAAGCTACAAAAAAAAAATTTTCAGTTGTCATACAGAAGTTAATTGAAGAAGAAGGCTATTCATGGGATCAAATTTTAAATTTTGATGAAAAATATATCTATTCCAAACAAATGCTTGAAGGGATCTACATCATTTTTTTTTTTTTTTTTTTTTGAGACGGACTCTCCCTCTGTGGCCTAGGCTGGAGTGCAGTGGCGCGGTCTCGGCTCACAGCAAGCTCCGCCTCCTGGGTTCACGCCATTCTCCTGCCTCAGCCTCTCGAGTAGCTGGGACTACAGATGCCCTCCACCACGCCCGGCTCATTTTTTGTATTTTTAGTAGAGACGGGGTTTCACCGTGTTAGCCAGGATAGTCTCGATCTCCTGACCTCGTGATCTGCCCGCCTCAGCCTCCCAAAGTGCTGGGATTACAGGCGTGAGCCACCACGCCTGGCTGAAGGGATCTACCTCTTAAAGACAGAAAAACATGTCCCAAGATTGAAGACTGAAAGATCACTTAACCGTGATGTTTGGTGCCAATACCAAATGGAGGACAGTAAGCTACATCCATTCACATCTGGTGTTACGACTTTCCGTTGATTTCAAATAACCTTCTTTCTACCACTGCACAATAACTCACAAGGTACAACCCTTCCAATGCCCACTTCATAAGTAAACAATAGCTTTTTCTCAAGAGATAGTGCCATATTTATTGTACAAGTTATGTCTTGCTTAACCGTTTAACATGGGTACAACTGTGCTACCACTTTTATTAGCTTTCTCTTATTTCATGTGTCACTGACAAAGTATTTTTGAGTGTTTCCCCAATCTCATTTTTGCCATAGTAACTATGATATTTATTGTATAGTTGTGCATATGTCACATTGCCACAAAACTGACTGTTCCTCTAGTGTTCAACAAGATCTTAAAGGAATGAAATATAGAACAGAAAAATGTTAATGAGTAGGAGAGAAAAAATAATCTTAAAGGTCAACTGTGATATCCCTACTCCCGCCCAAAATGTGTGTGATGTATTTGTGTATAATAGAAATAGAATGTACAGAAATGCTAAGATTCACTCTGAGGGATGGATAAAAGTAACCCATTTTCTTTATTTTTTATTGAATATCCAAATTTTCTGTAATTAACATCTACTATCTTCATAATCACAAATACATACATAAATTGTTGGCTTTTGTTGCTTGTTTTACTGTTTCTTACATCTTTTATAATCTGGATCCCAACCAAGCAATCCAGGCTCAAGCAGGAAAGGACAATTGTGGTGCCCCCATTGGAAGTTACTGGGAGCCTGGACTTGGGGTAAGGCTGGGACTGGGAGTTCATCTGGAAACCAAGCTTTCCCTTCTTCACAGTTTTGCCTTGGGCCAGCCCTGCCCAAACCCTTTACCCTCAAGCCTACTCAGGCTCCCATAGTACTAGTTTTAGGTCCTCTTCCCATGTGGATGAGAGTTGGCCAGACTTCCTTTCTAGATCTACTAGAATCACTAAAAGGGTATTGTGTGCGTAAAAACCAAATACCAATCTCCAGGTCTTAGATCCTATCCTCTTTCTTAGAAAATCCAGCCTTAATCCAGTTCGCATTTTTCCCCAAAAGCAGCTTATTCACTAATGGACCAGTCAGATTCCTCTCCTTGTTCATTTGTTCACACAGAAAAAGCTGCCTGGGAGACCACCTGTATCGGAAGGGCAGCTGATTAAAGGGTTGTTTTTTCTGAACACAGATTTTCAGGATAATGCTCAGGATTTTGCACATGTCAAAGTCTCACTTTTCCATATAACAACATGTGGCCTCCACAGGTAGTCCCCTGGTTCTATTTATAAATCCCATCGAACACAGAACAGAAATAAAATATGTATTAGTTTCTAAAGCTATGAAGTTTCACTTCCTCCTCCTCCACCTGACACACAAAGACCAAAACTTTTCACCCATTACCTAGAATTTGCCCATATGGAAATCTGTGTTGAGCCCAAGTCTAAAATAATTATTCAGACATTAACTCCCATGATGTTAAAAGGAATTTGATCAAGTAAGGAACTACTAAATCAAGGTGCAAAGATTAAAAATGTTTTATGTAGTTAATTTACAAACCAGAGTGGTTTCTGCAAAATGACTAAAGGCTCTCTTCCCAGAAAGAATAAACTTTTAAAATTGCCGAATAATATTCAAGAGACACCATGTGCTTTTACCTGATAATGTTTTTGTTTCTGTTTTTTGTTGTTTTTTGTTTTGTTTTTTGTTTTGTTTTGTTTTTTGAGACGGAGTCTTGCTCTGTCCCCCAGGCTGGAGTGCAGTGATGTGATCTTGGCTCACTGCAACCTCCACCCCCCGGATTCAAATGATTCTCCACCTCAGCCTCCCGGATAATGTTTTATTTTGCCTCTTTTTACTACCCTGTCAATGTTGAGAGAGGAGCTGTAAATAAGAAGCTATTTTATAATATAAATGACTATGAATACGAAAGTCTTCCTATAGAAAAAAAAAAAGTCTGCTTTAAATTTAAAAATTCTTACACCAGCTTCTTTACCTGGAATGATGCAAAAGCTGAATTAAATACTTAGCCTATTACCACAGGCTATGTCCACGTTATAGCAAGCCAATTTTTTCAGCTAAAATTAGTCACAGCACTTGAAAAGTAAATATTGCTTTCTTTAAATGGGAAGAAAGCCTGCCCAAGAAAGTATATGAAAATGTTTGTTTCATGACAATGAGTTCTATGTTTCTAAGGAGGAGTTTGAGGAAAAGCCTTGTATCATTAGCTATTTGAGAACTCATAGGCAAGTACACATAATCCTAATTAGGGGTCAGGGAGGGTACGGAAGGTGGAGGAAGAAAAGTTAAGAGATTCGTGATGTTGTAGATACATGCATGGTGCGCTTAGAAACTTCATCCTCTGTTTCCATATACTCTTTTTTTTTCATGTTCTTATTTATTTAGCATGTAGCATGACACATTTAAGAAAATTAAGTTACCTTTACATTTCTTGGTCTGGTCTGTTAAGGAAGGTCACTGGATTATTGTGTTTTGATGATATTAGTTATTTCTTTGAGACAACTTGCGTGGCTAATCTGATTTTTCACTGATGACCAATTTGGGTGTTTTTTTGTTTTGTTTTGCTTTTGTTTTTTTTTAAGATGGAGTCTTGCTCTGTCACCCAGGCTAGAGTGCAATGGCGTGATCTCGGCTCACTGCAACCTCCGCCTCCTGAGTTCAAGGAGGCCTCCTGCCTCAGCCTCCTGAGTAGCTGGGATTACAAGCGCGTGCCACCAAGCCCGGCTAATTTTTGTATTTTTAGTAGAGACGGGGTTTCACCATGTTGGTCAGACTGGTCTCGAACTCCTAACCTCGTGATCTGCCCACCTCAGCCTCCCAAAGTGCTGGGATTACAGGCATGAGCCACAGCGCCCGGCCCTGTTGGTTGTTTTTTTGTTTTTTGTTTTTTATTTTCCAGTTGGAACAGCAAATCTAAGCACACTTAGGCTCAGGGTAGCTAACCCTGACTGTGCCACGATGTCCCCAAGGCTATCACTGGCTCTTAGGAAGAATAAGAAAATATTCAAATCAAAGCAAAGAACTTCCAGACTTCTGAGGAAAGCTGGGACCAGCCCTGATGAGCTTTTGCTCATCTTTGTCCCAGTACTGGTGGGATGACTCAGTAGTAATAAGGTGATTCACTGTTGTCTCATAAGCAATTGTAACAGCACCTCTGTGTGGGTGGTAAAAATATATATATATTTTTGAGATGGGGTCTCACTCTGTTGCCCAGGCTGGAGTGCAGTGGCATGATCATGGCTCACTGCATCCTCAAGCTCCTGGCCTCAAGCAATCTTTCTGCCTTGGCTACCCAATAAAAAACACTTCAAGTGGGCCTGGACTCTATATTAATATAAGGTGAGCTCAGTTCTTAAGCCTCTCTTCTCATTGCTAAAAGGTATTCTGAAGTATATCTGATATGGCCTTTCTATCATAAAAAGCTGGAACAGCATGAGCACTTACTGGAACAGAGCCAGGCATGAGGAGAGTAGGCAAGAAAAAAATGACAGCAAGGCTCTATTGACTTCCTTCTATGTGCTCCTATGCCTACTATGTGCTCTGCTTTACAGATGAGGGAACTAGGGCCCAGAAATGCCCATCCTGCCCGACGTCACACCACCATAAACTGCAAGATTCAAGGTGAGGTCAGTCTAGCTCCAAAGTGTTTCCACTGCTTTGGTAGGTAGCTTTACAGAAATGCACCTCACAGCTCTAAATGAAGAGTTCTTTACCACCCAAGCTTCTTCACTCTCTAGAAGGCAATTATAAAAGTAGTACTGCATTTTGGGATCTGGACTCTGGGTGCAGATAACCTGCCATTTATTGATGTGTGATCTGGGGTAAGTCACAGGAAATCTGTAAGCCTCAGTTTCTTTGTTTCCTTCCTTCCTTCCTTCCTCTCTCTTTCTCTCTTTCTCTCTCTCTTTCTTTCTTTCTTTCTTTCTTTTTCTTTTGCTCTTTCTCTCTTTCTTTCTCTTTTTGTCGCTCTGTTGCCCAGGATGGAGTGCAGTGGCATGATCTCGGCTCATTGCAACCTCCGCCTCCAGGGTTCAAGAGGTTCTCTTGTCTTAGCTTCCTGAGTAGCTGGGATTACATGCACGTGCCGCCATGCCCGGCTAATTTTTGTATTTTTTGTAGAGACAGGGTTCCACCATGTTGGCCAGGCTGGTCTCGAACTCCTAACCTCGTGATCTGCCCACCTCAGCCTCCCAAAGTGCTGGGATTACAGGCATGAGCCACTGTGCTCGGCTGGCTTCTTTCTTCCTTTCTTTCTTTCTTTCTTTCTTTCTTTCTTTCTTTCTTTCTTTCTTTCTTTCTTTCTTTCTTTCTTTCTCTCTTCTTTCGTCTTTCTTTCTTTTTTTTTTCGTAGAGATGGGGGTCTCATCATGTTGCTCATGGTCTTGAACTCTTGGGTTCAAGCAGTCCTCCTGCCTCGACCTCCTAAAGTGCTGGGACCACAGGCGTGGGCCACTGTACTTGGCCTGTGCTTACATTTTTAAAAATACAGATCTTGACACTACTTCTGTCAAAGGGTGGTTATGAAGGTTAAATGTGGTAATTCACAGAAAAGTTCTAGTTCTTATAAGTATTCAGTAAAGGGCTGCTATGATTAACTATGATTATTATTCAGTGACTTCGGAGATGGTGGTCCTGTGGCTTTTTACCACATAATTGCAAAATCTAACTTCTTTCACCTTCTCTTCCTCTCTGTCTCCCTCCCTTCCTCCTCCTCCCCTCTCTTTCTAATTTTCTTTTATACTTTTATCAGTCTTTTCTTTCTCTGAAGCTTCACGTTTAATATTTTATTATAGAAAAGTTTAAACATATATAAAAAATAGAATAAAAACTCTCAAATAACTATCACCCAGCTTTAGCAACTTTCAACTTGCAGCTAGCCTTCTGAAGGTTAACTCTAAATAAGAAAAATAAAGGCTCTTTTTTCTTCAATTTAATTATTATATAGGATCCTTTGAGTTTCTCTTATTAAAATCTCTAATATCCGAAGAATAATTTTTAAATGTATAAATACTGCTCACAGTTTACTTCCCTTTAGCTGATCCTTTTTTTAAAAAGTGGCCCATTTTTTCCAATATCATGGTTTAAAGTAATACAAGCTGCAAACATTTTATGATCAAAAGATATATGATCCATCAAATGCTCAAACTAAGCATGGAATCAGGCAAGTATATTAATTGAGTAGGGCCTGAGATCTGTAAAAAGTTTACAAATCCTCTAAAAAGTTTTTTCCTGAACCTAGTCCAAGAGTTGGATTTTAAACAAAATACAAAGAAAATCAGTTAAACTGAGCTTTGTTCCTCAGTTAGAAGAATTCCCCACAGCTCTATCAATGAAAATTGGGCCTTTGTCTTCAAATGTGGGCCTCCAAAGTCTAGGTTGTTGGTGCAGAACCACTGAAATTATTGCAAACCACATCTCATGGACTCTGAAAATGATTTCTTAGTAATGGCAAAGTAATTATGTGATTACTAGACTCTCTTCATGTGCCATTAGTCATAGGAAACTGGAAAATATGCCTATTTTCACTGCAAGTTGCTCATTTTGAATTGTGCCTTAAAAATGTATATTCTCGTCTGCAGGTCTGAACTGAAAAATCCAGGCCAAATTTTCAATTAAAACTTCTAAACAGCCGTCCTTAGGCAGGCCGGTGAATAGTCTGTGATGACTTGGCAAACTTTTCTAAATAGGAGACAGTCATAAAAGACTGGAGACTTGTACATATTTTCTCCCTTCCCTTCAAATGTTTTGGAGGAATTAAAATCACAACCACTGTTATTCCCCTAACTTAGAAAATACAGCATAACTATTTTTTCCCCTGACAAATCCATGGTACACCAAGGTTGTGCCTCTACTTAGTTGATAATGACAAACGGACTCATTTTCAAATCCAGATGTACATGTTAATCCTCCCAAAGCTTCTATTGCTCTGAGAATCAGCAAGACTATCGCAGAGTTAGGAGCAGGATGGAGGAGAGTTTATCTACATCAGAAGGAAAAGAATTCACCCACATGTGGTGTAAAGAAAAGAAATAGGACTCCTTTACTAAAAAAGAGGAGAGTAGAATATGGCTATGAGAAGCAAGGAAAAAATGATGAGATTCATCACTTGCTAGATCAAAAAACTCCTTGGCGCACAAACCACGTCCCATTCATTTTTGTAACCACAGTACTTGGCACACAGTAGGAACGCAATGAATGTTTGGTAAATTCAATTGAAATGAGAAGAAACAGATTGACCCGATGTAGCTTGCAGCGTCTCTAAACATAATTAATTTGTGAGGTTCTCAAAATCATCTGAGAGTTGCTTGCAGGCTCAGTAATAATTTTCATCTAATGACAGTTCCTAAGACCAGATATGAATTTCATTAAGACAGCCAGCATGCCAGCAGCTAGAATATGAGCAAAATGTTAAGGAAGATCTGTATATCACCAGGGGCAGGGGACAGAACAGAATATAGGTTAATTATGCTCTCTCAAGCTTTTCCTATACGGAATTTGTTTCTGGGAACAGGAGTGGATCTGTTTTAGATCTGAATCGGTGTGATAACAAGTAGCATTGCATGAGAGTGTGTGTAGCTAGGACTTGAGCTACCGACTGCTGGGGCTGTCAGCTGTGGCCAGTCTGGGCTCTAAGGCACACCCTGGACTAGGTAGTATAAAGAGCTGCACATCATAAGCCCACAAAAAATGTCAGTCAAATCAAAATAAATTGTTCAGACTGGGCTTTGGTCCCTTTAAAACAACTCTATGAGGCAGTCTCATTTCTACAGCGACGTTTGCTGTTTTAAGTTCCAAACTCAAGTTTGATCTTGTCTCAGCACCAAACTTTTCATTCAGGTGTGGCCTCAATAAAGCTGATAACAATTACGCACCTTCCCTGACCTCGTCCCAACTTTCCTGTAAACTGGTATGGTATGAAAAAAAAAAAAAAGTAACCTAATACCAACTCCAACTGCAGGATGGCTGCTAAGTTGCTCTATTGTGTCTCGAGGAATGCTTTCTACTACCACTTTAATGTAGTGAAAAGAAGGGGTGTGACGCTGGAGGTCTGAGACAAGACTTAAAGTGCATCTTCTTTTCATAAGCTAAAGATGAGCTCTGTACCAATAAACATCTGGCCCTTCCATTGTTCCCTAAGTATCAGGAAGTTTTGGTAGCAGAGACTATGTGAAATGCTACAGATGAAAATGATTACTTGAATCAGTACAAGCTACATTGGCTGTGTTGATTTAAGATGCTCTATTAGCTACTGTACAAAGTCAGGGCTTGATTTCTTTTTGTTGTGTTTGCTTTCTTCCCAAGTGAACAAATTAAATAGGTACAAGACCGGAAACTAGAGAGTACCTAAACCAGGTAGGTAGGACTTGATGAGTTAAATCTTTAAGCTTTACAGAAAGCTAGACTTTGGGGGAGCAAAAACAATGCTGACTGGAGGCTTAAGCTCCATGCTTTCATCTCTAAGATGACAGCTAATTAAATGTAGTCTTTACCCTATCTTAGATATGAATACATGAAAAGACGCTGTTTAAATATAATTTTGTATATTTCTAAATGTTGTTTGGTGAAGGTATATTTCCTTTATAATAAAAAAATTTATGTGAGATTATATATATTAATGTTATACTAACCATTCAAAAAGTGATATTTGAAGAAAGCCGTGTGATACACATGAAAGATCATTTTATTCAACTTGAGCTGGATTTGGGTTCAAGTCTAGCTCTGCCACCTACTAGCTCTATGAAATTGGAAAAGTTCTTTGCTTTTTCTGCACTGCAATTTTCTCCCTTATAACATGGTGAGGGATACCACTTCCTACTTCACAGAGTTATAATAAGAAATAAAACAGTAAGAAGTGCTTGATACATACTAGCCACTGAACACAGGATAGCTATTGCCATTACATTAACTAAAGAAGCTCCTTCATCCCACTACTTTTATAAACAAAAAAGCCAATAAATACCATTGTGCAAGAATGCCTTCTTAAAAGACAAACTGGCTGGACATGGTGGTTCACACTTGTAACCCCAGTACTTTGGAGGCCGAGATAGGAAGATTGCTTGAGCCAGGAGTTTGGGGTTACAGTGAGCTATAATCATGCCACCACTCTCCAGTCTGGGCAAGACCCTATCTCAATAAAAAATCAAACAAAAAAGGCAAGCTAATTCTACACAAACATATTTTTACAATGCTAATTAAGAAGTACAGTAATTGATATGAAAGATTTTTTTTTTTTTTTTTTTTGAGATGGAGTCTCACTCTGTTGCCCAAGCTGGAGTGCAGTGGCACGATCTCGGCTCACTACAACCCCTGCTTTCCAGGTTCAAGCAATTCTCCTGCCTCAGCCTTCCGAGTAGGTGGGATTACAGGTACGTGCCACCATGCCTGGCTAATTTTTGTATTTTTAGTAGAGACAGGGTTTCGCCATGTTGGCCAGGCTGGTCTTGAACTCCTGGCCTCAAGTGATCTGCCCACCTTGGCTTCCCAAAGTGCTGGGATTACAGGCGTGAGCCACCATATCTGGCCAAGGATATTTTTTAAATGTATACAGTTAAGTGGAAAGAGCCAAGAGCTGAGAGACAGGTAGCTATGCCAACCCTGAGAAGTGGTACTCTCTTAGGCAAATCTCCTTGTACCTCAGTCCCCCATCAGTCAAATGGAGTCTAATGCCATCTCAGCCTATCTCATGAAATGATTGTGAGGATCAAATTAAAAAAAAACACACATATTAAAGAGCTTTGAAAAGTTGAAAGATCTATATGCACAGATGATAAATGTTATTATAATTCCATAGTTGTAAGTCATACATATTAATATCTACTCAGGGTTGAGGCATGCTTTTGAAGCATTACCTATCTGAAAGCCCCAAAAAACAAAACAAAACAAAAAAGACCTTGATTGATTTAAAAAAAAAAAGTCATGTTTCTGAAAACTAGCATAAGAAAAAAAAATCCTACTTCTATGTAAGTTTTTTACAAATGATTCCAGATACTACAATATTTCTTGGTTCCCTATATGTTCCAGAAAATTTGCAAAAATATCACTAGATCTGTAAAATCAAATGGGCCAGCAAGTATCACATACAATAGCAATAATCGGCCAGCCTTTCTAGAATCCTAACTAATAGAACCCTTCATTTAGTCAGCATACACAGTCTTCTTGTTTATTTACTTATTTCTTATGAATGAATGAGTCAGAAATGTAAGGTCCTGCCAAACAGGAATCCTGGGACATGTCTTCACATATGACTGGTGGATAATTGCTTTAAAATAATCTTTTTAAATGACACACATTCATTGCTGGTGTCAGGTTCATTGTTACTAACCTTTGGAAAGCAATATGGCAAAATCTATTAAGAGCCATAAAAACGTCCATATATTTTCACTCATTCATCACACCCCAGGGAATTTATCCTAAGGATGTAACTGATGCACAAAGATGTTCGTGACAGTTTCATATATAAAAGCGAAATCAATTAAATGTTCAACCATGGTAATAACACATAAATAATAATTATAAAGATAATGCAGTAACCCAGAACCATATTTATAATAAAATGTTAAGCTACAAAAGCAAAATAAATACGATAGTATTCTAACATGACTTTAAGTCTGTAAAAATATGATATGTGCACAATGACCAAAAATAATACTCAAAAATTAAAATAAGGTATTAAGAAGGTAAGATATATACTTTTCAAACTTTTTTCTTAATGATACTATTTTTTACCATTAAAAGAAATAAATATTGATTGAAATATTTTTTCATTTGAGTAGGGCTTTAAGCCATTCAAAATGCTGGCATTATTTGGGTTGATTTTCACAACAATCCTGGGGCAGTAGTGAGGGACCATGTGCTCGTATTCATTGCCATTTGACAAATGAAGAAACTGAGGAACAGACAGATTCAAATCTTATCTAGAATCCCTTTTTAAGAAGCAGCCGACCCAGGGCTTGAACTAAGTCTGCTGCCTGACCATGACTCCAGGATCCTTCCCTAAATTCTCTCCTTTAGGCTCACCTCAAGGAGACTGATACCTCTAGCCTGAGCTGGTCAGCACATTTTAGTGACGTGCTTTCACCCAACTGAGGTTTGAGGTGCACTGCTGTTCTCGGAGTTCATTTGCCTAAAAAAGGTCCCTCCTACTCACATCTGGGTCTCCCCTATTCAACAAAGGCTAAGCCTCCAATCCACACAGATTTTTTAACTACCCAAGGTTCTGAGGACCAAGGGCAGTTTGTGGAAAATCACAGCATTCTTTGATTTAGCATTGGATGGCGTCTTGTATTGTACAAATAGCAGTAAAATACTGATTAAAACCCTTTGAAAAACAACCAGCTTAGTGGTCTACTTACAAACTTCATAAATGGGCTGAAAGCTATAATGAGTCACCTCAAAGTAGGTAAAATTGAACACATAAATTTCAGAATGAGCTTTATCTTCTGAATCTCAGGGATTCCAGTAAAACTGGTCCAAATCAGGTACATCGCCAGTAAATTCAGTTGCATGTGGTAAATGTTGATGGGAAATGCTCCATTTTCTTAAACAGCCAAAAGGAAAATACCACTCTAATTTAATTTCTGTGTATTCAGAACTTCCAGCTTTCCTCATGACCTTGTAGAGATCACTGATGTGGCTGTGTCCTTGCAGAAACAATCCAAAGTGGAGAAAAGAGGAAAGCAAAACAAAGAGGATAGAGATGCCTAAGAATGTTATGTGACAATGGCTGACAAATTACTAGCACTCTGACTTACAAAATTTTATAGGCCGGGCTCCGTGGCTCACGCCTGTAATCCCAGCACTTTGGGAGGCCGAGGCGGGCGGATCATGAGGTTGGGAGTTCCAGACCAGCCTGACCAACATGGAGAAACCCTGTCTCTACTAAAAATACAAAATTAGCCGGGTGTGGTGGCACAAGCCTGTAATCCCAGCTACTTCGGAGGCTGGGGCAGGAGAATCGCTTGAACCCAGGAGGCGGAGGTTGCAGTGAGCCGAGATCACGCCATTGCACTCCAGCCTGGGCAACAAGAGCAAAACTCCATCTCCAAAAAAATGTGTTCATGATTTGAAGATGAGTGGTGATGGGTACATGGGGGATCATTATACCATCCTATTCTTATTTGTTTAAAATCTTCCTAACAAAGGAATTTTTTTTAAGTAATTGTATCAATTAAAGTTAGTCTCTTCTTTCCCTCTTCCCATTAGTAAGTAAAAGTCTGATATAATAGCCTGAGTTGAAATAGAAAAGCCATGGCTACCTAACTTTTTGAAAAGAGCAAGAGTTCTCTTTGGGAGGCTACAGAGCAGAGGAGAATGAATGAAATCACCTGTTGCTTTCCTTAAATTTAAATGTTGCTTCTCTTTGTTTAAAAGATATTTTTAACAATAGAGAAAGAGTGAAAATGAAATTGATGAAAAGAAGGAGTAAAAAAGGAAGGGGGGCCGGGCGCGGTGGCTCACGCCTGTAATCTCAGCACTTTGGGAGGCCAAGGCGGACGGATCACCTGAGGTCGGGAGTTCGAGACCAGCCTGATCAACATGGAAAAACCCCGTCTCTACTAAAAATTCAAAACTAGCCAGACATGGTGGCACATGATTGTAATCCCAGCTACTCAGGAGGCTGAGGCAGGAGAATCGCTTGAACCCAGGAGGCGGAGGTTGCAGTGAGCCGAGATTGTGCCATGGCACTCCAGCCTGGGCAACAACAGAGAAACTCCATCTCAAAAGAAAAAAAAAGAAGGAAGGGAAAGGAAGGCTCAGCATAAGTAGGGAAGCTTATGGACTACCTGGACTACCTGGACTTGAACAGGCCACTAAAAAATAATCAAGTAAGTCCAGAGGTTTGTGTTTATAGTCAAATCATGATGGTGATGATTGAAGCAACATTAGTTTTCAGTCAGATATGGGTTCTTAGGCATTACACATTTGTAGGCCCAATGACTCAAGTTCTCTGAGCCTCAGTTTCCGTATCTGTAAAATAAAGGATAATCATGCCTACTTTGCAGAGTTCACGTAGAGAAGAGAGACACAAGGTATGCAAATGCCTGGCCCACAGTGGGCCATGAGTAAATCACCACCTGCCTCATTCAAGACCAGCCTGGCCAACATGGTGAAACCCCATCTCTACTAAAAATACAAAAATTAGCCGAGTGTGGTGGTGTGTGCCTCTAGTCCCAGCTACTCGGGAGGCTGAGGCAGGAGAATCGCTTGAACCTGAGAGGCAGAGGTTGCAGTGAGCCAAGATCACACCACAGGACTCCAGCCTGGGCGACCAAGTGAGTCACCTGCCTGTTAGTCTAGTAATGCCGAAGACCTTGCTGGCTAATGTAAAGAGACCAAAGATGTCAGATGAGCAATTACTTGGCTTACGGGCACTAGGGACTCCTGCATTCATGGTTCTATGGCTTATCTAAAACATTGCCATTCATCCATGAGATCTGAAACTCTACTGCCCATTTACCTATTCCAAGTCTCTAGGATGAAAAGCTGGCCAAGGTCACAAGCAAACCTAGAATGTCTCTACACACTAAAGAGGACTAGCATGTTCACCAGCAATAAGTGGCTACGTCACTTCAAACATTTTGGCTAGAATTTTCACATCAGCAGAACACTCGACAGTGACAGATATTTGTCTAAAATACTTTATTTCCATGATGAAGTCAGTTTCACTTTGGCTTATGAAACTTCAAGCCTACACCCCTATGCCAGTACCCTGCCAATGTATTCATTTACCACCATGTGGGCTTGGAACTAGAAATGAGCAAAGACTGGGCGCGGTGGCTCATGCCTGTAATCCCAGCAAGTTGGGAGGCCAAGGCGGGCGGATCACCTGAGGTCGGGAGTTCAAGACCAATCTGACCAACATGGAGAAACCCTGTCTCTACTAAAAATACAAAAACTAGCCAGGTGTGGTGGTGCATGCCTGTAATCCCAGCTAGTAGGGAAGCTGAGGCAGGAGAATCGCTTGAACCCGGGAGGCAGAGGTTGCGGTGAGCCAAGATCACGCCATTGCACTCCAGCCTGGGCAACAAGAGTGAAACTCCACAGAAAGAAAGAGAGAAAGAGAGAAAGAGAGAAGGAAGGAAGGAAGGAAGGAAGGAAGGAAGGAAGGAAGGAAGGAAGGAAGGAAGGAAGGAAAAGAAAGAAAGAAAGAAATGAGCATAGATGCCAAGCTCCTAAGTATTCAAGCCCAAAGGTTATGGCTTTCTAGGGGAATTTCTGGGGGCTTTCTATCATTTGATCCTTCCGTAATGAAGCCACAAGTTTTGTTCTTCTTGTTAAGTTAGTGCCAAGAGCCAAGCACAAAAGTGGGAACCTCCAAGAGCACTGTATAAGGTTTCCTTTTTACAATTATATTACCAAAATAACACATATTCTCTGTATTTTAAACTTTAGATAAACCAAAAGAAGAAAATTAAATTATTTACTATTCCTCTACCCGTAAATTACTAATGCTAGCATTTTAACATTTTGGAATATATTTTTCATTCTTTCTATATGCATCTATCTTTTACTCTTCTTTACCCTTCCTTTTCTCCCCACAGGTGGCATGATATATTACCACAGCTTTATAACCTATACTTTTTTTTCACATAACAATATATTATAAAACTTTTTCATTATCTTTTACTGCATCATCTTTAATGGCTATGTACTATTTCATTATATGAACTTCTTTTTCTTTTTGAGACAGAGTTTTGTTCTGTTACCCAGGCTGGACTGCAGTGGCACAATCTTGGCTCACTGCAACCTCTACCTCCGGGGCTCAAGCAATCCTTTTGCCTCAGCCTCCCAAAGTGCTGGGATTACAGGCATAAGCCACCATGACTGGCTATATGGACATATTATTATTCATTTAACAATCCCTTATATTAGGTAGTAGGATGCTTCTAATTTTTCATTAACAAAACCCAATTTCTTAATAATTCATTGAGCCGGGCGCGGTGGCTCACGCCTGTAATCCCAGCACTTTGGGAGGCTGAGGCGGGCGGATCATGAGGTCAGGAGATCGAGACCATCCTGGCTAACACAGTGAAACCCCATCTCTACTAAAAATACAAAAAATTAGCTGGGCGTGGTGGCGGGCGCCTGTAGTCCCAGCTACTCGGTGGAGCTGAGGCAGGACAATGGCGTGAACCTGGGAGGCGGAGCTTGCAGTGAGCCAAGATCATGCCACTGCACTCCAGCCTGGGCGACAGAGCAAGACTCTGACTCAAAATAATAATAATAATAATAATAATTCATGAGAGTTTTGGAAATTTCTGCTTTAGTAGTTCCAGACCTAAATCTACCATCCAAATAGGCCAAATGCAACCAAGAAAGCCTAGGTCTAAAGTTCAAAAACCTCTTTGAACTCTGGCAACTCCATTCATGTGCTTCAGAAAACCTGCACCTGTGTGGCCACCTCCCCGGTGCTGCCGGAATTCCCAAGGTGAATGTTGTTACCACACAATGCAGCAGGCAGCTTTGTTTCTCTGGAATCCTGTGGGAACGTTCATCTTGAGGTTCAAGCAATGTCATGTTTGTAAAGCCTGAGTCAGAACCTCCACCACCCACCAAATAAAAAGCACTTTTCTTCCAGCTTTGTTTCAAGGTTTGCCACAAAAATAAAAGGAACGTGGTGGAGGGGAAGAGAAACCACCAAACTTCAGGCATCTTTTCATTTCCAGTTGGGTGGCAAATGCTACATCTCTTTTGGCTTCTGGTTTTCTCAGCACCAACTCCCATCAGTCATAGTCGTTAGAGCTGCCTTGACTCTCACGCAATCCTGGACATTTAATGTTATATTTTAGTTGGTTTCGTCCAAGAGGAAATGTCTCTTAAACAAAAGCAACAAATCAGGAAGCAACTGTGAAAGTAAGTCACAGACTTGGTTGGAGCAGAAGTAGTTCCCAGAATGCTGGCTTCTAGCAGTGTTGATTTTTCTGTCCAAACAATGCAAATCACACAAGCTGGCAGCAAGGATTCAAGGAAGGAAAAAAAAATGTGTGCGTATGTCTGTTTGTGTGTATATATAGTTTGTGTATATATATGTGTGTATATATATATATATTTATATATATATATATATATATATATATATATACACACACACACACATATATGAAACAGGGAGGCCTGAAAGAATAGCTAATGTTTTATGAGGGAGAAAAAGATTGAGAGAGACTTATGGACAGAGAGATAAAGAGGGCACAGTACACAAGGACAATGATTAAGATGGGGAGGCCAGGCACGGTGGCTCATGCCTGTAATCCCAGCACTTTGGGAGGCCAAGGCGGGTGGATCACGAGGTCAGGAGTTCGAGACCAGCCTGACCAACATGGTGAAACCCCGTCTCTACTAAAAACACAAAAATTAGCTGGGCATGGTGGTAGGCACCTGTAATTCTAGCTACTGGGGAGGTTGAGGCAGGAGAATCGCTTGAACCCAGGAGGCGGAGGTTGTGGTGAGCCAAGATCGCGCCATTGCACTCTAGCCTGGACGACAAGAGTGAAACTCCGTCTCAAAAAAAAACAACAAGATGGGGAGAAAAAAACAATCTCTGCTAAACCTGGATTATTTTACTTCTTCTTTTTTTTTTTCAGACACAGTCTCACTCTGTTGCCCAGGCTGGCATGCAGTGGCACGATCTTGGCTCACCTCAACCTCTGCCTCCCAGGTTCAAGCGATTCTCTTACCTCAGTCTCCTGAGTAGCTGTGATTATAGCTGTGTGCCACCACGCCCAGGCAATTTTTGTATTTTTAGTAGAGACAGGGTTGCACCATGTTGGCCAGGCTGGTCTCGAACTCCTGGCCTCAAGCAATCCACCCACCTCAGCCTCCCAGAGTGCTGGGATTACAGGTGTGAGCTACCACGCCCAGCCTTGGATTATCTCATTTATTTTGAATGTTTGCAATAATTTATTTTCTTCAAGCAAATTAGTTACCCCCAAAAATATCCTGCCTCCCAGACCTTTGCTCTGCCTGATAGCAGCTGTCAAAAAGATAAGATCTTTCAATGAATTAAAGAAGGTGAAAGGCCAATCCCCTCAACTCATCTCGCTGTGATTTACATCAGTATAATTACATCGTCTATTGCTGTTGGAAATTGACTATACCTACGGGAAATGCTACTGGTATAAAGGAAGTTTCTTTTTTAATCACTACAGAACACAGACCTGCAACTCTATTTCTGGACCAATCTCATATATGTGCTTTGGTAGGTGTGGGAAGTGGGTGAATAAACATGAAGGGTTTTGTTTTTTGTTTTTTGTTTTTTTTCCATGAACAAAATCTTCAAGATAGAATTGGATTTTACTAAAGAGAAAAGGAAACCAAAGGATTATTATTAATTCTGGTAATTATTTCATTGTGAATGTACATGTGTGCGCTTGCACACTCTGGAAGGGGGGCTATGTCTTTAAACCCACAAGTCTTTCTGTATGTCTTATTTCCTTACACAAGACTGCTTAACAAACAGACAGTACACTTGCAGTTGTTCTTTAACTCATGTTTAATTTGAGCTTTCAATGAGCATTACCATCCACTTGAGGTTTTGCTTCTTTGTATTATCCTCATTTTACATACCTTAGAATATTATTTATATGTGTATATAACATACACATATATATGTACTTACATAAATAGGTGGATATGTACACACACAAATATATATACATATAATAAAATTTTTTTTAGCTGAAGACATGTCTGTGTTCTTCGACTTTCATTGAAGAAGTGAGCCAAATTTAATTATTAACTGGTTCTTCCAGTTTAAACATTTGTCTCATGTGATGTATTAATTTTAACATGTAGGCTCATGATGCTCACTGCCTGGGACAAATTGAATATTTTTAAAAAAACTATAAATGCAATTAATACTAATTCAGCTGCCCCTCTTTTCCTACAAAAGGTCTAATTTTATTGTGTAGAAATTATCCTTGGAATATGATTTCATAGCCTATGTAATTCAATTAGTTTAAGGATTAATCTGAGATGATTTGTAACTACCTCAACTAATTTAAATTACCAACTTCAATACTAATATGGTTTCTTACTCATATTTTCTCCATGGCATCATTTGATGGACTCTTCATGACTTTTCAAAAAAATTCAGTAAGTCAGAACCTTAGACTTGGGAACTTTCTCAAAAGTACATTTCAAATCTATTTCAGCTATAATGTATATTGTGACACTGCTGACTTTCATCCCTAGTCCCTTACCATCAGATATATGTGTTATTTAGAGTTCACAAACTGTCTTGAGTTAATGGGAAAAGAGCAATCTGGAACATATGGGATAAACGTGATTTGGCTTTAGTAGTGTTTAGTAACAGTAGTCATCTTGTTTAACTATCTTGTTTACAGGTGAGAAAACAACCCCAAAGATATTCATAATATACCTAATTTCAAAAGATTACATAATGGTAAAACTGGGACCATAGCCCAAGCTTCCTGAATCCCAGACCAACTTCCACAATACCATCTCTGATAGAATATTTTACACATCAGGCTTCCTGTGGAAGGCTATCTGGGGTATACCTCTTTACTTTTAGCAACAGGTTTCTCATAGAGGTTGCAGTGTTTCTTTTTGGGAGATATATTTTGGCAGACTGCATTTTCCGAAGATGGCTCCAACAGTATCTCCCATCCCACAGGCTGTTGTTACTATGTGTTGATATTTATCCCATCAAGAAGTAAAGTCAGCATGGTGTGGTGGCTCATACCTGTAATCCTAGTACTTTGGGAGGACAAGGTGGGAGGATTGCTTGAGGCCAGAAGTTCAAAGCCAGCCTGGTCAATGTAGTGACACCCCATCTCTATTTTATTTATTTATTTATTTATTTATTTATTTATTTATTGAGAGGGAGTCTCACTCTGTTGCCCAGGCTGGAGTGCAGTGTCGCGATCTCGGCTCACTGCAAGCTCTGCCTCCCAGGTTCACGCCATTCTCCTGCCTCAGCCTCTTGAGTAGCTGGGACTACAGGCACCCGCCACCACACCTGGCTAATTTTTTTGTATTTTTAGTAGTATTTTTAGTAGAGACGGGGTTTCACAGTGTTAGCCAGGATGGTCTCGATCTCATGACCTCGTGATCTGCCCGCCTCGGCCTCCCAAAGTGCTGGGATTACAGGCATGAGCCACCGCGCCCGGCCCCCATCTCTATTTTAAAAAAAAGGAAAAAAAAATTTTAATGGGCGAATGGAAAATATTAAAAGGTCATTCATAAAAGAGGTAATTAAAATGGCCAATAAACATATAAAATTTGTTTGGTATTATTGGTGTTCAGGGACATGTAAATTAGAATGAGTTTCCTCTTCCCCAGCCTACCGCCACCCCAGTCAGATTGACTAAAAGGAGGATACAGTATAACATTCAGCTTTAAGTTTGTAGGAAAACATATATTCCCATGTACTACTAGTGGGACTATAATGTGGCAAATTTCAAAGGTGAATCAGCAACATTCATTAACTTTTTAAAGGTGCTTATCATAGACTCCAATTTTCTTTATATTTCTAGAAATACACCGGACAAAAGGACACAGCCAAGGAGTGCAGCTTGCTTATGTTAGCACAAAGCTGGAAACAATCTGAATACAATTGTTATAAAAATAGTTAATAACTTATGATACAGCAGCATGCTGTGCAGCAGTAAAGAATGAAGTTGATCTATAATTCAGTGACACAAAATTCTTCCAGACTTTACACAATTTTTTTAAAAAGGCAAGTTGCAGAATTATAAGGCACAGCACAAAACTATTGAGGTAAACAAAATTTTTTGTTTAAAAATCATGTTTCTGGCTGGGCACAGTGGCTCACACCTGTAATCCCAGTACTTTGGGAGGCTGAGGCGGGTGGATCATCTGAGGTCAGGAGTTCGAGACCAGCCTGGCCAACATGGTGAAACCCTGTCTCTACTAAAAATACAAAAATTAGCTGGGCGTGGTGGGGGCACCTGTAATCCCAGCTACTTGGGAGTCTGAGACAGGAGAATCCCTTGAACCCAGGAGGCAAAGGTTGCAGTGAGCCAAGATCATGCCATTGTACTCCAGCCTGGGTGACAAGAGAGAAATTCTGCCTCAAAAAAAAAAAAAAAAGAAAAAGAAAAAAAAAATCGTCTATATTTGTGAATGCATGTTAAAAAATAAAAGGCCTAGAAGGATACATGTCAATGGCAGGGGATGCCTTGGGTTGATTGCTGCCATTAAGAAACCTTTATCTGTATCTGTCCTGTTTGGATATTTTAAAGAGAATGTTTTTATATATTAATGGTGTTAGTTTTAATGAATTTTTAAAATTTACTATATTTTGGCCAGGTACGGTGGCTCATGCCTGTAATCCTAGCACTTTGGGAGGCTGAGGTGGGTGGATCACCTGAGGTCGGGAGTTTGAGACCAGCCTGACCAACATGGAGCAACCCCATCTCTACTAAAAATACAAAATTAGCCAGGCGTGGTGGCACATGCTTGTAATCCCAGCAACTCAGGAGGCTGAGGGAGGAGAATCCCTTGAACCCAGGAGGCGGAGGTTGCGGTGAGCCAAGATTGCACTACTGCACTCCAGCCTGGGCAACAAGAGCGAAACTCTGTCTCGAAAATAAAATAAATAAATAAATAAATATAACAATAAAATAAAAAATTAGTATATTTTTTTAAAATAATTGCAATACAGAATTTGTGCTAAAATAGAGATATGTGGCCAGGTGCGGTGGCTCACACCTGTAATCCCAGCACTTTGGGAGGCCAAGGCAGGCGGATCACGAGGTCAAGAGATCAAGACTACGGTGAAACCCCGTCTCTACTAAAAAAAAAATACAAAAAAATTAGCCGGGCGCAGTGGCGGGCGCCTGTAGTACCAGCTACTCGGGAGGCTGAGGCAGGAGAATGGTGTGAACCCAGGAGGTGGAGCTTGCAGTGAGCTGAGATCGCACCACTGCACTCCAGCTTGGGTGACAGAGCAAGACTCCATCTCAAAAAAATAAAATAAAATAAAATAGAGATATGTACAAGGTACTATGTGTCCCAAGGGAAGGTGAAAATAATCTATTCTGTAAAGTTTCCCATTCAATAAATAAGTCTTTAATCTTTTTTTCCCAAAAATAAATTATATATCTCAAGTGTTCATGATATAGACCCCAGAGACTCAGACCAAGAAAACCACCTACTTCGGTGGCTTATGACAGCTTTAGGACGCTGGTTAATTTGCAGAAGTTAGAGCCAAAATTATAAAGCACTCACATTGATTAGTTATTCCTGCTGCAGCTTTCTGACGTGTCAGCATTTTGTGCTTCATTTAATAGGTGAGGAAATGGGAGAAAGGAAAAATAAGTGCCTTGCCCAGAATAGCTCAACAATCAGTGGCTGGAGCCAGGCGCGGTGGCTCATGCCTGTAATCCCAGCACTTTGGGAGGCCAAGGTGGGTGGATCACCTGAGGTCAGGAGTTCAAGACCAGCCTGACCAGCATGGTGAAACCCTGTCTCTACTAAAAATACAAAATTAGCCGGGCTTGGTGGAGCATGCCTGTAATCTCAGCTACTTGGGAGGCTGAAGCAGGAGAATCGCTTGAACCCGGGAGGCAGAGGTTGTGGTGAGCTGAGATCGTGCCATTACACTCCAGCCTGGGCAATAAGAGTGAAACACCATCTCAAAAAAAAAAAAAAATCAGTGGCTGGTACAGAATTTCAAATCTAGAGAAGCAACTGGGACTGATGGATTGATTCTGTGTTCAAACCAAGAGTCAGATGACAGTAGGTCAGGGTTTATAGGCATCTCCTATGGTCAAGAAATCCAAGAAGTTATGACTGACCTCTACCCATTAGATTCCCTTTTGGGGCAACAGGGCTTCACAACAAAACCACAGCAAAACCACAGCAAAAGGCACGTCTCCAGGAACATTCTGAGCCTGATTTTGCAAGCTGATTATTCTGCTGCCCATCAGACATAAGCTCAGCCAGCACGCAGTATGAATTACTCTGCCTTGAGGGTACCCTTTATGTAGCAATTTGGCCGTCCTTAGCTCAAACTAGAAGAGGATCCAGTGATGTGAATAAGTCTCCTAGCCTTTTTTTCCATGATAAAGCAAAAAGTTCATTTCATTCCTTACTTAGTTTCACAAGTAAAAGGTGCCCAGAAATGATTGTGCATATGATATGTAAATTCACCAGTAAAGCTGAAGTTCCTGGCACCGTCATTTATTCCCAACAGGTGAGTCAAGAGTGCACGCTGGCATGATGTGATGCTGAATTACTTGGCTTTTTTTTTTTTTCATCTCTGATTTAACTGAGACCTATAATGATATTTGATGCAGGTTTCTGTATTTAATTAATTTAACATTCCAGATTTTTAATTTGCATTTAATTTAACATTTCAGGTTTTTAATTTACCAGAAATTGTTTATCAAATATTCATTTCAGAGACTTTCACAGTATATATAGTGCATACCCCTCTTTAATTACTGTGTGGTAAATTAATTCTTCTACCAGTGCTCCTTCATCAGATATTGGATTAAGGACGTTGCACTGTTTCAACACAGCACATAAACTCGTTTACTAAACCAAGATGGTAAATTGCCCCATCTATGTGCATTGCTAGTCTGCTTACATGCTTAACCTGATAAAAACTGTTACAGTTAAAACAAGAAATCTCTTATTATTTTAAAGCCAACTGCTTGGCTTGACAAGGCCAGTGTTAAATTGTATATTCTATTCAGTTATTGGATCCAATTTTGTTCTTTTCTCAGCCCTAGACCTTTAACTCTGCCATCTCCCTTCCTACATTTTTTCTTCTGTCTTCATCCATATTATCATCCTCTTCCTTCCTGGGGAATTTGTTGAAATGAGACTACAATTGTCATAGCTCCTGTTAACTTTTGTCTGAGACTTAGGCTGTCTCAGATTATAGACTCACCTTCTCATCCCTAAATTTTACACACACTTCCCTCTTACCTCCTTTCTACCTTTCTGCAAATAATAACCAGTCTTCTAATTTATGCCATATTTAAATTCTCTTGGTCAGGATCATTGTGGATGGAGAAATCTTCTCTCTCCTGTTGTAAGCTATTTGAAAGCATGTTTTATTCAACTTTGCATTGTGCCTTATGCGAATAGGCAAATAGTAAATGCTTGTTGGATGTGTAGATAGATGATCAAACAGATAAATGGTTGGGTAGACAGATATCTGCAGTGTGCCTAGCACCATACTAGCTCTTTAAACTATGTTTTCCCATTTAAGTATTTCTCACAATGAGGAATTGTCCCCACTTAACAGATGAGGACACTGAGGCTCAGAGAGTTAAGTGAGGATTCACTTATGATCTCACAGCTAGCAAAAATCTGAGTCTGAATTTGAACCCCAATCTGTCTGGTCCTCCTGTACTTACTGCACATGAGCAGGACTAGCTACATAATTTTGCCTAGTACAAAATTCAATGGAGACCCTTTGTTTGAAAATCATTAATCATTCCAAGACAGTGACAGCAGAGCACTAAACCTAACGGCAGGGCCCTTCTAAGCAGAATCTGTAGGACTTCACAGGTTGCACGCTCATGAAGTCAGCCCTGTATTAGGGGCTTACACATAGTCATTCTGCACATTCCAGCTCTAGCTCCTCACTCCCAGACTGTTCATTGGAAACTTCTTAGTGCCTGCACTCAAAGAAATTGTTCCAACTTATCTGTCAGAGGCAGAAACAGACCAGTCTTGCCCTATCTACAGATCAGAAGTTTGAACCTTGTTTAGATGCCTGTGGTAAGTTAGATATGCCTCCTAAAATACACTGGGAATATCTTGTGGGCAAAGAAAACCTCAAAATATGATTCTATCACATTCTGTCATGGCTATCACCACCAGAGGTGGCAGGTGGGGGACTAGGGAAATAGTGTGCTGTGCTCTACAATACCTCACTGACCACACTGACCAAAGAAACTCTCTAAGAATCAGTATCCTGCCTTTGCTACTCAGATGAAACAGATTAGGCACATAGGCAGGTAAGGAGAAGCCAGATGCTAGACGGGAACCATAAAGAATAAAGTGGTAGCAGTTCATCAGTTGAGCCTGCGAGCTGAGCTGAGAGTGCTGGCCCAAAAAGAATTCTCTTTGAACGTCCGTGAGCCAATATCTCTGCCAATTTGGTGTAAGCCAAATCTAAGGAGTCTTAGTGTGAAACTCAACACTATATGGTCACAGGCTAAATGACTGCTCCTCCCCAACCCCATGGCCATCTCACTGTGGCTACTATTCTTTTCAAATGAAAGATGACATGTCCATGGGTTTTCCAAGGTGTCCTTAAGACACCAATTTCAGAGGTAGTAGCTGTTGATAAAAAGTCACAAAAGTAGACAGTAAAGTCTTTAAAATCTTGTGTACCAGCCCAAGGCAGTATTGGCTACCCTGCTTGTGACCTAGGAGAGCATGTTAAAGGCCAACACAGAATAAAACAAGCACTGAGGTCATTAAAGGTGAGCATATGCACCAAATTATGGACAAATACCTACTCTGACTGTTGAAAGCTAGTTTTTCAGTATTCTTAAGGGCAGGGCTCATGCCTGTCTTGTTTGTTAAAGAATCCAAGGGTCTAATACAATTGCTCAATAAATGTGGTAGGAGAGAAGAGAAGGAAGATATTCCAAGGGGAAATATGAGACTGAAGAAGTCATCTATGGCCAGGCACGGTGGCTCATGCCTATAATCCCAGCACTTTGGGAGGCCGAGGCAGGCAGATCACCTGAGGTTGGGAGTTTGAGACCAGCCTGACCAACATAGTGAAACCCCGTCTCTACTAAAAATACAAAATTAGCCAGGTGTGGTGGCGGGTGCCTGTAATCCCAGCTACTTGGGAGGCTGAGGCAGGAGAATCGCTTGAACCCGGGAAGCAGAGGTTGCAGTGAGCCAAGATCACGCCATTGCACTCCAGCCTGGGCAACAAGACTGAAACTCCGTCTCAAAAAAAAAAAAGAAAAAAGTCATCTACGTTTAGAAGATACATTTGCAAGTTTTGTTTCTTTGACACTTCTGTTTATTTCAAAAGTAGATGATGGCTGGGCACAGTGGCTCACACCTATAATCCCAGCACTTTGATGGGCCGAGGTGGGCGGATCACTTGAGGTCAGGAGTTTGAAACCAGCCTGGCCAACATGACAAAACCTCATCTCTACTAAAAATACAAAAACTAGCCAGACATGGTGGTGCATGCCTGTAATCCTACTCGGGAGGTTGAGGCCCAAGAATTGCTTGAACCGGGGCTGTGGAGGTTGCAGTGTGTGAGATCATGCCACTGCACTCCAGCATGGGCAGCAGAACTCGACTCTGTCTCAAAAAAAACAAAAATTATTGCCAGGTGTAGTGGCTCACACCTGTAATCCCAGATACTTTGGGAGGCTGAGGTGGGCAGATTGCTTAGACCAGGAGTTCAAGACCAGCCTAAGCAACAGGGCAAAACCCCATCTCTACAAAAATTAGCTGGGTATAGTGGCACACACCTGTCATCCTAGCTACATGGGAGACTGAGGTGGGAGGATCAGTTAAGCCCTGGAGGTTTAGGCTGCAGTGAGCTGTGATGGCACCACTGCACTCCAGCCTGAATGACAGAGAAAGACCCTGTCAAAAAAAAAAAAAAAAACTTCTAAAATCATTATAAATGACTGCATACTATTCCATTATATCTGTTTATTAGGAACAAAACATCTCCAACTTTTTTCTTTTTTTTTTTTTTTTTGAGACAGAGTCTCGCTCTGTCACCCAAGCTGGAGTGCAGTGGCCCGATCTCGGCTCACTGCAAGCTCCGCCTCCTGGGTTCACGTCATTCTCCTGCCTCAGCCTCCCGAGTAGCTGGGACTACAGGCACCAGCCACCATGCCCGGCTAATTTTTTGTATTTTTAGTAGAGAAAGGGTTTCACCGTGTTGGCCAGGCTGGTCTCGATCTCCTGACCTCAAGATCCACCCGCCTCGGCCTCCCAAAGTGCTGGGATCACAGGTGTGAGCCACAGCGCCCAGATTTTTTCTATTTTAAATAACATTGTGATGAATACAAATCTTTGGCCGTAAGTATTAGGTCTTTAAGAGAGAGCATTCAGGCCGGGCGCGGTGGCTCACGCCTGTAATCCCAGCACTTTGGGAGGCCGAGGCGGGTGGATCACGAGGTCAGGAGATCGAGACCATCCTGGCTAACGTGGTGAAACCCCGTCTCTACTAAAAATACAAAAAATTAGCCGGGCGTGGTTGCAGGCGCCTGTAGTCCCAGCTACTCGGGAGGCTGAGGCAGGAGAATGGCCTGAACCCGGGAGGCGGAGCTTGCAGTGAGCCGAGATCGTGCCACTGCACTCCAGCCTGGGCGACAGGGCCAGACTCCGTCTCAAAAAAAAAAAAAAAAAAAAAAGAGAGAGAGCATTCAAAGTAAAAAGGGCCAGGTGCGATGGCTGACACCTGTAATCCCAGCATTTTGGGAGGCCAAGGCGGGCGGGTCCCCTGCAGTCAGGAGTTCGAGACCAGCCTGGCCAATTAGCCCGGAGTGGTGGTGAGCGGCTGTAATCCCAGCTACTCAGGAGGCTGAGGCACGAGAATCGCTTGAACCCTGGAGGCAGAGGTTGCGGTGAGCCGAGATCACGCCACGGTACTCCAGCTTGGGCGATGGAGTGAGACTGTCTCAAAAAAAAAACCAAAGAAGTATAGACTTTTTTTGGGGGGGGGGGTTGGGGGGTGCAGGTATTTGATATATGATGCCATAGTCCTGATCAGAAAGGATATTAACACTCTCTCCAGAAGTGAAAGTTCCTATTTTACCTTTACTGTGCCTGCTATCTTCCCTTTTACATCTTCACCCTACTCTCTGTGCTTGCCCTCAGTTTCTTTGCCCTCCTCCAGTGCAAGCAACCTAAGCAGTCAGGCGCCAGTTCTAAGCAGTCCTCTTGGCTGTACATTGATTCATGCAGTCTACCTCCCACCAAAACTCTTCTTGCTGTGTGTGTGCCACACACTTATGTCTCGCTTTAGAGTATTCCCTCAGGGACCTGCACTTAATTTCTTTAAGCCCAGGTTCCCCACTATAAAATTGGCACACTCTAATCATGACAGCTAACCTTTACATGGTGTTTGCATGTTGACAACTCTTGATTGCTCCTAGCAGAAAAACACCTACTTCCATGACCCCAGAAAGTGATACTAGACTATGAAAAGTACATAAACTGAAGGCAGTTTTTTGTGAATTTGTCTGAAGACCTACTCTCTTTAACTCCTTAATATTTCGCCTTGTTCTTGTGAGTACAAGTGTTAACAGATGGCCCCTCATTTGGAAAAGTTAACTGTCTTTATCCTACTGAAGGCAGTGATAGGTACTGGAAACAATATGGTCTTTGAAAGTGGACAGACTTGGGTTTAAAAATTAGTGCCGTCATTTGTTAATTGTGTGACCTTGAACAAGTAGTATAAACATCTCTTAGAACCCAAATTGCTCATCTCTAAACTTGAAGCACTAATAATAGCTAACCCTTGGCCAGGTGCAGTGGCTCATGCCTGTAATCCCAGCACTTTGGGAGGCTGAGGGGGGCGGATCACTTGAGGTCTGGAGTTTGAGACCAGCCTAGCCAACATGGTGAAACCCCATCTCTACTAAAAATACAAAAAAAGTTAGCCAGGTGTGGTGGCAGGCACCTGTAATCCCAGCTACCCAGGAGGCTGAGGCATGAGAATTGCTTGAACCCAGGAGGCAGAGGTTGCAGTGAGCTGAGATTGTGCCATTGCACTCCAGTCTGGGCAAAAGAGCAAGATTCAATCTCAAAAATAAATAAATAAATAAATAAAAATTAAACATTAAAAATAATAGCTAACCCTTGAACAGAACCTCTGGATAGAGTATAACACGTGCCAGACACTGTTGTAAGTGTCTTATTTGTACTGGCTCATTTGATCCTCAATGCAATCTAATGCGGCAAGTTCAATTATTATCATTCCCATTTTATAGAGAAACAAACTAAGGCAAAGAAGGGTAAGTGGCCTACTCTAGATCATGCAGCTAGAAACAAACTCCTGCGCTCAAGCAATTCTCCCACTTCAGTCCCCCAAACAGCTGGGACTACGGACATGTGCCATCATGTTTGGCTAATTAAAAAAAAAAAAAATTGGGGGCCGGGCGCGGTGGCTCATGCCTGTAATCCCAGCACTTTGGGAGGCCAAGGCGGGCGAATCACAAGGTCAGGAGATCGAGACCATCCTGGCTAACACGGTGAAACTCGTCTCTACTAAAAACACAAAAAATTAGCCAGGCGTAGTGGTGGGCACCAGTAGTCCCAGCTACTCGGGAGGCTGAGACAGGAGAATCACTTGAACCCAGGAGGCGGAGCTTGCAGTGAGCTGAGATCGTGTCACTGCACTCCAGCCTGGGCAACAGAGCAAGACTCTGTCTCAAAAAAAAAAAATTTTGTAGAGATGGGGTCTCGCTATTTTGACCAGGCTTGTCTCTAACTCCTGGCCTCAAGGAATCCTCCTGCCTCAATCTCCCAAAACACTGGGATTTTAGGTGTGAGCCAGCCTAAATTCCTAACCCCTATACTACATGTCCTCTTATTGATATTGCATGAGATAATTCTGAGCATTAAATAAAACAACCTATATTAAAGATCTATTACGTAGTATATGCTGCACACAATAAATTCTGTGCTGTCCCATTGTAACATTGTTACTTCCTGGTCTTGGATACTCAGATCTCAGCCAAACAGGTAAAGAACAATCGTATCATTTTGCCTATAGATCAGACATAGCTTGGCACATACAGGGAGCTAAAAGCTGTTTGGCATTCCTAAAAGGAGCTGTGAATGGAGAGAGATGAGACTGTTTTGAGGATGGGAGTGAAGCTAGGGAGAACCTTGAGTGTCCATGGGGAGGCACTATAATGTAGGGTAAAGAATATGGGCTTTGGCCTGGCGTGGTGGCTCACACCTGTAATCCCAGCACTTTGGGAGGCTGAGGTGGGAGGATCACTTGAGGTCAGGAGTTCGGGACCAGGCTGGGCAACATGGCAAAACCCCATCTCTATAAAAAAATAAATATTAAAATTTTTAAAAAGATTAAATAAGATATGGTGCAAATGGACCTCACCTGCCTTCTCTGTTTAAATCCATTCATGCTCACATAATTGGACACTACACAGCAGTCCAGACAGAAATAATATTTGCCTCAGAGTAAAAAATTTTAAAAACACATAATCCTATGTATTAGATGTAGTAAGTAAATGGATGGCATTCCCAGAATTGATTGCACTTGAAGCTTTTGGCATCAAGCTCCTAGAAAGTTTTCTATGGTCTGAGAATAAAGCAGGCCTGGGGCTGAGAGGGAGTAAATGTGGTAGTCAAGAGCATGCCTGTTCCTAAAGGGGTGTACTTTTTGCTGGGGGCAAAAAGAGCTTTTTCAAACTTCATCAAAGTTTAGATTAAGGCTGGGTGCGGTGGCTCATTCCTGTAATCCCAGCACTTTGGGAGGCCCAGGTGGGTGGATCACCTAAGGTCAGGAGTTCAGGACCAGCCTGGTCAACATAGTGAAAACCATCTCTACAAAAATACAAAAATTAGCCAGGCATGAGGGTGGATGCCTGTAATCCCAGCTACTCAGGAGGCTGAGGTGGGAGAATCGCTTGGACCTGGGAGGCAGAAGTTGCAGTGAGACGAGATCGTACCATCGCACTCCAGCCTGGGCAAAAGAGTGAGACTCCATCTCAAAAAAGAAAAAAAAAAAAAAGTTAAATAACCTTTGCAACTCTCAACCATGTACTGCTCAGATTCTACATTTACCGAGCAATGTTCTGATTAATACCTAGATCCCCCAAAGAGTGTCCTGGTAGAGTACACAGAAATATTTCTGGCCCTAGAAGGAAAGCTCTCCATTATCAAGATATAGAAATTAGTCTTGTATGAATTAGGAGTTATTGCTGCCCAGAGCTAGAATAATCTCTTAATTTTTTTTTCACCCCTTTGGTTCTATCATTAGAGAAATTTTGGAAACCCCACTCTGAATCTCTGGCTACCTGAACACCTACTATATGACAGGCATGACCTTGGTTGACACAGTGAGGAATTCAACTCTGAAAATGACACTGTCCCTGCAAAAACAACTTAAAATCTAGTAGAGATAATAAAGCAAATAAACCAGGAACTAAAATAAGGCAGAAGTTGGACAGAATGCCATCTCATTATCACCTTGAAAAACCCCCAAGGCCAAGTCTAGGCCTCCTACTTCTATTCAACTTAAGGAGGTGATAATGAGGAGAAAATGTTCTTGTTCATTAAAAGAGTTCCTAACGAGTAGACCAAGACTGGCTGCTAAATGGTGGAATTTTGCTTTTCAGGTTACATAAGTATTACCTTTACCTTCATGGTATATGCTTTATGAGGACTATTTCTACAAAAGGAGGAGAAAACAGATATGCAAACATAGAAGAACAGGAGAATAATTATGTATAGATAAAGAAAGGGCAAGAGGAGCTGGTGGCAAAGGCCATTTGTCCTCACAGTGATAAACGAGGGAACCAACAGGCACAACTCAGTGGCTCCCAAACCCAGCCAGTGCTGGCACGGCTGATGATAATCACTAGCCCACACTCCACCCTCAGACATGGGCCATACTTCCCTGATGCACACACAGACTCCTCGTGTTTGCCCAGAACCCCCTACCTTGCCTCAGCTCAGACTCAAATACTGCCTTTGCCTTAAGCTTTCTCTGACCTCAGCTAATAGAAGAACCCTCTTCCTCCTCTACATTCCCACATACGGTGTCTCAAAAGCCTTAGTGGCATTCCTCACATTTTATCTGCAGGTAGCTAAGAGGTAGCAAAAAGAATATCAGAATTTGACTCAGAAAACCTAGATTAAAATTCAGATCTTGCCACCAACTACCTGTAGAACTGTGGGAAAATCACAATTCTCCCATTTCAACAAATGAAGAAATTGTGTCCACTTCAAAGAGGAGCCCCGGAGGTTTAAATAAGGTAGTTTGTGGTAATGATGGGCCAGCCAAAAGTCTGCACAATGTGAGAGCAGGAAGGCAAAAGGATTTGTGTTTTGTCAAAGATGGCTTCCAAAGAAAGAAATCTAGTTTCTGGGCAGGCACAGTGGCTCACACCTGTAATTCCAACACTTTGGGAGGCTGAGGCTGAAGGATCACTTGAGGCCATGAATTCAAGACCAGCCTGGGCCACATAATAAGACTTCCCAGCCTCCGCCCCACACACAAAATTTAAAAATTAGTTGGGCATGGTGGCATTACCTGTAGTCCCAACTACTTTGAGGTGGGAGGATGGCTTGAGCCTAGGAGTTAGTAACTGCAGTGGGCTATGATCCACCACTGCACTCCAGCCTGGGCAATAAAGTGAGACCCTGTCTCAAAAAAAAAAAACAAATGTACTTTTTTTAAAGAAGAGGGCCGGGCGCAGTGGCTCATGCCTGTAATCCCAGCACTCTGGGAGGCCGGGGAGAGTGGATCACTTGAGGTCAGGAGTTCGAGACCAGCCTGGCCAACATGGTGAAATGCCGTCTACTAAAAATAAAAAAATTAGCCAGAGATCTCTTAAACCCAGGAGGTGGAGGTTGCAGTGAGCCGAGATCGTGCCACTGCACTCCAGCCTGGCCAAGATAGCAAGACTCCATCACAAAATAATAATAATAATAATAATAATAATAATAATAATAATAAAGAAGAGGAGGAGGAAGATAATTTGGTGGAAGAATTCACAGAGGGAGGACTTAACTTACCTGTGATCTTCTAAAGGTAGGAAAAGGTTCTAGAAGCAAAATTAAAATAACTGTTGTCCCTTATATTTATGACAGTGGCCAGAAAGAATTACAGACCTGAGAACAATATAAGAAAATGTGATGGCCGGGCACGGTGGCTTACACCTGTAATCCCAGCACTTTGGGAGGCTGAGGCGGGCGGATCACCTGAGGTCGGGAGTTTGAGACTAGCCTGACCAACATGGAAAAACCCGTCTCTACCAAAAATATTAAATTAGCCGAGCATGGTGGCACATGCCTGTAATCCCAGCTACTAGGGAGGCTGAGGCAGGAGAAACGCTTGAACCTGGGAGGCGGAGGTTGCGGTGAGCCGAGATTGTGCCATTGCACTCCAGCCTGGGCAACAAGAGCAAAACTCCATCTCAAAAAAAAAAAAAAAAGAAAGAAAAAAAAGAAAAAGAAAATGTGGGCTGGGTGCAGTGGCTCATGCCTGTAATCCCAGCACTTTGGGAGGCCGTGGCAGGCAGATCACCTGAGGTCGGGAGTTCGAGACCAGCCTGACCAACGTGGAGAAACCCATCTCTACTAAAAATACAAAATTAGCCAAGTGTGGTGGCGCACGCCTATAATCCCAGCTACTAGGGAGGCTGAGGCAGGAGAAACGCTTGAACCTGGGAGGCGGAGGTTGCGGTGAGCCGAGATTGCGCCATTGCACTCCAGCCTGGGCAACGAGAGCCAAACTCCATCTCAAAAAAAAGAAAAAAGAAAAAAGAAAAAAGAAAGAAAATGTGTTAATAGGCTAAGTCACTTTTTTATTTTTTTATTTTTTTTGAAACAGAATCTTGCCCTGTCGCCCAGGCTGGAGTGCAGTGGCACAATCTCGGCTCACTGCAAGCTCCACCTCCTGGGTTCATGCCATTCTCCTGCCTCAGCCTCCCGAGTAGTTGGGCCTACAGGCACTCGCCACCATGCCCAGCTAATTTTTTAAATTTTTTTTATTTATTTTGTATTTTCAGTAGAGACAGGGGTTTCACCGTGTTAGCCAGGATGGTCTCGATCTCCTGACCTCGTGGTCCGCCCGCCTCGGCATCCCAAAGTACTGGGATTACAGGCGTGAGCCACCGCGCCCGGCCTTAGGCTAAGTCACATTTTAATTTCAATATATAAACAATAGAGACTTTCACTTTAAAGAAACAAGAATAACATGAATCCCAAGTAGAATCCTTACTTTAGTCTGTTCTTTGGGCAAGATAACCTGGGTCTTTCAGAAGCAGTTTAATTACAACTTAACTTGGGTGCTTATGGACTAGTATTAACTATTTAAGCAACTCAAAGGCTGAGAATAATGTAGTGGGAAAAGCATCAGGGACCTGAGTTCCAATGTTTTTATGATTAATGTTTGTAAAGCAGTCCCAGGAGGGTCCCTGGGCCTCTGTTTCTTCATTTGTGCAATGAAGCGAATCCTCGAGTGCCCTGTCAGAGGCCTTCTGGTTCTGTGCTTCTCTGAAAACTATCAAATTAACAAACTTCTGGAAGTCAATGATCAGCCAGGGTAAAGCCATGTTGCTCACTGCCCTGCCTTGAAAAGTTAAGATGTGAAATCTCCATTCCAAAGCAGCAGCAAACCCTGTGCTGGACACTAGGGCTAGACATAAAACCTTGGCTATCCAGGAACTGAATTTCCATCAGGAAGGAAAAAAAAGAAAAAGAAAAAAAAAAAAACAACTGGAGAGTCAAAAAAAAATTAGAAAATACATACAACTGAAAGGAATTTACAGGTTATCTGGTTCTATTCCTTTCTTGTACAAATAAGTAAACCAAGGACCAGGACGACAAGAGTCAAAAGTCATTTCCCCAAAAATGCACAGCTGGAGGAAGCGTAGTTTAAGAAGGAAAGAGCACTGGACAGGGAGTCTGTACTCTACAAAGAACTAACTATGCCACACTGGGTCAGTGGCCACACCTCTCCAGGCCTCAGCCTTTCCTGGGGAATTATACAGTTCGACTATTGCTTCTTTCACTCTAACCCACTCTATGTTTGTGAACTTGGGACTAGAACTCATCCCTCCTGAGCCCCTACCCTGGGCTCTTTCTGCCCTACCAAAAAGAAATACCGACGCTGAGGAAACACATCCAATTGCAAAGTCCTAGGAAGATGAGAAAAATGGTAGAAGCTGACTTATCCTGGAGCCCATTTTAGTGCCCCAGAAGACTCGTCTGAGAATTCATATACGCATCTCTCAGAATATCCTTTACCTGGTCATGGGAATACTTTCACTCGTTTAGTCACTCAGAAACGCATAATCCTTAAGGATAGGAAATAGAATTGATAGTGTTCAAATTCAGAAGACAAAAAGGGGTGTGCAGGCAGAAGCTGCTTACAGTACAACTGATGAAGCCACAGCTTCAGAGTACGGGCTGTTCCAAGATCCTGGGAGAACCATAGCAATGGGTTCATATGTTCATACAATTGTATAAAATTTGCAAAAGTGAGATATTTTTGCATTCTTTTCCTTAAAGAAGGCAGTAAGACTGAGGCCCAGCAGGGCATGGTGGCTCATGCCTCTAATCCCAGCACTTTGGGAGGCTGAGGTGGGTGGATTACCTGAGGTCAGGAGTTCAAGACTAGCCTGGCCAACATGGTGAAACCCTATCTCTACTAAAAATACAAAAATTAGCCAGGCGTGGTGGTGCATGTCTGTAATCCCAGCTACTCGGGAGGCCAAAGCAGGAGAATTGCCTGAACCTGGGAAGCGGAGCTTACAGCAAGCCGAGATTGCACCATGTCACTCCAGCCGGGGCAAAAAGAGCAAAACTCCATCCGCCCCCCCTGCCCCGTCCAAAAAAAGACTGAGGACCTATAAAACTTGCAACCACCCCTATATTCACAGATGAATTTCCTCTCTTCTCTCCCCTCCCTTCCTCTCCTAGCTCTCCTCCTCTCTTCTCTTCCCCTTCCTTCCTTCTAGGACTAGAAGAAGGAAAAGTTTGATTTTTTTTTTTTTTTCTTAGACAGAGTTTCACTCTTGTTGCCCAGGCTGGAGTGCAATGGCGCGATCTCGGCTCACCCCAACCTCCGCCTCCCAGGTTCAAGTAATTCTGCCTCAGTCTCCCGAGTAGCTGGGATTACAGGCATGTGCCACCATGCCTGGCTAATTTTGTATTTTTAGTAGAGACTGGGTTTCTCCATGTTGAGGCTGGTCTCGAACTCCTGATCTGCCCGCCTCAGCCTCCCAAAGTGCTGGGATTACAGGCGTGAGCCACCGTGCCCGTAACTTAGTAGTAGCTTTAAAAACCTCACCAACAGAACTCATGACTGTGTCAACAAATGAATCTACTTCATTTTTGATTTATTTTAGATTTTATTGATTGGTATATAATATTTATACATATCTATGGAGTACATGTGATTTTGTTTGTTTTTTTAGAGACAGGAGCTCTCTCTGTCTCCCAGGCTGGAGTGTAGTGGTATGATCACAGCTCACTGCAGCCTTCATTTCCAGGGCTCAAGCCATACTCCCACCTCAGCCACCTAAGCAGCTGGGACTACAGGCACACAGGGCTGGGATTACAGGCATGCACGAGCATGCCTGGGTACTTTTTTTTGGGAGGGTGAGGTGGGTGGATCACTTGAGCTCAGGAGATTGAGACAAGCCTGACCAACATGGTAAAACCTCGTCTTTACTAAAAATACAAAAATTAGCCAGGCATGGTGGTGGGCACCTGCAATCGCAGCTACTTGGGAAGCTGAGGCAGGAGAATAGCTTGAACCCGGGAGGCAGAGGTTGCAGTGAGCTGAGATCGCCTCACTGCACTCCAGCTGGGGCAACAGAAAAAGACTCTGTCTACTGCTAGGAGAACCCCAGAGAAGGATTCATTTAACTTTTATCTCTTTCTGCATAAGAACAGAAGAAGCCAACTTTAATTTCTAAACTTCATCAACTAGAACCTTGTATTTGGGGGTTTTTACTTTACAGTCAATGAGAGTACATTTTGTGTAGGAAGGGTATTTTGTTGTGCCCAGTAGGGGTACCAATAAATACATTCTGCTTGTAACCTAGTCTTTCCCCTTTAGAAGCCCGTATGCATCTGATAGAGGAAATAGAGTGTGGTGAATTGTGAAATTGTAAGGTAATTGAATTATGTAGCTGTTACCAGATGCCTCTACTCATTTTAACATCAAATGTTACATATGTTCAGATTTCTGAACTCTGCAATTAAAATGAAAACTTCTGTGCAGAAACAGCAGACATTTGATTTCCCTTGTCCTAAGAAGAAAAGAAAAGCCAAATATTCTAAGCATGTGAGTCACTAGTAAAAGCCAAGTGAAGACCACGAAGGTTCTCTCTCAGGTTTAATACCGAATGACATCCCAGACATGGAGATCCTTGTCTTTCTGGAGACTGACATTTGTCATTCCAGGTGGAAGAGGTCAGCCTAAAGATAGGATAACTCAGTGAAATATCACTTTCCTCTCAAGATTCTAAAACACAATGTTTCCCAAACTTGACAGATAAGCATTATCTGAGACCATTTTTACAAAGCAGATTTCCAGGCAAGGCTTAGGTAGAGTCCAGGAATCTGTATTTTTAGCAAGCATCCCAGATGATTCTTATCACTGTCACAAAGCCAAGGCCCAGGGTGGCTCCCGGAATCATCATTATTGGAATAAATACAGCAGTCTTCAGGAAATGTACTTTAACTTGCACACAGCTAGAAAGCCACTGGGATTCATGACTTAGAATTCCATCTTCAAGCCAAGATGTTAAACATAACAATGAATGTGCATTTCTTATTGTCAACCATAATGGGTTCCTTCTTCACATCTTAAAATGCCATATGCCCAGAGTTTCTGCCAGCAGAAAACCAAAATATTAACAGAATAAATTACTTCCAATTAGATATGTGCTGCTGAACTATTCTCAGGTATTTGGAATATTGGCAAATTTTGAACCAGGCGAAGGATCGTTAATAGCATTGTCCTCTGAGCATATGCTTTGTTTTCAACTGCCCCAGTGTTAGCATCTTCATCATCCCACAAAATAAAGCAAGGGGTTGGTTTTGCCAGCTCCTCAAAGTGCTTTCTCAGTGATACCTACAGTCAGAGACAGCTCACCTTGGGGACAGTGCCAGAACTCGTGGCTGCCTCCTCCCCTTGCCTGCCAGCGTCTGCAGTGCCAGTTCCAGCATGATCCAGACAGCTAAAGAATGTGAGGGAAACAGAGGAGGGTCTGCCTGGGGGAAAGGAAAAGGTTCCCTTCCTCCTCTCCAGGGATACCCTCCAACTAAGAAGAGCAGCCAAGACCCAAAGTCAAGCCCATCACACATCTCAATAGTGGGAAGAATCCCAGAATTATGAATAAAATATAAACCTGTAAGAAAGTGCCTTCTCGCTATCAGGGACTGGGCTCTATCATATGCTATTAATATGTCATGATTCTGTTTCCTGAATACAAATGCAACTCTTTTAAAATATTGTTATTAATATTTATGAAGAAAATACATTCACATGTTTAAAACAAACAAACAAGATACAAGGTAAAAATTTTGCTTCTATCTTTGTCGGCAATCTGCCCAGTTCCCTTCTTCCTATCCAAACAGATTACTACTGTGTTTAGTTTCTTGTATGTCCTTCTAGAATATATGCAAAAACAGGCAAATACAAATATATATTTACATTTTTTTCTTTTCCTTTTTTTTTTTTTTTGAGTCAGGGTCCCACTCTGTCACCCAGACTGGAGTGCAGTGGTGGAATCATAGTTCACTGTAACCTCAAATTCCTGGGCTAAAGTAATCCTTCCAACTCAGCGTCCTGACTAGCTGGGACTACAGGGTTATGTCAGTATGCCCAGCTAATTATTTTTATTTTTATTTTTTGTTGAGATGGGGTCTGGCTGTATTGCCCAGGCTGGTCTCGAACTTCTGGACTCAAGCAATCCTCCCACTTTGGCCTCACAAAATGCGGAGATTACAGGTGTGAGCCACTGCACATGGCCCTGTTCTTCCTCTTTTTACATAAAACAGAACATCCTAGGCACCCTATTCTAAACCTTGTCTTTTTTCACTCATTAAATGTATCTTATAATCGTTCCATATTGGTACAAAAAGAACCTCTTCATTCTTGTTTTCAGTTGCATGGTATTCTGATTAAGTATGCACCGATTTGTAGTGAAACTATTCATTTTCAGTTTGTTTCCTGACAGTGAAATAAATGGCTTCACTTTAGAATGCCTAAAAGTTAAGAAAGCCCAGAAACACTGGGAAGTTTTGTGAAGTCATACATGTAGAATTTCTAGAGATTCTCAGATGGATATGATTTAAGAAATATATTCTGTTCCATACCATTACAAAAAATTATTCAATATGTTATAAAATAAGAGCAACCAGAAAGCATCTAAAAGAAATTAGAAAAGATTTTAAACTCAAATATTGGTTAATTAAGGTAAACAATGAAAAAACAGGAGAGGCAGAAGACCAGCTTTGTTTCTATAACTCCCTTCCAGCTTTGTCACACTCCTCTCAGTTCTTGGAGAGACTAGGGCTTGTTAGAAAAGACTCTCTAAGATTATGTACTCAGGTGGTCCATCTAATTAGGAGGGGAAGAGAAGAGGTTAGGTAAAGGGAAGGCCAGGAGGAAGACCAGGAGGGCCAGGAGAGCAATTTCCTTACATTTTTATTATAAGAGGCTAAACTGTTTCCTAAGTGGTCTACTTCCTCCAGGCTGTGATTTTATGAAAGAAAAACTTTAAACTTGTAACTCAGTGTGCTTGACCACAACACTATTTAAAGGTACATCCTTTATTTTTTAAGAAGCCTTGAACTGTTGAGTCATATAGAGATTTGTGATCCCTACTTTCTAGAGTTTCCCTCTCAGAAGACAAAACGAGATTTCACCTTCTGCTATGAATTTACGAGTACATCAATAAATGTATCTCAAAGTAATTTTAAACATCAGAATAAAGAAGCTCTAAATATTTCTGAAAAGTTGGGATAACTTTAACTTGATCTCCACCTTTGCAAGTCTAGCTTGCGTTCAGTGGTCTGTGGCCTGGGACGTTGGCAAATTCAGTCAAAATTAAATGGGCATAGACGTACCCATGTATGACTATGTATGGGTTTGGGGCATAACACTCAAAAATTTTGTCAGTGATGCATTAAAAAAAAAAGAGCTGAATTAAAACAACAGCATAGTTTTACACAAGTTAAATGTGCACTTTATAAATACAGCAGGTTTTCAAATGACATTTGGATCAATGTCTTTTTATTATAATTTTAAAGAGAAAAAATGGATTTCCAGCTGGAACCACCATCAGTGTGGAGTCTGCACATTCTCCCCAAGTCTACCTGGGTTGTCTCTGGATATTCTGATTTCCTCCCACATCCCAAAGATGTGCATGTTAGTTTTATTGGCGTGTCTAAATTGTCCCAGTCTGCGTGAGTGTGGGAGTGTGTGTGAGTGCCCTGCAATGGAATGGCATCCTGCCTAGCATTGGTTCCCACCTTGCACCCTGAGCTCCTGGGTTAGGCTTCAGCCACCTGCCACCCTGAACTGGAATAAATGGGTGGGAAAATAAATGAATGAGTAAATACAAATTATTGTCAAATAAAATTTCATAAAGTATATGATAATCATACACATGCACAATCATAAATGGGGCAGCACAAAAGTGCTCAGTGAGCACCCCCATATTTCTTATTGTTTGTTTTTGAACTGCCTGGTGGTAGGAGGTGTTTCTGACAATTTTTGCTTTGCAAATATTTATTCCTTGATTTAACACACCACCTCTATGACCACCCTCACACACCGATTGACTAAAAACTTGGTAAATAATTATCTCACTTGTTTTGATTAATCTTTCTTAAATATGTGTATAGCTCATATTTATTTCAATTCAATGTTGAGTATTAGAAGTGTTTAGTGTCTTTATGTAGAAGTTTGATGACGTTTTTGTGACCAGAAACCTGATGTGGGAACTTAACTCTTGTTTATATTAATAGGTTTTGTTATACTTCGTTTTGTTTCAATTGGTAGTTTCCAAGAGCCTATGCATGACATTAATGAGGACTTACTGTAGAGCACTTTACCTTGAGAAAAAAAAAAAAAATCTGCAGTTTGCTTGTGGAAGCCAGCATCTCCCTGTCTACTAGGCTGCCCACCAGGTTCCCACACCCATCACCTTGTATGGGAATGGAAAAAAATAATCGATAGAAAAAGGGTAAGAGAATAATGAGACAGAGAGGGAAAAGGGCTGGGTGCAGTGGCTCACACCTGTAATCCCAGCACTTTGGGAGGCTGAGGAGGGAAGATTGCTTGAGGCAATCGAGATGAGCCTGGGCAACATAATGAGACCTGTGTCTACAAAAAATTTAAAAATAAAAAAATTAGCTGAGCATGGTGAGACACCTGTAGTCCTAGCTACTGGAGAGGCTGAGATGGGAGGATCGCTTGAGCTGCAGAGTTTGAGGCTGCAGTGAGCTATGATAGCACCACTGCACTCCATCCTGGGTGACAGAGCAAGATATTGCCTCAAAAAAACTAAAATTAAAGTAAGTTTAAAAATATAAGAACAAAAGATAGAAAAAAGATCAGGAAATAGAAAGGAGCAATATAAAACACGTTGAGAGGACAGAGGGGAAAACTAAAGACAGGGAAAGGTGTGGCTGGGCCAGGGTGGCAGAGGCAGCAAGGGTGGCAGAGCTGTCAATTACTGTGAAGTGATTGAAGGAAGGTTATCTGAAATGAGACAAAAGGTTGTAATACCACATGTCAATAGGTGTGGCTCAATGTCCTTGTGAGGAGTGTGTGTGTGTGTGTGTGTGTATGCACACGTGTGCAAGTTATGTGTATTTCCATGAGGCTCGATTCAGTTGGGTGAAGTTTTCTGTGTTTGCATAGTATTTCCCATGGATGAAATCGTGCATAAGCAAAACAAAATTCACATTATGCTCAAATTGTTCCCTATTATTATCAATAGTGTTGGAACAACTTCATGTTTTCAAAACAAGAATTTTACCAGAACTGACTGTATTTAGATGATATTTATAAATCTGGAGGTATGTACACCTACTGTTTACGTCAGTTATATCTCGGATTATAGGTGGTTTAAATTTTCTTCTTTCTGCTGATTTGTATTTGCTAAGTTTCCTTCAAGTAACATCTACCCATTTGTAATAAAAAATAGGAAAAAAATGTTTTTAAAGTCAGAATTGCGGGTTGTAATCCCAGCACTTTGGGAGGCCAAGGAGGGTAGATCACTTGAGATCATGAGTTTGAGACCAGCCTGGCCAATATGGTGAAACCCCGCCTCTACTAAAAATACAAAAATTAGCCGGGTGTGGTGGCAAGCACCTTTAATCCCAGCCACTCGGGAGGCTGAGGCACAAGAATTGCTTGAACCCAGGAGGCAGAGGTTGCAGTAAACCGAGATTGCACCACAGCACTCCAGCCTGGGTGAGAGAGTGAGACTCTGCCTCAAAAAATAAAAATATAAATAAAAATAAATAAAGTCAGAATTCAGCCAAAAACTGATCTGGTTCTAAAAAAACAACTGCAAACCTGTGATTCTCTCCCTGAGCTACTCAAATGTTAGTCACCAACTGATCTCAGGATTACACTAGAGCTCTATTCTGCAGCCTCCAGGTCAAAAAAATTATTAAAAGGTGAACTGCCAGGAACCTAAGGACTTGTCTTGCCCAGACTCCTCATTTTAGGACATTTAAGGACACGAAGGTCCGAGGAGGTGAAATGACCTGCCCGAGGTCACATAACTGATGGGTGACAAAGCTGGAACAAAATCACCAAGTCTCCTGGCTAGCAGTTTAATTATTCTTTTCACTCTTCACCTGCTTTTTTTTTTTCTTTCTTTCTTTTTTCCTAATAGTCACAAAAGTACTGTGGAATTGGGCTTGGTTTACACAATACCAAATCAACAAATCATTTCAGTCCAAAGAAATCTAACAAAACAAAACTGTCAACTAGGTGAAAAATAAAATCATGCCAACTTCTTGTTTCACACTGCATAGACAAAACAACCAGTCATTACGTGGATGTTTCTCTTTCCAACTGGTTGCTTTGGCACTAGGTTCTCAAAGCCTCAGTGTTAGAAAAACTATCCATGGGGTTGGTGGGAGGAAGAGAAAGGGAAATCTTTTTTTTTTTTAAGGCAAATTAAGCTCCTCAAAACGCTACTGCCCATTTAAATAACTGGATTTGGACATTTGATTTAACTACACTTGCCCATAAAATACCAATACTCTAGACTACATAAGGAAACAGACTCATTGGAAGTCAACACTGCTTGATATGAAGACAAGGGAGGCTGAGGCAGGAGAATCACTTGAACTCATGAGGCAGAGGTTGCAGTGAGCTGAGATCATGCCACTGCTCTCTAGCCTGGGCAACAAGAGTGAAACTCCGTCTTGCAAAAAAAAAAGACAAGGTACCCACAATTTCCATGTATTTGAGGATTCTCAATCAGTAACCTAACAAAAATGAAAAAGAAAACATGGAACAGTGTGATGCCAATTTTAAGCAAAGAAAAAACTGGGCCGGGCGCAGTGGCTCACGCCTGTAATCCCAGCACTTTGGGAGGCCGAGGCAGGCAAATCACGAGGTTAGGAGTTCGAGACCAGCCTGACCAATATGGTGAAACCCTGTCTCTACTAAAAATACAAAAAAAAATTAGCTGGGCATGGTGGTGGGCACCTGTAGTCCCAGCTACTCTGGAGGCTGAGGCAGGAGAATCACTTGAACCCAGGAGGCGGAGGTTGCAGTGAGCCGAGGTCACACCACTGCACTCCAGCCTGGGCAAAAGAGCGAGACTCTGTCTCAAAAACAAAAAAACAAGCTGGGCGTGGTGGCTCACTCCTGTAATCCCAGCACTTTGGGAGGCCGAGGAGGGCGGATCACAAGGTCAGGAGATCGAGACCATCCTGGCTAACACAGTGAAACCCCGTCTCTACTAAAAATACAAAAAATTAGCCAGGCATGGTGGTGGGCGCCTGCAGTCCCAGCTACTCGGGAGGCTGAGGCAGGAGAATGGTGTGAACCCGGGAGGCGGAGCTTGCAGTGAGCCAAGATCACGCCACTGCACTCCAGCCTAGGCGACAGAGCGAGACTCTGTCTCAAAAACAAACAAACAAGCAAACAAAACAAACAACAAAAAACCCAAAAAACAAACAAAAACACTGTATTGTATGTCATTCACACCAAGATGGTTTCATTTATCTGCCTTAAATAGATTATCTATGATCAACAATAGAAAATTTTTAATTTGTTTTAGTATGCAGCTGTTTCTGTATACCACTCATCAGGCTAAAGTCTCAGTGAGTACACCAAAGAAAAGTATACCATTTCAATTAGAAAGGATGGAAAACCTGGCGAGGCCGAACACTGGCTGCTCTCAAGAACATGATGGGAACTAATGAAAGAGCCAGGTTTCTGGCCTTCAACAATTAAGTGATCAGCTGCCTTTGGTTGCCCCTAACAACTTACACAGACAAGGAGATTACCAGGCAAACAGGCTGCAACAATTCAGGATCCAGAGCCAACTGGAGTGCTGAAATGACATATATTTCCAGGACGGTCACTACCTTCTCATATAAAAAAGAATGAAGTGGAATTATTAAAAAATCCAGAACTTGGCAAACAGTTGCTGAAGTGCACTCACTAACATAATGCATCCATAGAAAAACAGGCCAAGAGGACAGCTATGGTTAGAAGGTTCAGGCTTCTCAGCCTCACCAGAGGTCAGGCTGGCTCACAACTAAGGGCCCTGCTTTTCCCTTAAATAATATTTAGTGATGATTTAATTTTTGTTTTGTGTTCTCTTCTGATTAGAAAGATAATGCTCCGGAAACTTAATTCTGAGCTGAGCACAGTGACTCATATCTATAATCTCAGCACTTTGGCAGGCCTAGGTGGCAGGACCACTTGAGGCAAGGAGTATGAGGACAGCCTGAGCAACAGAGCAAGACCCTATTTCTACAAAAAAAAGTCAGAAAGAGAGAGAGAGAAAGAGAAGAGCAAGGAAAGGAGGAAAGAAGTTTGGTTAATTCTGGAAAATATAAAATAATAATAGTAATAATAAAAAAATTAAATCCACAACAGAATATCACCACTCAGAGGTAACATTTTTATGTATATACTCCAAATCTTTTTGCTATGAATGTTTTTATATAATTTATATAATTGTGATCAAACTGTATACAATCTTTTTTTTTTTTTTTTTTTTTGAGACAGAGTCTTGCTCTGTCACCCAGGCTGGAGTACAGTGGTGCTATCTCAGCTCACTGCAACCTCTGCCTCCTGGGGTCAAGCAATTCTCCTGCCTCAGCCTCCTGAGTAGCTGGGATTACAGGCACCCACCACCACGCCCAGCTAATTTTTGTATTTTTAGTAGAGACGGGATTTCACCACCTTGGCCAGACTGTTTTTGAACTCCTGATCTCGTGATCCACCTGCCTCGGCCTCCCAAAGTGCTGGGATTATAGACATGAACCACCATGCCCAGGCTCCACAATTTTTATAAATTCATTGGCAATGTTGTTTTGTTGTTAACATCTCACTATATAAATAGTAAACTCCTACTTATTTTCTCACTTTTCCAGGATTGGATTCAAATTCCAGGTTGGTTTCAAATTTTCACTATTATGAATACCTTAGAAACAAGTATCTTCAAACATAAATCTTTGTCGAGATTCCATATACATATATATATATGGTTTTGTTTGTTTGTTTGTTTGTTTGTTTGTTTGAGACAGTCTTGTTCTGGAACCCAGGCTGGAGTGCAGTGGTGTGACCTTGGCTCAGTGCAACCTCTGCCTCCTGGGTTCAACAGAATCATCCTGGATTCTCCTGCCTCAGCCTCCCGAGTAGCTGAGATTACAGGTGGGCACCACCATGCTCTGCTAATTTTCGTATTTTCAGTAGAGACGGGGTTTCACTATGTTGGCTAGGCTGGTCTTGAACTCCTGACCTCAGGTGATCCACCCACCTTGGCCTCCCAAATTGCTGGGATTACAGGTGTGAGCCACCATGCCCAGCTGATTCCTTATTTTTTTTAATAATAGCTTTATTAATTAGTCATCAAAATAACACTAAGAGGTAAGTACAAATGATGAAATATAGTGGAGAAAAATAATGAATTTGCTCAAGGTCACACAGCCAGTAAGCAGGAAAGCATGGATTTGAACCTGGACTGTACTGTCTCTCTTACAGGGATATTTACTAGTCACAAGAATGTGGGGGTTTTTTTTAAGAATTTTTGATAATTATTGGTAAACCATTCAATTATCTTCACAAAATAATGTAACAATTTATATTATCTAAAGAACCATCTATCTGAAATGTTATGATCCAAAGGCTCCCATTTCTCAAATATACCAATTTTATGATAGTTAAAACAAAAGGCCAGGCGTGGTGGCTCACGCCTGTAATCCCAGAACTTTGGAAGGCTGAGGCGGGCGGATCAGCTGAGGTCAGGAGTTTGAAACCAACCTGACAAACATGGAGAAACCTCATCTCTTCTAAAAATACAAAATTAGCTGGGCGTGGTGGCACATACCTGTAATCCCAACCACTCTGGAGGCTGAGGCGGGAGAATCGCTTGAACCCAGGAGTCGGAGGTTGCAGTGAGCTGAGATCACGCCATTGCACTCCACCCTAGGCAACAAGTGTGAAACTCCATCTCAAAAAAATTTTTTTAAAATATATGTATTTTTATGCCATGCTAAAGATCTTCAGGCAAATGGTAACAAACTGCATAGTATCTGTATACCTATTCCTCAAGACCTACTTGTAACAACCTGCAGGGGAGGACGAAGAAATCACCACTGCTCAAATAAACCTGTGTTTTCACATGGGGAAATGCCATCATGCCCTGTGTGCATGCCATCAATTTATTAGGTTTTTCACCTTAAAATGCTACAATAAAGGACACAGGAAAAATGCAGTGAGCATTCTAAAATACATCCATTTCACTGTAAAAATTTGGTCTAATAAATAGAATAAATAAATTATAATGTATTCATGCAATAAAATCGATACAGTAATAATAGATGTCATTAACAGAGACAAGGTCTTGCTCCATAACCCAGGCTAGAATGCAGTGGTGCCAGCTCAGCTCACTGCGTCTCGACCTCCTGTGCTCAAGTGATCCTCCCACCTCAGCCTCACTAGTAGCCAGGACTACAGGCATGCGCCACCGCATCCAGCTAATTTTTGTAATTTTTGTAGAGATGGGGTTTCACCATGTTGCCCAGGCTGGTCTCAAACTCCTGGACTCATGCCATCCACCTGCCTCAGCCTCCCAAAGTACCAGAATTATAGGTGTGAGCCACTGCGCCCAGTCCTTTAACACAATTTTGAAAGGAAGAAGCCAAATACAAAAGAGCGTATACTGTGTGATTTCATTTATACAAGGTTTAAAATTAGGCAAAACTCATCTATGGTATTAGAAATAAGAAGAGTAGTTAACTTTGGGGAGATTTGGAAAGGGTTTGGTGATTGAGAGAGAACATGAGGTGGGCTTCTGAGGTGCTGGTAGTGTTCTATCTCTGATCTACATGCTGTTTACAAGAGTTTGTACCTGTTTTGTGAAAACTCATCAAACTGTGCACTTAGGGCCTGTGTAGTTTTCTGATGGGCTGTCATATCAATTTTTTTAAGTTTATTTTTAAAAACTGGGCCCGAATTAAAATACATGCCAAAATATGAACAGAGGCAGACCAAATGACTATGTAAGCAGAATAAGCCATTGTGAAATAGAACTGAGGAATGTAGTAGAGTCTTACTTATAAAATCTAACATTGAGGAATACAATTGCTAAATTTGAGAGTGATAGAAGGAGGAATGAATTAAAAACAAAATTTTATTTGAACAGCTTTAACCTAATGTGACTTTTTGGAGAGTTTTATTTGTTTTGAGGGTAAAATTTTCAATTGCAAATGCAATTTCTTTAATAAATATAGGAGTATTCATATTTTCTATTTCTTGTGTTAGTTTTGGTAAGTAATGTGTTTCAAAGAATTTGTTCATTTTGGCCAGGCACGGCAGCTCACACCTGTAATCCCAGCACTTTGGGAGGCCGAGGTGGGCGGATCACCTGAGGTCAGGAGTTCAAGACCAGCCTGGCCAACATGGTGAAACTCCTTCTCTACTAAAAATACAAAAATTAGCCAGGCATGGGGTCACCCACTTGTAGTCCCAGCTACTTGGAAGGGTGAGGCAGGAGAATCGCTTGAACCCAGGAGGTGGAGGTTGCAGTGAGCCAAGATCATGCCACTGCACCCCAGCCTGGGCGACAGAGCAAGACTCCATCTCAAAATAATAATAATAATAATAATAATAATAATAATAATAATAATAATTTGTTAATATCATCTAAGGTGTCAAATTTACTGACATGAAGTTTCCCATAAAATTCCTTTCTTATTCTATTATTCTTTAATGCTTATACTTAGGATCTTTACTGATGTCACCTCTTTTATTCCTGATATTGGTGATTTCTGTCTTTTTTTCCTTGTTGAATCCAGGTACAGTTTTATCAATTATATAAATATTTTTCATTTTGAAGGAAACACTATTGTTTTCATTACACATTTCGTTGATTTTTGTTCTCATTTTTATTTTCTTAAAATATTGCAGGGGACAATGAGGAGGGCGGATCACAAGGTCAGGAGATCGAGACCATCCTGGCTAACATGGTGAAACCCCGTCTCTAATTAAAAATATAAAAAATAAGCTGGGCGTGGTGGCGGACGCCTGGAGTCCCAGCTACTCAGGAGGCTGAGGCAGGAGAATGGCGTGAACCTGGAGAAGGAGCTTGCAGTGAGCCAAGATCACACCACTGCACTCCAGCCTGGGTGACAGAGCAGGACTCTGTCTCAAAAAAAAAAAAAAAGAATTTCAACCAGCTGCTTACAAATGCACTTAACACAAGGAAAAGTGTTTTTGATTTTGTGTTTTGTTTGTTCCTAGCAGAAGACCCTTTTATGTTCTATAAAAGTTACCTACTTACAGATTCATAAAATTACAAAGCTGGAAAATTCTCAGCTGGAGCCTGGTCTAACTCCTTACCCCAAGTATAACTCTCAACCCATCTAAGATTCCTAAGAAGTAACTACCAGCTTTTGCTTAAATAACCAGTGACAGAACATCTTTATTCCAGTTTCAGTTTTTTGTTTTTGTGTTTTTTTTTTTTTGAGGTGGAGTTTCGCTCTTGTCACTCAGGCTAGAGAGCAATGGTGCAATCTTGGCTCACCGCAACCTCGGCCTCCCGGGTCCAAACGATTCTACTGCCTCAGCCTCCCCAGTAGCTGGGATTACAGGTGCCCGCCACCACACCCAGCTGATTTTTTTATTTTTAGTAAAGACGGGGTTTCCCATGTTGGTCAGGCTGGTCTCGAACTTCTGACCTCATGATCCGCCTGCCTCACCCTCCCAAAGTGCTGGGATTACAGGCGTGAGCCACCATGCCCTGCCTAGTCTTAATTATAATAAAGACTTTTACTTTTACATAATCATTGCACATAATAATTTTGGAAATTATGGAGTAAAATGGAAATTGTTGGCCAAGTGCAGTGGCTCATGCCTGTAATCTCAGCACTTTGGGAGGCTGAGGCAAAAGGCATTACTTGAGCCCAGGATTTCAAGACCAGCCTGGGCAACATAGCCAGACCCTATCTCTACAAAAAAAAATTATTAAAAATTTAGCCAGGTGTGGTGGCATGTGCCTGTGGTTTCAGCTACTTGGGAGAATGTGGCAGGAGGATCAATTGAGCCCAGGAGGTCAAGGTGGCAGTGAGCCCAGGAGGTCAAGGTGGCAGTGAGCCTTGATCACACCACAGCACTCCAGCCTGAAACAGAGTGAGACCCTGCCTCAAAAAAATTTTTTTTAAATAAATTGTTAATGATGTCTTCCTATTTTTAAAAAATAGTGCTTAATAAAATCTATAGTAAGATGCCTGAAGAGTTTCACTCTCCATGCCAAGTACTGTCAACTGGACAAAGTGACTTAACCTCTCTAAGCCTCTGCTTCTTCATCTGTAAAATGAGGAATAACAGGATCAAGTTTACAAGGTTGTTAAAACCAACCTAAATGACTTAGTTTAAGTAAAGCACGTGGAACAGTGCCTGGCTCTATTTTGGCTATTTTTATTATGATTGGTTGTGGCATCTCAAAGAAGTATGATGAAAATGACTCTGAGTCTTTGGAGGCCGAGGCGGGCAAATCACGAGGTCCGGAGCTCGAGACCAGCCTGGCCAACATGGTGAAAACCCATCTCTACTAAAAATACAAAAATTAGCTGGGTGTGGTGGCACATGCCTCTAATCCCAGCTGCTCGGGAGGCTGAGGCAGGAGAATCCCTTGAACCCAGGAGGCAGAGGTTGCAGTGAGCCGAGATCACACCTCTGCACTCCAGCCTAGGCAACAGAGCAAGACTCCATCTCAAAAAAAAAAAAAAAAAAAAAGGAAAAGAAAAAGAAAAGAAAATGACTTTGAGCATGCATCCCAGTAGCCATGAGTTAGTGGGATGTGCCATGGTGTAGGGAAACACAGAAACACGTGACTACCTACCATTTGTGAACTTTACAATGACTGCATGCTAAAAGTATGTGTACAAATTGACAAGTACCAGAAAAGAACAAGATAGCCTGACAGGTGAGGCATTAAAGGTGATCAAACAATAGCTAATATTTTTCTCTATTAAAAACAATTTTCAACCCCAGCCTGGGCAACAGAGGGAGACTCCATCTCAAAAACTAAAAATAAATAAGAACAATTTTCCGCCAGTCATAGTATCTCACACCTGTAATCCTAGCACTTTAAGAAGCCAAGGTGGGTGGATGACTTGAGCCCAGGATTTCTAGACCAGCCTGGGCAACATAGGGAGATCCCATCTCTACAAAAAATAGAAAAAATACCTGGACATGGTGACTTGCACCTGTTGTCCCATCTACCAGGGTGGCTGGGATGGGAGGATCAACTGAGCCCCAGGAGGTTGAGGCTGCAATAAGCCATGATGGCCCCCACTGCCCTTGAGCCTGGGCAAAAGAGCACCACCCTGTCTCAACATAAAAATAAAAATAAAATAAATGTCACCACTGTTACAGCATTGTTGGTATAATAGCTAATGAGTAAAGTAAAGATAAAACCAAAAAAGCCAACCCTTTTTTTTTTTTTTTTTTGAGTCAGAGTCTGGCACTGTCGCCCAGGCTGGGGTTCAGTGGCATGATCTCAGCTCACTACAAACTCTGCCTCCCAGGTTCAAGCGATTCTCCTGCCTCAGCCTCCCAAGTAGCTGGGATTACAGGCATGTGCCACCACGCCCAGCTAATTTTGGTATTTTTAGTAAAGACGGGGTTTCACCATGTTGGCCAGGCTAGTCTCAAACTCCTGACCTCAGGTGATCCGCCTGCCTGGGCCTCCCAAAGTGCTTAGATTACAGGCATGAGCCACCGCGCCTGGCCTCCACCTTTGTTTTGGATTATAACTTCCATCCATAGTATCTATCCAGGTCTTCTTGTACTATATAAAAATAAACCTAATATCCTCTCCCTTGCTCAGGACACTTTATGTCTGTTAATTCCCCTTTGTATCTGTCGTTTGGAGAATATTTGTCTAGGTGAAAGTCTTCTGCTTTTATTTTTTATATGAAAGTATTAATATAAAAATATTCACTATATCATTTAGTTATTCTTTGAATAAATTTTCATAGCTTCATATTGCATGATTTAATTCTGAGCCCCTATTTTGGAGCATACAATTTACCTACACTTCCCACTCTTATAAATGAAATGCCAATGAACATCTTTGTTGATAAATTTGTGCCTTCATTTCTGATTATTTCCTCAAGAAACTAGGCCACATGTCATGCTGTCAATACTCCAGATGACATCACCATTTGGGCAGCAGCCTGAACACACTGCTTGATCATATTGAGCTTTTAGTCAACCAAAAGTGCTCCTTTCTCACACTTGATCCTGTTTATCCACATCTCCTCCATCCAGATCCCAAAACATCTTGTTTTTGGACTCATCGTTCCAAGCATATCAAGATTATTTAAAATTAGCTTTTTTTAGTTAGCAAAGCAGTACAAGTTCAATGTAGAAAATATGAAAAAACACAGAGGCTCACAATGTTTGCGATCTCACAAGCCAGGATTTTCCTTTATTGAAAAATTGAGAGCACACAGTTTTTAAACTTGCCCAGAACTGCCCCATTCCCACCCCACTTAATTGAGGGAACTTCTGTGTTGAGATATCCCTTCTCCCCATATTCCCTCTCCCCTTCCTTACACAGTCACTCCAGAAGTCTTGACTGGATCGGACTTGCCTACTCTAGAACTTCCTGGCTTTCTCCAAATTCAAAAGATTCACAGCCTTTTGGAGATGCCTTAGATACCTCTCATGCCTTACATGCTACAGGGTGGGAATACCATTCCCCCATTCCCAACTTGTATTTCATGTCTAGCTGGCTCCTTAATGTGAAAACATCAGAGGAGTGAACTCTATTTCTGACAATACCAAATGGGGTGGCCCTTATTAGAAAACTATTAATATCAATGAGACTTTTTTTTTTTTTTTTGAGATGGAATTTCACTCTTGTTGCCCAGGCTGGAGTGCAATGGCGTGATCTCGGCTCAACTCACTGCAACCTCCGCCTCCCGGGTTCAAGCAATTCTCCTGCCTCAGCCTCCCAAATAGCTGGGATTACAGTTATCTGCCACCACTCCCGGGAATTTTTGTACTTTAAGTAGAGACTTGGTTTCACCGTGTTGGCCAGACTGGTCTTAGCTCCTGACCTCAAGTGATCTGCTCACCTCGGACTCCCAAAGTGCTGCGATTACAGGTGTGAGCCACCGCGCCAGGCCTCAATGTGACTTGTGATTTCAGCAAATGTTTGTTGTGGGCCTACTATGTGCCCAGCTTCAAGCTTAGACACCCTGCTGGTTCACTGACGATACAAAAAGCAGTTACATCCTTCAAAGAGCTCAGAGTTCAGTGAACCTGTATCAAATGGGAAGGTGAAGTAGAAACATCCTTCAGGGAATAATTCACGGATTGCCTGCAAAGTGACATATTAAGGCTTTAAAGCTAATAAACATGGGAACAGGCTCATCTCATTGCTCTTGGCAGAGCTGATCACTCCTTTACGCATGTCAGTACTTCTAGCAGAGCACTTATCTGACCTTTGAAATTATATGTATACAATCTCTCTCCCCTGCCAAACTCATTGCTCCAATTCGTTGCTGCATCCCCAGGGCCAAAGTAGTACCTGAACAGAGCAGGCACTCAGCAAATGCTCACAGATGTTTGAAGTCACAGATGTTTTAGATCTGTATGTAATTTCCGTGAGGAAAAATAACTTTTGACGTAACAAATACCTGCCACCTTAAAATCTGCCATTCTCTTGAAATAGTAATTAAGGGGGCAGGGAGGAGAAAATAAAAATTATTTTTGAAATTTTGAGGCTAAAATGTCATTCTCACGATTTTACAACTTTGCGCCAGGCGCGGTGGCTCACGCCTGTAATCCCAACACTCTGGGAGTCCGAGGCGGGTGGATCACGAGGTCAGGAGTTCCAGACCAGCCTGGCAAAGATGGTGAAACCCCATCTCTACTAAAAATACGAAAAAATTAGCCAGGCGCAGTGGCAGGCGCCTGTAATCCCTATTATTCAGGAGACTGAGGCAGGAGAATCGCTTGAACTCGGGGGGCGGAGGTTACAGTGAGCCGAGGTTGTGCCACTGCACTACAGCCTGGGTAACAGAGTGAGACTCCATCTCAAAAAAAAAAAAATTTTTACCACTTTGCAGCCACCTTATGGATTTTCCAGCAAAATGTTTGCATCTGGGTTACGAAACTCATGAACATGAAGTGTCAATGCCAAGGAATCTGGGAAAAAAATTCACATCAGATTTCAGAAAAGAAAGATTAAAACTCACAAGTGCTAATCTAACTTCAAACTGACAAAATAAAGACAAATTAATACAGGCTCTCTGGAAAGTCTGGAGCTGAATAAGCCATAGTGCTCAAAAAATGGGTAAACAGTTCCTTCTTCTGGTCATTATCTCCTGAAGCACATGAGACATTAAATAAACATCATATTATGTTCAAAATACTTCTAAGATGAAAAGACTGTCAGCCAAGCATTTGCAAAAGATAATGGCAGAAGAAAAGACAACATCAGAGAGGTAAGACATCCGGAAAATAAAATCATTTAGCAGGCTTTCAGAACTGACAGATTCTGAAGGAGGCAGGCTTTTTTTCCACTTTTTTTTTTTTTAAGAAAGCTTCACAAAATTTTTTGTTGTTGTTTATTTATTTATTGTGGTCACTTGAGGGCTGTGAGAGGATTTTTGGACATGCTTAAGTCCAATTCTCCCATTTCCCTGTTAGCAGGTAAAAAAAAAAAACAAAAAACTGAGGCCTCAGGAACTTTTCAAAGCCAAAAGCGGGGCAAACCTGGGGTCTCAGTATCTAACTCCGGCCAAACACACTAGATCATAACAAACACAGCCATCTCTGAACTTGATTAAGGGCACGTGCTCAAAAGAGTTCAGAAAAACACTGAGGGGGAGCTTTAAAAAAAAAAGACAAATAACAAATGCACTAGACTAGATTCTGTGTTGGGGGAAAATTCTATAAGTGACATTATATATATTTTTTCTTTTTTAAATTTTTTTTAGTAGAGACAAGGTCTCACTATGTTGCCCAGGCGGGTCTTGAACTCCTAGGATCAAGTCATCTATCCTGAGTTAGCCTCCCCAAATGCTGGCATTACAGGCATGAGCCACCCTGCCTGGCCTAAGAACATTGTTGAGGTACTTTGTGAAACTCGAATATCAGTAATAGTATTTAATAAATGTTAAATTTTCTGAATTTAATAACTGCTGTGATTATGGAAGAAAATGCCCTTGTTCTTAGGAGATACATGCTGAAGTACTTAGGGGTAAAGAGGGAAGATGACTGGAACCTAAACGGTTCAAAAAAGAAAACAAATTTTTTTTTTAGACGCAGTTTTGCTATAGGAGCCCAGGTACGATCTCGGCTCACCGCAACCTCTGCCTCATGGGTTCAAGTGATTCTCCTGCCTCAGCCTCCTGAGTTGCTGGGATTAAAGGCATGTGCCACCCTGCCCGGCTAATTTTGTATTTTTAGTAGAGATGGGGTTTCTCCACGTTGGTCAGGCTGGTCTCAAACTCCCGACCTCAGGTGATCTGCCCACCTCAGCCTCCCAAAGTGCTGGGATGACAGGCGTGAGCCACCATGCCTGGCCACACTTTTTTTTTTTTTTTTTTTTTTGAGAAAGAAGTAAAACAAATTGGGCAAAATATTAACAATTGGTGAAGCTGGTTGACGGGTATATAGGAATTCTTTCTACGATTCTTGCAACTAAGTTAAAATTATTTCAAAATAAAAAGTTAAACATTACATATAAAACTGGATATTCTAAATATTTATTCTGGCCCACTGGGCAAAAGTACTTCTATGATCCCTTCTTGACTGGCCCTACTCTGACAAAGAAAGTGATAAGCACCTACTCTTGTTTTCTGAAGAATATAGACATCTCCACCAGAGAATATAGACATCTCCACCAGACCAAGTGCAGATCCACTGTACTCAGCAGAGCCCTCCATTAGCATCAGGACCAACTGAAAACAGCAGAGGCAGAATCCCAAAGCAGCTGTTAGTTTAAGGGCACAAGATCTGAGATCAGACAATCTTACCATCCTAAGTTTGCCCCTCACTTGCTTTATGAATGAGGGCGAGTGGCTTAACTTCTCTGCATCTCAGCATCCCCATTAAATGGTGCTAACAATGTCTACTCCATAGGATGATGTTAAGAATTAAATTTATAATACCTACAACCTCTTAAGCCTGCCTGGCACAAAATAAATTTCTCAGATGGAAATTGTTGTTATGATCTGGGTTTAAATGTACAGACTGCTGGAAAACATCTAATATACCCAGTCATTTATTTATACATTCACTCAAATCCACAAACTTGTATTGCAACAAGAACTGTGCTAGGCATAGGGTATTCAGCAATGTACACGATGCAATCCCCTCGCTGAGGGGACTTATATTCTACAGGATGAGTCAGCAAGTAAAGAGGCAATTACACTCAAAGTGTAACTAAGGACCTGAATGGCCAGCATGAGAGATGTTCAGCATGGGGTGGGAGCACATGAGCACATAGCACATAGCACATAGGTACCTGAGCCAACCTGAAGGGGGCATGGAGGAAGTGCTATCTCAGTTGAGACGTGGAGGATGAATACGAGATAGGCAGCAAAGGTAGATCAGAGGGAGGAACATTCCAGTCAGTTGGAGCAGAATATACAAAAAGAGAGATGGTATTGCCTTTCAGGAAGCCATAGCACAAGTGTATACCAGTAGAGGTGCCAGTGGGACCAGAGATAGGGAAATAAGTGAAATGTTTTCTGCAAATGAGGCTAAACAGGTTAGAGCCAGAGAGAGAAGGTCCTTGGAGTACCAAGAAGCATGAATTTGTCCTGAAGGAACCTTTAAAAGATTATAAACAGCTGGGCACATTGGCTCACGCCTATAATCCCAGCACTCTGGGAGACTGGGGTAGGAGGATCGCTGAGCCCAGGAGTTCAAAACCAGCTCGTCTTTAATAAAAATAAAAACATCAGCTGGGCATGGTGGCACACACCTGAGGTCCCAGCTACTTGGGAGGCTGATGTGGGATTTTTTTTTTTTTTTTGAGACAGAGTCTTGCTCCGTTGCCCAGGCTGGAGTGCAGTGGCGCGATCTCGGCTCACTGCAAGCTCCACCTCCCGGGTTCACGCCATTCTCCTGCCTCAGCCTCCCGAGTAGCTGGGACTACAGGCGCCCGCCACCACGGCTCGGCTAATTTTTTTGTATTTTTGTAGAGACGGGGTTTCACTGTGTTAGCCAGGATGGTCTTAATCTCCTGACCTCGTGATCCGCCCTCCTCGGCCTCCCAAAGTGCTGGGATTACAGGCGTGAGCCACCGGCGCCCGGCCCGAGGTGGGAAGATTGCTTGAGCCCAGGAGGTTGAGGTTCCAGTGAGCTGTGATTACACAACTGCACTCCAGCCTGGTGGCAGAGTGAGACCCCGATTCAAGAAAAAAAGGTTATTAGCAGAAGGTACATGAGAACAGAATATAGTTTAGAAAAAAATTACTCTGGCTATAATATGCAGAAGGCAACCTGAACTTCCAAGACCAGGACTGTGAATAGGACTCTAGTTGGAGATGATGGTGATAAGAGCAAGGCTGAATTCCAAAATGAACTAGAGAAGGAATGGAAGTATTTGGTAATTACCTGTGGGTGATTTACAGGAAGGCAGCATCTAGGAAGACCTCTGGGTTTCTAGTCATGAGGGCTGTTTCCCTGGTGGCTGCATGGAGACCCCATGAACTGAAACAAAGGTGGACACAGAGGGAAGATGTTCCTCTACTACTAAAAATTGCTAATTTTTGCATTCATATGCCTTCTCATGAAAAAGGAAAATTTAATTCAAATATTTTTTTTTTCTTTTGAGACAGAGTTTCACTCTTGTTGCCCAGGCTGGAGTGTAGTGGCACGATCTTGGCTCACCACAACCTCTACCTCCCGGGTTCAAGCGATTCTCCTGCCTCAGCCTCCCCAGTAGCTGGGATTACAGGCATGCACCACCATGCCCGGCTACTTTGTATTTTTAGTAGAGACAGGGTTTCTCCATGTTGATCAGGCTGGTCTCAAACTCCCGACCTCAGGTGATCCGCCAGCCTCGGCCTCCCAAAGTGCTGAGATTACAGGCATGAGCCACCGCGCCCGGCCCAAATAAATTTTTAAAACACTTTTTTTTGGCGACTCCCATGCATCAGCTCATAGCCCAGAGACAAACTGAAGCAAATAAGCAACATGTAAGATGTCAGAATTGCTTGGAATTTGGACATTGGACTTATAAATGCACAGGAAAAAGAAAATACCTACATAGGCCCTCAAGGACAGCAGAACTAAAGAAAGCTTTAAAAGAAAACAGATTATTATTACAACAAAGCACTGGAGAAACCAATGTAGAAAGAAAGGCCAAGAGAAAAAGGTCTGCCGGGCGCGGTGGCTCACGCCTGTAATCCCAGCACTTTGGGAGGCCGAGGTGGGCGGATCACGAGGTCAGGAGATCGAGACCATCCTGGGTGACACAGTGAAACCCCGTCTCTACTAAAATTACAAAAAATGAGCCGGGCGTGGCGGCGGACGCCTGTAGTCCCAGCTACTCAGGAGGCTGAGGCAGGAGAATCGCTTGAACCCGGGAGGCGGAGTTTGCAGTGAGCCAAGATCGCGCCACTGCACTCCAGCCTGGGCGACAGAAGGAGACTCCGTCTCAAGAAAAAATAAAAATAAAAAATAAAAAAGGCCTAAGAGTGTAACCAGTTCCAGTAGCTCTGACAGTTCTGCAAGTGATTCTTCATCAGAGAGTGAAGAAACATCTACCTCTTCCTCCTCAGAGGACAGTGACACATGAAATTTCCTCTAGTTCCTCATCCTCAGCCTCCTCCACAACCTCTTCCTCCTCCTCTGATTCAGACTCAGATTCCAGCTCTTCCAGTAGCAGCAGCACCAGCACAGTTAGCAGCTCTGACGATGAACCACCAAAGAAGAAGAAAAAGAAATACAGTTACTCCATCCATGTTAGACCGATGGACTGAAAACATTAATGTGATTCTTGAAAGGGAATTTAGAATATGTTAAGGCCAAGTAGGTTAACTGGTGAACATTTCTAGAATTCAGAAGTTTCTAAATGTTTTACATTGTAAGAGCATAAAGAGTATTAATCATGGCTTATAGAGAGAGAGAGACTTTTTTATTTGAAGGGTGAATCTTGTTTTTATTTTTTATCTTTATATCCGTAGGCCAGGAGCGGTGGCTCACGCCTGTAATCCCAGCACTTTGGGAGGCCGAGGCGGGTGGATCACGAGGTCAGGAGATCAAGACCATCCTGGCTAATATGGTGAAACCCCGTCTCTACTAAAAATGCAAGAAAATTAGCCGGGCGCGGTGGCGGATGCCTGTAGTCCCAGCTACTCGGGAGGCTGAGGCAGGAGAATGGCGTGAACCCGGGGGGCGGAGCTTGCAGTGAGCCGAGAGCGTGCCCCTGCACTCCAGCCTGGGCAACAGAGCAAGACTCCATCTCAAATAAATAAATAAATAAATAAATAATAAATAAAATATATCCTTAGAACTTAAAGCTGAAATCTGCAAATCTGTTTGTGTGATGAAACTATCTTTTCTCTCTGTGAAATAAATGCCATACTTTGTTATATATGTTAGTGGTGTGTATCAGACATACTTTCACAATGGTGCATCAGGATATCTGGCAGTGGATTTCTAATGCTTTTGGCTGTGTGTTATGTAAGATTTAATATGTTGTTACTGTAAGCATAGGAGTTTTCCTACTATTAATAAATGTGCTCTATTTTTACGTTTATGTTCAGAAAGTTATCTTTTTGTCCTTAGTGGTATGTTCAAGGAGCCTATTAATATATTTACAGTTTTTGAATGCTGTAAGTTTCAAATTGCTGTGTTACATCATTTATTTTCTTCTAGTTCCTTAAGTTTTTCAAGTTATCCTTTTCTGAGGAAAACTATTCTAGAGGAACCTAAAAAGGGACAGAAAATTTGAAACTACTTAGGAGTCTAATCTTGGTGCCTTCTGATAAAAGTCAGTGTATCAGAAAAGAAGGCAGCCATGTAAGAGGCTAACTTAAGTAGAAGTGCTAGAAATATCTTTGTGTATTAACATGCAATAAAAGGTACCATTCAAAGCAGGGGGAAAGGTAGGAAAAAGAGGTAATTTTTACTGAAAATTAGGGCAATGTTGGTCGCCTTTTATTAAATGATTTTTAAGCTTCCGTAAAGATTGCTTTTGCTATTTTTGAAAATATGGTATTATAGTTTGTATGGTAACTGGTCATATATGACAGTCTACTGCATAAATATGAATGACTAGGATTAATCTAGTGTGTTTACATAGGATATACATAGTTGAAATCTAGCATGAAAGGTTAAAAAGGAAATACTGCACAATATTTCTTAAAAGTAAAATGCTGTTATTGTGATGAGTCTTTGGTTTAACATCATAGTGTTCTGTGACATCTTTTTAACTTTTTGGAAAGAGTTATCATTTGTAGAAAAGATTTGATTTGAGTTAAATATAGGTTTTTAAAACTAACGAACTAAATAAATAAAACACTTTTTTAAATTGCTAAAGGTATCAGTCACATGAGGTGGGGTAGGGTGTACTGAGTAAGGTGGGAGGGATAGAGGGGAGGAGCAGAAGAGTTTAATTTTAAGAGGAATTGAAATAATACAAAGATGAATTTCCCCCTTGTCACAGTTTTGTCAAGGACCAGGTTGACAAAGAAAACATTTTTGATAATTTGTATGATAATTCCTCCACTAAGAACTACGTGAAAAACAATTTTATATTTTAAGATGCTTACATTCGGCCGGGCTTGGTGGCTCACACCTGTAATCCCATCACTTTGGGAGGCCGAGGCGGGTGGATCCTGACCTGAGGTCAGGAGTTCAAGACCAGCCTGGCCAACATGGTGAAACCCCATCTCTACTAAAAATACAAAAAAATTAGCCAGGCGTGCTGGTGCGCACCTGTAATCCCAGCTGCTCAGGAGGCTGAGGCAGGAGAATCAATCATTTGAATCTGGGAGGCAGAGGTTGCAGTGAGTGGAGACCATGCCACTGCACTCCAGCCTGGGCAACAGAGCAAGACTCCATTTCAAAAAAAAAAAAGAAAAGAAAAAGATGCTTACATTCTATGAGCCAGCAAATTCATTTCCAGAAATCTGTCCTACAGCTGTACTGGCATTCATGAGTGAAATATGAACATACAAAGTGTACTAATAGTGGACTAATAAATCAACTGTGAGACAGCCTCACTATAGAATATATACAGCTATTTAAAAAATGGGATAGTAGGTGTAAATCTACATTGAGAATAGAAAAATCTCTAAAGTAGGTTGAATTTATTTATTTATTTTAATTAATTAATTAATTAATTAATTTTTTTGAGGCAAAGTTTCACTTTTGTTGCCCAGGCAGGAATGCAATGGCACAATCTCTGCTCACTGCAACTTCCGCCTCCCGGGTTCAAGGGATTCCCCTGCCTCAGGCTTCCAACTAGCTGGGACTCTAGGTGTGTGCCACTCCTCCTGGCTAATTTTGTAGTTTTAGTAGAGGTGGGGTTTCACCATGTTGGCCCGGCTGGTCTTGAACTCCTGACCTCAGGTGATCCACCCCCCTCGGCCTCCCAAAGTGCTGGGATTGCAGGTGTGAGTCACCATGCCCTGCCTGAAATATATTGAAAAGCAAATATAAGAAGCAAAACATCACCTATAATATCCCATTTCTGTTTATCAAAACACTCCATATGGGTTTGGGAGTGGGAGCCGTATTATGTATATGTGCATGTGTGTGTATAGTATAGATAAATGGAAAGATACACGTTAAGTTAACATCCCAGGAATGAGAATTGGAGAGAGAAGGTTAGAGAGTAGGGTAAAAGGGAACCTATATTTGCATTCAAATATTCTGTTTTGTTTGAATTTCTTTTACAACAAGCGTGTCATATATACATACATAGTTATATAGATACTTATATACATATATACATACATACATACATATACATATATATATACACACACACACATATATATATATTTAAAAGTTGGGCCGAGTGTGGAGTATCACGCCTGTAATCCCAGCACTTTGGGAGGCCAAGGTGGGTGGATCACCTGAGATCAGGAGTTCGAGACCAGCCTGATCAACATGGAGAAACCCCGTCTCTATTAAAAATACAAAATCAGCCATGCGTGGTGGCGCATGCCTGTAATCCCAGCTACTCAGGAGGCTGAGACAGGAGAATCACTTGAACCTGGGAGGCAGAGGTTGTGGTGAGCTGAGATCATACCATTGCACTCCAGCCTGAGCAACAGAGCAAGACTCCGTCTCAAAAAAATAAATAAATAAATAAAAGTTGGAAGAGGACTATGAGATGCAAAGAGAGCTCATTCAACACATATTTATTCAGGTTCTACTGTGCATCAGATACTAGACAGTAGGGGATACAGCAGTGAACAACAACTTCAGGGGTGGTTCCCTCATGGAGTTTATAGTCCAGCAGCAGAGACAGACCATTAAACATGTGATTATAATAAAGAATGAAAACACTTTGCCCAGGAGTAAGCAATCAGGTATTAAAGGGGCCAACGAAAAATCAAGCATGGCTTCCTGAAGGGGGTGCCATCTCAATTGAGATCTGGGAGATTGGTATGAGTCTTTACAGCAGGGGATGCTGCATGTGTCAAGGCTAGATGAAGGCTGGCGAGATCCTGACTGGCAAGTAGTTGGGTATAGTTGGGGCCTGGTGGGCAAGTAGGAGATGAAGTTGGAGGTTTAAGTAGGTCTAGGTTACAAAAGGCCATGTGCGCCATGTCACAGGGTTTGGATTGTATTTTCACTGTGAAAAACCATTGGTAGGTTTTTAAGTAAGGCAGTGAAATCCTCAGATTTGCCTTTCAATAAGATCACTGTCAGCAGCTCCTCTCAATTGTGTGCTCAGACGCATGAGTGGGATCAGCTGGAGTGAAAAATGTAGAAAGGAGATTGAGGGTCCCTGGTTTGGAAAAGAGATTACAGAAGAGGAAGCCTGGCTATACCAGACCAGATGTGTCAATCCAGGCAAGAGATGTTAGTGACAGAGGTGGAAAGCAAACAGCTGACAACAGGGTGGAAGAGAAAGACAGATAACTGATATGTACAAATAATCATTTTAAATATTCAGACAGGTTAAGTAAGTGCTAGATGTGAAGTTCAAAGGCTATCCCTGCTGCATGGAGGAAGAAGAAACTAGACCCAACAGGGAGGCTGAAAAAGGGCTCTTGGAGAAGGTAGTATTTGAAATGAGTAATAACAGATATTCGAGCCTTCAAAAAACACAAATACATAGCAGTGTATTTTGTTAGAGGGAACTGTATGGGCACAAGCACAAAGACAGAAAAATCCAGAAAGTAGTTCAGTGGAGATGAAGGGCATGGTGCTTGTGAGTATGTGAGTGTGTATGTCATGGGAAAGGAAAATGGAAAAGTGAGTTGGGGCCAGATACTGATTATATCAATAGCTAATGAAACAACACATGTGAAGCTCTGTCTTTCATAATGCTTGGCACAATATGTACATACTTCCCTATCTATTGTTGGAATCCCCACTAGAATGAAAATTCCATGAGGGAAGGACCTGTCAGTCTCATTTACCACTGTCCCTCAAAGCCTACTTTAATGCTTGGCCTCTAGTAAGTATTGTATTTTTAGCAGAGACAGGGTTTCACCATGTTTGCCAGGCTGGTCTCGAACTCCTGATCTCAGGTGATCCGCCTGCCTTGGCCTCCCAAAGTGCTGGGATTACAGGTGTGAGCCACTGCGCTTGGCAGAACCTTGAACTTCTTAAAAGTTAGGTTAGGAAGGACCTTGTCAGTCTCATTTACCACTGTCCCTCAAAGCCTACTTCAATGCTCGGCCTCTAGGAAGTGCTCAGCAAATGTTCATTGAATGAATAAATGAGAAGGTGAATGAGCAGGTGAATAAGTGAGTTAATAAATGAAAATGTAAAGCACCAAATACACTGGGTGGAATAAAATTGGTATTTAATATGTGGTAACTATTAACAATAATACTCATTATTATTATTATCAGATATTGGAAGAATAATACCTGATAGGTTGGGGAGGTTGGCCAATTATGTACCTAAATTACCTTGTTTAAAATTTATCATTACTTGGATACCCTAAAAGCCCTTACTTGACAAGTATGCAGTCTATACATGTGACAAAATTGCACAGGTAACCCATAAATTTGTACAAATAAAAAGAGGAAAAGTGAAATATATCATTACTCCTCTAAGTTCATTGGCTATACCACAAACTTAAAATCTTTAGCAAGGTATCCGAAGTCCTTTATTCTTTAATTCCAACCTAACTTTTAAGAAGTTCAAGGTTCTGCTCGGCGCAGTGGCTCATGCCTGTAATCCCAACACTTTGGGAACCCAACGTAGGCAGATCATCTGAGGTCAGGAGTTTAAGACCAGCCTGGAAAACATGATGAAACCCTGTCTCTACTAAAAATACAAAAATTAGCCGGGTGTGGTAGTGCATGCCTGTAATCCCAGCTACTTGGGAGGCTGAGGTGAGAGAATCGCTTGAACCCACAAGGCGGAGGTTGCATTGAGCCAAGATCGTACCATTGCACTCTAGTCTGGGCAACAGAGTGAGACTTCATCTCAGAAAAAATTAAAATTAAAATTTAAAAAATGTAAAAAATAAATAAAAAAGAAGTTCAAGGTTCCTTCACTGCCGGATGTTCTTCCTTTCTCCCCACCCTTCTGCAGTCAATAGTTTCAATCCTGCTGGTTCATGGATGGCAAACAAACATTGTACCTTGGGTGAGGGGTACAGATAATTACCATAAAGGTGTTAAAGAAATGACAATGACAATATCCAGTACTTAGCCCTTGCCCTGGAACTATGCAAAGCAAATTACTCACTAACAGCCTATGAGGTATGCATTATTCCTACTCTTATTTCCTGGGTAAGTAATTTACCAAAGGTCAGAGCTCCTGGTAGGGGAGCTGAGACTTGAACTTGTTCTGGAGGCATGTGAATAAGTATTTTCCTTGTTATTAATGACAGGGCTTCAATGCCATGCCAAAATTTGAATTTTATTTTGTGAGCAATGATGGGTCAGGCTTTACTCGGAGGAGGGAGGATCCTGACTCTATTTGGGGACTAGCTCACAGTCACATTTCTCCAAAACACTGGATGCATTTAGGGTCACAAGGCAAGATACAACTGGGAAGTTACTTGGAACCAGATCCCAGGAAATTGTCCTTTACTTGGGAAGAAATAAAAGGGCGTCTGAACAGTAAGTGACACAACCAGTTAAATATTAGTCATCTATTCTGTGACTTCCCCAGGTACTTGGTAATATGGTATAGCTGCATGAATTTAAACAATTACTCCTGCTTTCCACCAGTTTATGGTCTAGTGAGGGAGGTAAGGCACACACGTTTAAACACAAATGAGGCAGAACTTGACAAAAGTCAAATCAATCCAACAGAAATGTGCCAAATTCACCCCGGAGTAGGCAGGAAGGTGAAAGGCTTGGAGGCTGGGCTGAAAGGTTGGCGATTCAGCCCCCAGGCCACAGGCTCCTTTCACTGTCAGTAAATACTAATTGAAGATAATGAAGGCCTTTATCACCTCTTCACCAAAAATCTGCATTCTCATTCATATTAACTTTTCCAGGGAACCAGAAATCTCTGGCTCAAAATATTTCCCTCAAACCACTCTATCTTATTTGCATTAAATTAACTCCAGCTACTCCAGGCCGACTTCACCCAGTCTTGGCCTCCTCCACATTCAAGGTGCTAAAATGTATTAAAATTGTCATCTGCAAAATGCTGAAGAAAGATTAAAGCTCTATGGGATTTTTTTTTTGTTTTGTAAAGACAGTCTGAGTATGTTGCCCAGGCTGGCCTTGAACTTCCTAAGTGCTGGGATTACAGGCGTGAACCTGTAAGGAAACTGAATTGCCAAACTGAGTTTGATTGAATTTGAAACCAAGGTAGACTTTAGAATCATATATCTCACTTTTTAGTAAAATTTATGCTTAACAGTTTTGTTTTGATTTTGCCTGATTACAAAAGTAATGCAATGAAAAAATGCAGCGTATTCTAGAGAATAAGTTATCTATGACCCCACCCTCCGAAGATAACCACTGTTAGCAGTATGTATATGTATCACTTCTTAGTTCTGACTAATTTTAGATCCTAGATAAGAGGATAAACAGATAACGTTAATCCACACATATAAGCAAATAAACAACACATGCTATTTTGCATTTTTCTCACCAGCTCCAGCAGTCCCGCTTAACTGCGGTTTTGCTTTCAATGGTTTCAGGTAAATATGGTAGAATAAGGTATTTTCAGAGTGAGAGAGGAAAAGAGAGGAACACATTCACATAACTTTTATTACAGTATATTATTATTTATTCTATTTTTTGGAGGGGGAAGGGAGACAGAGTCTCACTTTGTCACCCAGGCTGGAGTGCAGTGGCATGATCTTGGCTCACCGCAACCTCCGCCTTCTGGGTTCAAGTGATTCTCCTGCCTCAGCCTCCTGAGTAGCTGGGACTACAGGCATGCAACACCACACATGGCTAACTTTTGTATTTTTTGGTAGAGACAGGGTTTCACCATGTTGGCCAGGCTGGTCTTGAACTCCTGACCTTGCCTGCCTTGGCCTGCCAGAGTGCTGGGATTACAGGCATGAACCACCACGCCCTGCCTTATTTGTCCTATTTTATTAGTAGTTATTATTATTAATCTCCTCTTGTGCCTAATTTATAAATTAAACTTTATTGTAGATATGAATCTGTAGGAAAAAATAAAATGTATATGGAGTTCACTACTATCCAAGGTTTCAGGCATCCACTAGGGGTCTTGGAACATATCCACGTCAAATAAGGGGGGACAACTGTATGTAGATTTCACTCATTTTAACTCTCAGATAGTATCATACAGTATTCTAGTATGTATATACTTTTTTTTTTTTTTTTGAGATAGAGTCTCACTCTGTCACTCAGGCTAGAGTGCAGTGGCACAATCTCAGCTCACTGCAACTTCTGCCTCCCGGGTTCAAGCAATTCTCCTGCCTCACCCTCCCGAGTAGCTGGGACTAGGGGCACGTGCCACCATGCCCAGCTAATTTTTTTGTGTGTGTATTTTTACTAGAGACAAGGTTTCACTGTGTTAGCCAGGATGGTCTTGATCTCCTGACCTCGTTATCTGCCCCCCTCAGCCTTCCAAAGTGCTGGGATTACAGGCGTAAGCCACCGTGCCCAGCCAACTCTATTTTTAAAATAAAATTCCACAAAAATAGATCATTATTTTCCTTCAGCTGTTTACTCACATATAAACTTACTTTTTTTTTTTTTTTTTGGGACAGGGTCTTGCTCTGTCACCCATGCTAGAGTGCAGTGGTGGAATCATGGCACACTATATCGTTGAACTCCTGAGCTCGAACAATCCTCCCTCCTCAGCCTCCTAAGTAATTGGTATTACAGGGTGCACCACTACGCCCAGCTAATTTTTAAATTATTTTTAAAGACGGAGTTTCCTATGCTGCCCAGGCTGGTCTTGAACTCCCAGACTGAAGTGATCCTCCCACCTCAGCCTCCCAAAGTGCTGGGATTGCAGGTGTGAGCCACAGAGCCCGGCCTACTTATTTATTACTACTACAAAAATATACTAAGGCCAGGCACGGTGGCTCACACCTGTAATCCCAGCACTTTGGGAGGCCGAGGCAGGTGGATCACAAGATTGGGAGTTCGAGACCAGCCTGGCCAATATAGTGAAACTCCGTCTCTACTAAAAATACAAAAATTAGCCGGGAGTGGTGGCGGGTGCCTGTAATCCCAGCTACTCAGGGAAGCTGAGGTATGAGAATCCCTTGAACCTGGGAGGCCGAGGTTGCAGTGAGCCGTGATCGCGCCACTGCACTCCAGCCTGGACGACAGAGCGAGACTCCATCTCAAAAAAAAAAAAAAATTATACACACACACACACACACACACACACACACTATGTTTAACATCCTTGTACATATGTTTTTGCACACTTGTGCTAACAATTTTATAGAATAATTTCCTAGAAGAACTGCACAAAGAATGCCAATTTTTTTTTTCTGGAGACGAAGTCTCCCTCTGTCACCCAGGCTGGAGTGCAGTGGCATGATCCCAGGTCACTGCAACCTTCGCTTCCTGAGTTCAAGCGATTCTCCTACCTCAGCCTCCTGAGTAGCTGGGACTACAGGCACGTCCCACAATGCCCAGCTAATATATTTTTTTGAAATGGAGTCTCACTCTGTTGCCCAGGCTGGAGTGCAGTGGCGCGATCTTGGCTCACTGCAACCCCTGGTTCACGCAATTCCCCTGCCTCAGCCTCCCAAGTACCTGGGATTACAGGTGCATGCTACCATGCCCGGCTATTTTTTTTGTATTTTTAGTAGACATAGGGTTTCACCATATTGGCCAGGCTAGTCTCAAACTCCTGACCTCAGGCAATTTGCTTGCCTTGGCCTCCCAAAGTGCTGGGATTACAGGTGTGAAGCACTGCACCCAGCCAGAATGCCTACATTTTAATCTGAATCTGTATTGCCAGCTTTCCCTCTCAAGGTAGCACCAAGTCCATCCCAATTTGAGTGGATAAAAATGCCTCCACCCCCTCACTGCACCAGGTATTATCAACCAGTTTACTAAGGAGTCACATTAACTAGACCAATCAATTCACTCTAGAAGGATGAGGACGAATAGTGGGCATTTCAGAAATATTCTTGTTGCTGAGGCTCCAGGGGGCCAAAAGTTTAATAAGAGCAACCAGGTATTTTCACAGAAGAAGAAAACACATCATTTTCTACTCCTTTTACCCCCTACACAAAATAAAAACAAAACAGAAACAGTATATTAATAAGTGCCATCCTGTATCTGTATCATTTATAATGTGTAGACTCAGGTTGTGAGGATATGAGTCAAAATCCAGGCATCAGATTGAGAAAAGTCAGAGAAAATCGATGAATGCGTTTAGTTTTAGGTAGGAAGCTAAAGAAGTGAAAGTCCTAGATACATGCAGAAATGATTGTCTATGGAAAGTGATAATGTCCTAATGTGGAGAGATTAATTTGGAAATTTCTTCACCTCAACTGAAGAATTTACAGTGCTTTAAAAACTTATATCAGGGGCCACTACATAGAATACATTGTTCTCAGACAGAGTAAGTACTTTTGTGGTTAGGTAAGGCAGTGCTAGAAACTCTCAAGAGCAGCTTTCTCTGGGAAATCACACTTGCTTCTAACAAGAGCTGTGGCTGTGAGCCACCAACACTGCAGGGACACTCATGCGCCTGGAGGTCCCTAGACAGCAGAAAGGAGGGAGTGACACCTTGGTCAATCCAGTACGAAAACTATGTTTGGGTGATGATGGCTCAGGCCCTGGCTGGCTTTGCAACCCTGGAGCAGCCACTTAACATCTCCAAACCTCTGTCAACTTTCTTGTAAAGACATCAGCAGGATGATTTCTAAGATGTTTTTCAGCTCTGAAAACTGTCAGATTGTAAACTAAAAGTACTGATTCACAAATGTTTGTGTGTTATCAGATTGACTTGGAGAGCTAATAAAGAGCACAGAGGATAGGATCTGGGCTCTGGTGAGTGTATCAAGTTCCCCAGGTGATTTTGATACTGACCAAAGGTTAAGAACCACTGAACTAGGGAAAGGATGAGAATCGGAGCATAGATTTTTGAAAATATATAACTGTTAGGAGAATTAGTGGGATGATACAGTAAAGTGTAAAGTGCTACTAAAATATTATGATTACTGTATTACCATAGGGCCTTATTTACCAAATGACTTTAATTCTGGAAATGATCAATTATCAATTATGGTCATGTCTTTGTCCATCTGTTAAAAAATGTCTCCATGGGCCAGGTGCAGTGGTTCATGCCTATAATCCCAGCACTTTGGAAGGCCAAGGCAAGCGGATCACTTGAGCCAGGGAGTTTGAGACCAGCCTGGACAACATAGTGAAATCTCGTCTCTGTTAAAAATACAAAAATTAGCCAGGCATGGTGGCAGGCGCCTGCAATCCCAGCTACTCTGCAGGCTGAGGCACAAGAATTGCTTGAACCCTGGAGGTGGAGGTTGCAGTGAGCCGAGATCATGCCACTGCACTCCAGCCTGGGCGACAGAGCCAGAGGAAGACTCCATCTCAAAAAAAAAAAAAAAAAAAAGAGAGAGAGAGAGACTCCTGACAGTAAACAGATCAGTGGTCACCAGGGATTAGAGGGGAGGGAATGATGAATAGGCAGAGCACAGAGGATTTCCAGAGCAGTGAAAATACTCTGTATGACTGGGATAGTGGAAATCATTATACATTTGTCCAAACCCATAGCATATACAGTACTAAGGGTGAGCCCTAATGTAAACTGTGGACTTTGGGTAATAATGGTGTGTCAGTGTAGGTTCACCAATTGTAATAAATGTACCACTCTGGTGGGGAATGTTGATAACAGAGGAGGCTATGCATGTGCGGGGCAGGAGTATGTTGAAAATCTTTGTACCTTCCTCTCAATCTTGACATAAGCCTAATACTGCTCTAAAAAATAATGTCTTGACCAGGTGCGGTGGCTCACACCTGTAATCCCAGCACTTTGGGAGGCCAAAGTGGGAGGATCGCTTGAGCTAAAGATTTTGAGACCAGCCTAGGCAATATGGTGAGACCTCATTTCTTTTCTTTTCTTTTCTTTTCTTTTCTTTTCTTTTCTTTTTTTGAGAGAAATCTTGCTCTTAACCCCCAGGTGTGAGTGCAATGGCTTGATTTTGGCCCACTGCAACCTCCGCCTCCCGGTTTCAAACGATTCTCCGGCCTCTGCCTCCCAAATAGCCGGGATTAACCACGCCCGGCTAATTTTTGTATTTTTTTTTTTTTAGTAGAGACGGGGTTTCACCATGTTGGCCAGGCTGGAGTGAGACCTCATTTCTACAAATTTTTTTTTTAAAGTTAGCCAGGTGTGGTAGTGCATACAGTCCCAGCTACTCGGGAGGCTGAGGTGGGAGGATTGCCTGAGCCTGGGAGGTTGCAGTGAGCCATGATCGGCCCACTGCATTCCTGCCTGAGCAAGAGAACAAAATGCTTTCTCCAAAAAAAAAAAAAAAAAAGAAGTTTGGAAAACATCTTAATAAGTGTTCTTGCCACAAATAAATAGTATGTGAAGTTATGCATATGTTAATTAGCTTAATTTATCCATTCCACAATGTATACCTATTTCAAAACATCATGTTGTACACTATAAACTACACAATATTTATTTTTCAATTATAAATAAATAAATATTTTAAAAAGTGTCTCCTTCGTTGGGAAAACCCACACCAGTCTCGTTGACTTTCTGGCCTTGTGATCAGTCTCCAGCATTCTAGCTCCTTGTTTCAGATGTGGTACATGTCTCTCCACTGCTAAGGACACTAATACTAACTCTTTCATGAGGTTCCTCATTTTAAAGCTTTCAAAGCACTTGCAGATTCATTTCATTTGATTTCACACTCATCCAATAGGGTGAGCAGAACAAGTATCACTATATCCATTTTGGGATGATAATTTTTCAGGCACACAGGTACTTCTTAGAAACACTGCGCCCTGGACTATAAGCCACTTGAGTTTAGGTGCTGATGTCTTGCTCACTGTTGTGTGCTTATCTCTGAGGATAGAAGAGTTCAGAGTAGATGTTGATAAGTATTAAATATAGATATTAAATTCTGCCACTCATTTCCTAAAAATGCTGAATTTTGACCTCAGCAAGGATAATACATCTCCTGTTCATCTCCACCAGAACTTATGGTTCAAAAGGGCAGAGATTTTTTACCTCATTTGTTCACTGCTCTATCCCAAATACCTTGAACGCTGTCTGACTCATATTAGGTACTCAATAATTACTTTTTAAAATAAGCAAATATGCTTGAATCTTTAATGCCTAACCCAGAGCCTGGGCCAGAAATATGCTTACTAAGTGTGTGCTGGGCCAGGTACGGTGGCTCACGCCTGTAATCCCAGCACTTTGGGAGGCTGAGGAGGGCAGATCACCTGAGGTTGGGAGTTTGAGACCAGCCTGACCAACATGGAGAAACCCCATCTCTACTAAAATTACAAAAAAAAAAAAAAAAATTGTCTGGGCGTAGTGGCGCATGCCTGTAATCCCAGCAACTTGGGAGGCTGAGGCAGGAGAATCTCTTGAACCTGGGACGCAGAGGTTGCAGTCAGCCAAGATCGCACCATTGCACTCCAGCCTGGACAACGAGAGGGAAACTCCGTCCCAAAAAAAAAAAAAAAAAAACTGTGTGATGAATGAAATACTCTAAGGGAAGAGAAAAGAGGGGAAATTTAAATATCAAAGCTAATAAAATCAAATTGTCTCATCTATAGTAGACTATCAAATGAATTTCTATTATAAGATGCTACCGAATCACCAACAAAATGACCATTTGATTTTTTCTTTTTTTTTGAGATGGAGTTTCACTCTTGTGGCCTGAGCTGGAGTGCAATGGTGCGATCTCAGCTCACTGCAACCTCCGCCTCCCAGGTTCAAGCAATTCTCCTGCCTCAGTCTCCCAAGTAGCTGGGATTACAGGTGCGCGCCACCATGCCTGGCTAATTTTTGGTATTTTTAGTAGAAACAGGGTTTCACCATGTTAGCTGGGCTGGTCTTAAGCTCCTGACCTCAGGTGATCCACCCACCTTGGACTCCCAAAGTGCTGGGATTATAGGCGTGAGCCACCACGCCCAGCCAATCGTTTGATGTTTTAAACATGTATACACATTTCTTTGGTTGAAAAGAACAGATTTTAAAACATGTATGTTTTTTTGAAAGGTAAGTGAAAAAGCAGCTTAGAATTAAGTAAAATAAAATACATGCATTTAGGCCGGGCGCGGTGGCTCAGGCCTGTAATCCAGCAGTATGGGAGGCCGAGGCGGGTGGATTACGAGGTCAGGAGTTCGAGACCAGCCTGGCCAAGATGGTGAAGCCCCATCTCTACTAAAACTACAAAAATTAGCCAGGCGCGGTGGTCAGAGCCTGTAATCCCAACTACTTGGGAAGCTGAGGCAGGAGAATCACTTGAACCCAGGTGGCAGAGGTTGCAGTGAGCCGAGATCGCACTGCTGCGCTCCAGCCTGGGAGGCAAACTGAAACTCATCTCAAAAAACAACAAAAAAATACGTGTATTTAAAAAAGACTGGGAAGGTTCATTATGTCTGGATAAATAAGGTTTTTATTTTAAAAAGTGAAGTTATTAATTTAAATACAGACAGGGTTTCACCATGTTGCCCAGGCTGGTCTTGAACTGCTGAGCTCAAGCCATCTGCCGACCTCAGCCCCCAGAGTGCTGGGATTACAGACATGAGCCACTTTGTCCATCCAATAAATTAGTTAATGGCCGATTTTTATGTTCTTTTCTTATCCATACTTTCTGAATTTTCTATGCTACACATTCATGGCTTTTATAATGAGAAAAGAGTGAATACAAAAGAAAAATACATAGAAGGGAATATATTAAATACATAGAAGGAAATACATTAAAATTCAAACAATCATTTAATGGAATGGTGAGGACGTGGATTATAATTTTAAAAAGTATTGTCTATTTTTAAATGTTCTTGAATTATTTGCATTACTTATATGAAAAATTTGACATTGGAAACTTGCAAGAATCTAATTTGCTGTGCAGTCTGAGATACACTCTACAAAGTCAAATATTTGTGAGTAACTTGAAGCACACACCAAGTGTCAAGTTTTGAAAAGGGAAACTTTCACAGGTTATCAGCCAAAAACGTAAGTTGTGACTTCCCAGAAAATCTCAGGAACTTTTACCTATAGGCACCAAAATATGCCCCAGAGGGCTCCTAAAGGAGTAGGGAGTGGGGGTGGGGGCCCAGTGGGGGAGCTGCTGTGGATTCTTTAGTATTCACCTATAACTTCTTTGGCAGCAATGATTGATGGATGATATATAATTAATTTCACTTGACAAGCATAAAGGAAAAATTTCCCCGAGCCACTGTAACCTGAGCTAATGAAACCCTATTTAACCAAGGGTGTGTATTTAGACTGGATCTTACCTTAGTGACTTAGCCATTAGTAGGAATTCATTGTTTACCTTTAGGATTCTTATCAGTACTTAGACTCTGTTTGCATGTGATTTTCACCAGATTGCTCAACATACTCGGCGTTATACGATTTGGAAATAAGTGAAAACATTGCAAGATCACAAAAAGCTAATCTCAACTATCTAATCTCCTTAAAACTTTATGATTTTCTCTTCTCTTTCAGGATGTATTATGGTATTCTCTGGAAAGATTCTGTGAACAAGCAAGACACCTGTTTCAGGTCTTGTTAAATACCAGGTCTTTCCATTTCCTTTAAGCCTTTCAGAGATTTAGGCCATGTCATCATACCTGATCACTTCATACCTGAACCCCACAAGGGCAGCAGCATCCTCCGGTGTCTACTACCCGTGAGACCCCCTCTAGAGAAAGTTCCAGAAAACAAGATGAGTTCAAAGAGTTCATAAGGAACTTTTGGGGGAAGCTACAACTATTATTAGTTAACACTGAACAGGGAGCCAGGAGATCTAGATTCTTGTTGTATTTGCCCTGTTCATATGACTTTGGACAAACCACTCATCTTTTAGGAACCTTCATTTCCTCATTTATATTGAAGACAATTGAAGTAAAGGACCTCTAAAGTCTGTTTCAGTTTGAAAATTCTCTGTCTCAGAAGAAATCCCTTATGAAGATCAGCAGCAGGAGGGCCTGGGGTGGATTGGTGGGCCCTTCCTTCACAGTAAGAGAAATAGGAACTCAGGCAGGGTCTAAGTCTCTGGGGAATTTTGAGTTACTCTCATCCAATTCTGCACTTGAAAAACTGAGAAGTGAGACTGTGGATTCAACACTCCTGATACCCTTTTGAAATCAAAGGCCTGGCTGCATCAGGTGAGTTGGCATTTGTCTTTCTCCTGGATAATTGGAGCTATGCTTTTATTTCCATGGGGAAAAAAACAAAAAAAAACAAAACTCATAGCCATAGCCTTGCCATGCAGAAGTATTCATGAATAATTAGGGGACAGTGATAGCTGAACAACAAAAGAGTTGGTTCTGTGAGCCCTCAAATTTTGGCAGCCTTGGGAACACTCCAAATGGAGGCCTGGTCTAGGACTGCTGTAATGTCATCCAGGGCCTGGGGTGTGCTACACCCCATCACCGCCTTCATTTACCCCCACCCAGATGACCCTGCCATCTGTCAGGTGTGCTCACAAGAGGTGGCACAAATCTGTGGATGGGGAGAAGGTAGCACTCTGGCAGCAGCCTCCTCCTGCCTCCCTGCCTGGGAGCCATGTGGCAGTTTTCTTCTCTTTGACATCCAGGCTGAAGAAGGTTTTAGCCTTCATTTCTACACATCTACCGTTGCTGGGCAGCTTACCTCCCTCCCTCAGCCTTGCTTGGGACCCCTGGCTCCCTGCCTTCTGCACTCTGCCACCATTTTGGGTACCTCAGAGGCACATGCTAGAGTCAGGCCCTGTTTCCCTTTTCTGCCTCCTCCAAAAGGATAGTGCTATGTTATTTTTCAGCTCAAAATTCCACACTCACTCTATTTTCTAGTAAACAAAAATTTGAAATTTTTAGCCCAACCGTCAATGTTCCTTATTACCAACATTGCCTTTTGCCCACTCTACACACACACACACACACACACACACACACACACACACACTAACATTCACACATAAACACACTGTCTACCTTTGCAGAGCTCATTTATGTTGCGAAGTTCAGCTTTAATGACTCTTTCCCTGGGAAATCTACCCAATATCTTTCAGCCTAAAATATTCTCTCCTCTGAACTCTTATAGCTTTCTGGTTCCTCCGTTGGAGATATTCAGCACTTTCTTTCTTTGTGTTTTTTTTTTTGTTGTTGTTGTTGTTTGTTTGTTTGCTTGCTTTTTTGAGACAGAGTCTTGTTCTGTCGCCCAGGCTAGAGTGCAGTGGCCTGATGTCAGCTCACTGCACCTCCGCCTCCCGATCTCCTGCCTCAGCCTCCTGAGTAGCTGGGATTACAGGCGCCCACCACCAAGTCCAGCTAATTTTTGTATTTTTAGTAGAGACAAGGTTTCACCATATTGGCCAGGCTGGTCTCGAACTCCTGACCTCAAGGGGTCCACCTGACTTGGCCTCCCAAAGGATTTATAGGTGTGAGCCACCACACCTGGCCTGATATTCAGCACTATCTAACTAAAATCACAGTTATTTTCTTCTCTACTAGGTTGTAGGTTTCTTTTCTACTAGGTTGTAGGCTTCTCAAAAGACAAATTACACAAAGATAAAACAATTACCTATATTTTATCTTTGTGTATTTGTAGCAGAGTATACGCTACTTGGCTGGGTGTGGTGGCTCACACCTCTAGTCCCAGCACTTGGGGAGGCTGAGGTAGGAGGATCACTTGAGGTCAGGAGTTCAAAACCAGCCTGATCAACATAGCAGAGCCATGTCTCTACAAAAAAATAAAAATAAAAAATAAAAAAAGCTAGGTATAGTAGCATGTGCCTGTAGTCTCAGCTACTGGGGAGGCTGAGGCAGGAGGATCCCTTGAGCCCAAGAGGTTGAGGCTGCAGTGTGCCATGATTGTGCACTGTACTCCAGCTTTGGCAACAGAGTGAGACCGTGTCTCTAAAATATGTGTGTGTGTGTGTGTGTCTGTGTGTGTGTGTGTGTGTCTGTGTGCGCGCTACATAGTAGGTTCTTAAAGACTGCTCAATGAATGAAGAACAGAGGTCAACCAGATACTACAGACTAGTTTTTACATACCTCTGTGTTGCTAAGGTGAATGCAGATTTGAGTACCAGAAATTGGAATCCACAACTTAAAAATAATACAGTTCTCCTTTTTAAAGTGCAAATTTCTTTCCAATAAAGGATAAACCTTTTTTTTTTTTTTTATGACAGAGTTTTACTTTTGTAGTCCAGGCTGGGGTGCAGTGGCACCATCTGGACTCACTGCAACCTCTCCATCCCAGGTTGAAGTGATTCTCATGCCTCAGCCTCTGGAGTAGCTGGGACTACAGGCTATTCCTGACCTCAGGTGATCAGCCCACCTTGGCCTCCCAAACTGCTGGGATTACAGGCATGAGCCACCACGCCTAGCCAGATAAACTGTTCTTCACAAATCAAGATGCCACATCTAAGTCACTTACTTCTGTCATACTCTCATGATAACCTAAGAACACCCATGGACCAACCCTCTCCCCAGAAAAATGCACATGTACACATCCAGACAAATACGTACAATTTTATATTTTTATTGAGTAACAATTTCAAACTTACAAAAAGTTGCAAAAATAAAAATAGCATTAGGAACATCCACAGACTGGTGTGGTATGGGTGCAGTTGCCATTAAAGAGACTCAGCCATGGAAGGCAAACCATTGGTGAAACAGGTAAAGTAGTGGGTGGGGTCCCACCAATGTGGTGTGCACAGCCTTCAGCAGTCACATCCTGGAGATGGTGACCCAGTTCAGGAAGGTGGGTACGCTGATCTCCCTAGAGCCCAGAAATGTAGCCTCAGTGACATCAACAAACCAGTACTCACCACAAAATCTCCTTCTCAGCCAGGATAAGCCTCTCATCCATGTCTTTGCAAAGAAACTGGTGCATTTGTGTCTCAAGAAGCCAGAAACAAAGTGGTCCTCCCAGCTATGGCCATGAATAACAAAAGCATGGAGTGAATGAAGGTCTTGAAGGAGGTGATCTGGGTGTGCCAGGTGTGGTGACCTGGAGGCAGTAGTCACGCGCTGTCAGCAGGATGTGTGGAGACTCAGACATCCACTCAGTGACTCAAAGACCCTCCTTCCCTCACAGTCAGAGGGAAGCACTTTCTCTGGCTCTAGCCTTTGAAGGCAGAAAATATATTCATGTCTCAGGCAGACTCTTACTCTCTTTAGTTACTAATATAATCTACGAATAGAGGAAGAAGTGGAACATGTCTCAGGGGAATGAATAGTAACTGGTTCTCACTGGGATTCAAATAGCTGCTTATATTTAAGAATTGGGCCAGGTGCAGTGACTCACACATGTAATTCCTGCACTTTGGGAGGCCAAGGCAGGCGGATCACCTGAGGTCAGGAGTTCAAGACCAGCCTGACCAACATGATGAAACCCTGTCTCTACTAAAAATACAATTAGCTGGGCATGGTGGTGGGAGCCTGTAATCCCAGCTACTCCAGAGGCTGAGGCAGGAGAATCACTTGAACCAGGGAGGCAAAGTTTGCCGTGAGCCAAGATCGCACCATTGCACTTCAGCCTGGGTGAAAAGAGTGAAACTCCATCTCAAAGAAAAAGAATTGAAACAACGAACCAGCAGGCATGACGCATGACCCTCAATCTCAATTGTAGGAGTACATTTCTTTTTTTTTATTAAACATAAATATGTGTTCCCCCTTTCCCAAAAAATAAAGAAACATCTGCTGGGCATGGTAGCTTGTGCCTGTAGTCCTAGCTACTTGAGAGGCTGAGGCAGGAGGATCTCTTGAGCCCAGGAGTCCGAGGCTGGAGTGACTACAAAGCCAGACCCTGTCTCTTAAAAAAAAAAAAGAAAGAAGTTTTCATGTATCCTTTACCAGATTCACCTATTAACATCATTTGTTTTATGATTTTATTCCTCTGGCTTGCCCATTCTCACTCTGTGTGTGTGTGCGTGTGTGTGTGTATATGAGTGTGTATCTGTGTGTATAAAACTTTTTCCCAAAGAATATGAGGGTAGTTGCATATATTAGCTATTTACCCCAAAATATTTTGATGACTATTTCCCAAGAATAGGATATTCTCTTATGTCATCATAAGAGACATAAATTTCATAAATTTATATGCTTTTTTGTTTTTTGTTTTTGTTTTGTTTTGTTTTTTTGAGATGGCGTTTCACTCTTGTTGCCCAAGCTGGAGTGCAATGGTGCAATCTTGGCTCACTGCAACCTCCACCTCCCGGGTTCAAGTGATTCTCCTGCCTCAGCCTCCCAAGTAGCTGGGATTACAGGTGCGCACTACCACGCCCGGCTAATTTTTTTGTATTTTTAGTAGAAACGGGGTTTCACCATTTTAGCCAGCCTGGTCTTGAACTCCTGACCTCAGGTGATCTGCCTGCCTCAGCCTCTCAAACTGTTGGGATTACAGGCGTTAGTCACCACACCTGGTCTATATGCTTTTATCTAATTCGCCATCTCTATTCCAATTTTGTCAGTTGACTTAGTGATATCTTTCATAGCATTGATTTTTTCCTCCCATACAGGATCCAGTCATAAGGACAGAGTCCCCATGATGGGATTAGTGTCTTTATAAGAAGAGGAAGAGAGCCAGCCCTCTTTCCTTCCACCAAGTCAGAATACAATGAGAAGATGGCTACCTGTAACCCAGGAGGAGTGCTTTCACCAGAACCTGGTTATCCTGGCACCCCGATCTTGGTCTTCTATCCCCCAGATTGTGAGAAATCAATGTTTATTGTTTAAGCCACCTCAGTCTGGTATTTCATTACAGCAGCCCAAGTGACTAAGACGGTCCTCTTCCCCGCTTATGAATAATGTAATAAAACCAGGCACAGTGGCTCTCTACCTATAAATCACAGCACTTCAGGGGCCAAGGCAGGAGGATTACTTGAGCCCAGGAGTTCATGACCAGCCCGAGCAACAAAGTGAGACCCCCATCTTTACCAAAAAAAAAAAAAAATAGCCTGACATGCTGGTGGCTACCTGTAGTCCCAGGTACTCAGGAGGCTGAGGTGGGAGGATTGCTTGAGCCCTGGAGATCAAGGTTGCAGTGAGCCATGATTATGCCACTGCACTCTAGCCTGGGTGACAGAGTGGCACCCTGTCTCAATAATAATAATAATAATAATAATAATAATAATAATAATGTAATACTGGTGAGATAGGGCAATTTTTGCCCCAGGATCTAAAAGGAAGTAATGCCCTGTGGGAGCGCTCAACCATAGTTTTTGGTTTAGATTGGGTTGCATGCAACCTTAGGCAAACATCTAAATCTCTCTGTACATCAGTATCAGCATCTTTAAACAGGGATAATAATGCCACCTAAATTATAATGTTGTGAAGATTAAAGAATCAATACAAGTAAAGTGCTTAGAAAAGTGCCAGCACATAGCAAGCACTATATATAGATAGAATATAAGCTCCATGAGGTCAAGGATTTTACTTCCTGATATATTCGCACTGCCTGGAAGAGCGTCCTGCACAGAGTAAGCATAATATCCCACAAAATGACTGAAAAATGCAAAGACCTCTCATGCCTGTAGTCCCAGCTCCTCAGGAGACTGAGACAGGCAGATGGCTTAAGGCCAGGAGTTTGAGACTGCAGTGGACTATGCTCGCACTTGGAAATAGCCCCTGCTTTCCAGTCTGGGCAACATGGAGAGACCCCCATCTCTAAAACAAAGTAAAATTTAAAAAGGAAAAAATCAGCTTGGGAAACATGGTGAAGCTCTGTCCCTACAAAGAATACACAAAATTTAAAAATTAGCAGGGCATGGTAGCGCATACTTGCAGGCCCAACTACTTGGGAGGCTGAGATGTGGGGATTGCCTGAGCCCAGGAAGTCAAGGCTGTAGTGAGCCATGATTGCACTACTGCATTCTAGCCTGGGTGACAGAGTGACAGCCTGTCTCCAGTAAAAAAAAAAAAAAAGAAAGAAAGAAAAGAAAAAAAATTCAAGAAAGACCCTGGAATTCTCCAGCTGATATACACTTTCCTACTTGGCTTGACATTGACCGCAGCTGGCTGAGAACTCCTCAGCCCCTGATTAGGGCTGAAGTCTTCGAGGAATACTTTGCTCCTACTGGTTCAGGCAACCAATTCCTCAGCTGGTGGCTTTGTTCTCTTATCACAGAACAGAAAAGCAAAGGCCAGAAGGCAGGTGCAGCTAACCAAGACACACTGAACAGTCTGGTTGATGGAAAAGCTTTCGAGTCCTCCCCTCCAGCAGGTAGAGGGAAATAACCATACTGTGGCCCTGCCTAGCCTGCTGCCTTTTTTCAAAACAGTTTGACCTCTGTGTTTAATGACTTTAATTGCAAAGTAGGGGTTCCTGAGCAGTAGGTTGCTTCAGGAGGTTGTGGGTTAGCAAATGGATATTTGAAGCAGGCTGTCTGTAGACTGAATAAACAGTGTGTCTGCTTCATATATGAGCTACGTCCTCAGCAGGCTGGAGGGTAGAGACCAAGATTTCTGAAAATGCTGTTTTCTACCCCTCATCAGAATTGTTAGCATCCTTGCTAAAAATGCAGATTTCAGGGCCTCACTTCAGTACAGCTAAATCAGCATTGGCATTGGTAGGGGGTGGAGGTCGGATGAGGATGACATGTGAAGTGGAGTAGAGCAGGAATCTTTTTTTTTTTTTTAATTAATAAAATTTGGTCGGGTGTGGTGGCCCACGCCTGTAATCCCAGCACTTTGGGAGGCCGAGGCGGGCGGATCATGAGATCAGGAGTTCAAGACCAGCCTGACCAACATGATGAAACCCCGTCTCTACTGAAAATACAAAAATTAGCCGGGCATGGTGGTGCATGCCTGAAATCCCAGCTACCTGGGAGGCTGAGGCAGGAGAATCGCTTGAACCTGGGAGGTGGAGGTTGCAGTGAGCCAAGATCGGGCCTCTGCACTCCAGCCTGGGTGACAGAGCAAGACTCTGTCTCAAAATAAATAAATAAATAAATAAATTAATTAATTAAATTTATTTTTTAGGGCTGTTCTACATTCATAGCAAAACTGAGCAGCAAGTGTAGAGACTTCCGATATACCCCTTGTTGCCATAACACACGACCTCCCCCACTATCAATATCTGCGCCACTATGTTTGTTTTATTTATTTATTTATTATTTTTTGAGACGGAGTCTCACTCTATCACCCAGGCTGGAGTGCAATGGCACGATCTCAGCTCACTCTGCCTCCTGGGTTCAAGTCAGTCTCCTGCCTCAGCCTCCTGAGTAACTGGGACTATAGGCACGCGCCACCAGGCCTGGCTAATTTTTGTATTTTTAGTAGAGACGGTGTTTCACTATGTTGGCCAGCCTGGTCTCGAACTCCTGACCTCAGGTGATCCACCCGCCTCGGACTCCCAAAGTGCTGGGATTACAGGCCTGAGCCATCGCACCCGGCCTACACTTGTTATAATTGACAAACCTATATTGACACATCATTGTCATCCAAAGACCATAGCTTATATTAGGGTTCACTCTTGGTGTTGTACATTCCATGGGCTTTGACAGATGTATAATGACATGATTCATTATTACAGTGTCATACAGAATACTTTCACTGTTCTGAAAATCCTTTGTGCTGTGCCTATTTATCCCTCCCTTCCCCTTTCAACCCCTGGCAACCACTGATCTTTTTACTGTCTCCATAGTTTTGCCTTTTCCAGAACATACGGTATATAACCTTTTCGGACTAGCTTCTTTCATTTCATAATATGTGTTCGAGGTTTCTCCATGTCTTTTCATGGCTTGATAGCTCATTTCTTTTTAGAACTGAATAATATTTTATTGTCTGCCTGTACCATTGTTTATCCATTCACCTACTGAAGAACATCTTAGTTGCTTCCAAGTTTTGGCAATTATAAATAAAGATGGCATAAACACGGGCGTAGTGGCTCACGCCTGTAATCCCAGCACTTTGGGAGGCTGAGGTAGGCCGATCACGAGGTCAGGAGTTCGAGACCAGCCTGACCAACTCGGTGAAACCCTGTCTCTACTAAAAATACAAAAATTAGCTAGGTGTGGTGGCACATGCCTGTAATCCCAGCTACTCAGGAGGCTGAGGCAGGAGAATGGCTTGAACCCAGGAGGTGGAGGTTGCAGTGAGCCAAGATCGCACCACTGCATTCCAGCCTGGGTGACAGAGTGAGACTCCATCTAAAAAAAAAAAAAAAGGATGGCATAAACATCCATGGACAACTTTTTGTATGGACATAAATTTTTGTGGAGTTTGTTTTGTTTTGTATTTTGAGACAGGGTCTCGCTTTGTTGCCCAAGCTGGAGTGCAGTGGCACTACCATGGCCCACTGCAGCCTCATCTTCCCAGACTCAAGCAGTCCTCCCACCTCAGCCTGAGTAGCTGGGACTACAGGCATGGACTTTCATGCCCAGGTAATTTTTTAAATACTTCTTTGTAGAGACGGAGTCATGCTATGTTGCCAGGGCTGGTCTCAAACTCGTAGGTTCAAAATCCCACCTCAGCCTCAGCTGGGGTTAGAGGTGCGAGCCACCACACCCAGCTCTCATTAAAATCTTTTTTTTTTTTTTTTTTTGAGACAGAGTTTTGTTCTGTCGCCCAGGCTGGAGTGCAGTGGCACGATCTCGGCTCACTGCAAGCTCCACTTCCCGGGTTCACGCCATTCTCCTGCCTCAGCCTCCCAAGTAGCTGGGACTACAGGCGCCCGCCACGACACCCGGCTAGTTTTTTTTGTATTTTTAGTAGAGACGGGATTTCACCATGTTAACCAGGATGGTCTCGATCTCCTGACCTCATGATCCGCCCGCCTTGGCCTCCCAAAGTGCTGGGATTACAGGTGTGAGCCACCACACCCAGCTCTTATTAAAATCTTAATAAAATTTTAATTCATTTGGATAAATACCAAGGAGCAAGATTGCTGGGTCATATGGTAAGAGTATGTTTAGTTTAAAGCTTCTTCCAAAGTGGCTATGCCATTTTGCATTCCTACCAGCAATGAATGAGAGTTCCTGTTGCTCCACATCCTTGCCAGCATTTGGTGTTGTCAGTGTTCTATATTTTGTTTTTTCTAATACATGTGTAGTGGTATCATATTGCTGTTTTAATTTGCAGTTCCCTGAGGAGGACATATGATGATGAACATCTTTTCATATGCTTACTTGGAATCTGTTTATTTTCTTTGGTGAAATGTCTATTTAGGTCTTTTGCCTATTTTAAAAATCAGGTTGTTCAATTTTCTTATTGTCAAGTTTTAAGAGTTGTTTGTATATTTTATTATTTTTATTGTATTTATTTATTTTTTTTTTGAGATAGAATTTTGCTCTCGTTGCCCAGGCTAGAGTGCAATGGTACAATCTTGGCTCACTGCAACCTCTGCCTCCAGGTTCAAGTGATTCTCTTGCCTCAGCCTCCCAAGTAGCTTGGATTACAGTCATGTGCCACCACACCCAGCTGATTTCTTGTATTTAGTAGAGATGGGGTTTCATCATGTTGGTCAGGTTGGTCTCGAACTCCTGACCTCAGGTGATCCACCTGCCTCAGCCTCTCAAAATGCTGGGATTACAGGCGTGAGCCTCCGCACCCGACTGGGAGTCGTTTGTATATTTTAGATAGCAATACTTTATCAGATGTATCTTTTGCAATTATTTTCTCCCAGTCTGTGGCTTGTCTTTCCATTCTCTTGAGGAATCTGCCTTTGTAACCAGCTCATTCATGCAATAAAGTTTGAGGGTCACTGACACCTGAGAGGTGAGGAAATATTATTTTTAACCATCAAAACATAACAATGCACTTCAGTTTTGCTTGTAAACACAATCCTATAAATAACAGAGGTTATAAACATATAATTAATGTAATTAAAGTATACATTGCTGAACTTCACAAAAAATATCCTTATTAGCTCCTATCTAGTTTATGAAAATGGATAGAGCATTAGAAAAAGTCAGGAGATCTGTATTCTAAAGGGAATTTTACTACTAATTAGCCATGTGACCTTAAACTGATCTTTCTCTACATCTCTAGACCCTAGTTTCCTCGGGTATAAAATGATGGGGATTCATGAGATGAGCTTTACAGTTTCCTGTAGTCCTGTGGCTTCGTCAAAGCCAAGACAAGGAGCCTATTTCTATTAATGAAAATCCTGAGTAAACATGGGTGATATATATTAATAAGAAATGCCTTTGATTTGGCATCTTTTAGACTTTAGGTAACAATCCTCAGAGTTAGGATTTAATGCAGACTTGACTAATGCATAAATTAAGCAAGGTTAGCGTCCCCACCAAAGTGTCACTGTGGTCGGTAAAACAAACCCAGATTGATAATGGCTAAATTTAAATGAGAAAGTGTGTGTGTGTGTATACACAATTACATATAGGGCAGAACATAGAGAATTTCAGACTCAACAGACTTTGTGAATGCAAAGAGAAACAAAAATAGAAACCATCCAATAGCCAGATGGCTGAGCCTTCTATTTTTAAATATATCATGAGTTCTGTGGGAGTATGTCAATGAGTAGAACTAAGAAAAATGTGGTAACCTTTAGCGTTTCTGTGTTTTAAACAAAACAATATCACACAAGGTGTCAAATAGCAAGGAAACTATATTATGAAATGAAAGAAGTGAGTGCTTTTTAAGTCCATCAAGCCCAGCCTCTAATATTACACCATGATTCAAAGCACTAATCAAACGTTCTTCATGCTTGAAGCTGCAAGTTATTTACAATGACTGTAATATTTCCAAGAAATACTGAAATTAGTAGGTGAAGTTTCCTTTTTCTCCCTTCTCATATTTCTACACTTAACTTCTTTTCAAATGCCCTAATATAGTCACGGCGTAGCCACGAAACGTGACAGAATAAACACACCCGTGGGTCATCGATGAGCCAAACTTTGCGAAACATCTAAGAAAATGTGTTTGAAAAAGAACAGCACAGTTTAGAATTTTAGAGTAACTCACGAATCAGCTAACCCAGTCAGAAGATTACTCACTTAAGAATGATATAATTACTTTCAGTTTGCTTAAAGCCAGGGAAAAGTTGACACAGCAATTAAAGGAAAATGGGTGAAAAAAAATAGAGTTACATTATACCGACTAAATTCAGGCTGTTCCAAGGAATAGGCCCAAAGCTTATTTGAGGAAAGATTATCTTGACAAATTGGATAAACATTTTCTGCATGACAGGACGCTGATGGAGAGTCTGTTCTGCAAGCACACCTGGTGGTGGTTTGCTTCGTGTTTGACCAAGGTGTTCAGCTTGCCCGAGTTCTCCCAGGGGCTTTGTTTAACGTTCGGCAGGTAGGGGCAGAGCCAGGGTAGGCCTTGGTAACGGTTGTTGGGCTCTGCAGATGTCTTACCCCACCCCAGCCCCACCCCCATCTCCCCATTTGGGTTAAAACAACTCTTGGCTAGACCAGTCCACAAAAGGCAACACCAGACTTTAACAAACAGTTCATGCTTAAGGAGGCCTGCGGTCTGAAGTTCCTAAGGCAAATAAAAATGGCAAATGCAAATAAATGCATCAACACCCCCCTCTTTTTTGGCTTCCTTCCATAGTCAACTGGGATGGAGAGGTCAGGTCCAACACAGGGAATTACTATGGATGCGAACTTTCCAGCACACAAAGCATCCTGGTGCCAGGGTAGAGAAAGTACAAATTTGGTGCATTTCTGCTCAAGGCCATACTTACCTGGGCCCAAATGACTATAGATATGGAGAATCAGTGGCCTCCTGTAAAGTTTTTGTAGCAACTCTGGTGTTCTCAAATTGTCTAGAAGTCTTGGGCATCCTGAAAGTGTGTCTTTGCTATAACTTGGCATCTTTGAAATGCAATCACCCTAGAGGCAGTAATATGAGAATGGCTTCTTAGTGTTGGCCATTTGATATTTTCTAGTGCTGCCTTATCATTCAGGAAAGCACTAATTTGGGGAGCAGTATACCTAGAAATGTCATTAGACAGTGTGGGGATTTCCACTGCATTCAGGACCCACAGAGTGAAATGAACAATCCCGCTGTTAGAACAATTTTGCATTTTGTTAGGTCAATTTGGTTCAGCCAAAATTGCTTTGTGTCAACTAGTTTTAAGCCTGAGTTAACTTTTAGCCTATCCAGTGGTTCCAAACATAAATACCTCACATTACTGTGTTGGATACACTGGTTAGAATTTGAGTTAGGAGTAACAGTGGTTTTAATTTGTTAATTTTTTAAGTCCTTGGGAAGTTATTCCCAGCTGCCAGGATGTGAAGCGCCATGGAGCTCCACCCTCTACAAAGTCCACTTTGCAATTTTCAAAGGAAAACTTCAGTTTTATAGATTATAAATCCACACTCTCATCTTCAATGTGAACACACCTCCTTTCTCTCTCCAACCATTGCTTCATTTCTCTGCCCCCCCTTAATTTTTCTCAACAAGTAAACAAACTGAATACTGTAAAAATCAAATCCTAGGAAAAACCAGAACAATGACACTGCTTGATTCAAAGTCAGCTGACATTGAATGTATGTCTACTGCATCCCTAGACATATCTTGTATAATCCTCACCCAGGGAAATAAGTATTATTTATCTTCACCTTAAGTATGTGAAATCTGAAGTTTAGAGGACATTAAGTTACAAGTCCATGTTCACACAGCTAGAATGTCAAGAAGCCAGGAGTTATTTTCAGTGACTTTGTCCTTGATTCAGTTCCAGGGCTCATTTTCCAAGACTACATTTCTATGTCTTTTAAAGATTGATAGAGTCGGCAAGGCACAGTGGCTCACGCTTGTAATCCCAGCACTTTGGGAGGCCGAGGCGGGCAGATCATTTGAGGTAAGGAGTTCAAGAACAGCCTGGCCAATATGGTGAAAGCCCATCACTACTAAAAATACAAAAAAATTAGCCAGGCATGGTGGCATGCACCTGTAGTCCCAGCTACTTGGGAGGCTGAGGCAGGAGAATCGCTTGAACCCGGGAAGCAGAGGTTGCAATGAGCCAAGACCTTGCAATTGCACTCCAGCCTGGGCAACAGAGCGAGACTCTGTCTCAAAAAAAAAAAAAAAAAAAAAAAAAACAATATAGCAAGGCGTGGTGGCACATGCCTGTAATCCCAGCTACTCGGGAGGCTGAGGCAGGAGAATCGCTTGAACCCAGGAGGTGGAGGTTGCAGTAAGCCAAGATTGTGCCATTGCATGCCAGCCTGGGCAACAGAGTGAAACTCCATCTCAAAAAAAAAAAAAAAAAAAAGATAGAATCAAAGTTGATGACTTTTCCTGGTAATATTTCAGAGCATTAAAAAAATGTTTTAGTGATATATGTTAATTATATCTTACCTTTTAAGCTTGACATTCAAAATAAAATTTTAAATGTAGTTTACTGGCAGGTTTTTTTCCCCAATGGGAGGTGTTCTGGCGGTATTTGAATCTGAGTTGAAATCCTGTGTCTGGCTGTGTGATCATGAATTCATCACTTAACCTTTAGTGGCCTGTTTCTGAATCTGTAAAACAAGAATAAAAATAGTTACCTCCCAGGGTTGGATTTATTTATGCTGCAATTTATCCTTAGACATTATCTGTCTCTCTCAGTAGACTAAGAGCTTCTTTTAAGCATGAACTTTGTCCTCATCATCTATGTATCCTTCATTTATTTCATTGGGTTGTGCATATACTATTTGTTGAATAAATAAATTATTTATATGATTGCATTTGCCACATGTTAGGATCTCAATAAAAGTTTTATTTTCCTTTTTTCTTTTCTTTTTAAGGACTAATAAGGTGTTTATCAGAGAAGAGGTGAAAAACTGCTCAAATAATTTTAGGCACTGTAAACAAAAATGGAAGAGATACACAACTGTATCCTTTTTGATGGGGGCAAAGGAGTCTCTTCAAGTGATCCATATTGGTACAGGGAGATGTCTGAACAGGTGCATTATGACATGATGCCCACAAGCCCAGGTCATATAATGGAAAAGTCAATGTCCAGATTATCAAAGAATTAAGAGAGCACAATGGGCCATCTTCCATATGTTTCAGAAATGCTGAAGAAGTAGTTGAAGAATTGGTCTTGCCATTCTCTAGGAATCATGTTGCTGTCTAATTCATTTGGTTGCTGCTTCTTCACCTCTGTGAAGGTATTGAGACTGCATAGGGGACAAAAGAAGCCAAAGAAAAATGATTAAATACAAAAGGCGGCAAAATATTTGCTCATATTTTATACATAAGTAATATTGGAGGTCACACCTTTCCTGAGATCAGTCTGGATTCCAGGTCTGATTTTAGAGAGTACTAAAACATTTGCCCATAGGTATTAAATTATTCAAATAGAGGGTGCAAGAGGAGGCAGAAAAATGAAGGAAAGGGTACTAATTTGAGGGAATGAAACACTTAAGGACCTGGTTATGCCAGGTAGTAGTCACCTTGGGCCAGTAACTTCAGTTATTTATTTTCATGGCCATCTGTTTCCTCCCTGGAAAACTAGAGGAGAATGGGGGTTTGTTCAACTCTGGTGTCAAAATGTGTATGTGGTGGGGGGGAGGGATTTTATTTATTTTTTTTTGAGACAGTCTCACTCTGTCACCCAGGCTGCAGTGCAGTGGCTGATCTCAACTCACTGCAACCTCTGCCTCCGAGGCTCAAGCGATCCTCCCACCCCGGTTTCCTAAGAAGCTGGGACTAGAAGTGCACATGCAGCTAATTTTTGTATTTTTTGTAGAGACAGGGTCTCGAACTCCTGGGCTCAAGCAATCTACCTGCCTCAGCCTCCCAAAGTGCTGGGATGACAGGCATGAGCCACCGCACCCAGCCAATGTTTTTATAATATGATTTTTCTGCAACTGTATTTGCTGGAGAAAATCACACCACTGTGTTGACCAGTCATGATCACACATCAAGAGGACTGTCTTACATCTTTTCATCTCTTCTGTAACCTCCAACTTATCCCTACATTCTCACCTCTCAGCTTCACTTTCAACCAATGAATCTACCTCATCTTTCATCTAGAGCTATACTGTCCAATGGTAGCTACTAGCCACATGTAGCTATTTAAATTTAAATTAATTTAAATTAAAAATTCAGTGCCTGAGTTGCACTAACCGCATTGCAAATGTTAAACAGCCACATCTCCCCTTACTATCATACTGGACTGTGTAGATATAGGACATTTTCACCATCTCAGAAATTTCTATTGAACAGCACTGGTCTATTGTAGAAGAATCCCCTCGTCTACTCAACCCTGACTCTCTAGACCTGTCTGCAATATACGTCCCTCTACCTTCCCTTTTGTGCCAATGAAAGAGGTGTCCCTGATTCTATCAGAGAACCAGCCCCTCCATGTGTCATCTCACCAACTCAAGGACCTTGCTTTCTGTCTCACCATTCTGTGTTGTAATGTTTCCCCTTTATACTGAATTATTTTTATTGACAAAATGTCAAATCTTTTAAAAAATAAAATTTCCCACTTCTGAGAAATGAAATAGACTTACTTTTTCTTATTACTCCTGCTAAGTACAATGAAAAACTTTGGACATTTTATATATAAATATATCTATATATAATATATAGATATATCTAATGTATAGATATATGTAGATATTACATATATATTTACATTGATATTATATGTAAAATATATTGATAAGAAATATACACACACACACACACACACACACACACATATATCAAGGCTTAGCTCAGAAAGATGAAGAGAAAAGCCATGCCGGCTAGAAAACCTGGGGCCCGCCGGGCGCGGTGGCTCAGGCCTGTAATCCCAGCACTTTGGGAGGCCAAGGTGGGTGGATCACGAGGTCAGGAGATGGAGACCATCCTGGTTAACACAGTGAAACCCTGTCTCTACTAAAAATACAAAAAATTAGCTGGGCGTGGTGGTCCGTGCCTGTGGTCCCAGCTACTCGGGAGGCGGAGGCAGGAGAATGGTGTGAACCTAGGAGGTGCAGCTTGCCGTGAGCCAACATCTTGCCACTGCACTCCAGCCTGGGCAACAGAGCCAGACTCCGTCTCAAAAAAAAAAAAAAAAAAAAAGAAAAGAAAAGAAAAGAAAACTTGGGGCCCAAAGGAAAACACAGTAGTGAATTTCCTGGGTTTTCTTTTTGCCTCATATATCTCAGACTCAGAGCTGAGCGAGCTGGCAACCCAGAAATGCTAATAAGTGCAGACAAAACCACCCCAACAAAAACCTGCTCTCTCTTGCCGAAGAACCAGGAAAGGGGCAGCCTAGGAAAACAGAGAAGTTTTAGATAATAACTGCTTCACCGCAGCCAAACACCACAGAAAAACTATGGCACCACCTCCACACAGGCCAGCAAAGGCCAAGTAGGGACCTAGAATTTCACCCTTGTGAGGCTGTGGGAAGTGACACAGCACCCACACTGGGATGGTGTCAGAGAAGGCCAAACAGAGAGCTAGGATTGTCATCCCTACTGGCCAGTAACGTGACTCTACTCCCACTCCAGTTTTCAGTAGAGATATCTAAGGATTCTAGACTTTTACCCCCTCCTGGCAGTAATATGCATTCCTTCCCATCGCCACTGAATAGGGTCGAGGGGAGCCTAGTGGACAGTCATGATGTCACCAGCACCAGTGGTAACAAGGCCACTGCAGTGTCAGTGGAGACATGCCGGGAGCTGGAACTTCCTTTTTATTAGTAACAAGGAGCACCCCCATCTCAGGTATAAACAGAAGCTTAATAGTTAAGCTGTATTTCTGTGTCAAGATGGCAATGATGAGGTGGCGCTCTTCCTTCCCTAGCAAGAGAGATGTCAGAGAAAGCCAACTAAAACAGAATTTTTAAATAAGATGCAGAGTTTCAAAACATAATATGAAAATATCTGATTTTCAATGAAAAATCACTCATCTCCTCAGGAACCAGGAAGATTTCAAAAGAAAAAAAGACAATCCGTAGATTCCAATTCCAAGATAACAGAGACATTAGAATTATGTCTACAAGGTAACAGAGACAAAGATTTTAAAGCAGCCACGGTAAAGATGCTTCAGTGAGGCCGGGCGCAGTGGCTCACCCCTGTAATCCCAGCACTTTGGGACACCTAGGTGGGCAGATCACCTGAGCTCAGGAATTTGAGACCAGCCTGGCCAACATGCCGAAACCCCATCTCTACTAAAAATACAAAAATTAGCTGGGCGTGGTGTGCACACCTGTAATCCCAGCAACTCAGGAAGCTGAGGCAGGAGAATCGCTTGAACCCAAGAAGCGGAGGTTGTAGTGAATCGAGATCGCGCCATTGCATTCCAGCCTGGGCAACAGAGTGAGACTCAATCTCGAAATAAATAAATAAATAAATAAATAAAAGCTTCAGTGAGCAACAACTACAAACATGCTTCAAACAAAAACAAATAAAAGAAAGCAAGCCTGAGCAAAAAAAAACACAAACAAACAAACAAAACGATAAAAGAGTGAAAGAAACATTTTAGTACTTTAAAATACAAAAACCAAAGTAAAAAACCTAGAGAATGGACATAACAGCAGAATGAGAGGGACAGGTGAAATCATCACTAAGCTGAAAGATAGACCAACAAGAATTACCCAGTCTGAACAGTAAAGAGAAAAAAAAAAAATAGACCAAAAAAAAGAGACAGACCCTCAGGGATCTTTGGTACTACACCAAAATGTCTACTATTTGTGTCACTGAAATCTCAGAAGGCGGGCAGGAAGAGGGCAGGGCTAAAAAGTCCCTAATTTGAAAGCAGACATAAACGTAAGGGCTCAACAAGCTGAGCAAACCATAAGCATCAATCTCCCGGGCTCAAGTGATCCTCCCACCTCAGCCTCTTGAGTAGCTGGGATTACAGGCATGCACCACCATGTCCAGCTACTTTTTAAATTTTTTGTGGAGACAGGGTCTCACTATGTTGCCCAGGCTAGTGTCAAACTACTGAACTCAAGTGACCCTTTTGCCTCAGCCTCCCAGAATACTGGGGTTACAGGTGTAAGCCCCACTGAAAAACACCTTTATAGCATCTAGAGAAAAAATAATACCTTACTTATAAATAAAAAGCATCAGAATGACAGCAGATTTCTCATTAGAAACCATGCAGACCAGAAAAAGTGACTCAATATTTTTTAGGTACCAAGAGAAAATAATTGTCAATATAGAACCCTATACTATTTAATTTTATCATTTAAAATAGTAAATAAAGCTGACTGTCTTTGAGCAGGGAAAGATTTTTTCCTGCCTTGAGACTGGAAAAAAAAAATACCAGAACCCTATACTTGGTGAAAAATATTCTTCAGAAATGAAGAAATCAAAATATTCTCAGAAGAAGGTAAACTATGAGAATTTATTGTTAGCAGATCTACTTTAAAGAAGATCTGGCCAGTTTTGGTGGCTCCTGCCTGTAATCCCAACACTTTGAGAGGTTGAGATGGGAGGATAACTTGAGCTCAGGAATTCAAGACCAGCCTGGGTGACATAGCGAGACTCCATCTCTACAATAAATAAATATATAAATACATATATGGACACATAAATATATACATATATATTTACATATACGTATTTTTGAGACAGATACTCTGTCACCCAGGCTGGAGTACAGTGGTGTGATCTTGGCTCACTGCAACCTCCATCTCCTGGGTTCAAGTGATCCTCCTGCCTCAGCCTCCCAAGGAGCTGGGATTACAGGCATCTGCCACCACACCCAGCTAATTTTTGTATATTTTTAGTAGAAATGGGGTTTCACCATGTTTGCCAGGCTGGTCTTGAATTTCTGACCTCAAGTGATCCACCTGCCTCAGCCTCCCAAAGTGTTGGGTTTACAGGCGTGAGCCACCATGACCAGCCTTACAAAAAAAATTTAAAAATTATCTGGGCATGGCAGGGTGTGGTAGCTCATGCCTGTAATCCCAGCACTTTGGGAGGCCGAGGAGGATGGATCACCAGATCAGGAGATCAAGACCATCCTGGCTAACACGGTGAAACCCCATCTCTACTAAAAATACAAAAAATTAGCTGGGCGTGGTGGTGGGTGCCTGTAGTCCCAGCTACTCGGGAGGCTGAGGCAGGAGAATGGCATGAACCTGGGAGGCAGAGCTTGCAGTGAGCTGAGATTGTGCCACTGCACTCTGGCCTGGGGGACAAAGCAAGACTCTGTCACAAAAAAAAAAAAAAAAAAAAAAAAAATTATCTGGGCATGGTGTTGTGCACCTGTAGTTCCAGCTACTTTGGAGGCTGTGACAGGAAAATCACTTGAGCCCAGGAGGCTGAGGCTATGGGGAGCCATGATTGTGCCACTGTACTCCAGCCTGGGCAGCAGAGCAAGACCCTGTCTCCAAAAAAATATAAAGGTATCTAATGAAAGTCCTCTAAACAGAAAGGAAGGTTGGGCATGGTGGCTCACACTTGTAATCCCAGTGCTTTGGAAGGCCAAGGTAGAAAGATTGCTTGAAGCCAGGAGTTTGAGACTAGCCTTTATCTACAGTTAATAAATAAACAGAAAAAGCATTAAAAAAGAAGAAATCTTGGGATATCAAGAAGGAAGGAAGAACATAATAACCAAAAATATGGGTAAAATCAATAGGCTTTTATTTTCCTCTTGAATTTTCTAAATTATGTTATATATGGCCAGCATTTTAAAAAGCTATAGAAACAGATACACTCAGAAACACTATAGCTAAATCAAAATGGAATTCTAAAAATATTCAAATAATCCATAGGAAGGCAGAAAACAGAAAGCAGGTAATGAAAAACAGGAAAAAAAAAAACATAGTGCCATTATATATAAATTAAGTGCCATTATATATAAATAAATACATTAAATGTAAATGCTTTAAATACACCAGTTAGAAAACAGAGATTGGGGCCAGGCATAGCGGCTCATGCCTGTAATCCGAGCATTTTGGGAGGCCAAAGTGGGAGGACTGCTTGAGGCCAGGAGTTCAAGACCACCCTGGCCAACATAGTGAGACTCTGCATCTATTTTTTGTTGTTGTTTAAAAAAAAATGTTTTTAAAGAAAATAAAATGGAGATTGGCAGGGTGGATTAAAAGCAAAATCTAACTATATGCTGTCTACAAGAAACTCACTTCAAGTCTAATGATACAGGCAGATTGAAAGTAAAAGGGTGGAAAAGATATACCATGCAAATGTGAAGCAAAGGAAAGCCAGAATAGTTATATTAATATTAGATAAAGTAGACTTCAGAGCAAAGAGGATACTAGAGACAGAGAAGTACAATATAATAATAAAAGGGTCAATCAAGAACAGATAGCAATTCTAACTATTAATATGTGTGCACCAAACAACAAAGCTGGAAAATATGTAAAACAAAACTGATAGAACTGAAAGGAGCAATAGACAAATTCATAATTATAATAGGAGATTTCAACACCACTCTCTCAATGAATGATAGAACAATAGACTGAAAATCAGCACGCATATAGAAGACCTCACCAATACCATTAGCCAGCAAGATCTAATTGACATAGACCACTTCACCCAACGATAGCACAATACATTTTCTTCTTTTTCCTTTTATTTATTTATATTTTTTATTTTTATTTATTTACTTTTTTTAAGAGGGAATCTTGCTCTGTCACCAGGCTAGAATGCAGTGGCGCAGTCTTGGCTCACTGCAACCTCCATCTCCTGGATTCAAGTGATTCTCCTGCCTCAGCCTCCTGAATAGCTGGGATTACAGGTGTGCACCACCACGGCCAGCTAACTTTTTGTATTTTTAGTAGAGATGGTGCTTCACCATGTTGGCCAAGATGGTCTCGATCTCCTGACCTCGTGATCTGCCCACAGCCTCCCAAAGTGCTGGGATTACAAGCGTGAGCAACCACACTAGGCCTCTCTCTCTCTCTATATATATATATATATAAAATATATATTTATTTACATATTATATATATTTATATGTATAATATATATTTATTTACATATTATATATATATTTATATATATAAATATATATATCCCTGCAAGAGATATATATATCTATATATGTAAATAAATATATATATTATACATATATATTTTTTAATAGAAGTAGAGACATAGTCCCCACTATGTTGCCCAGGCTAACCTCAAACTCCTAGACTCAAGCAATCCTCCCACCTTGGTCTCCCAAAGTGCTGGGATAAAAGGTGTGAGCCATCATGCCTGGCAAGAATACAAATTATTTTTACATGCCCATAAAACATATACCAAGGTAAACCATATCCTGGGCCTTGAAACAAACCTCAACACATTTAAGAGAATTGAAATCATACAAAGTATGTTCTCCAACCAAAACATAATCAAATTACAAATCAATAACAAAAGGATCACAGGAAAATCTTCAAACTCTTGGAAACTACACAATACACTTCTAAGTAATCCATGAGTCAAAGATAAAGTCTCAAAGGAAACCAAAAAATAAATTGAACTGGATGAAAATGAAAAATATACTAAGACTTGTGGGACCTACCTAAAGCAATACTAAAAGGGAAATTTATAGCATTAAATGCATACATTAGAAAAGAGGGAGTCTCAAATACAGATCTAAGCTCCCCACTAAAAATAAAAAACAACCTAAGCTACCACTTTAAAACCTAGGAAAAGAAGAGCATAATAAACACAAAGCAATCAGAAACAGCAAAATAACGAGGTAAGAGGAGAAATCAGTAAAATTGAAAAGAAAAAATGATAGAGAAAAATCAATGAAACAAAAAGATGGTTCTTTGACGAGATCAACAAAATTGACAAACCTCTGCCAAGACTGACAAAGAAGCCTGGGCAATATACCCAGACCCCATTTCTAAAAACATTTTTAAATTTTAAATAACTTATCTGGGCATAGTGGAACATGCCTGTATTCCCAGCTACTCAGGAGGCTTAGGTGGGAGGATTGCTTGAGCCCAGGAGTTCAAGGCTGCAGTGAGCTATAATTGTGCCACTGCCCTCCAGCCTCAGTGACAAGGCAAGATTCAAATTACCAATATTAGAGATAAAACATTGACTATCACTCTAGACCCCACAGACAACAAAAGGATAATAGAATACTAAAACAACTACATATGCATAAATTTAACAACTTAAACGTAATGTGCCAGGCCCTCAAATAACACAAAGTACTCACCAAAAATGAATAGATAATTTAAATAGTCCCAAAGCTATTAACAAATTGAATTTATAATTTTAAAACTTCTCAAAAAGAAATCACCATGCCCAGAAGTTTTCACTGGAGAATTCTCCCAAGGGTTTAAAGGAGAATTAACATAAATTTTGCACAATTTCTTCCAAAATATAGAAGGGGTGTGTCAGGGCAGGGGAGAGATTTCCAATTCATTTCATGAAGTAAAATAATATCAAAACCAGACAAAATTGTACAAAAAAACCCCACTACAGATCCAGATTCTTTTTTTTTTTTTTTTTTTTTGAGACAGAGTTTTGCTCTTGTTGCCCAAGCTGAAGTGCAAAGGTGCGATCTTGGCTCACCACAACCTCTGCCTCCTGGGTTCAAGCGATTCTCCTGCCTCAGCCTCCTGAGTAGCTGGGATTACAGACATGCATCACCACGCCTGGCTAATTTTGTATTTTAATTAGAGATGGGGTTTTTCCATGTTGGTCAGGCTGGTCTCAAACTCCCGACCTCAGGTGATCAGCCTGCCTTGGCTTCCCAAAGTGCTGGGATTATAGGCATGAGCCACTGCGCCGGGCCAGATCCAGATTCTTTACGAAGGTAGACATAGAAATTTTAAAACAAGTAAATTATTTAATTAATTATATTAGCAAATAGAATTAACAAATTTTGTTAACAAACAGAATTCAGTAATATATAAAAGTAATATAGGCCTGGCACAGTGGCTCATGCCTGTAATCCGAACACTTTGAGAAGCCGAGGCAGGTGGGTCACCTGAGGTCAGGAGTTCGAGCCCAGCCTGGCCAACATGGTGACACTCTGTCTCTACTAAAAATACAAAAATTAGCTGAGTGTGGTGATATGTGCCTGTAATCCCAGCTACTTGGGAGCCTGAGGTAGGAGAATGCTTGAACCAAGGAGCGGAGGTTGCAGTGAGCCGAGGTCGCACCACTGCACTCCAGCCTGAGAGACAGAGCGAGACTCCATCTCAAAAAAAAAAAAAAAAGTAATATAATGTAAATGTAATATATAAAAAGAATTATACAAATGACCCATGACCAAGTGAGATTTATTTCAGGCATGCAAGGCTGATACAGTGTTTAAAAATTGCCTGGGCACGGAGGCTCACACCTGTAATCCCAACATTTTGTGAGGCTGAGGCATAAGGATCACTTGAGCTCAAGAGTTCAACACCAGCCTAAGCAACATAATGAGACTTTGTCTTTACTAGAAATCGAAAAAATTGGCTGGGCATGATGGCATGTGCCTGTAGTCCTAGCTAATCAAGAGACTGAAGTCGGAGGATAACTTTAGCCCTGGAGATCAAGCCGGGAGTGACTTATGATTGTGTCACTGCACTGCAGCCTGGACAACAGACAGAGACTCTATCTCAAAAAAATTTAAAAATATAAAAATTTAGAAACTAATTAATATAACCCACCATATTAACAGGCTAAAAAATCACATGATTATATCAATGGATACAGAAAATTCTTATGACAAAATTCAACACCAATTTATTCTTTCAAAAACTTTTGGAGGCCGGGCACGGTGGCTCACACCTGTAATCCCAGCACTTTGGGAGGCCGAGGTGAGTGGATCACCTGAGTTCAGAAGTTCGAGATTACCTTGGCCAACATGGTGAAACCCCGTCTCTACTAAAAATACAAAAAAATTAGCCAGGTATGGTGACTCATGCCTGTAATCCCAGCTACTCAGGAGGCTGAGGAGGAGAATCGCTTGAACCTGAGAGGTGGAGGTTGCAGTGAGCCAAGATTGCGCCATTGCACTCCAGCCTGGGCGACAGAAAAAAAAAAATTGGAAAAATAGGTATAGAAAAGAACTGTGAGATGGATGGGGACAGGAAGTGTCCCTGCAAGAGATAATGAGGGAAAGAAATTAGGCAGTGACAGTAGAAAATATTTAAAGGCTAAAATTGATAGGACTATGATTGATTGAACATGGGGATGGAGGCAGAAATGAAAAAAAGCAAGGTCGGGCGCAGTGGCTCACGTCTGTAATCCCAACACTTTGGCAGGCCGAGGCTAGCAGATCACGAGGTCAGGAGATCAAGACCATCCTGGCTAACACGGTGAAACCCCGTCTCTACTAAAAATACAAAAAAATTAGCCGGGCATGGTGGCAGGCGCCTGTAGTCCCATCTACTCGGGAGGCTGAGGCAGGAGTATGGCGAGAACCCAAGAGGTGGAGGTTGCAGTGAGCCGAGATCGCACCACTGTGCTCCAGCCTGCGTGACAGAGCAAGACTCCATCTCATTAAAAAAAAGAAAAAAGAAAAAAGAAAGAAAAAAACGAAGTAGTCCACATTGTCTCTTACGTTTCTGTCTTTGATAACCAGGTAGGTGGAGTGGGGGAAAGGGGTGTGTTTATGAGAGAGGTCTTGCGTTAGAAGGAGTAGATTGTGGAGGATCAAGAAACTTAAGGTGATCCATTTCAGTATGCCTGGGAGTGGTGAAGGCAAAGACAAGCAAATAAAAAGAGTCCCTTTAGAGTTCTTCCAGTCAAAATAGTTGGTGAATCACCGCTACCTTGGGTTTAAACAAAAAGCACTCAAATACTAGAACTCAAATGAACACTGATGGTGATACCAAGAAAAAAGCCCCACTGGGCGCAGTGGTTCAGGCCTGTAATCCCAGCACTTTGGGAGGCTGAGGCGGGTGGATCACTTGAAGTCGGGAGTTCAAGACCAGCCTGGCTAACATGGTGAAACCTTGTCTCTACTAAAATACAAAAATTACCTGGCGTGGTGGCGGGCGCCTGTAATTTCAGGTACTCAGGAGGCTGAGGCAGGAGAACCACTTGAACCTGGGAAGTGGCGGTTGCAGTGAGCCAAGATCGCGCCACTGCACTCCAACCTGGGCGACAGAGTGAGACTCAGTCTCAAAAAAAAAAAAAAAAGTCCCAATATTAATCCTTGCCCCCAGAATGTTATCAATCTGTCATTAAAACATACGGGTTTTTGGCTGGCAGCAGTGGCTCATGCCTGTAATCCCAGCACTATGGGAGGCCAAGGTGGGTGGATCACTTGAAGTCAGGAGTTCAAAACCAGCTGGCCAACATGGTGGTCTCCACTAAAGACACAACAATTAACTGGGTGTGCTGGCGGGCGCCTGTAATCCCAGCTACTCAGGAGGCTGAGGCAGGAGAATCGCTTAAACCCTGGAGGCGGAGCTTGCAGTGAGCTGAGATCGTGCACTCCAGCCTGGGCGACAGAGCAAGTCTCCATCTCAAAAAAAAAAAAAACTGGTTTTCAAGAGATCAGCAAAGAGAAGACAGTGGCAGTTCAGACTTGAAGTGGCCAAACGCAGAGTAAGGACACCACTCTGGTGAGTTGCTGCGCTTACGTCTGCTTTTCAAAAAGCCACTGTCCTCCCCCTTTTGCATCTGAATAAGGAACAAGGAAATACCACGTATGTGATGTGACAGGATGCCAGCAGAGAAGCCTCGGTCACTTGTGTAAAATAAGCACAACCCTATTCTGCCATGTCCACTTGGTCTTAGCCCGTGTGACTTTCTGCCCCCCAACTCTCTTCTCTTTTACCTCTCATTATCCTACATCTCCCCTAGAGCATGTGGCTCTATTCCTCACATCCCAGCTTTGTCATTAATTAGGTTGTTCATTGCGTTTCCATTTGAGGATTACAGAGCTCAAAGGTCCTTAAAAAAAAAAAAAACAGGCCAGGCGCGGTGGCTCATGCCTGTAATCCCAGCACTTTGGGAGGCTGAGGCGGGTGGGTCACCTAAGGTCAAGAGTTCCAGACCAGCCTGACCAAACTGGTGAAACCCCGTCTCTACTAAAAAATACAAAAATTAGCTGGGCGTGGTGGCGGGTGCCTGTAATCCCAGCTACTCGGGAAGCTAAGGCAGGAGAATCACTTGAACCTGGGAGGCAGAGGTTGCAGTGAGCTGAGGTTGCGCCACTGTGCTCCAGCCTGGGCGACAGAGCAAGACTCCATCTCAAAAACAAAAAAACTAAAACATATTCCTCCTATTACGGGTACCCCTTTTCTGATCAAGAAACTTTCATTTGCCTCCACGTACCAGGCAACTACATGCTTTCCTTCTGCTGTTTGCAGTCTTAGTCACAACCCCATGGAAGGATTAGGCGCAAATGTCACTCTGCTGTTTCCTTCAGTAGATGATGTGAGTATAAATTGGATTGTGTAAGTGCATATTAGCTCTTTCCCTTCAATGCTAATACAGCAAGCTGTATTTGAGATCTTTTTTACTTCCTTGCAGAAGGATAGAATGAGAAAGCAAGGGGTCACAACTTTCTTTCTCTTGGCAAGCAGAAATATTGAACTGAGAAGGCTGCCAAACTGCCAATCTCTGTATGAAATGTATCCAATAACCTAGGGATTAAAATTCTGGATGGCCACTAACTGTTCTCGTGGAGCTTATTGGAAACGATTTCTTTATGAAGATTTCTAAGGAGGCCCTTCCAGCGCAGTCACAACAGTAAGGCCTCCCATGCGATAGAGAGAGCAGAGCAAATAACACCTTTATGAGAGATTAAAATAGTAACAGGTAAACTGCACAGGCTGCACCATTCTCTGTGGCAGTCCAACAAAGCTAATCTCAACATTGTTTACTCTCAACACTCCTGTAAACTCAGATCCCACTTGTCTTTCACAGTTGTGTGTACCAGAGCACCTCAAAGTGAGATCTGGAAGCAGTGTTGCTTTGTGAACTGATTGTTACTGGTTAGCCATAGGTGTAGAAATTGAGAGTAGGTCTTTAGAGTCATTTATAGCAACCCACAGAATATTTTTGTATATCATAATTTAAAAGTTAGACGTCTTTTCAAAATATCACATTTCTAATAATGTACTTCTTTCTTTGTTTTTACAAAAGTATAAATCAGCTGAGGATTAGGAAATTTTTTACTTTTATTCTTATTTATTTATTTATTTATTTTTTAGGAGACAGGGTTCTCACTCTGTTGCTCAGACTAGAGTGTAGTAATGTGATCATAGCTCACCATGACTTCCCCAGCTTTGGGGCTCAAGCAATCCTCCTGCCTCAGCCTCTGAGTAGCTGGCACTACAGGCACATGCTACCACACCTGGCTAGAAAGTTTTTTTAAAGATCTGGATGGCTGGGGATGGTGGCTCATACCTGTAATCCCAGCACTTTTGGAGGCCAAAGCAGGAGGGTCACTTTAGCCCAGGTTTAGACCAACTTAGGCAACATAGTAAGACCCCCCCGTTCCCAACCTATACAGAAAAAATTTTAAATCAGCAGTGTGTGGTGGTACACACCTATAGTCCCAGCTACTCTAAAGGCTGTGGCAGGAGGATTGCTTGAGCCCAGGAACTAGAGGTTACAGTAACCTATGATTACACCATTGCACTCCAGTCTGGGCAACAGAGTGAGACCTTGTTTCAAAATCATCATCATCAACATCATCATCATCATCATCATCATTTATTGTATATTTCAAAATGGCTAGAAGAGAAAATTTGCAATGTTCCCAACACATAGAAAAAATAGTCTACGGCCATACCACCCTGAACGCGCCCGATCTCGTCTGATCTCGGAAGCTAAGCAGTGTCGGGCCTGGTTAGCACTTGCATGGGAGACCGCCTGGGAATACCGGGTGCTGTAGGGTTGGCCGGGCGCGGTGGCTCACGCCTGTAATCCCAGCACTTCGGGAGGCCGAGGTGGGTGGATCACAAGGTCAGGAGATCGAGACCATCCTGGCTAACACGGTGAAACCCCATCTCTACTAAAAACAGAAAAATTAGCCAGTGTGGTGGTGGGCGCCTGTAATCCCAGCCACTCAGGAGGCTGAGGCAGGAGAATGGCGTGAACCCAGGAGGCGGAGCTTCCAGTGAGCCGAGATTGCGCCACTGTACTCCAGCCTGGGCGACAGAGCGAGACTCCATCTCAAAAAAAAAAAAAAAGAGAAAAGAATGTTTGAGTTGGTGGATATCCCAAGTGCCCTGATTTGTATACAGGTATCAAAGTATCATAGGTACCCCCAAAATATGTACAACTATATCAATTAAAAAACACAAAAAAACTTAAAAACTCTACAGACATACCCTTCTTTAATTTTTCTTTTTCCCTCATTAAATATATCTAATAGGACAAAGTCCTATGGATTCTATCCCTGAAATTTACCTCATGTCTCCTCACCCTGCCTTTTGTCATATTTTCTAACTGAACTTCTCCTAACTGAAATTCCTGTCTCCAAGCACGGCCATCACTCTAACCCTAATCCTATCCCTAACCCTAACTCTGCTGTTAGGCCATCACTGTGCTGTTAGAGAGATCTTTCTTTTTTTTATCTTTTTTTTGAGATGGAGTCTCGTTCTGTCACCCAGGCTGGAGTGCAGTGGCGTGATCTCGGCTCACTGCAACCCCCGCCTCCTGGGTTCACGCGATTCTCCTGCCTCAGCCTCCCGAGTAGCTGGGATTACAGGCACATACCACCATGCCGGGCTAATTTTTTGTGTATTTTTAGTAGAGACGGGGTTTCACTATGTTGACCAGATTGATCTCGAACTCCTGACCTCTTGATCCACCTGCCTCAGCCTCCCAAAGTGCTGAGATTACAGGAGTGAGCCACTGCGCCCGGCAGAGAGATCTTTCTAAAATGAAGATGTCTCTCTTCTGCCTAAAAACTCTCACCTTATACAACAAATTCCAAACTCTTTGCTGAACTTGTAAAGCCCTTTGTAACTGAGTCCAGCCTACACTCTTGGCCTCATCTTCAGCCCCACTCTCCAAGTCACCCTAAGCCCCAGCCATGCTCAACTGCTTGCTACTCTTCAGACACATTATGAAACTTTTTACTCCATGAATAATACTCCATGCCCTGGTTCACTCTGTCACCTCTGCCCTGGAATGCCTCTTCCTCCATGTGTAACTGGTGCTTTCATCCTTCAAAGCTCAGCTCAGGTCACTTCCTTTTTGTATTTTCTCTGACATTCCTCCTTTTTTTAATTTTTCCAGATATAATTACTCTCTTATCTACATATGTCTCTTACTTTATATCTATACTTATATACATATTTCACGGGGTTTCACCATCTTGGCCCCGCTGGTCTCGGACTCCTGACCTTGTGATCCACCCGCCTCGGCCTCCCAAAGTGCTGGGATTACAGGCGTGAGCCATGGTGCCCAGCTATGTCAGTATTATGAGTTAAGACATTCTTTTGTTTACTCATTTATTTATTCATTCATTTCTTGGGAAACACATGCTCCAAACTCTCAGGATCTAGTTAGTGGTGACTAAGATAAAGAAGGTCACAGCCATCATAGAACTTACATTGCAATGTAGGAGACATAAAACAGAGTAATAAACCAAAGCAAGCAAATAAACAAACAAGATAATTACATGTGTAGATTATTGCTAGGAAAAAAATCTGAACAGACCGATGAGGAAGAGTCTGTCTGCAGAGACCAGCCTAGACAGGGAGGTCAGGAAGATTCCCTGAGAAGATGACACTTGAGCTGAGATTTGAAAGATGAGAAGTGCAGAACGGGACTGACTTGTTCAAGGAAAAGAAAAAAAAGACCAATATGGCTGGAGCAGAGTGAGCAGGGCTGAGCAGTATAAATCAAGTTGGGAAAATGGGCCCCAGGCTATAGGACCTCACTAGGATACAGTAAGGAGTTTAGCTTTTACTCTGAGCAGTATTAGCCCTTCAAGGGTTTTAAATAAGGCAGTGGATTGGATCCAATTACAATGTTAAGAAATGTACAATTGTCCTTGTAGAGAGTGGATTAAAGAAGAGCAAGAGAGAAGATCAGGGAACAGATGAAGGGATTATTCTAGAATTGTAAGCCAGAGGTGATGATTGCTTGCAGGTAGGAGGGCAAAGGTGAGGATAGAGAGAAGTAGATAGATGAGAGATGTCATCTGAAGGTCAAATTAAAAGCCCTGGGTGATGGATTAAATGTGTGTGGAGCTAGGGGGAGATAAGGGAAATGAAGTAGTAAGAACTACCCTGAGCCGGGCGTGGTGGCTCACTCCTGTAATCCCAGCATTTTGGGTGGCCAAGGCAGGAGGATAACTTGAGCCCAGAAGTTTGAGACCAGACTGAGCAACATGGCAAGAACTCGTCTCTAAAAAAATAAAATCCCATGCCCCTGCAGTCCCAGGTACTTAGGAGGCTGAGGTGGGAGGTTCACTTGAGCCCAGGAGTTTGAGACTGCAGTGAGCTATGATTGTGCGACTGTACTTCAGCCTGGGTGACAGAGCAGGACCTTGTCTCAAAAAAAGAAGAAAGAAAGAAAGAAAGAAAGAAAGAAAGAAAGAAAGAAAGAAAGAAAGAAAGAAAGAAAGAAAAACCGAATAACCCCTGATGTTTTGGGACATTGGTGGTATGAATTAAATTGGTGAGGGAGCCTTTGGGACCAGGTTTTGTGTAGTGGGCTGGAGGAGAGGTAGCGACTAGAATTAAGAGCCTTGGGCCGGGCGTGGTGGCTCATGCCTGTAATCCCAGCACTTTGGGAGTCTGAGGAGGGTGGATCACCTGAGGTCAGGAGTTTGAGGCCAGACTGGTCAACATGGTGAAACCCCGTGTCTACTAAAAATACAAAAATTAGCTAGGTGTGGTGGCGAGTGCCTATAATCCCAGCTACTGGGGAGGCTGAGGCAGGAGAATTGCTTGAACCCGGGAGGCAGAGGTTGCAGTGAGCTGAGATGGCTCCACTGTACTCCACCTGGGCAAAGAGCAACACTGCGTCTAAAAAAAAAAAAAAAAAAAAAAAAAGCTCTGTTTTGGATGGAGATGCATATTAGACATCCAAGAGAAGCTGTCAAGAATTAGTAAATAACTAAAAGGTAGAAAAAGAAACTGAGGCTAAAAACAGTTATACATGTACCAAATTTTAGGATCACCCAAGTCTGCCCGACTCATAAACACTAAGCTAAGTATATGCAAATTGGCAATTTTTTCTTTCAGGTATAATTAGAAAATAGTACAAAACGTTTGGGAATAGAAAGGTAAAATACATGGTTAAAAAAATAACTTTTTTTTTTTTTTTTTTTTTTTTTTTTTACTGTTTTGAGCTTTTTTCCCCCGGCACAATCTTAAATGAAAGAAATGAAAATAAAACAAAATAACCTCTGTCCTGGGATGGAGTTAAGAATACGCAACTCTGGAGTAGGTTGGGTTCAGTTGATGTCTCTACCACTTACCCCTGTGTGACCTTGAATAGGTTCTCTCAAAGCTTTGTACCTCAGATTCTGATCAATAAAACATTTTAAAATACCAGCCGGGCGCGGTGGCTCACGCCTGTAATCCCAGCACTTTGGGAGGCTGAGGCAGGTGGATCACAAGCTCAGGGATCGAGGTCAGGAGATTGTGTGACTAACATGGAGAAACCCCGTCTCCACTAAAAATACAAAAAAAATTAGCCAGGCATGGTGGCACGCATCTGTAATCCCATCTACTCGGGAGGTTGAGGCAGGAGAATTGCTTGAATACAGAAGGCAGAGGTTGCAGTGAGCCGAGATCGCACCACTGCACTCCAGCCTGGGTGACAGAGTGAGACTCCATCACAAAATATATATATAAAATGATGCAACCAATGTGAAAAATAGTTTGATGGTTCCTCAATAAGTTAAACATAGATTTACTATATGATCCAGAAATTCTACTCCTGAGTATATATCCAAAATAATTGAAAACAAAAACTTGTATACCAATGTTCATAGCAACTCTATTTTGAAAATAGCGACACGGTGGAAACAACCCAAATGTCCATCAGTTGATGAATATGTAAACAAAATGTGATATATCCATATCGTAGAATATTATTCAACCATAAAAAGGGATGAAGTACTGATACATGCTACAACATGGATGAACCTGGAAAACATTATGCTAAGTGAAACAAGTCAGATACAGAAGGCCATGTAGTGTATAATTCCATTTATACCAAATATCCAGAATAATCAATAGAAGAAGAAAAGCTAAATATTGAGCTCTTGCCACATGCCAGGTACTGTTAGAAATTTTTTAGATATATAAACTCATTTAACCTTTGTAAAAACTATTATTACTCCCATTTCATAGATTTCAAAATTGAAGTACAAACCTGGGACTTTAAATAGTCTGGTTATAGAGCTTCTGTTTATAATGACTATATAACCCTGAGTAAAGACATTCAGATTTCTTCTTCTTCTTCTTCTTCTTCTTCTTCTTCTTCTTCTTCTTCTTCTTCTTCTTCTTCTTCTTCTTCTTCTTCCTCTTCTTCTTCCTCTTCTTCCTCTTCTTCCTCGTCTTCTTCTTTTTTTCCGAGACGGTCTCACTCTGTTGCCCAGGCTGGAGTGCAATGGCATGATCTCAACTCACTGCAACCTCTGCCTCCAGGATTCAAGCCATTCTCCTGCCTCAGCCTCCCAAGTAGCTGGGACTACAGGCATGAGCCGCCATGCTGGCTAATTTTCATATTTTCAGTAGAGACAGGGTTTCACCATGTTGGCCAGGCTGGTCTCAAACTCCTGGCCTCAAGTGATCCACCCACCTCGGCCTCCCAAAGTGCTGGGATTACAGGCATGAGCCACAGCACCCGGCCTGAAACTGCAGTGAGCCGAGATTGTGCCACTGCACTCCAGCCTGGGAGAGAGGGCAAGACCCTGTGAAAGAAGCAAAGGAAGGGGAGGGGAGGTGAGGGGAGGAAAGAGAAAAATATAGGACTTTGGGAAATGACCCATGCAAAAATTAGAGTAACCGTATTTTGAATCTTTTCCTAGGAATACAACTTGGAATCCAGCACGCAACTTAGTTTCCCCAAGACTAATAAAATAAGATTTTGCTCCTTACTTTACCTTACAAATTGAATTCATACGGAGATAATATTTCCTGTGAGATCACACATAACACTCACAAGGCAAGACATGTATGCACTGGAATTTAATATAACTAAATTTCAGAGATATTTGTAAATGGGCTCAACGTGTAAAAATTGATTCACTTGCAAAGGGGCCAGTCTATCTGTAAGGAAAGACTGGAAGAATTTTGTAAATCTGTGGGATGTGGTTGGGGACCACAGAGAAAAAATCAGAACTACAAAATGGCAAAGTTGATTTCTAACATTCATTTTTAGTTGGAAATGTATGATTTCGAAGCAAAGTAATAAAACAACCTCACTGCTGCATTAAATCAGTGAAAGCATCGTTTCATTAATTTGTTTCTTTGTTTACTATTTTGTCAACTTATAGGTGTCAGATGTATTTAATTTTAATTCAAAAAGTATTCTTAAAATAATTTTATTCTTCTTCAGATTCCGAGTCAACATTTTTCTATACTTCAATATTTGCGTTAATCCATAGAGCCCTTACTCTTTGTGAAGTACTATTTCCATGCCTACATACTATACATATAACACAATTTAATGGAATAAATCAGAGTTTGCAATCATAATAATAATAGTTTTTCTTATGTCACGACCAGGACTTGATATAGGTCATAACCAGGAGATACTTCCACTACTTTAAACATATTAACTCAGTTAATTGTTGAGACAATCTATTAAGGTAGATACTATTGTCATCTCTATTTCACAGATGAGGAAACTGAGGCAGACAGGGTCACCTAGCTCTAGTAAAGGATGAAGCTGAGGTTGGAATGAAGGAAGGTGGCTCTGAGGACCATGCTCATACCCAAGGTCTAGAAAGACCTGACTTAGATTCTGGCTCTAAATATACAGCTGAATGGCTTGAAGAAGTCCCTTAACTTCCTGGAGCATTGTTTCTCCATTTGTGAAAAGGTAATTATAATAAACACCTCACAACTTTTTTGTAAATCATGTGTGTGAGAGCACTTTTACAAACAGTAATGGGATACCCAATTATGGCATCTATTGTTTTGTTAACATGTAAAGCTAAAAACTGGATGAGCTGTTTACAAGAGGAAAAAATTGAAAATAAAGAACAAAGGCAACCCTGATAATATCTAGACTCTCTATTTGATTAAAACATACATATTCTTTGTTAGATACTTTGGCTGCATCAGACATTAAACAAGTAATAAGATCATATTTTCACTCTTCACTCCTGTATTATAAGAGGAGAAAACTTAAAATTAAAACACTTTCAGAGACCTATTTTAGCTGAAACAATAATTGATTTTAAACTCTAGGAGAAAAGGCTCTGGCCAGGTCAAGGAGAGTTTGGAACATGCCATTTGTCAACTGCAGTTGACAGAGTGCCCCATGGGAGAATGCAGTCAGAGACTCAGCCCAAGCAAGTCCCCCAGAAAAGTCTCCTAGAAATTTAAGCAAGAGACTCTGAGCTGGAAACTTACCGTTGTTTTGTTACATCTTTCCAAATCAAGAATTCTTGAGCATTTTCCATTATTGTCCTTCGTCTTAAAGGAGACAATATATTGCTATTGTTGTTTTTTGTTTTGCTTTTTCTTTTTTTTTTAGATGGAGTCTCACCCTTGTCACCCAGGCTGGAGTGCAATGGCACAATCTCGGCTCGCTGCAACCTCCACTTCCCCAGTTCAAGCAATTCTCCTGCCTCAGCCTCCTGAGTATCTGGGATTACAGGCGCCTGCCACCACGCCCGGCTAATTTTTTTATTTTTAGTAGAGACAGGGTTTCACCATGTTGGCCAGGCTGGTCCCGAACTCCTGACATAAGGGGATCCACCTACCTCTGCCTCCCAAAGTGCTGAGATTACAAGTGTGAGCCACAGCACCCAGCCAATATATTGTTGTTTACAAAAAAATAACAACTTTGAAATCAGATACTAATTTAAATTCTAGCAGCTTGGCTTTATTAGCTGGTGAATCTGGGTCATTATCCCCTTTCCAGAGTCTCTATTTCTTCCTACTTAAAAGGAAATAATATACTGTTTACCTCAAGAGGTGGTTAGTATATGGATTAAGTAGGAATAATAATAACAGTAATAGCTAACAAGTGTTGAATACTTCTAATGTGCTGAGTGCTACGCGAAGTTTTTGGTTTTTGTTTTTTGTGTTTTTTTTTTTGAGATGGAATTTCGCTCTTGTTGCCCAGGCTGGAGTGCAATGGCGTGATCACAGCTCACTGCAACCTCCGTCTCCTGGGTTCAAGCGATTCTCCTGCCTCAGCGTCCCGAGTAGCTGGGATTACAGGCATGCACCACCACCCCCTGCTAATTTTGTATTTTTAGTAGAGACGGGGTTTCACCATGTTGGTCAGGCTGGTCTCGAACTCCCGACCTCAGGAGATCTGCCCGCCTTGGCTTCCCAAAGTGCTGGGATTACAGGTATGAGCCACCGTGCCCGGCCACAAAGTTCTTTACATATGCTTCTCCTAGTTAATCCTCACACTACCCTATGAGAAAGGTGGCATTGACTCTATTTTATATGTGAATACACGGATGCTTCATGATGATAAGCAGCTAACAAGTAGTGGATCCAAGATCAATGAAACAACCACAATGACACATAATAGCTATTTTTAAAATTTAGCTCCTTTTCCTTAGTAGCCTTAAAGGAGGATTTCAGGAAGAGGATACAGTCTTTACTCTTTCTTTGGCACAGAACTCAGGGGTCCAACCTCCTTTGGGAACCTGCCATGGCTCCATACAGAACTTTCTGCCTCTGACTTATTGCCGAGATAAACCTATTTATACCTTGAGATTTCAGACAGAAAAGGTGCAGCAAGATGCGAATATTGAAAAACTTTAAAATAGCAATCCTCCAAGCATGCTCATCAAGTGAAGTAAAACGTCCATATCTGTTTTCATCTCTGAATCGCTGAAGAAATTTAGTGCTAGAAGCCAGGCTGTGACTTGCCTGGCAAAGTCCCGATCAATTTAGTTTATGTCCTTAGTCTGCCACTGAACCTATTCTCATTTCTACAAAGGGTGAGAGGCAGGATGGTGAGGTAGGATGATGGATTTGAGGATTCCGGACTCCAGTTACTTCCTAGCTGGATGTCTTTGAACCAGTTGCTTAATTTCTCTGAGGTCCATTTTCTTATCAGTAAAATAAAGATAGGAAAAGCTACCTACCTCATCAAGTTGTTAAAAGGAGTAAGAAGCCAGGTGCGGTGGCTCACGCCTGTGATCCCAGCACTTTGGGAGCCCGAGGCAGGCAGATCACTTGAGGTCAGGAGTTCAGGACCAGTCTGGCCAATATGGTGAAACCCTGTCTCTGCTAAAAATACAAAAATTAGCCGGGTGTGGTGACACATGCCTGTAGTCCCAGCTACTCGGAGGCTGAGGCAGGAGAATCTCTTGAACCCAGGAATCAAAGGTTGCAGTGAGCAGAGATCACACCATTGCACTCCAGCAGCCTGGGCATCACAGCAAGACTCTGACAAAAAAAAAAAAGAAGAGGAGTAAGTGAGGTCTTTCTGAATGTTGAATCCGATAGAAAGCTGACTCTTTTGTTTTTAGGCAGGGATTTGTTCTGTCACCCAGGTGCAGTGGCCCAATCACAGCTCATTGCAGCCTCAACTTCCTGGGCTTAGATAATCCTCCTGCCTCATTTTTCGATACTTTTTTGTAGAGATGAGGTCTCACTATGTTGCCCAGGCTGGCCTTGAACTCCTGGAATGAAGTGATCCTGCGGCCTCAGCCTCCCAAAGTGCTGAGATTACAGGCATGAACCACCACACTCAGCCGAAAGCTGACTTTTTCTAAAGTCAGTTTCCCAAGGACTATTCTGGGCTTTCACCGTAAAATCTAATGCCCCTGGGAAGTTTATGCATGCACACGTCTCGAATGCCCCCTCACTGTCTAGGCTCCAATACTTCCCAGAATACAGTTGTCCTTTCTTGTGTATCATCAATCATTCGTTCATCCAGCAATTTTTTTTTTTTTCAGGGATGGGGTCTCATTATGTTGCCCAGGCTGGAAAGCAGTGGCTATTCACAGGCACAATCACACTATTGATCAGCACAGAAGTTTTGACCTACTTCATTTCCAAACTGGGCTGGTTCACCCCTCCTTAGGCAACCTAGTGGTTCTTTACTTTCAGAAGGTCACCATATTGATGTCAAACTTAGTGCAGACACCCAACAGGTATAGTGCACTATAGCCCAGAACTCATAGGTTCAAGTGATCCTCCTGCCTCAGCCTCCCAAGTAGCTTGGATTACAAGCATCCATCACTACATGATCCAGCAAACATTTTATGAGCCTTGTTATGAGTGGGGACCTGGAATGAATGCTGGGCGTACAACTATAGAACTAAACAGACACAGTCCTTGCTGCCAAAGACCCAGAGGTCTAGTGAGGGAAAGGACGTGATAATTCTTGTTGTCCATGTGAGAGGGAAGGGCAAGGTGTTGTAGAAATGCATATAATGGGGACTTTACCTAGACTTGGATGGTCACAGAAACCTGTTTGAAGAAGTTAAATTGTATTTAGAGAGTAGCTCTAAAGGGATGTGGTATGTAAACTTGTGCAAATGACATCTCTCTATCTCTCCTTTTTTTTTTTTAAATAGATGTGGCAGAAGGCTATAAGGGTCATATTATTTGCCACAAAAAAAATAGTCTCTATCCCATTGGAGATACTCTCAAAAGATTTAGCAAATCTCACTTCAACAGATTCTCTTTTCCCTACAACCTTCTGAAGAAAGAGCCTTTTTGTTTTCCAGGGCCCAAGGAGTGAAATATCCCAGCAATGGGTTTGTAGAACAGGGAGGTGCCCATGAAACAATTCCCTGAGAGTGATATGGAAATTTAAAGAAATGGTAAACAGGCTGGGCATGGTGGCTCATGCCTATAATCTCAGCACTTTGGGAAGCCAAGGCAGGCTGGTCACTTGAGGCCAGAAGCTCAAGATCAGCCTGGCCAACATGGTCAAACCCTGTTTCTACTGAAAAATACAAAAATAAGCCGGTGTGGTGGCGCACACCTATAATCCTAGCTATTCAGGAGGCTAAGGCACGAGAATCTCTTGAACCCAGGAGGTGGAGGTTGCAGTGAGCCGAGATCACACCACTGCACTCCATCCTGGGCAACAGAGCAAGAATCCGTCTCCAATAAATAAATAAATAGGCCAGGTGCAGTGGCTCACGCCTACAATCCCAGCTCTTTGGGAGGCTGAGGCAGGTGGATCACCTGAGATCAGGAGTTCAAGACCAGCCTGGCCAATATGGTGAAATCCCATCTCTACTAAAAATACAAAAATGAGCTGGGCTTGGTGGCAGGTGCCTGTAATCCCAGCTACTTGGGAGGCTGAGGCAGGAGAATCGCTTGACCTGGGAGGCAAACGTTACAGTGAGCCAAGATCACACCACTGCACTCCAGCCTGGGTGACAGAGTGAATAAATAAGTGAATGAATAAAAAAATAATAATATTTGAATATTATAAATAAATGAATAAAATAAATAAATAAATGAATAAATAAATAAATAAATAAAATAAAAAATAAAGAAATAAAGAAACGATGGAGAAATTTTTCCTGAAGAAAGGGTGGAATTTAAAAATTACCAGTCCGGCTGGGTGTGATGGCTCACGCCTGTAATCCCAGCACTTTGGGAGGCCATGGAAGGCATATCACGAGGTCAGGAGCTCGAGACCAGCCTGACCAACATGGTGAAACCCCGTCTCTACTAAAAATACAAAAATTAGCTGGGCATGGTGGTGCGTGCCTGTAATCTCAGCTACTCAGGAGGCTGAGGCAGGAGAATCGCTTGAACCCAGGAGGCAGAGTTTACAGTGAGCTGAGATCGCGCCACTGCACTCTAGTCTGGGCAACAGAGCAAGACTCCGTCTCAAAAAATTTTTTTTTAATTAAAAAATTAAAAAATACCATTCAGCAGATGGGCACAGTTGGCTCACGCCTGTAATCCCAGCACTTTGGGAGGCCGAGGTGGGCAGATCACCTGAGGTCAGGAGTTCAAGACCAGCCTGGCCAACATGGTGAAACCCCATCTCTACTAAAAATACAAAAATTAGCCAGGTATGGTGGCACGTGCCTGCAGTCCCAGATACTTGGGAGGCTAAAGTGGGAGAATCACTTGAACCCAGGAGGCGGAGGTTTCAGTGAGCCAAGACTGCGCCATTGCACTCCAGCCTGGGTGACAGAGTGAGACTCTGTCTCAAAAAAAAAAAAAAAACGCCAGGCGCGGTGGCTCACGCCTATAATCCCGGCACTTTGGGAGGCCGAGGCAGGTGGATCACGAGGTCAGGAGATCGAGACCATCCTGGATAACCCAGTGAAACCCCATCTCTACTAAAAATACAAAAAAACAGCCGGGCGTGGTGGCGGGCGCCTGTAGTCCCAGCTACTTGGGAGGCTGAGGCAGGAGAATGGCGCGAACCCTGGAGGCGGAGCTTGCAGTGAGCCGAGATTGCGCCACTGCACTCCAGTCTCTGGGCGACAGAGCAAGACTCCGTCTCAAAAAAAAAAAAAAAAAAAAAAATACCATTCTGCAATTCCCAGTAAAATAGCTGATTCAGCCAATGATCACCAATAGTTGCTAAAACCATTAGGTGAAAAGTTGTTGTTGAAGAACAGGGTACTCAAAAGTTTCTTAGAATGGAAAAGTCTGATAATTATAAACTTATCCAAATGATCAAACTTAAAGTTGCTGAGGCAAAATCTTATTTATTTTTTAAAATCCTGTGTTCTAAAAAAAAAAAAAAATTAAAACAACAACAAACTCTGTGTTCTTCCTGTAGACATTTAGTAAGAACTTCGTATCACCTATGAAGCATTTTTGTCAAAAAAATTTTAAGCTGGCCGGGCACGGTGGCTCACGCCTGTAATCCCAGCACTTTGGGAGGCCGAGGCGGGCGGATCACCTGAGGTCTGGAGTTCAAGAGCAGCCTGACCGACATGGAGAAACCCCGTCTCTACTAAAAATACAAAATTAGCCGGGTGTGGTGGCACAGTAGATGCCTGTAATCCCATCTACTCCGGAGGCTGAGGCAGGAGAATGGCTTGAACCCGGGAGGCAGAGGTTGCTGTGAGCCGAGATCGCACCGTTGCACTCCAGCCTGGGCAACAAGAGCAAAACTCCGTCTCAAAAAAAAAAAAAAAAAAAAGCCAATATAATCAAACTTTAGAGCTAACAGTTTATAAGAAATACAGGTGATAAGGAAGCAAAGTACAATTATCATGAGAAAACAGACAAATCCTGAATATGAGGGATTCAGCAAGGCTAAGTCTCTTCAAAAAGCCAAGTGTCATTAAGACGAATAAGCACAACAAAAAGGAAAAGGCAGGGGACAGTTTTAGACTAAAGGGACATAAGCAAATACAATAAGTGAAATTTCATTGAATTCTTCAACTTTTTTTTTGAGATGGAGTCTCATGTTGTCAATGAAGGTTTATTTATCACCTACTAAATGCTTAGGTAAATGTGTTCATTCTTAAGCATGCAATAGGGACAAAACCAGTTTCAACACTTATTTACATGGAGAAATAGGCATTGATTAAATGATCATATAAACGCACATGTAGTTATAAACTGAGACAAATATTTTGAGGGAAAGACATTTGGGGCTAAGAAAGAATGAAAGGCCCGGCGCGGGGGCTCACGCCTGTAATCCCAGCACTTTGGGAGGCCGAGGCAGGTGGATCACCTGAGGTCAGGAGTTTGAGACCAGCCTGGCCAACGTGGCGAAACCCTGTCTTTACTAAAAATTAAAAAATCAGCCGGGTGTCATGTAATCCCAGCTACTCAGGAGGCCAAGGCAGGAGAATTGATAGAACACTGGAGGCGGAGGTTGCAGTAAGCTGGGATCACACCACTGCACTCCAGCCTGGGCAACAAGAGTGAAACTCCGTCTAAATAAAAAAAAGAAAAAAGAAAGAATGAAAGAGGAACCTAACCTAGGTGGGGGTTGGGGGTTGGGGGTTGAGGGGGAAGCAGGAAATGCTTTCAGAAAAGACTTCTCTGAGAAAATGTTTGAATTCAGATAGGAAGGATACATTAGAATTAAGCAAGTTTGGCAGGGGAGTGATTGTGTCTAGGAAGAGGGAAGAACACATGCAAAGATGTTGAGGTAGCTTTTCTGAAGAAATGAGAGAATGATGGTATGAATGGAACACAGAACAGGGGGTAAAATAATATAAGACTAGACTAGGGCAGTCATTGGAGCTAAAACTTGCTGAGGACTGTAGAGTTTGTAACATTATCTTGTTTATTTATTTATTTATTTGAGACGGAGTCTTGCTCTGTTGCCCAGGCTGGAGTGCAGTGGCACTATCTCAGTTCACTGCAACCTCCGTCACCCGGGTTCAAGTGATTCTCCTGCCTCAGCCACCCAAGTAGCTGGGATTATAGTCACCCACCACCACACCCAGCTAATTTTTGTATTTTTAGTAGAGACGGGGTTTCACCATGTTGGCCAGGCTGGTCTTGAACTCTTGAGCTCAAGTGATCCACCTTCCTCGGCCTCTCAAAGTGCTGGGATTACAGGCGTGAGCCACTGCACCTGGCCTGGAACATTAGTTTAAAAACAATGGGAAGGCATTGGAAGATTGGAAATGTGGGGAAGGGGCTGACATATTATATCTTATAAAAATATCACTCAGGCTGATATATGGAAGTTTATTGAAAGGAGTGAGTGGGGATATGGGGATGCCAGTCAGGAGGCTGTTGCAGATACTGAGATAAAAGATGACAGCTCCTCATCCTAAGGCAATGGCAATGGAGATGGGGAAAAGTAGATAGATTCAAGTACATGAAATAGATAGTATATACTATAAGTCAGTAAAGAAAGGTGGTTGGAATGGCTCCTAGAATTCCATAATTCTGCACTTGGGATTCAACAATCTGTGTTTCCTAAGGAAAAAAAAACATGGAAGTCCAAGGTAGGCGGATCATGAGGTCAGGAGTTCAAGATCAGCCTGGCCAACGTGGTGAAACCCCGTCTTTACTAAAAATACAAAAATTAGCCGGGCATGGTGGCACACACCTGTAATCCCAGCTACTCAGGAAGCTGAGGCAGGAGAATTGCTTGAACCCAGGAGGCGGAGGTTGCAGTGAGCCGAGATCGTGCCACTACATTCCAGCCTGAGTGACAGAGAGAGACTCTGTCTCAAAAAAAAAAAGAAAAGAAAAGAAAAGAAAAAACATGGAAAGAGGATCAGATTGAAGGGGGAAGATTGAGTTTAGGTTGGACATAGAAAGACTAAGATATGCAAGTAAACATATCAAATAGACATTTGGATATGTAGGTCTGAATTCAGAAGAGAGATCTAAACTGGAGATTTGGCAGCCATTGACACAGACATGGTAACCGTGGCCACGGGAAGGGATATGGTCACCTAGGTAAGCTTTCAGAATGAGAAGAGAAAAGAGAGATTACTGAATGAGAAAAGAAAACAGAACCATGCATGATGGCACACACCTGTAGTCCCAGCGGGAGGACCGCTTGAGCCCAGGAGTTTAAGGTTGTAGTGTGCAATGATCACACCTGTGAATAGCCACTGTCGAGTGATACTCTGCCTCTTCAGAAGAGAGAGAGAAGAGAAAAGAGTCCATTACAAATATTTGAAGAATGCCAACATTTAATGGCCAGGTATAGGAGAAGGGGCTCATGAAGGACATTGAGAAGGAACTCTTAAGTAAGAAGGAAGAATACTAGAAGTATGTAACATCATGAAAGTCAAGGTAAGAACATGTTTCAAGTGTGAAGGAATGACTAGTAGACTCAAATGTTGCTGTAGGATCAGCTTAGAAAGGGACTAGGTATATACCCAAGATAAATGAAAACATACATCTGGGCTAGGCGCGGTAGTTCATGCGTGTAATCCAGCACTTTGGGAGGCCAAGGCAGGTGGATCACTTGAGTCCAGGAGTTCAAGACGAGCCTGGGCAGCATGGTGAGACCCTGTCTCTACAAAAATTAGCTGGGCGTGGTGCACATGCCTGCAGTCCCAGCTACTCAGGAGGCTGAGGTAGGAGGATTATTTGAGCCCGGGTGGTGGAGGTTGCAGTGTGCCAAGATTGCACCACTGCACTCAAAAAAACAAAAAAGAAAAAAAGAGAAAAGAAAACATACATCCATTAAAAACATGTACATGAATGTTCATAGCAGTATTATTCATTATAGTATTATTTGTAATAGCCAAAAATACTACTGCATGAATGAACTTTGAAACCATTATGCTCAGTGAAAGAAATCAGTCACAAAAAAATATGTACTGTAAATTTTCATTTACATGAGATATCCAGAATAGACAAATCTATACAGACAGAGAGTAGATTACTGTTTCCCTGGGCCTGGGAGGCTAGAGGGGGATAGAGTGACAACTAATGGGAACAGTTTCTTTTGGAGATGAGGAAAAGTTCTAAAATTAGATTGTGATAATTGTCCAGCTCTGTCATTATACTGAAGACCATTGAAATGTATAATTAAAATGAGTGAATTGTATGGTATGTAAATTTTATTTCAATGAAACTGTTTTTTTAAAAAAAATAAATCTAGGCCGGGTACAATGGCTCACACCTATAATCACAGCATTTTGGGAGGCTAAGGCAGGTGGATCACCTGAGGTCAGGAGTTTGAAACCAGCCTGGCCAACATGGCAAAACTCTGTCTCTACTAAAAATACAAAAATTAGCTAGGCTAGGTGGCAGGCACCTGTAATCCAAACTACTCAAGAGGCTAAGGCAAAGGAATCACTTGAACCCAGGAGGCGGTGGTTGCAGATCTGGTTGCAGCTGAGATCGTGCCACTGGGCAATAGAGCAAGACTCCATCTCAAAAAAAAAAAACTAATATTTAAGCCAGATGACAGCAAACTATTTTTAAATGGATATTATTCATTTTCCCTGATTCCAGCACCCTCTTATTCTAAAAGCAAGAAAACTAGGAAATTGAATTTGTCATTATAAATTTGTTTAGAGCTGACGGAACCAAACAAAAGGAATTTAGAAATGTTGATGGATATCTCAAACCAACTAAATACTAACCCAATCAACTAATAATGAAGTGTTTACATATCTTGGATCCTTAGAAAACTATAGATAATCTGATAAAATTCTGAATATTCAACCTGATTCAATTCATTTACTTATTCAGCATCTTTTTATTGAGTACCAATATGTGGCACTTTATCACAGATGCTTTAAACAGTGGTCATCTTTTTAATTTTAATTTTGATTATTTATTTATTTATTTATTTATTTTGAGGCAGGGGGTCACTTTGTCACCTAGGCTGAAGTGCAGTGGTGTGATCTCGGCTCACCGCAGCCTCGATCTCACAGGCTCAGGCAATCCTCCTACCTCAGCCCCACAAGTAGCTGGGACTACAAGCATGAGCCACCACACCCAGCTAACTTTTCTTTTTTTTAATTTTTCTTAGAGATGGGGTTTTGCCATGTTGCCCAGGCTGGTCTCAAACTCTTGAGCTCAAGTGATTCTCCTGCCTCAGCTTCCCAAAGTGCTGGGATTACAGGCATAAGTCACCATGCCTGGCCTTAGTAGTCATCTTTTAAAAATATTAAATTTAAAACCATGGTCTGACAGTAGGACTGAATATTAGAAATGAAGGCTATCTCTTACAATCTAGACATAAACTCTCCTAATGCACATTTTAATACTGGATGGTGGGAAGGAGGCAATGAGAAACTCACATTTGTTGAATGTCTATAATTTGTCAGGTAATGTGCTAAGCAATTCAAAAGTATGATCTCACTTAGTTCTCAAAATAACACATTAAGGTGAGTATTATCATCATATGAGTAAACTATTCAAAGAGGTTATGTAACTTATTCAGTCACGCATCTGTAAGCTGGAGGGAAAAGTTTTGAAACAAGGTCCTCTGATTCTAAAATCAGATTCTGGTTTTTTGTTTTTTTTTTTGTCGATGCTGCCTCCTGAGAGAACACTTATTAATTAATTCACTTCACTTATTCAGCAGAGATGTATTTAACATTATCATATGGTAGCCATTTTGCTGGCCCCTAGGGATATAAAGATGAACTTGATGGAGAACTACCCCTGACCTCACAGGGCTCACAGTATAGCTGGGAAGACAATAAACAGAGGTATTGTCAACATGGCCAGGCAGAGTGACTTGCACCTGTAATCCCAATACTCTGGGAGTCTGAGGCAGGAAGATCACTTGAAGCCAGGAGTTAAAGAACAACCTGGGCAACACAGCAAGACCCCTTGTCTTAAACAAACAAATAAATAAATAAACCTTCAACATGTTATAAGATTAACTCCCTTTATTGAATTTCACTGTATTCCAAGTGCTCTTCTATGTACTTCTGCATTCATTAAGACTCCAGTCCCAACCTTCCTTCCCTACTGCATCTCCTACCAATTTATCTGGGACCCTCTATGCCAGAAACACTGAACCCTTCCCAGCAATCCTCTAAATTATATTCTTTCTTCTTTATCACTTTTCCATTTTCCCTCCACCTTTGTACATTCTTCCCATTTTGCCCTTCCCTCTCTTTTTAGGAAAAATAGATTTAAACCGAAGTGAGGGTGAGTGATTTCCAATAAGAAAGACCTCATTTTTGGATTTTCTTGTTGTTGTTGTTTTGTTTTGTTTTGTTTTGTTTTGTTTTGTTTGTTTTTGAGACAGAGTCTTGCTCTATTGCCCAGGTTGGAGTGCAGTGGCACGATCTCAGCTCACTGCAGCCTCCGCTCCCTGGGTTCAAGGGATTCTCGTGCCCCAGCCTCCCAAGTAGCTGGGATTACAGGTGCCTACCATCATGCCTGGCTAATTTTTGTATTTTTAGTAGAGACGGGGTTTCACCATGTTGGCCAGGCTGGTCTCGAACTCCTGACCTCAAATGATCTGCCTGCCTTGGCCTCCCAAAGTGCTGGGATTATAGGCATGAGCCACCGTGCCAGGTCGAAAGACCTCATTTTTTAATCTAGGTTGGCCTCCTCCTTATACCACAGTGACAAGTTATTTAATCTACCCCAACTCTGGTACCCCATCTGTAAAATGAGAATGATAATAACCACCTCATATGATATTTGTGAAGATTCATGCAATAATAATGCATAGTGCCTGGCACATAGTATTTTCGAAAATGATTTTTGTGTGTGTGTAATAGCAAGGAGAAATAGACCAATCAAAAGTGATTATTGAATGTGGAAAAGAAGGCAAGAACTGCTATGCATAAAGAGAAAAAAGACCCCCCAAATCCTTGAGGGCCAAATAATATTTTATGAAGAAGCTAAGATTTAAATTACTGCTTGAAAGATGAGTAGATTCCAAATAGTCACAACTGCAGGAGAAAAGCTGAAAGAAGACTTGCTCTTTTTCTGGTTTTAAATATTCTTTTACATGATACACTGTAGAGCAGAACCAGGAGCTGGCTGTAATAAGAAGGTTAGCTCTCCTTTCTTTGCAAGTCAGTACACTGTATTCATAAGAGTGTGAAGATTCTTCCACCCTCTTTACTCTCCCAACCCAAAAATGTCTTAGGAACTTCCCTAGTTATCCCATCCACCAACCCAGCTACTGAGCCTGAACTGCAGATGCCTCCTCCCCAGAGGTTTCCTCTTTACTATAAGCTTGTGATCATTTATTGATTCTTTTCAACAATTATTGAAATACATCAAAATCCTAAATTCTTGTTTGCGCTTTGACTCAGGATTTACACCTGTAGGAATTTATCCCAAGGATATAGTCACAGTGATGAGCAAATATCCAGCCATAAGGATCTTTACCACAATGTGTTTGTTTGTTTGTTTGTTTGTTTGGAGACAGAGTTTTGCTCTTTTTGCCCAGGGTGGAGTGCAATGACGTGATCTAGGCTCATTGCAACCTCCACCCCCTGGGTTCAAGTGATTCTCCTAGCTCAGCCTCCTGAGTAGCTGGGATTACAGGAATGCACCACCACATCCGGCTAATTTTTTGTATTTTTAGAAGAGATGGGGGTTCACCATGTTGGTCAGCTGGTTTTGAACTCCAGACCTCAGGTGATCCACCCGCTTCGGCCTCCAAAAGTCCTGGAATTACAGGCGTGAGCCACCACACCTGGCCCACAATGTGTTTATAATAACAAAAAGTTGGAAACAATCTACATGTTTAGCAATAAGAGATTTGTTATGTAAATCCTAGTCAGTTTATAAAATGTAAAACTATACAAAAAGATGACGCATAAAGGAATATAGTATACGTATAAAAATACTGATGTGATTTCACACCGATAAATTAACGGTGATTTTCAATGGGGTGGCATTATAGATGTTTTCTTTTTTTTTTTTTCAGATGGAGTTTTGCTCATGTTGCCCAGGCTACAGTGCAATGGCGCAATCTCGGCTCACCACAACCTCCGCCTCCCAAGGTCAAGCAATTGTCCTGCCTCAGCCTCCCGAGTAGCTGGGATTACAGGCATGTGCCACCATGCCAGGCTAATTTTGTATTTTTAGTAGAGACGGGGTTTCTCCATGTTGGTCAGGCTGGTCTCAAACTCCTGACCTCAGGTGATCCTCCTGCCTTGGCCTCCCAAAGTGCTGGAATTATAGACATGAGCCACTGCGCCCAGCCTCTTTTTTCTTTTTTCTTTTTTATAATGAGCAACTATTACTCCTGTATTAAGGAAAAATAGTGTTTTAAAGTTCTTTGAGCTTGTATAAAATGTTACATCGAGGGAAAAAAAGTAGACAATTATGACAAGAGGCCAAAGAGACATGAGTGGAGTGCCATATTTATTTTTCTGTAGTGCTGTTCAATATAATAAAATGGTGAAAGATTAACTCTCTTTTCTAATAAAATTATTCTTACTCATCTTTCTTGCTTTTATCTTAATAAATGTTCAATAAATATTGATAGTATTTTAGTTGAGAAAATAAGAAATTACATACAATGGCAGAATTGTCACAGTCTTCAACTGAATTAGAAATTTGCCAATATTGAAGAAATTTCAGAATCCTCCTTATGCCTTTGAAAACGATATTTCTTCAGATTGGGCAAAGATAGAAGTAAGTGAAAGGCAACTTATTTATCTTTCTCTTTCCAGGTCTTACAGGACTTACTTAATAATAAAAAAAAATTTTAATACGAGAAAATCACAGTAAAAACTTAGTATCAAAAAGCATGAATGAAAAAAGATTTTTTTTTGCTGCTCCTTGCTAGATCATCCAGAGTTACTTCTCAAGGGTAACCTTATATTTCTTTACCAAAAAAAGGTTGTTGAACACAAATAGGATTGCATTAACTATACTGCTCTGCAATGTAGTATCTTGGCATATTTCTACATTAGAACATACAGGGTTTGCTGACTTTTTTAGTTTTATATTCACATAATTTTTATGGATTTTTTTTCATATTTAAGAAGTCATTGATCCATTTAATTAAACAATAACACAAATTCAACAATGACTTTACAACCCAGAAACAATCGCTTTCAACCGATTGGTAAATATCATTCTTCTTTCCATGCCCATTCATACTCGTCTTAGAAAAACAACTACCAATAATTAAGCACTACATATGCACCAATTGTTTTACATACATTACTTAAACATCAACCCTCAGATGTAAATTTATCAACCAATTTTAGCAATGAGGAAACCAAAATTCAGAACGGTTAGAGATATATCCAAAATCACGTAGATGATATGTGGCAGGGCCTAGATTCGAACCCAGATCAGTCTGACTCAAAAGTTTATGTTCTCAGCCAGCTATACTGACTCACCACTAAACAAAAATTTATACATGCACACATATGTTTATGAAAAAAGATCCATATTATGCATATTATTTAGTAACTTTTTTTCATCTTTTTAACTTCTATTTTTGGTTTGGGGGTACATATGGAGGTTTGTTACATCGGTAAACACACGTCCCGGGGTTTGTTGTACATATTATTTCATCATCCAGGTATTAAATCCGTATCCAATAGTTATCCTTTCTGCTCCTCTCCTTCCTCCCTCCCTCCCCACTCAAGTAGACTCCAGTGTCTTAAGTTCTCTTTTTTTGAGACCGAGTCTCGCTCTGTTGCCCAGGCTGGCGTGCAATGGCACAATCTCGGCTCACTGCAACCTCCACCTCCCAGGTTCAAACGGTTCTCCTCCCTCAGCCTCCCAGGTAGCTGGGATTACAGGTGCCTGCTACCTCGCCCAGCTAGTTTTTGTATTTTTAATAGAGATGGGTTTCACCATGTTGGCCAGGAGGGTCTTGAACTTTTGACCTCAAGTGATCCACCCACCTCTGTGTTCATAAGTTCTTTCATTTAGCTCCCACTTATAAGTGAGAACATGAGCTGTTTGGTTTTCTGTTCCTGTGTTAGTTTCCTGAGGCTAATAGCCTCCAGCTCCAACCACGTTCCCACAAAAGATATGATCTCATTTTTTTAATGGCTGCATAGTTTTCCATGGTGTATATGTACCACATTTTCTTTTTCCAATCTGCCATTGATGGGCATTTAGGTAGATTCCATGTCTTTGCTATTGTGAATAGTGCTATAATGAATATTTGTGTGCATGTATCTTCATGGTAGAATGATTTTTTTTTTTTTTTTTTTAAACAGAGTCTTGCTCTGTCACCCAGGCTGGAGTGCAGTGGCACAATCTCGGCTCATTGCGACCTCCCCCTCCCAGGATTAAGTGATTCTCCTGCCTCAGCCTCTCAAGTAGTTAATATTACTGGGGTTTCACCATGTTGGCCAGCCTGGTCTCGAACCCTTGACCTCAGGTGATCCACCCACCTCAGCCTTCCAAAGTGCTGGGATTACAGGTGTGAACCACCGCGCCCAGCCTGATTTCAGTTCTTTTAATTTGCTGAGGGTTGTTTATGTCCAATTATGTGGTCGATATTAAAGCATGTGCCACGTGGTGATGAGAAGAATGTATAGTCTGTTGTTTTTAGGTGGAGAGTTCTGTAAAAGTCTATCAGATCCACTTGGTCAAATGTTGAGTTTAGGTCCTTAATGTCTTTGTTAATTTTCTGCTTCAATGATTTGTCTAATACTGTCAGTGAAGTGTTGAAGTCTCCCACTATTATTATGTGGGAATCTGTGTCTCTTTGTAGGTCTTTAAGAACTTGCTTTATGAATCTGGGTGCTCCTGTATTGGGTGCATATATATTTAGGACTGTTAGGTCTTCTTGTTGAATTGAACCCTTTACCATTATGGGATGCCCTTCTTTGCCTTTTTTGATCTTTTTTGGTTTGAAATCTGTTTTGTATTTTGTTTGTTTTGTTTTTTTGAGACAGATTCTTGCTCTGTCACCCAGGCTGTGCAGTGGTGCAATCTTGGCTCACTGCAACCTCCGCCTCCCAGGTTCAAGCCATTCTCCTGCCTCAGCCTCCCACCTAGCTGGGACTCCTGGCACACCACCATGCCTGACTGATTTTTATATTTTTAGTAGAGATGGGCTTTCACCATGTTGGCCAGGCTGGTCCCGAACTCCTGACCTCAAGTGATCCACCTGCCTCAGCCTCCCCAAGCGCTGGGATTACAGGCATGAGCCACCACACCCAGCCTGTTTTGTATTTTTTTCACTTGAAAATATATCATAGGCTTGTTTTCATGTTAATAAATTGCAATCATTGTCATTTCCAATGACAATATTGCCCTCCATTGTATGAAGGATCATGAAATATTGGACCAGCCTGCGCAATATGAGAAAACCTTGTCTTTACAAAATATACAAAAACAATAGCCAAGTGTGGTGGTGTGTGCCTGTGATCCCAGACACTTGAGAGGCTGAGGTGGGAGGATCACCTGAGCCTGGGGAGGTCGAGGCTGCAGTGTGTTGTCATTGTGCCATTGCACTCCAGCCTGGGGAACAGAGTGAGACCCTGTCTCAAAAAAAATAATAAAATAAAATATTGGAACCAACTCTCCATGGTTAGATATTCAATTGATTCCAATATTTTACTGCTATAATCAATGCTGGCATTAAATAATTTTTCCTGTAATCCCAACACTTTGGGAGGCCGAGGCAGGGAGATCACTTGAGGCCAGGAGTTAAGAGACCAGCCTGGCCAACATGGCAAAACTTCATCTCTACTAAAAATACAAAAATTAGCTAGGTATGACTGTGCACGTCTGTAATCCCAGCTACTCAGGAGGTGAGGCAGAAGAATCACTTGAACCACTTGAGGTGGAGGTTGCAGTGAGCTGAGATCACGCCGCTGTACTCCAGCCTTGGTGATAGAGTGAGACTCTGTCTCAAAAAAAAATTATTGCATCTTTTCCTTTTTTGAAAAATATTTTTATTTGCTGCACATTTTAAATCATTCTTTCATATAGGAAATACCTTTACTATAAATGTCCTTTTACCTACCTGATTCAGTAAGTTCATGTAGAACTTCAAAGGGGGCAGCATTAGAATGAATACAGGCTTCTAGAGAGTTAATACATATAAGAAGGGATAAAAAATTCCTTTTTGTTCTCATGGTTTACTTTACTAGATAACACTTAGTTTGCTTGTACTGAGTGTGGAGCGGGGGAGGGGATTGGAAACAATTTAAATGACTATCAATAGATTAAAGCATAAATCTGCTGTACCACATGGTAACCACAAGCCACGCCACATTTGACTATTTAAATTTAAATTCAATAAAATCAAAAATTTAGTTCTTCATTTGTACTATTCACATTTCAAGTGCCACCTGAGGCTGGTGATGACCATAGTGGAAAGTACAGATATGGAACATTTCCATTATCACAGAAAGTTCTACTGAACAGTGTGGGTATACAACACTCATGGTGTGAAATACTATTCATATATGGTATTTTAAAGTGATCTGGAAGATCTGTATATGCTGACATATTTGCTTGACATACATGTTTGTTTTTAACTTTTTATTTTGGAGTGATTATTGACTCACAAGCCTAAGAGATTATTATAGTAATTTTCTAAGAATATGCTATGTTGGGCTGTTGGGCTGGGCGCAGTGGTTCACACTTGTAATCCCAGCACTTCAGGAGACCGAAGCAGGTGGATCACGAGGTCAGGAGTTCGAAACCAGCCTGGCCAATATGGTGAAACTTCATCTCTACTAAAAGTACAAAAATTAGCTGGGTGTGGTGGTGGGTATCTGTAGTCGTGGGCATCTGTAGTCCCAGCTGCTTGGGAGGCTGAGGCAGGAGAATCTCTTGAACCCAGGAGGCAGAGGTTGCAGTCAGCCGAGATCACACCACTGCACTCCAGCCTGGGCCACAGAGCAAGACTCAGCCTCAAAAATAAATAAATAAATAAATAGAATATGCTACGTGAATTTTAAAAATAACTAGATTTTTAAAAACCTTTCCTTAAAAGCATTATCTATAGAGCAGTGAAGGGATACAGTGAGAGAGGAGGTCACTTATTTTATTGGGGAAAGGCTTCATAGAGGAGGTGACCATGAGCTAAGTCTCTAAAGATAAGCAAGTAAAGGATATACACCAGAGGAAAGAGGAAACTTACGGGGCTGGATAGAAGCATAAAGCCACAGACAAGATTTAAAGCCCAAAGTACTTTGACTAGTTTTACATTGGGGGAGTATTATGAGAATTAAGTAGCATAATGTATATGAAACCACTTTCTAAACTGTAAAGTACTGTCCTGAACAACTAAAGGAAACGTAGGAATTAAGCAGCACAATGCGTGTGCCTAGAAAATTTGTGTGCTTTGAAAACAAAATGTAAGACAGCATTCTTCTTTATATAAACATAAATAATATTATTGATAAAGGCAATTATATGAAAAACAAATACATATATAGCATTACATATACATTAAGATTGAATTAACAGAATATTTACTTGTTTCATATCTCTAAAGAGCCACAATTTTAAATTGTGTAGTCATATTGTGTTAAAAAAGAAAAAGAAAAGAAAAAAAAGCAAGTCAGAAATATCATTCTACCTCATGATGATTTCGTTTTTCTTTTGCATAAGCCTGTGTCTTTCAAATAATCCACAAGCAAATAGCTTCATTCTGTACATGAGAAATTATAAAAGACCATGTAATCAGCTGACAAAGGAACTGAAAACAAGCCCAGAGGAAATGCATGGCTGTTCTTACAAAGTTACAATGTACTGTTCTGTTTGCCTCCCACTCTCAAAGTGTATATTCCTGACATTTCTTGTCTTATAATTGGACTTTATGAATGAGAGCTGTAGGACGCTGTCTGGTGAATGATCTGAAAAGGATATGCTGAAACAGTGGAGGTGCTGCAAAAACTGGATGTGAGGCTTTGTGTGGGAACTTAAATAAAAGACAAGAATTAGAAATTTAGAACCCCAAATTTTATTGTACATAAAGTAAGGGCTATTTTCTCAGTCCTTAATAGAGAATTTGAGTAGGTTTAGGTGACATATAATGTGGAAACCAAATGCATAAGCTTGGTTTTCAGAATAGTTTGGGGTCCCATGGCTTTCCAGAGCTGATCCTTTACAACTGTACTGGCAAGAAAGAGAGGTGAGTTCAGCAACTTTCATCTCCTTTACATTAGCTTCTTCATCCTTAGTGCTGAGTAACTGTTAAAGCCATACTTACTAACATTTTCATAGTGTGGTGGACTTTCTAAAGTACATTTAATTTCATATCTCATGTGATTTAGCTGATGAATAGGGCCAGTTAGGCAAGAATGAATTCATTAGGTCCCTGGAAATAATCAGTCATATTTAATAAACAAACTTTTCCTGTGCACCTACTATAGAGTCACCTGTAGTCCCAAGCACTCGAGAGGCTGAGGCTGGAGAATCGCTTGAGTCTGGGAAGCAGGGGTTGTAGGGATGTGGTTTCACTATGTTCATGTTCTTGAACTCAGGGCCTCAAGTGATCATCCAGCCTCTGCCTCCCCAGGTGCTGGGATTACATGACAGTCAGCAGCTGGGAGGTTTTATTCACATTCAGAAGGGTCACAACAAGGATTCTCTTTTGTTAGCAAAAATACTGAAGGAAAAAACAAAAAGCATCTAAGCAGGGCAGGCAGAAATAAAAAAGTAGGCTTGAAAAATTTCTCCAGGCCGGGCACAGTGGCTCATGCCTGTAATCCCAGCATTTTGGGAAGCCAAGGCGGGTGGATTGCTTTGAACTCAGGAGTTTGGACCAGCCTGGCCAATGTGGTGAAACCTTGTCTCTCCAAAAATACAAAAATTAGGTGGGTGTTGGTGGCTCCCACCTGTAGTCCCAACCACTCGAGAGGCTGAGACTGGAGAATCGCTTGAGTCTGAGAAGCAGAGGTTGTAGTGAGCCAAAATCATGCCACTGCACTCCAACCTGGGCGACAGAGTGAAATTCTGTCTTAAAAAAAATAAAAAATAAAAAAATTATCCGAGGAAACAGGCCATTGTGTTAATGGTCTCTGTGTGTCTCTGGGTAGTAACATTGTGTAGTTTTTCTCTTTGTTAGTTTTTTCATACTTCTCATTTTTTGTTACAATAGGTATATGTAACTTGTATAAACAAAATAATAAAGAAACAAAATTTTAAGAGATGAAGTCTCACTCTGTCACCCAGGCTGGAGTGCAGTGGCATGACCTTGGTTCACTGCAGCCTCAACCTCCTCAACTCAAATGATCCTCCTACCTTGGCCTCTGGAGTAGCTGGAACTACAGGTACAAACCACTAAAATTAGCCACCTGGCTAATTTTTGTACTTTCTGTAGAGACAGGGTCTTACTTTGTTCCCAGGCTGGTCTCAAACTCCTGGGCTCAAGCAATCCTCCTGCCTCAGCCTCCCAAAGTGCTGGGATTACAGGCATGAGCCACTGTGTCGAGCAGAGAAAAATCTTAAAGGAAAAAGTCTCCAAAAGACTATACAAAATAAGGAAGAGAGGCCAGGCGCAGTGACTCACATCTGTAATCCCAGCACTTTGGGAGGCGGAGGGGGGCAGATCACCTGAGGTCAGGAGTTCGAGACCAGCCTGACCAATATGGTGAAACCCCGTCTCTACTAAAAATACAAAAATTAGCCAGACGTGGTGGCAGATGCCTGTAATCCCAGCTACTTGGGAGGCTGAGGCAGGAGAATCGCTTGAACCTGAAAGGTGGAGGGAGGTTGCAGTGAGCCGAGATCACGCCATTGCACTCTTGCCTGGGGGACAAGAGCGAGACTTCGTCTTAAAAAAAAAAAAAGGGGAAAAAGGAAGAGAGATTCAAATGTAAATAAGTCCATTGATTAGTATAGTGGACTGCCAATCATATTGATGGACAGCATGGTTCTAACTTTTTTTTTTCCTCTTTTTTTTCTTTTTGTAGGAAGCCTCTTCCCAGAACCAACTATTTAATTGTTTTTATTTTTTGTTTGTTTGTTTCTGTATTTGTTTTTGATACAGCGTCTCTCTCTGTCACCCAGGCTGGAGTGCAGGGGCCCAATTATGTCTCACTGCAACCTCAAACTCCTGGGCTGATCCTTTTGCCTCAGCCTCCCAAGTAGCTAGGACTATGGGTGCATGCCACTACACCAGGCTAATTTTGTAATTTTTTTGTAGAGATGTGGTTTCACTATGTTGCCCAGGATGTTCTTGAACTCAGGGCCTCAAGTGATCATCCAGCCTCTGCCTCCCAAGGTGTTGGGATTTCAGGCATGAGCCACCACGCCCAGCCTAGGTTTTGTTTTTGTTTTTTGTTTTTTCAAATCAAACATTTGGCCTTAGCCTTTGAAAAGAAGGAGATATACCATTACCTCACTAATTCTTCCTAGACTCTAGGACTTCACAACCACTGAAAGAATTAATCCAATCCCTTCTCCTCAACCCCCAAAATCCTAAAACAGTTTGAATGTTTACTCTTCGTTTGTCAAAGGTAATCATGAGATCCTGAGGACAATAGTATTGTGTTTTGGATTAATATATGCCATTTTAGAGTTAAAAAACAACCCCCACTACCACAACAACAAGAAAATCACCCATTGCTTTTTGTTTTTACATTTGTGTGAACCTTTTTGCTGTTACAGATTTCTACGCCCCACTAAGGTCTGGTTTAGTCAGAAAATCAGAGGGAGCCCACAGTGTATGAAAGGGTTATTCATCTCGAGGGCTGAGCATGAAGGTCCTCAGTCCTCAGTGAGTGATCCTGTGCACATACCCTCAAAGTACAGATGGCTCCTCAGGGCAGGAATTAAAGATGAAGAGAGAATGATTCTCAAATGGAACACAGTACATTAATTCACTTAGAGGGCACAGGGTGTGTCTGCTTCACTGACTTTTCCAAAGACAGAATTTGGCCCTATGTCCAGTTATAGTACATGAGTTTACTCCTTCAAATGTGCCTCTAAATTTCCCCAAATGAGGGCCATGGCTTATCCCCAAATTCTAAATGAGCTCCTTGCTGGTTTGAAAGCACTTGAGGCAATTTAAGTTTCAGAGACACTGGAGGCTGAGACTTCACCTTTGTCTTCACCCTCCCCCAGAATGTCCGAAGAGCAGGCAATCCCTTTCACTCAGGAGTTGTGGCAGTTGGCTGAGGCCTCCCTGAGGAGAAAAGAAAGGGGGAAAACTGTGCTGGGTGAGGTTGGCCTCTCCTAACTCTTACTAATAGAGAAGATGTGGGCTGAGGCAAAAGCAGGGGCTGGGCTTGCTGAGTAAACAGGATGGGATGAGAAAGAGAATGATGCTTTTATATTCTTGTCTATTATGGATCCAGGGAGTCTCTTTAATGGAGATGAAAGGGAGAGATAGATTTAAAGGAAATCGTTTCCAAAGCTAAATGTGCAGGCCGCTGATGTGTCTTCATTCCCTTTCCCATGGATGGGGGCTAGACCGTCAATTGGCATCGCTGGCCGGATTTCACACATGCTTTTTTTGTTTGTTTTGAGACAGAGTTTCGCTCTTGTCGCCCAGGCTGGAGTGCAATGGCGCGATCTCAGCTCACTGCAACCTCTGCCTCCTGGGTTCAAGCGATTCTCCTGCCTCAGCCTCCCAAAGTAGCTGAGATTATAGGCATCTGCCACCAGGCCCAGCTAATTTTTTTTGTATTTTTAGTTGACATGGGGTTTCACTGTGTTGGCCAGGCTGGTCTTGAAATGCTGACCTCAGGTGATCCACCTGCCTCGGCCTCCCAAATTGTTGGGATTACCGGTGTGATCCACCGCGCCCAGCCTCACTCATGTTTTTAAATCAATGGCTCTGGTATACCTCTATCATCTGAGAATTTGATTTTTAGACCCTTCATTTATTTATTCATTTTACTAATATTAATTGAGTGTTACTAATGCCAGGCACTTTTTGGGGCACTGTGAATATGACCGTGAACAAGACAGCCTTTATCAAAATAAAGTGAATTACGATAGACAAGTGCAGAACGTGCACAAAGTAGACCCAGGTGCTACGAAAATACCGGAGAGGGAGTACTCATCCAGGCGTCTCTCAGGGAGGGGTGGTCAGGGAGGGCTCCCCTGAAAAGCAGTTCATGACACCTAAATTGAGCCTGGAGTTAGCCAGATGGAGAAAAGAGAAAGAGGGTTTTCTAGCGAGGTGATTCCATGTAGGCAAAAAAAAGCTTAGAGTCTTGACATGACAAGAACATTGCGTAATAGGGGCAACAGTATCATTCCTAAAAAGTGCATAGTGCTCTCAGGGAGACGAGAGAAGACAAAGGTATCCCCAGGACATTTAAGGAAGGCTGCCATAGAAATGACACAAAAATTATCCAGGTGTTTCAGAGAACATCCAGATGAGATTCCACACCTAGTGTAGGAATAAAAAAGTGTTGTTTGCATTTGAAACTTTCTTTCACGTATGAAATCATTTTTGACTTGAGCCCATGAATACCTTTTTTTAAAAAGAGCAATTTAAGACTATGAGGCAGGCAAGATTCGCAAAGGAGTTTTCCCTTACCTTATCAAAAATGCTAACATATTTACGTATGTAAATGTCTTAAGTGACTTCTTAAGTAATTTGCCTCTGTAGTCTTAGAAGTGGCATTGCTAAAATAAACTATGGTGCTTATCACATTTCAAATTTTGTATTGACACCTGCATATCAGAAAATTTTATCATTGAAATTTAATTTTAATACCATATATGCATACATCAGTATTTAGAAGATTGCTATAAAACCTTGCATCTTCCTATATATATAAAAAAATACATATAAACATGTTTATGACAAAGTTTTTTGTATTTTTTTGCTTTTTGTTTTTTGAGACAGAGTCTTGCTCTGTCACCCAGGCTGGAGTGCAGTGGCGCAATCTTGGCTCACTGCAAACTCCACCTCCCGAGTTCAAGCGATTTTCCTGCCTCAGCCTCCTGAGTAGCTGGGATTTCAGGTGTGTGCCACCATACCTGGCTAATTTTTGTATTTTTAGTAGAGACAGGCTTTCACCGTATTGGTCAGGCTGGTCTCGAACTCCTGACCTCATGATCTGCCCACCTCGGCCTCCCAAAGTGCTGGGATTACAAGCGTAAGCCACTGTGCCTGGCCTTATGACAAAGTTTTAACCAAAAAAAATGACTAGTATTGGAGAACCAAACTGTTACAGATTTTTTTCATTTATCAATTTTATTCCAGACAATATAAAAGAAATAAGAACTCTGTCAGTATTTAAAAAAAAAAAAAACTTTATTTCATGCCATTATTTCCTTTCAATCTGCTAGCTAAAAACATGTCCATATCAAGCTTTGTTTCCTGATCCTTATTATAGTCTCCATAAAAATCATTAGAAATATACTGTCTCAAAAAGAGAAGCTGATTCCTCTTCTGCCCAAATTGTTAGTTTTCTGATTGACTTTGAAAACCAAAACTTTACTCTCTTTGAGGGAAAATAATCTATTTTTCTAGAGAATTTCAATCTGTCAGTCACTCTGATAGACGCATAGCTCCTACTGTATTATTTTTTGCTTCAGCTAACATATGTTAAAACAAAATCATTTTTAAAGCTAAAGGCAAGCCAACATTCTGATTCGCTTCAAAAGTTCTTTAGTTAACCAACGACTGCCAAGTTTCCCCAATGTAAAACATGTTCTTGACTCATTTTCTTCAAGTATCAAAGTGTGTGATCTGCCCCAGGATAAGAGCTGCATCCAAATATTATGTCTTAGCAAAAAAGTTACAGTTGCTAAATTTGTAACTCATATATTTTTAGTTTTAAATCTCACAGAAAGAAACTTTAGCTCTAAGACATGAAATGACTAAGAAAGGAAAAAAAAAGTTCAGGAAGTCTTCACTGTTCCTTATTTGTAGTCAATGATCCATTTGTGTGATGGCCAAAAGTGTTGTTACAACGAATTACTATAAGCAGACAGAGGCTACAGTTTTCACTGATATTTCCTCTTAGGGCCTAGAGAATTCAGTGTCCTCGGTTAAAAGTATAGATTGGGTTTAGGTAGTCGGGATATTTTTCAGCAATTCTTTTTCAAAGAAATACTTGTATGAAAAATTGTTTTGGTCTATGCTGAAACAACACATTGTGCACAGTAACTGAAAGTTTTATGTAAGTCAGTCAGCCAAAAGAACCCAGACATCTGAAAATGTGCCATATTCACTAAATTGCTACTCCAAAGGAAGAAACTTGATTAAAATGTTAAATAAGTCAATGGAATAAAATCAGGGAGCTAGTTGCTCGCCTGCCTGCTTTCCCCTCTTTTCCCCTTCCTTCCCTCCCTCCCTCCCTCCTTTCCTTCCTTCCTTTTTTCTTCCTTTCTCCCTTCCTCTCTCTCTTCTCCCACCTCTTCTTTTCTTTTTCTTTTTTAATCCAGATATTTTTAGCCTGGAGCATGTTTGTCTCATGTTTTTACAACTCATCTACATTAAACCACATTTCTGTCAACCAGAATATTTATAGCATACCAATTATTTAAATAATCAGAACCCTTGGGTAAAAGTGTTTCAGGTGCCAAAAAACAGCAATTCTCTTCAGCATGCCGAGAAATTGTTTCTTCCAAGAGTTTAGAATTGGAATTTCCTCTGAAACACAGACAAATGCACGTGGACGTCAAGCTAGAATTTCTTCTCTGTACTCTAGAAACGGACATTCTGAGACAGCATTGCCACGACCTTCCAAGTAGCTAGAGCTGAGCCAACGCTGTAGGGAGGCCTAGAGGAAAAGGCAGACATATTAGACTTCTGGTTCTCAGAAATTAGCTGCTCATTAGAGTCACCTGGGGACTTTTTTTTTTTTTTTTTGAGATGGAGTCTCGCTCTAGTCCCCAGGCTGGAGTGCAGTGGCACGATCTTGGCTCATTGCAACCTCTGCCTCCCGGGTTCACATCGTTCTCCTGCCTCAGCCTCTCGAGGAGCTGGGACTACAGGCGCCCGCCACCACACCCGGCTAACATTTTGTATTTTCAGTAGGGACGGGGTTTCACCGTGTTAGCCAGGATGGTCTCGATCTCCTGACCTCGTGATCCGCCCACCTCACCCTCCCAAAGTGCTGGGATTACAGGCGTGAGCCACCGCGCCCGGCCACCTGGGGACTTTTAAGAAACAATTCTGATGGCCGGGTCTCACCTGCAGAGGTTCTATCATTAGCCTGGGATACGGCTTGGGTCTCAGTATTTTTAAAAATCAGCAGAGCTTGAGGATCATTGTTTTAAAGCATGCCAATTTCAAATTTAGGCCTTAGACAGATTATGATAAAAGAAATTGCCCTTTGGCCTGGCACGGTGGTTCACACCTTTAATCCCAACACTTTGGGAGGCTGAAGCAGGAGGATCCCTTAAGGTCAGGAGTTTGAGACCAGCCTGGCCGACATAGTGAGACCCCTGTTTCTACAAAAAGAAAATTTTATTTTATTTTTTTTTTTTTGGAGACAGAGTCTCGCTCTGTCGCCCAGGCTGGAGTGCAGTGGCGCGATCTCGGCTCACTGCAAGCTCCGCCTCCCGGGTTCACGCCATTCTCCTGCCTCAGACTCCCAAGTAGCTGGGACTGCAGGCACCTGCCACCATGCCCGGCTAATTTTTGTATTTTCAGTAGAGACGGGGTTTCACCGTGTTAGCCAGGATGGTCTTGAGCTCCTGACCTCGTGATCCACCCGCCTTGGCCTCCCCCAAAAAAATTTTTTTAAATTGCTAGTCATGGTAGTTGTTCACCTGTAGTCTTAGCGCCTCAGAAGGCTGAGGCTGGAGAATTGCCTAAGCCCAGTAATTTAAGGCTGCAATGAGCTATGATTGTGCCAGCACACTCCAGCCTGGTTGATAGTGTAAGGTCCTGTCTAGAAAAACAACAACAACAACAACAACACCTCATCTGAGCTGAAAAATTAATTGAAAAAAGGGAAGAGTTCTTCTTGATGTTCCTGATTATTCTGTTGTCATTTAAAACAATTGACTAGCCATTTATTTATTTCATGATTTATTTTTGTGTGTGTGTGATGCAGTTTCACTCTTCTTGCCCAGGCTGGAGTGCAATGGCACAATCTCGGCTCACTGTAACCTCTGCCTCCTGGGTTCAAGTGATTCTCCACCCTCAGTGTCACAAGTAGCTGGGATTACAGGTGTGTGCCACCACGCCCAGCTAATTTTTGTATTTTTAGTAGAGATGGAGTTTCTCCATGTTGGTCAGGCTGGTCTCTAATGCCTGACTTCAGGTGATCCGCCTGCCTCGGCCTCCCAAAGTGCTGGGATTACAGGTGTCAGTCACCGCATCCCGTGTATTTCGTGATGATTTGTAATCACTTTTTTTTCTGCCTTTTGGATGGTAGACATCAGAAACTTTACATCCGATCAACACCAAACAGGTGTGGGAATAAATGTCATGCTGTTTCCTTGCCTCTTAGGCCTGCTACCGAAGAGGAGTGGAAAACTCAGTTTTCTGGTTTGACTCTAGTGAGATGGCCCATTCAAAGAGAGTAGCCCATACACAGGACCAGCGATTGTGGCCAGGCAGGAATGTGGGCCCAGAGTCTTCAGATCTTCCCATTTTTTCAAGAGAAACCAGAAATCATCATCTTTATGTGAAATTTCCAGTTTCTTAATGTTGGCAAGTAATTAAATTGTGGGTAATCAAAACACATCTGCCAACCAAATGGAAGCTGCCACTCTGCAACTTCTGGCCTAGAAGGCACTTCATCTTATCTTCACTCAGCTAATGACTACTCAGCTTTCAACACTCAGTTCTGGAGACAGTTCCTTTGAAAAAACTTCCCTGGCCACCCCTCCTCGACACTACCCCTTTACCCCTAGCCTGCTGCTCCAACTCTGAGCACTCAAGTATATCTCCTAAGCTTACTTCCCTCCAGTGTGATGTGTGTCTGTCTCCCCTAAGAGACTGCCTGATACTGGAGGGCTGAGATGGTGTCTTAGCACATTTATTTTTGGAATGTATGTCAGTTCCAAACTGGATACTAACTCAGCAAACAAATGTTCATTAAATACTTACTATGGGCTGAGCACGGTGGCTCACACCTGCAATCCCAGGACTTTGGGAGGCCGAGGTGGGCAGATCACCTGAGGTCAAGAGTTCGAGACCAGCCTGACCAACACGGAGATATCCCATCTCTACTAAAAATACAAAATTAGCCAAGCTTGGTGGCGCACACCTGCGATCCCAGCTACTCGGGAGGCTGAGGTAAGAGAATTGCTTGAACCCGGGAGGCGGAGGTTGTGGTGAGCCAAGATCGCAGCATTGCACTCCAGCCTGGGCAACAAGAGCAAGACTCTGTCTCAATAAATAAATAAATAAATTCTTACTATGTGTATATATAAAAATTCAACAGCACTTTGGGAGGCTGAGGTGGGTGGATCACCTGAGGTCAGGAGTTTGAGACCAGCCTAGTCAATGTGATGAAACCCCATCTCTACTAAAAATAGAAAAAGCCTGGTGCGGTGGCTCATGCCTGTAATCTCAGCACTTTGGGAGGCCGAGGCAGGCGGATCACCTGAGGTCAGGAGTTTGAGACCAGCCTGGCCAACATGGTGAAACCCTGTCTTTACTAAAAGTACAAAAAATTAGCCGGGCGTCATGGCGGGCGCTTGTAATCCCAGCTAATCGGGAAGCTGAGGCAGGAGAATCACTTGAACCCGGGAGACAGAGGTTGCAATGAGCCAGGATCACGCCATTGCACTCCAGCCTGGGCGACAAGAGTGAGACTCCGTCTCAAAAAAAAAAAAAAAAAAAAAAAAATTAGCTGGGTGTGGTGGTGGGCATCTGTAATCCCAGCTACTTGGGAGGCTGAGGCAAGAGAATTGCTTGAACCTGGGAGGCAGAGGTTGCAGTGAGCCAAGACCACACCATTGCACTCCAGCCTGGGCAACAAGAGCAAAACTCTTGTCTCTGAAAAAAGAAAAAAAATTTCAACAAATTCAAACTGTGGCCTGTTAGGAACATAAATTAAGAATGTAAACACTAGGAAAAAGTTTTCCATCTCCAAATAGATGCCATTATCTTTGCACATTGTATCTCCTCCCAGATTTAATTCACTTATGAGCATCATCAGAATGTCTCCATAAGAGGGCCAGGCCGGGCGCGGTGGCTCACGCCTGTAACCCCAGCATTTTGGGAGGCCGAGGCGGGTGGATCACGAGGTCCACCTGGGAGGCGGAGGTTGCAGTGAGCTGAGATCGGGCCACTGCACTACAGCCTGGCGACAGAGCAAGACTCCGTCTCAAAAAAAAAAAAAAGAATGTCTCCATAAGAGGATCATTATTCCTCAAAGAGAGTCAAGTAACTTGCAGAAGGTCACATAGGTGGCACCTTGAACCCAGGTTGGCTTCAAAGGCCACTCTCTCAACTAAGCTTATCTTTGATCATTTTATATTTAACTGGGAATAATAATATTAATAGAACCTGCCTTAAAGGGTTGTTGTAAGGATTAATTATGCCAACATCTCTACACCGTGCTGGGTCATTACTATTACTCATGACTTAACATAGTACCTCTAAAGAACCCGGTGTATTACCATCTTTCAAATGAGGGTCCAAGGTCAACCATCAAGGTCTCTCTGCTAGGAGGTTGCAGAGCCGAGATTTAAACATGAATCTGCCACCAAGTCCATCACTTTGCCAGTTACACTAGAGAAAAATCAACCCAGTCCCCCTAAATGTTTGCCAAACTGCCAATGCTTAAAACTCACTCCCACACATTAGGCTTTTACTACTCGCCTTAACCGGTATCCAAATACAAATAAATTCCTTTTATCTTTATATTAATAAAAATAAAAGCTAACGTTATTGAGTTCTGTGTTCTCAACCTTCTACTAAGCATGTGCCTTTCATTATCTTCTTTAATCTCTATGAGGCATGCATTATTATTTTCAGATGAGGAAATTAAGACCCAGAAGTTTAAGTAACTTGCCCAAAGACACAAAGTAGTGTTTAAGCCTAGACTCTGACTCCAAAGCCAATAAGGGTTCTTAACCTCTCGGGCAGCCATTGAGATTTCCCAGACCACTACAATGTCATTAAAACTAATGATAATCACATTACAAACCAACTTACTAACTCTTTATTGTATTACCATCAACTCATAAAAGAAAGAACATGCTAACACAAAAACTGTTGAGAGGCCATAATCTCAGAGTAAAATAATTAAATACATTTTATGAAAAGTTTCAGACTCTTTAACTTTTCCATATGTACTGGTGGAAGCTTTGTCTTCACCACTGCCTCTCTGCTACTGTCTTTTTCTTGTCCTTTCCTGCTTAGTCACTGCCAGTGCCACCACTCCACCATTTCTTCTCCTTAACATTCTATTTATTCTTTCATTTAGAGCTGGGATAATTGTCCCACAATTAGCACTGGAATCATTTGGCCTGGGAGAAGAAAGCCCTGGGAGAGAAAGTGGGGGTGGTCCAACCTAGGCAATGGGGAAAAGGCTCGGTAGCCAAGGACAGGGGTGGCTGTCCATGCTGCATGCACAGTCAAAAAGAGAGGTGCTGGCTGGGCGCAGTGGCTCACGCCTGTAATCCCAGCACTTTGGGAGGCCGAGGCAGGCAGATCAACAGAGGTCAGCAGTTCGAAATCAGTCTGGCCAACATGGTGAAACCCTGTCTCTACTAAAAATCAGCTGGGCATAGTAGCAGATGCCTGTAATCCCAGCTACAGCTACTTGGGAGGCTGAGGCGGGAGAATCGCTTGAACCCAGGAGCAGAGGTTGCAGTGAGCTGAGATCACACCATTGCACTCCAGCCTGGGCGACAAGAGCGAGACTCCATTTAAAAAAAAAAAAAAAAAAAAAAAAGGAGATGCCATGGAGCACTGTGGTATGTGATGCAGAGTTTAGGAAAAAGAAGGATGAAAAAGGACAGGCAAAAGGACAAAGTGCTTCTCTAACTCTACCTTCTTAACACTCAGACAGAGAGAAGAAGTAGGCCGATGGCAAGAAGAAGTCATGTTGACAAAGCAAAGGATGTTTTCATTGTACTGACAACTCTCCACAGGTACCACTCAGGTAGAAAGTATGACCTAGGATCCAAATTCAGTCTATCTGACTGCAAAGTCTGGGCATGTTTCCCCATGCCACAACAGACATGCCCAAAGTGAAAAGGATAAGAAATGTTAAGGCCAGAATTAGAACCCAGGACCTTTGACTTCTTATCACTCTGTTTCCATGATACAAACTGTAATTCCCACAGCTGAGTCAGGCCACACTTCAAAACAATGCTAGATTTAGTATCAGCAATTGTATCCCCGATGACTCCTCATTTTTGCCTGATCAAGAGCATAGGTGATCAAGAAGGAAAAGGCAAGAGAAAGAAAAATGTGGAAAAGAAGAAAGTTGGAGGCCCAAAGAATGTTCTAAGATGAGGAGACTGACAAATTCCCTCGCCAATTGTCTCCAGAACATAACACGCTGTGGTATTCACACCGTACGTGACACTGTGCTAACCACCATCACAGTCATTTTAAACAGTTTGCATTTTGAACAGTGTGCTTTTGAGACTCTTAGTAAATGCAACCATTCTCTTATTCCTTGAGATTAATAAACTTATTTATGATGAACCTCATTCTCAATGGGGGACATACCTGACAGATCTAATTATCTATAAAAAGAAGGCAGTACACAATTGCTTAAAGAATAAATAACTTTAGTGAAGAGCAGAAGCAAAGCATGAGGAGGAACAGGTCCCAGTAGCCCTGGTTGGAAAACACAATTTGCCAAAATCTCAAAAATGGGTAGTCGTGTTTTGTGCAACTAATACATAGAAGGATATTTAACCTGGAGTATCTCTTTTAGTGAGTTTTTCTACTAGCACATTAGCAAGACAGGTGTTTGGTGGGTCTTTTTGGAGGGGAGTAGACAAATGTAGAGAAAAAGAAAAGCTAAAAAAGGAAGTCTAAACCTGCATTCTCTTGTATCAGGAAATGTTCATGTATTTTACGCCCAATCTGTGTTGACCCTATTTGGCTTGTAGTCAATGCAAGCAGCATCTGACCTGCGGAAGTTAATTCTACAGAGTAATGGAATTGAGTTAGCAAGGCTTCATCCTATTACCTTCTGATAAAAAAATTAATTCTTTTTTTTCTCTCTCTCACAGTGAGTCCCTGACACTTCTAACTATTTGTGTTGCTAGTGAAAATAACTGGATTCAAAATTCAACTACTTTTCCTGAAACTCTTTAGTGCGTTTAAGGGCATTTTATTTCTTTTCACTGAACATTTTATTTTCCCTACTAACTAAAATAATAAAATGTATACATAGGGACATGGGCAGGAGTTGACGTGGGTTTTTTTTGTTTTTTTTTTTGTTTGTTTTTTTTTGAGACGGAGTCTCACTCTGTTGCCCAGGCTGAAGTGCAGTGGTGTGATCTCGGCTCACTGCAAGCTCCGCCTCCTGGGTTCACGCCATTCTCCTGCCTCAGCCTCCCGAGTAGCTGGGACTACAGGTGCCCGCCACCATGCCCGGCTAGTTTTATTTATTTATTTATTTATTTTGTATTTTTAGTAGAGACGGGGTTTCACCGTGTTAGCCAGGATGGTCTCGATCTCCTAACCTTGTGATCCGCCTGCCTCGTCGTCCCAAAGTGCTGGGATTCCAGGTGTGGGCCACCGTGCCCGGCGTATTTTTATTTTTATTTTTTAGCTCATCAGCTATTGTTAGCATTAGTGTATTTTATGTGTGGCCCAAGACTATTCTTCTTCCATTGTGGCCCAGGGAAGCCAAAATATTGGACACCTCTGTCTTAGATACAAGTAAACAACCAAGGCTGAAAAAAAAAAAAGGCCTTTAACATTAAAACAGTAAGTGAATCAAATGAATAGAAGAAAGCAACTTGAGTGAAACAAAGATTATACAATAAAAATAAAAACCCAAAATATTTGAATACCATCAGGTAAAATATTGCAGTTATGAAACAAGGACAAAATATTATTTTTAATGAACATTTAGAAAACAAAAAGGAATTATTGGAAATTAAAAAATATGAAAAAGGCAATAGAAGACTGGACAATAAAACTAGTCCTGAAAGTAAAGCAAAAAGACAAAGAGTTAGAAAATAGAAAAGCAAAGGTAAAATTAAAAGACAACCCTGAAGATATGATATCCAAAGAACAGGAGTTCCAAAAACTAAATAAATATAAATAAAATAGAAACTTACAAGGAAATAATTTTAAAATTATACCTAGTCCAGAGGATATGAGTTTTCAGATTCAAAAGGATTTACTGGGTATCCAACAAAAAGGATGAAAACAAACCCAGACTAAGGCATATCATAGAAAAATATAATATCATGGAGATGAAAAGGTCTTACAAGCTTCCAGAGAAAGAAAAAAAAGTCACAACAAAAGATATCCAGACTTTTTAATAACAACACTGGAAGTTAGAAAGCAAAAGAATAATGTCCTCAAAATTCTAAAGGAAAATGATTACTAACACGGAACTTTATATCTAACAAAACTTTTATCATGTATGATGGTAGGGAAAAAAAAAGACATTTTGGGAATTACAAGTTTTCAAAACATTTACTTGTCTTCTTCCCTTTCTCAGAAAGCTATTAGAATGTTGTCAGTAAACCAGAAAGAGGAAGCAATGGATACAGGAAGCAGAATTCACACAGGGACTGTTAAAGGGAAATTCCAGAGCGATAGTGAAGGGAATCTCTGAGAGCAGCTAGTCCAAGGTGGGACACATCATAAAGCTCCAGGAGAGAATCTTCAGGGAGATAAAATTGGGAGACTATGTGATGTGTCTGAACATCCTAAGAGAATACAAATACCAAAGAGCACACATTGAACTAATGATTAAAATAAAACCCAGAAAAGAAAAACAAAGCAAAAGGAAAAAATAAAATAATTATCAGGGAAACAAAAGTTGTATAAGAAAGAAAAAGCAATGTCATGGTTTACAGTATGACTCAGCTGTGAAGAATCATTGTGATGTAAACCCTAATGCTGACCAGGCAAAAATTATGACATAAGAATGTTGGAAGGAGAGGGGGACAGGGAGTGTGGTATGGACAGGGGTGTGGGAGAGGCAGGGAGAAAGAGAATTAACCTCCTCTTCTGCAGTGGGAAGTTATTTTTTGGCACCTAAAACTGAAAAATGAAGAAGTTAGCAATATAGACATGTTATATAGAAACATAAAAGCAAACATGAAAAGCACACACAGATACATGACAGCAATTGCCTCTGGAGAGGGGGATGCAGGAGACAGGGAGGTAGAGAATCACTGCTTTTCCTCATCAACCTTGTGGAACCTTATTTTATTTTTTATTTTTTGAGACCGCCGCTCTGTCGCCCAGGCTGGAGTGCAGTGGCGCCATCTCAGCTCACTGCAACCTCCGCCTCCCAGATTCAAGCAATTCTCCGCCTCAGCCTCTGGGATTACAGGTGCCCGCCACCATGCGTAGCTAATTTTTATATTTTTGGTAGTGATGGGGTTTCACCATCTTGACTAGGCTGGTCTCCAACTCCTGACCTCGTGATCCACCCGCCTCAGCCTCCCAAAGTGCTGGGATTACAGGCATGAGCCACCGCACCTGACCCCTTTTTGTACTTTAAACTGCAGCCATATATTACTTTGATGCAAGCATAAAAAAAAAATCTAAAAAGTGTAAAAAGGAGTGAGTGGCTGGCTTTTGGAGCTCTACATATTTAGGTTAGAATCTCACTGCAGCAGTAACCTGGATCGGACCTTGTGTAACTTCCTTAACCTCTCGGAGCCTGCTTGTTTCCATCTGTTAAATTGGGACAATGGCAGTTGTGAGGATTAAATGAGGTTTAATGTGTAAGGCCTTTTGCCAATATTGGACAATTAATGTCAGTTTCCATTTCAAATGGCCAAGGCTTACTTGGCCATTGTGGGAGCCTACAAGCCAAAGTGTTTCTGCTGTTGCAGCAGAGTTCTAATTACACCAATTGCCCAATTGTTTGAGGTGGGAGGCTTTAGATCAATGCTTCTCAATCTTGAACAAGGTATAGACTCCTTTTAAAGGAGAAACAACAACAAAAAACCCCACCAGACTCTTAGGGGTCTAATGTTGACTTAGACAATTTTTATTATAATGTTATTTAATTATTTATTAATTTCTTAAATACATAGAACTTGGAAAAGCCTAAATTAATAAATACAGTCAAAATAAATATAAACACAAAACAAATAACAAGACCAGTAAAATTCAAATGAACACTAATTTAATGTGACAGTTGGTAACATTTCGCTGAAACCAAATTACAGCTCTTCAGGAGTGCATGCTATAGCACGTTCTCATGGGTCTCTGTGCCCAGGTTACTTGGTGCTGGTTGATGACCCAATTTCTCACTGATTTTCTGTAAAGCCTTCTTTCAAAGATAGCTGCATATCTCCTTGGCCTTTGCATGGTTCTAGCATGTCTCTTACATGTCAGATCTACCAATAATCTTTTCTCGTTAGTCCAATAAAGTGAAATAACACAACTTGGCACTAACTCAATCAGAAACAGAAACTCAGGCTCAAAAATTGAGAAGAATCCCAAATTAAAAATCTTTATATAGAAAACAAGAGAATCCCTTTTTTAAATATTATAAATAAATTATATTTAATGAAAGAGCTGTATTTTCTAAAACAAAATATATATTGAGAAGAATGGCATTGTTCTGCATTTTTTCAAATATCTCTAATGTCTGATATAATAGCTGGATTCTCATATTTGCTTTTGTATTTAATTTGTTGTTCTATGTTGTGGCTAAGTATATGGAGAAAATCCATTCTTACACAGATGCATATTTGGAAAAAAAACAAGGAAGAGGTTATTCACACTTAAGTATTAGGCATATCTGTTGCCAGTGATATAGTCCACGCTTTTTTGGGGGATTTTTTGTTTTTGTTTTTGTTTTTCAGACGGAGTCTCACTCTGTCACCCAGGCTGGAGGGCAGTGGCGTGATCTTGGCTCACTCCAAGTTCCGCCTCCCAGGTTCACGCCATTCTTCTACCTCAGCCTCCCAAGTAGCTGGGACTACAGGTGCCCGCCACCACACCTGGCTAATTTTTTGTATTTTTAGTAGAGACGGGGTTTCACCATGTTAGCCAGGATGGTCTCGATCTCCTGACCTTGTGATCCGCCCGCCGTGGCCTCCGAAAGTGCTGGGATTACAGGCGTGAGCCACCGCGCCAGGCCTAATCTATGCTTTTAAGTGAAAAGTAGAATGCTAGAGATTTTTATCTGCTGTGATGAGACTGATAGATTCACAATACTTAATGATTTTTTCAAGAGATCAGTGGTGATACTGATGTACGTGATTTTTTTATATTAGGTCAATGATGAAAAGATCATCAGAAATCATTGAACCCACATTTTCTTTTTTTTATTATTATTATACTTTAAGTTTTAGGGTACATGTGCACAACGTGCAGGTTTGTTACATATATATACATGTGCCATGTTGGTGTGCTGCACCCATTAACTCGTCATTTAGCATTACGTATATCTCCTAATGCCATCCCTCCCCCCTCCCCCCACCCCACAACAGTCCCCGGTGTGTGATGTTCCCCTTCCTGTGTCCATGTGTTCTCTTTGTTCAATTCCCACCTATGAGTGAGAACATGTGTACCCACATTTTCTAAACTAAGAATATATAATGTACAAAATCATGTACGGGTAGACTCATTCAACATGCAAGACAGGCCATCGAATTTTGATATTACAGTATGTGAAAAGTTCATTAAAATAATTTGCAATGCTGTTTTGCAACTAACCTTTAAGAAACAATTACATGTTGAGTTTTGACACATGTACTTATATTTCAAGAAAGAAATCCACAGTTATCCTAAAAGAGAATCCCTTAATGAAACTTTCTGGAGGTTAACTAAGCCCTCCTGGGGAGCCATAACCAAGAGTCAAGAGCGAGGCCTGGGACAGGGCATGGTGGCTCACGCCTGTAATCCCAGCACTTTGGGAGGCCGAGGGAGAGGTTGCAGTGAGCCGAGATCACGCCATTGCACTCCAGCCTGGGTGACAGAGCAAGACACTGTCTCAAAAAAAAAAAAAAAAGAGTGAGGCCTTTCCAGTCAGCAGATGCCATTCTTGCTTTCCTTTTCTCTCCCCGTCCCTTCCAAATGTGAAGACACATGTCCAGTCAAAATTACTAGTTTCATTCTGCTTTTGACCATACCCATGGGACATCTAATGATGATTTCCTTCTTTCTACACACAATCATTCCTCTTTTTATTGTATTGGTTGTGATGGGTCCTTTGTTTGCTTTATTTGTTTTTTAAAATTTTGCCTTCTTTTTCAAAATATATATTAAGATATTTTGGCTGGGCACAGTAATCCCAGCACTTTTGGGAGGTTTTTTAGTATATATGCTGCCGAAGCGAGAACTATTCAAGGTTTTTTAAGCCTCTCCTAGGAAGAGGTAGTGTCATGAAAAGAATAAAAGGAGCCAGGCTCGATGGCTCATGCCTGTAATCCTAGCTCTTTGGGAGGCCAAGACAAGCAGATTCTCAAGCTCAGTAGTTTGAGACCAGCCAGGGCAACATGGCAAAACCCTGTCTCTACAAAAAATAAAAATAAATAAATAGATAAATATTAGCCAAAAGTAAAAAAATTTTAAAAGTATAGTATATTAAACTTCCCCAACCCAACTTCAGCTCTTCCCCTGTAACCCAGGCTGCTAGTCTGGGAGCATAGCCTCAGACATGGCAGGCTGTTTTCTGGCAACACACATCCAACCACACATGTACCATGTACCAAAGCCCAGGGAGTGAAATGTCCCTCACGGTCCAGGTTTTCTCTTTTCTGCAACCACAGTTATCCACAGAAGTCATGAAAGTTCAGGCAATCATGGTCATTTCCGTGACTCCAGGTGACTGCAATGACTAAAAGGAAAGTAAAAGAAGTTGCCTCTGCTCATACCCAAAATACCTCCAGCTATATATACATGTTTTCAACAAATATTTATTAAACAACTACTATGTGAGATTCCACGTTTTCTATTAGGTGATACAAGGGATACAAAGTTGAAGAACACGTATGTCCTACTTAGAAAAGTACACAATCTAGAGGAGGGGGTGGACACATAAACAAATAACTGCAAAGATTGATATGCGGTGTGCTATGGGAACATAGAGGAAGGAGCAACTCCAGCTTGCCTGGACTGACTCTGAATTGGTCTTCTGGCTGAGTTAGAGTTTCTCAGCTTAATAAAAGGTGAATAGGAAAAGGAGTCCAGGCAGGAGATAGAGCACAGAAATATTAAAAAAAAAAAAAAAAAAAAAAAAAAAACTTAGTTCATGCAAGGAAAAGTAAGTAGGTCTGGGGTTACATAATGTATAGTAGATAAAAATAAACCAGAAAAAACATGGGACAGATGTTTAAGTTTGACTTTTTCCCCATAGTTTCAATTTGATGTATGTGTGTGTAGGTGTATATACAAATATATGACAATATTTATGTAAACAAAGCACTGTTCCAGATATTGCAAATCTAGAAATACTTTTTTGCAGTGTTTCTCAGAAGGAAAACTTGGACATGACATATAAAGCAAGTAATAACTCATGGAAAGCAAGTCTACAGAGAACCACAATAACATTGATCAAGTATTTGGTATGATTTTTCAATGAGTAAAATCTAGAATAGTTAGGCAAATGGACAAACTGCATGTCCTTCAAACAATTCTTCATAAATAACATTTTTTTTTTTTTGAGACAGAGTCTTGCTCTGTCACCCAGGCTGGAGTGCAAGGGTGCGATCTTGGCTCACTGCGAGCTCTGCCTCCCGGGTTCACGCCATTCTCCTTCGTCAGCCTCCCGAGTAGCTGGGACTATAGGTGCCCGCCACCACGCCCGGCTAATTTTTTGTATTTTTAGTAGAGACGGGGTTTCACCGTGTTAGCCAGGATGGTCTCAATCTCCTGACCTCGTGATTTGCCCGCCTCGGCCTCCCAAAGTGCTGGGATAACAGGCATGAGCCATCACACCCAGCCTCATAAATAACATTTCTATCAAACAAGAGTTTGATAAGAATTAAGCAATAGGTAGTTGAGTTTATAATCTTTGCAGATACTTTAAAGTTGATTCTAATGGCAGTTGGTATTCATTGGAGAGTTGTAATAATGAGCTGATATAATTATATATAATTCACATGTGCGAATTTTAGGAAGGAATGGAAGGAAGAGCAGGAAGACCCATGCAGGGGTTTATTACATTGTCTGAAACGAAGAAAAAAAATAGGCCGGATGCAGTGGCTCATGCCTGTAATCCCAACACTTTGGGAGGTCAAGGCAGGCAGATCACGAGGTCAGGAGTTCGAGACCAGCCTGGCCAACATAGTGAAACCCCATCTCTACTAAAAATACCAAAATTAGCTGGGTGTGGTGGCATGTGCCCGTAGTCCCAGCTACTCGGGAAGCTGAGGCAGGAGAATCACTTGAACCCGGGAGGCAGAGGTTGCAGTGAGCCAAGACCATGCCGTTGCACTCCAGCCTGGGTGACAGAGTGAGACTCCATCTAAAAAAAAAAAAAAAAAAATTAAAAAATTAAAAAATTTAAAAAAGAAAAAAGACAGAATTGAATTAGGTAGTGACAATACATGCAGGAGTCATTAAGTAGTAGAATTGCTCAAGTTTGCCATCAATTAGTGCTGGGGAGTGAGAAGTAAGAAGAGTCTTGGAAGCCTCTTAGATTTCTGGCACGAATTTCTGGGTGAGTTTTAATTCCCTTAACTAGAATAATAAAGACTAGATTGGGAAAGGCAGGGTGTAATTATGAGTTCTGGTAAAACTTGATGTTAGGAAGTGATGAAAGAGTGGACATGATTTATCTTTTTAATATAAGAAGAACAAATGTTGATGAGACAGTGATGGTCCCACACATTGGCACATCCCCATCAGGAGGCAATTTTTCAGTATTAATATAATACCAAATGCACACACCACATGACCAATCAATTCTATTTCTTGGCATTGACCTCAGATGTGCACTAGGAAGAATGTACAAGGATACGTATTGTAGCATTGTTTGTAATATAAAAAATTTAAACTACTTAAATTATCTTTAATATGGAAATAATTCAAAAAACCATGATAATGTTTCCAGACTTGCTGAATAATAAAAATCATCTAGGATATTGACAGAAAATAATTTCTTGGCCAGGCTCCGTGGCTCACGCCTGTAATCCCAGCACTTTGGGAAGCCAAGGTGGGTGGATCACCTGGGATCAGGAGTTCGAAACCAGCCTGGCCAGCATGGTGAAACCCCGTCTCTACTAAAAATACAAAAAAAAAATAGTAGCCAAGCATGGTGGTGGGTGCCTGTAATCCCAGCTACTCGGGGGGCTGAGAGGGGAGAATCACTTGAACCTGGGAGACGGAGGTTGTGGTGAGCTGAGATCATGCCACTGCACTCCAGCCTAGGCAACAGAGTAAGACCGCATCTCAAAAACAAACAAACAAACAAACACACAAAAAAAAAAAAAGAAAAAGAAAAGAATTTCTCCAACCCCCTTCCCAGTCCCATGAAACTAGACTCTCTTAGGGGTGAGAGCTGAATATTTATTTCTAGGTGACTCTTAGCGTTAGGAAACTTTCAGAAACAGTTAAGGAAAGTGTTTCCAAAACTATCTCCACAAATACTAGACAAGAATTTAAGACAATGCAGGTACATTTGTGTGAAGCAACTCAAAATGAGCCCCAAAATATATTGAGTGATCAACAGAGACTACAGGTGAACCCACAGTATGATACCATTATGTAGCCACAGGCTCACACACAGAACAATGTATTTTAAGAGGTAAATATGGGCTTGGGTGTGGTGGTTTCAAAGGGAACTTCTGTTATGCCTATAAAATTTGATTTTTCAGCCAGGCACAGTGGCTCACGCTTGTAATCCCAGCACTTTGGGTGGCTTAGACAGGCAGATCACGAGGTCAGGAGACTGAGACCATCCTGGACAACATGGTGAAACTCCGTCTCTACCAAAAAAAAAAAAAATTAGCTGGGTGTGGTGGCGCATGCCTGTAATCCTAGCTATTCAGGAGGCTGAGGCACGAGAATAGCTTGAACCCAAGAGGCGGAGGTTGCAGTGAGCCGAGATCATGCCACTGCACTCCAGCCTGGCGACAGAGTGAGACTCCGCCTCAAAAAATAAAAATAAAAATAAAGTTTGAGTTTTCTTTTTACAACCAAAATTTAGTTATATATTAATTCTTTAATTAAAAGTAAATATTTATGTACTGCTGGTGTGGTTGAGGTGATGAAGGTAGCCTTTGCAAAATTTATGATTTGTCTCAGATCCCACATACACTCTGAGAAATGTCCTTGTTATATTGTATCTACTTATTTATCAAATATTTGACATTGTTCTCTACAAACAATGAAGCAGGTTCATTGCTTTGGAAAGGCAGGGCAAGAGAGGCAGTAAAGATGGGGAACAGGACCAAGAAATCCCCTGCCATTTCCATATCTACCCATCTTTCAAGACCCAATTCAAATTCTGTCTCAAAGGGTCAGTTCCCACAACATGATCTCATCTCTTTGTCTTCTACACTCCCATGCCTCTTCCTTCATCTACTCACATATTTGTCTACGGGTCTCACCCCTCTTCCCACACTATCCCCCCTCCATTTCACTTTATATTTACCCAAATCCCAGCAGTGCCCTGCATACACAGCTCGCAATACTAAATGATTATTGAATGAAATGCTTCCAGCTATGCCTCTAAGGTCTGAGAATGGTCTTCTACTCTCCACTGTAATTACTGCTCAGTGGAAGTCACTTAGTCCTCTCTCCCCTTACATCTTCACCCCATCTCTCCCTCCTCTACACTGCTGTCTAAAACTCCTGCAATAAGAAACATGCATTTTCATTATATAATTAAAACTAAGGCTCAATATCCAAACCCCCTGAGGACAGCCATAAAAAGTAAATGGTTGCATCTCATTCTTTTAGAGCCCACCATGGACAGGAGTGAAAGAAGAGAGAGTAACCAGTTCCCACATACCTTGGGTAAGGTGAAGAGCAGAGTTGGAGAATAGAAACTCTGTTGGCTCCTTGGGGAGGAAAAACAAGCATGGAAAAAGAGGCTTTTCTTCATAAGTGTGCCACATCAGTCACCCATCGCCACTTCTGCCTTTCATCTATTCCCTGGCAGCCATCCTAAGAAGAATAACTGTCTTGACATGAGACAGATTATTTCAAGGCCTTCTCCTTGAGGCCAATCTACCCATGAAGATGGGGAACAGCATTTCACAGTGTTGCCCTTCAATCCTCTCATGAGTGACTCATTCTGAGACCAAACTGAGGACACTCTCCAAGAAGCCATGCCAGGTCTCCAGCTGGTTTCAGACTAACAGCCACAAAGCAATCAACAGACCATTGTTTTTTATATAAACCGTATGCCCTGGAACTTCGTGTCTTATGCCACTTGTGCTAAGGTCTCTTTGCCTTAGCCCTCCCCACAGTCACATTTATTTTATTATTTATTTAAGTTATGCGTCAATCAGGGGGCTGGCACATAACATTGGGCACCTCAAATTGGGTAGTTTGGAGAAAGTTCATAAAAGGAATATTTGTAAACATCAAGAAGATGGTTCTATCCCTTGGTGCTGGTATTGGTGAGGCACATTTGCCACCTCTCTGTCAGAAGCTGCAAGGAGCGGGAGTGAGTCCCAATCCTAGGGAGTCAGAGCCATGTGGGAAGGGCTGCCTGACAGGTGCTGTCAAGAGAATATATATCCTAATTTCAGTCTCCCTCCTTTTGATTTCTTCCCTCTGTCTTCATTGGCCAAACCCTGCTGGAAGCCAAAGGCCAAAGAAGCTCATTGATGTTGTCTACAACAGGTCGTCCCTCTAGGTCACAAGCAGGTGGAGGTGAATGAACAGTGACTCTGAGAGGACAATGGAAGAGGTACAGGACAACTGCACTGTCTGTCTTTGGCTCAAAAACCACCACCAGTGGCATTTGTGTGTACAAAGCCATTTATAATCTGAAGCGCACTACCTTTCCACCCCATCTCCCACCATTCTCACCATGTGACAGTGCTATGCTCAAGACATAAGGCAGTGTCCCTGCCCAAGCCTCACACTTCCATACCTGTGTGCCTGCCTTGTGCTTCCTCCTCTGCCTGAACCATTCCTCTCCCTTTCCCTCTTGGAGAATTTCTACCCATCTTTCAAGATGAGAGTCAACCACTTCTCTTCGAAGACTTCCCTGATCTTATTCTCTTCATGTAGGCTTCATCAATTTTGCCTTTTTAATACTGAAACACAGCAAAAGTATGTGAGCACAAACTTTATTCCTGTACCTGTTTTCCTGCTGCTATACTGAGCATTCCTCAAAGATGAAGACTTCATATCATTATTATTATTATTATTATTATTATTTTTTTTTTTTTTTTTTTTGGAGACGGAGTCTCGCTCTGTCGCCCAGGCTGGAGTGCAGTGGCGGGATCTCGGCTCACTGCAAGCTCCGCCTCCCGGGTTCACGCCATTCTCCTGCCTCAGCCTCCCGAGTAGCTGGGACTACAGGCGCCCGCCACTACGCCCGGCTAATTTTTTGTATTTTTAGTAGAGACGGGGTTTCACTGTTTTAGCCGGGATGGTCTCGATCTCCTGACCTCGTGATCCGCCCGCCTCGGCCTCCCAAAGTGCTGGGATTACAGGCGTGAGCCACCGCGCCCGGCCAGACTTCATATCATTATTATTAGTAATGATCACCACTGTCATTTTCTGAGTATTATTATGTGCCGGACCTAGCTCCATTAATTTATTTTCTCAATTAATTCTATGAAGCACTTTGTTTTTATCCAAAGTAAATGCATGAAAACTGATTTTCAGAAAGATTGGTCAATTTGCACAAGGTCACTCAGCTAGTTAGCAGTGGAGCTAGGATTCAAACCTATGTCCATCCAACTCTCAAGTCCCTGAAAGTAACCACAGTGGGCACTGCCTCTCAGCTCCATGTCCCAAGAGATGGCCTCACTCTGGGTAATGCATAACTGGTGCCTGAGACATCTTTCTGAATAAACAACCAGAAGAATAATATGCTGACAAAAATCTGTTGACTATGCATATGTTGTTCTGGTATGGGTTGGTACGTGGCCTTGATTTTCCGTAGCCTTATCTTCAGGCTGATAGTTTATAGCCACATTCCATGATGCTGGTAAAACTAAACTTTGTCTTGACTGTGTTTGTTAAGTGGCTTCTCAGAAAAGACTCATCAGCAAACAGAATCCCTTAGAAGACTATGGTATTGTCCTTGATCCTAGAGCAGGGTTAGAAAATTTTCCCAAGGAATGGAAGAACAGTGTGGCAGGAGCGGCTAAGCAGTATGTCCTTGTGGGTTTACATACACAAACTGGGAGCTGAGAAAAAAGAGGAAGTAGATTTTTTAAATGAATCCTTTTATAACAATAACAGCCACCATAGATTGAAAGCTTATTGTGTGGCTAACTCTGTGCTTGGTGTTTTACATGCATTATTTCTAATTTTTTAGCAGCCCTGAAAAGTAGATCTTACTTATCTTTCTTATTCCCATTTTATAGAACAGGAAACTGAGGCTCAGTGAGCCTAAGTAACTTGTCCAAGGCCTCCCAAACACACATAATACCCGACTCCAAAGGCCATGCTTTAATTTCCATGGCTCTCCCTGATTCCCTGAAAGACGCAAGTTAAACACTATAAGCTATAACAGAACCAACATTATCATAAGGGAAATCCCTTATGAACCTTTGGAAATTCTATGGCAAGTCAAGGTAATTCTGATTATCAAATGCAATTGTAAAACTCAGTTTTAGAATCCTAAAATAACATTTGTTTTTACATAATTACCTCATTTAAACCTTCCTTTTACATCTTTGTAAAACAAGTAAAAGCAGTGTTATGATTCCATTTATGATGAGGAGATTGAAGTTCAGGGAAACTAAGCAGCTGATAACCATAGCATTGGAACCCAGGACGCTCATAAACTTATATGCAAAAACATTTGTGTTGTGAGTATTTTGAACCTATAAAGCTGAAAGTCTGCTTGTTTCTAAAGAGTTGGCTCATGCCACTTCCTCTTCCTCGTCTACCTTTCTCCACTGACACATTTTTTTCCTTATGATGTTCATTCATTGCACAAATATTGTAACAACACATTTTTAAATTAGAAGTGATTTCATTCATAATTCCAGTACCCTGATTCATCCGTTATTTTTAGGTTTCTATTATTTTCTTCCAGTCCTTATCCATATACCACAAAAAAGCACATACACACAGACATTTACAAATATAAACACACACCAATAAATATTAAAATTTCCCTGGGAAGTTATTTGAAACTCGGTGCTGATCAAAAGGTGGTGGTCACAGGCACCTGATTCACAGAATCCAAACAGATTCTTATACATATGTTGTTTCCCCTGAGACAACACAGATCTTTTTGTCGTTGTTGTTGTTGTTGCTGTTTTTGAGATGGAGTCTCACTCTGCCACCCAGGTTGGAGTGTAGTGGTGCAATCTCAGCTCACAACCCCTGCCTCCCAGGTTCAAGCGATTCTCCTGCCTCAGCCTCCAGAAGTAGCTGGGATTAAAAGTGCACACCACCACACCCGGCTAATTTTTGTGTTTTCAGTAGAGACGGGGTTTCACCATGTTGGCCAGGCTGGTCTCGAACTCCTGACCTCAGGTGATCCCCCTGCTTCGGCCTCCCAAAGTGCTGGGATTATAGGCGTGAGACACTGCACCTGGCCTGGTTTTTGTTTTTGTACCCATTACCCAGCTTTAACAGTTATCAACATGTATCAAATGTTGTATCACTTGTACCACTGTTTATTCTCTTCCAGATAGATTATCCTGAAGCAAATCCCAGGCATCATAATATCATTGCATCTATAAATAACCTTTTATTTCTTTTCGATTTCTTTTTTATTATTATTAATTAATTATTTATTTATTTATTTATTTATTTTGAGATGGAGTTTCACTCTTGTTGCTCACACTGGAGTGCAATGGCACGATCTCGGCTCACTACAATCTCTGCCTCCTGGGTTCAAGGGATTCTCCTGTCTCAGCCTCCCGAGTAGCTGGGATTACAGGCATATGCCACAAAACCCGACTAATTTTGTATTTTTTTAGTAGAGACAAGGTTTCTCCATGTTGGTCAGGCTGGTCTCAAACTCCCAACCTCAGGTGATCCGCCCACCTCGGCCTCCCAAAGTGCTGAGATTACAGGCGTGAGCCACTGCACCCGGCCCTTTTCTTATTGTTTATATTTAATTATGGATACATAATAGTTGCATATATTTATGGAGTACATGTAATGTTCAGATACAGGTATACAATTTGTAATGATCAAATCAGGGTAATTAGGCTATCCATAACATTTAGCATTGATCATTTCCTCATTTTAAAATAAATGATCAATTTCTTAAAATATGTAATAAATTATTGTTAGCTATAATCATTTTACTGTGCTACCAAATACTAGATCTTATTCCTTGTATCTTCTTTTTTTTTTTTTTTTTTTTTTTTTTTTTTTCCAGAGACAGGGTCTTGATCTTTCCCCCAGGCTGGAGTGCAGTGGCGTGATCATAGCCCACTACAATCTCAAAACCTCAAACCTCAAACTCCTGGGCTCAAGTGATCCTCCTGCCTCAACCTCCTGAGTAGCTGTGACTACAGACGTGCCCATCACCCCCAGCTAATTTTTAAAGTTTTTTGTAGAGATGGAATTTCACTATGTTGTCCATGCTGGTTTTGAACTTCTGGCCTCAAGCAATCCTCCCACCTTAGGCTCCCAAAATGCTGACATTACAGGTGTAAGCCACTATGCCTGACCCTATTCCTTCTTTCTACCTGAATTTTTGTACCCACTAACCATCTCCGCTGTATTCCTGCCTCCCTGCTATCCTTCCCAGCCTGTGGTAACCACCATTCTACTCTCTCCATGAGTTCAATTGTTTTTAGGCTCCCACATATAAGTAAGAACATGCAATAATGAAACAGCACGATCCTGATATCGTAAACTAGGCAAATAGAAAGAAGAGAGAGCAACAAGGGAAAGACTTACTCAAAGTTAGTGACCATTTCTGTAAAGATTTGTTTTTAAGGAGTCACCACTGCTATATCCAAATTCTGAATATGGCAATTATTCCTCAATAGGATTCAATGCCTGCTTTTCTGAGGCAAACTTTCCTGGTCTTTCAAATGTTATCTTAATAAGAGTGACATTGACCAAAATGTTAACTTTAGTTATCTCTGGGTGGTGAGATTTACAGGTGATGTTCACATTCTTGTTGATTCTTTTTTGCCTTTTCTGAACTTTCTACAATGAACATATGTTTGTAATAAAATTAGAATTAATAATAATGGTATTGAATACGATGTGAAAATGATCTAAAGAAAAGATCCTGTAAACATTGGAGTCACATGGACAGATCATGTAGTCCACACCACTGGAAGGACAGCCAGCCCCTTTCTTGGGTCAGGAAGCCTAGAACCTAGGAGGTATAAGTTCTAGCCCAATTCTCTTTCTTGTATAACACCTGCTAAGGAGCTGCTGCTCCTTTTTTTTTTTTTTAACTTGGAAATATTGTTCCAAAACCATTTGTCAACAGAGAAGATTTGATTCTGAGAATATGTTGAGGATTTTCTGTAGCAATGGTCAAATAGAATCTAGTAGAGAGTAACACCCATAGAAATGTGTGGGAGCTTTGCTGTCAAGTCCTGTAGCACTTTAATAAAGGAACATGTCATTTTTCTTCAGCTAAATTTCAGCTAGAAATAATATTAGATGAGTTTTTATTGCCGTTCATTCCATAGCCTTTCTGCAATTTGGAAACCTTAATGATTTCATGCAAAATTCACTGTCTAAAGAGTCTTGGTGGCTTCTGTCTGATCTTGGTTTTTCCTTTTGATGCGGATTACTTATGTGCATCTATCATGGTAAAAAACAGCGGAGTTTGGGCAAACACCGCTCTCTCAGACCCCCGCTCCCTTTCAGACCTGGAGATCCTTCATCTAACCCAGTTCCATTCTTGTGTCTCTTCCCGCTGGCTTCCCCGGTGCCATTTTTATTAAAGCCCCAGCTCATCCCACATTCAGCTGCATGACTTCTTACAGGCTTCAGAATAAATCACCACATTGCTCCGATCTTGGCTTCTCTGCCCTCGGCTTTCAATTAAATTTAGAATTGACTTTAAAGATACAACCTCAATGTACATGGTTGAAAATGACCTTGTTTCCCCTTTCCCACCACCTGCGACTTCCTGCGCGGGGCTCTTATACTCCAGCTCCTGGTTCAAAAAGTAGAAACAGGAATTTGCTACATGCTCCTGTGGCAAACTATAAGTCTCAAGCTGTTTAAAGTCTTTAAAGTCCCGTCCAAAAGGTAAAGTACACTCTGCAGAGAAAAATCTGGGGGCCTGAATCTCTGGCTGCCTGTGTTCAGGAAGAGACATAGAAGGAGAGGAGGAAGGAGAAGAAGAGGAGAAGAAGTGAAAATAAAAAAAACAAAAACACAGAACCTTTGAGCTAAACACTTTTAATTTGTTTAATTTCTACAGTTTGCATTCAGAATGATTAGTCTATTTGTCATATGCATCCACTATTAAAATAAGTATATTAAGTTAATATAAATGATCTATGACAAGATTAAGAGAACACCAAAGCAGATTTTGACATCAAAACTGACTTTCATCTTTTGTCTTGTCATTTGGCTTTTTACTCTTAGCAAGGAACATGGCATAGTAAGCAGCAGGTTTGGGCTATTTAGAATTGGGCCTGCTCCTGCCAGTCTCTCCCTCCTACCCTTGGAAGGCTTTACCCACCAGGATGACTGAACCAGAAAACACTTCTTCCTCCCTTCAAAAACCATGACTATTTTAAGGCACATAGTTCTATCTAACTAAAGACAATGAGGTCCCTTTCAATTTGGAAGAGAAGAAGGAAAGAATGATGTGCTCATCTAAAGAAAGGATCAAACAAGATTTAATATGTGAAAAGGATGTGTAAGTTGAAAATGATTTACAAATGTAACAGACCAATTTATTCATTAATTCATCAATCAGTTATTGAGTATTTACTATGTATCAGGTTCCAAGGAGGTTGTACAATACTTAGGAGCTTGAGCCTTAATTTTCTCCCCTCTAGAATGGGACTAGAGACCTTCTTTTCACAGTATGTGAGAATTAGGTGAAAGAATAAATGTAAATTACTTAAAACCAGTTATTGGCACATAATAAACACTGAATGAATAGCTCTCTCTGTATATGTGAAAAAAAGTATCTTCAACTATAAGGGGTCTACAGCCTGATGAATTATTATTTTGAAACTTCTACCCTTTGTGCTGAAAACACCCTGAAATTTGGGAAGCTTCAAATATTTAGCTATGGAAATCTCACATCAAAATACTTTCCTAGTGATTGCCTCTTAGAAATAGTTCCTAGGAACAGGCTGGGCACGGTGGCTCACACCTGTAATCCCAGCACTTTGGGAGGCTGAGGCAGGCAGATCACGAGGTCAGGAGATCAAGACCATCCTGGCTCACACGGTGAAACCCCATCTCTACTAAAAATACAAAAAATTAGCCGGGCATGGTGGCGGGCACCTGTAGGCCCAGCTACTCAGGAGGCTGAGGCAGAAGAATGGCGTGAACCCGGGAGGCGGAGCTTGCAGTGAGCCGAGATCACGCCACTGCACTCCCACCTGGGCAACAGAGCGAGACTCCATGTCAAAACAAAACAAAACAAAAAACAAAGAAAAGAAATAGTTACTAGGAACATGGGGGTGCTTTGCCAAATAAGGAAGAAATGAAGAGAGGGAAAAGAAATTTACACTTAGTGACTCCCTAAACATAAAATCTCAATGATTTTGCATCATTTTTTCTAATTGGAATCTCATCAAATTCTAATTAATAGACAGGCATTAACAGTCTCATATCCCAAATGGACATGCTGAGGCTTCTCCCCATGGCCGCAGGGCTAGGAAGTGGAGACGATGGAATTTAAACCAGGTAATATTATTTCAGAGCCCATACTCTCTTCCCGGTCACCAGCTTGCCCCATGCATCCTGTGAGGTCCCATGGGGAGAGATCCTAAAACCTCATTGGAAAATACAAGAGATGTTTGAGATCTTCTAAACGTAAAGGGGAAGTTTTTAAGATAAAAACTTTCTGCAATAATTAATTTCTCACTCAATTTTGTGAATAGTAGTACTATATAGTAGTGAGATTTTTTTTTCCTTTCCATTTAAACTCTTCCAGGTAGAACCTTCCTTTTTCAGTTCTAAAAGATTACTATTGATGGGGATGTTTTTGAAGACTTTGAATTCCCTTTCCTTTCTTTCCATAACACTTACCCTTTTTTGGGAAGGAAGTCATACAAGAGTTTAAAACTGTGAATTGAAAAGTTAGGAAAGAAGGTTACACCATACTGACCCTGTTTTGAAAGGCTACAGCCACCCTCTAGGTTAACTGATTTTTTTTTCCGCACCAGTTCTACATGTTATAGCCTTCCTGGAATAACAGTCTTCCTAAGTGGACTCTTCCTGCTCTCGGTTCAGTCTCCCTCCCTGGACTGCAGGAACAATGATGATCACACGTGAAAGTTCAACCCAGGAGCCCAAAAGCCTACAGAGGGGAAAGACTTATTTGCTGGAGAGGCCTAAAAAGACAGCTCCTTAGCATTTTTAGGGTGTTAAGCAGAATTCCACTGCGCTAACAATTTCCTGCCAAGGACTCTCATTGCCACGTGGAGCCCAGTTGAGTTCTATGCAGTGCCTAGCCCCTGTCTATAGCATAGCTAGGTCACAGCTGGCCCAAACTAGCTGATTAAAATTAAGTCACTCCGCAGACGACCAAATGGCCATATATAAGTGGAAAATTTTCTCTTACCTTCCCTCCATCTTTCTTCCTTTCCTTCTCTCTGTCCCTTTAATATCCAGAAATAATTGTCTTTTATCTGGTGACTGAAAAGAAGATCCCCCACAGTTCATCTCACTTGGCAGTAGTCTTAACAGCTCTTTAGGCTAACTTCTCTCAGGATTGTCTTTAAACTTCAAGGATGAAAAGTTCTCAGGGATAAAATGATCCCGTTTAGCTAACAGAGAGAAGTTTACAGTTACTTATCACTCCTATAGTTGTGTGTGTTGTAATATTTTGAACCTCAAAAATGGAGCCCATCATTCACCAGGGCATTTTGTTACTGGCCAAATATATTTGCAAGAAGTTCTGGGAACTTAATCATTTCCTTTATGTGTATATAATTTTACTTATAAAGCACTTTCACTTGTACATTTTTAGGCCTGAATGATGACACCCATTTTGTGGATAGGGAAACTTGCCTCAGAGATTATGGGGCATGCTAAGAGCATGAGGCTAGTTAATTGCAGCATCAAAATTAGAATACTGCCTTTTTTACTCACCATAGGCTTTTGTTTTGGTACTATACTATATATAAGGTTTATATCCTAGTCTTTGAGATATCTCCATGGAAAAAAAATGTGCTATTTTACAAATTGTGCCCTGAAGCTGCTGTCACAGGAGCTGACTTTTAGGCAGAATGTACTATTTGCATACCCTATTTAATGTGACTTATGGCTCCAAGGCATTGAAAGACATTTTGTGATGAAAAGACGTGAAATGAGACTGGGCATGGTGACTCACACCTGTAATCCCAGCACTTTGGGAGGTCGAGGTGGGAGGATCACCTGAGCCCAGGAGTTTGAGGGCAGCCTGGGCAACATAGTGAGACCCCATCTCTACAAAAAAAGAAATTAAAATTACCCGGGCATGGTGGCACATGCCTGTAGTCCCAGCCATGTTCATGCCACTGCACTCCAGCCTGGGCGACAGAATAAGACCATCTCAAAAAAATAAAAAAAACAGCCAGGCTTGGTGGCTCACGCCTGCAATCCCAGCACTTTAGGAGGCCGAGGCGGGTGGATCACCTGAGGTCGGGAGTTCAACACCAGCCTGACCAACATGGAGAAACCCCGTCTCTACTAAAAATACAAAAGTTAGCCAGGCATGGTGGCGCATGCCTGTAATCCCAGCTACTCAGGAGGGGAGGCTGAGGCAGGAGAATCCCTTGAACCCGGGAGGTGGAGGTTGCAGTGAGCCGAGATCACGCCATTGCACTCAGGCCTGGGCGACAATAGCAAAACTCCATCTCAAAAATAAATAAATAAATAAATAAATAAATAAATAAACTGAAATAACTTTTTAATAGAATATAATCATGGAAAAATTATTTAACCCCTTTGAGTCTGTTTCCTTACCTGCAAAATGGTAATGATATGGCCAATCTCATAGGACTGGTATAAGAATTAAATAAATATTTGTAAAGCACTCTGCCAGTAGATTGTAGATGCTCAAAGTGTTGAGTTCCTTCTTCTTGAAAAAATTGCTGTTAGAGTCACAGAGTTAGGAGACGAAGGTGAAGAAAAGCTGAGGTACTAGGATTCCCTCATCCCCCACAAGGATACCCTACTTGCAGACCATAGCTCCCTCCCAAAGTGTAGGATTCAGATAGGAAGTAGGGTAGATGAGCAGTGGCCAGATCATGTGGAGTTAAGAGCAGCCCGGTCAGTAAAGGAATTCCATTTTTTTTTCTGTTTCTCCAACTCACCAGGCTTGTTCCTACCACAGAGCCTTTGCACTTCCTGTTTACTTTGCTTGGAACACTTGACCTTCAGATGGTTACTTGGCTCACTTTCTCACTTTTTTCAGGTCTCTGAAGGCTATCTCTATCTGAATTAATTAAAATACCATTTCTTTAACTACTAGTCACCTCCTACTCCTCAAATCCTCAACCTTTTATCTTGATTAGACATTTTTCCTTCTGTTTTTTTTGTTTTTGTTTTTGTTTTTGTTTTTTTGTTTTTTTTTTTTTGAGATGAGGTCTTGCTCTGTTGCCCAGGCTGGAGTGCAGTGGTGCAATCACAGCTCACTGCAGCCTACCTCCAGGATTCAAGTGATTCTCCCTCCTCAGACTCCCAAGTGGTTGGAACTACAGGCGTCTGCCACAACACCCGGCTAATTTTTTTTTTTTTTTTTTTTTTTTTTTTGTAGAGACAAGATCTTCCTGTGTTGTCCAGGCTGGTCTCAAACTCCTGGGCTCAAGCAATCCTCTTGCCAAAGCCTCCCAAAACACTCAGATTACAGGCATGAGCCACCATGTCTGGCTTGATTTTTTTTCCTTTTTTAATATTTAAAAAAATTTTGTGGGTACATAGTAGGTGTATACATCTATGGGGTACATGAAATGTTTCAATACAGGCATGCAATGTGAAATAAGTACATCATGGAGAATGGGGTATCCATCCCTTCAAGCATTTATCCTTTGAGTTAGAAACAATCCAATTACACTCTGTAAGTTAACACTTATCAATACCTGAATGTATATTACATATGATTGTCTATCTCTTCTGCTAGAACATAAGCTCCATAAAGACAGGGATCTGGCCAGGTGCAGTAGCTCCGCCTGTAATCCCAACACTTTGGGAGGCCAAGACAGGCAGATCACTTGAGTTCAGGGGTTCAAGGCCAGCCTGGGCTACATAGCAAGACTGTCTCAATAATTTTTTAAAAGAACAAAAATGGAAGAAAAAAAAGAGAGACAAGGGTCTCATCTGCTGTGTTCACTGTTTCCCCAATATCTAGAGGAGTGAATACCAAATATTAGGTATTTAATAAATAAATAAATAATGAATGAATGAATGTGGATATTGTTATGTAAATGAATGATGCTATCTAAGATCAGTTATTAGCACTGTGGTTTCCTCAGACTGCTGTCTTTAAGTATTTTTTTTTTAGACGGAGTTTCGTTGTTGTTGCCCAGGCTGGAGTTCAATGGCGCGATCTCAGCTCACTGCAACCTCCGCCTCCTAAGTTCAAGCGATTCTCTGCCTCACCCTCCCGAGTAACTGGGATTACAGGCATGCACCATCATGCCTGGCTAATTTTGTATTTTTAGTAGAGACGGGGTTTCTCCATGTTGGTCAGGCTGGTTGCGAACTCCCAACCTCAGGTGATCCACCCGCCTCAGCCTCCCAAAGTGCTGGGATTACAGGCGTGAGCCACCGCGCCCAGCCTTTACGTCTTATTTTAATTGCTAAGTGTACTTTCGGCATTGCATTAGGATGCTTATAAAGCGTGAAACTAAATGACATATTCAAACAAAATGCAGAAATATGAACTATTCTCTAAAATTGTCACATTTCACTTACAAAGACGAATGTTCACGTCAGGACAGCAGGGAGAACTTTAAAACACAGATCTGATTTTGTCATGGGTCTGTCCCATTCTTCAGTGGCTGCCATTGCCTTGGGCAATTCTCAGAGAGCTCCACCCTAAAAGTCCCTTGCAGGCTCCTATCATCATCTCCTACAGAGAGTGCCTGTTTCTCCACATATTTTTTTTTTTTTCTGAGACAGTCTTGCTCTGTTGCCCAGGCTGGAGTGCAGTGGTGCGATCTTGACTCACGGCAACCTCCACCTCCTGGGTTCAAGCGATTCTCCTGCCTCAGCCTCCTGAATATCTGGGGTCACAGGCATGCACCACCACACCCAACTAATGGTTTTTTTGGGTTTTTTTTTTTTTTTTTTTTTTTTTGTATTTTTAGTAGAGACAGGGTTTCACCACATTGGCCAGGCTGGTCTCGAACTCCTGACCACAGGTAATCTGCCCACCTCGGTCTTCCACAGAGCTGGGATTACAGACATAAGCCACCATGCCCGGCCTCCACATAATTATGAATAGCCTTCCCTTTTACTCTCAAAAGTGTCCTGGTTTGAGAAATAATGTATATGGTCACCCCACCTGTATGTCCCTTTTCCGGAAAACCTTCATTCTGGGCAAACCCATGTCTTGGCAGCTCTCCAGAATGAAGAGGCTCTATTATACCTTTCTTTGAGCAACTTTCCCTCAACTTAGGATAAACTTCCTTCTTCCAGATTCCAACTCTAACATCAACTCCTCTAGAAAGGCTTTCCCAGAACTTTCCCCATGTAATTCAGATTAGGCAAACACCCCACGGCTACTTTGGAATTGCCTGAGGAGCTTTTTAAAAATACAGGTTCCTGGGTGAGGTGGCTCAGGACTCTAATCCCAGCACTTTGGGAGGCTGAGGCAGGAGGATTGCTTGGGGCCAGGAGTTTAAGACCACCCTGGGCAACATAGCAAGATCCCATCTGTACAAAAATAAATAAATAAATAAACAAACAAACAAAATTTTAAAATAAAAAAGAAAGGCTGGCATGGTGGCTCATGCCTGTAATCTTCACACTTTGGGAGGTTGAAGAGGAAGGCTCATTTGAGGCTAGGAGTCCTAGACCAACCTGGTCAACATAGTAAGATCCCATCTCTATAGAAAAAATGAAAAAGAAAAAAAAATACAGATTCCTGGCTGGGTGCAGTGGCTCACACCTGTATTCCCAGCACTTTGGGAGGCCAAGATGGGTGAATTGCTTGAGCTCAGAAGTTTGAGACCAGCCTGGGCAACATAGCAAAACCCTACAAAAAACAAAAATAAGCTGAGTGTGGTGGTATGTGCCTTGTAGTCCCAGCTACTTGAGAGGGTGAGGTAGGAGGATGGCTTGAGCCTGGGAGGCAGAAGTTGCTGTGAGCCAAGATCCCATCACTGCACTCTAGCCTGGGTGACAGAGCCAGACCCTGCCTGTCTCGGAAAAAAAAACAAAACAAAACAACAACAAAAAAACAGATTCCTGGGCCCTATCACCCAACCTTTGGGATGTAGAAAATCTAGGGTGTGTCCCAGGAAATCTGTTTGCCCCTCCTAATTGTTCCCACAACATCTTCTGCATATTTTGACAAGTAACTATCTCTCTATTATGCCCAATTTGCTGATCTGTTTGCTTCAGGTGACTTTAAATTCCTTGGGAGCAGGACCCATGACCCTCATCTTTAGCCTGTGTCCAGTGCCTAGAATGGTGCTTAACAAAAGATTCATGATCAAATAAGTAAAAATGGCAAACATTTACAGAGCACTTACTATGTGCCCAGAACTTTACATATGTTTTCTGTGTATTCAGCTCCTTATTTCAGAAAAGCTTTTTTTTTTTTTTTTTTTGAGACGGATTCTCGCTTTGTCACCCAGGCTGGAGTGCAGTGGTGCAATCTCGGCTCACTGTAACCTCCACCTCCCGGGTTCAAGTGATTCTCCTGTCTCAGCCTGCCGAGTAGCTGGGACTACAGGCGCTCACCACCACGTCCGGCTCATTTTTGTATTTTTAGTAGAGACAGGGTTTCACCATGTTAGCCAGGCTGGTCTCAAACTCCTGACCTTGTGATCCGCCCGCCTCGGCCTCCCAAAGTGCTGGAATTACGGGCGTGAGCTACCGTACCTGGCCTATTTCAGAAAAGTTTTTAACCCTCAGGAGCATAACAAGCCCAGAAGAAAAATGATATTAGGGATATTATCTCTTGAAAGTCTTTCACAGTTTCATGAATTATTGAATCATTTCTTGGATGGGCACCCAGTGTGCCTTACAGGGGAACTTTGTAAGCATAACTGGCAACACAAATGGTATCATTCCTACTTGCAACTCTTTCTGAGTGTTTTGTGCTTGGCCATCACATTGCACCTTCCAGTGCTTTATTTCCAACTCAGACCTCTTTAACAAGATAGCTTTTATAATGCCTGGGGATGAGAACAAGAGTGGAACTGCTTCATTCTTTTAACCTATACCTTCCAACTACAAAATGTAGTGCTCTCTGTGAACTTCCTATAAAATTAAGGAGAGCTTATGAAAGGGCTCATGACCCATAAAGAGCTTAATGCATTTTTAATGTACAATTCTGGTAACAGTGTCAGCTTATAGATTTCCAAATGACGGTCACAATTGTGATTTAGAACAGATGGTCAAACCACAGAACAGAGTCAACAATATTTTCTCCCATCCCAAGAGGCTAACAGAATCCAAGGGAAGTATCTGACATCACCTAAATTGGTAAACAGCTCAAAACAATCTTAATTAACAGTTTGCTGGAACACTTAATGACAGAAAGCATGCCTCGGTAGAAACTGGTATTCATAGGCTGCTCTCAAATTATTAACCAGTTAAGAAGATGGTTTAATGCCCTGGAAAACAAAATAGTCAAAATTAGGAATTAGAAAATCTTGCTTTTGTTTAACTCTGACACTGGGTGAACTTGGGTAGTAATTTGAAATCTCTGAATCTATTTCCTGCTCTCCAAAATGATGTCTAAGTTACCTTTTTTTTTTTTTTTTTTTTTTTGAGACTTGAGTTTTGCTCTTGTTGCCCAGGCTGGAGTGCAATGGCGCCATCTCGGCTTACCGCAACCTCCACCTCCCAGGTTCAAGCAATTCTCCTGCCTCAGTCTCCTGAGTAGCTGGGGTTACAGCATGCACCACTACGGCCAGCTACTTTTGTATTTTTAGTAGAGACAGGGTTTCTTCATATTAGTCAGGCTGGTCTCGAACTCCCTACCTCAGGTGATCTGCCTGCCTCGGCCTCCCAAAGTGCTGGGATTACAGGCGTGAGCCACCACGCCCAGCCAGTTACCTTTAGCTTAAGTGTATACTGAATGCAATGGGATGGGGGTCAGGGGGCTTAATTATAAATGACCAAACATTTTGGATTATGAGGAAATAAAAATCATCTTTCAATATATATCAAGAGATTCAGCTGGTGAAAGTTAACGACTATCATGTATTTTGTTACCAGAGTTAATATGGCAGGTGATTTTTTTTTTTTTAACTAGAAATATTAGTGCTTACAACACAGCAAATCATAGTGGCTCTGGGTAGGAAGGCTTTCTTAAATCAACAGAAACATGCAACATTGTGAGTTCAAAAATGTTGAACTATTTTTTACGTGGCCATCTTTGGTCCTTAGTGTTGTCAGTCTTCTGGAATAGACTTGGAAAAGAATGGGCAATGTTTTAATCATTGCTTATCATCTAGTATAAGCAACTCCAGTAAGAAAAGGCTCCATAACTGAGCCTCATAAAGCAAGCTAAAATGCGATCACAAAAGTTTCAGCCTGAACTAACCCAGGTTAGGTCTAGATGCCAACAGGCACATTTATTCTGTATTTTTTTTTTTTTTTTTGATCTTCTGTATGTTTCTTTGATAGAATTTATTTAAGGACTATGTTCATTTTTTCGAGAAAAGTTTTATAGTATGTGTGTATTTTTTGGAGGTGCTGGAAGAAGACAGGGGAGAGTTTGAAGAGGAGGAGACAGTATTAAGCTTCTGGGAAGGAAGCCCACTGCTTCTCAAGTTACCATTTGTAAACCCTTTACCCAGTTCTGTTTGGGCTATTGTCCTGAGTAAATCATCCATTGAAAATCAAGCTCTTCAGCTCATTATATATTCTTCATTTGAGGTGACCAGAACTATTTCCTGAAACCTGGTTTGGGTGCTAATTACCTGCTCAAACACCTAGTAAATACCTCTGTGGATTTGTCATAGGAAAATTTCACTTTTTTATTTTCCTTAAATTGAGCACATTTATCACAAGTTCCCTTTCACCTTCCTAGTCGTGACAATAAACGCCTTCTAAGTAGAGGAGCCCTTGCTCCTCTGGTCACTGGGAAGTGATTCTTATTCCTCCTCAGCTACCCTAAGTCATAGCTTACAGGCTCAGCTGTAGAGAAAAGTTTACCAAAGTAAGCCACATATTTCTATAGAGAAGTAAGTTGCTTTTTCTTCCTCCAGGTCTCTTTCTCTCTCTCTCTATCTTTTCCTCTTTCCCCAGTGAGGCAGGAACGTATTTTTACAAATACCCTAAGAAACTTATACAAAAAAGAACTTACACTTACAGATATTTCTGTCCCTTCAGATTTTAAAATAAATATTTCTGTTAGCCATCCTTCTATCCTAACTTCCCAAAGGAAAATCTCAAAGTCATAGCATATGATTTGTCACAGTAATAAGATGATATTTCTATCAATTTTGAAAAGAATTATTTTACTGGGGAAAAATGTTTATGCATATGTGTGTGTGTGTGTATAGTTGGTTCAAACACAAGTTACGTTGCCTTTTCTTTCCTTCCCACACCTAAATAAATTTAAGTTCAAAGGAATGAATGTAGGTGTCATCTTTAAGAAAAATAATCATATAAAACTAAAACAAAACCAAGACAAAAATGTAAAACAAAACCACTAATAGAAGCCATATTTCAATCTTGTATCCCTGGGAAATAACTGTAAGACTGGAAATTCATCTATTTCATTCTATGTCTATTGCAACCTGACTAGGCAAGAATTTTTCCCCCTTTCCTTAAGAAAGCTGAAGGTGAAGACTGTCTCTATGTGGCACTGTGGTATAAGTGACCGCTGTTGTGGAGGAGAAAAGCCCATGAAGCTTAAAAATTTTGCAAAGAGAAAACAATCCTCCTGCAGACCACAGTAAATAAAATAACAGCAGTGGGGTGATTTGCAACCATGTAACGGGGCTTTTGTCTGGGTCTATTTCTCTGTGCCTTGAGGGTTTCTGTGTTCCTTCTCTGCAGGATCTCAGTGTTTCGCCCCTCCATTACAAAGGCCCAGGGCTTGAGCCCCTCCTCCAGCTGTTCACCCCCAATCTTGCCCATGCTGAGGCTTACTTACAGCAGACTGAAGAGTTTCAGTGGGGTGCAGGGCACTGCAATTTAGGATTTCTGCAGTACAGGGTGAATTTTCAAGAGTGTATCAGAGAGGGGAGCCAGACTTAAAAATAGCCTTTACTCATCCTATTAACCATTTCATTGCTGAACTGGCTTGTAAGGCAGGACCAGCAGGTTTTTTTCCTCTAGCAAACTCCAAAATTGCTACAGCTGCCTCTGACAGTATATATAAGGCAACACTTCACTGTGTCTTGGATAACAGCTGAATAAATGTTATGATTCACTACAGAAAGAACTACGGTATTTAAAAAATTATTGTATTCTTCTTTACGTGGGGTTTGAGGGTGGAAATGAGGGAAGGGATTAGAGAAGCAGGGGGAGAGGGAGAGTGAAAGAGAGAAGGAAGAGAGAAATCTTGGTGAATAGAGAAGTAAGGAAGCCTCTTGTTCTGGTTCGTATTGATCTTATTTAAGCATGGGGAGAACTGATGAGTCTGTGATTATTTTAATGACCATGAAACCTATGCATTCAAAGAAATAAATGAAGCTATGTAATCACCTTCTAAGTAATATCAAAGAACTATGGAAAGGAGTTGGGGGAGGGCCATCATTGCATAATAACATTTACATCATACAGGGCTCCGCAGGCAAAGGTAAACTAGGGTTGAAGTACTGTATTTCCAGGGAGACAAGAGCCTACAATTCAATACTCTGTGGCTGTGACCTATCTAACGCAAGGAAGGGTAAGGCATTGAGCAGTAATTGTTTCTATTTTGGTATTTCGGCAAGGGAAACACTGATGTTTGAGGTTTCTGAGTGGTTTATAAAGCAAGCAAAACTTTGGAAGTGCAACAACACAGACTATATAAACAGTGGGCAAATAGAGTCAGATGCTGTCTTTCAATAGGCTTTAATTTTTAAATGATAATGAAAACATACTTGTTTCAGTCAAAAGACAAACTTCTGATTATCTTAAAAAATGTGGCATTGTTTTAAAGTGACATTGTAAAATAATGTGATTGCTTGCCTAAAGGGAGGTATTAAGAAATATGAGACACTGACACTACCCTCAAGACTAGCAAGAAAGACAGGACAGGTGCACATAAAAAGATGACTAGTGCTATTATGTTGTTTAATATGAACTCTAATCAGTTGATTACAAACATTTGTGATTTTAAGGAACTTTCATGTTTAACAGGCTATGCATACAGCTAAGAGGAAAGAGCCTCAACTCTGGAATCTGACAGAGGTGGTTTCCAATTCTAGTTCTTCCACTTGTTGGTTATGTAATGCAATAAAAATTGCTTTAAAATTGCTTAATGTTTCTGGGTCTCAGTTTTCTTCTCTGTAAAATGGGATCCCATCACCTGCCTCCTCAGGTAGCTGTGAGGATTAGAGAAAATAATAAATGGAAACCACCTGGGTGTGTTTGGGCATATAATCATAATAGTTGTCATCACTAATCCCGTTACTCTAAATAGGCAACAGAAATTCTTAAAATATGAACCACAGAAAAATAAAGCCTAATTTAAAATTTTAAGCCCTTCAAACCTTAAGGCTCCTGATCATGAGTGTGTTATTATTAAAACGCTGCTACAAATAGGTTTGCCGGAAAAGGAACAGGACATTCAATTAAATTTGAATTTCAGATGAAAAACAAGTACTTTTTAGTATATGGCCCATGCACTATTATATGAAAAAAATTGTTTGCTCTTTACCTGAAATTCCATAACCGGACATCTTGCTTTTTATTTGTTAAATCTGGCAACTTAAGTATAAATAGTAAAGACCTGAGTGTATTTAATTCCTGTCTTCTTTAGCCCAAGTCCCTATTGAGTGAGGTAACAGGAAAGGAATCCTTATTTCAGAAAGTGAAAAAAAAAAAAAAGAAATTAATATCATTAAAACTTTTTACATATCCAGAACATAATTTGTCAATATAAGAGATAAAAACAACTGCCATTTTCCATGTGACAGTTTAAAAAGTGACTTTTGGTTGTTTTATCATCTCTCACCCAAACTCCAGCCACGTGCTGTCTGTAGGTTCATTTGGCCGGTTCTGAATCTGACTACTACCAGGTCTTGAAATGAGTTTTGTTTTGTTTTGCCTTTCCTTTCTCCAGTGCAGAGCTCCACAGAAAACATTATTAAAAAGAGAGACCTGTGGAGCTGATTGTATACTGACAAATAAGACACCCAAATTGAGATACTTTATCAAAAAGAAAGGTTCTTTCTAGCAAAGAGGTTTTATGTAGGTAAGGGAATATGTCTGCTCAGAAAATGTTTAGGTCAATGGAATAAATGTAAAATGATATTACAAACATGTGTATGACATTTGCATTTGTTTAACACTTGATATTCCTTTGTTATTTTGTGTTTTCCAGATAGGGTGACAGAGTGAAGGCCTTATCACTTCAATATTGAATGTAGAAATTACAGTATAATAAAATTCAGAAAATTTCATCAACATAAAGTTAATACTTTGTACCATGAGCTTTGAGCTTTTAATCCATGAGTGGCTACTTATGTGCAGAGGATGTTAATAAGTATTTCTGACTTAACTTTATCAACAAAAGAGAGCATACTAAAGTTTGCTTTCACACATATTTACTTGGCTTTGTAGTAACATGGTTCATAATTGACATGCTTACATATAAATTCATAAATGCTATTAACTGATAAGAAATAAAAAGACTTCAGAATAAAATGAGAATTTTATTTTAGTCTTTAAAAATGGCAAAAGTTTAAAAGTTGAAATTTTTGCCTCTATTCTATTAAGTTCCTTTATTCATCACTGACATAGATGTATTCTCTTCATTTTTACATTTTTCTGATACCCCAATATTTATTTAAATGCTACAAATATCTTTATTTCTAAGTAAATTGTAAAGACTGGTTTTGAAAACTTTTTTTATATGTTATACTATCAAAGTTCTTATTTCATCTTAACTTAGAGCTTAAAACAATGTAATCCCACCAAAATCATGAAAGCAAACAAAAATCAGAACATTAGAACAACACATTTTCCTTTTTGAAGGGCAGAGAAAAATCATGGGTAATTCAGGCCAGTTGATTTCTAGAGAACTCCAGCTATGAGAATGACTTTGTTGGGAGCGGCCACCCAACAGTCCTGGCCATTACATGTCAATCTGTCAAACCAACAAACAAAAACACCACAGGCTTTAGCACAAATGGCATATGACAGATGCAGATGTGGCTCTGAAAAGAATCCTCTGCTTTTGAAACACCTGCAAGAATTCCAAAACAACGGGCATGCCTTCCACTCTGCCATAGCCACTTTCCTGACCCTGAGTTCGGAGTGGTAAAGGAAAAATGCCTAGCATGTACAGTATTCCACTCCAATTGGGAGAGCAGTGGGGGGCTGATGAGGAGCAAGTACAGTGTTGATATCACAATGCCATGCACCTGCTTTGGATGTAAAAAGAAGGAGTTTATTACAGAAACTGCAGCATTTTTCAGCTTCTCATTAAGCAGTCGTGGGCAAATTCAAGTGTGTTTTCTTTTTATTAGGTTAAACCATCCTGAATTAAAAGGGCCTATTGAGAGGTGTTTTTTCTTTTCTTTCTTTTTTTTTTTCCTGTCCCTCCCTTTCCCAACAGGTATATTGTTTTCCTTTCAAAATTAAATTGCTTCCCACATTTTGGTTTAGGGAGATGAGCAATATGCAGTACTGTTGCAAAGTAGTGTTTCCTAGATAATAGCCAAAAAGTAAAATTTATTTTCCACTTTAACAGACATCTTTTAATTTTAAAAAGGCAAGCATCCCCCAAATACCTTTCTATTCTATGACTATTTTTATGTCTGAAAAATATATTACCAAAGAGACATAATTCATTCCTAGGGAATAGTCCCACTGTGTGCATTTTAGCTGATACCTTTTGAAGGATCATCCTCATACGACCAGTACTATTAAACAATAACTAACATAATTTTTTAAGATGATTAGTTGGTAGAGGAAAGTGCCCCTGTAACCCAGCAATTTTGGTTGTCAGGGTCAGTTGTTTGATAGTATTTTTCACCTCTTCCTTAATAACATTGTTATACTATATATACATACTTACAAAATAGCATTTCTTGGGTTAGCAGTCAAACTGTGAATATAGATAGGACACTACTATGTTATCAGAAAGAATGTTAGAGAGAGCAGGCTGCCCAGTAGCAAATTACAAAGTTTTGGCTCCCAAGAATGAGATGCGTTGTTTGTTCTTGCACACTGCAGCTGCCTCCCCACCCCGCCCCCCCTTTTTTGGTGGTTTATTACACACAAGCTACTAATGAATGGGAGCCGCTGTTTTACAGTACACCACACTTACAGGACTTATCTCTAGGCCTACCACAGATTTGACTGATCAACAGCAGGGCACCGCCATCATAATTCTTCCTAGAAACAGGAGTATAAAAAGGGGTTTGTTGGAGGTTGGCTGGGTCTGCAGAGAATCCTGCCCGCAGGGCTTGCTGATGCCATCACTAGCTGTTATGGTCTTTGGCCTAATAAGGTACAGAAACAAAGATTGTTCACTTATTCAAGAAGACTAAAGCACCAGAATGATGGAAAGTAGAGGCAGTAGGGCACATATCCAAGTGGGATTAAGGCCACAGTGCAACTTTATAGGGCTGTCTGGGTGGCAGAATAAGGATCTGCAGCTGAGAATCCAGTTCAAACATAATTTATTATATGTCATTCATAGTTAGAGGTAGCTGACATTAGGAGTTAAATTGTTGCATTGTGTGCAACTGATTTTGATAAGTATTTTTGTAAGCTTCTGACATATTATTATAATTCAGAAACAGAAGCAGAAGGTAAACAACAGACTGATTAAAAAAGCAGTGATATCTAAGGAATATCTCTAGAAAAAGCCATGGTGGTTCTTTTTTTTTTTTTTTTTTTTTTTTTCTGTCCTCTGCTTTAAAGTTATAATATGTCCTTCACATTTCTAAACGTTAGCATTTTTCTCATTGCAGTAAAATAGAACAACTTGCATCTTCTAGGCTTTTTCAAACTTTCAGATAAACATCAACAAAATAAATTCACCTTTTTTCCCAACAAAGCAAACACACAATCCTGTTTTATACAAGAAGAAAGGTTAACTTGGAGAAGTCATTTGCCTCAGTCCTAAAGTCATTGAATAATCTAGCAGAAAACAAATTTCTGAAGTTCAGCCTTCTAGTCGTTTCATTATACTTTCCCAGTCAATAATGGTAGAGTAGCAAGACCAGCAATAAAAAAATAATAATAATAAGGGATTTAAGAAAAATGATTTCCTCTGTTTTTGGATTCCAAATACTGCTAGAATTAGAAATATAAATTATTAAAAGAGTATTCTCACAATGAGCCCTGTGCATTTTGAAGTAGTTATACAGTAGTCATTGTCCAGAGAAAGGAGTATAGTTGGCTGAAACCATATCATATTATAAATGGACTATATGTTCTTAGAGCACAACATTTTATTTATCCTGATTTCAAACCATTTAAGCGTTTAAAATTGGTGTCTTAATTTAATTTTTAAATTTTTTTTTAAACTTTTACTTTAGGTTTGGGGGACCATGTGAAGGTTTGTTACATAGGTTACATAGGTAAACTCATGTCATGGGAGTTTGTTGTACGGATTATTTCATCACCCAGGAATTAAGTAAGCCCAGTATCTTTTCTGCTTCTCTCCTTCCTCTCACCCTCCCCATCAAGTAGACACCAGTGTCTGTTGTTTCTTTCTTTGTGTTCGTAAGTTCTCAACATTTAGCTCCCACTTATAAGTGAGAACATGCAGTGTTTGGTTTTCTGTTCCTGTGTTAGTTTGCTGAAGATAGTGGCCTCCAGCTCCATCCATGTTCCTGCAAAAGACATGATCTCGTTCTTTTCTGTGGTTGCATGGTATCTTAATTTTATGATTATCTTTAGCACTTAGGACATTGCCAGGCTTACTACTTTATTCCTTCTTTTATTATGTTCCTTTATATCTCTTCACTCATGCCTGCTTTGGCAGCACATTAACTTGTAGTTGCCTGGTGCTTATTTCAGAAAGCAGAAGAATGTCTTGTTGTGACATAAGGACCACAGTATTTGTGAAACTATTCTACATCAAATGGGAAAATTTGAGGTGAGACAGCATGGAACTGTGTTAAACTGGTTCTCTTCTGAAATCTCTAGGAGTTAAAATTTTTTTTTTTCTTCCCTTAGCCTGAAGATGTATTTTCATATCCTTGGCCTGTAAGGCGGGGAGTGGGGAAATACATGTTTAAGATGCAGTGCTTATTTGTAACTCTTTAAGGGGAGTCTGGGAGCATATGGCACATAAGAATCTCTTACTTACTGGCTATATGACCTTAGGCAATTTAGTAAACCTCTGTGAGCCTCATTTTGATCATTTTTAAGATATGTATAGGATATAATATATCCCTTTCTGCATCCCTTATTTTATATTCCAAGACAAAATAAGATATTAGCAATTGCTTTAAAGTGGAAGCACCTGGAAACAACCTACATGACCATCAACAGGAGAAAGGTTAAATAAATTCTCATTCAACCCTACTGTGGGATGTTACATAGCAGTTACGAAAACGAAAATCGATCTATTGATGTATTCCCTCTGACGTATTGTGAAATGATAAAATACATACAGTAAAATCTCATTGCCTAAAAGAAAACCCTGAGTATACATGTATATTCACAATAATAAGAGTAGTTGGCTGGGCGTGGTGTCTCACGCCTGTAATACCAGCACTTTGGGAGGCTGAGGTGGGTGGATCACCTGAGGCCAGGAGTTCAAGACCAGCCTGACCAACATGGAGAAACCCCGTCTCTACCAAAAATACAAAATTAGCTGGGCTTGGTGGCGCATGCCTGTAATCCCAGCTACTCGGGAGGCTGAGAAAGGAGAATTGCTTGAAACTGGGAGGCATTGCAGTGAGCTGAGATCCCGCCATTGCACTCCAGCGTGGGCAACAAGACCGAAGCTCTGTCTCAAAAAAAAAAGTCATTAACCCCTATAAAATGCTTACTGTGTGACAAGCACTGCTCTAAGTAGCTCACATATAAACTTAGCTAATCTTTACAATAACCTAATGAGATACTATAGGTTGAGGATAGCTTACCTGAAATGCCTGAGAGCGGAAGTGTTCTGACTTTAAGACCTTTTCGGATTTTGAAATATTTGCATATACATAATGAGATATCTTGTGGATGGGGCCCATGTCTGAAACATGAAATTTATTTACTTATACACGTAGGCTGAAGGTAACTTTTTACAATATTTTAAATAATTTTGTGCATGAAACAAAGTTTTGACTGTGACACATCACAAGATCAGGTATGAAACGTTTCACTTGTGGTGTCACGTGGGTGCTCAAAAAGTTTCAAATTTTGGAGTATTTAGGATTTTGGAGTTTCGGATTAGGGATATGTCCTGTGTGCTGTTGTCATTCTCACTTTTATAGATGAGAAAACTGAGGTCATACATGTAGAAGTATTAATGGTAGAGCTGGGACGCAAACCTTGACAGTCTAGATTAAAAGTCTGTGCTCTTAACTACTATCTGTCTATCATCTTTCTATCTTTCCTTTCATAATATTCATCTTTCTATCTGAAATCTGGAAGGATATACACTTCTGGGAAGGGCACTTTCACTTTTGATTCTACATATCATTTTCACTTCTGTTCGTATACACTTTTGTATTGTTCGAAGTGCTTTAGTTAAGTTTAGAGTTATGGTACTGCAGATATCTGATATACAGCTGTAGTAATTATAAAGAAAAAGCTTTAGAAACAAGTGGTCCTTAAGTGGGTACCGAAGGCAATGTCAATAACTTCTTTTGCGTAGAGTCTTTTGTTGTTGTTGTTGTTGAGACGGAGTCTTGCTCTGTCGCCCAGGCTGGAGTGCGGTGGCGCGATCTCTGCTCACTGCAAGCTCCGCCTCCTGGGTTCACGCCATTCTCCTGCCTCAGCCTCCGAAGTAGCTGGAACTACGGGTGCCCGCCACCACGCCCAGCTAATTTTTTGTGTTTTTTAGTAGAGACAGGGTTTCACTGTGTTAGCCAGGATGGTCTCGATCTCCTGACCTCGTGATCTGCCCGCCTCAGCCTCCCAAAGTGCTGGGATTACAGGCGTGAGCCGCCGCGCCCGGCCAGGTAGAGTCTTATTGGATGCATATTGTTGTATCTTTGACGGCAAGAGGTATGACACCTTTGACACCTTTTTCTTTTAATTGCAACACCTATTTCTTTCAACAGAACCCACCCCATATGAGTGCTCAAAAGTTTTGTTTACCGCCTGAAAGAAGCCTATAAGTAAAAGACTTCTGTTAGGGCAGAGCTATAGTTTGAGGATACATAGCAGAGCAAAGTTAAATTGAAATTGAATATACGATTCCAAACAACTAGCCAGTGCTTTTCCCAACTTGATTAACCAGCCACAGATAAAAACAAGTGTTTCTAGATGGGCACAGTGGCTTATACCTGTAATCCCAGCACTTTGGGAGGCTGAGGTGGGAGGATTGCTTGAGCCTGAAAGTTCAAGACCAGCCTAGGTGACAGAGTGAGACTCCATCTCTATTAAAAAAAAAAAAAAAAAAAAAAAAAAGCTTTGCATGGTGGCACACGTCTGCAGTCCCAGCTACTCAGGAGGCTGATGTGGAGGATCTTTTGAGCCCTGGAGTATGAGGCTGCAGTGAGCTGTGATCATGCCACTACACGTCAGCCTGAGTGGCAGAGTGAGACCTCATCTCAAAAAAATAAAATCAAATAAAAATAAGTGTTTATTTTACTCTCCCAAACCTTTGGGTTCATCCCCATCATTTGCCTCAAATTTTATTCTAATTTGATGTTCAATGTATTTCAACTGATTTTCCCTATAAAATATTACTTAGGCCTGGATTTCCAAGCTTTAGGCCTAGGATTTAGTTTCCACTTGATTTAAGATTTCATATTAAGAAGAGTGGCATTTGTAACAATCATCCTTGTTCTGGGGTCTTGTGCTTTTACATCACCAGAAACTTTTGTATTAGTTTACTATTTTGATTATTACAGGATGACTCTGATGTTGCTAGAATGTATTTAGTGTGTCTTTATTTCCTGCTTCTCTGCTTCTTTGCCTTTTACTATCTTTTTATCAAAGATTCTGAGGTTCTTTGTATAATTGGCTGATACTTCCTGATCGCAAGATATCTCTGTGGGCTTTAAACATATTTAAATGTATTTCTAAACTTTTCATTCACTTGCATAAGTATTAATGTAGGGCTTCTGAAGGAAAGGCAGAGTTAAAATTTTTTTTTCTTCACTTAGACTGAAGATTTATTTCCATATCCTTGGCCTGTAAGGGGGGAAGTAGGGAAGTACATGTTTAAGATGCAGTGCTTATTTGTAACTCTTTAAGGGGGCTCTGGCAACATATGGCACATAAGAAGTGACTCATGCAATATCTTTGAAAAAGAGTGATTGCTTTTTCATAAGAGTCTTCATTTTAATATGTTTAAAATGTTAAACATACTGCAAATGTTATTTCACAAATAAGAGAATATATATCCAGAAGAGGATATGGAGGCACACAGAGGCAGCCAGATCTAGGAACAAAATACTAGATTTCTAAAACTTGCTTCTCTTCACTGAATTTTAACTCTTTAAATGTTTTTATCAGTAGTAAAATGTTTTCATGGCACTTATGATGATAGTATTTCCTTAGTGAATAAAGCTATAGGATAACCTATTAAAGTAGATAATATTCAGACCCATCTTATATTGCCCTAGAAACTTTATTTTAAATCCATTAAATAATTCTCTTTTTTTGTTTTTGAGACAGAATCTCACTCTGTCGCCCAGGCTGGAGTGCAGTGGCGCCATCTTGACTCACTGCAAGCTCCGCCTCCCAGGTTCACACCATTCTCATGCCTCAGCCTCCCGAGTAGCTGGGACTACAGGTGTGTGCCACCACACCCAGCTAATTTTTGTATTTTTAGTAGAGATGGGGTTTCACCATATTGGCCAGGCTGGTCTCGAACTCCTGACCTCAGGTAATCCACCTTGGCCTCCCAAAGTGCTGGGATTACAGGTGTGAGCCACCACGCCCAGCCTCATTAAATAATTTTCTAAGAAATATTCTGCATAATCTCACATTTCTGCCTTTCCCTTCCACCTGGAATAAGGTCCCATAACTGTCTATCACAGCCCTACCCATTCTTCAAGCCCCACTTTCTCCAACTCTCTATAGACCTCTCCGTATTTTTACGGCTGCTTGTTCACACCTTTACCATAGCTCATTCTGAAGAGAAACTTGTACACATGCCAATTTCTCTTTCTTGGAGAGCTGGTACCAAATCTTGAGCTTTTTTTTTTCTGTTTTGTTTTGATTTTAAAATTCCCATCCACACTTCCTCCCAGAACCTAACACATCATTCCATGATGGCAGGCAGTTGGTTTTATTCATCTGTGAACAACTTAGAGAAATGCATCATGCCTATTATAGAGGGCTGTCAATTATGCTTATTCTATGAATGGCAGACACCTGACAATACTCACCAGAAACAGAACAGCTCTAGGTTTTGCTGGTAAATTAAGTCCTATAACCACAAATTGTATTTGTCAGCACTCAGATATACTATAGTCACAATATCAAAAGACAGAGAAAAATCTGGTATAATAAAAACCAATACCCAAGTAGTTGACCAAATGTTTTACTATCCATTGTGATTTTCTTTTTTTCTTTTCTTTTCTTTTTTTTTTTTTTTGAGATGGAGTTTCGCTCTTGTTGCCCAGGCTGGAGTGCAATGGTGCCATCTTGACTCACCACAACCTCCACCTCCCGGGTACAAGTGATTCTCCTGCCTCAGCCTCCCGAGTAGCTGGGATTACAGGCATGAGCCACCACGCCCGGCTAATTTTTGTATTTTTAGTAGAGACGGAGTTTCTCCATGTTGGTCAGGCTGGTCTCGAACTCCTGACCTCAGGTGATCTGCCCACCTCGGCCTTTCAAAGTGCTGGGATTACAGGCGTGAGCCACCACGCCTGACCCTGCATTATGATTTTCTAAATAGACATGGATACAAACTTTTACTTTTAGAAGAATACAGAACATTTTTATGCCTTATTGACTTGCTTAAAAACTTTATTAGGAAGAATTCTTACCATTCTAAACAAATCTTATTTTGCCAAAATTTATTCATCTGTCCAGATTGATAACAGCTTTGTGGGGGTTGGGGAAAGGAAGAGAAAAAATGAACATATATTAAATATTTAATACCACAGTATATTGGACAGGGGTGGGAAAAAAGTGAGAAATCTCTGATCTTTATTCAAATTTTTCAATGCTAGCTAGTATTGTGCTTTTATGTACTTATATACAAATTATGTGTAGCAATTTGACAAAATTTCTTGTCAGATTTCTAAAAATGCTCTTTTTCTTTGCAACACAAGAAGCTAACATAACTAACCAATAGTTTAGATGACTTAGAAAGACTACAAAGATAGCAAGAGAGAAACTGCCAGAATCTGTAACATTTTAAAAGTTGATCATTCAGTATTGGATTTTCATTGTCAGAAAAGTCTTGATACCATACTTGAGGGTTTTCTGACTTGATGCAAGTTTAAACTGAAATGTTTCATTGTTCAGCACCTCAGTTTGGCAAAATATATTGCATTAGATAACCCCTTAACCCAAGCTGCCCTGCATTTTAAAACAAAAACACCTAAAAACTAATGAGTAACGTAGGAAAGAAGAAGGGATGAAAAGAGAGGAGAAAGAAAAAAAGGAAGGATAGGGAAGAGGGACAAGAAAGAAAGCAGGAAAAAGAGAAGGGGAAGAGAGAGAAGGAAGGGAACGAAGGGCAGAAGGAAGGAAGGAGGAAGGGAAGAAAACCTGTTTTGAACAGCTGTTAAAGACACACATGACCAAAATGAGTGAGATTGGTAATATAAGAAATTATAAAATTTTGAAGAATATCTAAACAAACATAGCTGTCAATTTAAGAGACCTTATTTTTGCATTTCCTAATTTGCATACAAGTGGAGGAGACACTAGAAGTTTGTATTTGGAGACTTGAACATTAACCTGCACATCAGAATGAAAAATCCTCAGTCTAATGTCATGTTTTTGTAGAAAAACTTCAGTACAAAAAAAGGTTATCATATGTCATTATTGATACCAGAACAGTCGCTTTTCTTTTTCTCTACACTTTTTCATTTTGTCTAATGCTAACAAGCTTAACTAGATTTTTCTGGCTGCTAGAATATTTCAAGGGCAAAAGCATTAATTTAAGTATATATAAAATGACTAATTTAATTTTATATAATTTAAGAAATAAAAAATAAGAATTTCCATATTAACATCTACACTGCCCACATTACATGTTTAAAGCAATATAATTAAAAACCTAAGAATAAAATAATGTCATCTATTTGTATTTCTTGATTTCTGTAATGTTTAGATGGTTTACATTAATGTCAAGTTAATAATCCTTTTATTATTTTTCCTAGAGTATTTTGCAAACCTTTTTATTAAACACAAAAAGTAAAAGCCTAAGAGAACAAAAGTAGTTCTATATGACTTTGACTTTGTTTATCCAGACTTGCTAAGATGTTAAAAGATTTTAAAAGTTTTTTAAAATTGAAGGGAAATCTCGCCTCTAACACTCAAGAGCTTTATCAATGGCATATTCTCAAATAATTACTTAATATGTAGAACCTGCTTCTAAAGTCTTATGCTATATTTTACTTTGAAATATAGAATCTAAGTTTCTTATATACGTGGTTTAAATTCCAGATAGTTATTTAATTTATATAGAGCTTCCCATGTTTAACTTTTGGAAATTAAAACCGTCAGTTCTGAAAGACCATTTAAGCATATATATAGAAAGAAAAATAATAACTGGTAAAATTCACTTTAAAGTAAACAGAATTCTTTTCAGTCATGTCTTTTAAGTTTTTAATTTGTGAGATATAAAATCTTGGCTCTTTAATACAGAATCTTTATCTTCAGGGATATAGAACACAAAAATAATTCAAAAGCCTGTTGCTACAGGTTAATCACTTGAAACAGAAGCTACAAAATCTGAGTTGGTATCTCAATTCTTCCATTTATTAGCTCAATCACAGTGTGCAATCACAGGTAAAATGGGATTGATGAGTTTTGTTTATCTTATAACATTATTCTAAGGATTAAACAAAATTATGATTTAAAAAGTGCTTTGTAAGCTATAGGGCATTAAGCAAATTAAAAATTTTTAAATAAGAATTTTATCTAAGTAAGAAGCTATGATTTATGCAAGATATTCTTATCATTGACTTTTGTATCTAAGCCTAGTACCACTTAGGAATCATCGATTTAACCAACAGGAAGTAGAGTGTCTTTCTGGTCACCTCTCTGACAAATTAACAACCTGGAAAAAAAATGATCTACACTTTGAGCTGTATTAGGGGGAGAGTGTAATCACTAGGACAATTCTTAATACAAAGAGAGTGGAAACGTGATTCTGAAGAGGGGAAATATCAAAGGTACTCTTTATCAAGAGTGAAACTTTGAAATCCATCTATTTAAGATTAATCACTATTCTTTCAGTTAAGCTGTTGTCATCTCTAACTTCCCCTGAGTAGAAAATAATCTACACTTCCAACTAAGTTATTCATGGTCCAATTTGTTCTCAGAATACTATAATAGGCTTTGTGAAGATAAGTTTTATAATAGGGATTTAACATAGTGAGAAGCCAAGACACAGAGGCCTTCAAACACAAAGAGTATATATATATATACTCATATATATATATACTCATATATATATACTCATATATATATATACTCATATATATATACTCATATATATATATACTCATATATATATACTCATATATATATACTCATATATATATACTCATATATATATACTCATATATATATATACTCATATATATATACTCATATATATATATATATATATATATATATATATATATATATATATAAACTGCTCTGTCCTTTCCCCCCTTCTTCTACCCTCCCATTCCCTCTCCCAAAAGGATATTCACCCCTACTTAAAAATCTAATTTTTACGAAGGATTCAGATGAAATGGCATCTCAACAACTTCACAGTACAATTGGTTTAGCCACTGCAGTGTTGCTTTTGAAGCCATTTTCAACAGAGCTGGGAAAAGGGGAGAAGTCTGAGTAAAGCACTGGAAGAAGAAACACTGTGAATGGTTTTAAGGAAGAAAAACATTCATAATCTTTCCTCTTGGCAGTTCTGTCTTCTTGATGGCCACATTTACATACTGAGTTCACAGGCTAGAACTCTCAAAGAGAATTCTACTTTCCTAGAGAAAATCAAACACTCACGGTGGCATCCTGGGGGCGGGGGGGAATGAAAAGGAAATAATCACTGATGATTTATATATATATCATATTTATTTTCCAAGTTTCTGATATCTTAAACTGTTGAAAATACATAAAGTTATTCAGAGACACTTTTTTTTGTTTTATTCCTCTTCAGCTCTATAAGCTGTAACTCTCTATATTTACAATTTTTCTCTCATTTTTATCCAACTGAGTGTATTGGCTTCTTGCTTTACAAAGTAGAAATGTACCTTGAGTGCAACAAGTTTATCTTTATTCCACACTGTTGGGTTTTTTAAAGGTTCTTTATTTTTCCATTTTAAAAACTTCAAAATACACATGTAAAATTTTAGTATTTAAAATATTAGAAACTCCTTACCTGTTAATGTGTTTTAATAACCAGTTTGCCTTTTCTGAACATATTACATTCCTGCTGTACCTATTTTGTAGCAAGTATGCCTATCTTATTTGCATATTTGTAACAAAGTATGCAAAAAGATAAAGATATGTGACCTATTTATATTCAAAACTGACTAGAAAACTCTACAAATCACAGGAATTCTGTAACAGATATGCATTTACAACTTTCTCTAATAAAGATTTTTAAAAATTGTTTTTTAATGTGCTTTTAATGATTGCTAGCCCTCACACCTCCTTACTTGCTTTCCAAACTGTTTATACTGTCCCCAATAACACTCAGTGGAAAGCTGTCATTCCTGGCTAAATCCTTACTTAGGGTGGATGCTATGCCTCCGTGAGACAGGGTCAGGGGGTCAAAATCGATTTTGGAGGCCACCTGGAGAGTCCAGGCCATGAACTGACTCGAAAAATTTATATCAGAGCCAGAATGGTCCACCTCCCAGGGTCAGATCTGGCCTGACACTCCAACCGCAGGCTGGGGCATGCTAGACCGAGCTCAGAGAGAGGCCAGGGTTGTTGACCCTGCTAGCTGACCTCTTCAAACTTCAGGAGAATTTTTTTGGCAGTTACCACGGTGACTGGGTACTCTAAAAGCTTATCCTTCTTACTGAATGGAGGGAAAAAAATTAGGAAAAAAATATGTTAAAACCTACCTTGCAGAGATGCCTATCATGGTTAAAGTTAAAAAAAAAAAAAAAAAAAAAAAAAGGTGGAGAGGGGGGAAGGGAGGTTATGGCCCTAAATTGTCTATGCCTTTGGTATTAATTACTACTGCTTTCCAAAAAAGAAAAAAACAATTATAATGTACAAGTCTTTCAAACTGCAAAACTTGACGTTTGGAGCAGATACTGCTTTTTTTATTTCTTTTTTCTTCTTCTCTTTTTTGGTCAATAGCTGGCAACAATGTGAACAATGCATTAAAGTACTTTTTAAAACAATGCAATTTACTCGGAAATTCTAATATCTCCACTTTTCTTTGAGAATAATCAACTTTGAAATAAGATCCATCATAAATGTTAGCCTATTAGAGAAAAGATGCTGTAAATAATCAGTTTTACCTCAAAATCATGCTCAATATTTTTTTTTTCCTGAAAGAAAATTGCCCAATTTTGCTTGACTTGAAATAATTAAATTAGGAGAAAACCAAGGGTCTATTAGTATATATCTTATCTTTTATGAAATGACTTAATAAAAATAATGTATACGTTAAAAACAACAACCGAAAATACTCTACATATAATAAGAGAACACTAGGAAGAAAAAAATACCACGTGTACTTTATTTTAGAGTAATGAACTTTAAAGCTAAAAAAGCCATAGAATATTCTTCTATGTTAACACCAAATGTTGTCTTGTCCTAAAGTCTCACAACAACAGAAATACTTGCAGATAAAAATTTTAATTCCCCATGGGGTAAACCTATGCACGTTATAAAACTATTAGTTGATTTTTGTTGATAGGTTGTAACACAAAATGCTTTCAAATGGCGCCTATGTGTGGCTTGAAATTAGATGAGAATCATAATAATTTAGAAGTATAATATACTTTAGTCATAATAATACTTGCTCTTAAAAATATCTGAGTACTACACAATGACTTTTTTGTAAAATGAAATCATTGACTTTTATTGTTATTACTCTATATCTCTTACTTCATTTTCTCATCTACTGCTTACATGATCCAGGTCCTAGAAGTCTTGGAAGGACCTCCTCTACCATTTGGGTGCTGGTTCTGTGTATGTCTGTGTGTGTGTGTGTGTGTGTGTGTGTGTGTGTGTGTGTGTGCGCGCACAAAGAATAAAGCATTGGTGAGGGGAGGGTGGATTTGCATTTTAGAAAGGAGTGGCTATATAACAAAACAATGTCTTTGATTCAAATATCATTTTTCATCTTGACTCTAAGCCAAGAAAAAAATGAGAAATTACAGAAATATAGTAATTGACACTTCAAAAGTGAATACTAAAATTTCAGAGGAATGTTTTAACCTAATCTTAAACGTTCATTTTGCTATGACCTATTTTGACTGTTTTGTAATAATCACTAAGTTCCTACAATGGAATGAACATAAAACCAAGTATTAATTAATCTTAATTTTTAAAAACAAGATATAATTCAGGAATCATTTCCTTTCTCCTCTTGTGCTCAAAATAGCCACTGAAAGGCAAGGTCAGAGACATAGTTTGAGATGATCTTGCCAGGCGATCCAATTACACTTTGCTAAAACACAGTTCTTTCAATTAGATAGTGTGGTTCTTGACATTTTGAAGTGGGCAACCAGGTTGGTGAGTCACTTAAACTGTGGTGCCAGCTCATTGTCTATGATGAACTCGAACTGTCCTTCCCAGCCGGGAACTCTTGGCAAGCTTCCTTAAAGACCCAGTGGCTGGCAAAGCATGAGGAACTATCACACAGAAAAGGAGGTCCTCCTTGGGTTTTGAAAACAGACGATAGAAGTCTTAGAATGATGCAAGCCAGGTCACAATCTCCTAAGCCACGAGCCTTATCTTGAATGAAACATTATTTCTAAGTTGGATCTGAAAAGGAAAAAAAGTTAAAGTATAAGGCAATGGTTCATTTGTACAAAAGAAAACAATGCCAAGTCTCTTAGCTTGGTTTCCTCCAGTCCAGTTCAGAATCTCTCCCAGAGAAGACCAAAAATCATTTTTTCAGTCTTTTGCATAAATTTTTACTAAAAGGACTATGAAATAAATAGGTATTTTATTCAGAAATGTATGGATCTGGATCTTCTCTTAGGTTCAAAATTCACAAATGTTACAAAAGTACAGAATGAAGGATCTAAGAGATTATCTATTCTCATGTTTTTACTTTACATATGCAAAATCTGAAGGCCAGAAGCATGAACTGCCTTACATACAAAATACTAGTTAGACGCCTGAACTAGAACCTAGATTCTGGTTGGCATTTCTAACCCAGTATCTTCTCTACTATAATATGTAGCCTTTTCACTAGGGTAGAGAATATTAAAAGCCCATAGTAGTAAACGTATTCAAAGCCTTAGAGACAGAGTCATTCTGGGGCAAGGATATAAAATGATTGCAAATGATTCAAATTTCACTTCCAGGAAACAACTTTAGGTACCACATAAGCAGAAATGTGCTATTGGAAGCTCCAAATTTCTCAGGAACTTATGTCTTATGGTAACAAGGGCGTGTTGTTAATATTATTTCTCCAGATAATTGTTTTTATTGATCTGTTGTGGTTAATAAGCACTGACTAGTTTTTGTAGGTATGGAGTCGCCATTCTGCCAGGTTTGTGATTAAGTAACAAGAAGTGGGGCTTTGGTGTTGGTCTGTCTCTGCTACCAGTATTATGAAAGAGTCTATCCAAATAACCATGAGCTACGCGAGATAGGAGGGCTGCCAGTCCAGGAAGGGCTTGATCTAGTTTTTCTTTAACTTTGCTCTAATTTACTTCAGGTTTAACTTGCATCTGTTAGGATCAACGGATCTTAAAAATGAAGTTAAAAAAAAAGACTGTATAAAAATGTGCAATTAATTGCTGATACCCCAAACTGTGACTTGTCTACTGCATTCAGTTGTAATGGTACTTTTTTTTTTTTTTTTTTTTTAGTCAGAGTGTAGCTCTGTTGCCTAGGCTGGAGTGTAGTGGCATGATCTTGGCTCACTGCAGCCTCTGCTTCCTGGGTTCAAGCGATTCTCCTCCCTCAGCCTCCCAAGTAGCTAGGATTACAGGTGCGTGCCACCATGCCCAACTAATTTTTGTATTTGTAGTAGAGACGAGGTTTCTCCATGTTGGCCAGGCTGGTCTTAAACTCTTGTCCTCGGGTGATCCACCTGCCTCGGCCTCCCAAAGTGCTGGGATTACAGGCATGAGCCACCGCACCCGGCCTTGTAATAGTACTCTCTGTTAGTGTATTTCTAGTGCTGTCTCAAATTTCCCTTTCTAACTTGTCATGGCATTTCAAAAAAAATCATAATTTAATTCTGAAAATTTTCCAGGGGCCTCCAAAGGAGAAAAGGGTAAGGGATGAGAATTTGAGAAGAGAAGGAAAAGTACTAGGTATGCTGAGGGGCCAATCAGTGGCTCTCTAGGGAAGGAGGGGGGTGTTTGAGATAGTTATATGTGATTACGAGGTGAAGGCAAGAGTAGTCAGGTAGTCCTTAACTCCCATCTAGAATTTCAAAGAAATGCTGTTTCCTTTCCATAGATTCAAGAGGGTATTAGTTAAGGGTGGCATGTTTTGGTACTAATCACATGTTAAATTTTGGGAGCAGGGAATGAGAAACTCCTCTGAGGGTGAGTCTGAATAGCATTTGATGGGCAACCTTCACTCAAAATGTGTGGATGAGGCTCAGCTACCTAGGCTGTACATTTACATGTATTTTTCCGTTTCTCAAAATATCTTAGTTGTCTTGCCTTGGCCCAATAGAAGACTTCCCCAACCAAAGGGAAAAGAGGTGTTAAGGAAAGCTTCTTGATAGAAGGGAAATTTCAGATATACAAATCTTTTTTTATTTTTCTTTTTGTTTAGACCGAGTCTCACTCTGTAGCTCAGGCTGGAGTGCAGTGGCACGATCTCCGCTCACTGCAACTCCGCCTCCCAAGTTCAAGCGAGTCTCCTGCCTCAACCTCCTGAGTAGCTCAGACTACAGGCATGCACCACCACACCCGGCTAATTTTTGTATTTTTAGTAGAGATGGGGTTTCACCATGTTGGCCAGGCTGGTCTTGAACTCCTGACCTCAAGTGATCCACCCACCTCAGCCTCCCAAAGTGCTGGGATTACAGGTGTGAGCCACTGCGCCTGGCCTATTTTTCTTTTTAGAATCAAGGTTTGAGAAGTTGGTGAGCTGAGCAAAAAAGAAAATGAGGAATTATGAGATTAAAGTATGAGAAATTTCCCCTAGGTTTGTACTTGAGCTCCACCCTAGGACCAGGAAGGCTGTACTTCAGGAGCAATGCTGATTAAGGGAAGAGGTGCTGGTCTTGTCCACTTCTTGGCCCACCTTAAAACTTTCCCAGAGCTGTTCCTGCAGTGTTCCATTCTAGACACTCTCCACAGGACTATTGTGAGAAGGGCACAGCCTCAGGCAACCTGACCAGTGTCTACTTGCTGCCAAAGCACTGCCACTGGAAAGGAGGCCCACCCTTTTGGCATCCTTCATAGGCCCCTTAGGAAATTGTTAAAGACAGAAACTTTGAAATTGAATTTTAATGATTGTCAGGAAATAAGGGTGAGGTACAGCAGCTGCTCCGGAGCAGCTGTCCCAGCTGCCCTATCCAAGGGACGGCCTGCTTTTTGGCCACCATCTTCCCCCACCCCCGATGAGAGGAAGGGAAGAGGTTGGACAAAAAGGTAAAGGTTTCAACTTTGAGGGCGCCGATTCAGGACCCACATCCACAAACAGAAAACTAAAAGTAAACAAAACAAAACAAAACAAAAGACTTACAACTTCAGAGTCTCAGTTCCAGGCTGCCCAAGTGAATTGTAGGCCCAAGACATTAACTTTTGTGAAGGATGAGGGGGTGGTTGGGCAGAATACAGAGGATCCCCTACTTCTTATACATAATTGCTCACCAGGGAAAGCACAGCCACAACGTAGACAAGGAGGCTGTGAAGGGCCCCAGGGAGAACGGGAGAGCTTGTAGAAGGAACCAGTTTCTCTTCTGGATCCAAATGGCCTGTACTTTGGGGTGACTGCAGTTGGATTAATGCTCCGTTTCCTTCTGTCTGCCTGGGCTGTGTCTAAATGAAAAGCAGACCACAGGATAATGCTCTCCCATCACCAGTTTTCTAATCCCAAAACTCAAGTGCCTGAGAGTGAAACTTCACAAAGAAGTTATTGCCAGCAACAAATTCAGACTGACAAATTGTCGATAATCGCACCTTCAACATGCTGAATGACTTTCAGGCAAGAAATAAGCAGATGCGAGAAGAGCTGCTGGCTGGGTGGGCAAGGTGCAGGCCACAGCCTAGGCTGCAGTTTTCCCACTGTGTCCCTCCACAACAAGGGAATGTGTTCAGTGTGAGGACTGCAGGGCGCCTGCTTGCCTGCTCTAGCTCTTGCTCCCCTTCTTCCTGTCACTCACGTAAACTGCACAGAGGAGCGTCTCTCTTCCCTCTCCTCCAGTTAACCCTTCTGCGTGTGTGTGTCTATGGTCTCAAGCACCCTTGATTTACAGTCACATTACCCAGGTTTACTTTTGATTGAAATCCTGGGCCCCTAGAATGTATTGGACATCTAGTTACTTCTGTATACCTGTACATATTCTGTGACAGATAAAGAATTGATGATATAAAAAATAATATTTTTACCTGTGAATGCATTTGAAAAATGCATGCATATTTTATCATTTAAGAACTTAAGACACATCTGAAAGACATCTTTCAAGGTGTTTGCAGGTTAGTGCTTCTATAATTACCCGCCTCTGTCTGTTCTCCAGCACACACACAGTCACAAGAGTGCTTTTTGATTTATCTTTCCTGTTTTAGACTCACTCCGTGCTTTAAATTTAGGAGCAATTTTAAACACATATATGGATCTAAATATGCATTTATTATATAAGATATGATTTCTTGCCTAGTTTACAAATCCAGTTACCCAATCGTAATGCTTCAAATTAAATTATTAGTCACAGCCCTCCTAGGAGGTTGATTTAGCTACAGAAGTTTGGGTTCAAAATTTAATTCACTATTCCATTTTCTGTAAGTTGAATTTTGATTTCTGCATTTAAATACAACACAGCAATTGAATTAAGGGTCTTCTTGTTAAACTGGAGGCTTTTCTAATTTCTCTGAACTCTATAGATGAACTACATTGTCACATAATCGATAGGAAAATCTCAGCTGTCACAGATCCTAAGCAACCCTCTGCCACAGAAATAACACGACCTGGCATTTCTGAGTTTGAAAATGTGTTGTTTGGATGACATGAGACCAGAACTACCCAGACGGCTTTAAATATTGTGGTCTCTAAGAACTGCTGAGGACTGACCTGCTGAGAATGACTGAAATACTTCAAATAGGCTTTTCTCCTGGTTAGAGACCAGGTGTTGCCTTTTTTTCTTCCATAAATAAGTAATACAAGAGCCAGTGTATTGGTATCTGAGATTCAAAGCTGTTTCTAAGCTCAACTAAGTTTGCTGCCATACAGTTCGTATCAGAATTTCAAATTAAGTGTTTTCTTCCCCAAACCAATAAGAAATTCAGGCTTGGATTTGAGTCCAAATCTGAAACTAATGCCCAACAATCTTAAAACCTGTCCTTTGAAGCTTTAGATCATTCCCATCAACATGAGCAGGGTTTCTGCAGTAGATAAATCCTTCAGCTCAGAAGAAACTGAATGGCATCTGATAATAAATAACGTGAACCCATAAAATGACAGCAAGCCATTTCTCTGCCTCAATGCCACTGTTTCTTGCTGAACTCTCAGCATTGTCTCTACAATCTGCCACACACATATGTTGCCATATCACAAGAGAGCATGAGGAAGATGTATCCATATCTGTATCCTCTCCATTTTTATCTATAATACACTACTCAGCTACTCTTAAACTAATGAGTCATTTCACCGAGGGCATTTTTTAAGGTGTCACTGGGTGGCCCTACCCTAAAATCTACCCCACTTGGTAGATTAGATTATGTAGTAAATATCTTAATTTAGTTCAGAAGAACCTTGCTAAAAATGCTTATGACCTTGTCATACTATGAATCATGTACACACCAAATGTAAAAATATTCTGATTTATCAATTTGCTCTGTCAGAGAGTTTATGTATTAAATATTACAGTTAGTTACACTTTGCCTGCATGGGCTCATCTATACAAAGAAATGCACTAGAGGGGAATCAGATGATAGCAACCTAAGTGACACAGATTCAGTTTATAACTTCAAAGCATGGATGTGTAAAACTTTTTTTTTTGTTTTTCTTTTTGAGGCGGAGTTTTGCTTTTTCACCCAGGCTACAGTGCAGTGGCACGATCTCGGCTCACTGCAACCTCCGCCTTCTGGTTTCAAGTGATTCTTCTGCCTCAGCCTCCTGAGTAGCTGGGATTACAGGCGCCCACCAACACGCCCGGCTAAGTTTTTTATTTTTTAGTAGAGACGGGGTTTCACCACATTGGCCAGGCTGACCTTGAACTCCTGACCTCGTGATCCACCCGCCTTGGCCTCCCAAAGTGCTGGGATTACAGGCGTGAGCCACCGCGCTTGGGCTGTGTAAAACTTGTCTAAAACTAAAGCTGTTGGAGGCTGCATCTCCTACGTCTACCATCAGTAGGATCTTTGGGCTGAACCAAGAAACACCACCTCTAATTAGTTCAACTGTCATCAGGGAAGCACTGCATCAGGCCAGGTATTTTGCTTTTATTCAACTCTAGAAGAAAATGGGACAACTTGGACTAATATAAAAAGCCAACATTTCAAATTGGCTTCATTTCTCAAGATCTTAGAAGCTCCCAACCCACTGAGGCTATTTTTTGGCAACCTTATTCTAGCTCCAAACTCTCCTGTTAACACAGGAGAGTTTATCCATTATCGTAGTCCGCAGGCTTCTCCATAGCTGTAAGTTGACATTTGGAAATTATGTCACGCCAAAGAGCCCCAAACCTATCCAGGAACCAAGTTATTTATTTCTGAGGCAGCTGTCAATTGTGGAGGTGGAACAGAGAAGGTAAGAACTAGGCACATAATATCCGGGCTGGGAGTGGCTGACCTCTGATTATCTATCAAGGAGAGGTGACTGATGAAAACACGTTCATTTCTTGGATGCTTGATCAGTGTGTGAATTTGCCTTGTTTACAATTAAGGGAAATGATTAAACCCCAGCCCAGTCTTAAACACTGAAGAGTTGTATTTAATTTTTGTAAATGTGCTGTATTAAGCTATCTTGTCCTTGATTTCCAAGATACAAATCACATAAGGTCAATACTGCAAGTTTGATGATTTGCCTGCATTCTTAATCACATAGCACAGAGACATGAAGCACTGAATGTAAGGGATGTACTGACAACCCCAGCATATATGGCTCTAATATTTTAGGGTCAGGCCAGGCGTGGTGGCTCACACCTGTAATCCCAGCACTTTGGGAGGCCGAGGTGGGCAGATCACGAGGTCAGGAGTTCGAGACCAGCCTAGCCAACATAGTGAAAACCCGTTTCTACTAAAAATACAAAAAAAATTAGGCCAGGTGCAGTGGCTCACGCCTGTAATCCCAGCACTTTGGGAGGCCGAGGCGGGTGGATTACCTGAGGTCAGGAGTTCGAGACCAGCCTGGCCAACATGGTGAAACCCCGTCTCTACTAAAAATACAAAAATTAGCTGGGCGTGGTGGCACATGCCTGTAATCCCAGCTACTCGGGAGGCTGAGGCAGGAGAATTGCGTAAGCCCGGGAAACGGAGGTTGCAGTGAGCCGAGATCATGCCACTGTACTCTAGCCTGGCCGGCAGAACGAGACTCTGTCTCAAAAAATAATAATAATAATAAAAATAAAAATACAAAATACAAACAAATTAGCTGAGCATGGTGGTGGGAGCTTGTCATCTCAGCTACTCAGGAGCCTGAGGCAGGAGAATCCCTTGAACTTGGGAGGTGGAGGTTGTGGTGAGCCAAGATTGTGCCACTGCACTCCAGCCTAGGCAACAGAGCGAGACTCCGCCTCAAAAAAAAAAAAAAAAAAAGGTTTATTTCTTTACATACTTCATACTTGCACTCACTTTCTCTCTCCTCTACCCCCAACAGGAAATATTGCTTTCTCTGACCCTCTGCAATCTAACCTTAACACTACAGAAACCATGAGCTGGAGATAACTGCTTGCTTGCAGTACTATTTATGAAACAGTCTCTTTTTTTCTTCCCTAGGAATCTATCCCAAAGGATTGAGCAATGTGCTGTGCTGCTACTCCACTAGATCTGAGTGAAAAGGTGGGTGCTGCAAGACCATCTTAACCCTTGCAATGGTCTGGCCAGCAGCATCTGCTTTGTTACCTAGTTCCGTGAGCTCATTCTCAGCTTAATTTTAGAAACATATCTAGGTCTACATTTATCTATTTAAATGTCCTCCAGTGTTTGTCAGTACTGTGCCACTGGCCAGGTGCGGTGGCTCATGCCTGTAATCCCAGCATTTTGGGAGGCCGAGGCTGGAGAATCACCTGAGGTCAGGAGTCCAAGACCAGCCTAGCCAACATGGTGAAACCCCGTCTCTACTAAAAATACAAAAAAATTAGCCAGGTATGGTGGCAGGTGCCTGTAATCCCAGCTACTTGGGAGGATGAGGCAGGAGAATCGCTTGAACTCGGGAGGCGGAGGTTGCAGTGAGCCGAGACCGCACCATTGCACTCCAGCCTGGGCAACAAGAGCAAAACTCCATCTCAAAAAAAAAAAAAAAAAAAAAGTACTATGCCACCAATCCTGGCACATGTGTCTCTTCTATGTAACGTCTGTCATTACACAAAGCATTATAAAAACGTAATTTGCAACCTTACAATATACCCTTACTACAGAAATCATTACATTAGCATAACAAGCACAAAGTTCCAAGGTAGTAATTTGGTTATAGGTCTAAAATCCTTCCAGTTCCATCAGATTTCTATGGACGTATGGTATTGCCCTTCTGCAACTAAGGGCTGGGTCAGTGGATCTCTTGCATGAAGGAAGTTCTGCTGGGTGAACAGTTTGTCCTTAGGGACTCAAAGTCAGAGTTGGAACATTTCTTAAAGAATCAAGATACCTTCATCTCTTTTTTTTTCTTCCTCTTTTTATTTCTTCTTGACCACCAAGGAAACATGTCTTGAAAGGTATTCTTCCACAGGTGTTTCATTAGACATGTGCAAATATCAGGATTTATCTCATAGGCAATACAAGCACTTTTGGTCTTCCTGCTGGGGGATGGAGTTTGGGAAATTTGACTTCTATCTACCCTGCCATTTGTGGAGGTACAGATTAGCCGCAACTCTGCTGAGGCAGGATTGGTGGTGGTGGTAGGGGTCAGTAAGATTGAGATGTATTCAGATGTTAATTTACACCTGAAAAGACAAAATGTAGTCACCCCATTGGGGGTGACTTGAGTTTCTGCTGAATAACAGCCATGAGTGCTTCCTTGTGAAAGATGAAAGTTGAAATTGAGGGGGCAAGTAGTCTGAAAGTTATGGGAACAGGAAGAGAAGGAGCAGGGACAGCCTTGATGAATAAAACAAAATGAATTTAGCCATCAGTTGTAAATCTATTTTCAACTCTTCCTTCTCAGTGAAGTTTTAAGATACAACGGAAGATGGTAATTTCCACTTTACTAAATATTTGGAGATTGTCTATGGAATCCGAAAGTGTTGGTGTGAAATAAGAATGAAGAATTAGCCTCACTTTTCTGCCATTTGGATGGGTTTTCTTGTTCCACATAGTCTGTTTAACAACTGCTATCCACCTTGCTTAATGGAATCCCTAAGTACCCCGGGAGTAACTAAGGAAAAAAAAATCCTTCTACATTCCACCACTGCCTTTAACCTCAAACGATAGTAAAGGGTTCATTCAGACCCCAGGACCACACTGAGGCATTAATTAGGCTGATGAAATCCATCGAAATGTATGGATTCAGCATAATCAAGTTTCTACCACAGACTATCGTTAAGGAATACGTGAGCAGCTGGGAGAATAGAAAGTACTGTTAGAGTTAAGTCATGCATGTAATTGAGTATATTTAACATAACCATTTTAATGATCAGTGATTAAAAGTGCATCTTACTTAAATGGTATATCCTCTGCAATTTGTTCATATCAACTTGATAATGTTCTCAAGAGGAAAAAGTAGGGATACACATTTCTAAACAAGATCTTGTTTGAGTTTGGGGGAAAAAAGCAGGAAAGTGAACTAGAAAGAAAAATGTGGCTTTTGCATGCAGACAGCTACATGAGTGTGATATAAATTAATCACTGTTGTGGACACCTTCTGTGCTCAGTTCATACAAAGTATTAGGAATATATAATAAGTGATTTTGTTATTCCTCAAAAAGAATATATTTTTCCTTAAAGATGCTTTCTCTGTTTGACATTTTTTTTTAAGGGGGCAGGGGTATTGCTGCTCAAATCCTGTTGATTTTAAGAGCTTCCCTTAAGATCCTGGGAGGTTCATATTTCCAATTCTTCTTCCAACCTGTTGGGTTGGCTTATCTTAGTGGAACTTGCCTCTGTGAAGATAACAGTGGGAAGAAGAGCAGGCATCACACGGAGAAAGATGCACCCACATATGACGGACCAAGAGCACAAACAGTTCAGAAACCCGCAAAGGGGAAATTAGCTGTTCAAATCAGCGAGGGGCCTGAACCAAAAGCCCACGCGTTTAGAGGCAGACTCTGCTCTCCTCTATTCACTCGGACCTGGCCAGTTAAATGGAGTCATTGTGGAGCCATGCACAAGCCAGCCCCACTCCTTTTGTCGTATTTTCTCAGCTTTTGTGCTCAAAACACGCAAATCACTGATTACTTTGCCCAGGAAAGAATCGAAGGAGAGAGGTGGATCTAGATCTACAACCAGAAGTGTGTAAATCATACAACACCTACACATCTATGCAGGCACTAATAAAAGTGAGGGTTTAGAAGGGATGCCCAGCTCCCAAAAGTTGCTTCACAGGGCTCTTTTTATCTCCCTTCACCCCTGCCCCCACTCCTATAGAGAAACAAATCTATTCTCCCGCTCAAAATAGGGTTGAAGAGTGGCACATCTTGAATGTCGGGGAGTTGCACCAAAACTTTTACAAACCTGCGAGAGAAAGGAAGCCACAAGCACGTAAAAGTATGTTGGCACATACTATTCGGCTTGCTGCAAACAAAACAAAAATGTTTTCAGGGAAAATTCATTTGATGCCTTTCTTTTCACCCAAAAGCATGTTTTCTTTGGCTTGGAGGGACAGCTCTTGGGAAATCAGGTCTCTCAAGGAGCACTCCCACCCCCAACGTATAGTCTATAAATATAGTGGAAGAGCCATGCCAGGGGTAGTAAGTGCAAGAGAATCTGGAGTCTTGAAAGCATCTTTTTCTTCTGGCTATGGTGGCACTTAAATGATAATGCGGGCAATGGAGCTGGGAGATTTATATCTTTTGGAAAGTAGGGCGAGCCAGATGGTAATAGCGTCATTAACACACAAACTTGGGATGTGCAAGTGAAGCTTGAAATTGGGAAAGAGATCAGGAGAACAAAGGGGGCTGCTGTTGAAAGGCTACCCCTCTTCTGCCGGGCAAAGCTAAGAGCCCCTTGGTACTGGGGTCTGCTCCTGCCCAGAACTGGATAATAAACGACAGCTTTCCCCCTCCCCTGTTGTGACTTAGAAAGCACCAAGAAAACTTTTGCAATAGGCAAATTCGGCACTTATTATGTGTAACCCTTTGTAGTCTGAAGTGGCAGGAATGGGCCTTTAATCCAACTGCACTTCCACCCCACTCCCTACCCCAGTTTGATAAGCCCTAGCAATTGTTGACATTTATTTTATAAAATCAAAGTGCCGCTTGTTGTATGTTTCAGACAAAAGTTCATTTCCCTCCCCTTATGTAAATACTCTAAGTAAATATTAAAGGTTGAACAGCACTACATTTTCATTTTGGTGACAGCGGTTGGTGTGAAGGTGCTGAGGGGGGTTAAACTCTAGTTTTACTTTGTAAAGCTTTAACCTTTACGTTAACTCCCACTGAGTAGGTATAATTCAGAGAGAACAGAGAAGGCATTAAGACAAGATTAACAATGGCATTAATAATAATAATGCATGTTTACAATAAACACCCCCACACACCTCTATAAACAGGCAAGGAGGTATGAAACTAAAGAAAATGAAATTAATAACATTGTTCTCCTTTTTATAAACACAAAGTATGTATGTAGGTACATACACACACACATACATATATACACACATATGTATATGGTTTCTAGGAAGACAGCAAGGGTAACTAACGGTCATTAAGTATTGACTGGCTTGAGTGATGCCTGTTAGCGACTAAAAGTTGACGAGGTCTAAACTAAAATCGAACGTTTTTCTTTTTATTCTTTAAAAAAAAAATACTAGAGCTCTTTAAAAGCCCGGAGGACTTACCCTCAGGGATTATTCAGAGAAAAACTGAGACTGGCCGTTCGTCACAGGCAATTGTAAAGGGTTTCAAAGGGCCGATCAAACGATCGCCAGAGTAATCTACATTCAAGTCCGGATGATGGTGTTACGGCACACACCTGCGGGGTGTTTGCTGTCCGTGCCCCTCGCCGAGCTACAAATCATCATTAAAGCGAGCTGCTTAAGCTTCTTCCCAGCTTCTAGACAAGAGTTACTTGGGACAGTTCACTTTGATATTGCTGCAGCTCGCAATTGACAAGCAAGCTATTTTGGAGCTCAAGCCAGAGCCCACATCCTAATGCGCTTCGCGAAAGTAAGCAGGGTGGTTGGGGGCAGGGAGGGGTGAGCAATTGCAAAGGTCTGTCTCTTTCGCCAATTTCCAGAGCAGAATCACCGCAAAAATGTGTAGGAAACCAGGTTAAATCAGCTGAAACCCGCCTTGAGTTTCTAGTGAGGGCCCTCCCAAAACTTCTTTACTACAACTTTTAACCGACCCATACTGTGGACATAATCTCACCACCTCAGTTTCCCTCCTTCCTTCTCTTAAGTACCCACAGTCGGGTCAGCACCCAACCTCCATCAGGGTTGGTATCTAGTTTGAAACTTTCACTTTTGGTTCCTTGGTTTGCGATTATTTTCCCCCTTTTTGTGCGGACTGTGCCCTCGCTGCTCTCACTGCCCTCACCTTGAGGGGGAAAATAATCCGGAGTTGGGTAAAAAAGAAAAAGAAAGAGACTTGAGGGTCGGACAGCTGGAGGCGGGGAAAGGGGGGGGGTCGATGTGGGTTTCTGTCTGCGTCTGCCTGAGTGCCTGCAAGCCCTCGGCAATCCGCGTGCGACCCACTGGCGGGGGCGGGGTGGGGGAATTAACCGGCTATCGGTGATGCCAAGATCAACACTCGGAGCGAATGTATCAATAGACCAATTTTCTGCTCTTACCGCGAGCTTTTTCGTTTCAATCCAGAGTGGAGGTGTCTGCGCTGCGCAAGACGCAACAGCACAGTGGCGTCAGGCAAAAAAAAAAAAAAAAAAAAAAAAAAAAAGAGGGCGCTAGATGCGGGAGGCGCAAATATGGAAATTAACTCATTAGGAAGGGGTGTGGTTACCGCGAAGCCCCCTCCTCCATCCCGTCCTTTCTCCCTTGCTGCCACCGTCCCGGCTTGCTAAATATGAGATTACAAACAAACAAATAAAGCAGAAGCTGACTACGCAGTCCCAGATCAAACACGCTCCAGATAATTCGCTTCACTCAGCGCTGCGGCCAGATCTGCAGCTCAGCGCTGGCCCCTGACGCCCGCCGGTGTTTCAGCGCCCCCTCCACGCCAGCCCCGGCTGCCGCAGCTCTGAAAGGCAGGGCCCGCGGCGGCGTTTCGAAGGCACAGCACGTGGCCCTGACGCCCCGTTTGGTATACGTTTTAAAACATCAGACAAACGCTTCCACCAATATGGTGACCGTCTGAGGCCTTCTGCTGATCTCAGAGGTCCTCTCCTAAATGCTGCCTGAAGAGGATGAGGGTGGTGGTGGTCTCTGGGAGAAAAACAAAAAACAAAACAAACTAGAAAGTAATGTCCCAGAGTCCCTGGCCAAGAGGCTTTTCCCGGGGCGCCGCACTCCGCGAGAGGTATCAGTAGTGGAGGGCTCCGAGAATACGGAGGCTGGGGCCTGGAGGGGGTCTGAGCGTTGAAGTCCCGAGTTGCGATATTATTAACCAAAGACCAGGTTACCAAGATTGAGGGCGAGGAGGCTGGAGAATCTGCAGTGCATAATTATGTGCCGAAATAAAATGTTTCAGTGGGGGGAAAGGGGGTAAAAAGAACACGCAAAACCTCTCAACACCCCCACCCCACCCCGCCCCAGCTGCCCTGCCCCTAGGTCCTCAAAGCCTGCCTCTGTGCAGGGCTAAGGGAAAAAATGGCACTTTTATGGTTTTCCTTCCTGCGTGGCTCGCCTCCTTGTCCCTGCTCCCTGCCTGGCGCTCCCCCAGCTGCGGGCCCCTTGGAGGAAGGCTGCCCAGTCCCCTCGTCTCCCGCTGCCTGCAGGCCACCGAGTCTCAAAGCACGCATTGTCCAGCGGGGGCGGGGAGGCCAGCAGACCCATGGAGAAGAATAACACTGCGCCCAGCTCCTGTTAGGGAAAGTTTCCCAAATGCACTCCTTGTGGTAACATACTACTTTAAAAGATGGGGGGGCGGGGGGGATACGTTTTGAAAATCCGCTGCTTTCTCCAATTCTTCACCCTCTCCCCGTCACTTTTTAGGTCCTGAGAAAGAGAGTGGACCGGGAAGAAACTGGAAGGTGGCATGGAGGGCCAAAAATGTGAACCTGACTCTAGAGCAGTCAATGTGATGGTTTTTAAATGCAGGTGGGAAGAGTGAAGGGGGGATGTCTTCTCCCACGTCTGGTTGGGAGACAGATGCATGGCCGGTGCGCTGGGGGTTGCAGGAAGACTGGGCCACGAGGGCGCGTGTGCAGGCAAAGCATTTTGCACCTCCTGTTTATCTTAGAAACGGGGCGGAGGGGGGTGGGTGGGGAGCGATTGTTCTGCTTCCCGACAGGCAGAAGAAGTTGAATAAAATGGAGAGGCGGGCACACGCAAAAACAAAAACTGCTGCAGGCTCAGAGTCTTTCTCCTTGACCCGAATTCCAAATGGTGGGGGCTCTTCATTTGCAAAGGACTCCGATGTCTGAAGACCCCAGAGACAGCGGTCCTTCAGTGACGGCAAAAGCCGCGATAGAGACCGTTAGAATTGGGGCTTTTGGGGCAAATGTAATTAATCTTTCATTCGAGCAGCGGGGACCCATTCCTTCTAGGCGTTGTCGTCTGCATTGTAGTTCTCTGAGTTTCATGTGCTCTTCCAGGCGTTTGCAAAATAATGGCTCAGGTCCCTTGCAAAACTCTGCCTGAAACAAGTATATTCCAAGACAGTGCGGTAGCGAATAGGTTTTAAAAATCAAATCAAAACAAAGTAAAACCAAAAAAAAAAAAAAAAAAAAAAGTCCCAGGCCCATGCTCTTGGTGTCCAACCACCAAAATGAGGGAAGGGGAGAATAAGTGGTTGTGGCTATTTGGGAGTCGCGCTAATTTGGTGTGTGGACTTAATGCCTTAACGCTAAATCGGCAATATAAAGGGCTGAAGAGCAAGCCCGATAAAAGCTCTAATTACTACTGGAAACTTTAGGTGGTTGCTAGGATCTGAGGACCACCACCACCACAAAAAAAAAAAAAAAAAAAAAACCCTCCAATAGAGTGTTTGGACTGCGTATATGGGGGTGGGGGGTAGAGCTTGTAGAGGCGAATAGTACCCACATCTGCTGGAACTTCCATATCTAAGCTGTTCATTTACGGGAGCCAACTTATGAAATCTCCACAATTAGATCTTCATTGTTCTTCCTCCACAACACTGTCTAGAAAGAAAAGGTCTTCTCGGTCGGGGCCAATCCAACGAAGCGTTTGACGTTATTAAATAATAAAGCGATTGTGATTTACATTGTTGTTCAGAAAAAAAGGCCAATTATCCACTGTTATGTTGCCATAAAGATCATATTAACTCGAATTAGTAATCAAACAATATGCGAGCGTTTAAAAAAGTACAGCCGAACTGGGTGACAGCTACCGCGACGTCTTCACTTTCACCAGTACACCCGCGCCGGCAGCGGGAGCGAAAAAGGCAGACGCCGCAGACCCGAAAGGAGGGAGAGAGCAGCAAAGTGGTGATTAACGGCTCCAGTGTTAATTATTCTCAATTAATCCCAAACAGTGCAAACCTTCCCTGGTTCCCTGCAAGTTCCCTGGTTCCGATGCTCTGAGAATTCTGCCTGTCTGGGAGGAGTTTATAAGAACTACGGAAGAGGCAATTTCCACACAAGTGTACCTGTGAGCAAAGGGGGTAGGAGTGCAAGTGTGTGTACGCATGTTGTGTGTGGTGAGTGTGATTGTGAGGTTCACTACCTTTCTCAGAGCCTGGCGTGCACCCCGAGGTAGATGCCGTGGTGGGCAAGGCCCGCAGCATCTTCACGACCCTAGTGAATCTTGCGTCTTCTCTACTCAAATCACCCTCTCTCGTCCTCTGTTATTAGGTTTATAACTCGTTGCCCACTTAAATTTGTGCAGCCAACCACGGAAATCTAAATAGGTTTGAGTCGCCCCATGGGTACAGAATGGAGGCTTTAATAAGAAAGATTAATTGTGGGTGTGTACCGGCCGGAAGACGCGTTAGCTATCAAGTGGCGGCTGGCTGTGGGTCGAGGGGCGGGAGACGCCTCTCCTAGGTCTAGACGTTAGTAGGCGCCGTAGGCATACTCTAAACGCGGGCCACCTAGCGACTCGTAGTCACAAGCAAGCAAAGGGCTACACAGCACTCTTACCATCTTTTCCTGTGTTGAGGTTTTAAATAACTTGTCCTTTACTTACCCTGCACATCAAATCTTCTCGCCCTGCGCCCAGCACCGCCAGACCCCGCATTCCTGGTGTCCATGCGGAGGAGAGGGGACTTGTGACCGCTCTCCTAGGAGGTCTACCTATTCCCGCCCCCATCTACTGAACAATATTTAGGCGAATGATTGATACGTTTTGCTCCTGGGGCTAGAATGTTGATATTTTTTGTTGCCGTGATGAAACATGTGTATGGCTACATGTGTTTTTTAATACACACATGTAAGCAAGTAGGGAGTAATTTTCCCCAGAGAGATGTTTCAGCAAGTCAAGGCACAGGGGAGAATCAGCCAGCGGCAGGGCCGCGGGGATCTCTCCAGGCGCAGTGGTGGCACTGAGGGAACTGTCCTTGCCCGCAGTGGTGGCACTGAGGGAACTGTCCTGGCCCTTTCCTCACCCCTCCCTCTTTCAGCTAAAATGTTCAGATCCGGGACTAAGAAGTGGCGAAGTGGGCGGGGGCAGAGAGGAGTAGGGACTGGGTCGGGGATGAAGGAATTGGCTAGAATAGTTTGTCTAGTAGTGTGCCCCCCTTGAGTAATTCCATTTAAAACTTGAGGCACCAAGGCCTGGGCTTCAACAAATGTAAAACGAACTCTTGGAAGGTCCAGTCCTTGCAGCAGCAGGACAGCCAAAAGGTGGTCGCATCTTTGTTCAGAGTTTTAAAACAGTTGCTGCCTTTCCTAACCCTCTTGTTTTCCTCCACACCCCTCTTCCCAGTAAAACCAATTCAAAAGGGGGCAGAACTCCACTCCACAAGATTAATGTTTGTTAATTTGTAGGATTAACCATCTCATGAAGCATAATAAAATACTAGAGGTGCTCTTACCTTTAAATAAATACATAAAATTTGTGCCTTCTCTCCTTTCCTGTTTGATCTCTCTCAGGACATGGAAAACAGTGTCTTGGAACCTAATAAGTCTTAGAAGAACTTTTAACTCAGAGTTTTCACATCATCTGGGGTTGCTGTGGGCATTGGCATTGGGAGAGGATGTGGAGACCAGCTTACTTTTAATATCTATAGCTATACATTCTGGTTTGGAACTCACGATTAAAAATCTATTTGTTCCTCCCAGGGCTCTGCGGATTTCAATGTTGGTCATAGGAGCCGCAAAATGTTCATTAAAGGAACCTAACCAAGGCTACTGTATGGCCACTTTGTGAACTCAGAACTATGGATGGGGGGAAAAGTATGAAAGTGTGAGTTGATGTCACGCTGGCTGTCAGTGTGTGGTCTATTGTGGAGAATGGTGCTTTTTGACTGAACAGAGGGAGCCCCCCTCCCCCCTTCCCCAGCTCTACTGCACCTGCACTGGATGAGGGAGTCCCTGCCATTCAGCCCATCGCAGATTGTTCAAACAGAAGACATCTCTGACAGCACTCAATTCATTACATTTCTTCCTGCTTTTCAAACCAACACACACACACACACAAAATGAGTATTGCCAGCCAGTGACAGCCAAAAAAAAAAAAAAAAATCTTAAATACTTTATATGCAGCTAATTTGGAAGCTCATACAACTAACCATGAAATATTTTGTATCCTTAACTTGTAAGGCTTCCTGGGGGTGGGGGGAACGGTTGAAATTACCTGATTTTTCCAATTGAGAATATATCTCCATAGTTTATACGGGGATAGTAAGTTTGTAGAAAGACACTGCTAGCATGGGGCAGAAAGACATTTCGATGAGAATAAAAGCAGAAATGTGCAAAAGAGAAAAGCCTCTGATTTATCACAGCAGATGAGCCTGTTGATATGCATTCATAATTTATGCTGGGGGAACCAGCTTGCTAATAGAGGTGGGGTACCCAAGAACCAGGAGTGGGCAGTGAGGGAAGTAAGAGTGGGTAGTAAGGGAAGCATTGATGCTGAAGTGTAAGCTAAACATTTAAATCAATTTCTTAACAAGGCAGTCTTCCCCCCATATGCTCAAGTTTATTTTGCCATCTTGGATTCCAAGATGTTTTTGCACCATTTCACAAAGCTGATGAGACAGTGTTTAGAAAGCTGATGAGAGCGTGTTAGTCTAGTTTAACAGAAGTTGGGGTAAACAAACTCTCAAAGGGAAACTTGATTTTAAGATAGTTTCCTTGGAGGTGGGAGGAAGGAGAAATAGAGAAAGGGAGGAGGGCCTTGAGAAGGAGAAGACAGGTTTGCCATTTAGTATTCCAGACTGATTAAACTCTAATATTATGCAATAACCCCGATTTGAGCTGTTAAGTGTGATAAAATCGACCTGGATGTGAGCTGATACTAAACTGACTGCATGCAAAATATTGGCTAATCGTTACTCTGTGAGATCCTGGACCAATATCAGAACATAAGGCCTGCTTTCCAGGATCCTTTCCATTGGAAGGGCATTCAATAAATCAAATTGATTTGAGAGTTGGAAAGAAAACTTGAGAAGTGCATCTCCCAGAAATCCAGAAATGCCCAGGTGCTTTTCCCTAACAAATACTTCTATGCCACTTACACACATTCCACTGACCAGATAATCTTTCCTCTTATCTACAATTTAAATCACAGTTCTAAGAAATTCTCTCAGCAATACATGACTCTAAAAAGATTTTTAAAAGCTATACAAATTCTTAGGAATAGAGGGGAAAGAGAAAATAGAACTAGTGCAGCAATGGTAAGCCTGGAGCAATTGTCCTAACCATGGCTGGATATGAGAGCCAGAAAACTCTTCTAAGTCCATTTCTTAAATCGCCGCTGAAACTTGCACCGGGTTAAATAAAGCTATGGTGTGCTTTGTAAAGGCATTTGTCGTAATTTGTCGACCGTCTAAAAACAAAAACATACAAACACAACAGAAACAACTCATTCAGATCCCACAACAAATTGTGGCTAACAAACTAAATAACATATATATATTTGGAAGAAGGGCGGTCCTGTGACGAGAGTTGTGCGCGTGACTATATACGTACTTAGGATTATGGTTACTTGTATATGTGGTTATGTTCTGGAGACGGGGTCTGGGGGGCGGCCAGGGGCCTCGGGAGCCTCCCAAACTGGGGCTTGGTAGTGGTGATGGAGCTGGGCTGCACTGGCCTCGCCCTGTAAGCGTTCGGATTGCCCTTTCTGGAACACTCAAACGAATCATTTCATCCCCGGAGCCCTGCAGGCCCTGACGTCACGAGGTGGGGGTGGGGGCGCAGTCCCGCTTCTGGCCTGGCCGCCAGCGATAAGAACCCTTGGGAAGAATTCACCGCTCCTTATTTAATACAGTAATTATTTTTCTGCCTTCTGCGGGTGGGGGCGGGTCCTGCCCGGAATGCCGGGATCCCTCCCTTCAGGACGATGCCCAGGGATGGCAAGTTTGCAAGATAACTTCCTAGGCAAATCTTAAGTCAGAGAGAGCACTGGAAAAGTAAGAAGGGTGGTATGAACAAGACTAATTTCACTGTCCAGAGCCAGGAAGGCCAGAAAGGACCGGGGTTTCTGTATTGTTCTCTGTAGTCTAACGTGAGAACTGCTTCCCTTCCCTAATTCTGCTGGGCAGTAAGTAAAGTCATGCTTATCAATTAAGCCTGTTTTGTCAGGCACTCTGTATTCATCTTCTTCGAGGTAACTATATATTATCCCTATCTCACAAGTGGGAAAGTGAAGGGTCTGTATCTTCCCATCCCTACCTGCTCTAATCCAGAGGGGCCCAATATTCCAGGGATCCCAGATTGCTCCGGGGGCTTCCCCCAGCCCTGCCAATCCTCGGCCTCTAATCGGGAAGAACCGAGCGAGATCACTAATACTGAGATTTGGCCACAAACAGGGACAAACATCCCCTTGGGTAGACAATCTCTGATGTGGGTGGGAATCTGGGGCCTAGACACCGTCTCCCGTGTCACGAGGTCAACATGGAGAGGGCTTGGGCTGGGGCGCAGGAGGCAGAGGACTCTGGAGTGGTGAGGGCCCCAACGCCTCGGGAGACTTTCTAGACTTGTCTGACGCGGGTCGGTGCCTGAGGGAGAGGGAATGCGACCGTTTGAGCAGAGCCCGGGCAGAGAGAACTCGAGCCCCACACAGCACCTTCTTGGGGAGCCCCATGGGTGAGGTGACCCGGGCCGCGGTGACGTCAGGTCCACCCGCCGGAGCTCGTCAGCTCGGCCTCAATTTGCCCGCGCGTCGGCTCTCAGCACTGGGCACTGCGCGCTCCCCAGGGCAGCCGGCGGGAGGCCGGCGCGCTCACAGCCCGGAGCCGTGGCCCGCGCGGAAGCTGGGAGAGCTAGGCAAATGATAGTTCAAAGCGCCGAACTCTATATAAAACAGTGCACCCTTCATTCTGTACACGCAGGCAGACTAGGGTAATAAAACGAAGGACACCTCCAGCTTTCAAATCACCTGACACTTCTTTGCAGAGTAGAACAAGCATCTCAAGTTCAAACGCCTAGGTGAAGCAAATATCTTTGCATCCCGAAATGAGAAGACATTCTATTTGCTTTAGGAGAGAAACTGAGCAAAGTGCTCAAGGAATCAGAAATATCACCATTATACCAAAGTATAAAATAAAATCCATCTGAACTCCGAATAGAGAAAGAGAGCTTTCTGCCACAGACAAGAATCTTAGACTTATCTTAATACTCCACCCTTCCAAAGAGAAATCCCCTTAGTCAAAATAAGAAAGTCAAGTCCATTATTTTCTAAAGGCCACAGAAGCAAAATAGACAAACTGAAAACAAGAATCATAAAACTGGACAGCACTGTTAGCAGGGAGAGAGGAGGTTACAAGTGTCTCTTGGTGGTAACAGATGTCGGGTTTCCAGAAAAGTTTTAATAGAAAATAACTATGAAAGACACTAAACTAATTATCTGGTTTGGGCAACTTTCCTGTCTTTGGGAAGCTCCTTCCACAGCTTTTCTTACTCTAGAACTCCGGAAACTATGTCCTTTTGGACTGTATCCATATTTTCACAGTAAAGGTCAGAGTTTCTCCCCCTTCTTCCTTCTTTGAGGGATTCACCTCATAGGTGAAGTCCTTAGGAAATCCATCCAGCCCTCTTCCAATTTAGGTCACAAAAAGAAAGCAAAGCAAAAAAATAAATTAACCCCTATCTCCAACCCTACTTGCTGCCCGAAAAGCAACTCTAGCTTGGAGAGCAAGAAAATGCAGCAGAAAAAAAAAACAGAGAATGAGATGCAAATTATTTTAAGGGAATAATGTGGGTGTGTGGGGTGGGGGTTGTCCGTTGGGGAATGTGAACTGAAGTCTCTGCTAAAGCTCATGGCAAAGGAAACTCCTTCCACAAAGAAAAATATGAGGATCTGTTTTTCAAAATTCTCCAAGATCAATAAATGAAACTGGGGTGAGGTGATGAAAAGTTCTCTTAATTATAACAGATAAATAAATAAATAAATAAATGAGCAGCGTCAATCAGCAGGCGATCAAACCATAGTCAAACTTCAATCTCAGAGCAGTTAGCTATAAACTGTTAGCAGTTGAAAAGTAAACCTCATGCACACAAAGGCACTGTTTAATTTTCATCTTGTAATGGTTCTAAATGAAGACCCCATCACTATGCAGTTAAGCGGTATTTCTTGTCCCCCTGAGGCGCTGATCAGTTCTTTTTAATGTGAGAAAACTGGCAGCTCAAAACCCGTCAATGGAGCTCCCACAACAAAAGTTCTGAAAAGCTGAATGAATTGGGTTTGTAATTACTGTTCCCACCGCCACCCCCCCCACCATTGCAGCTTATCTCTTATTCATTCAATTTATATTATTGTCGAGGAATCTTACCCTCAAAATCATTCCCTTACCATTTTACCTAGGGCCACAGAGGAACCTATGACATGGCAGAAATGGAACACTGGCCCCCCTACTGCACCTTGCAGTGTTCAGACCAATAGGTGGGGAGAGAAGGAGGAACTACCTTGTACCCCAATTTACTCGAGACTACTAGAACTAAGGGTACTCAGCTTATGGAACCTTCCACTTTCAAACTTGCATTTTATTGGCAAACAGGAATGTGTATCCTGTCTAAATTCAGGGCCTCTCTGAGTCTCTGAAATCCTGTGACATCTCTACTTAGAAAAGGCAAAGGTTGTAAATGAGCACCCTCCCCTTTTGCCCCATATTGCAAATCCCTAAAAGACCTTGCCACACATGATGAGGATATTAAGATAAATTACTGTATTCTGTTTTTTTTCTTTTAAACCGAAAAAAACAGCCAGTGAAACAGAAAAAGAGACTATAATTCTGTGCCCCCCACCCCCCACCAGCCCAGGGAAAGGTTTTATGAAAAAGTCAGCTTTAGAATGCCAGGGCTCCGTGTGTATTTCAATCCAAGGTATTGCTGATGGAGAAGATTCTCCTGAGATTTTCCTACTGTAAGAATGTGTCGATTTCTAGAAATAAGTACAGCTATTACCACCAAATCTACTAGCAGTCTAAATAATTAATTGAAGCATTGCTCTTTGACCCTTGAAAAGTCCAGTAGGGACACGTTTATAGCAATAATACCTCCGAATGAGCCCTTGTCAAATATTCATTTAGTGGTTAATGTGAGCCATTTTCCCCTGGGATGGTCTGTAATACCAGCTTCCCAGCATTGGCAAGAAACCTTGCTAATCTACTACAGCTCAGCAAAATATTTTAACGCTCTTTATTTAAAGTATGTGGTGGGGGGGGGGTGGGTGGTTTGGGGAGAGAAAAAAATTTCAGAAAGAACAGACTGTACTCTCATCCTTTTGCACATTTCTATTCTGTGTATATAGTTAACAAAACATTTAAATTCACCCTATTTGACTGGAAATTGAGTGGTTTCATTGAGCAGAATAATATCCCGAGGAAAAGAACTAAACAACAACTATCTTCAGCACCATGAGATAACCATCTCTGGGCAAGTTTATGGGTTTACTCTCCTTGAAAATCACATTATTATTAAAATATTATATGTTCGATATTAATCTAGCCATGAAATTACATATCTCAGGTAACCATTTAATTTAATCAAATGAATGATCGTACAAGATATATATCATTTCCCTCAGATGTAGTTATCAAAAGCATTTATATTTGCAAACAAAATATTTTGACTTTCATTTTTCAACTATTTGGCTCGGCGATATGAAGGGGTAGAAGGGGGAACGGGAGTTCTCTTGTTTTATGCAGATAGTGACAATTATTCAAAGCTAGTTCTACTTCCCAAAATATTGTGCTCCCTTTCCTTTTGCTAAATATTTGAACCTGACCATTTTGCCAGAAAGTTGCTGACCCTGTGGGCTTTTTTTTAAAAAATGAGAGGTGAGTGCAGTGCAATTACTGTAAACCTCTATACATATTTCTAATATATTTCTATTTTCAAAATATATATAATCTATATATTTGACTGCCTCAAATTCCGGGAATATCCTCCCCACTCCCCCAGGATGATCATTTGGATCTTTATTCAAAGTTTCTTTTATTCGTATGTGTGAGCAAGAACTGGCGAATGTGCTCATTACCACGTGAATAATCCGTATATGCATTACAATGGCTGGCCAGGCTAGGGGAAATTCTTTTAGAGTCTCTGCATTAATTAGGGGGGAAAATGCCTTGCTTAGAATTGGGAACTGGAATAATAATTGTCCCTTCCCAGTACAATGTTATCCTAAAAATGAGGATTAAAAAAGTAATAAATAAAAACCAGTACATATCTAAAACAAAGCAATCTAGAAAAAAATAGAAAGTACAGAAAATATGAGATATCCTCAGTTCAGCCCAGAACTAACATTAGCAACACCATGAGAAAGAAATACTTTCTTGGAAATGAGAAGATGCAAACCAACGGGATGAGCTAACTTAGTGGCTGCAGCGGGTACTTTACTCAAGGGTGGAAGACGCTGCCGGATTCCAACTTCTCCAAAGTTGTAGCAAGTTGACACAAGCTCTTGAAATTGTGGGAAGCAAACCCGTGCTCTTAAAAGTGCCCGATTGTTGGTTCCTGGTCCCCGTGGGTGGGGGAAGACGAGCGAATCAAGTAGTAAATAAAGTAGAAAAGTCCCTGACTAGGTAACAGATTATCCGGCTGCCCCAAAGCAAGGGTGGGTGGTGATGCAGAAGCATCGCTAATTCAAAGACCATGGCGATGTCTCAACTTTTCCACTCCCACTGAGGACAACTATAGCCTTTCTTTACCTTTCCTAGGGCAAAAAAAAAAAAAAAAAAAAAAAAAAAAAAAAAAAAAAAAAAAAAAAAAACCACCACACAACAAATCCAATCTTGTTTCCCCACCCCTTTCCCCTCCCCCACTTCTCTACTACAGTAGTAAAACATTGTTAACAGATCAAAAGCATAATCATCTCCAAATGTGATTAGACCGGACAAAGTAAAATATCTACCTCAGAGTTGATTGTTTTCTTCTTTAATATGGCTGTTGCCTGGCTTCTCTTTTGCTTGTTATCAGCTGCAGAGATTATCCGATTTGGGGCTACAGGCTTGGACCCGCGCTGCCAATTTAAGAAATGGAATTCAGGGAGAGAGGGAGAGAGAGGGGAAAAAAGAAAATAAATAATAAAAAAAACTATGTTTATGATAAGCCGGGGAGTTTTGCAAGATGTTCTTTTCTTTCCCTCTCCCCGAACAGGAAAATGTAGAGGAGAAAGTTTATGAAGTCAAGGAACAAAGAAAGCAAACCACTTGTTTCCTCTCAGACAATAGCAGGGCCAGAGTAATCCAAACACCCACCCAGCAGATGAACACTTTGCATGTCTAGTTTGCAATTATTCTGATACAAGAAGCATCATTTTTCTCTATAGCCAGGTTTCAAAGGGCCATTGTGCTGTGAAGAAAATGAAAACAAAACCAGCCAACCTGGTTCTGATTTGGCTCAATATCCCATCTGCTAAACTACATGAAAAATTTCAGAATTGAATCCTTTCTGGCAACAAGTGGCATAAATCAGTTTTAAGTATAGGTCCCCATCATGCTTATTCATGCTGCTTAGAAAAGGAGGGGGCGGATTTACAATATATGTCTCTAGTTTCTATTTTAGAAATGACAGAAATTTCAATTTTTCCAGTACTTATTAATCATCCAGCCGTTTCTTTTTTGCAGTTAACATTAGCACATGATGCTGGACTAGTAATACCAAGGTTTTTGGTATTTTGCTTTCTTGGCTGAGCACAGTATTATAATTCCCCGAAAAGTTATGTATAATCACAGTGTTATCCAAATAAATGAAAGACTCAAGAATAATTTCAGTGTCCATATTTCAAAAATTTATTTATCTCAAACTGTGCATAATGGAGTAAAAACTTAAGTTGAAAATGTACCTGTTATAAGGATGATATTAGTTCAAATATATACATGGATTCTCGGCAGACTGATTCAAATAATACAGAGCCGAATCTTTTAAAATACAACTACGGAAAATAAAGGGGGGAAAACCTTAAAATATCACAATAAATTTACAGAAATATTACAAACCATAAGAAAATATTTCAAACACAGTAATTTCATGGTTTTTTTTATCTGAACAAAATGGAAAGTTGGGATCGAACAAAAGCTATTATAAATTACCAACGGTGTCAACCTGCATGGCCATTTTTGCTTTTAACAGTAAGTTATAAAATTTAGTACAGTCTAAAACTTTTGCCCTTTTTAAACAAGACCACAGAGATGGTTCGCCAGTACTTATTCTAATTTTTTCCTTTTGTACAATTTTTAAACAATTAAAATGTCCAAATTTGAATAATTTTCTTCTTTTCACGTTTGCAACTGTCCTAAATTTCAGCTGCAGAATCAAAATTCAGCAAGAAGCCTCTCCTTGAAAAATATTGGCAAATTCTCAGCTTATAAACAATGGACATTTTGATTGCCATGTTTATCTCGATAAATACTGTACAAAAGTTGCTTGCAAATATTAAAACATTTTTTTCGTCGCTTGGAGACTAGCTCTAAATATTATTGGTAAAGACTTTTGCAAACTTCCTGCAAAGCTCCTACCGTACCACTAGAACTTTTAAAAAGTTTTTCGTAGCTTTCTTTCCTCCAGATCTATACAAGGTCCATTCCCCCGCCCTCCCCACCCTCCCCAGGTTTTCTCTGTACAAAAATAGTCCCCCAAAAAGAAGTCCAGGATCTCTCTCATAAAAGTTTTCTTGTCGGCATCGCGGTTTTTGCGTGAGTGTGGATGGGATTGGTGTTCTCTTTTGCAGCTGTCATTTGCTGTGGGTGATGGGATTTTTTTTTTTCCTTTTTCTTTTTGAGCGTACCGGGTTTTCTCCATGCTGTTTCTTACTCTCCTCTTTTGCACCCCTCCCATTTCCCTCGTTTTTCTTTGAAAATTTCTCCCCCCTCCAGTTCGCTGTCCGGCCCTCACATGTGTGAGAGGGGCAGTGTGCCGTTAATGGCCGTGCCGGGCACCGGGCCGCTCTGGTAGTGCTGGGACATGTGAAGTCTGCTGGGGGCGGCGGGTTCCGGCACCTCGGCGCCGGGGAGATACATGCTGATCATGTCCCGGAGGTCCCCGGCCTGGCAGGGCGCCCTGGAGTGGGAGGAAGAGGTAACCACAGGGGGGCTGGAGCTGGCCTCGGACTTGACCACCGAACCCATGGAGCCAAGAGCCATGCCAGGGGTGCCCTGCTGCGAGTAGGACATGCTGTAGGTGGGCGAGCCGTTCATGTAGGTCTGCGAGCTGGTCATGGAGTTGTACTGCAGGGCGCTCACGTCGTAGCGGTGCATGGGCTGCATCTGCGCTGCGCCGTGCGCATTGAGGCCCGGGTGCTGCGGGTAGCCCAGCTGGTCCTGCATCATGCTGTAGCTGCCGTTGCTCCAGCCGTTCATGTGCGCGTAACTGTCCATGCGCTGGTTCACGCCCGCGCCCAGGCCGGCGCCCACCCCGACCCCGCTCGCCATGCTATTGCCGCCGGGGGCCAGCAGCCCGCCGGGCAGCGTGTACTTATCCTTCTTCATGAGCGTCTTGGTTTTCCGCCGGGGCCGGTATTTATAATCCGGGTGCTCCTTCATGTGCAGCGCTCGCAGCCGCTTAGCCTCGTCGATGAACGGCCGCTTCTCCGTCTCCGACAAAAGTTTCCACTCGGCGCCCAGGCGCTTGCTGATCTCCGAGTTGTGCATCTTGGGGTTCTCCTGGGCCATCTTGCGCCGCTGCCCGCGGGACCACACCATGAAGGCATTCATGGGCCGCTTGACGCGGTCCGGGCTGTTTTTCTGGTTGCCGCCGGCCGCCGCCGCGGTGGAGTTGCCGCCGCCGCCCCCCGAAGTTTGCTGCGGGCCCGGCGGCTTCAGCTCCGTCTCCATCATGTTGTACATGCGGGCGCTGTGCGCGGGCCCGGCCCGCCGGCGGCCGCCGACCCTCGGCCCGGCCGGGACTTTGGGGGGCCCGCGGGCGGGGGGAGAGGAGGAGGGGAGGCGGGCGGGGGTGTCGGGAGCGCAGGGCTCCGCGAGGAAAATCAGGCGAAGAATAATTTGGGGGAAAAAAAGAGAGAGGCAAACTGGAATCAGGATCAAAAAAAGCGCTTCCCTCCTCCTCTGGCCGATCCTGCCGCCGCCGATGATTGTTATTATTATTTTTTGGAAAGGCTTAAGCCTGGGGCTCAAACTTCTCTCCCTTTCTTTCTCTCTCCTCTTCTTTCTCTCAGTCCTAGTCTTAAAGAGGCAGCAAACTACTTTCCCCCTTTTGCAAACACTCTCTTCTCTGCCTTGACAACTCCTGATACTTTTTTGAACAAGTTAATAGACAACCATCCATGTGACGGGGGCTGTCAGGGAATAAATGGGTTTCTAGCGACCAATCAGCGCGCGGCGGCTCCTCCACTCGAGCCCAGCCTCGCTGCCGGGTTTTGCATGAAAGGGGGCGGGGCCTCCCGCGCCGCCGGCCGCGCGGGGGAGGCCGGGGGAGGAGGGGGCAGGCGAGGAGGGGGAGGAGGCTCCCAGAGCCAGCCTGCCAGCCACTGAGAAACCTTTGTATCCCCTCTCGCAGCAACAGGTCACACCACACGCCTTTTCGAAGGAAGTGGGTAAACAGCACTAAGACTACGTGGGTTTTTTTTTCTTTAAACTTAATATTGATTTACTTTTTGGTGCAGGGTACTTAAATGAGGATGGGACGCGGGAAGCAGCTAAGGTGCGGGGGTGGGGCAGGGCACAGTGGGTGGCTCAGGGCGGCTGTCCAACTCGTATTTCTGGAAACAGCCAGTGCAGGAGTTGGTGTGTCATTGTTCTCCCGCTCATCCACAGCACTCCCCCCCAACTCCAGCCCCTCTGGTGCCGCTCCCGTACTGCGCTCTTCCGCTCTCCTCTCTTACCTTACAGGTGCCAACACTCTCTCACGCCCTTCTCACAGTCCCGACTAGAAGTTAGGAGACCCAAACCTCTGTCCTCAAAACCTTCCTTGCTTCCACGTAACTTGCTCTGTTCTTAAAAATAAATCCTGCTCGGACCATAAGGCAGACTCTAGAGCTGAGAACCAGCAGGCCTTGGTAAGCTGCCATCTCCCTGTCCAACTCAGCTCTTTGGCCCAGGAAACTGCAGCTCTTCCTCTTAGCCCCAGCCACATCTCCCACTAGACTGTCTTCATTCAACCGTAGCAAAGGGGATGCTTCTACTGTCTGCCCCCACTCCCCATTCCCATCCCATGCCTCCCCGTAAGAAGGGTTTCGGTCGTGCGGCTTTCAAATGGGGGCTGGGGAAAGACACAGACGGAAGGGCGCTCAAAAGTGCAGGCGATGGGGGAGGGTGATTTCAACTTCCTGGCATCCCACGGCACTGTATGGAGGTGGCTTTTGGGCCGCAGTCACAAACTCCCTCCCACGCAGAGTTCCCAGGACTCCAGCAGAACCAGCCCTGGCATTTTCCCCGTAGATTTCCATTGTGGTGGCCGCAAAGCCCAGGCCGCGCAAGGCTGGGGCTGCGCCGCAAAGGGGCTCAAGGCCTGGGAGGCGGGGTCGATGCTCTCCAGGCACAGGTGCAGGCAGCGCACACTGGGAGAAGGCGGCCGGGACTGGGGAAGGGGGAGCCCAGCAAGGCCCGGGTTAGAGGAGGATGAGATGGGGGCGGGGGTAGGGGCTCAGGAATCTTGCCCGCCCAGGACCCAAGAGGGTAATTTTAGCCGCTCTCCCATTGTCCCGACGTAAAGATTTCAATAGGTAGGCGCTCAATGCGGAGGGCAATGGCAGCACGTCCGTTACAAATAGGTAGTTTTGTTTCTCTTGTTGTCGCTACACGGAGTCAAACAAAGCCTCGTCTAAGTTTCCTTCCACTCTCTTGTTGGGATCTTTGTGGCTAAAATGCACTTGACTACAAAGGGTGGGGTGGGGGGGAATAAAGAAAAAAAAACCTGATGCCATTTCTTTTTTATAAAGGGCTTAAACCATCAGGGTTACTTATTTTCTTTCTTCTGTAACACTCTCTCCGCCCCCTCCTCCCCTGGTCTACCCTTACTCACCCTAAGAAAATGTACTGAATAGTATCTACCAGCCACGTTCCATTTATTATCTTTACAAAACGGTGCATTGTTTTGTTCCTTACTAACCTTCTTCCCATAATCACTCCCCCGACCCCCAATTTCTCCAATCTCTGCCCTCCCTAGCCTGTTACTGTCAAACTCACACTAAATATACCCACTGGAAACTCAGAAAAGTTGTAAAAAAAAGAATTCTGCAGACTTTCCTTAAGTTATTTCCAATCAACCTTCCTGCCCCCCGAAGGTTCTCCTTTTTCTCTCAAGTTATGGCTTGTTTTAGTTCTTGGGAACCCGGAAAGGGTGAGATTGGGTTTCTCAAAATGCATACATATTCGGCGCTCTTCAAAATACAGCACTGTTTTCTGTTTAATCCAGGTGTAATATTAAGGTAAACACGGACCTGGAGATTAGGAAAGAGAAAAGGTTGAGAAGATCTGGGGAAGAGAAGGCGGCCACCGGCTTTTCAGCGCGGCTGGTTTCAGGGATGTGGCTGGTGCGCCCCCTGCTGGTAGATTCGCTTTTCCAAGACTATTGCTTTTACCTTTAAAAGAAGGTATTTGAAAATAATTAAAGTAAAAAAAAAAAAAAGAGGGGGATGGAAGATCAGACTAATTATACATAATCTAAACAAAAGAAAAGTTAACATATCTTATAAGCTGCGGAACCAAATCATAAGAATCAGATTTAATTTGCCTAACTTAGAAATATACATACAACCTCGAGGTAAGTGGGAGGTTAGACCATGGGAAAAAATAGGTACAAATTATGAGATTCAACATGTGAATGAATTATGATTGTCCAGACGCCACAAAGGGCAGACCAAGAATTCACTTTATGATTGTGTATGCATCGGTCTGCTTAATAGCATTATTCTAAAAACTTTAAAAAGCTTGTGGATAATTGTTTGAAGAAACAACCAAGGAATTGGTGTGGATAAGGGTGGTGTATATTTGTTAAAATAAATACTAATAACAGACGGTTATAGACACAAATCTTTTAAATCTCGTTGCCTTTCTCTCAAGGCACAATTTTTTTCCTTGGGAGGATATATAACAACTTTTACACATTCTCAGATGCATGTGTTTGTGCATGAACTCTATAATAATGTATTTAAGAGGTTAAAGGGGTTGGCTAGGTCTTTTATTAATTGCTTTTATCACATTAATAAGCTATGGAATTACGTTACAATTGTGTTATCATTGGTTGCATTTATTTACAGCTTTATTTTAATTAAGCCTGCTGTACTTATCGAGACAATAAACTAACTGTGGCTGGCGATTATGCATAATAATGTGCTATGAAAATAAGATTAAAGAAGATGGTGATAGCAGGAACATTTTCTCATTAGATTTTTTAGAACATATGCATTTTAAAAAATCAGATCACTGCCCACTCTATTTCAATCCAGCACCATCACTGATCCCTAAATATAATAACTATAACGATTCCAATAGATGACAGAAGCAACACTGTTTTAGGTTTGTAATAGACAGCTACAGTACTAACAACAATATACCATTGACTACTAGACAATCAAAAAAGACTTGGAACAGGATGCTTCATCCTCTGAGAATCTAAAATGTTGCCATTGGCACAATTTACGAAAATTGAAAGTGCTTAATCTAAAGGGAGTGTAACACTTCCCTTCCACGGGCAACAAAAAGCTACATACTTTTAGAGCAAGATTAGTAGTTAGTAACAAAAATGCATGACTCCTGGAATATTCTGATTTTATTTTGTTCTATTATAGGCCCTAGCCAAAAGGCCTTAACTGTTAAGTGTAACTCAATTTTATTTCAAAATCTTGCACATTGATTTTTCTCTCCTAAAGTCTCCTCAGCACTCCTCAAGTATTATATCTGAAACCAACTAACAATTTTGTGGAGACAGGGGACTGTAGACTTATTTTTTCTTCTTAGTGTCAAATAGAGGTTTAACTTGCAGTAATTAGGTGAGAACTAGCCAAGCATCTTACTATTATGATGCTTGTTAAAAAACGCTTCTTTTCTGCATCTGCATTTGAGTGTGTTCCCCTCCTCTCTTAATCTTCTTATGGAAATGAAGGCAAACGGCAGGGAACCTGCAGAGTCTTGGAGAATGTCCTTGTTAACTGGAATTTCTCAGCATTGCTAATTAGCAGAGTTTGACGACCACCAGTATTGGGGGAAAGCTCTGTTTAACCACTCACAAACCATTCTGAGGAAGAGCAGACTAATTTTATTTTGTAATTAAAATCTGAAAAGGGCCCTATTTGACAGTTAGGGCTATGAGAGTTTTATCTCCCCGTGAAATAATTACTGCCTTGATAACTCAATTTTCTGAAAAATGTCAACTGTAGGCTCCAAAAGTTTTAATTTCATTATGTAAGGAAAAAAGTGAGAAAAATAGAAGAAAATGTACAGAAAGGTTTTCTAATTCTAGAACTGGTTAAATATACAAGCAGCCAGATGTGGTCAAATGAAGGTTTTTTTTTTTCTTCCCTTTTTTGTCATGTTTCCTCCAAATCCTAACCTTCCCACAATCTCCTCTAAAAGTGACCATAGCAGCAATCATACTGCAGTGAAAGAGATCATACCAGTAGTCTGGTAAGTGAAAAGAAAACAAAATTAAAAAGCTAAGTGCAGCAACTGGAGAAAATTTTCTAATTTTAAAGGCCAAAAATAAAGGAAAATTTAAATGTTTAGGACAATGCTGGTACAATTTGGTGAGATGATATTTATATTTATCCTGTAATACAAGAAAATTGAGAATTTCAGAGTAAGGAGACTGGCATAAGCCAATTTTTAAAACATTTCCTTCTCCTCTGTAAGTCACAAAAGATCTCAGTCACTTCAAATTGGAGCATGCTACACGACTTCCGGAATGACCAAAGCTTGATTCTTCATTTCAGAAACAAACACATATAAATGAAGGTAAATAAGTGCATTAGAAGATTTTTTTTCCCTTAAAAGAGCATTGCATACTTTCCAAAAACAATTAACAAGAAATAAGCTGGAAAAGGTTAGGATATAGAAAGTAAGAGCAAAAATTCAAAACTGAATTGTACCATTGTCAAACTTCATTTCCTTTAGACTGTGAAGGATCCCTCATAGGAATTCCTAGAGGGGATAGACATCTTAATTTTTATAACACAATTTTCAAAATGATAGAAACTCTTTCATCTACATTTCCCCCATTTTTTTCCTATGTCAAACTTGTCAGATTTTGGAAGTGTGAAGGATTAGTGACAGTAACTATAATGAATGTTTCCAGATGATAAAAAGAATAAACATATATCTCTATCCCTTTCTATTTACTAAGATAGAGATATGCATATGGCTGCATGGTACATTGGCAATTTCAAATTGCTTAATCATATTTTTTTCTTCTTGTCTGTCCCTTCAGCACCTTGCCTTTAATTTCCAGAAGTGGTATTACACTTAACAAATGAACAAGGGATAACAATTGCTGTTTCAGTCCAGACCCAATTTCACCAAATAATTTCACTCAAGAGCTGTAAGTACCCTTGAAACCTAAGGAATGCAGAACAGCTTTGCATTCAGCTCCCCTTTTTACTCATTCTCTCTCATCTAATTCTCATTGATGAAATAAATACATTTTGAAAAGAATTCAATAGTTATAAAACTAAATATATTTCCCCTTACTTTAAATTATAGCAACAGAAGTAGTATATAATCATTTGTGTAGGTCTTTCAAGCTGCATATAATAATCATCATGTTACTTACAGTATTATATATGAACATCCTTCTTATATTCTAGCTCAAATATTTTCTGGAGAAATTAATTCACAATTTCATTTCCATTTCTGAATTATCAAGCAATTTTAATGTAAGTTAAGATTCTATCCCTGCACTACAGCTGTTGTCCAGGAGAAAATGTAGTGTGACCATTAAATGATTTAATTATTTTAAATATAAATTCCCTTTAAAAACATAAACTGAAAACCTGAAGAGCTGCCATCAGTGGTTTTCAGTTGCATTAAATCTATGACTTTTATTTTTAAAATTAGAAGAAAATTTTTTAAAAGGCAAAATGATCAGTAGGAACTCCAGGTAGCCCAAAAAGCCACTGGACCTTTTACACCTGTAAATCATTGCTTGAGTCTAAATACATATGTCTCTGATTGACCACACTATCTTATGCAATTAATTATACCAAAGGAAAAGGTTTTCCTTAGAATCCCAATTTTCCAGTGGCTAGGGTTATTACCCTCATTTTAGAGAAAAAACAGTTGTTTTAAATTCTCCAACTGTGATTACTTCGTTTAGTTGTGACCACAACTTTTGTGGGAAAAACAAACCTACACTTTCCTTAACCTTTCTCTAGCCAGTATTAAATGACACTCCAGTGAAGGCTGGGCTACCCTTTCACTGCAAGGACAATTTACCAAGCAGGGAAAACCTCTTTCCCTTAGCCTGGCCCCTGCCACACCGCATAAATGGAATTTAGTCTTCTTTCTTCTGGAATCTTATGGAACATACTGCTACTGTGTTATCCACAAGTTCCCTTTCCAGAATTACAGTTGGACTCAATACAAACCACAAAAGTGATAAAATCTCAGAGGGCTGATGTGTTTGGCACCCAAAAAAACAAGTTGGGGAAAGAAATTAGATCTACGTAACATGTGAGGGACAGACAGGAATACTATCAGAGGAAAAGGAAGAAAGCTTTCACCTGTGGCATGAAAAGAAGTTAAAGCAAACCATTGGAAAAAAAAAGTCATCCTACAATCACCATCATCCCTAAACGAAACTATTACCACTTTTTTCAAAGATCTGCAGCTGCGGCTTGCCCTGGAAAGTGCTCTAAATCAAAGTGTACACCCATCCTGGGCGGGCTGGCATCCTCAAGGCCTCCCATTGACATCTAGAACCCTCTCCCAAAAGCTATTCCGGCCTCAAAAGAAATGCCTGAGAAGTCGGCCTTCCCAGGGGCCCACTTCTGCTTGCCCCCAGCGCCCCTCTTCCAGTCCTGGCTCAGATGGAGTTGGGTTTCCAAACCCATCCCAATGGAATTCTCAGATCGCTGGCCTGATAATCTTTAAAGGCTCCTTCGGAGCTGGGGCTCTGACTTTTATCTTCCCTCCCACCCTTCTTCCCTTTTTGCTGGCTCTCCCCACTCCTTTTTCGTCTCGCCCCACCTCCCCTCCTTAATTTGAAGATCATTGACACGATAGGCTGTAATGAGTCCTTCAGAAACTGTTATGATCTACAGTGACAATCTCTGCACCTAATTCACAGATTATTGACAAGCACCGTGGGCTCAATGGTGTCAAGTTGTACTTGTGGTTTCAACACCCCGCAGCAACCCACGTAGCCGCTGGGCCCTGGATTAGGACCCCCAGTCTGGCAGTGCTTATCTGCCCGTCTGAGTGATGGAGAGATGAGTATCAGTCTATACCTCAACTGCTTCAAGCCCGCCTGGGCTTTCTCCCTGGCGCCTTTGTCTGTGTCAGGGTTGGAGCAACGAAACTGAAAGATCTCCAGAGTTTGAAAACAGAGTGAAAGAGCAAATTTAATAAATGAGAGCTCAGCCTTGAATCTTAGTCTTTATTAATAGAGTCATGTCCCTCACACCCAAATAACTATCAAACTTCAAACCACATGTACTGTTTTTCAGAGTTCGGGTTCTTTCCTGGGTTCATCATGAAAGGTGTGAGGGATGAAGGGGAAAAGGGTCTGAGGAGTTGGCAGGGTCTCAGTGGGCCTAAGCTAAGTGGGCCCATCCGCCTGGATAGTCCTCAGAATCCAGCAAGATTGGTTACTTACAAAGCAGGGCGCCCAGCCAACCCGCGCGGGCTCAGGCCTGGACGCTGGGACAGGAGACCAAAAATGCCCGCCCCGCCCCTAAAGGGCGCTTTGCCGCCGCGGAGAAACGCGGCCCGTTGCCAGCCGCTGCGGTTTTCCCTGCTACTAAGGAATCAAGTCACTCGCTGCCCCCTCCTCAGCCCTCAAAGATGGAGGGGCTGCCTTCCTGCTGGCGGCCTTGGGGAGTGGGATTCGGGCAGGTGCTGGGGCCCCCTGGGACCACAGAAATAACACTGCGTCGGGAGAGCTGGGTGGCATTCCCAGGCCTGGGCCACCCACTTGTTTAGCTCTCTTTCCTCAACTAGGGGTTATGCTTTCTCCATGGGCCCTAGAAAGTTGGGCACTCGCTCCCGGCACGCCCACCCGCCCTCAGCCAGGTGCGGCTTCTCCCTCCTGCCTTCACCCAACAACCTGCTACCCCACAGGCTGGGATCCCTGGGTGCGGAACGGGGTGGAAATCTCCAGGACTCTGCTATTGCACGTTCGACATCACTTCCGAATAGCAGGCATATACTCTCTTTCTGGCGTCGCCTCCAACATTTTGCTGGCTTTGGCCTCCCTACCCCACGGGCTGCGGGAACCACTGAGCAGCCTTCGGACCTCGGCTGTCAGCGCACCGTTTCTTACCTTATCGGTTGGCGCGGGTTCACAAAACTAGCACCGACTATATTATTTCTGTAATGGGGACAAGCCTTTTGGTAGAGCAAAAGGTGGGGGTGCTGTGGCTGGAATCCCGCTTGCCTGTCTTTTCCATAGAATTCGGGGTAGAGATTTTATCAAAAGGCTTGATTCTTCTCTCCTTCCATTGCATCTGAACCTACTTACTAAAAAACCTAAGCCGAGATCTAATTCTGGAACCAGATGGAGAAGTCATCTCTCATCGCACTAAATAGCAATTCCCCTTGAAATGTTATCTCGAATTCGCTAATTTTGGGAGGTGGGAAGAATAAACATAAAGGTATCATAAACCTTGCATAGCCATAGTATTCAATATTTTAAAAAGCCATTCTTTTATGAAAAATTAAGCCGATTTCCGTCAATAAGCAAACTTTAAAAACGCGATCTCTAAACTTCTTAAGGGTAAAGTTAAAATCAATAACCATAACCCTGAAGATGTAAATCTTAAAACATCTTGTTCATTTAGCACAGTAATTATTTCTATTTGATTTTAAACAATTAAGCAAACCCACATTTCCCTATTGTTTTAAATTCAGAGGATGTGCCATTTTTACAGTTTCTCTTTCTGAAATAATTCAAAGGCTACTTTTGCCCTCACTTGCTGACCAAAAAGAAGAAGAAGAAATAATAATAATAAAAAAGGCAAAGCTCTTTATTATGTAGACAGGTAGTTTTTTGGAAGTGTAAAAATACTCCCCCTTCCCTAGGATAATTTGGATTCCTGGTCAACGAAATGCTGAATTTCAAAGAAAACCTTCCCTACCATTGGCACACCTTCCCCGAAATCCTACGGCTAAGATGAAAGAAAAAAGATACCAGGCACCTGTTTCTTAGCCAGTATGTGTTTCTTAGCCAGTATCTGGGAAGGAAAAACTTTGACCAGGATTGGTCTAGGGGATGGGAAACACTCAAAGAAGAGACTGGTCTTTTAATTATACTCTGGAAATAAACACATAAAAGCAAGTTATTTCGTTTACTCGAAGGCTCAGTTACGATACTTGCAGGACCTCTGAGGGCATTCAAGACGCTGCTGACAACGTCAAAACAGCAAGCAGCAGCATCTTCCGTTTAATTTTTTGAAATGTGGACAAAACGGAGGAAGTATACTTTGCTTGATTCTCCACGGCTACAGAAAAATGCTTTGTTTTTCGTCACTTTTCTTTACCTGTTTTACCATCGCAGAACCTTTCAAAAGAGTTACAAAACCAAACCGGGTGGGGGATGGCTGGGATGTGAGGAGGACAGTCTTTATTTTTTATTGAATTAAAATTGTAGTATCGCCTCTTTAGTTTTTTATTGAGTTAATATTATATTATTTTTCAAGGATATAAAAATTTGTTTTCGCATCCCGTTTCTTTTTTGGAGGGCAATAAAAGAGTTTTCTCTAACCCCAGAGCAGGATTCCAGCGATTTCTGGGACTGGCGCTGCGCAGCTCCTACTGTGTCCAACAGGGGGCGCTGGGCACGAACCTGCGCAGCGGCTCAGTGCCGCTTCACATCTGAGTCGGGTTCCAGCCCCGGAAGGCGAGAGCCGCTCGCGGGGTCGAGTACAGAGCTTTAGTCTTCGTGGATAAAAAGAGATTAAAGGCTAAATTCTTTTTTGGGGATATGTGTGTGTGTGTGTGTGTGTGTGTGTGTGTGTGTGTGTGTTGGTGTGTGTGTGTGTATATGTGTGTATGTGTGTGTGCGCGCGCGCGCATGGGGGGGTGGTTATCAATTTTAACCAACTACGAAAATGCAGAGCTTTTTATCCTTTGATGTTCTCATAAAGAAACTCCTATCGGATGAGAAATTACACGGTTTCTGAGCCAACACTGCAGCTATAGTGTGGGGGAAATTATTTAATTAAAAATATATTTTTCCATCTGTTCACATGATCTTTTTAGAAGTACTTAAAAAGCTGACACTGATCCCTTTGGCCTGTTAACCTTGCCCCCAGTTTCAAATACTTTTAACTATATCGAAGGCCTTTCTATTAATTTGAAGGAGAAAAAAAGGAGACCTAAATATTTAAATCACCCCTAAATAGTTACTCCTCTGCACTCCCCCGTCCCACCCTTTCTTTAAACAGGGGCTTTTATGTGAGTGACACATTTCACACTTCCGATTCTGCAAAGCCAGGTATAAATGACAAGGAGCGGCTCTAAATAATAATAATAATAAAATCTAATTTGGGACTACATAACACCCAAGTAGAGTAGAAGATCTAAATAAAATTGTAATCCACCCACCCACCCCCCCCCAACCCAACTTAAAAAAAAAAAACCCTTCACCTGTATTTAAATAGCGTGTCTTTAATTACAGCAGTTGGGGATGCATGAGGCTGAAATGAAATTAGCAGTCATTACCAGTCCTTTAACTCTGTGGTGCTTTTGATCAGCACTAAATTAGCTTTCCAGTCCTAACAAAGACTCTACAGCAAGCAGTGGGCTGTAAATAAGACAGCGCGACCTGCCCTCAACACCTTTTCTCTTGTCAATCATAGCTCTATCATTCAGCCCAAGATTAACCTTTATCTATCAAATTAAAAAAAAAGAAAAGAAAAAAGAAGGAAAGAAAGAAGAAAAAGAAAAAAGAAAAAGAAGGCGGGAAGGAAAGCCCCCTGACCACCACATGTCGCAATAACAGAGGTTCCCAAGAGCCCCCTTAAAAGTGTATTATAATGAGCCCATGTCAGAATCTGCAATTTCCAAATCATCCCTTCCTACTCCACCCCCTACACCTCTCGAGTATGTTAGAAGAGTCAGAATGCTGTTCAGGTAGGAAACGAATCCTACACCCTCTCCCCCGCCCGCAATGGCTAATTGGGCGTGGACCACCCTCCATAAGTCAATTTGCCATTAGCCTGTCCTCTTCTATTAGTCTAACAAGATTTAGGGAGAGGAGGGGATGTTTGAGGAGGAAACACTGGTGAGTTTAAGACATATATATATAAGTTCCTAGGCTGAAAACAATCAATTTACTCCACTAATAGTCTCTAGTTTCTAAGTCTGCGGAGGAAAAAAACCAACAGCAATAACAAAAACCCAGCTGCTTTTCCCAGTACTGCATTACGAAAGTAAAACATTGGTTCAAGTTGCCATTAGAGGGCGCCAAAGAGCAAGCCCCATCACCCCTCGCTCGACTTCCCGCAGAAACCCTCCCACCTTCCAGCTTCGCCATGCTCTGTAATTCCTTCTCTCAGGTAATATTTCCTGCTTATTCTGCCCCCATGCATTTCTATCTTCCTCTATGTCAATCTCTTATAAAAAACGAGGTATCGCCATGTCCCCTTCCTCTTGTTTTGCAACTTCCCCCTACCCGTAACCACCACCAAAATAGTTAAGACGCCGATTGAAGTAGTAGCAACCCCTTAATGATATGTACCTTTTGAATCAAATCACTCTTTCCATTTAGTAACATTGGTCTGGAAGAGGTTCTTTATGGGGGTGAAATGCTAGAGTTTAACATTTTTAAGATGGAAGCCTGAATTTTTCATTAGTGGGTTTCTTTCTGGGGGCTCACAGATCTATTTCTTCAGTTTCATAGTAAAAGAAACACACCCTTGTAAGACAACTGATTAAGTTCAGTACCAAAACCGTCCAAAATAGGATGAAATAATGTCATTTCATTTCTGCATTTGTTAAATCTAAATTAGAATTTAATTCCAAAAGTTAACGCTTTCAGACTTAAATCTACCAGTGTTAAATGACTGCCACACAGGGTGTATTTCCAGATCTCTTAAAGGTCAAAAGAAAAAAAAAAAAAAGAAAGAAAAACAGAATGAGTGGGGAAGAAAGTGAGGTGGGGGGAGGAGTGAGCTAGCAGTGAATGTCAAAGTTGGGTTGCAAGCTACTTACATGTCCATGCCAGATCAGGGTGTTGTCTTGTAGCAGTTTGATTGGCAGGTAAAAAAGCGAAAGAACGTGAGGGCTCCCTGAGCCTCTTGTCAGCCCAAGCTTGATCACTTCTCACCGGACAGAACCAGTTGAAGGAGCTTGCAGTTCCCCTCTCGTCCTTCATCCAAGGCACCGTGAATCCATTTCGGCTTTTCTTCCCCCCAGTCTTTCCATCAGCCTCCTGCCTTCACCCACATCGCCTTACACCAGCCTCCAAGACCTAGCCTAGCTTTGCCACTGCAATCCCCTGCAACAAGAAAAATCGTTTATGGCTTAAAACCCCAAATGGCTGATTTTTTAAAAGAGAGAGAGAGAGAGAGAGGGAGAGGGAGAGAGAGAAGAGAGAGAGGGTGAGGGGGAGAGAGAGGGGGAGCGAGAAGAATGCACCCAGAGAACAACAAAAAAGTCAGTTATCCTAACACTGCTCTATCCCCCCACCGTACAGAAGAAGAATAAAAAAAAAAGCTTTATGTTTTTTCAGTGGGTATTCAAAGATAATTTGATGCCATTGTTTCTGCTACAGATGGTTCTTTTAAATACAATAACACGGCTCTTTGTGCAGGCTACCCACAATAAAAATCGAAAGCGTTCCCCTGAATAACCATTTTGTTCTCTCTTGTATGGGGCCAACAAAAGATGCCGTGAGGTAATGGGTTCTGTTTATTGAAGCCATAGAATAGGGGTTTGATAAAGATTTTTTTAAAGCAGAAGACCTTGCAAGGTCGGGCTGATCTCTTCATATTTTTTTATTACAATATTTGTCCAATAGATTATTCCTTGGTGCAGCTGCAGGTTTCCTCCTCAATTCTTAATCAGCCCAAACATCTGTCTCTTTGAGGAGGCTTTTAAAAATCTACAATTGTATCATTGGTGCAGTAACCTTATCAAACCCTGAGTTTTTAGGCTCAGTACAGGCAAAGGCAATGAAGTTTCAATTCTATTTGGTCCTGGTGGGGTGAGGCAGAGGGTTGGGGGAGAGGAGATAAGCAACCCCAGATAGAGTGACTGAAAAAAAAATGAGGCTTTACTCTCCCCCACTCTCTGGTTGGCCGTGCACAACTGTATGAGCCAGACACACAGATCACTGAGGGCTTCTTTCATCCCAAGGTGTTTCTCCCCATCTCTGCAAGACCCCGCCAGTATGCGCATGCTAGACAGGGGCTAGGCATGTTTTCTTAACATACTTGCCCTTTCCTCCAGTAAGGTCTCCAATCCTGGAAAACCTAGGATGGGAGCCCAGTGGGAGGAGTGGAACAAGCTAAAGGTTAGTCTTTAGCACCCAGAAAGTCCTACTCTTGGCTCTTTTTGATTCATCATTAGCTAGCTTTGACTCACTAATTGCAGCCATGTGAGGGACTGGTGGCCACAGCCTTCCTATTACAGCACCCTATCCCCTCAGGCTTGCTCTTACAGCCACCTGGCTTCCTCCCTCTCAGTTCCACAGAGAGCCTCCGCTTCCTCTCACAAGGGAAGCCCTGCCACCTAGACCCCCCTGAGGTCTGTATCAACTCTGAGAGAGCCTGAACACTTGGCAGTGAGGGCGCTGTGGGGGACAGTGTTAGTTACTGACTAGGTTTGTCTACCTTTCTATAGGAATTAATGCCAGGGCTCTCTGGGCCTCCAATAGCCCAGAGTGACAGTAATCCACTTTCATGACTCCTGCTCTGTGTTGTCACTTGTGGCAAGAAAATAATGTGGAAAAATGGCTTTAATCTTAAAAACATGTTTTCACTGGATTCTCTACCTCTGTCCTCCACCCAGTTCATTTCTCCCTTTCTTCTCATAAACCATTTTAAAGATAAACACACTCAAATGAATCCCTCGACTAACTGATCTCAACTTCCACTTTCCCTTTTGGAAACAATTATGTTATTGGTTTACAATTGGTCTGGAGTCATCTAATAAGGAATTTTTATGGACTATCATTTAAACACCAACTAAAGCCTTTCCTATGAAGCTTGAAAAACAAATACATCAAAACAGAAAATTAAGTAATTTTTCACATGGTTGTTTCTCAAAAATTCATTTTGTATCACAGGATAAAGAGTCCAATCTCAGTTAGAAAAGAATGAAAGTCAAGACAATACTAAAAAGTTATGTACCTCCCAATACTCTCTGGATCAAGAAAAATGTGTCTGTAAAAGTGTGAGTGCATTGGGGGTAGAAGGGAAGTGAAGAGAGTAAATCAAGAGTGACTTTCACCAGAAAAGGCTAAGGTGGGTGAATTTGTTACTTAATGGTATTGTAGGAGAGGGTAGGGGCCTTATACAAAATTAAATCAATACTAGAAACTTCTTCCAACTAAAAGTGGAATGAGGAAGGGTGAATGTAAAATGTTTTAGCCAGTGTTTTCATAAAAAAGTAATCCACTGGAATAACTGAAGATCTCTTCCTGCTTCTTGTGTCATATGTATTTTTTGGATATCAAAACTTACAAAGGATGCTCCTAACTGAAAAAAAGCCATTTCATTTTTTTTACAACAACCTGAAAGAAGAATCTGAACTGCTGTCTTCTTTCCACTGAGGGGTTTTGGGCTGAATCTAAGACTGTAAGATAGGAGTGCATCCATGAGTAGCCCAAGGTGACTAAAGGTGAGGAAACCTGAGATATCTTATTACTTGGATCTATTCAATCCCAGCCATAAGAAAGCTGAAAAATCCCTCAGTTGACCTCGCTCTCCTGTGGCAGATCAGGACGACATATTTTTTTAGGCAAGTCCGCAAAAGTTGTCTCAAAAACTGTAATGCAATGACATCCCATCTGACATAGGGAAAGGCTTCAACGTTTAACTAAAAAATGTAGAATGTGAAACGCAAGGTGCAGGGCCAAACTGACAAACTGTCTTGATAGATGAGGGAATCAGGAACCAGTAGTCTACAACTGGAAAGCTGCTTTTAAAAAAACAAACAATAAACAAACCAAAAAACACAAACAAAAGCACTTTCTGTATCCGGAGGGCAGAAACTGAGGTGACTGACCAGTGCCTCTCTAGTTGGAACAAACACACATCACCCAGACGATGCTGGGTTGTAGAAATGGCTTTCTCACGGGGTTGGGAAATTTATGGGCATTTATTTAGAGGTGGCTCTGAATTGGAAACTTTACTGTTCAAAAGCGCTCTGGAGCCAAAGCTGAACCCCATATTTTACAAGCGCAAGCCTAGCTGGGGAGATGTGGAGGGTGGGGTTTTCCCCTCACCCTCAGATTGGGACTTCGGTGAATAAATATCATTCAGCAGAAACGACCTAGATTGAGGAAGAAAAAGAGAAAGGGGAAAAGGAGAGGAGGAAAGAAGAAAGAGAGGGAGGGAGGGACGAAAGAAAGGTAAAGAGGGGAATTTACAAAAAGGGAATTAAGCGGGCTAATGGCAGAGAGGATCAGCAAGAGGGGCACCGGGACCTGTTTTTAAATCGCGAGTGCTGCTTATAAGGAAACACGATACGCACGATCAGGGTCTGGATGTTCCAGGGAGCCAATGACCACACACATCACGAGTTTCACACAGATGGCATCATGTCATGCTTTAGTTATCAACTACCGTGAAAGCTGTAGCTTCTCTTTCCTTAAGCAATCAATCACGCCCTGACTGGCCACTTTCTACCCTCTGCACGTGGAAAGAAATCGGACTCAGAAGGCTCGAGTCCCGAGCCCTCGGCCTCCCGGTGCGGGCTCTGGGAGGCCGGGGCCGCCTCTCGTGACGCGCGCGCTCCTCGCCCTCCACTGGCCGCCCGACTGTGGGGAAGCGAGGCTCCAGCAGGCGCAGCGGCGCCAGGTCCGAGGGGGCGATTGCTTCCCACTTTCTGCGGGAGGTTTAGAAACGCGGGTGCTTTTAAATACACCTGGGTATTATGAGCATGTAATCTGGCCTAACACGATTGAATTATTCACTTAGAGAAAAAACAAAACGACCCGACACCCCACTTGACGCGCACTTCGAAGAGGCCTGGGGCCGCGGCGGGGCCGACGCCCACGCTGAACGCGACCTGTCCCAGGACGTGGCTTAAATTCAAACTCTAGCTTCGAACCTTTAGCCCGAGAACGCGCGCGCGCGCGTGCGAAGAGACCTGGAAACCTCATTTTTCAAAGCCTCTAGAATAAACTTGTCAGCCTGCTCGCCGCCTCTGTCCTTTCCTGGGTCTGTGGAAACCCGAGGAGAAACGGGGGCTGAGGCTGAAAGTGTCTTGAGGGATCGGGCCCGGCTGGGTGGGTCGGCCTTGTCCAGTTTCGCTGGAGTGGGGAAGCGGAGGCGCGGGCCGGCGGGCTGGGCTGCCCTGTGCCCCCAGGAACTGCGCCACCACCCGGCCGTGTCCGCCAGCCCCCTTCCGTGCGCGTCCGGCCCCCTGGCCTAGCGCGGCTCGGGCGCGGCCCTGGCTCCGAAGGAGGCTGAGGCCCCTCCTCGGAGCGGTACTGGCCGAGTGAGTCGAAGCCCGGGCTTTCCAGGCCCCCCTTCCCCACGCGCCTTCACGGGCTCGTGGGCTGCTCCGAGGCGCAGGCGGGCGGCCAAGATCTTGCTGACTCTAGACTCAAATGCGGAAATGAATTTGGAACCGTCTGTTTTTCCGGGTGCACAGTGTGTCCAGTTGGGTTCGTTCCCCGCACCCCGTGGGCGAAACGGCGAGCCCAGGAGAACCTCTCTGGAGGGCTGGATCGTGGTTCCCTGGAGAGCGGGGAGGGTTCGGGGGTGGAAAGTCAGGAACCGAGATTGGGCCAGCAAGGGACTGGGAGACCCTCTCAGAAGAGAGCGGCTCTCAGGTCAGGAGCCACGGACCTGGAAACCTGAGGTGGGGAAGGTGACAGTGCAGGCTCGCTGGCGGCCTGTCTGCTAAGTGGCCATGTACCTAGCCAGCATGGCCTGCCTTCTCACCCTTCTCACACTTCTGGAGCTCTGAGGCTCCCTCAGTCTGTTTTATGCTCTGGGACCTGACAACAGGGACTAGAGAAGGATGTAACTAAGTGGAAATTTAGAGGTAGAAGCAAGGCCTGTGGAGAGCCTTTAAATCCATTTAAATTCCTTTGTTATATACAAAATGAAGTTATACGTACAATCGTGTTTTGTCTTCATGTGTTAAAAGTATTAATTTTAAAATGCTAAACACTTAAAATATGCCACAAATTTTGTGACCCTTTTTTTTTTTCAGTTTCTTAATTTAACTATATATCCAGTGTTTCAATAAATGGAAATATCTCTGATCTCTCAACCTCTGAATAACAGGTTACTGGAGAGAGGGGAAGGGACCATGGATATTTGTCTGGTGTTTCTCTGGCATATCCTTACCAGGACCATGCTTTGAAAATCGCTTCTTGCATCAATCTGAGATAAATTTACTAGTTTTTTGGGTAAAATATTAATATCATCTGTTGGACTTCAAGAACAATTGAAACTAAGGCCATTTTCCAAGTGTACACCTTATGCATATTGTAATTACCAGTACGTAGTTGGATCTGCTAGACTTCTATTCTCTGAACCAAAATTCACATGAGGCAACCCCATGAACACAATTGTAGACTCAGTGCAAAATCTGTACATAAAAGTTGGAAAAGATATCTCAAAGTGCAATGGTTATATTTTATTTTTCTAATTCATATGCCCAACAATAGGGAGCTGGTTTGGGTGGCTTACCAATACAGTCTTAAAGAGAGTAAGTATTATGGTGAATTTTGAGAGAAAAGGAGAATGCCATTTTGGGTTTTGGAGGTAGAAAGGAATTAATGATCCAAAGAAATTGATTCCACGAATTTTTGTTCATATCTCCCCCTCCAGCTCCTCCTCCTAACACTCTCCCTTCACCTTTGAAGAAAGGGCAACATGTCTATTTGCTTGAGAGTGAAAGAGGAAAGGAACCAATCTTTAATGAGTATCTATTATGTACCAGATACTTTCTCTTATTTACTTCTCATAATAATACTATAAAATTGGAATTATTATACTTCCCCTCACCCCAACGTCCCCTCATTACAGAATAAAGGAAGATCCAGCTAGGTTAAAGATCTGTGGTTTCACAGCTGGGAAATAATAGATATTCAAATCTAGCTCTATAACTTTAAAACCCAGTCTGGTCTTTAGAATCTGGTAGACTGAGTCCCCATAGACTCAAGCAAGCATCACTGGTTGCTGACTGTTGTGGGTACAAGAGAAAAATTTGTTATAAACAAATTTGTTGTGGGCTTGTCTTTTTCTTCTCTCCTGTCTCTGGAAGAAAGCCTCTTAATTCTGGCTCCCCTTAGGATCTTTTGGCTACGGAGAAATTGACTAAAAGCAATAATATAAAAGTCTGTGCCTTTTTCCATACCAAAGTTGGGCCTAGAGTTTAAACTCAATTTTCAGATTATAGGTCTCAATTGGCATTACTTCTAAGGCTACCCATAGGCTGGCTTGATCCAGGTAATGATTTCATGAGGACAGACTCACATAGGTCAAACTAAGTATCACTCTTAAAACTCTAGCCTCAGAAACCCAAAGGATGGGAGGGAAATATAGTAGTAGCAGAACACATGACTGCTAATTAACCTTATTAACATATGCAAACCAGTGAACATTTATACTTTATTTTTTCAGGAAGGCAATTACAATTTTTTGCCTTTTATTAACTACCTCCCTCCACCCCTGATAGTCACCTATATCGAAACTGCCCTTTAAAAGGTCAGTAGAAATTATTTTAAAACATTCAAATATAAAAAAGTATTGTTATTTTAATAGGCACTGTGAATAGTTTAATTTGTATCTTGTATTAAATTAAACATATGGTGAACAGGGTATAATAGATTTTCTATAATTTTGCTGCCAATGTGGCAACAGCAGCCAGTTACTCTCACCAGCAGACTTGTCAGTGGTTTGTTTACTAGCTTATTTGAATTAAAATAAAGCTTCGCTTCTGCTGACTGCACATCATTATCTATGAGACCATAATCCTGCTAGCAAATCCTATATCTTCCAGAACTGGCTCTTTTGTTTGGGATTACTGAGAGCTTAGCCTATAACAAAGAGGAATAAGGCATCCCTCTCATCCTCATAATTAAGTGTGGGGACTAATTTAGAAACAAACCCAGAAAGATGTACTATTTGGAGTTATATTTCTTTACAGAATAGAGGAGAAACAGGATAGGCCAAACACCTGATTGTTAACAGAATGTTTAAACTATTAAGCAAGTGTACTACAGGAATCCAGCTTGTTAAAATTAAGAGCAACAGCAAATAAGGCATTGATGGCCTTTGCACGGGGCAGTAATTCTGTATGAGGGATCTGAAGGTATGTTTGGGAAGAGGAAGTATTAGGGTGTCAAGCTGGAGAAGATGTGCTGTGTCCTTTCTCAATGCCATTTATTGTCTTCTTTCATTTTTCTAACAGGCTGCACAATTAAGAGTTATTGTTATGAGCAGAACTGTTAACATGCTGAATAAAAATAAAAACTTTTTTTATTCACTAGAACAAATATAACTTTGGAAAATTGTCATTGGAAATGGTTAACATTTTACTTCCAAGGTGCATAAAATTTAGCAGAAAGAAAATAATAGGTGATTTCCTGGCCCTTTCCATGGCTCAAAACAAACCTCCATGTATTCTTATAGCCCAATTCTATCTGTGTTTAAGGAGATAATTTTACAAACAGGATGTATATAAAAACAGCCTTCACAATCTACCATCCATGTATAAACTGATGTCTGTTAAAGAAGAGAGAAAACACAAGGGTTGATTTATCAATGTCTTCAGCATTAATTGTCACAGATGGGAATTCTGAGAACCTCTGTGAAACCAAACCAGACTCCGGCGAATTATAAAGCAGGTCCTTAGACTTTAAAAACATTTAGGCAAAGTGACAGTTCAGAACATCTGTTAGCCTTCTGTCTGAGTATAAACTAGATGTCATGGAGTGCACAGCTGTAGGCATTTTAGGCTTTTTTGCCAACATCTGTCACAGCAGTACAATAATATAGGTAATTATCAACACCTTATATAAACTGTTTGCTATTTTAATTTTTAGAAAGAGTAAAATTAGTGTTACAGTCCTTGGCAAAAATAATTGAGATGAATATAATCATCTTTATCTAAAGATGAATAAATGATCTGATCATTCTTTGAAAAGCACACATTTTAAATATTTTCTGCAGCCAATATGGGTATTATATCATTTTTAAAAGCAAAAATTGTAAGCGATCTTGTTTTTGAAAAATAAAAAAAAAGACAAACCACAAGCCAAAGTAATTTAAGGGAAAAAGAAGAAAGAGGCCAATAATTTGCTATCCAGAGTAACCAAAGGTGATATGATTTGTGGTAAAAAGATAGCATTTGTTAATACCACACATTGTGGCATTGATTTCATCTTCATAAAAATTAAAAATTCCTTTTATAATATCATTATAGCACAATCTATAGTGGTGAATTATTTTAAAAATTGCCTTCCTCCTCTATCTCCTCCTGGTCATAGAATTTTTGCAGAAAAATGGCAAATAAACCTGTAACTCATATCCTGCCACCTTAGTTAATTTGAAAAGCTCTAGCTCCCCATATAAGTCTAAGGACCCTTTATTCCATTAATACCACCTGGATATGAATCATCTACAGTGGATGTCCTAAGATACTGGGCATTATTGTCTCATACCTGATTCTCTTGACCTATTCCATAGTTGTTTTCCAGTCTAAAGGACTCAAAGCAGCAAGACTATATTCCTAAGCACCTGTTCTGGGGAAGATGCCAGTCAATAATGTCTTATTGAAAGACCAGGTCCAGCGAGAGGAAATAAAGGAATTGAGCTGCAGTTGGATTTCATCATCTAAACATGCAATGTAATCTTAACCAATTCATTACACACCCCTTTTGTTTCCACTACAAAAGGGATGTTACCTTTGTCAGAGGTTGTAATTCCAGTATGTTCAAGCAAAGACAAGGGAGAAATTGAAAAAGTGCTATCAATTCTATCCACAGTCAGGAAGAGCCATAGGGTCAGAAGGCCATTGTCACTACCCCAGGTACAGTTCAGACTAGACCACAGATAGCTGAAGTTTCCATTGCACTAGAAAGGTATAATAAAGGAGAATCACAGAAAATACTGAATAAGAATCGGAGTAGGAAATCATTTTTGAATACATTTGGCTTAACACATATGAAGTTGAACCAAATGGTTGTCTCTCTTTGGGCAATAGTTGTGGATGCTTAAAAGTATGCTTTCTTAGAATAATCTTGTGGAGGAGGCAAATTTTATTAATAGGAGGTCAATAAGGCAAAAACAATGAATCACAAATTTCAGCATTCATAATCTAAAGGTCTACAAAGAGTTAAAGGGGAAAGAGAAGGAGGAAGTAAATATAGCTATAAAGGGCAGACAGCTTGGCCCAAAAGGAAGGATTAAGAATGAAGAAGGTGATAAAAGAAAAAAGAAAATGTGATAGATACTGACAGAGAATAAGGCCATCTGAGAGGGTGGGGGAGGAGCAAAGGAGGATATTGATTACCAAATGGAATATTAGGGACCAATTTAAAATTTAGGGACTGTGAGTGTTAATGCTTCCTAAAGAGTGTTCCCTTGTAATAAATGCGTCTTAGAGAAACATTTTAAAATAATACGTTAGTGGTATGGTTTTGAAGCCTGTTCAAGTGGATTCACTTGATACTTCTCAATGTTTTATTTCTTTACCAGTGAGGAAAACTCAGTGTATTTTGAGGTCTAGTAAAGGGGGAAAAAAAGAAAGTAAACCATTTTCCAAACAACTTGGAAAATATCTTATTTTAATAATGAATTTGACTCCTTAAGGACATTACTTTTTTTCATCTGGTTTTAAATATTTGGAGCAAAGTAATGAAATAAGGATATCTGCAAATATTAGATATTTGAGTGAACTTCAAAAATCATTCTTTACTAAAGTTAAGCTTATAAGAAAATACATATTACTTTAGAGTTTGCATTGTGAATTTGAAAGTACATTGTCTGTAAATCTCTCTCCTTGATTGCTTGGCACTCTTGGATTGATAAGAATAGTACTTTGTTAGGGTCCACTTTACATTTTGAAAATTATTTGCTAGAAGTCAGAGCTAGGAAATCCACCCTCTGAAACACACACAGTTTGCAGTCAGCGTGCTCTCATCTTCTACCCTCTTTTGTGCTATCGCCTCCCCCGGCTTGTGCCTACTTCCCTCATCTTCTTTCATTAAGTGTCTTAATCCAGGCTGATCTTTCCTAGGTAGTATCCTAGGCTTGCCCCATCCTTCAGCTTTTCAAAATCTGAAACAAATGGCTAATAGATGGATTCACCAAAATATACTGATGACTGATAACAATGTGCTTTTTCTTCAAAGTTACTAGCCTTATGCCATAAGCTTTTGAAAGAGGGGGGTTGCAGATCTTGGTCATTTTTGTATCCTCTGTATCACTCAACAAAATGCCTTCTCCATAGCAAATACTCATTAACTTTTAAGTGAATATTTGTTGAGTTTTGTTTTTTTCTCCCTAAATCTAGTTGTAAATCACTAAGTGAGAGTATTCTTTAATTTTTTTATTTTAAAATTTTGGTGACTTATATTTTAGGTTCCACTAGCTAGAGATACAGTGGTCAGGTAGAATTGAGCCTTCAAAAGTAACACTATTTTTTTCCCTATTGATGTTTATTATCAGCATAGTAAAGAGAAATTATAAAATGAAGATGTAATCTGTAATACTACTACCTTCACGCCACAAATAACATTTCTATATTCCCTCCTGATCTTTGGCCCACAAATACTTAAAAATTATATTTATTTAATACATTTATTTTTATGTTTATTTAATTTTACTGTGTTTTGAAATTGAATTTGTCAGTAAGGGACACAGCATTACTCTAAATATTAAAATTTCTAGTGGTGGAATTTTAGGTCTCCACAAAAAGTCTGAGAAAGACATTTTTGGAATGGGGAGATCTTTTCAGAATTTTCTGTCAAACTAATACAAGGCCAGTGTCCAAATATAGCTAATCTTTTATGATTTAAATCATAGGATCTTCAGTTGTAGAAGGGGAAATTGGAAGCATGGAATTTTGGGGACTTAAAGTAGTCCTGAGAGAAAGAGAAGATCCAAACTGGGAATTAATAGTTGGTATTAGCTCCCATTTTAACCGTTGCTAACTAGAGGTATTTATCTGTCCTTCCTGGAGTCCATTTAGGTAAAAAAAAATCCCAGATCTCCAAGTTTTTCTGTCCTTATTACAAATATATTCCTCAAAATAGTTTTGTCAAAAGGGTTTGGATGTGTAGGCCATATTCACCAGCATGGAAAAAAATTAATTTTCCTATTATCAATTCAATCAGCCACTCCTACCATCACCCTTGCAGGCAGCCCAAAGTCCTTCACAGAAGAAACACCGGAATGTTTTGTTAATCAAGGGATCATATTGGACATTTTCAAGTGTAATGGAATTAATATTTTTACCACTATAGAGCCAAAAAGATTTGGAAGAACTGCCACAATGCAGAGTTTAGCCTTGAATGTCCATTACTATCAAATACAATGATTAGAAGAATACAAAAAAGTAGTTGATTAGAAATATGCACTTGAATGCAGCCCATTTCTCTCCTTTCCCATACCCTATTATGGCCTTAATATTCACTGTGGTACTTATATATTTAATAAGTAGTGATTCCCTTTAACATAACACACACACACACACACACACACACACACACACACACACTACACATTCCTAGACACCCAATTGCAGGAGGCTAATTTGTTATGCAGTGCAGTTTAATCAACCATTTTTTCTTTAAGTAGGATGGCATTTAGAGCATTTTTCTTTCCTAACGTGAAACCAAAATCTTACAAGGCTGCCACCAATATGTAATATTGTCAGTCTAAACATAGAAGGAGATTGCTTCCTTTTGAAGCGCTAGAGTTCATAGGATCACAGAGCTAGATCTTCTGGAATTCTCTGTCTTATAATTCAGCTTATCCCAAAGAGGCCAGGAAATCAGGCCACAGGCCAGGCAGAGAAAACTGTGCTACATAGAAAATGCAGAGCTGATTCCCATCTTGCACCTGCAGAATCTGCTGTCAGCTGTTCAATTCTAAGTTCTGTGGCTTTTCCCAATTCCTGCTTGTTGGCTGTCTAATTTATTAACTCCTTAATATCTGCAGCAAAGACAGCACAGGCAAATATTTATGAGACCGAGAAAAACACACAAAAATGAAAGGGTGATTGAGGAGGCTGACTGAATTTTGTCTTTACTTCAAAGTCTAAGTGGTCGTTGCTGAGAATTGTTTCAACAGCTGCACATAGTCCAGAGTAGCATCTCAAAATTCAGCCTTGACTTCCTAGCCCAGGCCATTCATTCTACCTTCACCAGCCAGCTAGCCATTCAGTACATCATCCTCATTTTATGTTGCAGGCAAAAAGCCAACAAAAATATGGTCACCTTTAAAAGGCTTTTAAACAGTGAGCACCTCCCTCCTTTCCCAATTGTTCCTTGCTTTTCACATTCCTAGTTAATAGGTTTTTAAAGCAGTTTCCCCAACTCTTTTCCTGCCACATACTGTCTTGCCTAGCATCTATGCAGCAAAAGGCTGTTCTTCAAGAGGCTTTTATATCCATTGTACTTCTTTGTGCCTTTCAACGGCTAACTCTTCAGGTAGGGGCTAGGTTTCTTGTTTAGCATATTTTGCATGTTCCAAGCCATTTACAGCAACTACTGCAAAAGTGAAGATCAAAATAAAAATAATAAATACAGTCATTTTACATGAAGCTTAGGGGTCATGTCTGCAGTTTTCTATTTGCAAAGGTATCTCGTAAATATCCAACAAGAGGAATACTTTCAGGGAGTGCACCATTTTGAGTTTACATGTAAAGGTTAATATAAGGTTTATTTTCTTTTTATGAGAATTAAAGTTCCCTGGTAAGTCTTGGGGCTTTAACTTGTTGAAACACTGATACACTATCAGGCTATTTGGAAATCCTTCTCCTTTGCTTGATCTTATCAGGAGAAAAAAACAAGAAAAGGTTGCAAATCGTGGGCACTAGAACACTTGAATATCGACAGTTGGTAAGGAGCTAAAGGTCTACATTTACATTTTTCTTTTAACAACTATTTAACAAGTATTTCTATTAGCAAGTATTGTCTGCTGTGTGCCAGGAATTATGCTTAGGCATGAAATGTAAAGATCAATAAGAAATAATTTCTGTCCTAGATGAAACTCACAGTCAAGTGAGAAGAAAGCAAATAAGCTATTAATTAAATGCATATTTTGAGAAATAATGCTTTGTGGCTTTGCTTGAAATTAAAATGGTTTGTTTAGCTCAGAGATAACAAATCTAAGGTAGGTAAATATGCTGCTAAAACTTGAAGTAAACAAGCATTTTCACTCCTGACCACTGAAAATAATAATGACTAGCATTCCCTTTTAAAATACTGTAATTACAATTGGATATTCTTTTTCAGGCCCTGCAATGCTGTATGCTTTATCTTCCACATTGAGACCAGTGATCTCATATGTTGCCAAAATGAATTGAAGTTTTCCAAGCAATGAAACCATTATAAGTTATTCAAATACTTAAGTCTTATAATATGTTCTTTCTTCCTGGCTTTGTCCAGTGGGTGATATTTTACAGTAAGTTATAGAAAGCTAGATTAGTGAAGCCATTCAAGGATGAAACTGTCACAAGTTTTTTTCTCCTCTGTGCTACTGCTATGCCTGGAACAAACTTTACATTTGAATTATTTTCCTATCGTTTGTTGTAGTTCTTTCTTCTCTTTAAAGAAGGGATCATACATTTATGCTTTATGATATCCCTTATGCCTAACATAGTGCTTGGCACATAGTATAGGATTATGAATGAATGAAGGAATAAATAAACAAACATGTTTAAGCTTTTCTTCATATGGAAGTAGAAAACAGATCTACTCAGCCACCTGTGTCACTCTATCTCTATCTTTAACAACACATCTTTTTTATTTTATACATAATACTTCATAGATTAGCTTCTAAGATGAGCTGGTTACTCAATATGTTCAACTTCTGATATCCAGAAGTATCATATTTATTTTTTATTTTCACTGATTATTTGTAAAAATACAATTAACATAGTTTTGTTAAGATAGATTCGGATGGTGTATTTAAGGAGGAAGTAACCACAAGAAGTACTTCAGTAAAAGGCCCAATAGACTGAGGTTTTTGTTTGTTTGTTTGTTTTTTGAGACGGAGTCTCACTCTGTCGCCCAGGCTGGAGCACAGTGGCGCTATCTCGGCTCACTGCAAGCTCCGCCTCCCGAGTTCACGCCATTCTCCTGCCTCAGCCTCCTGAGTAGCTGGGACAGGCGCCCGCCACCAAGCCCGGCTAATTTTTTTGTATTTTTAGTAGAGACGGGGTTTCACTGTGTTAGCCAGGATGGTCTCGATCTCCTGACCTCGTGATCCGCCCGCCTTGGCCTCCCAAAGTGCTGGGATTACAGGCGTGAGACACCGCGCCCGGTCCAGAATTTTTATTCTACTCTTACTTCCTCTTAAAGTTTGGCTTATGCCAAAGTCACACTTACTTTTGATTAGAAATTATACAATTATGGGTCATGCTGTGATCAATCTCACACCCTATGTTGAACGGAATATTCTGTACATAGTTTACAGAATCTAAAACCTTTAAAAAGTCTAAAAATAAACAGATGCTACAGAATATAGCTATGCATGCATCTAAAAAGAAAAAAATCCTAAGAAACAAAGGAAATGTCTTCCAAATCTTTATTAAAAATGAGATATTTCTGATGATTTTTCATTTATTAATTTATTCAATGAATATTTATTGATCACGGATTATGTGAAGGGGGCTTATATAGGTGCTGTGAGGAAAAAAAATGAGTAAGAAATAGTCCCTGCTCTCAGAGAACTTTGAATCTGGTATATAAGATGACAATACAAAAATAATGTATTGTAAAGCAGAATATAATTAAAGTTTTACGAAAAGCACATTAGGGAGGTAAGATTTGAGTTGGACCTTGAAGAATGTAAATCTGCAGAGATGTGTGGAAGGTTTGATAAGCAGAGAAAACAGTATGATGTGCTAGTTAAGTTTTCTTGACTGGAACCTGGGGGACATACTGGGATGGGGGCTTGCATAGGTTAAGGTCACATAGTAGAGACATTTATATACAGACCATGAAGTCTAGACTTAAATTCAGGGAACACTGGGCAGTTATTTTTGAAATCAGAGAATAGAAATATTGTATTTTGGGGGAAGATCAGGCTGTCAATCTGTTAGATGGCTAGGTGTAAGGGGAGGAAAAACTAGCTCTGGGAAGCTGAGTTGAGAGGGTGTTATGAAATTCTGGGATGAGAATATTATATTGGATTTTGGCTGTGGCAATTGAAAGGAGAAGATGAATACTGGATGAATAGTGTAGCTATTGGAGTATCCTAAATAGGAGTGTTGAAAAGCAACAAACAGGAGTCAAGTATGGCACCACAATTTTGGGCTGAGAAGAGGAGATTGGGGGTGTTGAGAATAGAAACGGGAAAGTCAGGTGGAAGAACTAATTTAGTGGGAAATATATGAATTTGGTTTTGATCCTGTTGTATTTGAATTACTGTTAGAATGTTCAAGTTGGGGATAGCTGTCAGAGAGTAATGAAAATGGATGAATTTGGGAGATAGGTCAGGGCTGGAGGTAGAGATTTTGGAATCTTTGGCATAGTGATGATAATTTAAGCTATTCAAGGAAATAAAATCTCAAAGAGAGAGAGAAGGGGGGTGGTGAGAGAAGAGAAAAATGGAGAACCCAGACACCTACATTTAAGAAGATAAGCCCATAAGGGGAGACAATGAGTCATCAAAAAGATCAAAGGAATACTAAAATTGTGAAGGGTTATAGGGATCAGGAAAGGAGTTTACAAAATGAGGCATGGTCAGTAGCAACCAGAAATTTTCACTTTTTCAAAAAAGTTCTCATGTTAAAAACATTGTCTATGTTTCTTCCATATGTCTTTGGTGTTATATGTCTCACAAATAATGTTCTGTGTTTGAAGGCATTCACACACAAAACTATTAGTAATCATTAAACTGGAAGAGTGTGTGTGGTGGGGAAGTGGCAGTGTCAGATTTTCTCTCTACTAGTCAGGTATGTTAGTCAAGGTCCCAGGAGGAAACAGATGGCATGTTCAAACTGAGATAATTCTAGGTTTTACTAAACCTAACAAGGGCTTAGTAAAGAAACTATTTACGAATATGTAGGCAAAGTGCAGGGAAACCACAAAAGATAATGTAGTATCCCAGTGCCAGGAATAGCAGAAGTTAACATCCCTAGGTCCAAATAGATGAGCAGAGGAAGCAATATTTGGAACTCAGAGAGAATGAGTGGTAGAGGGAGGACCACATGTACCCCACAGACAAGCACACCTATTATATAGCCAAGTGGTAGAGGTTGCTTCCTTGGCCAGGCTTCTGACTCTGGTCAAGGAAACAACAAGTCTGAAGGGACTTCCAGGAAGGGAACTAGGGAGGTACATATCCTGACCGCACTCCCCTGTTTCTTGGATTTCTTGTTGGAGATTGGTCTAACACAGTTGAAAGCTAGCTCTCAAGGGAACATGTATATACATATATACATGCTTCTGAGGCAGAACAGGGAGGGCAAGGGTCTGGATTGGTAAATGGAAGATATATGGCACAAACTGGATTATGTGAATTTAAAAACAAAGCCATAGTAACCAACATTGCTTGGTACTGGCATGAAAACCGACACATGGACCACTGGAACATAATAAAGAACCCAGAAATAAATCTACGTATTTATGGCAAACTCATTTTCAACAAAGGCACCAAAGAATGTACATTGTGGAAAGGACAGTCTGCAATAAATGGTACTGGGAAAACTGTATATCCATATGCAAATAAATGAAATGAGACCTCTCTCTCACCATACACAAAAGTCAAATCAAAATGGATTAAATATTTAAATGTAAGACCTGAAACTATAAAACTATTAGAGGAAATCATTGGGGAAATTCTGCAGGACATTGTTCTGGGCAAAGATATCTTGAGTAAAAAAGCCCCTGGCTTACAAGACCTAAAAATCACAGGCAACCAAAGCAAAAATTGACAAATGAGATTATATCAAACTGAAAAACTTCTACACAGTAAAGAAAACAATCAACAAAGTATCAAGACAACCTAAGAAATGGAAGAAAATATTTGCAAACTATTTATCCAACAAGGGATTAATAATCAGAATATATAAGAAACTCAACTCAATAGTAAAAACCAGGCCGGGCGCGGTGGCTCACGCCTGTAATCCCAGCACTTTGGGAGGCCGAGGCGGGTGGATCATGAGGTCAGGAGATCGAGACCATCCTGGCTAACAAGGTGAAACCCCGTCTCTACTAAAAATACAAAAAAATTAGCCGGGCGCGGTGGCGGGCGCCTGTAGTCCCAGCTACTCGGGAGGCTGAGGCAGGAGAATGGCGTGAACCCGGGAAGCGGAGCTTGCAGTGAGCCGAGATTGCGCCACTGCAGTCCGCAGTCCGGCCTGGGCGACAGAGCGAGACTCCGTCTCAAAAAAAAAAAAAGTAAAAACCAAATAATCCAATTTAAAAAATGGACAAAAGATCTGAATAGACATTTCTGAAAATAAGACTTACAAATGGCCAATGCATATATGAAAAAATGCTTAACAACCCTAATGATCAGGGAAATGCAAATCAGAACCACAATGAGATATTATCTCACCCCAGTTAAAATGATATTAGCAAAAATAAAATAATAAATGCTGACGACTATGCAGAGAAAGGAGAACTCTCATACACTGTTGGTGGAAATGTAAATTAGTATAGCCACTATGGAAAACAGTATAGAAGTTCCTCAAAAAACTAAAAAATAAAACCTACCACACAATCTAGCAATCCCACTGCTGAATACATATTCAAAAGAAATAAATCAACATATCAAAGAGATGTCTGTACTCCCATGTTTATTACAGCTCTATTCACAATAACAAAGATATGGAATCAACCTGAATGCCTATGAACAGATGAATGGATAAAGAAAATAGGGCGTATATATACACAATGGAATATTATTTAGCTAAAAAAATGATGAAATACTGTCATTTGTAGCAACATGTATGGAGCTGGAGGACATTATGTTAAGTAAAATATGTCTGGCACAGAAAGACAAATATTGCATATCCTTACATGTAGGAGCTAACAAAATTGCTCTTGTGGAGGTACTGAGTAGAATGGTGGTTATCAGAGGCTGGGAAAAGTAGTGGGCAGGGAGGAGGTTACGGAGGGGTTGGTCAACAGGTACAACAAAATACAGTTTGATAGAAGGAATAAGATTTCACGTTTGATAGCACAGTAGGACAATTATAGTTAACAGTAATTTGTTGTATATTTCAAAATAGCTAGAAGAGAAGATTTGGCATGTTTCCAACACAAAGATATAATAAATGTTAGAGGTGATTAATATTCCAATTATCCTGATTTTATCATTACATATTGTATGCTTGCATCAAAATTTCACATGTACCCCATAGAAATGTAAAACTATTATACAGCCATAAAAATTAAAAAAAATCAATAAAATAAATAATTATGTATTACTTCTCTGATTTTATTAATTTTAATATTTTATTTTATTTTATTTATTTTTGAGACAGAGTCTTGCTGTGTCACCCAGGCTGGAATGCAGTGGCACAATCTTGGCTCACTGCAACCTCTGCCTCTTGGGTTCAAGCAATTCTCATGCCTCAGCCTCCCGAGTAGCTGGCATTTCAGGTGCCCGCTATCATGCCTGGCTAATTTTTGTATTTTTAGTAGGGATAGGGTTTCACTTCGTTGGCCAGGCTGGTCTCGAACTCCTGACCTCAGGTGATCTGCCCGCCTCAACATCCCAAAGTGCTGGGATTACAGGCATGAGCCACCACACCTGGCCTCTTCTCTGGTTTCTAAAAGGGGTGTGTGTAGGTGTGTATGTATGTGTATGTAACTTTCTGCATGGTTTATGCATTCACATCATCCTAATTTTGTAAGGTACAGCAGTATATAAAATAATAACTGAAGAAAAAGAAGCTATAACCTCCCCACCAAAAAGCCCCTAGCTTACAGAGTTTTCCAGTGGAGTTTTACAAAACTTTCAAGAGTTTGATGGTATGTATCTTATTTTATTTCTTTATTAAAATTGGCAAATAAAATTATATATAATTATGTACAACATGTTTTAAAATATGTTTACATTGTGGAATAGTTGAATCATGCCAATTAACATATGTATTACCTCACATACCATTTTTTGTGAGATAATACCTATTTTGTATTAATTGCTTCAGAAAATGAATAAAAAGAACAAAAGAAAAGCTGCCCAGTTTCCTAGCTAATTTTATACGGCTATATAATCTTGATTCTCAAACTAGATAAGAAAGCCATAAACCCATTTCACTTATACATGTAAGTGCAATAGTCCTAAATAAAATATTAGCTAGCCAAAGTTAACAGTTCATGAAAAGATAACACATATTGATCAAGTAGTATTTATTTATCCCCGGCTGGGCGTGGTGGCTCACGCCTGTACTCCCAGCACTTTGGGAGGCCGAGGCGGGTGGATCACGAGGTCAGGAGATCGAGACCATCCTGGCTAACACGGTGAAACCCCGTCTCTACTAAAAAATACAAAAAAAAAGTTAGCCAGGCATGGTGGTGGGCGCCTGTAGTCCCATCTACTCGGGAAGCTGAGGCAGGAGAATGGTGTGGATCCGGGAGGCGGAGCTTGCAGTGAGCCAAGATCACACCACTGCATTCCAGCCTGGGCAACAAAGCGAGACTCTGTCTCAAAAAAAAAAAAAGAAAAAAAGTATTTATTTATCCCAAGATTGAAAGGATAGTACATCAGAAAAATGTGTCAATATATTTCACTTTAATACTAGGCCAAAGAAGACATAACATATGATGATTTCAAAAGACACAGAAAAAGCATTTTATTCATGATAAAAAGGCAAAATAAAATATAAAAGTACTTATGATAAAATTTACAGAATATTAAGAATATCAGGGAAATTCCTGGACTATTTACAAAAAAACTTATGAGAAAATAAACTGACAAGAATAAATTTAGAAGCATTTCCTTTAAAACAAAGAAGAAAAGAATGTTTACAATTTCCAGTTACAATCCATTTACATGTTTACCATCTCAACATAGTATTAGAGGCCCTGTCTATCTTTAAAGACAGAATAAAGGCATAAGTCATGTTAGGATTGAATAAGAAGATATAAAAAATTATTATTGGTAGATGACATGTTTACCTATATAGAAAATTCTATTGAATCAACATTCTATGAGTACTAACAAAAGTTCAGCAAGATTGATAGAAATATACAAAGCACCCAAGAAAGCACTTTAAAAAGGAATAGCCAATTTAGTCATAAAATAAAAATAAGATACAGTATTATTATAAGAAATATAAATCTGGCCAGGAGCAGTGGCTCACACATGTAATTCCAGCACTTTGGGAGGCTGAGGTGGGTGAATCACTTGAGGTAAGGAGTTTGAGACCAGCCTGGTCAACAAGGTGAAACCTCGTCTCTACTAAAAATACAAAAATTAGCCGGGTGTGGTGGCAGGCATCTGTAATGCCCACTACTTGGGAGGCTGAAGCATGAGAATTGCTTGAACCCCAGAGGTGGAGGTTGCAGTGAGCTGAGATCATGCCACTGCACTCCAGCCTAGGCAACAGAGCAAGACTCCGTCAAAAAACAAACAAACAAACATATACATATATATATGTCTCCATACTCAAAGCAATCTTCAGATTCAATGGCAACTCTATCAAATTCCCAGTGGCAATTTTTACTGAAATGGAAAAAAAATTCCAAAATTTATAGGTAACCCCAAAGACAATGAATAGCCAAATCAATCTGAGAAAGAAGAGACCTGGAGGCATCACACAGCCTGATTTTAAAATATATTGCAAGGCAACGGTAAACAAAACAGTATGGTACCGGCATAAAGACAGGCAAATAGACAAATGGAACATAATAGCCCAGAAATAAATTCATGCAGATAGAGTCAATTGATCTTTGATGAGGGTGCCAAGAATACATAATGGGGAAAAGGATAGTCTCCAATAAGTGAGGCTTGGAGAACTGAATATCCACATGCAAAAGAATGAAATCGAACCCTTATCTTACATCACACATGAAAATCAACTCCAAACAGATTAAGGACAAATCTAAGCCCCCAAACTATAAAACTCCTAGAGGAAACTGTAGGTAAAACGCTTGATGACATTGGTCTTGGCAATCATTTTATGAATATGGCACCAAATGCACAGGCAACCACCACCACAACAAAAACCTAAAGCAAAAACCAACCAAACAAATGGGACTGTATCAAACTAAAAAAGTTTCTGCACAGTAAAGGAAACAATAGAATTAAAAGGCAACCTGTGGAATGGGAGAATATTTACAAACCATATATCTGATAAGGGGTTAACCTCCGAAATATGAGGGAACTTCTACAACTCAATGCCAGAAAAAAACTAATAACCCCATTAGAAAATGGGCAAAAGACTTGGATGGACATTTCTCCAAGGACATAAAAATGGACAATGGGCATAGAAAAAAAAATCCTCAACAGCACTAATCATCAGGGAAATGCAAATCAAAACCACAATAAGATATTACTTCACACCTGTCGGGATGGCTATTATCAAGAAAACAAGTATTGCCAAGGATGTGGAGAAATTAGAACTCTTACGTACTGTTGGTGGGAATGCAAAATGGTGTAGCTGCTATAGAAGACAGCGTAGAAGTTCCTTAAAATAAAGAACTACCATACAATCTAGCAATCCCACTCTGGGAATTCATCCAAAAGAATTGAAATCAGGATCTCAAAGAGATATTAGCATCTCTATGTTCATTGCTGCACTATACATACGAACCAGGATGTGGAAATAGCTGAAATGTCCATCACCAGATTGATGAATAAAGAAAATGTGGTATATACCTAAATGGAATACTATTCAGCCTTAAAAAAAGAAACTCTACAATATGTAACAACATTGAGGACATTATTCTAAGTAAAATAAACCAATCACAGAAAGGCAAATACCATATTATTCCATTTATAAGAGGAATCTAAAATAGTTAGATTCATACATTGAAAGTGGAATGGTGGTTGCCAAGGGCTAGAGGAGGGGTAAATTGGAGTTACTAATCAATGGGCATCATGTTTCAGCTAAGCAAGATGAATAAGCTCGAGAGATCTACTGTAAAACACTATCTATAGTCAATAATAACGTATTGTACAATTAAAATTTTGTTAAGAGGGTAGATCTCATGTTAAATGTTCTTACTCACCCCCCAATAAGAATTGTAATTACATTTCAGGACAAATCAAGAAGGATTATTTGTTGTTCCTTTATATTTCTTTATCCATTCAACAAACACTAAGTGCCTCCGACAAGCTTACTATCAGAAGTTTACCCAAGCTGACATTGCATTCTTTCTGTGGCTTCTACTAAGAGACATCTTTTCTTCCTTATACAAAGCATAGGTGTTTAAAAGACAAAGATAAAAGTAAACTGCAATCCCAGAACAAGTTTTGCTGATGCTCCTCCTCCTTTGCATTAGCTCCTTCTGGGTGATTTAATAATCACAGCTATATTTTTCCATTTCTTTCTTAAGTGTCTTACTAAGTGTCTTCCTTATTATATAATTCCTATTAGGCAGTATGTTACTCATTTTTGGGGGAAAAACCATTGCTGAGAGTGAAATTGGTGTCACCAGATTTGCTATCTACTAAACCTCTTTTATTTTATTTTATTTTATTTTATTTTATTTTATTATTTTTTTTTGAGACGGAGTCTCGTTCTGTCACCCAGGCTGGAGTGCAGTGGCACAATCTCGGCTCACTGCAACCTCCGCCTCTTGGATTCAAGAGATTCTCCTGCCTCAGCCCCCTGAGTAACTGGGACTACAGGTGTGCGCCACCATGCCCAGCTAATTTTTGTATTTTTAGTAGAGATGGGGTTTCACCATATTGGTCAGGCTGGTCTTGAACTCCTGACGTTGTGATCCGCCCACCTCAGCCTCCCAAAGTGCTGGGATTACAGGCATGAGCCACTGCGCCCGGCTAAACCTCTTTTAAATAAAAATGTGCGTTAAAATTAAATAAAAAAAATCCTCATTCTACTGTTTCCTTTAGTAGAAAGACAGCAAAAGATATAAATAAGATTTGAATAAGTGATGAAATATACTATGTTTACGGTTGGTATGTCGTAACCTACTATAGTTACCAATTCTGTGTAAGTATACATACAAAGTAAATAAAATTCCAATACAAAATTTAATTGAATTTTTAAAGAACACAACAAATTCTGAAATTTATATGGATGGCTAGAAGCCCAAAATGTCTAAAGAATAGCATAAAAAATGATGGGCCAAATAGATGGTATTACTTTCACTCATCAGATATTAACACATACTATAAATGATGATAATGATGATAAATGTTGTTAACCCAGCAATATATAAATAGATCAATAAAACAGAATTGAAAAAAACAAAACAAACAAACAGAGAAAACAGAATTGAGAACTCAGAAATAGATCTGAAGATCAAGTTAATGTGAGGACTTGTTATATGATAAACATCTAGTGGCTCATGCCTGTAATTCCAGTACTTTGAGAGGCTGAGGTGGGAGGATCACTTTAGGCCAGAACTTCGAGACCAGCTTAAGCAACATAGTAAGAACTCATCTCTACAAAAGAAAAAAATTAACACTAAACATTTGTATCACAAAGGAATTAAAAATGGACAAATTGTTTAGCATAATAGATTATGTTAGGATACATGTCTCATCATGTGAAGAAAAATACAGATTTCTAACTCACACAAAGGTTGTCTGTTGACGGATGAAAGACCTAAATGTAACAGATAAATCTATAAAGATGATAGAAGAAAATATGAAATAAAGTTTTTGTGACTAAGGAGTGGGGAAAAGTTTCTTAAACAAAATCTCAAAAGCACCAACTATAAGTCAAAAAGTATGGTTGAATTTGGCTGCGCCAAAATTAAGGAATTTTGTTCAGTGTGAGTAACATAGATAAAGTTAACAAACATGTTATTATTTCCAATATTTAAAAACTAGCAGGGATAATATGCAAAACATGTGAGAACTTCTTAAATTAACAAGAAAAAGATAGGAAACAAAAATAAAAATTCCTAACAGGGTAAACAGTTCACAGAGGAGGTTCAAATAAATAACAAATATATCGTGAGTTGCTAAAGTTTATGATAAAGAGGCAAAACACAGATTAAAACAACAATGAGATATCACTTTATATGGATTTGAATGGCAGCAGTTAGAAAGGTGGATAATAGCAAGTATTGGAGAGGGCTTACAGGTATGTGCCACCACGCCCGGCTAATTTTGGTATTTTTAGTAAAGACGGGGTTCTGCCATGTTGGCCAGGCTGGTCTTGAACTGTTGGTCTCAAGTGATCACCCACCTTGGCCTCCCAAAGTGTTGGGATTACAGGGGTGAGCCACTGGGTCTGGCCACAAGTGCTATTTATTTAAATAGAAAACACATCATTCTTTACAAAACAACCATAACTATTTTTTAATTCTGTACACATTAAAAGATACACATCAATCTCTTTAAAATGGGCAAGTCTTTGATGGAGGAAAATAAAATAATTGAAGAAAGGGCAAAATAAAGTGAAGGAGAAGCATCTTGCATGGGCCAATGACAGTATACTAAGAAATTAAGGCCATAATTTAATCAACCTGCTGCCTCTGGGAATCTGAGGTTCAAAAACTAACAACAAGGCTGGGTGTGGTGACTCACAGCTGTAATCCCAGTGCTTTGGGGGACTGAGGCAGGAGGATCACTTAAGGCCAGGAGTTTGAGACCAGCCTGGGCAAAATAGCAAGACTCCATCTCAACAAAAAGTAAAAAAAAAAATTAGCAGCTGTGCACGGTGGCTCACACCTGTAATCCCAGCACTTTGAGGAAACCAAGGTGGGTGGATCATGAGGTCAGGAGTTCGAGACCAGCCCAGCCAACATGGTGAAACCACATCTCTACTAAAAATACAAAAATTAGCCGGGCATGGTGGTGGGTGCCTGGTAATGCCAGCTACTTGAGAGGCTGAGACAGGAGAATCACTTGAACTTGGGAGGCAGATGTTGCAGTGAGCCAAGATCATGCCACTGCACTCCAGCCTGGGCAACAAAGAGCAAAACTTCGTCTCAAAAAAAAAAATTAGCCAGGCATGGTGGTGTGCACTTGTGGTGCCAGTTACTCTGGAGGCTGACGTGGGAGGATTGCTTGAGCCCAGGAGGTAGAGGCTGCAGTGAACTATGATCACACCACTGCACTCCAACCTGGGTGACAGAGCAAGACCTTGTCTCAAAAATAAACAAAAAACTAACAACAACAAACCAAACCAAACCGGATTTAGGTGTTTTACAATTTCAATCTTTTGCTATTTCAAATTATGCTACAATGGCTGTCACATACCATTTTGTAATTTCATTTTTATTTATGTATTTTATTTATTTATTTATTTTGAGACAGAGTTTCACTCTTGTTGCCCGGGCTGGAGTGCAATGGCACAATCTCGGCTCACCACAACCTCCGCCTCCCGGGTTCAAGCGATTCTCCTGCCTCAGCCTCTCGAGTAGCTGGGATTACAGGCATGCACCACCACGCCCGGCTAATTTTGTATTTTTAGTAGAGATGGCATTTCTCCATGTTGGCCAGGCTGGTCTTGAACTTCCAACCTCAGGTGGCCCACCTGCCTTGGCCTCCCAAAGTGCTGGGATTACAGGTGTGAGCCACCCCGCCCAGCCTATTTATTTATTTATTGAGACGGAGTCTCACTGTGTCACTCAAGCTGGAGTGCAGTGGCCTGATCTCAGCTCACTGCAACCTCTGCCTCTCGGGTTAAAGTGATTCTCCTGCCTCAGCCTAAGTAGCTGGGATTACAGGTACCCACCACCATACCATGCCTAGCTAACTTCTGTATTTTTAGTAGAGACGGGGTTTCACCATGTTGGCCAGGCTGGTCTTGAACTCTTGACCTCAAGTGATCCACCCACCTTGGCCTCCCAAAGTGCTGGAATTACAGGTGTGAGCCACCGTGCCAGGCTTTTTCTTTCTCTTTCTTTCTTTCTTTCTTTCTTTCCTTCTTTCTTTCTTTCTTTCTCTTTCTTTCCTTCTTTCTTTTCTTTCCTTCCTTCCTTCCTTCCTTCCTTCCTTCCTTCCTTCCTTCCTTCCTTCCTTTCTTTCTCTGTCTTTCTTTCTTTTTGTTTTTGAGATGGAGTCTCACTTTGTCGCCCAGGCTGGAGTGTAGTGGCATGATATGGGCTCCCTGCAACCTCCGCCTCCTGGGTTCAAGTGATTCTTCTGCCTCAGCCTCAGCCTCGTGAGTAGCTGGGATTATGATCAGCTAATTTTTGTATTTTTTAGTAGAGACGGGATTCACTATGTTGACCAGGCTGGTCTCAAACTCCTGACCCCAAGTGATCCGCTCGCCTCGGCCTCCCAAAGTGCATGGATTACAGGCGTGAGCCATCATGCCTGGACCCATTTTGTAATTAAAAAAAATAAAACATTTTTCTTGTACTATGCATTTTTGGGGGTGTCTCCTGTACTCTTATTTTTTCCTAAGAGAGAATCAAGGTATTTTAGCCAAAGGTCAAATTATAGTTATATGCCTGGCAAATATAGAGGGTGTTTTCATGGCCTGTATGATTATTCTGAAGTTTCAGTTATCTGAGAAATAAACTCTATTTCAGCAGCTCTCAAACATTTTTTTTCAGGACCCTTTTATACTCTTAAAATTATTGAGGATCTTGGAGCCAGGCCAAGTGGCTCACGTCTGTAATCCCAGCACTTTGGGAGACTGAGGCAGGTGGACCTCTTGAGCCCAGGAGTTCAAGACCAGCCTGGACAACAGAGCAAAACCCTATCTCTACAAAAAAAATTCAAAAATTAGCTGGGTGTGGTGGCACACACCTGTGGTCCTGGCTCCTGAGGAGGCTGAGGTGGGAGGATCACTTGAGCACATGAGGTTGAGGCTGCAGTGAGCCAAGATTGCACTGCTGCACTCCAGCCTGGGTAACAGCGTGAGAGCTTGTCTCAAAAAAAAAAAATTATTGAGGATCTCAAAAGCTTTTGTTATTTACCATATTAGAAATTAAAACAGAAAACTGTAATATTTAATAATTAAAAATAATCATAAAGCCATAAAATATTAACATTTTTAAATGAAAAATAATGCTTTTACAACATAAACATTGAGTGAGAAGAGCGTCATCATTTTACACATGTACAAATCTCTTTAATGTCTGGCTTAATAGAAGACAGCTGGATTCTCATATTTGCTTCAGCATTCAATCTCGTGTGAAATGTTGTTTTGATTGAAGTATATCTAGAAAATCCGGCTTCACACAGACATATAGTTGGAAAAGTGAGGAGTATTTTAACAGCCTTTGCAGATACCTGTGGATATTTTTCTTTGATACTGCACCAAAGATTGACAAGTGGTAGTTTCTTAAAGGTTATTTGCAATATAGAATCTGAAACTATTGTCAGTGAACTTTTTGAAGTTTATTATATTAAAATTAATTGGCATGTCTTGTACTTGGATGAATCTTTTACCCATTTATAATTTTATAATTTTATGCATTTGTCATTTAGAAAATATTGGTTCGCTGAGTAATGCATATCGCATACAATATTTAAAAATCATGTTTGTTAATAATAACACCGATCTCATCAGAAAAGTGCTTAAGTATTGGGAAGATATGAAACTCACAGTGGTGGATATAAGTTTTCCAAAATCCTAATTTCTATTTGAAAGCTTAAAATTTATTACTGTCAATAATGCTGTCATTTTTTTCTCAAGATTACACATTCATTTTGTTTTTAATTAAATTAAAAAAAATGCAAGTCTGAATAACCATAGTTTGTTTGCCAATTATTCTTTCAAATAAAAATGGTATTTCACAAGAAAAGGTGCCAGTGGTTTGGTATGCAACTCAATTGCTACTGAAAGTGTGATGAGATTACTTGTGGTTCTTTGTTCAATACACAGAAGTGCTTTATGCATACTTCATATATTATAAAACAGAATATTACAAAGACTTGGTCTCAAGGGTTGGGATTTAATAAAATTAATAATTTCTACAGATTAATTGAGGACATTCTGAAATGAAATTGGCTTTCCCTCCTGCATAGTGGTGAATGACAACACTACGATGCTTTTGTGCCACTGTCTTGATATGTGCTGAGGTCTTGATATGTGCTGAGGTCTTGATATATGCTGTTTTGAGAACTGCTACTTGATTCCACACACCCTTCCTTGGCTTCCATCTCTTCTCATTTTCTACATTTGAAGAACGATTTGTGAATTAGGATAGCTGAACTTCTCCCAGGAACTCAGAACAATACTTAGGAAGGGGATCAAGAAATTACCTGAGAAAGAGGGGAAGAAATAAGAAATAGTGAAGAGGGACCGGGCGCGGTGGCTTGCGCCTGTAATCCTAGCACTTTGGGGGGCAGAGACGGGCGGATCACCTGAGGTCAGGAGTTTGAGGCCAGCCTGGCCAACACGGTGAAACCCTGTCTCTACTAAAAATACAAAAATTAGTCAGGCGTGGTGGCGGGCACCTGTATTCCCAGCTACTGGGGAGGCTGAGGCAGGAGAATCGCTTGAACGCAGGAGAATCGCTTGAACCCAGGAGGCGGAGGTTGCAGTAAGCTGAGATCACACCACTGCACTCCAGCCTGGGTGACAGGGTGAGACTCCATCTCAAAAAAAAAAAAAAAGAAAAAGAAAAAGAAAAAGAAAAGAAAGTGAAGAGACAGAAGGAGGGTAGATTTGTGCTTTGGATTATATTCTCTACTCTGTATCACAGCTTTAGAAATCTCTATATTCAAATTTAAGTATATACATACTTAAATACATAAATGATGTTGGAGTGTTACAGTGGGGAAAGTATTTCTAATAAGAAGTTCAGAAACTACAGAAGAAAAAATATATTGCATTTTTTTTTACGAAAGTACTTATGCACGACAAAAAAATTCTATAACATCAAGAGACAAATATTTGTAACTTGTGTAAAACAAAATACTAACCTCCTTAATATGTAAAGAATTCCAAGATTATAAGAGAATAATGGAAAAACATATAAACAGATACTTCACAGAAAAGGAACTTTGAATGGCTCCTTAATGTATGAAAAGATGCTTGACCCTACTCTTCATAAATGCAAATTACAGATACAATAAAATGCCATTTCCCACTTATCCACTGACAAAATCTTTAAATTAGGTGATATATTGCCAAGATTGTAGGAAAAAGAATATTGTTGTACACTGCTTGTAGCAGTATCAATTAGTATATTCCCTGTGAAAGGGGATATACTATTTAGAAATTAGAAGTACTATTTAGAATTTAGAAATATCTATTGAATTTGCAAATTGCTCTTTGCCCTGCAATTCTTCTAGAAAATTTTCCTAGAGATGAACTTGCAGATGCATAGACATGAACTGACATTTAAATGAAGTATTTTTTGTGTGTGTTGGTTGTATTTGCAAAAGTTTAGAAACAATTAGCTGTCTATCAGTAAGGGACTAATAACAGCGATTACGTGTTGAAGGAAAAAGTGATAATGGGGCCTATTGGGGGCAGGAATAAGAGGGAGAATTTTTACCCATATATTTTATTGAAAAATTTAAATATATTATCCATTAACTTTTTTAAAGAACAAAAAAACTCTGTCCTCCCTGGCAAATACTAAATTTCCTTTTTATAGTTACTAGATAGATAGGAAATAAGATTTTAAAAATCTTTTTATCTGAATTGAATAACTGAAATTATGTGCCTAATTATATCTTAAGTGGTCACTTAATATATTGATAAAAATAAATGAAATAAATGAACAATGACATTGCATAGCTGTAAGGTAGTTTTTTTTTTTTTTTTTTTCTGAGTTGGAGTTTTGCTCTCGTCGCCCAGACTGGAGTGCAATGGCGCAGTCTTGGCTCACTGCAACCTCCGCCTCCTGGGTTCAAGCAATTCTCCTGCCTCAGCCTCCAAGTAGCTGGGATTACAGGTGCCTGCCACCACGCTGGGCTAATTTTTGTATTTTTAGTAGAGATGGGGTTTCACCATGTTGGGCAGGCTGGTCCCAAACCCCTGACCTCAGGTGATTCACCTGCCTCGGCCTCCCAAAGTGGTGGGATTATAGGTGTGAGCCGCCGCGCCCAGCCTGTAAGGTAGATTTTAAGATAATGGAACACACAAGAGATAAAATTCACTTTTAGTTCACTGTCCTTTCTCCTTGGGACATTATCTTTCTCATCTTCCCTCCCTCCTTTCTTCCTTCTTTTTGTTTTCATAAACATGAGCTTCTACTCATCTTCCACTACCCAGACCGAGATAAAAATATGTTTTAACGGAAGAACTACTCCATGTGAATGGACGTCTGTATGACATCCTAGTAGTTCAGAATTATGCCCATTATCTTTTACAAATAATAAACAGATTAAATATTGAAATTTTACTGAAAACTTTTGTGTACATTATGAGATCTGAGTTTGAAGTTTTATAATTAATCTGTTGTTTCCTGAGTAAGCCTACTTCTCCCATACTAGTGAATTCTTTCCTCAGATATGAAATGTCCCATGAGAACTTACAGTCTGGTAAATCAAAATATGTGCTTAATGTAATGTAATATAAATATATATTTAATGTACATGACTAATAACAGAAAAAGATGTTTCATTGTTTTCTCAGTTAAACTCTCATGAACTGTAATGCATAATACAAGTTATTATAAACTCCTTTTATGATACACTGTAATTACCATTAGTTTTTCCTTTTTTGTTTTTTATTATACTTTAAGTTCTAGGGTACATGGGCACAACGTGCAGGTTTGTTACATAGGTATGTTTGTTACACAGGTATGCCATATTGATTTGCTGCACCCATCAACTTGTCATTTACATTAGGTATTTCTGCTAATGCTATCCCTCCCCCAGTCTCCCACCCCCCGACAGGCCCCGGTGTGATGTTCCCTGCCCTGTGTCCATGTGTTGTCATTGTTCAGCTCTGACCTATGAGTGAGAACATGCGGTGTTTGGTTGTCTGTCCTTGTGATAATTTGCTGAGGATGATGGTTTCCAGCTTCATCCATGTCCCTGCAAAGGACATGGATGAATCCTTTTTTATGGCTGCGTAGTATTCCATGGTGTATATGTGCCACATTTTCTTAATCCACTCTATCATTGATGGACATTTGGGTTGGTTCCAAGACTTTGCTATTGTGAATAGTACCGCAATAAACATGTGTGCATGTAATTTTTCCTTTTTATTTTTACTATCAGCAATAGAGCTTCAGAACACATTACATGGTGTCAAATTTCTGACATATAATTGGAAAACAGAGCAAAGATGCAATTTAGCTTGTTTGATGAAGCATTTTGTGATTTTGCATATGTGTTCATGGGCATATACATATGTTGACACAAAATAATCCACCACTTTTTAAAAAAGTGGTCTTGATAAAAATGCATTATCTATAAATGACATAATTGTAAGAATTTATTTTTGATATAGCACTTTCATTATTAAATTATTCTTTATTTTTATAAATAAAAATACAGACTGTAAACTTTGAGAACAAAATCAAGGTCAATATTCTCCTAAATTTACCCCATATGATGAGATCAAATTACTTCACTTTTATTTCAAATTAAATTTAATGTTTGGGAAAGTAGGAGGTAAACTTTTATATCTAGAAGAAAAATCAGAAGTAATTTAAATGGGTACATAATCCATTTTTATCTTTATTGTGTCACACAGACTTTTCTGAGAATGGCATAATTTCAAACTTAGAGGCGTCTCTGCTCTATTTTCACATATGGTTGGAATGAGAATTCCTTTGCAGTAACTGCCTCCCATTCATACATGGGAGGAGCAGGAACACAGCTATGGAGTAGCCTGTCAAAGGTTTTTTTCATTATTAACAGAAACGTTATATTGTCTGTCTGCCTGAAAACATTTATGGAAAGCTTGTGATTTCTGCATCTGAAATTAATTTTTTGAAAGTGAATACAAATCCAACTACTGAATAGGTAACAGACATTTTACTCCCCTACAGACCCAACTTGAGGTCTTAGATACAGCTGCATCAGATCTTCAACGTTCTCCAACACAGCTGAAAAATCCCCAAAATAATTTATCCTGAGAAGTAATGGAAGCTCTTAGAAGTTATTTTAAAAAAGGATAGATTCCCTAATTTCTAAAATTGCTTTATTGAAACGCCAGCAATAAGATTTTTTTTAAAAAGTTTCAACTTACTTTAGTTGGCAAAGCGTAATACTCATTTATTTTCTGCAAAATTTAAAATAAAGGCAGTGAACTTTTCGCAAATATCTTTTAAATGAAATTCTTAAAATAGCTGAGATGTCTAGACTTGTTATTACCTATGTATACTAGTGGTTCCTGTGAACAAATGTAAACCTGAAAGAGCCAATTGTTCAAGATGGATTCAAAGTGGCTAACTGGGCCTAAATTTAAAATAGAACCAAGCAGCCATTTGCTGCCTAGAAGTCACACATGGTATTCTGCGTTTCTCCAAAACACAAACCTCTGTTCAACTTTGGGACTTTCAGAGCTCACCAGAGCCAACCAATTAGAGCTCACCTGCATTGACCAATCAGAATTCAGCTACATCAACCCATCAAACAGCTGTGTTGACCAATCAGAACCTAAGCAGGTTTGAATTGTTTATTTGTATGAACGGACCTGATTGTGAACCTGGGTGGGAACTTTCTCTGTAAACCACCACCCCCCCTCCTTTGCTCTCTGGAATGCATCTTTGTTTGAAACTGAAAACTGCATCTCCTTGGTTTGCAAACTGTTCACTGGGATAAAGTATCTTTCCTGGGAGGCTGAGGTAGGACAATGGCTTGAACTGGGAAGGAGGAGGTTGCAGTGAGACGAGATCGCGCCACCACACTCCAGCCTGGAAGACAGAGCGAGACTCCACCTCAACAAAAAAAAAAAAAAAAAAAAAAAAAAAGAAGAAGAAGGAGTCTCTTTTCTCCAAATTCCTTTTCAGATAACCTTTGCTCACATTCTTAAGTAGTAATTCATGATTTTTGCCCATCTACATGAAATAGGAATATTAGGACAACATAGTAAGTTTGCTCAATTGAGTAAAATCGCTCCAGTTTAAATTAAGACTATCCTTTACACTGAGACTATGTTATTTTACACTTTTAAGTATTTGTTCTTTTGTTATATGACAGAGGGGCTAGATAATAGTTTGTTTTAAACATCTTTTTGGTGGCAGCTTTCTATAGATCTCTCTAGTTTTTTGGAAGTTTTATCGATTTTGAAATCCAGACATGAGGTTATCACATATACAATATTAAGACAGCTACATAAAAAGTGAGAATTCAGGCTGGGCACGGTGGCTCACGCCTGTAATCCCAGCACTCTGGGAGGCTGAGGCGGGTGGATTACCTGAGGTTAGGGGTTCGAGACCAGCCTGGCCAAGATGGTGAAACCCTGTCTCTACTAAAAATACAAAAATTAGCTGGGCATAGTGGCAGACGCCTGTAATCCCAGCTACTCGGGAGGCTGAGGCAGGAAAATTGCTTGAACCCGGGAGGCAGAGGTTGCAGTGAGCTAAGATCGCACCATTGCGCTCCAGCCTGGGCGACAAGAGCAAAACACCATCTCAAAACAAAAACAAAAACAAAAACAAAAACAAAAAAAAGTGAGAATTCAGAAATTAGTAAAAAGAAAAAGCATTTAATTTACCTAATATTTTGCTTTTCATCAGGACAGTGAGGCATGTGCTTTAAATATAGTCTATTATGTATATAAAATTAACTAATTAATAAATTCACTCAAAGCAGTAAACATATAAGATGGGATAAAGTCAGAAGAGTGTAAAAAAGGTGTGAAAAATGGCCATGACCTAGGATGGATGGGCTAATGAAGAAGCTCATAGGCTGAGAGGTCACACTTGCCATGACTCTGAAATGATTTTCTGGGCTTGACGTTAAGAAACGGGATTTTATGTTCAGTCAAATAAATCTAGGATTAAAAGATTATCATTTTTGCATCCTTCATAAATTAGAAATGGTACAGGCACCTAGTGATGAATGAAGGCCCAAAGGTAACTATACCTGGGCTACAAAAGCTGTGTCTTGTTTGCTACTCTGGTCCTAGTGCCCAGCAGGTGCTCCATAAGTATTTGATGAATAAAGAACATGAAAGAAAAAAAAGAAGGTAGCTGATGGGAGAGCAGCAGTGAACTGTGCAGAAAACAAATAATTTTAGGAATAGCTAATAGATTAAAAGTTTTTGGAAAGCCTCTTTAAACCCAGGCAACATAATCTGTTTGCTATCATTTGCTCTACCAATATAATATAGATGATGACACTCAAAATTATTCATTTGAAAATATTTTGTGTTGGTCCTTAGCTGCTACTACTATAATTTTCATCGTTAACTAGAAGACTATAGAATTTGAGATTCAAGATAGTACTCAATCCCTTAGAAATTCTAAAACTTTAGTGAATTCTTCATGCAAACAATTGCACTTATAGTTACATATTTATAAGCCTAAAATGACTGTCAACTCTTTAATATTAACAAGTATTCAAAAGATAATCTATATCCTCTTTCCTATCTACAAAGAATAAATTTCAAAGATCTTATTGACACACTAGGCTATATTGCACCTGGCCTATTTTTAGATTGTTCATAAATATCAAAACTAAACTGCTTGTTATTATTTCTTAGCAGTTCTTTGGCCAGACTGTAAAAATTTGGTAATGAATAAGTGTGAATGAGATTCCTAAAGATTAGCCATTTTGTAAGATTAGCCTTTGAATTATGACTAAAACAAGATCTAGGTTTCATTTGTCTTCAAAGAATTTAACTACCTCATCTACTAAAAGAGATGTCATTTCATGAGCAATTGCCATAAGATAAATACGTTGGCATCTTGGTGATTTAATCCTTAAGTGTACAAAAGTTTATATGTTTCCAATAAATAAAAATTTTGGTGTACAATTTATATGTGATAAGCAGACAACACAGGAGTATTTCTGTAGGATTTTATAATTTTCAACAGTAAATTTGCTCTCACTAGTTCATTTTATGTTAACATATTTAAGTTCCTCCCCCCACCCTTGTCTCAATGTAAGAGGTAAAGCACTCACCAATTTTTTCTATTGTGTATGGTAGACATTTGAAAGTGTGTGGTCTTGCAAACTATGAGGCAAATTGGAATTCTTTGTATGTAAAGTTAGTGACATATGGTTACTTCAAAATTATATGTGCTACTCTGGTAGCCAAAAGAAATGCAATAGAAATCAAGGCTGTTTCCTTTTCTATGTATAATTAAAGTTCCCTGAAAAACATATAAAAATGATCTATTTGATTCAGTGATGAACTCAGGTTTGCAAAGTATATCTTGTTCTTCTGAAGGCATATTGCTTCCTGAAACTTGTGCATACCTGTATGTCCAATAGTGTTAAAAAAAAAGAGCAAGGAAGCAAAGACAGGAGTTCACTTTATCAGATTGTCAGTGATGAGACCAATCTAGCTATTCCAAATCTTCCTGATATTCTATTTGTGATTATGCTGTTCTTCCACTTTTGCAGTCCAGGTATTCCTCAGGTAGTGGGCCTCTCTGTTTCCTTCCTGTGACTTGCTCAGACTTGCATGGAATATACATCAGTTAACAATTGATTTCTCCTGTTCATTCACTCATTTGCAGACTATTCTCTACCCTTGACTCTGGTTGTCTCATATGGGAAAGCATCTTATTTCTGAAGTATAATGTCTCACGTGCGAAGGAGGCACTCAAGGATGGAGTTACTCTTACTACATTCTCCCTGTTCTGTCTTCGCTTCCCCTGCTTTTTGAAAACACCATCCCCTGTCCCACCTTTCACCAAAGTATGCTTTGCTAGTTTGGGAGATTTACAATTGTAAGTCTACACTCAAAAAAATGGAGCACGTATGCTAATGAGATTCTAATAGAGACTGTGCAATCATTTTCTCACAAGTGTTAAGCAACATGTTTCTAAACTCCCTAAAAATAGAGCACACATCATGCAAACAGCTTATATCAACTGCAAATTATGGAATCTTGTTAAAAGCACTCCTCGTGTGTTTCCTTCTTTCTGGGCTGAGGAAGGTGTTCATATAGAGGAAGATGGAGATGTGAGGAAAGAGGAGAGCTTTTCCTGACTCTATTCTTATACACTGAGCCTCCTGACCCAGAACAGAAGTTGCTCAAGTATATGGAGAGAATAAGTAATCTATGTCTGAGGACTTTTTCATGTAAAGTTAAATTGTACCCAGCTGCTCCAGCTGTTTTCATTTCACATTTGAATGTTTACTATTTTACTTAGCTGGGAAAGCAGCTATTGAGGGTTGCATGTATCATTCTAAAAAAGGAAATTTTTCTGTCTTTAGTAGCTGAAGTACCAGAACTGTCCAGGAGATCAGAGACCATGTCTGTCTTATTCGACACAGGAATTTCCAGAATCAACCTGGTACTTACATATCATAGGTGCTCAAAAAATATTTAAGATAATAAAGAATAACCATTGGTCTCTTAATTGATCAGATAAATAATGGTGCCTACATGATATGATTGTAACATGTGAAAACCGAAAAATTAAATTGCCATTCACTGTGTGTATGTATGTATATTGTATATTATATAATTAAAGCCTTTTTTATTGTTGATTTGATTTTTTTCCTTTTTGCTAAATTGGTTATCTTGGTGTCTGAAAGCATTTACAAGACAACTATTTATAGCAGTTTTTCTGTTACAAGCCAGTTTGAAGGATACGTGGATTGTAATGTTTTACTCTTTTTTTGAGATGGAGTCTCGTTCTGTCGCCAGGCTGGAGTGCAGTGGCACTATCTCGGCTCACTGCAACCTCTGCCTCCTGGATTCAAGCGATTCTCCTGCCTCAGCCTCCTGAGTAGCTGGGATTACAGGCATATGCCACCACACCCAGCTAATTTTTGTATTTTTAGTAGTGACAGGGTTTTGCCATGTTGACCAGGATGGTCTCGATCTCCTGACCTCGTGATCCACCCACCTCAGCCTTCCAAAGTGCTGGGATTACAGGCATGAGCCACCATGCCCGGCCATGTTTTACTTTTTAAGGCATTTTCTACATCATTTGTTTTGATCTAACTGACCAGACTCTTTCCTATCACTCAAAATTCAAAACATATAAAAAGTTTTCTCTCTCATTTTTGACTCCAGCCCTAGACACTTAGTTCCCCTACTTACAGACTATGTTAGTACCTTCTTGTGTAGTTTTCCAGAGATAATTTGTGCTTTTTAAATTTAACACTGTATCTTACACAGCTTTCTAAATGAATTAATACATATGGAACATCTTCATTCTTTTTTATGGCTTCAGATTCAACTGCATGGTTCTATCATAATGTACTTAAACTATTTCTTAATAATGGAAATTAAAATCATTTTCAATAGTTATTATTACAAGCAATAATGTCATATTTTGTATGTATGAGTAATTTTGTATATAAGTCATTCTGTACATGTGTACTTCATTAGAATAAATTCCTAGATGTAGAATTGCTGTAATAAAGGTATATGCATTTATAATTTTGATAAATACCCTCCAAATTGCCTAAAGGATAGATTTAATTACTTTTTTTCTGAGCAATTTGTTTGACTCAAAGTATTCTATAAGCTGATTTTTAGATATTCTATAGTCATGCCCTGGAAAATGCAATCTTACAGACCATAATAAGCAACCATCTTGGTGGAATGATTTATGGAGTATTGAGTGTCCTACTAGCACAAATATCTGGAAATCACCAGCTTGTCATAATGTCCTTAAAAGCAATCCTTAGAGGATTTTTATGTGATAACCATAGTCAATGCATTGTTTTTTGGTTACAATAGTTACTAGTATTTATTACTTGAGAAATTATAAAATGCCTCTCCAAAACTTTCCTTTTTCTTGCGTACACTTCCTCCTTATCTGTTTAAAGACTAAACTGACATATTTTTTCTGTTATAAGCTGTGGAACATCCAAGTTACATAAGGTACTGATATCATTGTGGGGGCTAGGGGAAAGAGAGAGAAAGGAAAAAAGGAAGTTAACTTTTTACAGTTTTCCTGTAAAATGCTCTGGAAGATTCTAGATTTTAATAAAGATTTCATTGTGAATTTGCACAGCCACTGTTTCGTGAACTTGATTCTGCTGATGGAGTTAAATTTGTCTGAGTAGATGAATGTCACTCTGAAAAAAGAGTATTGTGCTCTACGGGCATATGCTCTTATCCCACCAAAGCACTGAGCTAGATACAGGACTGGGGAATTCTGGCCCCACTTAAAAGTTGAAGATTGACTTAAAATTGGTCACTGCTCTTTAGACTAAATGGCAGGGTTGTCAATTGTAGCCATTTAGGAAGGAAGTTTTTTTTTCCCCCTCTTCTAAGGTTTACAGTATTTGCTAGCTCTTTTTCTTTTACTTTGAAGAAGGTCAGTAATGTTTCAGGAATACCACACACTGCCTCAGATGGTAGTGGTATGGGTGAAATGGGAGGGAGAGGTGCAAAGAAAGTAAAGTAAGAACAACTGAAGCAGAAATGGCCTCTTTATAAAAAAGTAACAGAGAAGTAGAGGGGTAGGAATATACAACCTACTTAATAGGCAACATATTCAAAATTTTAATGGCTTCTAATACAAGTGAATTACAGGACATTCCTGCAATCCAGCTGTATTAGTGTCAGAGAAGTTGAATTCAGCAACCACAACAGACTAATCCATTCAGGGCTGGTTGGATGAGGGAGCCACGTTCATACTGGTTTCTACTTAGTATTAGCATTTTGTTTTTATTATGCTTAGTGCAGTACTAGGTGTTCCATATATGTTTGCATGTCTGTCTAAAAACAATTTTTATATGAAAGCATTTGATGAATATGATTTTACATGTCCCAAAGCTACAAGTTTTAATTATTCATGTGTTGCAAATGAAAAATTGAGCCTTATAGAAAACTCAAGGACATGAGCAAATAAAAAACAAGGCTTTAGACAAGATGAGACTATGAACACAAGACTCCATTTCCCACTGCTAATTTCTATCAGTAAATTCTGGTGATTCTTCCAGTGAAAAACATTTTTTCCCTCTTTTCTTGATTATCTGTGTGTGTTTGTTGTCAAATGTGAAAAAAAATAACTGATAGAAGAAGAGTGAAAGTTTTTGAGATCTGTGATTTTGGTTTATGTAAAGCAGCACTACAACCAATTTCTTGTTGGGTCAACAAGCCTTTGTGTGTTTTGACATGGAACTGAGCGCTAGTGCCTAACACATTCAGGATAACCCCTTCAGGGATGTTGACACATCTAGGCAATAAAGGGACAGAAATAGAGGATGCAATATTAGAAGGACTATCTCAACTACTAAGGAAAGCTGCAAAACCTGGATTGCCTAGTTAGCGGACTTGAGATTTTCTATCTAGATGGTTATTGAAGTTTCTGTTGTAACTTTCAGAGAATCTCTTTCTTTTAGGATAATATTACATGCTTATTTCATCTCCCTCCCTTCCTCCCTTCCTCCCTTCATCCCGTCCCATCCCGTCCCGTCCCGTCTCGTCTCATCTTGTCTTGTCTTTGTCTTTTCTTTTCTTTGACAGGGTCACCCAGGCTGGAGTGCACTGGCATGATCACAGCTCACTGCAGACTCGATCTCCCAGGTTCAGGTGATCCTCCCACCTCAGTTTCCCAAGTAGCTGCGACTACAGGCACATGCCACCACACCTGGCTAATTTTTTTATTTTTTGTAGAGATGGGGTCTCATTTTGTTGCCTAGGCTGGTCTCAAACTCCTGGGCTCAAGTGATCCTCCTGTCCCAGCCTACCAAAGTGCTGGAATTACAAGCATGAGCCACCACTCTGGGCTCTACATGCTTATTTCAACAAGGCAGTGGTATATGGAAAGAGTATGGACCTGAGGAATCAGGTAGGTCTGAGTTGAGTCCTGTCTCTGTTACTTCTTAGCTGTGTGCATCTAGATAAATTATGTCACATTCTCCAAACTTCAGTTTCCTCATCTGTAATCTGAAGGACAATTGCTATAGCTCATCATCTTTATAAGGACTAAATAGGGTCATTTATGTTAACCACCTTCCACAATATCCGAACTCCTTAAAGACTCCTTAAGTGTTAACCCTTTTTCTTCTGTCATCTTTCTGACCGAACAGATTATGGAAGTAAAGTTTTACGGATGCATGTATCTTCCAGAAAATATTTAAAGTGGCTATAACTTGGTGGTTGGACCCAATAGTTTCTTAATGAAATTTGAAAACAAGGAAATATTGTTTCCTTGTTCATAAAAGACATTTTGAGGCTAATAAGGTTTGCTTCTTCTTGCTTCCTTCCTATGCATTTTATTTGACCATCTTTGAGATCAGTGGCCTGAAAACATATTGGCAAATTGTACAACATTGGGAACATACTAAATGTCACTTATGGTAAAATTTATGTGTATTGTACCATGATTTTGTAAAAAAGGAAGACAGAAAACAATAAAAATAGATTATTATTCTTTCTTTAAAAACATATTGACAAAGCTACTGGTTTCAAACAAATAGTATCTGTTCATCCATTATTTCATGCTTAAAAACAAACAGCTGAAACAAAAAAAAATGGCTGAAGAGTTTGGATTGTGAAGAATATCTTTCATAACCCATTTATTACAAAGATATTTATCAGAATTATTTGTAATGGTTAAAAATGAAAAGTAATCTAAGTGCCTCATGTTAGGGAAATGAATAGAACAATAATAAAGATTTATTGAATATTTACTATGTGTCAGATACTAAGTATTTTACATGTATTAACTCATTACATCTCCATAATAAAGCTATGAGATAGGTAGTGCTATTATTCACATTGTACAGATGATGAAATAGGCACAGAGGTGTTAGTAAATTGCGCAAATCACGTAGCTGGTAAGTGCAGAGCAGGATTTCCACTGAGGCATGTAGATTTGGAGCCCAAATTTGATGTGTTGAGATAACATAATATTTGTAACCCTTAAAATAATGCCCAAAAAACTTTTTTTTTTTTTTTGAGACAAGGTCTCGCTTTGTCACCCATGCTAGAGTACTGTGGCTGGAACACAGCTCACTGTAACCTTGACCTCCTGGGCTCAAGCAATCTTCCTACCTCAGCCTCCCAGGTAGCTGAGACTAGAGGCACACGCCACCATGCCTGGCTAATTTTCTTCCTTTTAAAAAATGTTTATTTAATTTTAATTTTTAATTTTTGTGGGTACATAGTAGGTGTGTATATGGGGTAGATGAGACTTTTGATACAGGCATGCAGTGCATAATAATCACATCACAGAGACGTGGATAATCAAAAAAAAATTTTGTAGAGACAGGGTCTCCCTGTGTTGCCCAGGCTCATCTTGAACACCTGGGCTCAAACAGTCCTCCCATGTTGGCCTCCCAAAGTGCTGGGAATATATGTGTGAGTCACTGTGGCTGGCCCCCCCAAAACATTTTTTGATGACACAAAAATGATTATAACAAAGCAAAAAACTGTAAGATAAAAATTGCCTGTATAATACAGTCTAAACTTTGGAAAAACTTGTGGAAAAATGATGGAAAGAAAATGTTTATGACAGATGAGCAGGCTCATGATTGTTTATTTTCTCTTATATATGTATTTGATACCTTATGAATTTCTTCAATTAACATATTCATTTATATTCAGAACAATAAATGATTTACAATAGCACTTCATTTACTTAGCATTTTTAATGAATCTATAAATTATTCCACATAAGTGAAATATTGTTTTAGTTTTGGAAAGGACGATGATAAAGTAATTTAATTTAGCTTTCCAAACAATGCTTAAATCCATTTAATAATGGTCATTTCAAGAGATTTTAAAGTTATGTTTGAACACACCTTTCTGTTGATGAAAAACTCACTAATTTCTCAAGGCAATGCAATCCACTTATAAACAATTTTTACTTTGGGAACTTCTGAAGGCTAATCTTTTATGGGGGAAAAAAAAACCTTTTTATTTTTTTCCAAATTTTATTCATGTTGGTCAAATGGTCTGCCACAGGATCCTAGGCCCCAACTTTGGAAGAGGACCTGGGTATCTGGGAGTACTCTATTCCTCCCTAAATTGAGCCCCTGGGATATCACTTTCTATCCTGACCCCAATAGAACATGACACTTTCTGTTCTGTTGGTCTGTGATAATCTACTGCTCAAATTCTTCTTCTTGCTTATGTAATCATGCATGGCTATTTGATTTTCATGCCTACCATTCCAAACAAGCCATAACATCTGCTGTCATAAACTGACCCGGTTAGCACCTCATTGGTAAAAACCCTAATAGTGATAATCTTGTAATGTTTCTTGCCATGCAGGGTAACATTCTTGTTATGTAGAACACACAGGACTTCCTATTATGATGAATGACAACTTCCATTGATTGAGCAGCTCCCATACACCAAACACAGTGCTAGGCCTTTAAAAGCATGAACACATTTCATCATTATCATCATCCTTAGGTAAGTATTCTTCCCATTTTGCAGATGATGCTAATGCTAATAAGGGTTAAATCCCTCTAAACGAGGGGTTGAATAATTTACTCAAGGTCAAAGCTAGTGAATGGCAGTGTTAGAACTACAATCCAGTCTTTCTAACTCCATGACTTCTCATTTAAATTATAACTTTCTTATTGATGACTCAAGATTGTAATGATGGAAATCAGTTAGTGTGCTGTGTTGTAGAACAGTGGGATTTTCAGGGACTATAGGTTTACAGGCCACAGAGAATGTGCTTTGGAGTTCTTCTGTCTGGCTTCTCGTAATGAGGCTATCAAGTGTCCCTCTGCTGCTTTTGCGTGTGCCAGGCTCATTATATTTTCTTATATATGACTTCTTATTTCTAGGACTGTGGGTTGGAATTCGTTAACCAAATGTGTTAACAAGCTGTGTTTCAAGGAGGATTCAGTAAGCTTTGAGGGAAGGGCTAAGGGGCTTCTTTTCGTGTTCTTTGAGGCACGTAAATGTTAATGGGTGTGCTTTGCCACTCAGAGATTTAATTCTAGGTTATGTTTCATAGAGCTGAACTTGCTTAATAAATAAGGTGAGGTATGTTTTTGAGCATTCATAGCTATCAAGCTATATAGCCTAGTGGACAGATTTTACAAATACACTTATCACATCAAACATTGTCTTTTAAATGAAGAAAAATAATATTTTTCTTATCTCTTTACCATCACCTCTGCTCCAAATCATATTCCTATTCTTGCATGCCTTTAGGAAGGATAGCTATACATCCCTGTTTCCCAGGACTATTCTACATTAATAATTATTATAAGTATGTATGACTATAATTAATAGTTATTAATAGCACCCTTTAATTGTTAAATGAGTTAGAAGTGATAAAGTATATGATCACTCTAGCTTTATGGCAATACTGATTTTGTGGGGCTCCATCTTGTATGGGTCTGTCCATTGGATAATCAGGCACTTTGAGCTTTAAGCCCTTAGTATTCAAGAGTAATTTCTAAGATATTTTTTCTTGCCTTCTGTTTTATAGAATCTATTGGGCTATGAGACGCTTTCTTTTTTTCCTTCAGAGAAATAGGAGGGTACAATATCTACTGTTTTCTGAGTCATTAACATTGAAAAAATATTTTCAGCTTTCTCTTACAGATTATAATGACCTCTTAAAGACTATGAGAGGCATTAGACAACTACTATTTTGGACTACTATTTTGACATCTTATCATTTACATAAGATTTCAAGCTGATCTAGTCATTTACTTGGCAGTACAGAGCTGAATCAAGGCTCAGTTCCTAAGAGAAGCAAATAAAAAATTCAATAGCCTTGAGAGGGAGGGAAAGAAAAAGGAGAAGGAAAAAAAGGAGTTGAAGGAGGAAGAAGGGCGGAGGAGAGGAGAGGAGAGGAGAGATAAGATTCATTCTTTATTCTGGATCCTGATGGCTCCTGACGTTACCAGACACAAGACGAACTGAGGTTCAAATTGGTCTAGATTGAATGAGAGGAATAAAGGCCTTATCTACACAATACCAATTATTCAAAGGAAAACTCACTTATTCAGTCTAGACTCAAAACATTTCAAAATAATTTGATCTACATTATTGCATAAACATAAATCAACTTAGTAATATCCTCTCGGTCTTGTGCAGATCAATAAGTGATTTTCATAGAAACACATAATTTTCAGGTTTCATGTCCACTCAAGACTGAAGTATGAAGAAAGTGCTACAATTCAGAGCAATGACTAGGAACTAGTGGCTAGAACCTTTCTAGGCCAGATCCAGCCACTCCCAAGTGTGGACACTTTCAAGCAGCTCCTGCCACATGCCTGAGATAAAGGGAGACAGGGTATAGGTCACACAGAACCTCAGGAACAAGAACAGAACAGTCATACCACTTGTTGAGTGCCTACTGTGTGCCAGACACTATACACACACTCTCACTAATCCTGTGAACAACTCTGAAACTTAGGTATTGTGTTTTTTATAGATGAGGAAGTTAGTTTCAGAGAGTCTAAGTAACATTCCCAAGATTAACCAGTTGGACTTGAACTCAGGTCTTTCTGTTTTCAAAGCTGAAGCTCTTTTCACTATATTCTGCTATGTCTTTAGATGAGGGACCTTCTAAAGTCATTTCTGATACTCTGAACTTCGTATGTTTATACTATAATATAATTTGCTAATTTCATGACTTTTAAAATCCTCTTCTACATGTAGAAGCAATCATTGTCATCACTCCTGTAGGAAGTATTCTCTGTCCTCTCTGAATAGCAATACCTTAGGCCACTCAGAAGCCTCTTACCAAACCCTGCTTGGTATCCCGGCTATTGGTGGCCACAGTCTATCTCTTCTGTAAACTATACATTCCTCAAGGAGTCTGAGACCATGTCTTGTTCAATGTTGTTTCCATACCACCAATCCTTGCACATAGTAGGTACTTGGGAAATACTTGTTGAATAAATTAGTGCCACATAGTGTAATATTAAAAATTACTTGTTATGAGGCCAGACGCGGTGGCTCACGCTTGTAATCCCAGCACTTTGGGAGGCCAAGGCAGGTGTATCACCTGAGGTTGGGAGTTTGAGACCAGCCTGACCAACATGGAGAAACCCTGTCTCTACTAAAAATACAAAATTAGCCAGGCATGGTGGTGCATGCCTGTAATTCCAGCTACTCAGGAGGCTGAGACAGGAGACTCACTTGAACCCGGGAGGTGGGGGTTGTGGTGAGCTAAGATCGTGTCATTGCACTCCAGCCTGGGCAACAAGAGCGAAACTCCGTCAAATAAAAAAAAAAATGAAATTTACTTATTATGAAACTCACTTGAGCAGGAACATGAGCAGCAGCTGGCTTTCTAGAACTTTGCTTCTCAAATGTTGCTGTGTGAATGCATCACCTAGGGGTCTTGCTAAAATTCAGGCTCTGATTCAGTAAGTCTGAGATTCTACATTTCTAACAAGCTGCCAGGCGATGCCCTGCTGCTGGTCTGCTGCCTACACTTTGAGTAGCAAGGGCCTGCAACCAGGAAAGATAAGAAGAAAATTCTGTGGTACTTATTTTTTTCTTTAGAGGAGGTCAAAGGAAAGTCTGGGGAAAATAAAAGGAAAGTTTGCTTCAAGGGCAAATTTAGGTGGCATCTGTTCAGAAGGGCATGGGAAATGGTTTACAGATTTGGGGAAATTTAGGAGAGCATTCTTTTAGTCAACATGCTTTATTTTATTTTATTTTATATATATATTTTTTTGAGACAGAGTCTCTGTCGCCCAGGCTGGAGTGCAGTGGCATGATCATGGCTCACTGCAGCCTCCAGAGCTCCAGAGTTCAAGCAATCCTCCATCTCATTCTCCAGAGTAGCTGCAACTACAGGTATGGGCCACCACGCCCTGCTAACTTTTTATATTTTTGTAGAGAGAGGTTTCACCATGTTGCCCAGGCTGGTCTCGACCTCCTGGACTCAAGGGATTTGCTCTCCTCAGCCTCCCAAAGTGCTGGGATTACAGGTGTGAGCCACCACACCCGGCCAACAAGCTTTAAGTACCTACTCTTTGCAAGTACTGTGTGAGTGAGAGGAGGCACCATGGAACACGTTATTCCTAGGGTTTGCTGTGGATTTGTGATGATTACTAGCTTGTTGTGTGTTCTCTGGGATTTGTCCTCAAACTTGAACATGCACAAGAATTACCTGGAGAGCTTGTTAAAACACTCTTTTCTGGCCAGGTGCAGTGGCTCATGCCTGTAATCCCAGCACTTTGGGAGGCTGAGGTGGGTGGATTACCTGAGGTCAGGAGTTCGAGACCAGCCTGGGCAACATGGTGAAACCCCATCTCTACTAAAAATACAAAAATTAGCCGGGCGTGGTGGCAGGTGCCTATAATCTCAGCTGCTCGGGAGGCTGAGGCATGAGAATCGCTTGAACCTGGAAGGCGGAGGTTGCAGTGAGCCAAGATCACGCCATTGCACTCCAGCCTGGGCAACAAGAGGTAAACTCTGTCTCAAAAAACAAAACAAAACAAAACACCCCACCCCCATCCAAGACCCCACTCTTTTCTGGGCACCATCCCCAGAGCTTCATATGCAGCAAGTTGGGAAGATCCCTTGGTTTTGCATTTCCAACCACCTCACAGGTAAAGTCACAGCTGCATGTCTGAGGCCTACACTTTGAGAGCCACTGTTCTAGGGCAATTACCTTAATCCCTTAGGTGCCTTTCAGCTCAAAACCTAAAATCTGTGTTACCCGGAACATTAACACAGGACTTTAGGTTAGCAGGCCAGAAACCTGCGTCGGTGAACAGAGTCCTCTGGCCTTTGTGATCAGAGGGGAAACTGAAAGTATCTATTACTAAATAAAAAGCTCAGCTTCAATGACATAACTGGCTAAAATACATAGAATTGAAAGAAATTACATTTAAATGTTAGCTGTGGTCAACTATGAATAATTTTTCATTTATATTTTTCTATACATTACAAATTCAATATAACAAATAGATAATTATTTAAACAAATGTAATATAACAAATAGATAACGATTTCTTATGTAGAAAGCAAACCCTTTAAGTCAAGGTTTAGGATGCCTGTTATGACTTTCATAACTGCATTTTCCATAACAAACATCCTTCAACTAAATGACACATGAACCAAAGGAATCTTTTTTCAAACTTCTTTGTTCCTAACAAAGGAGGGCTCTCACTTTGATTGTTTCTTAGCAATAAGGTCTTTGGAAGGCAACTCTAGCTAAAATACAAACACATTGTAACGAAGCATTCTATAGGCTGTTTTTCCATCTAAGGACAATCTATGTATACTTCTAGGGTACACTGCAGTCTGTAGGCATTAAATGTGTGTGTGTGTGTACATGTGCGTATGCACATGTATGTGTGTATCTTTGGCCAGATCAGTAGGACAAATACTGTGAAGTGATCAAGTTTGCTTCAGAGTTCTGATTGGTCTCTACTCTCTCAGAACCCTCAAGTTGCACCCCTGGTCATGCAGGTCCCTTTCCTCCCAGTCCCAGCCCCCACCCCCTACCCTGAGGAGATTCCCTTACTCTGAACTGCCCTTCAACAAAGCTTCTATTCCATTCAAACCAGTATCTTCTCTTTTCCTACCAGATAACTAAACTGAAGGTCTTTGGAGACAAGTCGTTTCCACCTATTTTTACTGCATACATCAAAACCATCTGGTTCAGGGCTCAGTTAAGGTTTCAAGAATGAATGTCAAGGCTGGCAGTGGTGGCTCATGCCTGAAATTCCAGCACTTTGGAAGCCTGAGACAGGAGGATTGCTTGAGCCCAGGAGTTTGAGACCAGCCTGGGCAACATAGTGAGACCCTGTCTCTACAAAAAAAAAAAAAAAAAAAAAAAAAAAGCCAGGTGTGGTGGCGTTTGTATCTATAGTCCCAGCTACTCTGGAGGCTGAGGTGGGAGGATCATTTGAGCCTGGGAGGTTAAGGCTGCAATGAGCTGTGATTGCACCACTGTACTCCAGCCTGGGCAACAAGTGAGACCCTGCCTCAAACAAACAAAAACAAACAAACAACAAATGTCACAAGCCTTTGGTTTTGAACACAAATTCCATCTACCCCGCCCCACCCTCCCAAGAAAACCCTTGTCCTCACTATCTCTCCTCAGGAAGTCTTCTTTCCTCTCCTCCATGAGGCCTTTGGAGGCTGCTTTAATTTTTTCTGGAACGTGCCCTTTCCTAAGCCACTGCTACATAGAAATCCCCACCCCATAGGTTAATAGGTACACTTTATTTTTTGTGTGTGTACAGGAGTTTTGACTTCTCAAATAGATACATATTCTGTCAGGAGTTTGTATCTCTGGGTTTTCCACAGTTTTGGAGCAAGAATGTAATTTTGAGATGAATTTCTGAATGCTTCCCTCTGCCAATTGTTTTTTTAAAACAAATTCTTCAAGTATGTTTGTGACTGTTAATGGCTTGATGCATTTTTCTCTCCATTATTATACAAGCATAAATATAATATATTCATATATCACATGTCTTCTCATCCCTACTCACTCCACCCTTCCTCACCAGCTTAAACCCTTCAAAGGCTCTCCTCCTTCTCCTCAGGATAAAAAGAGCCCTTTGTGTTAGCCCTTACTCTCTGCTATTTACTTTCTAGCCTCTTGCCACTTCTTCCAGTTCTGGGTTCCACCATATCTATGCTCATCGATTGGTATGTCTCATCTTCCTTTCTCCTGAGTGATAAATATCCTCACCTTGTGCTAACACTTCCCTCCCTCCCTTCCTTCCTCCTTCCCTCTCCCCTCCCTTCCTTCCTTCCTTCCTCCTTTCCTCCCTCTATCCTTCCCTCCCTTCTTCTCTCTTTCTTCTTTTTCCCTTTATTCCCCTCCCCCTCTTCCTTTCCTTTCCTTTCTTTCTTTCGCTTTTGAGACGAGGTCCTACTCTGTCACCGAGGCTGGAGTGATGTGATCGCAGCTCACTGCAGCCTCGACTTCTTGGGATCAAGCAATCCTCCTGCCTCAGCCTCCTGAGTATCTGGGACTACAGGTGTGTGCCACCATGCCTAGCTCATTTTAAAAATTTTTCGTAGAGTTGGGGGTCTTACTGTGTTGCCCAGGCTGGTCTCGAACTCCTGGGCTCAAGCAATCCTCCTGCCTCGGCCTCTCAAAATGCTGGGATTATAGATATGAGCCACTGCATCTGGCCCACATCACTCTTTATTTAAATTGTCTTATTTCTTGTCTGACTCCTATCTAGATTTTAAGTTTCTTTGGGATAGAGACTCTACTATTCAGTCATCACTTTTTTTGAGGTGGGGGGCATGAAGAACAGGTTTGGTAAATGCATTCTTAATATTTTTTCAATGTTGAATACGTAGATAATTCTTCATCTCCAACAAATGATTCTTCACTGTGGGCATATCAAGTATGCCAGAAAGTCACTAGAGGACATATTTCTGAGGCAAGAGGACTGTTTTCCTCAAATCATATGTGTATGTGCCTGTTTATCCTCAATTCACTATCTTTTTAGTCAAAGTGCAAATGAAAATAAAAAAAAAAACATCAAGGACTCTTTCTTTCCCAGTCCTTGGCTTTCCATGAATAGAAACTTTCCTTAGAGTATGGCATTTCAGAGTCTGTAACACTGGAACCATTGGCTTGTCATTCTCAGGAAAATGCAGTTAAGGGAAAAGAAAGTGACTCCGATTGCTGTTGTTAAAGCTTACGTGTCTACAGTTAGTGCATATCCCCATCTCTTCACCCCACCCTCACCTCCACTGCCATTATCCACAAAGGCAAAACATCTGTGTTATTACGGACACAAGCCCCCTCAGACTGAATGTTACTTAGTTTTGTCCCGTCAAAGAACTCTGTGCCAGCAGGAATCAGGCAACCCAGGTTGCAGTGCTAGCTTTTATTCTAACTATAGGAATAAGAAGGTATTCAGCTGGGCGCCATGGCTCATGCCTGTAATCCCAGCAATTTGGGAGGCTTAGGTGGGCGGATCACCTGAGGTCAGGAGTTTGAGACCAGCCTGACCAACATGCAGAAACCCCATCTCTACTACAAAATACAAAATTAGCCTGGCATGGTGGCGCATGCCTGTAATTCCAGCTACTGAGGCTGAGGCAGGAGAATTGCTTGAACACAGGAGGTGGAAGTTGCGGTGAGCAGAGATCGCGCTGTTGTACTCCAGCCTGGGCAACAAGAGCGAAAAAAGGTATTCAATACTTTCGGTCCCATTTAATATTTCTGCCATAGAAAGTATAGGACTACCTTTTCTTGCTACAGCCTCCAAGTTTTCTTGATACCCATTTTAACCTGATTTCACTAAGATTAAAAAAAAAAAGGAAAGAAAGAAAAGAATAAGAAAGAGCAAAGAAAAGGCAAGAGTGTTTGATATGATTATAGTTGAGTTAGAGGTTGGTGCTTGACAGTTATTTTGCCTCAGGTAGCACACCCCTGCAAGTGACAAGTTCAGATTCCATTGTATTGATCTGACAGGCTCAGCCCACTGGACTAGGCATTTCCCACTCAGCATATTGCCTGGAAACAAAGTGTGTCTGATCTCAAAGGATGGCATTTGAAAAATAGAGACAATAGGTTTAGGGTAACTTGCTTCGTTCATCCTTTTTGTTAAGAAACCCACAATTCATGTTAGTCTGCTCATAAATTGTTATTTTACAGTACTTAAAAACAGGCTGGGTGTGGTGGCTCACACCTGTAATCCCAGCACTTTGTGAGGCCAAGGTGGGCAGATCACTGGAGTCCAGGAGTTTGAGGCCAGCCTGGGCAACATGGTGAAACTCCAGGTAAAAAAGCACCTGGGCATGGTGGTGCATGCCTGTAGTCCCAGCTATTCGGGAGGTGGAGGTAGGAGGTTCACCTGAGCCAGGGAGGTTGAGGCTGCCATATTACTGCCACTGCAATCCAGCCTGGGTGACAGAGTGAGACCCTATCTCCAAACAAATAAATAAACAGAAACACCAAAGTACTTAAAATAGTACCTGAACTTCTAGGTAATTAGAACATAGAAAGAAATAATTTTTATATCTTAATTGATATACTAATTTTTTATCATTAAAAAAGGCCAGCTGCCTTTTCATGTTCTAACCTCTACAGATAGGAATGTGTTCTCCAGGCAAAATCATTAGAAGTCTCAAAACACTGAATCTTAAATACCTATCTTTGCTACAATAATAATAATATTCATTGCTCTACATTTCAACATTACTGGTTTTATCCTAGAATTATCTACTTTATTTTTAAAAGTGCAACGTGTGTACCTCGCTGAAAAAAATTTAGAAAATATAGTTAAGTAAAAAGAAGATAGGGAATCCCCATCACTCCCTCATCCATCTACAGACAACCACATTAACATGTTTATTTCTTCCCATTGCACTTTTACATTGTTTTACATAAATGTCATTACAGTATACATACTATAACTTCCTTTTTCTTCTTTTATAATTTCTTTTTTCTTCATATCAGTGTTTCAATAACATCTTTCTATGTTAGTACATACAAATCTTCCAAGAATTTCTGTTTTGGATTGAGACAGTTGTATGTTTTGGAGGCACTTATCCTCTCTGAGTCTCAGCCCTATCATCTTTAAAATGAGAATTCTGATGATGCCTACCTCAAAGCATTACTGAAAGGATTGAATGAGATAATGTATTTAACTCAGAAATGGACCTTTGCTCATGGAACTTAATAAAAGTTAATACAGTTGTCTCTTGGAATCTGCTGGAGATTGGGTCCAGGAAAGCCTCCATTCTTCAGGATGTTAAGCAGTTCTATAAAATGGGGAAGTATTTGCATATAACTTATGCACATCCTCCCATATATATTAAATCATCTTTAGATTACTTATACTACCTAACACAATGTCATTGTTATACTATATTTTGATATATATATATTGTTTGTTTGTTTGTTTGTTTTTGTTTTTGTTTTTGTTTTTTGAGATGGAGTCTCGCTGTGTTCTCCCCAGTTTTTGTCTCTATTGCATTAGTCATAGTTCTGGTAGCTGTGCCTTAAAATAGTTAACAATGTTCCTCCAAAGAATTCAAACTCTAACACCTTTGTAATTCTCTATATCTCGCTGTGAGATATAGAGAAGTGGAATTATTGGATCAATGCATTGGAGTGCAGTGGCACAATCTCAGCTCACTGCAGCCTCTGCCTCCCAGGTTCAAGTGATTCCCCTGCCTCAGCCTCCCGAGTAGCTGGGATTACAGGTGTCCACCACCATGCCTGGCTAGTTTTTATATTTTTAGTAGAGACGGGGTTTCACCATGTTGGCCAGGCTGGTCTCAAACTCCTGACTTCAAGTGATCCATCCGCCTCAGCCTCCCAAAGTGCTGGGATTATAGGCATGAACCTCGGCGTCCAGCCAAGATTTATATTTTTAACTGCAGTATTGTTATTTTCAGTGTGTTTCCTTAATATTTTTGATCTGCAGTTGGATGAACTCACAGATGTGGAACTGGATGCAAAGGGTTGACTATATACTATTATCTATCTTAATGGCTGTATTGTATTCTAGCATATGGAAGTACCATAATCTATTTAGCCATTTTCTTCTTGGTGGGCATTTAATCCTCCCCCTTTTATATGCAACTATAAACACAAAATACTGTGCTAAACATCCTTTTACACACACAACTGGCAACATGTACAATTTTTTTTGGCATAAACCCCTGTAAGTCAAATTGCTAGGGTACAAGGTATGTGCATTTTAAATATACATACTGAGAAATTTTTTTTGAAGAGATACTGTAGCCACTTAAACTCCCTCCAACAATTTTGTTTAAAATTTTTGCTGTGGCATTATTTGATATACAGAAGTTTGTTATTGTTGTTATTCTGTCATAAAGTTAATGCTGCCAGAAATTTTCTTTAGTGTTTCTGGCCTTCGTGTCATGCTAAGGTTAAATACATATTTTTGTATATTTATTTTTAGTAATTTTTATAGTTTTAAAAATGTCATTAAGTTCCTAATTCATAAAAATATATTTTCATGTATGATTTGGGGTAGACAAAGATTAGTGAGAGTTTATGTTTTTTTAATGGTATTGATGTAGTTGTTATACATGTGTATATGAGGTGTATTTACCTCAGCATATGATACCTTGTGTAGTGATATTCTGAAGTTTGCTTTTTTTTCCCACTCAGTGACATGGTTTGGAAATTTTTTTGGGCCAGTGCAGAGAGCCCTGTCTTATCTTTTTCTACTTATGCATCATATTCATAGTATGGTTCTGGCATAGTTTATTTAGCCAGTCCCCTGTTGGTAGTCATTTGGAGTTTCCAATTTTTTACGATTTCAACTACTGCTACATCACTGTACTGTCTTATTATGAACATGTGCCAGTGTTTCTCTGGGAGATATAGAGAAGTGGAATTATTGGATCAATGCATTGTTGGGTCAATGCATGTCTTTTAGTAGGCACTGCAAAATTGGCTTCTAAATTGGCTTACCAATTTTACATTCATACTGGTAGTATATTAAAGCAACCTTGCTTATTTAAGATCTCTCTTTTACCAATACCAAATTCCCAGAGTCTTTTTCCAGACTCTATTCTATTCTACTGATTTGTCTGTTTTGCTGTTTTGGTAGAATTTGGAAAATTCATGAACCAGGGTCAGGCCTAAAAGCTATGTAATAATTCCCACTCCTTTATATATAAACATATAAGACAATTATTTTTCTATAACCAGTTCCTAAAATGCTTGAGTGAGCTTTTTGTGTAGAGTTGTCTTCCTCTCTTTTCTGCAAAGGTGTTTGAGTTTTAAAAGAATTATAGCCAGGTGCAGTGGCTCACGCCTGTAATCCCAGCACTTTGGGAGGCCAAGGTGGGTGGATCACCTGAGGTCGGGAGTTCGAGACCAGCCTGACCAACATGGAGAAACCCTATCTCTACTAAAAACACAAAATTAGCCGGGCATAGTGGCGCATGTCTGTAATCCCAGCTACTCAGGAGGCTGAGGCAGGAGAATTGCTTGAACCCAGGAGGCAGAGGTTGCAGTGAGCAGAGGTTGTGCCATTACACTCCAGCCTGGGCAACAAGAGCGAAACTCCATCTCAAAAAAAAAAAAAAAAAGAATTACAAAGGTGTTAGTTTTAATTCCTTGGAGGAACATTGTTAACTATTTTAAGGCACAGCTACCAGAACTATGACCAATGCAATAGAGACAAAAACTGGGGAGAACATAACAAAATTTCTCTATATGTGTTTTGAAATGAATTCTATGAGTTCTGTAAGATGGGACAAAAGATGGGTATCAAGGTTTCTTGGCCAGACACAGTGATTCATACCTGTAATCACAGTACTTCGGGAGGCTGAGGCAGGAAGATCGTTTGAGCCCAGGAGTTTGAGACCTGCTTGGGCAACATAGTAAGACCCTGTCTCTACAAAAAATAAAAAAGTAGACAGGCATAGTGGCACATGCCTGTAGTCCCAGCTACTTGGGAGGCTGAAGTGGGAGGATTGTTTGAGCCCAGGAGGTTGCAGCTATAGTGAGCTGTGATTGTACCACTGCACTTTAGCCTGGGTGACAGAATGAGACCCTGTCTCAAAAAAAAAAAAAAAAAGAAAAAATTTCTCAGTTCTTTATGTGATCCTGTGGAGGCTGTCATTTCCCCTTGGTTCTCTGCCGGGGGAAAATCCGAGGTATACCAGTAGAAAAAAAAAGGTCTCTTGTCATTGCTGCTATTGCTTTGCCTATTTTCTTCATCTTAAGGTTTGGAGAGTGCTTTAGGGTATAGAATATTACAATTTAAGAGTGAACATTATCAGAACTGGGGACACAAATTCCTAGAACACAAACTGTTTAATTACTGAAGCTTTACAATATAGTTCCCACCTGGTACCAGTCCTTTCTCATTTTTCTTTTTTTTAAACACTTTTTTGGGCTTTGATCACACATTTATTCTTCCAAATAAACATTACAATTAGTCTATAAAGTTTAAATATGGGATTAGAGTTTTTGTTTTACATCTATATATTTACTTGGAAAAATTAATCTGTTTATCATATGGAGTCTTATCAAATGATTTTTCTTTAATCAGAGAATATTTGGAATAGAATTATTAATGTGGAATTGGCCATAATTAAAATATTCCTATGAAACATGAAATCAATTATTTGTCTCTCAATATTACATTGTATCACATATCATATACTATAAAAGAGCAACAAATGCCACTTGTGGGTGATGGCACTATGAATTATTTTCTTTTCTTTTTTTTTTTGAGATGGAGTTTCACTCTTGTTGCCCAGGCCGGAGTGCAATGGTGCGATCTCAGCTCACTGCAACCTCCACCTCCTGGGTTCAAGCGAGTCTCTTGCTTCAGCCTCCCAAGTAGCTGGGATTACAGCCATGCACCACCATGCCTGGCTAATTTTGTATTTTTAGTAGAGACAGGGTTTTATCATGTTGGCCAGGCTGGTCTCGAACTCTTGACCTCAGGTGATCCACCCACCTTGGCCTCCCAAAGTGCTGGGATTATGGGCATAAGCCACCGTGCCCGACCTGATTTTCTTTTCTTTTTTTTTTTTAAATTTTTTGAGATGTAGTCTCGCTCTGTCACCCAGGCTGGAGTGCAGTGGTGCAATCTCAACTCACTGCAACCTCCGCCTCTCAGGTTCAAGTGATTCTCCTGCCTCAGCCTCCTGAGGAACTGGGACTACAGGTGCCCACCACCATGCCTGGCTAATTTTTTGTATTTTTAGTTGAGACGGGGTTTCACCATATTGGCCAGGCTGGTTTCGAACTCCTGACCTTGTGATCCACCCACCTCGGCCTCCCAAAGTGCTGAGATTACAGGTGTGAGTCACCGTGCTCAGCCAATTTTATTTTCTTTATAATATTTTACATTTTCTAAAATATTTCAATAATAGTTTCAGAATGCCATAAGAACATGAATCTCTTTCATCTCACATTTTATCCTTCTTCCCAAGGCATTTCTGGATGAGGGGAGTCCCAATGTTGCCAAATCTCAAGTTTCTTGAATTCTTGATGTTGCTGTAGTTTCTCATCATCCTGGGTGAAATTACAAAGTCCACATTCCCCCTGGGCACCCAATCTGGAACTGCCACCCCAAATTCAGTAAAACCTTGTTCTCAGGGTATGTAGAAGCTGCATTACATTTCTGTCTAGAGCCGAACACCTGGGTATGCACAGTTGATGGAGCAATTTTCTAGTATTTTTCTGAGTAGGGGCTGACTTACTTCTTTCCCCACTAGGATTGTTTGGGGTCTCTATAGGTAAGGTCAGGCTGAGAAAGGTTGTCCTTGGGATCACCAAGGACTCCTTGAACTCTTGCTCAAACCCTTATGGTGGCATCAGAGACTTTAAACAGGATCAGACTTCACAGTAATGCTAAAAATCACTGGAAAGTGAGGCAAAACTAGAGCAAGCTAGAAACCCAAAAGGATGTCAACAGAAAGATCAATGTTTGCAACTCCCGCAACTCCCGAAGGTTCAGCTGTCTCTCATTTGCTGGTTCATGGGCCCTCCTGGAAAGTCTTTAAGAATTAACGTATTTTTAAAGAGGTGGGGAAGTTAAGATGAAATGTAAATAACTGAAACAAAAACAGAAAAACAGACGGTGAGGAGAATTAGAAACCAAATTTGATTTTTTTTTTTTTTTTTTTTTTTTTTTTTTGCCTCTCACCATGCCTTCAAAACTGGGAGCTTTTACTTAATTAATTTCAAAAATAATTCAAGTATTAGGAATGTGAGGGAGATATCATTTCTCTTCTTGCTTTATTATGGAGTTCAATTGAAATTCTGTTAAAAGTATAAAAATCAATGTGAAGTATATGCATTATGTGACAGTTCCATCTACAGTTATCTTGTGTAGAATATAGGGCAGATACAATGGAGCAGCCAAGCACATGTAATTTACCCAACAAATCTAAAGCATTCCCACATTGATTTTTTTTTTCAGTTGTCTAGCCCCCAGTCACTGAACAGAGAAAAAAATGGCTTACTTTCATAACATGGGATACTTAAGGCTACAAAACATTCATCTTCATGCCCTCTAATTCAAGGCTGTCTTTTTGTTGTTTTTCTTGATGGGCTTTTTTTTAGGTCATTTAAAAAATACTTGTCTTCTCTAACATGTTATGACAAGAAAATAAACTAGTTTTTAAAAATGTTCTGATTTGTTGATTAATTTTGCCCCTAAAATTGTATTATACTAGTGTTGTTTTTAATGTTTTTACTATTTCTAAATGAAATTATCTTGAAATAATTATGAGTAGAAAAATTTATATAACTGAAAAGACAAGCTTTCATAATTAAAATATTAATTTTAATTATGTTATATTAAAATACCTAATTTAGTAACTAGAATAAAAGGGACACCAGAAACTATTTTTGATACTATAAGTTAATTCACTATTGAAATTACATGCATATATATTCCCAGTTTAAAATAATTAAAGCTTATTTCCCCCCCAAATGCTTTCACTTGCAAGATGAGACAGTTGTGAACGTATGAGTTCATGCATACACAAAAATATGCCATGGGATTACCTACTGTACATAACAACAAAGGATCTGTCTGTAATGTCCAGATCCATGTAAACAAGTGATATTCGATTCCCTGAACCACACCACCTTCACCAGCTGCAGATTGACTTGCATTTTAACCAGAGTTGTCAACTGTGAAATATGGTCAGATTAATATTCAAAAATCCACATAATAGTAGAGCGACAATACTTAAACATCACCAAGCCTTAGGGATGTTGTATGTCTCTAGCTATAGCTGCCCCCTCCTGTTTTATTTACTCATAAGTATCATTAATACCAAAGATATATAACCTTTGGTGCCAATATGTCATTCTCTCTCTTCAAGTCTTTAGTAGTTGCATGCTTATCTATTTCAGTCAAATGTATTTCTTATCAAAAAAAGAGTGAGAGACCTGACAATACAGTTATCGAATTTTTTCAGCTGAGACCCCCATGCCATTCAGCATTCAGACATGCTTGCGCTTGATTGATGGATGGGTTTGTGACAAATAAAACTAGGATCAACAGCTTTGCACCTTTTCCCCCATCAGAGACCAGAGGAAAGCATAACTCTACAACAATAGTGGGATTAGGGATGCATTAGCTCTCCATCGACCAAAACCATCCATTCCCATCAATACTTTGCACGTAATAACCTGAAGCTATGATAAGGAAACAAAAGAAGGAGAAAAGGGACAGGAGAAAACAAATCAATAAAAGAAGGGAATGTCTGAAAGATGCAATGTCCAAATGAAGATTTTTTTTTTCTGCATTACTGGGCTAACGTCCCTGAATGTGGAAACAATACCTCACCCAGAGTTTTGTCAGGGGAAGCAAATTAACACATTGTTTAAACACAGGCTTGGCATCTGCAGATTGATATTTAGACGAGTTTGTTTGTTTTTTGTAGGCAAAAAGCTGTGTTATAGTATCTATTGTTAACCTGTGTCTCTAAATTGCTCTTAAATAAAAAGAATGTTTTCACCTGAATGATTCAGATTCTGTGAGGCCAATTCTGTGATAATTAGAACACTCTCCTGTATAGACAGTTTTAATGTACAAATCTTCAGCACAGTCACAAACATTCTCTTAAATATGGGTTAGGATGAAGAATCATAATTGACTAGTTTACTAAGATTCATATACAGTATATTTGTTTCTATTATCAGAAAGAGACTGATACCCCTTTAACAAAAACTAATACCTGTCCTAGAAGAGTCTTACTTTTCTGGGTAGAATTTTTTATTTTTATTTTTTGTAAAAATCTTTCTACATAAAAATGTATCTTCATTCTCAATTCATAGGATATTTTGATGATAATTTCATCATTTTCCCCACAAACAATGGACCGTTAAGCTTATTTATTCAGGTTTTTTGTTCCTTTTCTTTGGAGAGCTTTTGATTTTTGTACTACCTATCGTATTTTTCTTAATATACAATTTATTCTAATTGGCCATTGAATGGGCCAGTATGGTTTTCTCCTGGTGCGGATGAACATTAGTGATATTTGTTCTCCTCTGAAGAAGATGTGTGAGGGAGGACAAACCCAAGTTCTCATTGTGGAGCCGCTGATCTTGGGAAAGGCACTTCATCATTTTGCTTCAGTTTTCAGACTTAGAATAAGAAGAGAATTATACTGCCTAATTCATCATTATCATCATCATCACCATCATTATTAATATTATCATTATTCTTCATTGACACACTGTAGTGCTTCATTTCCTAGTCAAAGTTTACAAAGTGTTGAGAAGAAAAAAAGCCATTTAGTTTCATTTTCTTTTTTAGTTCTATGAGAAGATGGAAGCCCCTTTCCTTTATTTAAGTAAACGCAGAAAGAAATGAGAGAAATTGCCCCATCTCCAAACAAATGTGTGGAAGATTCTTAGGACAGGACGATGGCTTCTAAACTACAGACCAGAGAATCCAAGAGATTCACAGAGTTTCTAGGTTAAAAATAATGTAGGGATGCTTTATTGTTTTATTTGTAAGATAAATTCTAGTTTCATTACCAATGTTCAAATCTTAATTTGAGCAATATAAAGTCAACCCACATGTGGTTTTGGAATCAACTGTATGTGTAAAGGCAGATGTTGGCTTGTGTTGTTGGAAGTCATGGGTCTTTAGTCAGGAAATGTGATAGTGTTTTTATAATCCCAAAGAGAATACTCTATGAATTATGATTTTAGAAGTATTCTTTGGACCTAAAATGGTTAAAATTATTAAAGCCATATACATCTGACATTTCTGGTCATACAGCATTTCATGTATGTCAGCATAGTTGGTACTTGCTCTGAATATCTCTGTCTGAACTGAAAACCTTTAAGGTAAAAACCTAATTAAAAGCACATGATCTACTCATTTGCTCTCCTAGTTTGACCTATTTTATAATTTGTATAATCTAGCGGGTATTTTCTTTCAGCTTCTAAATGGGGCACTCCAGATAAGTGATTTTATGGGGCACCTTTGCTGAAGCTGAATGAGCCCCCCATATCCAATACTGATACCTGTGAGTGGGTTCAGTAACACCAGTCACTACTTGCACATATGTTACTTTAAAATTTCAAGCAGATGCTGGCCCCTGACTCTAGCTATCTTTATAACCATGTGGAGGAAGAGTTCCAGAGGCCTAACATTTTAATATAAAATAAGCTGGATCTAAGTTTTAATATAATGGTAGCATGACCTTTGTTACTATTGCAAAACATACAGTATGTGCCTGATTGAGTCTTTTCTTTACGGCATAGTCAATCTTCAAGTTTTCCATGAAAGCCTTTTAAAGTGCTCTTACATCTATGACCCTATACAGAACTCTCTAATTTGGTTCCATGAAGGTTCCAAGTGAAGATGCATTATAAATGGAGATGTGAGATTTACATATATGCATTTATACGGACCCAAGCAGAACAAAGCAATGTCCTCTACATGGCAGTTGTGTATGTAAATCTTTGGATGATGCTTGAACATATGTCATATGCTGTCTGTTTTCTTTGTGTATATATCTTCCAGAGGGTATAAGTCTTTGGAAACAATGTGTCTTGTGCAGGATTCATTGTTTACAGCCTAATACACTGCCTGTAGGTACTCTAGAAATATTAATTAAAGGGAAAGGAATATACACATGTATTCACAGAGGATAAACATGGATACATTTCTAAAGAAATTCCAAGTTCATAAGCAATTGTTGATGTTTCAGACATATTCATACAAAAAATCAAAGCATACAGGTATAATGTTAAATGGAAAAGCCTGTTTTGCTGTCATTCTAGAACTTAGTAGCAGTCTGAAGACAAAGTGTATCATGTTTACTAGAGTCACCATTATAAAATTTATATCAGTTTGCTTAATTGAAACTGTGTACATAAATCCAGAGTATATTTGAATGTAGAGATAAGATATTAAAGCTAAATGTAAAGCATTTTGACTAAAATTCCAAATATAAAATAGGCATTTTGAAAACTTGCAAAGTTTTTTCTCTTCTTCTATGCCAAGTGCCAAATCTCCTCATGTGTTTTTTTTTTCTTTTTCATACTCACAAAGAATCAGAGATACTCTAAGGCAAGTGTTCACAAACTACTGCCTACAGGCTTGCCATCTATTAAAAAATATATAAGTATAGCTTTATTGTAACACAGCCATGCCCATTTGTTTATGTATTTTTCCATGGATGCTTTTGCACTTCAAGGGCAGAGTTGAATAGCTGAGACAAATAGCATATGTTATTGACAGATACTGTTATGGGTTGAATTGTGTCCTTCCCAAACCCCACCCAAATCCATATGTTGAAGTCCTAGCCCCCATTACCTTTGAATGTGACTTTATTTGGAAATAGGGTCTTTGCAGATGTAATTAGTTAAGTTAGGATGAGGTCATACTGGAGTAGTGTGGGCCCCTAATTCAACATGACTGGTATCCTTCTAAAAAGGGTGAATTTGGACACAGATATGCACCCGGGGATAATGTCAGGTGAAGAGAAAGACAGAGATTGAAGTGATGCAGCTGAGGAATGTCAAAGATTGCCAGCAAACCACCACAAGCTAGAAGAGCAGCATGGAACAGATTCTGGCAGCCCTCAGAAAGAATCAACCCTGCCAATACCTTGATCTCAGATGTCTGGCCTCCAGAACTGTAAGACAACCCATTTTTATTCTTTTAACCACCCAGTTTGTGGTACTTTATTACAGCTGCCTTAGCAAACTAGTATACTGAATGAGCAACAAAATCTATAATATTTACTATCTGGCCATTTACAGAAAAAGTTTGCCAACTCTTACTGTAAGGCATTGCTTTATGATCTTGGTGGAATTAGTAAGTAACAATCTGTCACAAGTAACTTGGTGGGATATGGAGGTCTCTCTGCTGTTCGAGAACAGGAATGATACTTGTTGATTTCGCTTGTAGACATTTTAAAACACACACACACACACACACACACACAGTGTTCAAGTCTTCGCATATCTTGAATTTCTATGAAAAAGTGTCTATAGGAGATAGCAAGGAAATCATCTGACTAAACTTAAGCTTTTCAAGCCTGAATGCTGTTCCACTTAGCTGTTTGCTCAGGCCCATCTTTGGTTTAAGCAAAACACTGCCTGGCAGTTTGAAGCTTTTTAACAATCAAAAGAATTTATGAGAAATTTCTGTGATTTATGTATCAGTGGAACACAACCATCTGCTTTACATTTCTCTTGAAATGTGCATGAGGTTAGAATTAAAGGACTGGTTGTTTGGGAAGGGGACAGTCATCATATGACAAGAAGATGTTTGCTTTTGCTGATTCCATCCCTATTTGGAAAGCAAATGGAGATATTCTGCCTACCTTAAAAAAAACCTCAATCTTTTATTTTGTAATTAATGATCTGAAAGGGAAAAATCAATCTTGGATCCTGAGTGGGGAAAATGACCAAATGCTTAAGAATTCAAAATATTTCATTAATGCAATATCAAATACCTATGCCATTTTCCTTGAAGCAACATCTATTTTCAAATGTTTTCTTGACTCATGACCCATGACCAAAAATAACAAAAGGGTTTCGTAAGTAGATCCTTGGAGAGCTCAACCTTAAGAAAGAGACCATATGGCATTTAGGAACAGGTGTTCTCTAAACTCTTGCTCTTCAAAGGGTGATCTTCAGACCAGTGGCATCAGCATCACCTGAGAGCCTATTAGAAATGCAGAACCTCAGCTGGGCGCGGTGGCTCACGTCTATAATTCTAGCACTTTGGGAGGCTGAGGAGGGCAGATCACGAGGTCAGGAGATCGAGACCATCCTGGCTAACATGGTGAAATCCCGTCTCTACTAAAAATACAAAAAGATTAGCTGGGCGTGGTGGGGGGCGCCTGTAGTCCTAGCTACTCGGGAGGCTGAGGCAGGAGAATGGCGTGAACCCGGGAGGCGGAGCTTGCAGTGAGCCGCGATCACGACACTGCACTCCAGCCTGGGTGACAGAGTGAGACTCTGTCTCAAAAAAAAGAAAAAGAAAAAGAAAAAGAAGACATGCAGAACCTCCAGCTGCACCTTGGACCTAATGGATAAAAATCCACATTTTAACAAGTTCGCTAGGTGACATAAGCACATTCAATTTTGAGAAGCACTGATCTCTGTTTCACAACTGTTGAGACATGAACTGGTGAGACAAATATTAGCTAGTTCTCCTCCATTCCGCTGCATGGTAACAGTGACTGTGGTGGTTTCTTGGCTCTTGTCTCCTTCTTGCCCCTTTCTCTTATTCTTGAGGTCCTTGCTAGAGAATGAAGCCCTTACCATGTCAGTCACTTTTCTACATGCTATATATAGAATAAATTATTTAATCTTTGAAACAAGCTTACAAGGCAGCACTAGTCACCTCCTTGTTTGACAGATAAGGAAACTGAGGCACACAGAAGTAACTTGCCCAAAGTTAGAGAGCTTTTACATTATGAAGCCTGGGTTCAAACAAAGTTACTCTGGCCGCAGAGCCCATACTCTCAACCAGTAACCACTCCGCTGTATTGCCTTTCAGATTATGAAAACACTGTTCTAAGTATTCTTCATGAAAATTAATGTAAAGAAGTCACCACCTTATAGAACTGACAAAGGAGTCCCAAATACATTGAAAGTAAGAGGCATGTGGCGTCATAAACTACTTCTTATACATGCCCGAATCAGTGGGTAGAATCCTAACATGTATTAGAAATAGAGTCAGAGACTGGAACTTACAGCGTTTATATTGCTCACAATTCCAGATAAATTTATTTTGACAGATTGGAAGAACCTAATCTTATATTCATTTCACTCCTGCTGCTGCAGATGTAGTTTTGTTTTAATACTGTTCCTGTAAAATGCTAAGCTCCAAATCCCTTGGTTTGTTTGGATATATTTGGATGTCCTAAGGGCACTTTATGGCATGGTACTCAGAGTTCAGTTCATGGGACTGTTCCATGGGACCAGTTCCCACCATATTCTAAGCCTGCATGGCTACAGAGGACTCAAGACTACATCTGGACCATTTTTTGGCTGTCAGACTGAAGTCAGGAAGCTGTGGCCCTGGTTTGAAAGCTTTCTTCATCCAAATTCTTGCTTTACTCAGTAAAATCTTTCCATCTTCTATATGACCCAAATGAGATGTATGGTCTTACATGTATGTTAATGGAAATCCATCCACATACACATAACCTCCCTCAGCGAAATGAATTTCAGACATTAGCAAACAGATAAGGGTGTATTTGTCTGTGCTTGGGAGAGGTTAACTAAAATATATTGTACCCTACGTTGATTCTGAGTTTCGCTTTTGGTCTTGTGGGAAGTAGGAGAAGGAGAATTGCTTGAAGATAATGGGTCTACTTCCCTTTCCCCTGGGCAAGAAACACTTCTGGTATATTCCTTGAGATCTATTGATCCTTAGCACGATTCAGCATGACTAAGAGGTGTGAAGTGCTGTCATGGAACAAAGAACATTAGGACTCTGAAGACTCAATTTTAAATATGTCACTTTTTAGCTATGTAAGCCCGGGTGTGTTACTTTAATCCTACTGGAAGCTGGGGTTAATGATTCTTACCTAAGGATCCTTGTGATAATTAAAGGAGGCCATTTGTGTGAAAGCCTTGGCATGATGATGCCTGCCAAATTTGAAATATCAATATGTGTTCATTTTATTCCTTTCTTTCAGTTGCCATTTTTTTTTTTTTTTATGAAGTCTCACTCTGTCGCCCAGGCTGGAGTGCAGTGGTACAATCACCGCTCACTGCAAACTTCGCCTCCCGGGTTCAAGCAATTCTCGTGCCTCAGCCTCCTGAGTAGCTGGGATTACAGGCACGTGCCACCACGCCTGGCTAATTTTTGTATTTTTAGTAGAGATGGGGTTTCGCCATGTTGGCCAGGCTGGTCTCGAACTCCTGACCTCAAGTGATCTACACATCTCGGCCTCCTAAAGTGCTGGGATTACAGGTATGAGCCAATACATCTGGCTCAGCTGCTATCTTAAGACTTGGTCTCTTTTAAGCATAATTTTACGCAACTGATGATTCTCCTCTCTACCACGTTAATGTATTTACAGTCCTTCCCCCAAGACTCCTGAAGGAGCTAGGGTTCATTTTCAGCATCTTTGGCTTTGATTTCCCATATCCTAGCTCCTGGAGTATGATGCTAGTCACAGTCACATCTCATGGGCAAGAGTCTTGCCTGCCTTAAGTCCTGAACCCCGGCTGGATAGGAACTAAAGGGTCAGCAGAGGGTCAGACTAAAGAGGACCAGAGGCTCAGGTGCTAATGACTTGGGTCCTGTGTATGTTTGTGTGTTTAGGGAGAAACTATTAATTATTAGTAATAATATACAACAAGTTAATAAAGTACTTACCACATGCTAAGTGCTTTTCCCCATTTAATCCTCACAGAAGCTTTGCAAGGTAAGTATTATCATCTAAGCTGAGGCTCAGGGAGGTTAAGTAACCCAACTTACACAGCTGTATGGCTATGGTGGAGAAAATGCTATTCACCACATGATTTTCTCTTCCTAGACACTAGGGAAGATATTTCCTAGCCTCCCTTGTAATTTGGTTGGGCCTTGTGACTGGATGTGTGCCAAAAGAATTGGGGCACAGAAGTCTTGTAAGCCATTTCTGGAAGTGGCTCCCAAAAGGGTTGCTTCGGGTCTTGCTCTTCCTGTGAAGGTGGTCTTGGAAAACATGTATTCCGTGGCAGAGCCACAGGATAAAGAGGGCCACCCAGCCCTTATCACATGAGCTATTATTAACTTATCACATAAGTTATTATTATTTTTAAGTGATTATTATTATCATCACATAAGCTATTATTAACCTTATCACATAAGTTATTATTAACTCATTGGATATTAGGGGGTGAGCTGAGCGACAGAACTGAACTTTAGAGTGAAGTTGTCTGGACATCAATGTTTCAACACACTGGACACATAGGTTTTTATTTAATTTTAATTTTTTTTTTTTTTTTTTTGAGTTGAGGCCTTACTCTGCCACCCGGGCTGTAATGGAGTGGTGCGCACATGACTCACTGCAACCTTGAACTCCTGGGCTCAAGTGATCCTCCTGCCTCAGCCGCCTGACTAGCTAGGACTACAGACTCATGCCACCGCACCCAGCTAATTTTTTACTTTTTTGTAGAGATAAGATCTTGCTATGTTGTCAAGGCTGGTTTTAAACTCCTGGGCTAAGTAATCCTCCTGCCTTGGCGCCCCCTACCCTGCACCAAACGCTAGAATTATAGGCATGAGCCACCATGCCCAGCCTATAGTTTCTTGATATTGACATTAGAGAGTGAATAAAATGCAAACAAAGGGAGAAAAGAAAAGTAAAAAATGTGTCTTGGTTACAAAGAAATAATACTAATTGCAATTGTTCAGCTGAATTAACACATAATTACCACTCAAAAATAATGAAAAACTATAGATAAGTTTTATTTCATTTTGAAGTTCTCTATATGTAAAAGGTGTGATCAATAAGTTAAAAGCCAACTAAGCACCAGTGTTGATGCTTAGAGATACATGCTTGATGGCCATAGTTATTCCAGCATAGCAGCCAGTTTGCAACCTTAAAAAATTAGAACAATATGGGTTACCAGTGAATAAATGCTAGAAGGAAGCCCTTCTGAAAATCCTAGGCATAATGACCCTTTCTTGGAGTATAGGCTGACCTATACTAACTGGATTTTAAGCCATACAAGATAATATTATACAGACACTCTAGAGGCTGTTAGAAGCAATCTCAGACTTATCTGATATTTTGTTTTCAGTCATACGTTTACTGCTAGACAAACCAGTTTTAAGAGCTGTGCCACATGATCACAAATATCTCAATGGCATGTTTATAGGTTATGTGTTTTATACACTAGAAGCCTCTTACAGTCAGAATTATAACAATCACCTGCTTGACAAGTAAATTTATTGGCTGGGCATGGTGGCTCACACCTGTAATCCCAGCACTTCGGGAGGCTGAGACGTGCAGATCACCTGAGGTCAGGCTTTCGAGACCAGCCTGGTGAACATAGTGAACCCTCATCTCTACTAAAAATAGAAAAATTAGCCAGGCATGGTGGCTCATGCCTGTAATCCCAGCTACTCAGGAGGCTGAAGCAGGAGAATTGCTTGAACTGGGGCAGTGGGGGTTGCAGTGAGCAGAGACTGCACCACTGCACTCCAGCCTGGGCGACAGAGACTCTGTCTCAAAAAGGAAAAAAAAAAGTAAACTTACTGGAATATTCTTTTTCAGTATGAAAAACCTCAGACCTTTTAAAGGTACTTAAATAAAAGAAAGGTGTATTTCCTCCAGTAGCAGAAAACTTATCTAGCACCTTTTTTGTACAATTGCTTTCAGTATATTAGCTCATTTAATTCTCACAACTGTATGAGAACATGGAGGCCACAGAGAGATTATTTGTCCAAAGTTACACAGCTTGTAAGGGGAAAAGCCAGGATTTGATCGCAGCCAATTTGGCTCGAGAGCCTCTCCCTTTAACCACCCTGCATGCTGCTGCCTCTCAACACCACTTCTATAGTGCTTCCTGTGGGCCAGGCACTGTTGAAGCATGCACACTACATACTCTTCTTTTTGTCTGCAAACAACTCATCAGACAAGTCAATATGGACTTTCATAAAACCTTTATTTTGACCATATTTCATATGTAAACCCGTAGGGTCAATGTCATGCTGCCAGAACAATTAGAGGAAATTTGACGAGCTACTCAGTAGGCAGACTGTTCCAACAAAAAGATTTTTGCAAAGAAATTAACTTTTAGAGTTGGCAAACAGAAATTATGACTAACAAGACAGGAAAATGCCAGACTTTACAAACATCACACTGTACAACATTAACTGGTATGATTTACTAGAAGTCTTCCGTGGGGCAGGTTTTATAGGACATAAGGTTCTACATCATTATTTTATTTATATCTCAGAACAACTCTATGAGGTATATGTTAATTATTTAATTGAATCTCAAATGTCATAGGTTGTAATTACACAGTTATGTACTAGTAAGAAAAGAAAAAGTGTTGGCAATTGAATGAAGACACACCATCAATTGTAACATGCATTCTAACATCAGAGATGTTAAAATGTGAAAAAAAATGCATCTTACTCTCATGAAATATGGCCTCATTCCTATAATACAGATGAAGAAATAGAATTCATGAAGTTAAATTGCCCAAGATTACATGGTTAGCAAGTGCTAGACCCAGAGCTCACATCCAGGTGGATCTGACTTGAAACCCATGCTCTTAACCATTTGATAGAGTGTCTCAGTCTGCGTTTGTGCTGCATAAAGTGAAATTAAATGTTGTTTTGTTGTTGTTCAGTGGATTGTCAGTATATTGTGGGCTGGTAACTTAAATCCTCAGAGAACTCTTCAGGGTTTGATCACCCATTAATATGGTTTAAATTGACCAAACAGGCCTAGAAAAGAAAATCAGTCTACTCTATTTTAGCTATGTAGCCAGCTTCAACATTACAGCTTTCAAGAGGTAGTTTCTGTCTCATTGTCCTGAAATCATTCTTCATTCTAGCTTATAACAAAAAGGAACTTCTTTAAATAAAATAAGATCTTTGTTTCTGAAGACATTGCTTGGCCTGCTCTTTTGCTCATAAACAAAATACAATTTCTTTAACTTTTAACAACTCAAGATGTTTCCTAACTATGGCATGGTTTGAGATTTGAGAACAAACAAACAAGACCACACAAAGCTTAAAGAAGCAGAGAGCAATTTCATAAAAATGTTTTTAGTCATAAAGACCCACAAGACAGGAAAACAGAAAATGCATACATACTTGACTCAGAATTCCAGTTTTTTCCCTAAGAGGTGACAGCAGCTTTAAACATTGCCTTCCTCTTGTGTAGGATTACATATGCACAGTATACAACTTCAGTTTCTGTTCTAAAAGCATTATGAGCCATTGTTTTTTGATGGTCTCTAGAGGCTAAGGAAAAATGTTATTGGTAGTATGAAAGAATAGGTTTTAATATAGGCATTTAATTTTCTTTCCATATACTCCCTGATTAAAACAAGGTTTGCCCCATTTTCTATTTTTCTTTTGAAAACCCTCTTTACCCACATCAACAAAACAACATACTGACTATAGCTGTGACTTTGGTTCTGTTGCCCTAAGTTCAGATGCAACTTTGATTCATCTCTTACACTGTGTCTAAGCATTGAGTCAACTTTGATTACACTGGCATCATTTAACTTCTACTTTTAAAATCGTTTAATTTTGTTCTCCAAAAAGTTAAACTAAATGATGATATAGCTTATTAAATATAGTTCTTTTTGAAATTAGCTGATAGGAAGTTTAAAAAAATGTACTGCTCCTTACCAATTACTGAAATAAACAGAATACTTAAATTCTCTAGGATAAATATATGTAAATTCAACTTACAAAAGGGGGGCTATTTGGGGTGTTTAGAGTTATCCCCCTCATCCATGATAATATTATAATATTATTAGTGTTTTGGGCTGTAGAACTAATATGCTACTTGTTTCTATAAATATTTTTCTATTTCATATATTCTTCCTCTAATTATTTTTAAGAGTAAAAAAAGTTAAAAAAAATCCCAAATTCAACTTAGATATTACCATAGCTTGGAGAGGTTAAGGCAACCACTAGGTTTAGATTCAAACCTAGGTTTAACTATAAACTACATGCTTTAAAATAAAAGCACACTATGTTACCTTTTCATCATCACATTTAAGTTATACCTATTGGAGCTAGATCAACAAATGTGCTTTGATTTCAAGAGGCAGAATATGGAATATTCTGATAAGACTTAATACTGACATAAACATAACCGGAAAAGAAAATGTTAAAATACTCATACAAACTGGAAGTCTGGGCTTGAATCCAGTGTTAACACAACTAGAATGAATGTCTGAGTTGTGTTGGGATTAAACAGTCAGTTCTAATTCATTCAGTTTCGCTGACAGGAGCCCTTCCTGTGCGTTGGATACCATGTAAAGTATTTTTAATACAAAATTTCTTCCTAGTAACTGCAAGTTAGGTATTACTGGCACCTACTTTTTGCTCAGATGGTTTAGGAGACCTGTCTAAGGCAAACAAGCTGGCAAATGGCAGAGCTGACCTGAGGTACATGCTCAGGTCTGTGGGCCTCAGGGCTGAGTTCTTGCCACTGTGCTATCTGAACGATATCGGATCCACATCCTCATGGAACTTAGACACCATTATAGAAATACTAGAATATAAGATAAAAATGTAAAGAAACTGTCCAGAGATATAAACACACTGTTAGAAAAATTCAAATACCAGTGAGACCTAACTCGATATGTGTGGGAGTTTTGGGGAGCAATAGAGGGTAGACAATAGGGAGAATGCTTCCAGCCAGAGCCTGGATGAAAGAAGGGACTTAATGGAAGGGTGAGATTTTTATGGATATGATGAAGGGTTGGGTAGGACAAAAGTGAATCAGAGAGATGAAACAGGAAATCTCTGTGTTAGTAACACATGAGTGTCAGTAGGAAGTAGGAAGAGATCAAGCTAGAAATATGACTTGTGACTATTACATCAGACATTTGAGGCTCAAGGGGAAGAGGAGTGTGTATGTAATTCACCAGGCCATGGGGCTCACTGGAAAGTTCTGAGTGAAAGAGGCTTTAGGAAGATTAATCTGGTAGTAGTGTGTAGTGGAAGCAGGCCAAGTCACTAAAAGTCAATTCCCTGCAAGCCAGCTTGGCTTTCAGCGAGTAAGATATATATTATTATTCTCATTTTAAGAATGAAGAAACAGGCTCAGAGAGGTGAAGGAGCTTGCCCAAGATCACGGTTAGTAAACAGAAGCGCTACGATGTGAATCAAGCATCTCTGGCTCTAAAGCCCTACTCTGTGCATTGGACCTAACTACTCCAAGTAAGGCCTATGGACTGGTGGCTTTGGCTCCCCGGGGAGCTCATGAGGACTACAGACCTACTGAATCAAAATCTGCATTTTCACAGGATCCTATATGCACATTGAAGTTGCAGAAGCACTAGACTAGGCTACATTTTCTTTTTATAATGATCTATATAATTACTGGAAAAATATTCACCTGGCTACAAATGTAGCTTTTGGGGGTCTACATTAGGTATTTTCCTTACACAAAAGATAAGACTTAACTAAGAAAAGGAACTCTTCTGTGTTTCATTTTCATAAGGAGGCCAACAAGTTAAAAATGTAAAAACTGAAATTGTAACCTAGCTGTGTGACCTTGGGCAAGTCACTTAACCTCTCTGAATTTAGTTTCCTCATCTGCATAGAACTTGGCCTGTAAGAATCAAGTGAGAAGTTATCTGTGACAAAAGCTTCTACACAGGGAACTCATTATAAATATATAAAGCACTGCTATTAGGAGACATGGCTATAAAATATATTATTTTAAAAAACAAATAGAAAGAAAAGAGACAGAAGAAAGGAAGAAAGAAAAAGGAAGTAAAAAGAAAGAAAGGCAGGGATAATATACAAAAGTTAGCTGAAGGAAAACTAGCCTCACTGAAGCAGGAGCATGAAGAGTTGGTGGGTAAAAGCCCTAAGGAGTGAAGGAGTCCAGGAAAGCTAATTTCCGATTCTCATAGGTGTTTCTGAAAATACAGAGACTGTGCCACACATGGGAGTGGGAAGAGTAACAAGGGCCTGTGTGGTCTTGGCCCAAAGTCACAGACCTGAGGTCGGTAAAGCCATAAGAAATTAAAAATATAGCTATATAGTAATTAAAGGAATGAAAAACAGCTCATCTGAGGAAAAATTAATACAGATTTTAAATCTTGGAGCAAAGAAGCCTACATAATGCATTAATAATGGAACATCTGTTACCAATGTATTGTAGTTACCACAGAAAATTAAGATACATTAACCGATTTCAAGCAAGAGATTCTTTAGTTAGCCAAAGTAGTGAGGGAGGTTAGACGCTGAAGTTAAAGAGAGATTAGGACTCCTCATCCCTAATTCATTTGACATATGCTGATTGAGAGCTTACTATTTGCAGGCATTGGGCTAAAATTCTGGGGCTACAAAGTACATAAAACACAGTTACTGCCTTCAATTTGCTAATAATTCAGCAGAGAAAGTTACTATAATGCATAGTAGAAAGTGAAAAGTTCTATAAAATAGTTATAAATAAGACAGCATGAGAATTCTGGGGCAAGAAAGTGTTTACATTGCTATAAGAGGTATTAAGAACGGCTTCCTGTATTAGGTAGACAACTATTTTTCCATTAGTTTTCCAAGAATCAAGGACATTATCAAATATTGATATTATTATCAAATAATCTGGTGAGACTTTTCTTGCTCGATGATGCTGTGATTGCCATTATTATGAAATGAAATAACTGATTAAATTTTAATATACCTAGGACTGAGGAAAAAACTAAAAGTTAGGTAGCAGTAACTGTGACATTACTTTGGCATCACTGTACTATGATAACCCAAATCCATATCATATTTCAAAAGTTTAAAAAAAAAAACTCAAATGGGTTTTAATTCAAACAACCAATTAATTTACTGAAACATTAGCATCAAGTGACTCTTCACTGATTTGTGGCCTCATGCTGACATCAACATATGGAGACAGTATCAATAGATAGAAAACTGGTTAAGTGTCCATCCCCTTTCTTCCTAACTCCTGTGAAATTAACAAAATATTTGTGAGGCAGGGAAGGGGAAGTCACAGTTGTAGTATGTATTGGGCAGGTAGTTTGTGTGCATGAGACAATTAGAATTTTTTATACTGGTCATGAAGAAAAATATAAAAAAACCTTCCTTTCCACATGTTGTAAATCTTTGGTATATTCAATTAAAAAAAGTAAAACATATGTCAAGTGACTACAGTTGTGAGATCTGCTAATGAATTGTCCCATTTCAAGAATTAAAACCTTAATAGTTTAGACAAGAGGAGAATAATGAAAATCAGAAAATATGCCAAATTTATTCCTGTAATTGCTCTAAGGCTAAGCAGTACTCCCTAGAAAGATTTTAGGAGGATGTAGTAACATTAGATATATTTATGATATCTAGATGGCAGAAAAACACCTCTAAAATTTATTAATGGAAGGGATAGAATAGAGTGTTAACTAACAATTTTTTAAAAAGAAATTTCACACATATGATATATAAACTGAATTTTTTGAAGTGATGTCAATAAATGCATAAGCTCTGGGTTTGCTGAACTTCTGAAGGACATGAGCCTGTAATTGGCCTTTCTTATTTCTGTCTTGTTAACAAGTATATAAATAAGAGAAGGCTTCAGTAATTGGCTCAGAGTTACTAATGAATTAATTAACTTCAGTCTATTTTACCTAACCTTTAATAATAAGAGCCTTTTTTTGAGGGGGGGAGTCTAGCAATAGGTCTGACAGACTGAAAAAACAGACATGCAGCAAAGCTCTTGAAAATTAATGAGAAACGAGGAAAGAATCAATGTACATTCTGCTTGCAGAGAACTGACACAAAAAAGACACAATAAACCATGAACAAACACAGTCAGTTTAAAAAATAGGTTAGAAAAAGTGGGCAAATTCAATTATAGAAGTAATTAGAAGATATAGGGCAAGCTGCCTTTTGGGACTGTGCCAGAAAACATGAATTAATATGAGTGAATAGAAAAAGCCCATGTAGTAATTAAGAAGCAATCACCTATGGCAATGAGTACCTGAAAACAGGCTGCAAACTATTAATTCAGTGATCAAAAATATTTTTAGATGATTAATATGGCAAATTTATTTTAAAAGACTAATTTCTGGAAAGATATCAAGACAATAGCACATTATTTGTTCCTCTGGCATTTATATAGCTAATTAAATTTTATAATTTGCAACAACAGTCACTATTATCTGAAAACAGTAAAAGCAATATTTCACCTCTTTTTTAAAAAAACAGTGGCTCTAAAATCAATAAGTTAAATCCAGCTCCTGCTGTCCTCCTGTAAGTACCTAAACCTTGAGTGAGTATTACATTTTTTTCAATGTGTATTTTTCTTATACATCTGTTTCAGTAATATTGAACATTTGAAAGAATGTACATATTCTCATGCCTGGGCATGGATTCCACACACTGTTTAATTTCAACACTATCAAATAAAAGCAATTTAATTTACTATTTGTGCATCAAAGACTTTCTTACTTGGTCAACAGAGGTCTGTTACTTCAGTACACACCATTCCTCCCCTTAGAATACAAAGGCATAGATATGTTATAGTGAAGAGTGCTTTACAACACACAGAAGGCTAATGGCTTCTGAAATAGGTGATTATCAGAGCCCCGTAGAGCGAGATGAGGGTCTGGCTGGTAATAAATAACCTCGCAATAAGAATTATTCTATTTCCACAGCCTTAAGAAAAAGTATGTTTCATTATGGATCAGAAAAGTCTGAAAAATGTTGTCTATTTGGAAATAACAGGGAGCTACTAAAACTAATCAGTCTGTCAGCAGGAAGTTATTGAGCACCTACTACGGGCAAGATGCAAAGGTAAATTTGTAACCTTGTAACATAATTTTTTCTGTGTGGTATTTCCTCTCAGAAACCAATAAACAACAACCCTTGTATGCCATGCTTTAGAGAGACTAGATTTTTAATTACTAAATTTGCTCATGGATTAATGCTATTTTAAATTTAAAAACTTTTTTTTTTTTTTTTTGTTATGGATGGGGTCTTACTATGTGGCACAGGCTGGTCTCAAACTCCAGGCTTCAAGTGATCCTCTCACCTTGGCTTCCCAAAGTGTTGGGACTATTGGCATGAGCCACCACACCTAGCCTAGGATTAATACTATTTTTTAGGTTAAGGTACAAATTGATGACCTACAAAACAGAGCAAACTAGAAACTCATTGAGAGTCACTATTGCAGATGGCATGGAAGTAATAGATGTATAGGTATTGGAGAAAAATTTAAAAGGAAGGATTTTGACAAGATATCAAATTAAACGGATTTTAGATCTATCTAGTGTTTTCATTATCCATATTTTTCTCTTTTTCTTAAAAACAAACTGGGAGCTTTTGAAAACAACACATAAGAAAAGAGAGCTGCTAACAGAGTTCTCTCATTCTCTGAGTTTGTTTCATGTTAATTATCAAAACATAGGTATAGCAACAGCAAACAAACAATTCTTCTGCTGCCAGTTGATGATGATGACAGAGAGCTCCCAGAGAGACAGGCAATTGGGAACTAGCGAAGTGAGGACAGCTTAGAGGTGTTGGGGCTGAGAGGGGCTGCCAGCTGAACAGGACCTACTCACCATGAAATGTTAATGTGTCAATAAAGGAGAAAAGCATGAATGAACCACAAAAAAACTGAAAATGACTCAGCTGGTTGGAGATGGAATGTTGGCTTTTTGCCAAAGTAAGGTATTCAAGGGCACACACCCTAATACCTAGGGGAAAAACAAAGGCTGCTCCCTGATTTTAGAAAAAGAAAATACTTTGGAGAAGGGAGACAAATGGCATTTTCTTCAGAAATAAACTTTGTTCCTTTTTTTTCTTTCCCCCTTCCTTCCATCCCACAAACATTTTCTGAGTTCTTACTTTTGCCAGGCACTGCGATAGGAATGGAGAAGGAAGAGAGGGAGAGCGGAATATAAAGATAAATGAGACATAGCCCCTTGTCCAAAGCTCCTATGATAGAGGAAGGAAAGATGTACGCAGCTAACTCTAATAAAAGATGGTGACATAAGTGCAAAAGAGGGATGAGGTAAGCTGTAGTGGTAGTGCAGAGGAAAGGAGCAATTAGCTGGGGGCTACAGTAAATCAAAAACAGGTTGTCAGAGAGGAGGTAGCATTTATGCTTATCTTGAAGAATGATAGGCAGGAATAGAAGGAGGAAATTTCAGTGGGAAGGAACTTTCTCTTACCCTAACTTCCTCTTTTTCTAATCATGGTTATTTCAGGAAAAGCAAGTAGACAACTATGACTTGTGTGTATATAGCACAATGGTGTGTGTGTGTGTAGCGGTGGGTGTGAGAGGAAAGATTGGGTGGGAAGAGGATTTTTCTGGAATTTATAATACTTCTTCCTCATGTCTCAAACTTTTGTCTCTATACACTAGTATTTTAAAAAAACACATTCTTTTCTTTTTAGGTATTTGAATAATATCTGGGTCCTGTTTGACTGGAAAATGTGATCTTCCAATAGCTTTTATTTTTTGTTTGATGGCTTTGTCGTTTTTGTCAATGATAAGTCCTTATTCTAGCTTATGGCTTGATGATTCTTTTGGGTTGTACTGTGTTTATCCATGCATTCAATTATTCCTTCATTAATGTATCCTTTCCTTTTCTCATCTTACTAGTTGACAAGTATTCTGCTAGACATAGTTTATTCCTTTCTTTCTTCTAGTCTGCAAATTATGCCATTTCTAACATGAAACATGGAAATTATTCTAAATACACTGACTAAAAGATCACACTTAAACATATGGTTGTGTCCTATACCAAATAGAACATCAAAACCCATATTGTTTTTTGTTTTAACTTAATTTTTTTTTTTTTTTTTTTTTTTTAGAGATAGACTAAAGGAGTCCTCCTGCCTCAGTCTCCTTAGTAGCTGGAACTATAGGCACGCATCACCATGCCCAGCTCAATTTTGTTCCTGACAAATGTATTGGTCAGTGGGATCATGTAGACTGGTCTGTTTTTTTATTAAGAGGTTTTTCAAAGGAAGTCTCTAGAGCAATACCTTAGTCAAGGTAACTAAAATAGGCTTATCTGTAAATGGAGAAGAATTTCAGACTGGGATGGGTCAAAAGTTTCCTACATACAAAACCAGCCTTGTTTACTGGATAAACAAAATCTAAGTTTCCATGTCTCTCTAGGGGCTAAGGAAGGAAAAGTAACTATCATGCATGAATATGAAGTCATTGAAAGGATTCTTTTTAAGTACTCTGCTAGAAATGAGGGGTACAAAAATGATTAAAACATGAGCCTTGCCCTCAAGGAACTACTTCTCTCAAGAAGAAGATAAGTTAGATAAGTAAATCAATTATTATTATACAGCCATAAGATATAAAAGCGTAGCAAGCTATGAGATCACAAAGGAGGTGTATCTAAATTAGACTGGGACAGTGGGGTAAGAGGATAACATGCCAGAACTGAGTTTTTAGGAATGAGAATTTAATTAGCTGAAGAAGCGGGCCAAGGGAAGGTGCTGCATAAAATAGCATGACGAACTTGGGAATGTCTTTTTGTGAACGTACGAAGTACTGAGTTAACAGGGTGGGGATGGTGAAAATATCCCTTACACAGACCGGGCTCTCTCTGGTGTTTTCAGTTCCCTGACTCATTTCCTTTTCCTACCTCCTTTTCTTTTACTCAAGGTTTCTGGACAGAGTGAAATAGAAAGTCTTGTCTGTGGACATTTCAGAATTTGAAAGCTTCTGGCCTAGAGTGTAATGATGGGGTATCTCAAATGGGTATTCATGCTAACGACCTAGGTGAAACAGTAACGGGTGAGATTATAATACACTTGTGTGTCTCACAAAGATGTTGACATCTATGGAAATGATTTATTTCTCTATGCCAATGTTTTATTTGAATTTAGAGCCCAGAATAAGCAGCTTGTCACAAAGACCTCAAAATGTTTCTTATGTGAACAACCTCAAGAAAAGGAACCAAGACAATTGTTAGCAAGAAGATTGATCTGAGAATTAGCTCTAGCGTATTGAATGTTAAAGGTGTTTATTAGAAATGTCCACTCCATTTATAAATTCTCCGCTTAGCTAACTCCCACTCATCTTTTAGGTATCAGCTCTCTTGCTCTCTCTCTCTCTCTCTCTCTAAAGATATGTCTCATTTATCTTTATATTCCTCTCTCTCTCTCTCTAAAGATATGCCTCATTTATCTTTATATTCCTTTCTCTCTCTCTCTCTCTCTCTATACATATATATATATATATATAATTTTTATTTCTGAGAAGGTTTGCCTGATATTCTATATTAGATCACATCCTTCTGTTGTGTGTTTTTTCAGTACTTTGCATTTTTCCTTTGTAGCATTTAATATGACTCCAATTAAATACTGAATTATATAATTAATGGTTTCATATCAGTTTCTTTAAGTAGAATGTTAGCTTCAAGAGGGCAGGAATTGGGATTTATACAGCAATATCCACAATGCCTAGCCACATTTCTGGTACATAGTAGGTACTCAATAAATATTTTTTGAACGTTTTATTTACTTTTTATACCAATTTCAGTGAAACGCAAATGTAACAAATTAAAATGGACCAGAACTGCTAAGTAAAACCAGATCTACAGCTTCTAAAGCTAACTGGATCCTCCAGAAGTTTCTCAAATCTGACCCTGGCTCCTAGGAGAATTCAATTGATGGGACTAGGTTATCTCCTCTTCATGCTTTTAGCTGACCTCCTCATACCAGTTTGGCTCAAAATGAATCCAACATCTTCCCATTCATCTGTGTCAGGACATCTTTATTATTGCAACTTGCTTTCCTCAGGCCAGAGCTTCCTTCGTTATTGAGTTCCAACTGGAAAAGTCACTGTGCCAAGCATTTGGGATAAAAACATGAATCACACCTGTAATCCCAGCATTTTGGGAGGCCGAGGTAGGTGGGTCACGAGGTCAGGAGTCCAAGACCAGCCTGGCCAAGATGGTGAAATCCTGTCTCTACTAAAAATACAAAAAAAAAAAAAAATTAGCCAGGCGTGCTGGCGGGCACCTGTAATCCCAGCTACTCAGAAGGCTGAGGCAGGAGAATTGCTTGAACCCGGGAGGCGGAGGTTGCAGTGAGCCAAGATCCCGCCACTGCACTCCAGCCTGGGCAACAGAGCGAGACTCCGTCTCAATAAATAAATAAATAAAAATAAAAATAAAAACATGAAAATGCATGGCCCTGACCTCAGGAGAGTCATAGGCTGCCACCTGAGTTGCAAGACTGGAGAAGGTTTCAACTGTCTTCAGGAAACCCCTGCCTATAATTATACCACAAGACCATCACCCTTTTAGATTAAATGATCTGGTCCCTGTTATAATACCTATAATCCTGGAAATAATAACTTGTTAAAGCTGTTATTAACCACATTTACCTTCATGGGAGTGAGGTATCTGAGAGTGGGTTTTGACCCAGAGGGTACAGGGACAGGGGATACGGATGTTGGGAGCATGAGAGGAAGAGGGACAAGAAATGTCAGTAAGCTGGGAAAGATCTGGAAGAATAGTGCCTAGCACATAATAGACACAAGACAACGCTTGGTTGAGTAAATAAAAGATAAACTGCTTTCTTCACATTGGTTGAGGGTTGGCCCTACCTTAGGCTGCTGTCTTAGGTAACTAGCAATTTCTGGTTCAGAAAAAGTTTACAAAATATGAAACAGATAGCTGCAGCTGTTTGGGGTTGATGCCACATCCCAATTACACTATCAAATTCTAAGACTTTAGAGGGAGAACATACAAAATTTTTTTTCGTTTTTATCACTACTAAGTCAAGAGGATTTCCATTTTCAGAAATATTATAAGGAGGAGTTCTACCCTGTTTTCAAGGTTTGATGTAAGCTTGAGCTTAGATGCGTATGCTGGGTTATCTTAGCTATTCCAACTTTTTTTTTTTTTTTTAATTGAAGAAACTCCAATAGACTCAAATTGGTCATGAGAACTAGTGGTGATGTTTCAAAAGACAACAAATGCCATACTGATGTCTGAATACTAAGGTTCTTTTCCATGTCTGTGAGTATAATGCTTGCTTACACATACTAGCAAAGAACACAATTAGCATACTAATTTGATTCTTTATCTAAAGAAAGGAAGATTCTTTTGACACAGACAGCTGTCCATGAATAGCTAGGGTGACCTTTGGTCAGTTTTCCATCTGTCTTAGAGTAAAAAGTCCAGACTTAGGCACACATTATCTGTATGACCTTGGGCAGCTTTCTTGTTACTGTTTCTCAGTGTCTTCCTCTGTAAAATGGGAGCACATCTAATACCTGCCTCACAGAGTTGTAGTAAGGATTAGGTTAGCACTTTGCTCACAATAGACACTGTAATATTTTTTAACTCTTGTCTGAATGTTTTTTATTCTTAGGAAATTTGCAGTAATCCTAGGACTCTTTATTTGTACCTGCCTTTGAAGAGAGGGATAGAGACAGGTTTTCCTCCATCCATTTTGAGCCTCCCTATGAACTATGTGGGATTAAGCTTGCCCTGACTTTATTAAAGAGCAAAGAATCCTGCAGCTATAGAGATGTCACAGTTTCCTCCTGCCCTTGGTTCCCAGGATTACAAATCTCCACAGGATTAGATGCACAGAAGCAGGGAGTGATAACTGGGGATGTCTTAGGCTCATCTAGTGGTCATTGGATGCTCTCAGACTATCAGGTTAACAAATCAAAATAGCACCAATTATAACTGCATGACTAAATTAGTTTCCTAATATCTCCCTATACTGATTCCCCCTTCTCCCACCTTTTTCCCTTCCTTAGACTGGTGGTTCTTAACCTTGGCTGCACTTTGGAATAATCTGTGGAGCTTTAAAAAATACTGATGTCTGGGTCCCATCCTCAGAAGCTCTTATTCAACTTGTCTGGAGCATAGTCTCAGTACTGGGCTTTGAAAAAATTCCCCAGAAAATCATCACACTTTGAACACTAAAAACTTCAAAAATAATTTAGTTTTCAACATAAAGCCTAAGCTAACACATGCCAATAATGCAATTAGTAAAAAGACAGAAATTTAGTTACGACACATAAAATTAGTTTTATGCTATTAATCATATTTCGGCATTTTATGATTATTTCGATCCTAGTTTAAGGTAAACAATAACTCTGTCCTGTCTTGCTCCATAAACATAAGGCTGTTGAGTCAACCTGGTGTGAGGAGACATCAGGTTGGAAGGAGAAAAGCAGTATGATGTGCTCCAATCATTTGCTGAAATAGTCTCAAGAGCCAATGGTTGGTCAGAGTACCTTCTCAAGTCTCAGCTCCACAGATCTAAGAATCTCCATTTCTTAGTAGCTCTGCCAATTTAGTTGCCAATTTCACTAAAAGGATATGTCTTAACCCCAGTTTCATGAGATCAATGTGCCATGATCAGCTGTGATTGAGATCTGTTCTAAGAAGTATGAAATAATAATAAAGTTCTGGTGTTTGCAGACAATATATTTAAGAATGAATTACAGCAAATTCAAGATTATCCTTGCAATAGTATTGCTTTCACTCATACCCCAGTACACTGTTTTGAATGGGAGAATATGATGGAGTTACAATTACTATGGGGGACTGCTATTTGACATGAGTGTCCCTGTGGAACAAAGCTTGGGGTTTTATAAAAACCACCCTCCCAAGTCAAAGAAGTTCTTCACTGTGCCTCAAGTTTGCAGCAGTGCATACTAATGGAGGGTGAAGGGGAGACCCAGACAAAGGAGCTTCTCTGTGTTCCAGTACCCAGTCTCTTTTCGGGGGACAGAGAGAACCTTGTTTTCTTACATTGGAGATGAAAGCTTGTTTATAAAGTCACACCTGAAGCTATCTCTGCACTAAAAATGAAAAAAAAAAGTCCTAAGTAATTCTATCAACCTTTTCTCATCACTAAAAATCAGTTTTTAAATGTGTGAAGGGTAAATACAAAATTTTTGGAAAAAATGAAGCCAAATCATTATATATATGTGTGGGGTGGGAATTCTCCTGATACATGAAGTACTTGTGATCTGACTGGTAATTTTAATGTCTTCTGCTGAAGATGAAGGAATGAATACTTCATTTAGCTTTTCATTTGCTAACTGAACTTGCTAGTTGCATGAAAAGAGAAATTATCAGTTAAGTAATTTAACCCAACACTGATTTTTTTTTTTAAAGTTCTGAGCAGAAGGGAAAACGAGGCTTGAAGATAAGACCTGGAGAAGGGAGAAATACGGTAAGCACTCAATAAATGATTGTCGGTAGGTAGTTGTCAGGGTAGTGATGATGATAATAAATTTCCCTGAGAACTGTTTTCAAAGTAGTAATGTGCAGAAGGGAACATACTACTCTGCCTTTTAAGAGCAATGGGCTATTTTGAATATTACTTATGACTTTTTCATGCTGACAGTCATTTTTTTCTAGTAAGAAATTTAGAATATAAAATAAAGGATTTTTGAATAATTTAGTATATGCAAACTGAAATCACCTGGATGCCGTTTTTCATTCTGCTACTAATTGCCATTGTTTAAGACAAATTATATAATTGTTCTATCTTTTAGTGCCTCAATTTTCATTTCAACATTTAACTTATTAGTGAGTAATCTTAAGTGGAGTCCTTTGAGTTAAATGAATTAAGATCTTACTCTTTAATTTTTAAAGTAAAATGGATCAAAATGAGCAAATACATTTAAAATATACAGTTTGTGAATTAGATTCCTCATTTTCATAAGGCCAGTGAAGGGAGAGCCCACATTCAGATGTCAAGCAAAAGTGTGATGGGGTCCTATTACTATCTGTTACTACCAATTCTATTAGCAACAATAAGTTTCAGAAAATTAATGGGTGGTAGCCCAAGAATGAATTGCTTATCAAGAGAAAATCAGGAAGGTTTGGGGGCACTTCTCTAAACTTTCAAAGCAGACAACTATCCTGACTTCCCATAATACATTTCATTGGGTCACTTCCTGAGACAGAATTCTACAAGGGCCAGTCTGACACATGTGGCGTTTGTTGCACTATTGATGTTGAAACACTACATTTTCTTTTCCTTCTATCTCTTGCTCCTTATTTTAAACTGCTATTTATTTTATATTGCCCCTTATTTTACACTGACCCTAGCCTACAGTATATGAAATCTCAGTTTTTTTCATTCTGCAGATAATTTCTGGCTCTGTGATTTTAGATCCATTACCCTTTACTGAGCTTTTATGTCACTAGAGAGAGCTTTGCATTTTAATAAAGTTTCCAATCCTCTAGGGCCCTCTCCCCTGAAACAGCCCCAGCTCCCCAGGGCTGCTGAAGAGTTGAGCAGAGAGAGTAGAAGCTTTTGTGGACAGTGATGCTGATGGCAGATAACTCCAGCTGTCATTACAAGATCATCCAGATAAGGGGGAACAATCAAGTAGGGGCTTACGGTCCACTTGAGTTTTTCTGATTGTAAAACCAGCCATTTTTCAATTTAAATAATTTAAGGATTCCAGCTTCTCTATACTCTAAGGCTCATTTAGCCTCTTATTAGCTAACTGTTTCTCCAGTTCAAGAGGTGGAAGGGAAGAGTGCAGATTTTTTGTTATTGTTAATTCACAGCAGTGGGTAGTGGCATGTAAATAAAAAGTAAGCCAAACAAATTTGATGAGAAGAGAGAATAGGAATCCATATAAATAATCATAATTGATTTTAAAAAGTTAATTAAAAGGAATAAAAAGAGGCAAATACTGCATGGCCTAGCATATATCAATAGACAAATGACAGAGAGGAGAGACTGAATTAGAAAATTGATTCCCAGCTAACTAGAGGAAGGAAGCCTACTAACACAGCTCTTAATTTTAACTTGAAAATTCCAAATTATTTTCTAAGTTCTTTTCCTCGCAGTATTCTGATAATAATTTTATGTCACATTGTTCCCATTGAAGGAAATGCTGGGATGAGAAAGAAAGAAAAAGCAAAACAAAGTTGCAATATCCCAGAGAATTCAGCTCAGCACTGATTCACAGAACTCACATGTGACACATCCATGATGAAAAATGCAGGTAACAAACCAGAGTGGGCATAAGGTCCTCCTTCTTTTTCTCTTAGTTATAAGCCTTTTTTTTTTCTTTTAGATTTTGCAATCTTTCCTGCTTCCCTAATCTCTGTGATCAAAGGGCAGTCACCTACAATATGTATTTTCAAGTGGTATACACAGGAGTTAGGATGCAAGGCATTCAGTTTCATACAAGGAAGTGGAACACTGGACAACAGTCCAACAAGAAGATGAGGCCCTTCTTCAGCCTTTCAAGTGCTCCTTTTTGGCAGGATCATGATTTGTATTTTTGTGTAGGAGCTCTAAGGATGAGTAAGATGCTGGATAACAATGATATGCCTATGGGCCTATCCTTTTCCTTTGCTTAGGAGACACATTCCACTCCCATGAAGAAAGGTTCCCAGCATGAAGGTCAGAGCCTGAGAGAGAAGGATGGATAGATAGTCAGAAGCAATATGTCCTGACAGAGGTAGGACCCATGGTTACCATCAAATAAGGTCTTCTGCTGACGCTTGAAAGGAATCTTCTTATATGGAAGGTAACATCAACAGCTAAGATGCCACAATAGGAGGGAAGACCAGAAAATGCATTTTCTTTTCTTTTTTCCTTCCTCCTTTCCTCTCCTTTTCTTCTCTCCTTCTCTTTCTATCTCCTTCCCTTCTAAGCAATAGAAGCCCATCTTTGAATTGCTAGAGAACTATCATAGAATCAATTGCTGATACATACGTAGCTTTCAAAGAAATATTATTTCTATCTCTATTCAAAGACCAGACCACTGAACTGATGGAGTTTTTCCCCCTTTCCCTCTTCTCTCATTTCAGAATGAGGAAAAACAACAACAAAAAACATAGCCAGATAAGCTATAAGTGTTAGAAACAGCTAATATTGCTTGTGCTTCCTGTATTCATTCATTCCTTTCTTTCCTTTTCCCTCTCTCCCTCCCTCCCTTCCTCCCTCCCTTCCTTCCTTCCTTCCCTCCATCCCTCCCTCCCTCCTTTTTTGTTTCCTCCCTTTCTTGCTTTCTTCTTTTCTTTCTTCCCTTCTTCTGACTTTCACATTAGAGCACTTTCAGTGACTTCTTTCCCAGACTGTAAACTCTGTAAGGTCAGGGGTTCTGACTGATTTACTCATTACTGTATTCCCAGCACTTAGCCCATGCCTAAATATTTGTTGAGTGATTGAATTAATGAGATTTACTACCATAAGATAAAGATAAAAGATTTGTAAACACAGAGCCAGTGAACATAAATAGTATAAACATCACTTTATAGATCTTTTTTAATCTGCAAAGGTTGGATTAGAGGAAAATTTCCTAAAATGTGTTAAAAATATTAGCTCTGAAGAATAAAAATAGACTTTTTGGCAAAATAGGTTGGGGGAAACCTATGGAAAAATAGTTTGGGATACACTATATTATACAAGGTTCAAAGAGATCTTTATGATTTACCAGAGTTTTTCAAGTACAAATTTTCATTGTGAATTTCTTAGAGAAGGACATAAATTATTTGACCGTGTTATTTTTTTTTTAGCTGGCATAGCTTATAGGGATGGTATTCCATAAAACATGTTTTGAAAAATTAGCATCTTAATTCAGTTTTTTAAAAAAAATTTCTTTCTTTTGGATTTAAGTACTAATTATTTTTCTACTGTAAAAAATACCACTTAAGTTAACATTACTGAACTATACCGTTAAAAATGGTGAGGGTAGTAAATTTTATTTTTTTACCACAATTAGAAATACCATTAAGAAACCTCCAAAATATTACTTTACTAAGAAGTAAGAGGAATCAATCTTTTACCTAACAGCTACAACAATGCAGCCAGAATGAATAATATTGCCAAATAAAGGGCTTGATTTTGGTCTATAATGTTAAAAAATTCCATTTACCACCTAGATACTATATCTTCAGGAAGCATCCTGATTTTAAACATATGGCTGTGAATCTCTTGGTGTGAGCTTTTAGCAATATAGTTTAGGAGGCCTGGACATACAGAGCCATGACTGTGTCTGGTTAGGAGAGTAAGCCTGGGACCAGGAGACAAGAAACTGGGTGATAAAATTGACACTGTCACTCACTCAGTGTACAACCTTGAGTAAACCCTGCTTTCCTTTTCTATAAGATAGCCTCAGTCAGTAATGTTTCACTTTTTCTTTCTAGCATGGGATTTTCATGAGTAAATCTTAATGGAACTCTAATATACACAGCAGATAATAGCAGAGGTACTCTGGTCTCAGTGGGGCAGGAGGCTGCTTGGTTCTTTCCAAGTCTTACTCCTGCTTCTAGGAGTTAAGACTGAAATAGAAAAGAATGTTTGTGTCCGTTATAAAGCTTGTGAGCCCCTGTAACTTCATACAGACCCACACAGTATACAGCTGTTAAAGAATATTGAACGCTGCCACACTGCATGTGGTGAACACCTTTTGAATTTCAACATATATTTTAGATTAAAAAATAAGAAAAAAAACACCAGAAAGTACCCTTCCCTCAGTCACTTTATGTATACATTTTAACATATAAGCTTGATGGCAAATTAAAATCGAATGCAAATATTTTTCCTGAAAAGTTGCCCATTTATATAGTTTTCTTAGACTCTCTTAGTTTTTAATGGGAAGGCTTTCCTAATAACAAAAAGTGTTAATTACATAAATATGCGTGTTCTTTTCAAAGCCTTACACTATATTATGGATAATAAACAATAGAGAAATAAATACAAAACTGTTTCAACAGAAACACTGCTTCTTGAACAGCCTTTAACATTATGACATGTTTACTGGGAAAATGCATTACTCATGACAGGGTTACAAAAGCAATATTAACCTTCTTGAAATGTAACAGCAAAAAGTCAGATGTAAAAATCAGTACCAGGCATGGTAATGTAACTACTTTTGTTAAGATTATACATAGAAATAAAGCAGATATTTAAAGCTACATTAAGGTGTAGATAAATAAAGGATCCTTTAGAAGATTCACAACACACATCACAACTAAATTCATGATGCAGATTGTCCTAAAGATAGCATTCTTGGAGATGAAAACCCTGTGCTTTCTTTTGATTGTTTTTCTTTTGGGCACTGCTGCTTTTGCAATTTTGTGCAGGGTGTCAGACATTAAACTTGTCCTTAAAGCAAATTAAAAAAAATAAGATAGACATAATCTATCTTTTGGGATAGGCACTTGTTATATCGACAAATTACCAAACACTTTCACTATATCTGATATGACTAATGAGTCGTTGTAATCTATAATCAAAAAGAATGTTTGCTTCTGTAAAAAATAAGAATTTACCCCAAACAACCTTTCATAATAAGCAAAGAACTCCAAAGTAATGGTTTAAAATGTCTGATGAAATACACACTATAAAATCGCACTTACCATCAAATGCAAGTTAGATTTACAAAATAATTTTTCATCAAATTTATTTTGTTGCTATTGTTTTATCGTAAGACCCATTACTTGTCTAGTCATGTAGTGTTGATGTTTAAAAGGGATTCATGTTTTAAAATAATCCTAAAATATTTCATTAAAATCTGTTAGGGAATTTTTCTTATTCTGGAGAATGTTAGCTTGAGGCTTATTTAAAAAATAAAGGTCAAAAGTCAGAAAGGATAATAGCTGATGGTTTTGATAATGCTAATTATATATTACTGAGAATAAAGGTAGAAAGGGAAATATGAATACTAAAGAAAGATAAACATCCCAATGCTGGATTTTTAAAAAACAATGAAAAACCCTTAAAATGTCTTTGTATGTCACTGTCATAATTCAAAGACATAATGAAGCCTGAATTAAAAATGTCAGTTTCTGTGAGTGTTGATAACTTGGTTCTTTGTTGGGCAAGTCAAAATGTGTCTGTTTGATAGGCAAAAATGACAGACTAAAAATGGGAGAAGTTGAATCTAAAAAAAGAAACACACACACACGAACACACATGAACACACACACACACACACACACACACACACACACACACGCACGACTTTTAAAAAAGGCCCATAATGTACTTGAAGGAGAAGACCTGTAGGGTAGGAGGCAATATCTTTAGGAAGTCACCAAGCAGCACTAAAAGGCAATGTCCATGGCCAATCAAAACGATTTCTGAGACTGCTGGGGCTCTTGCATCTCTGTCTTTACACTAGACTGGAAACCCTTTGTAGTAATTACCAGACTGTACCAGATTTTCTGGTTCAGTTCAATCTTATAATTGACTGACAGTGATGGGCCAGGAGGGGGAAAAATTCAGGCTCACCACTGCAAGCAGAGGATCAGAAATGGTTTCACAGAGAGCTAGTTACAGCCTGGCACTAAAAGCAGGGTTAAGCAAGCATCATCAGCAAGTTCTCCTAATTCCCAGGTTAGAAAGGAAGTTAGGAGGAAAAAACAACAATCCATGGGTGCTCTCATCTTACAGATCAATCCTTAGCATGCAACCATTTTACAAAAAATGAATGGAGAATAGCCTTAAGTGTAAATTGTAATTTTAGATGTCACTAAATTTTAGATGATTTTTATTTTGCTTTTGGGAAAAGATAAAGGTTTGTCTCCCAAACTCAAATACGGTCATCTTGCTTAAGTTAAGGAGACTTTTGTTCTATTTATACTAAGGAAGAAAAACAATGCTGCTATTTCATTCCTAGGGCTCAAAAATAATTGAAGTGCAAGGCATATTTCGCCTATGATATGTTACATAATCAAAGTTAATTTGAAAGCACTTAACATCAAAATTCTCACATCCTTTCCTTATTTGTAATTCACTGATTTGGATTTACTGTGTATCCATAGTTAGTAAATTGTTACCCATAAATCCATACTGTTTAAAAAGAAAAGATTGAATAATAATTTACATGAACTCAGAGTTAATGCATTAAAAAAATCGAACACGTTGAGCGCTGTATTAAAGACTCATTCGGCTGGCTACCATTTGTTATTTACTTAGAACTGTTCTCTACCCACTTTATTTCTAAACAAAAGAGCAACCATAGCTTTAGCTACACCAAACATTAAAAACGCAGGTGTCAGAATCAGGGTCAAAATGAGAACTCAGGCCATTTGGTAGGCAAGTGAGAATTATGTACTATCATGTTGAGGTCAATTGACTTGAAATTTAATCACAGTTTAAACCCCTTTTCTTTCCAGGCTAAAGAGTAAGCAACACCTGTGCCAGCAGCAGCTCACATTGCAGCTGACATAGCAGCTAGTTCAATTTTTAGTTACAAGTCAATTACTTACTGGAATAGAAAGAGAACATTTCATTCATTCCATGGATGGCCACTTTTCCGAAGAAACCTGTCAGGCTTTCTTTCTCCAAAAGAAGAAAAGAGAAAAAAAGTGAAAGTTAAAAATAAGTGATGTACTGCAAAGTTTTAGAGCTAGGCCAGTACACTACAGCAGAGAAGTTGTGCAAATAGCTTACCTTCCAAATACTGAACAGAGCTGTCTTGTAAGTGAGGCCTATCCCAGCTGATAAGTCCTGGGACTTTCCTTATCAGAGTATCAAAATTAGGTAAAATTATAATAGGTGATCTACACCTGAGAAGAGGGACCAGCTGACTGTATGAAAGGAAAGAGCAAATGAGTAAAATGTCTTCCCCCAGCTACAGTCAGCCCTGGTGCAAGGGGAGTTTTCAAATGCACTGGCTATAGACTTTTGTCCAAAGCTGTGGTTCTCTTTTTTTTCTTTTCTTTTTTTTTCTTTCTTTCTTTCTTTTCTTTCTTTCTTTTCTTTCTTTTTTTTTTTTTTTTTTTTTTTTTTAGAGAAGCTAGATTAGTTCATACAAAACTCAACAATACAGCACTGAAACCCATTGTTGATATTCAACATTTTTCACATAGCGGAACAGAATAGACAATACGGTATCTAGGAAACCATGGGCTGGATTACAAACTGATGATATCTCATCCTTCTGGGGGCCTGTAATCCTTTTTATTACCTACCACGGTAAAAAAAAAAAAAAAATCACTATGTGTGTGGGGAACTCTCTCAGAATAAATCAATAACATTGCCATTCTTAGGAAAATAGGATAAATTAAAATGAAATCTTGCTTACAGCACTAAGTCCCTAAGTGTGCCATTTGCCTTTTATGCAAGTTAATGATTTTTTAAATTGCTCTTATCTTAACCTTTATATAAACTTCCATAGGTTCAAAAAAATTAAATTATCTGTAAATATTTGCTTAAAAACAGTGTTCACAATTAGCTTGTATGTTCTATTTCTCATAATAAATACTTGGAAAGTTATTTATTTCAAAGTGTCCAAGATTAGAACCTAAGGCATGAGTGCAAAGTAATTTTCATTAATTTGTTTTAAATACATGTGTTGGGTTATTAGTAAACTATATTTATTCCTCCATTAGGAACACACTGAAATTCAAGGTCTTCTGGGCTTATTTACCTGATCTAATTAAATAAATAATTTTTACTTTTAAACTTTTCATTGTCTTTAAAATTTTTCATTTTTAAAATGCATTTCCTGATTATGCATAACTGCAAAGCCATCCTTTACAAAGAAGTTATGCCTATTAACCTTTTTGAAAATCTGGTCCAATCCCTTTTTAAAATGCAATCCAGTTCCCATACTTTTCTTATGCCTCCAAATGGTCTAGGTAGCCACAGAAGTGATTGTTCCTACCAGTTTCTTTTCATCACTTCTGCAATTGACCAATTGACAACTGATTGATGGTTATCTTTTCACTTCAACAATGAAAGAAATTACCATCACTATAGCTATGTACAGTAAATGCCTCCAGAGTAAATTGCATGATTCTAAAATTCTCCTTAGCTCACTTAGTAAAACATCAACACAAAAAAGTTTCTTTTTTGCGCCTCCTTTCCTGTACCACAGATTTGGCCTTTCCTGTCAACTGCAAAAAAAGAACTTGACAGCTTCTTTAAAAAGAGGAGTATAAAGGAACTTGAATAAAGGATGGCACTGGGCCTGTCTCAAGCAAGTGGCCATTCTTTTGCACTTGGAAAAAAATTAGGCATGTGAGCACAGATAAGCCCTATAAGAATACTCTAAGGACTATTCCTGGTGACCTTGAGATTCTCTTTCCTGCCTTAACCATTCCTGAACATTAGAGAAACAATATAGATTCTGAACATGGAGTTGCCAACTTATTTCAACTAGGATTTTTTTTATTGAAAGTGAAACATCCTTAAATTTTTTAACTTCCTTTTTTCTTTAGCATTGCGAAGACTCCCTTGCTCTAACAGTGCTCCAAAAAATGCTATTATGCAAGCGTCACATTCATTCATTACATGTTGATGGACAAGAGTTTAAATTCTACCCCAAATCTAAATTTACTGTAAATGTATATTTTATTCTTACATGAAAGCTCTGAATCTTGTCAAGGAAAGGTATTCAAATATCTTTCTTTCTATCCCTGTGCAATTAAAGTTATTTTTTCTAAGTGAAGTGAATATGCTGCTATAAAAGATTGGGCTGATTTACTGTCTTATTCTCCCACTCCAACTTTAAGATCACTTTTTTTTTTTTTTTGAGATGGATTTTCACCCTGTAGCCCAGGCTGGAAAGCAATGGTGTGATCTCGGCTCACTGCAACCTCCGCCTCCCAGGTTCAAGCAATTCTCTGCCTCAGCCTCCCGAGTAGCTGGGATTATAGGCACCTGCCACCACGCACGGCTAATTTTTGTATTTTTAGTAGAGATGGGGTTTCACTATCTTGGTCAGGCTGGTCTCGAACTCCTGACCTCGTGATCTGCCCACCTTGGTCTCCCAAAGTGCTGGGATTGCAGGCATGAGGCACCAGGCCCAGCCTAAGATCACACTTTTAAAGTGAAAAAAGAAAAAAAAAATAAACCTACGCAAACCTGAGTAGATGAGAAGGGTGATTTTTCCCTATTTCCCTTGATGTTTCAGGTCCATAAAATTTGTTCTACTGAATATTAAAAAAAAAATGAACTATAGTTTTATTGTCTAGAATTACTTGGCACAGTAAAACTTTTGCCACTTCATCAATATTATTAGGAATAAATAATTCTTATTCACTAATGACTCCATCTAAGATGGGCTAGTTTTCTGCTATTTCTGACCTCAGTTATTTAATCAAATAAGTTTTTATTAAGTACCAACTTTATGTTTTTTACACGGTAGGCTCTGTAGAATGCATGAGAAATATGAGACGAGATTCCGCCCAGCAGAAGTAGATAATTTCTTTGTGGAAACAAGATATACTGTGGGAAACAGATACTGAATGAAGATGCACATATTATGTAGATACATATACCTGAAATATTATATATTTTCACATACTTGGCATAAAGATGATGCTAAATTTTATTCACTTAAAAATGATTCATAATCTTTCCCATTACCTTTGCAATATTTGTCAGTGATATTATTATTCAAATATCCCAGGTGACATTCATGAAATATCACATTTATATCTATAGTTGATCTCTAAACACATACTTGTACTCGTCTAGACCTACCACAGGTCATAGCTGCATTAATAAAATTGACTCAAGATGCTCTAGTCTACCATATTTAGCCTCGATCCTTTACCCACAACATGATAGCTGGAATAACCTTACTACAACTTAGCTTTCATCATGTTACATATACCTTGGTTGTAGAATCTATAATGCCTTTTTTTCTTTTTTTTTTTTTTTTTGTTTTTCTTTTGCTTATTGCATGAGGTCTAAACTTCCCTGCTCAGTTCCCAGGGCTCTACAAAATACAGTTTCTTGGTAGCACCTCTCTAACATTATTTCCCATCAACCAGCTTGCTATTTATTAATAATATTTCTTACTATTACATACATGCCTAGATGCACACCATGACATTTCATCTTTTATCTTTATCCTATGTATTCAAGGTCCAAAATTACCATAGTACACTTATGAATCTTGTCCTGCAGTAGCATTCATGCAGATCTCTCTATTCCTACATATGTTTTACAGTTATTATTAGTGTTATTATTATTATTTGATACAAGGTCTTGCTCTGTCACCCAGGCTGGAGTGCAATGGCATGATCATAACTCATTGTAACCTCAAACTCCTGTGCTCAAGTGATTACCCTGCCTCAGCCTCCTGAATAGCCAGGACTACAAAGATGTGCCACCATGCCTGGCTAATGTTATTTTTATTTATTTATTTTGGTAGAGACAGGGGTCTTGCTATGTTTCCCAGGCTTGTCTCAAACTCCTAGCTTCAAGTGATCCTTCCATCTCTGTCTTCCAAAGTGCTGGAATTACTTCATTTATTATTGAGTTTGATATACATTTGGCTCAGTTCTAATGCCACCTCTCTTACGAAGATTTCCTTATCAAATGAGATAAAATAAATCTGTTCTTCCAGTAGACTCAATAGTTCTTGGCACGCATCTTTATTATAACAGTCATAATCTTGAATTGTATTTGCATATTATTTTTCCCAGGTAGAAGTTAAACCCCATGAGGAAAGGAACTAATCGTATGTATCTTTTTATGTCCAGTTATTGACATATAGATGCTCAATTAATGGTTATTTGATAAAGACATGATCCTTGTTCCTAAGAAACTCTCATTTCGGGGAGAAGTTTCTATTAGCTGTGAGATTAAGATGGTAACTGAGTAGCTAAACAAAAAGTATTGGCAGTTGGAACAACAAGTAGTTCGTTTAAAAAGTAAATTGAAAATGTAAAGTGAGTATTTAAATGTTTTCATAGTGAAGACTATCTCAAAGCCAATCACTTGGGACATAGAAAATAGCAATTGATACATAGTTGCATTTTTAGGCTAGTCCAAAAAATGCCTATTTGATCATAACCTAGCTGAGTTGTAGTAACAGCCATTTATTGAACACTTGGTAGTTTGAAGCACTGTAATAAGTACTAAAAATTATTTCATTTACTTTTCAAGATAACCTCATGAGGCGGGTATTATCATTGCTATTTTACAGATAGGAAACTTGGACTTAGAGAGGTTAACAGTTGCTCGAGGCCACCTAGACAGTGAATGGCAGAGCTGGGATTGGCTCTAAGGCTCCCATGCTTTACATTACTCAAAACTGACCCCACTAGTAGAGATCATGTTAATCCTTAGTTAATGATTCTGAGGAATCTGTATGTGATGAACATGAGGGAAGAAAAGAAGAAGGAAGATGATTTTCTATTCGTTTCTTCATCGTACAATGAGTTTCAGGTACCATAGTTAAAAATTACTCTTTGTGTATTCTGATTTTTCTTTCTTCACACATATCTTACTGCCTCAGATACCCGTCTCAATCTTTCAGGTTACCATTGTCCGGGTTTTTTTGAAAACTTCTCTGTGGGCCTCTACTTAGACTGTCAATGTTCTTCATACTCCCTTCTTTGCTCATTCAAAATACCTATTACTTTAGGACATATGGTAATATAAAACCAACCTAGATAAAGTGATTCTTGCCAACATGTCAATGATGGATGGATGTTGGATTCTTCTTCTTAATAAGCACTTAGAAACAAATGCTTATTAACCTGAGTGAATATGCAAGGATAAACATTTCAAGCCTTGAAGCTATGCAAAGTAAAGCAGGTATTTCCCACAGAAGCCTTAATGTATGAACAGAAGGGAGTTTGAAACAATATATGATGGTGATGTGTGTGAATGTAAGAAATTGTGTAAGCAGGCCAGGCCTCCCTAAGAATCAGCTTCCTTAGTGATTTTTAATTTGGGTGGTGGAGTCACAGATCCTTTGGAGAATATGTTGAAGGCTACGCACTCCCTCCCTGGCCACACACGACCCTTTTGCTTATTATTTTATGGAATTAATGGACTTTGGAGGAAACCATGGGGCAAACCCCTACCCAAGGCTATTGCTTTTCTGAGTGGTATTTCCTTTCCTCTGCTTCTAAACATATGTATCTTAACCATGATTGCATGTTACAGTTAACTGGGGAGCCCATTACCAGATATTTTGATGTAATAGGCCAGTAGTGGGTCCTGAGTAGCAGTAATTTTCTTTCTTTCTTTTTTTTATTTTTGAGACAGAGTCTCGCTCTTTCGCCCAGGCTGGAGTGCAGTGGCGCTATCTCGGCTCACTGCAAGCTCCACCTCCCAGGTTCACGCCATTCTCCTGCCTCAGCCTCCCGAGTAGCTGGGACTACAGGCGCCCACCACCACGCCCGGCTAATTTTTTTTTTTTTTTTTTGTATTTTCAGTTGAGACGGAATTTCGCCATGTTAGCCAGGATGGTCTTGATCTCCTGACCTTGTGATCTGCCTGCCTCGGCCTCCCAAAGTGCTGGGATTACAGGTGTGAACCACCAAGCCTGGCCAGAGTAGCAGTAATTTTCAAAAGGCTATCCTAGTGATTCTGTTGTGCAGCTATGTTTAAAAACCGTTTTCTAAGCCAGTGATGCTCAAAGCATTGTGCCTGAAACAGCAGCATCAGCATCACTTGGAAATTTGTTAGAAATACAAATTCTTGGACCCACCACAGACCTACCGAATCAGAAAACTCTGGGCATAGAGTCAAGCAACTTGTCTTTTAACAACACTTCCAGGTAAATTCTGATGAAATCTTAAGTTTGAGAACTGCTGTTCTAAGCGGAGACCTTAGGAACTCTGAGAAACAACTCAATGGCAATGGCCTCATACTTGACTGGTTCTCAAGGTTGTGATTGCTTTGTGAATTAGTGGTTGTTTTAATGTATGGATGGCATAAGAGGGATGGCAGCACAGAGGTAATCATTCTGTCAACAGGAGATATAAACATGAGCGACATTGTAATAGAAAGGGCAATTTAAGCTAGCAGAGCGGATGAATTATCTGAAAGTATGCAGCATGTACAGTGAGAAATGAGCCCAAGTGCTACAATACAGGGAATACTTACAGTTGGAGACAAGATGGGGAAGAAACACCAGCAGAAAGGAGAGAGAAAACTGGCAGAGAGACAGGAAGGAAATCTGAATGAGGCAGTGACACAGAAACCTAAAGATAGGCTGGTCAATCTGCAGTTTAAAATGGGGCCTGAAGTTGATTCACTTGATCTTAGAAATTGAAAAAGGATTTGGCTAGAACAGGGGTCCCCAACCCCTGGGTCACAGTCTAGTACCAGTCAGCCACACAGCAGGAGCTGAGTGGCAGGCAAGTGAAGATCTGTATTTACAGCTACTCCTCATTGCTCACATTACTGCCTGAGCTCTGCCTCCTAACAAATCAGCGGCTGCATTAGGTTCTCACAGGAGCGTGAACCATATTGTGAACTGCACATGTGAGGGATCTAGGTTGTGTGCTCCTTATGAGAATCTAATGCCTGATGATCTGTCACTGTCTCCCATCACCTCCAGATGGGACTATGTAACTGCAGGAAAACAAACTCAGGGCTGCTATTGATTCTATATTATAGCACATTGTATAATAATAAAGAGCACAATAAATGTAATGCTCTTGAATCATCCCAAAACTATCCCCCCTGCCCCTGGTTTGTGGAAAAATTATCTTCCACAACACTGGTCCCTGGTGCCAAAAAGGTTGGGACCACTGGGCTAGAAGGAAGTCATTGATAGCTTTTGAGGAATTTAATAGTGGGATAGAGGTAAAGCCAGATAGCAGGCATTCAGAAGAGAATGGGAGGAGATAGATGAGCTTAGTGGGTATAAACAATGTCTTTTAAGGAGTTGGCTCAGAAAGAAGAAAGGAGGACAGTTATTGGGAGCAGCAGGCTCAAGGAAGCCAGTGTAAGTTGGGAGAAGTATACATATTTTAAGAAATAAAGGAAGAGGCCTTCAGGAGAACAAAGTCAGGAGTAGGAAAGAAGTGAAAGGACTCAGAGATGCCTTAGGAATAGAAAAAGAAAGGGAAGGACTCATGCAGGAGAAGGGTTGTGAAGGCAAAGATGATGGATATGAAATAGGTCATGCCTGATGGCATCAAACTTATTTGTGAAGTAGGAGTAAAATCATTTACTGAGGCATTATTATTATTATCATTGTTATTGGATAAAGGATGGCAGAAAGTAGAGGTGCATAGGGATTAACAAGAGGAAAAAAACTAAAATGAGTCAAAATTGCATTTCTTTATGGCCTGACACTTGCTGCTTCTTTCTACTTACAAGTCTCTCTTTTGCATACTTCTATAAAGTTAACTGTCTCCTGCTTAACTTAGCTTTCCTGACTCTTTTGGTGGCTCTTTTTCTACATGCCCCATAACAGGTCATGATCCCCAGGGTTTGTTTGCCCTTAGCCCTCTTCTCTTTTCAGTCTCCACTTCTTTCCTGGCTCCACTTCTGTAAGCTTTGTCAATCTGGTTATCAAATTCATATGCAGCCCCAATGTTTCTTCTGAATTCTAGATCTGCACTTAGCTGTTTTTAGTATCTCAGTTTCACTATGTGTAAAATCAAACTCTTCATCCACTTTACTGTAAACTAACTTAAACACGTACCTCTGACTTCAGCATGCTTGTCTATCTCAGCAGCTTCACCATTAATTGCCTGAGTTTCCAAAGCAAAAAGCCATCAACGATCTCTTCTTACTCATCAGTCCTGATAACTAACAATTGTCTAATTTTTAAAATCAATTTTATTTATCAAATGTTGCATTTTTTTTTCCTGATTCATATATCGAAGTTTTTTTTTTCCAACTTTTTTTTTAAGTTCAGGGTACATGTGCAGGACATGTATCAAAGTTTAATTTTCCATCCTCTTACATAATAACCTTCTTGCAAATCTCTTTGGTTCTAATATTTCCCCTCTTTAACTAACTCATCCTCCATTTTATGACAGGAGATTTCATTCTACAATGCAGATCTGTGTGTGCCTCTCACTTTCCCATGTCCTACAGCTGTGGTTTCCATAGTGTTCTGAAGAACTCAGGGTTTGCTAGAGATCTTTTAAGGACCTCAAATTAAAAATCTGATCATGAAAATGAACTTATATCATTAATCACAGTCTTTTACTGTATCATACCTGATAGAGATGCACATATCAGTGGAGAGAAGTACAGATGTTTCTTGATTCACGATGGGGTTACATCCTGATAAACCCATTGTAAGCTGAAAATACCATAAGTTGGGCCAGGCGCGGTGGTTCATGCCTGTAATCCCAGCATTTTGGGAGGCTGAGGCAGGCAGATCACTTGAGGTCAGGAGTTCAAGACCAGCCTGGCCAACATGGCAAAATCCCATCTCTACTAAAAATACAAAAATTATGCCGAGTGTGGTGGCTCATGCCTGTAATCCTAGCACTTTGGGAGGCCGAGGCGGGTGGATCACAAGGTCAGGAGATTGAGACCATCCTGGCCAACATGATGAAACCCCGTCTCTACTAAAAATACAAATATTAGCCAGGCATGGTGGTGTGTGCCTGTAATCCCTGCTACTCGAGAGACTGAGGCAGGAGAATCACTTGAACCCAGGAGGTGGATGTTGCAGCAGTGGGCTGAGATCACGCCACTGCACTCCAGCCTAGGTGAGTAAGACTCCACAAAAAAAAAAAAAAAATTAGCCAGGCTTGGTGGTGGGTGCCTGTAATCGCAGCTACTTGGGAGGCTGAGGCAGGAGAATTGCTTGAACCCAGGAGGCGGAGGTTGCAGGGAGCCCCTATCACGCCACTGCACTCCAGCCTGGGTGACAGAGTGAAACTCTGTCTCAAAAAAAGAAAAAAAAAAAAACGAAAGAAACAAAGAAAATACCATAAGTCAAAACTACATTTAATACCTGATCTACTGAATATTATGGCTTAGCCTAGCCTACTATCTTATATGTGCTCAGAACATTTATATTAGCCTATAGTTGGGCAAAACCATCTGACAACACAGTACATTGGAGACTATTGGTTGCTTACCATTGTGATCATGCGGCAGACTAGAAGCTGCACCTCCCTGCCACTGCCCAGAATCTTGGGAGTCTTGCATTGCATATCACTAGCCAGGGAAAAAAATCAAAATTCAAAATTTAAAGTGTGGGTTCTACTGAATACACATGCTTTCTCACCCTTGTAAAGTCAAAAACTCTAAGTTAAACAATTGTAAGTCAGAGACTGTCTGTACATCAAGTCATTAGATAGACTATTAGAGAAAAATAGTTGATACCATTATCTTATAATGCATCCAGAGAAAAATTTTAAAAATGCATCCACGATGCTTAAAGAATAAGCATGAAGGCACAAAAACTTTCCAAACCAACTGGACCAAAGTCCAATATTGCCAATTACTCTATTTCGCATATCTTTGCATGCAAAAAGAGATGTATTATAAATAAAATATGTAACATATATGTAACAGGAGAAGGTACTTAGATCAGCTTTGATATATTAAATCAGGTGGAAAGAATGTAGAAAGCTGTATATGTACTTTTGGCACAAAAACAATAGTAGAGAAAATAGCAGGAGTAGTGATTTTTATAAAAGTTATTACTGATAATGTGTTTGATTAATCATTTAATTTGCATAGGCAAGCATTAGCCCTTAAGAAAAGTGCTGCTTTCTTTTCAAGCCAGTTTGTTTATTCTATGCAGATCAACAATTTTACTAATACATAGTCTTTAATACTCCAGGACATTGGTCTGAGCAAAAATTTCTTGAGTGAGACTTCAAAAGCACAGGCAACCAAAACAAAAATGTGCAAATGGGATCACATCAACTTAAAAAGCTTTTGCACAGCAAAGGAAACAATCAACAAATTGAAGAGACAATCCACAGAATGGGAGAAAATATTTCCAAATTGCCCATCCAACAAGGGATTAATAAACAGAATATAGAAGAAACTCAAACTTAATAAGAAAAAACAACCTGATTAAAAATGGGCAAAAGATCTGAATAAGCATTTCTCAAAAGAAGACAGACAAATGGTCAACAGGTATATGTAAAAGTTCTCAACATCACTAATCACCACAGTAATGAAAATTAAACTACAATAAGATATTATCTCACCCCAGTTAAAATGGCTTTTATTCAAAAGACAGGTAATAACAAATGCTGGTGAGGATGTAGAGAAAGGGGAATGCTTACATTCTGTTGGTAAGAATGTTAATTAGTGCAACCACTGTGGAGAATAGTATGGAGGTTCCTCAAAAAACTAAAAAAAAATAACTACCATATGCTCCAGCAATCCTACTGCTGGGTATATATCCAAAAGAAAAAAAATCAATATATCAAAGACAGATTTATACTACCATATTTATTGCAGCACTATTCACTATAGTCAAGATATGGAAACAATCTATCAGAGGCTGGGAAGGCAAGTGGGGAGGAGGAAGTAGAGATGGTTAATGGGTACAAAAACATTCTATTTTTAACAACAGAATGAATAAGATCTAGTATTTGTTAGCACAAAAGGATGACTATAGTTTACCACAATTTATTTTATATTTAAAAATAACTAAAACAGTAGAGTTGAAATGTTTTTAACAAAAAGAAAGAATAAATGCTTGAGGTGATGGATACCCCAATTACCCTGATTCAACTGTTATACATCATATGCCTGTTTCAATACATCACATGTCCCATCAATGGGATGTATCTCAAAACAATAAGAGCTATCTATGACAAACCCACAGCCAATATCATACTGAATGAGTAAAAACTGGAAGCATTCCCTTTCAAAACTGGCAAAAGACAGGGGTGCCCTCTCACCACTCCTATTCAACGTAGTGTTGGAAGTTCTGGCCAGGGCAATCAGGCAGGAGAAAGAAATAAAGGGTATTCAATTAGGAAAAGAGGAAGTCAAATTGTCCCTGTCTGCAGATGACACGATTGTATATTTAGAAAATCCCATCATCTCAGCCCAAAATCTCCTTAAGCTGATAAGCAACTTCAGAAAAGTCTCAGGATACAAAATCAATGTGCAAAAATCACAGGCATTCTTATACACCAATAACAGACAAACAGAGAGCCAAATCATGAGTGAACTCCCATTCACAATTGCTTCAAAGAGAATAAAATACCTAGGAATCCAACCTACAAGGGATGTGAAGGACCCCTTCAAGGAGAACTACAAACCACTGCTCAACGAAATAAAAGAGGACACAAACAAATGGAAAACCATTCCATGCTCACGGATAGGAAGAATCAATATCGTGAAAATGGCCATACTGCCCAAGGTAATTTAGAGATTCAATGCCATCCCCATCAAGCTACCAATGACTTTCTTCACAGAATTGGAAAAAACTACTTTAAAGTTCACATGGAACCAAAAAAGAGCCCACATTGCCAAGTCAATCCTAAGCAAAAAGAACAAAGCTGGAGGCATCACGCTACCTGACTTCAAACTATACTACAAGGCTACGGTAACCAAAACAGCATGGTACTGTTACCAAAACAGAGATATAGACCAATGGAACAGAATAGAGCCCTCAGAAATAATACCACACATCTACAACCATCTGATCTTTGACAAACCTGACAAAAACAAGAAATGGGGAAAGGATTCCCTATTTAATAAATGGTGCTGGGAAAACTGGCTAGCCATATGTAGAAAGCTGAAACTGGATGCCTTCCTTACACCTTATACAAAAATTAATTCAAGATGGATTAAAGACTGAAATGTTAGACCTGAAACCATAAAAACCCTAGAAGAAAACCTAAGCAATATCATTCAGGACATAGGCATGGGCAAGGACTTCATGTCTAAAATATCAAAAGCAATGGCAACAAAAGCCAAAATTGACAAATGGGATCTAATTAAACTAAAGAGCTTCTGCACAGCAAAAGAAACTACCATCAGAGTGAACAGGCAACCTACAGAATGGGAGAAAATTTTTGCAATCTACTCATCTGACAAAGGGCTAATATCCAGAATCTACAAAGAACTCAAACAAATTTACAAGAAAAAAACAAACAGCCCCATCAAAAAGTGGGCAAAGGATATGAACAGACACTTCTCAAAAGAAGACATTTATGCAGCCAACAGACACATGAAAAAATGCTCATCATCACCGGCCATCAGAGAAATGCAAATCAAAACCACAATGAGATACCATCTCACACCAGTTAGAATGGCGATCATTAAGAAGTCAGGAAACAACAGGTGCTGGAGAGGATGTGGAGAAATAGGAACACTTTTACACTGTTGGTGGGACTGTAAACTAGTTCAGCCATTGTGGAAGACAGTGTGGTGATTCCTCAAGGATCTAGAACTAGAAATACCATTTGACCCAGCCATCCCATCACTGGGTATATACCCAAAGGATTATAAATCATGCTGCTATAAAGGCACATGAACACGTATGTTTATTGTGGCACTATTCACAATAGCAAAGACTTGGAACCAACCCAAATGTCCAACAATGATAGACTGGATTAAGAAAATGTGGCACATATACACCATGGAATACTATGCAGCCATAAAAAATGATGAGTTCATGTCCTTTGTAGGGACATGGATGAAGCTGGAAACCATCATTCTCAGCAAACTATCGCAAGGACAAAAAACCAAACGCCGCATGTTCACATTTATAGGTGGGAATTAAACAGTGAGAACACATGGACACAGGAAGGGGAACATTACACACTGGGGCCTGTCGGGGGTAGGGGGAGCAGGGAGGAATAGCATTAGGAGATATGCCTAATGTAAATGACGAGTTAATGGGTGCAGCACACCAGTATGACACATGTATACATATGTAACAAACCTGCACGTTGTGCACATGTACCCTAGAACTTAAAGTATAATAAAAAAATTAAAAAAAGAAAAAAAAGTATCCCTAATTTAATAGGTGAAAAATTCGACTTCATTGTTGCTTTAATTTGCATTACTTTAATTATGAGTATGGACACTTTTTCCACATTTGTTTACTGATGATGTTGCTGTTTGTGAATAAGATGTGTTTGTTCCTACCCCTTCCTACCCCTAATCTTTCTGGCAGAAAATAAAAAGATTGAAGTTGGAAAAAAAATCACGTGTCCCATAAATATATACAACCATTATGTACTCATAATAATTTTTTAAAAGGTGTAGTCATTAAATAAAAGACTCTTTATTTTTCACACAGTTTTTCAACATTTATCAACTACCTACTATGTGTACTAGATAATGTAGTCTGTTTCAAAATTCACATTTTGGTAAATGAAATTTGCTGGCCCTCTCCCAACAAGGTATTGATATATTTCAAATAAACAATAATCCACATTTAGCTACATCTTTCTCAGTGATACAATAATTGTGCCAGCTTTCATATCTTTCTGATAATTTTTCACGAGCTGAAAAAAGCCCAATTTTATAATGTTTACAACAAAAGATGAAATACTAGAAGGGAAACTGAACACTATTGAGACTCGATGTATAAAACAAAATAAATGAGTGCCTTTAAAAAGTTGAATATCTGGCCCTATTATAACTTACTAGTATCAGTATCTGTTACAACATCTTCCTTACCTCACCCCATCTAGTTTTAATTTAAGAAGCTGTATACATCTGCTTGCTTAAGGTCGTACCTCTGTGATGGTGTTCATGCTTTGCATGTGTGTGTGTGTGTGTGTGAGCACGCACGCACGCACGCATAGTTGTGTGTGTGTGTATTTTCCAAGTAGTGATTAAAATTATTTCTAAAATTAGACCTAGGTTTAAATAAAAATTCTGTCACTTACCAACTACATAACTCCAATATTAAACTGTGGATGACTTAGTTTTCTCCTACGTGGAAGAGAATAATAATAGTAGCTTCCTTATTCAGTTGTTAGGAGCAAAAATTAGATAATGTATGGGAAATACTTAGCCTGGCATACAATAAACTCTAATTTTCAATTAGTTACTGTTGTCACTGTGGTTGTTACTCAGTTAGTTGCTGTTGTTGCCATTGTTGTTACCTGATTTTACTTTAAAAGCCAGTTTAAACAACTACCTTCATCCTGGCTCTGACCATAGGAGGGATGGAATTTGGATTAGGCTTTGATGAGGAGACATGACCCAAACTGCATACCTTAGCCTGTGCATCAAAGGGAGAGAGAAGGATTGAGGATAGAAGGCCTTGTATGGGTTTAGGCAGTTTAGTTAATCCCTTTAAATCTGATTTGTACAATGAGGTTAATGCTTACAAATTTCTACCTGGTTGTTTTCTGGAAGAAAAAAAAAAAAAGCCTATGTGAAAGCTCCTAACCCAGAGGCTAGCACTTGGTAGGAGCACCAGTTTCCTCACCTGCTGTCAGTCAAACCATCTGCTTCTCTTTTTTCTTCCTTTCTTTCTCTGCTTGAACACTAGCTGAGGCCCCTTCCTTAGGCTGTGGCCACATATAATCTCCATGCAGTGCTTCAAGGGACTTGCTGTAAAGGAATTACTTCCCCCTCATCAAAGTAGACACTTCTACTGAAAACCAACTCTGTTCCTCAGTAGAAGAAGAAGGAAACCAGCATTATCATGATGATGATGATCATCATCGTCATCATTTTTTGTATCTTTCTGATAATTTTTCACTAGCTGAAGCATCACCATCATCGTTTTGAAACATCTATGTAAAAGGTCTTGTAGACTCCCTGAAAAAGCATCTTCTTTTTATTCACCTTATTGTTTTCATTGCTTCTCTCTTTGAAGCATATTAGACAATTAAAGCGACTTGGATTCCAGCCTTTTCAATATTTTGATTAAGATTTTATGTTCAGTAGTCAGTGGTATGTAATTTTGGAAGTATAATAAGAATTTTAATTAATTTTCATAGGTTTGCTAATTAAAACAATTAAGAGGTGGAACTTACTCACTGGAAAAATAATTGGAGGATCTCTAGTGAACATTATCCTTGAGGTTTCACACAAGCACAAAATGGTGTAAATTTGTTTTAAAAATAGCTAGAAATCCAAAAGAAGTAATTATAACATCAAGCCAAAGTTGTGTCTGCATTTATCCTTTTTAAAAATAGGAGATAACATTTTCGTTAAGCTTCTGGAAGCTGCTTCTGCCTGCCTCTGTGTTCATGGCAGTAGCAATAATTAGAAGCACCACCAGACTACTTTTTAAAATAACAGCATGATATGTAAACTTTAAACTTTGGAGATAAGTTTTGACAACACAAAGTACTGAGAGGTGAGAAAATGAGGAAAACAAACACTGAGAAAGCCCAAGAAAGTAAAAGAAATATCAAATGTGAATTAAACTACTCTCTGCTGACAGGATGGAGTCCGTAAAGTGAAAGCGTTTCTAACTTTTTAGAAGTCACAGAACCTTTAGGGTGAAAATATATTTTCTAGAAACCTAACACAGGACACAATCCTTGACAGTAGTAGAACCACAGAGTGAATATGAAAAGAAAAAGGAACACATACAGAAATATTCAAGCAGTTAAGCACAGTGGTTAAATGCAAGAGCTTCGGAGTCACTCTAAGTTTTAATCGTTACTTCACTGTTAAAATAGGGTAATGAGACCTATCCCAAAAGATTGTTGTAAGGATTAAATGATTTAATATATGTTAATCACTTAGAACAATGCTCTATCCAAACTAAAGTTTAGTTATTTTTATAATTATCCTCATTTGCATTTAAAGTATGAGAAAATAGTAATTTCTTCAAGTCCAAAGCCATGTCCACTGTGGTAGCTTATTCAAATGATGTTATACAACCTTGCAAGAGGCCCAGAGTTTTCTGGAAATGGCGTTTTAAAACCTCAGCATGTTCATCCAAAGCCTTACAAATGTCGATACCCTTTAATTCCATAATTACATTTAACAGTATCTAGTCTAAGGAAATGATAAAAATGTAAGCAGTTGTATACAAAGATATTCACCACAGTATTATTTATTAAAAAAACTTAGAGGCCAGGCACAGTGGCTCACGCTTGTAATCCCAGCACTTTGGGAGGCTGAGGTGGGTGGATCACGAGGTCAAGAGATCGAGACCATCCTGGCCAACATGATGAGACCCTGTCTCTACTAAAAATACAAAAATTAGCTGGGTGTGGTGGCACGCACCTGTACTCCCAGCTACTTGGGAGGCTGAGGCAGCAGAATCGCTTGAACCCGGGAGGCAGAGTTTGCAGTGAGCTGAGATCGTGCCATTGCACTCCAGCCTGGTGACAGAGCAAGACTCCGTCTCAAAAAAAAAAAAAAAAAAAAAAAAAAACAACAAAAAACAAAATACCAAAAACTTAGAAAGTCTAAATGTCAGAAAAAAGAGGAAAAAATAGTAAATTATTTAAATGGATGATAATATTTTTATACGATGAAATATAATACAATGATTAAAAATGTTGGCCTCTGGTTATCTTTCATAATTATATGTAACATGCTGATGGTATGGAGGTAAGTGAAATCAGCAAAAGATATATAACTTTATTTATAATGTGATCATAATTTACAATATGACTATTTAAAAATATGTCTAGAATATCCCTTTGAAAAGTATACTAATAACAGATTATTTCAGAGGGTTAAAACAGGGACCAGCAAACTTTTTCTGTAAAGGGCCAGGTGGTAAATATTTTAGGTTTCGTGGGGCATGTAGTCTCTGTCTCAAATAAACAACTCTGTTATCGTTGTGTGGAAAGTAGCCATGGATAATAGTAAACAAAGGGGTGTGGCTCTCTTCCAATAACATTTGATTCATAAAAAACAGTTGGTCAACCTGCTGGCTATAATTTGCCAACCCCTGGGTTAAATTTGTGGTGTATTTATTTTCTTTTAAATATTTTTCTATATTTTCTAAATTTTTTTTTCAGTAAGAAAAGCAAAAATTACCCTCATAATTTAAAATAAAACAATAAGTACTATTGTTTGTTATTAAAAAATAGAAAATACCATGGATAGTTAGAAAATGGCCAAGTAGACTTTTGTAACTTAAACATTTGTATCAGGTGCTATGGTCTGAATGTTTCTGTATCTTCAAAGTACATATGTTAAAATCTAAACCCCAAGGTGATGATATTAGGGGGCAGGGCCTTTTGGGAGTAGATTAGGTCATAAGGGCAGAGCCCTTACAAATGGGATTAGTGCCCTTATAAAAAGGCCCCTAGAGAGCTGTCTTACCCCTTTCCACCATGTGAAGACACAAGAAGGCACCATCTATGATTAGGAAATGGGCCCTTACCAAACATCAACTCTGCTGGTGCCTTGATCTTGGACTGCCCAGCATCTAGAACCATGAGAAATAAATTTCTGTTGTTTACAAGCTACCCAGTTTATGGTAGTTTGTAATAGCTGCCCAAGTGAACTAAGATATCAAGTCACATTAAGACTTGCTCAAAAATACATACCTCAAAATAATAAGCACTATCTATGACAAACCCACAGCCATCATACTGCCTGGGCAAAAGCTTGAACTATTCCCTTTGAGAACTGGAACAAAACAAGGAGTCCTACTCTCACCATTCCTATTCAGCATAGTACCAGAAGTCCTAGCCAGAGTAATCAGGCAAGAGAAAGAAACAAAAGGCATTCAAACAGGAAAAGAAGTCGAACTCTCTCTCTTCACTGAAGATATGATTCTGTATCTAGGATATCCTAAACACTCTATCAAAAGGATCCCAGAATTGGTAAACAACTTTAGTAAAATTTCAGGATACAAAATCAATGTACAAAAATCAGTAGCATTTCTATACACCAGTAACATCTAGTCTGAGAGTGAAATAAACAACACAATCACACTTACCATAGCCACAAAGAAAATGAAATACCCAGGAATAGAGCTAACCAAGGAGGCGAAAGATCTCTGCAAGGAGAACTACAAAATACTATTGAAACAAATCAAAATCGGAGACAACACAAATAAATCCAAAAAATTCTGTGCTCATGAATTAAAAGAATCAATGTCATAAAAATGGCCATACTGACCAAAGCAACTTACAGATCCAATGCTATTCCTATCAAACTACTAATGTCATTTTTCACAGAATTAGAAAAAAACTATTGTGAAATTCATATGGAACCAAAAAGAGCCCGAATAGCTAAAGCAATCCTAAGCAAAAATAACACAGCCAGAGGCGTCATACCACCCGACTTCAAACTATACTATATAGCCACAGTCATCAAAACAGTTTGGTACTGGTACAAAAACAGACACATAGAACAATGGAACAGAATAGAAAACTCAAAAATAAAGCCACACACCTACAACCATCTGATCTTTGACAAGGCTGACAAAAACAAGCAATGGGGAAAGGACTCATTCAATAAATGGTGCTGGGATAACTGTCTAGCCATATGTACAAGATTGAAGCTGGACCCCTACCTTTCACAATACACAAAAATTTACTCAAGATAGATTAAAGGCTTAAATGTAAGACCTCAAACTATAAAAATTCTGGAAGACAACCTACAAAATACTCTTCTCAACATTGGCCTTGGCCAAGAATTTTTGGCTAAGTCCCCAAAAGCAATTGCAACAAAAACAAAAATAAGCAAGTGGGACCTAATTAAACTAAAGAACACTCTGCACAGCAAAAGAAACTATCAACAGAACAAACAGGCAACCTACAGAATGGGAGAAGGTATTTGCAAATTATGCGTCCAACAAAGGCCTAATATTTAGAATCCTTAGGGAACTTAAATCAACAAGCAAAAAACAAATAAACTCATTAAATAATGAACAGAGGACATGAACAGACTTTGCTTAAAAGAAGACATACAAGTGATCAACAAACATATGAAAAAATGCTCAGCATCACTAATCATCAGAGAAATGCAAATAAGAACCACAATGAGATAACATCTCACACCAGTCAGAATAGCTATTATTAAAAAGTCAAAAACACAATACAGGGTAGGTTCCAAGATGGCCAAATAGGAACAACTCCAGTCTGCAGCTCCCAGCGTGATCAACACAGAAGATGGGTGATTTCTGCATTTCCAACAGTTACCTGGTTCATCTCACTGGGACTGGTTGGATAGTAGGTGCAGCCCACGGAGGGCAAGCCAAAGCAGGGTGGGGTGTCACCTCACCCGGGAAGCCCAAGGAGTCAGGGGATTTCCCTTTCCTAGCCAAGGGAAGCTGTGATAGACTACCTGGAAAAACAGGACACTCCCCGCCCAAATACTGTGCTGTTCCCAAGGTCTTAGCAACCAGCACACAAGGTGATTCTCTCCTGTGCCTGGCTCTGTGGCTGCCACGCCCGTGGAGCCTCGCTCACTGCTAGCGCAGCAGTCTGAGATCGATCTGCAAGATGGCAGCCTGGCTGGGGCAGGGGCATCTGCCTTTGCTGAGGCTTGAGTAGGTAAACAAAGCGGCGGGGAAGCTCGAACTGGGTGGGGCCCACCGCAGCTCAACAAAGCCTACGGCCTCTAGACTCCACCTCTGTGGGCAGGGCATAGCTGAACAAAAGGCAGCAGACAACTTCTGCAGACTTAAACGTCCCTGTCTGACAGCTCTGAAGAGAGCAGTGGTTTTCCCAGCATGGCGTTTGAGATCTGAGAACAAACAGACTGCCTCCTCAAGTGGGTCCCTGACCCCCGTGTAGCCTAACTGGGAGACAACTCCCAGTAGGGGCCGACAGACACCTCATATAAGCCGCTGCCCCTCTGGGACGAAGCTCCCAGAGGAAGGATCAGGCAGCAATATTTGCTGTTCTGATATATTTGCTGTTCTGCAGCCTCTGCTGGTGATACCCAGGCAAACAGGGTCTGGAGTGGAACTCCAGCAAACTCCAACAGACCTGCAGCCGAGGGACCTGACTGTTAGAAGGAAAACTAACAAACAGAAAGGAATAGCATCAACATCAACAAAAATCTTATCTACACCAAAACCCCATCTGTAGATCACCAACATCAAAGACCAAAGATAGATAAAACCACAAAGATGGGGAGAAACCAGAGCAGAAAAGCTGAAAATTCTAAAAATCAGAGCACCTCTTCTCCTCCAAAGGATCGCAGCTCCTTGCCAGCAATGGAACAAAGCTGGATGGAGAATGACTTTGACGAGTTGACAGAAGTAGGCTTCAGAAGGTCGGTAATAACAAACTTCTCCGACCTAAAGGAGGATGTTCAAACCCATCGCAAGGAAGCTAAAAACCTGGAAAAAAGATTAGACGAATGGCTAACCAGAATAAACAGTGTAGAGAAGACCTTAAATGACCTGATGGAGCTGAAAACCATGGCACGAGAACTTCGTGACGAATGCACAAGCTTCAGTAGCTGATTTGATCAAGTGGAAGAAAGGGTATCTATCAGTGATTGAAGATCAAATTAATGAAATAAAGTGAGAAAACAAGGTTAGAGAAAAAAGAGTAAAAAGAAATGAACAAAGCCTCCAAGAAATATGGGACTATGTGAATAGACCAAATCTACATTTGATTGGTGTACCTGAAAGTGATGGGGAGAATGGAACCACGCTGGAAAACATTCTTCAGAATATTATCCAGGAGAACTTCCCCAACATAGCAAGGCAGGACAACATTCAAATTCAGGAAATACAGAGAACACCAGAAAGATACTCCTCGAGAAGAGCAACCCCAAGACACATAATTGTCAGATTCACCAAGGTTGAAATGAAGGAAAAAATGTTAAGGGCAGCCAGAGAGAAAGGTCAAGTTACCCACAAAGGGAAGCCCATCAGACTAACAGCGGATCTCTCTGCAGAAACCCTACAAGCCAGAAGAGAGTGGGGCCAATATTCAACATTCTTAAAGAGAAGAATTTTCAACGCAGAATTTCATATCCAGACAACTAAGATTCATAAGCGAAGGAGAAATAAAATCCTTTACAGACAAGCAAATGCTGAATGATTTTATCATCACCAGGGCTGCCTTGCAAGAGCTCCTGAAGGAAGCACTAAATATGGAAAGAAACAACTGGTACCAGCCACTGCAAAAACAGGCCAAATTGTAAAGACCATCGATGCTATGAAGAAACTGCATCAATTAATGGGCAAGATAACCAGTGAACATTAAAATGACAGGATCAAATTCACACGTAACAACATTAACCTTAAACGTAAATGGGCTAAATATTCCAATTAAAAGACAGAGACTGGCAAATTGGATAAAGAGTCAAGACCCATCAGTGTGCTGTATTCAGGAGATCCATCTCACATGCAAAGACACACATAGGCTCCAAATAAAGGGTTGGAGGAAGATCTACCAAGCAAATGGAAAGCAAAAAAAGGCAGGGGTTGCAATCCTACTCTCTGATAAAACAGACTTTAAGCCAACAAAGATCAAAAGAGACAAAGAAGGTCATTACATAATGGTAAAGTGATCAAGTCAACAAGAAGAGCTAACTATCCTAAATATATATGCACCCAATACAGGAGCACCCAGATTCATAAAGCAAGTCCTTAGATACCTACAAAGAGACTTAGACTCCCACACAATAATATTGGGAGACTTTAACACCCCACTGTCAATATTAGACAGATCAATGAGACAGAAGGTTAACAAGGATATCCAGGACATGAACTCAGCTCTGCAACAAGCAGACCTAATAGACATCTACAGAACTCTCCACCCCAAATCAACAGAATATACATTCTTCTCAGCAACACATCACACTTATTCTAAAACTGACCACATAATTGGAAGTAAAGCACTCCTCAGCAAATGCAAAGGAACAGAAATCACAACAAACTGTCTCTCAGACCACAGTGCAATCAAATTAGAACTCAGGATTAAGAAACTCACTCAAAACCACACAACTACATGGAAACTGAATAACTTGCTCCTGAATGGCTCATGGGTAAATAACGAAATTAAGGCAGAAATAAAGATGTTCTTCGAAATCAATGAGAACAAAGACACAACGTACCAGAATCTCTGGGACACATTTAAAGCAGTGTGTAGAGGGAAATTTATAGCTCTAAATGCCCACAAGAGAAAGCAGGAAAGATCTAAAATCAACACCCTAACATCACAATTAAAAGAACTAGAGAAGCCAGAGCAAACAAATTCAAAAGCTAGCAGAAGGCAAGAAATAACTAAGATCAGAGCAGAACTGAAAGAGATAGAGACACAAAAAACCCTTCAAAAAAATCAATGAATGCAGGAGCTGGTTTTTTGAAAAGATCAGCAAAATTGATAGACTGCTAGCAAGACTAATCAGGAAGAAAAGACAGAAGAATTAAACAAATGCAATAATAAAAAATGATAAAGGGGATATCACCACCAATCCCACAAAAATAGAAACTACCACCAGAGAATACTATAAATACCTCTATGCAAATGTACTTGAAAATCTAGAAGAAATGGATAAATTCCTAGACACATACACCCTCCCAACACTAAACCAGGAAGAAGTTGAATCTCTGAATAGAACAATAACAGGCTCTGAAATTGAGGCAATAATTAATAGCCTACCAATCAAAAAGAGTCCAAGACCAGAAGGATTCACAGCCAAATTCTACCAGAGGTACAAAGAGGAGCTGGTACCATTCCTTCTGAAACTATTCCAATCAATAGAAAAAGAGGGAATCCTCTCTAACTCATTTTATGAGGCCAGCATCATTCTGATACGAAAGCCTGGCAGAGACACAACAAAAAAAGATAATTTTAGACCAATAACCCTGATGAACATTGGTGCGAAAATCCTCAATAAAATACTGGCAAACCAAATCCAGCAGCACATCAAAAAGCTTATCCACCACGATCAACTTGGCTTCATCCCTGGAATGCAAGGCTGGTTCAACGTATGCAAATCAATAAATGTAATCCATCACATAAAGAGAACCATCGACAAAAACCACACAATTATCTCAATAGATGCAGAAAAGGGCTTTGACAAAATTCAACAGCACTTCATGCTAAAAACTCTCAATAAACTAGGTATTGATGGAACGTATCTCAAAATAACAAGAGCTATTTAGGACAAACCCACAGCCAATATCATACTAAATGGGCAAAAACTGGAAGCATTCCCTTTGAAAACTGGTGAGAGAGGCATGCCCTCTCTCACCACTCCTATTCAGCGTAATGTTGGAAGTTCTGGCCGGGGCAATCAGGCAAGAGAAAGAAATAAAGGGAACGAGGAAGGTCAAATTGTCTGTTTGCAGATGGCATGATTGTATATTTAGAAAACGCCATCGTCTCAGCCCAAAATCTCCTTAAGCTGATAAGCAAATTCGGCAAAGTCTCAGGATACAAAATCAATGTGCAAAAATCACAAGCATTCTTATACACCATTAACAGACAAACAGAGAGCCAAATCATGAGTGAACTCCCATTCACAATTGCTTCAAAGAGACTAAAATACCTAGGAATCCAACCTACAAGGGATGTGAAGTACCCCTTCAAGGAGAACTACAAACCACTGCTCAATGAAATAAAGAGGACACAAACAAATGGAAGAACATTCCATGCTCATGGATAGGAAGTATCAATATCCTGAAAATGGCCATACTGCCCAAAGTAATTTATAGATTCAATGCCATCCCCATCAAGCTACCAATGACTTTCTTCACAGAATTGGAAAAAACTACTTTAAAGTTCATATGGAACCAAAAAAGAGCCTGCATTGTCAAGACAATCCTAAGCAAAAAGAACAAGGCTAGAGGCATCACGCTACCTGACTTCAAACTGTACTACAAGGCTACAGTAATCAAAACAACATAGTACTGGTACCAAAACAGAAATATAAACCAGTGGAACAGAACAGAGGCCTCAGAAATAATACCACACATCTACAACCATCTGATCTTTGACAAACCTGACAAAAACAAGAAATGAGGAAAGGATTCCCTATTTAATAAATGGTGCTGGGAAAACTGGCTAGCCATATATAGAAAGCTGAAACTGGATCCCTTCCTTACACCTTATACAAAAGTTAATTCAAGATGGATTAAAGACTTAAATGTTAGACTTGAAACCATAAAAACCCTAGAAGAAAACCTAGGCAATACCATTCAGGACATAGGCATGGGCAAGGACTTCATGACTAAAACACCAAAAGCAATGGCAATAAAAACCAAAATAGACAAATGGAATCTAATTAAACTAAAGAGCTTCTGCACGGCAAAAGAAACTACCATCAGAATGAACAGGCAACCTACAGAGTGGGAGAAAATTTTTGCAATCTACCCACCTGACAAAGGGCTAATATGCAGAATCTACAAAGAACTCAAGCAAATATTCAAGAAAAAAGCAAACAACCTCATCAAAATGTGAGCAAAGGATATGAACAGACACTTCTCAAAAGAAGACATCTATGCAGCCAATAGACACATAAAAAAATCCTCATCATCACTGGTCATCAGAGAAATGCAAGTCAAAACCACAATGAGATACCATCTCACACCAGTTAGAATGGCAATCATTAAAAAGTCAGGAAACAACAGATGCTGGAGAGGATGTGGAGAAATAGGAACACTTTTACACTGTTGTTGGGAGTGTAAATTAGTTCAACCATTGTGGAAGACAGTGTGGTGATTCCTCAGGGATCTAGAACTAGAATTACCATTTGATGCATCAATCCCATTACTGCACATATACCCAAAGGATTATAAATCATGCTACTATAAAGAAAAATGCACACGTATGTTTATTGTGGCACTATTCACAATAGCAAAGACTTGGAACCAACCCAGATGTCCATCAGTGATAGACTGGATTAAGAAAATGTGGCACATATACACTATGGAATACTATGCAGCCATAAAAAGGATGAGTTCGTGGATGAAGCTGGAAACCATCATTCTCAGCAACTATCACAAGGATAGAAAACCAAACACTGCATGCTCTCACTCTTAGGTAGGAATTGAACAATGAGATCACTTGGACACAGGAAGGGGAACATCACACTCTGGGGACTGTTGTGGGGTGAGGGGAGGGGGGAGGGATAGCTTTAGGAGATATACCTAATGCGAAATGACGAGTTAATGGGTGCAGCACACCAGCATGGCACATGTATACATATGTAACTAACCTGCACATTGTGCACATGTACCCTAAAACTTAAAGTACAATAATAATAAAATAAGAAATAAAAAATAAAAAAATAAAATAAATTTTCACCTGTACACTGCTAATATAATCTCATTTATGCTTATAAAAGTAGATAATTTGATAAATTCATATGAAGACAGCAGGATTTCAGTTATTAGTAAGATAATCTGTGGCACTGTACTACACAGCCCCCAGGAGAGTATGTGAGTTTTCATTCGAATGATTGGTATGTGCAGCCACTAAGTAAAAAGGGAACACTACTGGGTTGCTTTCAATATCTAAAGTAAAAAAAAAATGGTCTTTGTTTAAGCAGCAACCAATGATGTAAAATCTCTCAGACATCTAACAGTATGTATTTAGAACATAATGGGAATTTTGTGTCACTGCCTCATCAATGATGAAAACAGTGATAATTAGTTTTACTAATTATCATTAATATTTTAGATACTAATGATAATTAGTACCCAGTATTTTAGAAATACCATCTCATTTACTCCCTACAATATTATATCTCCCACATTAGAGATGAGAAAATGGAGTCTCTGAGAAGTAACCTTGCCCAAGTCACACAATTAGAAAGCAGAGGAGCTGCCACTAACACTCAGGCTCTTAAAAGATCAAGGTTTTTCTATGAAACCATGATGCTTCCCAATCAACCGAGCTCCTTCCACCTCCTGAGACTATCCCTTCTTCTTCTGTCATGGAAAGAGAACCTGAGCAGAACAAAACAATCAGCACCTCACATGCAGCCTGTCTCCTGGCTGTAGGGACATGGGCACGTCAAAGAGTCGAGTATGGCTTTCCCTTAAGAAGAAAGATAATGAAGATGGGAGTAATTGCTCAAAAAATTGCAGGAGCCACATAAAACCAGTATCTCAAAACAAAAAGTTACAGACTTTCGCAATAAGTAGTCCATCATTTAGACCACTTATTCAGCAACAATAGGGGTGCAGGTTTCTCTATTAGATTCCTGCACCCCTTCATCTACCCTCCCGATTCAGTTGAAATAATTCACGCAGTTTGGGCTGAAAAGAAACAAACAACATTTGCAGGATACCATTTCATAAATCCCCCTGCAGGGCACTGACTGGCAGCTCACTGCATTTCTCATGGCACATTTCACATCCCTGGGGTGTGCAAAACACTTGCAGTAATGTAAAATATGAGAATATCAAATGAAATGTTTATGGAGATTTTTCTACAGCTGCTAGCTAGGAACCCCTCCTTTGTAGAAATGTTGCCAGGATTCCCAAAAATTACACAGAACTGTCCTTCTAATTAGAGTCAGCAAGTAAGAAAATTTTGTTAGCATTTATCATAAGGTCATGATGTCATATTCTAAAGACGACTATCAGATAATTTTGGGAATGTGTTATTATGTAGTATATAAGAGTAATCAGTCAAAAGTAGTTGCTCAAAATAAACATAGTCTACAGAGAATAGGCTTGAGAGACAGATTGATCTAAGTCCTAGATCCTGATCCACTCCCTCTTAGCCAACTAATCGTATCAAATAAAGACCTCTCTGAGAAAATATTTCCTCATTTGTAAACCAGGGAATAGTATCTCAGGGGACAGTTATGAGGACCAAATAAAATAATGATCACATATAAAGCACTTACAAAACTTTCTGACACTTAAAAGGTATTCAATAAATGTTAGATTTTTTCTCCTTTAGTATCCCAAATAGTTTCAATATACTGATTACTTACCTATTTACTTGATTTCTAATAGACACAAAAGCTACAGGGGAAAATATAGTTCAAAAGACAGCAAGGTATTCAGTTGTTTCCTGTAATGAAGAACTTTGTATTATAGGCATATTTGATCTACAGTTGAAGTTTCTTTGCAGAACACACTTATGATGTCATGTAATCCAGTCTGCAGGAAAATAAAGGACATTTCAATAGGGTCTCAATTTTATAATTTTAATGAGTATTATCACTATGGTGATCTTTGGATATACACTAATTCTCATTTAATTGTGTTTCTAATTTTTTTTAAATTTTCATAGAGGTATCCAAAATGTTAAGTCAATTTATTATTTTAAAAGCTACTATAAGATAAAGCATGATATGTAATTTAGTCATGGAATATAACGATGAAACAGTAATTATAAATAATACTAATGTGAACTAAAATGTAACATTTACTACACTCCAAGTATCTGATATGTGCATTTTAACTGTATTAATTTATCTAATCCACCCAACAATGAAAGAGAGGGTATTATTATTATCCTATTTTACAGATAAGGAAACTGAGGCACAGAGGGGTTAATGATGTGTCTAAGAGCTAAGTAGAGTAGGAGACACAAAGGGGAGAAAGAGGAAGATGAATTTTCAGTTACTCTTTATAACATGTTAGCCCTTTTGAATTGAAAAGTAAAATCTGAGGCTATTTATTGTTTTTGTTTGTTCCTTGAAGTTGCTTGGCTGTTGGCCTATTAAGAATCCTCTATCTGCAATAGTCTGGATTTGAATCCCGTTGCTATGGGCTGTACTTTTCTAATAATAAATATATGGATATAAAATACAGAAAACTGAATTAAATACTGGGTTGTTTTTATGCACAATATAAACACCTCCTTTTTTTTTTTTTTTTTTTTTTTTTTTAGACGGTGTCTCCCTCTGTCGCCAGGCTGGAGTACAATGGCACAATCTCGGCTCACTGCAATCTCCACCTCCAGGGTTCCAGGGATTCCCCTGCCTCAGCCTCCTGAGTAGCTAGTAGGTGGGTGCACCACCACACCCAGCTAATTTTTTGTATTTTAGTAGAGACGGGGTTTCATCATGTTGGCTAGGATGGTCTTGATCTCCCGACCTCGTGATCCGCCTGCCACGGCCTCCCAAAGTGCTGGGATTACAGGCGTGAACCACCGCGCCCGGCCCAACACCTACGTTTTTAAAAGTCTTCTGAGGATTGAGTGATTTTTAAACAGTTATTTTCAAGACACTTGAATCTGTAGGCAGAGTCTTTGTATGAGAAGGTGAGGAAGCTAACGGCACTATAATACTACCTGATATGTCATATGTTGTTCTGGGGTTGTGAGAGGTAAATAAGACATAATCCTGCCTGGAATGAATGGGGTAGTTGTACTGGCACTATCAGCTATTTGATTTCCTAAAATATTCTGCTGGATGAATAGAGTTATATCTGCACTATTTGGAAAATGACCCTTTCATAGGTTCCAAGTATTCCTTAACAGCGACTGCCAGTCAGTGTCAAATCTGGCTTGAACACACTATAATTTCAATTAAGTGGCACACCACTTAAATATGCACATAAATAAATTGCATAGAAAAATTATGGAGGGAGAGTAGAATGATCTAACAATAATGCATGTCAAACTTATGGTAAACACCTATCATGCCAAATCCCCCTGACATTTTTCCTTCTGGTGAAAATATATACAGTAATATTTCTATTAAGGATGCTTTTAACAGTAAACTTTGATGTCAGAAGCCTAGTTATGAGAAGGAGAAAGAGGAATAGTGATAGTTTTTGGGGAGATTCTTGTCTCACCACACTGACGGGGCACCGAATTCCTTAAGTGTTAAGTGTATATAACTGTGGGTTTTGGTTTTTTGGGCCACATGTGGAGATTCTTTTCACTCTTAAGAGGATCATAAAAGGCCTAAGAATGTGAAGCATTTTTGTCAGTTTCAGGCCACCCGAGTAAGGTCTACCCTTCAGCAGGCTTCCTTGCTAGTTTGCCTTGGAAAAGTTTGTGCATAACATGCATCCTTCTACCATAGCAGTCACCACCAATCCAGGTCTAAGGATACGGGATCTGGTCCCATCTCCCTCCCACTTATTGTCTCCCCAATCCCAAGTCAAGTGTGTGACTATAGGTAAGTTGACAATCTCTTCATGACTCAGTTTCCTCATCTGTAAATTTAGGAAGACAATAGGACCTACCTCAAAAGGTGGTTGTGAGGATTAGTTTTATCTGCCATTAGATGGTTGTATGGTTGAGAGAAAACATCTCTTGGAATAGAATGACCTGGGTTAAGATTCTGCCTTTGCCATACACTACCTTTGTGATCTTGGGCAAAATCTTGAATTTCTCTGAGCCATAGCTTCTGCTATTGAAAATGAAAAAAGTTTACCTACCTTTCGGGGTGGATGTGAGAATAAAAAATAATGTATGAGAATTATCTAGACCATGTTAAATATTCAGTTAATGGAAGTTATTTTGAAGTAAGCCCTCATTTATGTATCTACTACATTTAATGCCCTGTGATATGTGCTGTAGGGAAGATGTGAATTTACAGTATGGCTGGAAAATATCTTGTATTATGATGAAGGAGGTTATTGTATCACTGTACTAGCCACTGTTTTTTTCATATTAGCTTGTGGCACTAACAGCTGTCACAAATATATAATACCCATAAAATGGTTTGAGGATAAAGTGCTTAATCACTTCTAAGCATTTACTACTTTCACCAGTTATCACAGGGCTTATTCTGATATTGAGCCCGTCAGTTACAGATGGACATGAAAGTTATTTTCTTACAAATTATCTTGCATTTGATTGATATGTAAATTATATTTTTGACTTTTCCAACAAGTTACCTATTTATAATTACGTTTTTAAAAACATGAAGTCCCTTATTTTATACATACAAAACTATATATACAAGGCAAAAGTATATATTATATTGTTTTGTATGTATAATACAAATTTTATGTATGTATAATACAAATTGTTTTGTATGTATAATAGAAATGTGTGTGTATATATATATATGTATATATATCATAAAGAGTTATAAAACAAGAACCCATGTTCCCTCCCCTCTACTTCAGAGGTAGAAGTGTCCTTCCCTATCATATTCTTTTCTCTCCTTAGACAAAAATAACCACTCTTTTGAATTTCACGTTTCTCATTTTCTTTCCTTTTTAAACATTTTTTAAGTTCAGGGTTACATGTGCAGCTTTGTTACATAGGTAAACTTGTGTCATGGGGGTTTGAAATACATGGATGATAATTTTTATTATTTTTTTATTTTATTATACTTTAAGTTTTAGGGTACATGTGCACAACGTGCAGGTTTGTTACATACGTATACATGTGCCATGTTGGTGTGCTGCACCCATTAACTCGTCATTTAACAGGTATATCTCCTAATGCTATCCCTCCCCACTCCCCCTACCCCACAACAGGTCCCAGTGTGTGATGTTCCCCTTCCTGTGTCCATGTGTTCTCATTGTTCAATTCCTACCTATGAGTGAGAACATGCGGTTTTTTGTATTTGTGATAGTTTGCTGAGAATGATGGTTTCCAGCTTCATCCATGTCCCTACAAAGGACATGAACTCATCATTTTTTATGGCTGCATAGTATTCCATGGTGTATATGTGCCACATTTTCTTAATCCAGTCCATCATTGTTGGACATTTGGGTTGGTTCCAAGTCTTTGCTATTGTGAATAGTGCCACAATAAACATACGTGTGCATGTGTCTTTATAGCAGCATGATTTATAATCCTTTGGGTATATACCCAGTAATGGGATGGCTGGGTCAAATGGTATTTCTAGTTCTAGATCCCTGAGGAATCGCCACACTGACTTCCACAATGGTTGAACTAGTTTACAGTCCCACCAACAGTGTAAAAGTGTTCCTATTTCTCCACATGCTCTCCAGCACCTGTTGTTTCCTGACTTTTTAATGATTGCTGAATGAATGTATTTTGCATGTATCTTATGTTTCCCCTATGAAAAATCATACCATGAAGACTTTTAACTAGAGATATTGCCCATGTGGACTGCCAGAAGTTAGAGATTATTTTTAGAGATAGATTATTTATTACTGTGAAAATAGCCCTGTCTTTATTCTCACATTCTTTCAGTGTCTAATGCCATCCTATATATCCTTGATCCAAGATTATTTCATGTTCCATCTCTCAGAGAAAAAAAAAACATACCCCATGTAATGTCAGTGTGTGTATTAGCCTGTACATCCAGACTGATTCTGACAAATCTTTATAATGATCATTAATGTCAGCTTTCAGCAGCCTTAATGCCAAATGGCTAGGATTGTTCCCATTTGTCAGAGAGAAAGCAGAGGCAAAATGCTTCATTTTAATCTAGTAGCAGAATGTATTCAGAGGAATGTTGGTAATTCATGGTGCTACCACTTGATTCTAGCTTTTTTTTTAAAGAAGAATTATTGCTTATGAAATTTTTACACAGAAAAATAAATCCTTTCCTATAGATCATTCCTTTTTTTTTCTTTAGAATATACAGGTACATTCCTTTAAAAATGAACTATCAATACTTATTCCTTACATAATTTTCAAAATATTATATAGGAACTTTTTGGTTTTTATTTTTAGCTCATTTCAGAAAACAACAACAGAGAATTAAATTGTATTTGATGAGTTCAGTGCTGCTCTGAGGGGGAAGAAATGTAAAAATCAGCAGCCATGGAAATAACCAAAGCCTGGAAGGATCTTCATGAGTGATAATCTAAGTTGGCAAAACTCTGGCATGGTTCCTGAGGACCCCGGGAGGCCATTCATAAAGGAACAGTGTTGGACAGGCTCCTGCAGAAGCACTCGGCAAGACAGATGATGTCTGTCATACAAAGGCCTTGGAAAGAAATTAGTTTAAGGCTTTGGCCTCATCAGGAATAGACCAAACTATACAAATAGGGTCACCTCCCTGACCCTCCATTCATCCATCCATCTATCCATCCATTTATTCACCCATCTATCCATATCTGTCTGTCTGCCTATGAATATATTAAAAAATTACCAGCTATTAAGTATCACATGCCCTAAAGTGCTCAGCAAAATGGACTACATGAAGTGAGTGCCCTCTACAAGACTGCTGGTATATGTCATCAGTTTCTATTTCATAAATGTTTCTGGAAATTCAAAGTAATACATGAGCAGCCATCAGGAATCAAAGTAGATTCAGCTTTTTTAAACAATCATAGGTTCATGAAACTGAGAGGAACCTTGTGCAATCATTTAGGAAAAGAAAAAAATGGATTTTTTACTCAAATGGAAAAAAATTATTTATAGACTTAAGGTTTCTAAAAGAATAGAATACACACATAAAAAATAAACACAATCTACAGAGTACTAGAAAGAGTACTTTTAGTACAATTGACTAATATATCTACAAATAACAGGGATGCCTTTGTCATAAGTAATAAAATTTTACTCAGACATTGCTTACTATTTGAAAATGTTGCCTCTGAACTTTCAGGTCAATAATACAAATTATATTAAGATTTCTTTTAGGTACAAAATTCTAACAAAATGCCATGAAATAATATCCTGTAAAAAATCAACAACAAATAGCAGACTGGGGAAAGAGCAACATTTAAATAAAATACCTTCAATTTTCCCTGAACTCATGTAATAGCTTCCATTTTATCATATTTTTACAGTTTCCTTGACAAGATCAGGAGCAAGCCCCTTATTTTAGAACATGTAGTCACTGGACAGTATTTTTCTCTTGAGATAAGGTTATCTCCTGACTTTTGAAAGATTATTTTGACCATCATCTTGCTGTTCTCATATAAATCTTACTCTCATCCTGAAATGAGACCAATTCCAATATCAACCCTCGGTCACAAATTATCCATGACCAAAATCATTACACTGGGAAAATGAAGTTCAGACTAGTGTGTTTGAATTATGGTATGAAGAAAGTCATTGAAAAACTCTGTTCTTTGGGTTTCTATTATCTTAAATCCTGTTTTATTCAACTGCTCCAGTGGTGGAAATCATGGTATAACCCAAAAGCTAAAGGCATAAAGTTGTTTTCAGTTTTGGGTTGTTGTTGTTTTTATAGGAAAATACGGCCCAACCAAAACAAATACAACTTTAAGTTTTACAGATAAAAAGATAGATCAAAATATACTCCTTCAGAGGAAAAAATGTACCTTTAAAAAGGAAATGTGGCCAAATATTTTAAAATAGTGAATATTTGAATGAGTAAATGAATGAATGAATGACTCTATCAACTAACTAGCTTTGCAAAAAGTGCACTGCATACCCAATAGTATGGAAAACTTAGTGCTAGTTGTGAAGGAGACAAAGATGCATACATTATAGAAACCATTAGAAATTAAAATCCATAAACACTCTAGACAAATGAGCAATATTTAGAATCTTCTCTTTGCAAAATTTTTGAGTTTTTTCCTTTTAGCTCTTCTCCTCAAAACATGCATACTTTATTTGTGCATGTAGTAACCATCTAAAGTAATGATTTTTCCAAATTCTTAGTTTATTTTCCATTCTTACTTGCTGAATAATCCTTCCTTTCCCTCATTGACTACTTATGTTACACATTATTATACATTAAATTGTATATATAATATATAATATATACATAAGTAGGATGTATACATACATAATATCTGAGCTATTATACACTAGGCTAAATTATTATTTCAGCACTACTCTTTTTTTCTTCTTCTTTTCTTTTTCTCTACTTTTGGTAGAGATAGGGTTTCACTATGTTGCCCAAGCTGGTCTTGAACTCCTGAGTCGAGATGATCCACCTGTCTTGGCCTCCTACAGTGCTAGGATTACAGGCATGAACCACCATGCCTGGCCTCAGCCTTATTCTTTTAATTATTGTAGCTGAAGTATGTTAAAAAAAATGTGTATGGGCCAGGTGCAGTTAGGCGCAGTGGCTCATGCTTATAATCCCAGCACTTTGGGAGGGCAAGGTGGGAGAATCACTTGAGCCCAGTAGTTAGAGACCAGTCTGAGCAACATGGTAAAGCCCTGTTTCTACAAAAAGTGCAAAAATCAGCCTGGTGTGGTGGCATGCACCTGTAGTCCCAGCTACTAGGGAGGTTGAGATGGGAGGATCCATTGAGCCTGGGAGGTCATGATGGCATCACTGCACTCCAGCTGGGATGGCAGAGCGAGACCATGTCTAAAAAAAAAAAAAACAAAAAAAAAAACCCAAAAAAACATTTGTATGGTTTGGCCAGTCATAGTGGCTCACGCCTGTAAGCCCAGCACTTTGGGAAGCCATGGAGGGGGGACTGCTTGAGGCCAGGATTTTGAGATCAGCTCGGGCAACATAGTGAGACCCTCGTCTCTAAAAAATTTTTTAAAATTTGCCAGGTGTGTTCGTGCGCACCCGTAGTCTCAGCTACTCTGGAGGCTGAGGCAGGAGGATCACTTGAGACCAGGAGGCTGAGGCTGCAGTGAGCCATGATTAGGGCACTGCACTCCAGTGTGGGCAACAGAGTTAGACCCTGTCACTAAAGAAAAAAAATGTTTAAAAAAACAATGTGTATGGTTACTTTACCTTTAGTACATTTCTTTTTCAAAAGTTTCTTTGCATTTTCCCACGTTTAGTACTCCAGTGCATTTTAGGACCCCCAGCTCTCAATTTGTTTAAGATATTTATTGTAATAACATTAGATGTGAATATATATATATATAATTTGGCAAAATTACTGTCTTTATAGTGTTTAGTTTCCCTAATCATGCATATGATATAACTGTACATTTATTTATTTATTTATTTTTGAGATGGAGTCTCGCTCTGTCGCCCAGGCTTGAGTGCAGCGTCGCAATCTCTCCTCACTGTAAGCTCCGCCTCCCGGGTTCATGCTATTCTCCTGCCTCAGCCTCCCGAGTAGCTGGGACTACAGGCACCCACCACCACGCCTGGCTAATTTTTTTCTATTTTTAGTAGAGACGGGGTTTCACCATGTTAGCCAGGATAGTCTCAATCTCCTGACTTCGCGATCCGCTTGCCCTGGCCTCCCAAGGTGCTGGGATTACAGGTGTGAGCCACTGCACCCGGCCTATTATTAGTTGTACATTTATTAAAATTTTAAAATTATCTTTTAACAATTTTTTTAGTTGTCTTCATATAAGTTATGCACTTTTCTTGTGAAAGTTTTATAGAGCTATTTAGAGTTTTTGTTTGTTTGTTTGTTTGTTTTTTAGACAGAGTCTGTCTCTGTCACCCAGGCTGGAGTGCAGTGGCACGATCTCGGCTCACTGCAACCTCTGCCTCCTGGGTTCAAGCGATTCTCCTGCCTCAGCCTCTTGAGTAGGTGGGACTACAGGAGTGTGCCACCACACCAGCCTAATTTTTGTATTTTTAGTAGAGATGGGTTTTCACTATGTTGGCTGGGCTGGTCTTGAACTACTGACCTCAGGTGATCAGCCTGCCTCAGCCTCCCAAAGTGTTGGGATTACAGGCGTGAGCCACTGCATCCAGCCTAGAGATTTAAAAGTATATTTGTGTGTGTGTGTGTGTGTGTGTGTGTGTGTGTTTCCAATAGGACTTCTTTAAAACTTCTATTTTCTAATGAGTTATTGAGTTGTTGCTAGCATACACGTATGCTATCGATTTTTCTCTATTTAATGTATATTAAATTTTCATTTTTCTGGCCTTTCTCAGTTTTCTAATGATAATATTTATAAAAATGGAAGTGGTGTCTTCTAATATTTGTAATTCATATTTCTGTTAAAAGCTAATGATACAGTTAAGAAAGCAGTAATGGCAGCCTTACTGAGGTCCATATTTCAACAGAAATAGATATTTTAAATGCTTGTGACAGAGGTGAGTACAGAATTTTTTGTAGATTTCAAGCACATAGAGTCGGACTGAGCTGAATTCCAATTTTACTTCTTTTCCAAACTTATAAGATTTGTGTTATGCCTCTTAATACATGGCCTTTTAAGAAAGCAAAGCAGACATTGTTTCTTTTCTTCTTTACTATGAATATTGCTTAGTCCATTAACAAATTATAGCAATCTTATAGCTAACATTTTACTCTTTCTTAAAAAAAAAAAAACCAACCAAGCAAGCAAACAAACAAACAAAAAAAAACCTTTACTCAATATTATTCAGTGCTTAGAGGGCAAAATAATTTATAATTTCCTTAGGGAAATTGTTTTTCTGAGTTTTAAACTGTTCCCATTTCTAATTTTGTGTTGATTTCCCAAAATCATGATATGTAGCAAATCACTTGTGAAAAGCATCCTTCTAACAAACTAACTTTCATTTGTTTGTTTCCTTCTAATAGTTTATATTTGACCATGACAATTTTTTCAGCGGTGCCTATTAAGAACTTAGCTCTATGGTAATGAGCTAGAAGAAATGCTGAAGAAACACAAGCAATGCCTTTAGACTGTAAATAAACAAGAAGCTAAGTATGGCACCTGTATCAGTAGGTTTTATTGAGGAGATCCTTGAAGAATGAGTAGCATTTAAAGGAAAAGATGAAGGAGGTTGAGGGGTACTGTTGTACCAGGAAAGAGTGAAACAGGCAAGCTCAAAGGTAGTCCCTGGTTAGCATGACTTTAGTACAGAAATGGCAGGTGATTTTTGAAAGGTCAAGGCAAATATACCACCTTCACTCTATTCCCCACTCATACCACTCCTGTAATGAATATCTTAGTTTTATTTTTACCCCAAATAAAGTTATTTAAATAATATGAAGGAAATTTGGTAAAAGTTATTACATGTCTGTTACTATTAGATTCCAACCAAAAAAGGAAGAAAATAATTAAGAAACTAGTGACATATTAAAAATGTAAAATGACTACAATAAAGGGTTCACAGACTACAAGGTACCTTATATCTAAGCACCAACCCTTCTTGTTGAAGAAGATTCATTTATGAACTGATTTTGATAATAGAGTAAAACAAACATGTAATTTGTTAAACAACAAGGATTTATAAAATCATAGGATTAAGTCTTTAACCTTTATTCATAGTGAATTAGTTGGGATAAAGTTTAAAATTTATTTTAAAGAGATATTTTCAGAATTAAGTAGTTTACAATGGCCCAGTCTAAAGGAATTCACCTCAGGTTCAATTATGGCCAGCTTCTCTCATTTATCCGTGACAACTGACTTCAAAACAACATATATTATTTCATTCTTGAATTAGTTATGGAAAAAACCTAATACACACAATCTGTGTACCTTTAATTGCATCATAATATATTCATTATCTATTCAAAATGGGAAATACAAATAATGCATCTGAATAGAGTTCTCACTTTGGGGAGGCACAGAGAAATTAGTAAATTAATGTAGAGGTTGATTAGTGAAAGATACCCTATTGACCTGAATGACTTCACCTGCTGTGTGGTTTATACACAGTGACGAATTTACAGACTGAAAATCTTATTGTTTATTCTGTCTTTCTCCTAACATATTGCTCAAAAAGCCTTTCAAAACAGTGTAATCACTAGTATGCATAGACATGGGACCACAATAATTCAGACAAGCAATTAAAAAGAAGTGAATTCCGAGTTACATAGCATATGAAAAAAGGACGAGTTTTGCTTAACTTTTATAGTACAAGGAGAATCAAGAATCAAATGAATAGTTTTTTCCCCTTTCTAAAAAATCTATTTTATTTATCTTACTTTAAGGAATAGTTTTTTACATGCAACTTTTCTATTGCATTTTAATTCATCTTCTAGAATCACCTATGGAATATTTGAGTGGCAGAAGGAGAGTACAACCTTAAATCAACGGTTCGGAAAGGGCTCTACAGATCCTTGACGCCCTTTCAGGGGGTCTACAAAGTCAAATTTACTTTTATAACGATATTAAAATGTTACTTGCTTTTTTTTTTTTTTTACTGTGTTGGCACTTTGCACTGATGGTGCACAAGCAATAATGGATAAAACTACTCATGAACTTAAGGTACTGGCACTAAGCTATACTACTAGTCAGTGTATTCTTCACTTCCACACACTTACACTAAAATAATAAATAGCCAGTTTCACTTTAGGGATGTTCTTGATAAAACAGTAAAAGTCATTAATTTTATTAAACCTTGACTCTCAAGGGCATATTTTTAACATTCTGTTTGACAAAATGGGAAATCTGCATAAAGCACTTGTGTATATTGAAGTCAGATGGCTATCTCAAGGAAAGCACTGGTGCAATTTTTGAGTCACGAGCAGACTTCATAATAAAACCAGTGATGGTATTAACCAATGTGGTTTAATTTTTAAATACGGCATAATAAAATGTATTAATATGTGGAAGATTTGAAGTGAACAGATATTTTCCAAATGTGTCTAACATGTAATACTTCAAAATCATCGGTATATAAAAGATCCATTCTAAGTGCCAAATAAACTAACGGTGTTAAAATACAGTGTATAGGAATTTCAGGCCAAAAGTGGTGGCTTACACCTATAATCCCAACACTTTGGGAGGCTGAGGCAGGAGGATACCTTGAGGCTAGTAGTTCAAGACCTAGGCAACATAGCAAGACCCTGTCTCTACAATTTTTTTTTTTTTAATTAGCAGTTGTGGTGGCATGTGCCTGTGGTCCAAGCTCTAAAATAGAAATTTAAAAAAAAATAAAAATTTTGTTGATATTGTTTCAAACTCCACTTTGAAACTAACCTTTAAAAACCATGTTTGTAAAGTTTCGGTGGTGTATCAATAAATAATAGACATAATTATCTGAAGTGGCTATTAAAATATTCCTCTTTTTCCACCCACATTTGTATGAGGTTAGTTTTTAAAAAATAGACTTCAAAATAACATATCACAATAGATGAATTGCAAAGCAGGTATGCACATTTAACTGTCTTCTGTTATACCACATATTACAGAGATTTGAAAAAACGTAAAATAATGCCACTTTTCTCAAGAAACAATTATAGTTATTTTAAAATATATAGTATTTATGTTAACATGAAATGGGTTTTTAAATTGTAATTTTAAAATAAAATGTTAACTGTTTTAGAAGTTTCTCAGTTTTAATTTTTAATATGATAACTATTGCTAAACATAACCCACATAGACAAAAGCTCTTTGAGGTCTTCAGTAATTTTAAAGATGTTTCTAAGAGTTCTAAGGCCAAAAAAATTGAGAACCACTGGTTTAAATAAATGCTTTAAATATTTACAATTAGATTTTTTTGGCTTTTTAATAATTTTATTTTTTTTAATTTTGTTACTTTAATTTCCCATAGCACGTTGGCGATGTTGAAAACAAATACAAATACAAGGATGTACTCATTTTAACATTTTATGCATGAGCACGTGTCACACCAATTTTGGGGGCAACAGTTTTGACTACAGGAACAAATCTAAGCAATCGACAAAAATAGAAGCCGGATAACTGGCTCTGACCCCTACCCCCAACGTTTAAGATATGTCAAAGGACACCTGAATTAGGTTAAAAAAATCAAGTTGATATGGGTATTTCAACAGTTTTCTGTGCTGCAAAACTGAAAATAAAACCATTTAATACACAACCCATTAATATCTGAGTTACACTGTTAGGAACTCTGTACTCGAAGATTCATAAAAAGTTGTCAGCTTTTAAAAATAAACTTTAACTTATTTAATAATCAGGTGAATTTTAAAAGAGAATTTACTCACAACTTGAATTAGATTTTTAAATTTGTTTTTTAATTGCCAATATTGTTTGGTGTACAACGTGATGTTTTGATATATGTACACATTGTGGGATGGCTAAATTAAGCGAATTAACATATGTATTACCTCACATACTTAACACTTTTTCGTGTTGTGAACACCTAAAACCTACTCTCTTAGCAGTTTTCAGTCATATAAAACACTATTCACTATAGTCACCATGTTATAAAACAGATCTTTTTAACTTATTCCTCTTCTTTAGCCAAAATTTTGCATGTTATTTTTTCTACCCTTTTTTCTTTAAGAATATCTTTTTCTTTAAGAAAAAAAAATAGACTTATTTTTTAAGCTCATGTCCAAATGAGCATAATGGGTTTTGTGTAGATCACTTCCATTTTCAGCCCCAACACTCACGTCCATGCTTGACCATGCTGCTAGCCCTAACCGTGACTATATTTCTCATCTGTAAAATGACAATAAAATAACATTAATAGTAATACCAACCTCAGTAGGGTTGTGAGGATTAAATACAATAATCCATGTCAAATTCTTGAGCACAATACCTGGCACTGAATAAGCATTTGTTGTGTTGTTACCGTTTTGTGACAGTTTCCTCCTTGATGTCATAGTAACAAAATGTTAATAATACCTTGACTATCTTTTGAAGTTTTCGGATATCCATATAAATGTCTCGGACAACATAATCCAAATGTTCTTCTACTACTGCTTCATGGAATTGTAGGTGAAACGTCTTAAGTGAAGATTTTCATTGGTCTTTTAAAATAAGGTGGGCAAAAAATCTTTCTTTCTTTTTTTTTTTTTTTTTTTTGTCTTTGGGGAGGATTCTGCTTTCTGAGCATTGGCAATGTTCAGTCTTATGATTCAGGATTATGTTTGTGTTCAGTCCTTTTTAATGAATAGATCCGGAAGAAATATTAGTACCTGCTGATGACACCTTGGCTTCAGTACAATTGAGAAAAGACGTTTGTTTAAGACATTGAATAATGTGTCTTTTGATACAAGTCAGTCAATAAGAATTTCAATATTAATCAAAATGAGGGAATGACCTCTTATGGAGAGCAGACTGTGTCACAGTATGTACTATGCAGTTACTTATAGTAATCTTCAATCTTCCTAACAAATCGAAGTATGTATAGTTATTTCAACTTTATAAATGAGGAAACTGAGTCTCAGAGAACTTTAAGTAACTTTCCTAAGATGGTGAAGAGGAAGAAATAAGAACAAATTAAATCTTTTTGGCTGACAAAAGAGGAGGTGAGAGGAATTTTCAAAGATGACAGATAAAGAACATTACAAGGGTGGAATGTAATGACATTAGTGACGTTCATTTGTTCTTTGCTAACTATAAGGCTACAAAGAAAGTGGAGAGTTTAAAGTGCCATATATAACAGATAATGGGAAGCACAGCTTGATTGTAAAAACACTATGGCTGTGCCTGTAAAATTCCAAAACAACTGTCAGTTAAGCATACTCAGTGGAAAAAGTCAAACTGTTTATTTGATGTAATGCACACAAAATAGTCACTTGGTTGGGCATAATTTCACTTTCCACTTTGAGTTTTCATTATAGTTGAACGGTCTAGAAAAAAAATGTGCTAATGTAGGTACTAACGCTACTTGGATTCTAAGAATTACTGTAAACCTAACTTTGTTTTTTTTCCCTTTCACATCCTTCAAAAGAGTAATGTATGACAATGAATTAGTACAAGTGAAAGTTGAACCATGTAAGGTGCTATTTTTTGATAATCCTATGATAATTCAGCATATATGAAGTTCAGAAATTTTATCATAAATCTCTGAATAATTACAAATCAGAACTCTGAGGAGAAATTGGATAAAAAGCTAGAATCCCCTTTCTGCACTCAAAACAGGGGCTTATAAATTTAAACATGTAGCTTAAATAATGTAATAGCAAATGTTTAAAATAGTATTAGTGAGATATCCTGCCATAGCCCCCTGTTTTTCTCAATTTTCATATTTTTATGACAAAAATTAAACATTTTTAGCGGTAAAGAAGTCATAAAAGCTGTAACAACAGGGTAACAGTCTTTTTTAAAAACGTTTATTTTAGGTTTCTGGGTACATGTGCAGATTTGTTATACAGGTAAAGTTGTGTCACAGGAGTTTGTTGTGCAGATTATTTCATCACCTAGGTATTAAGCCTCAGGTATAATTCTTAATGGTTCTTAATGGTTACTTTTAGGCACTGAGGAAATCAGATGGATTTCTAAATATCTTTTTTTAAAGAAAACAGCATACTCATTTATTCACTACTCTGACAAGCCTCCAGTTTACTAGAAAGGTACAGAATAAATACGACAAGTTCAGAGGATTTTGAAACCTTAAAACCATTTTCTAATTGTGTAAGCTACATGTTGTTTAATCATTAAAAGTGATTAAATGACAAAAAAGTTTATATAAAATAAGGTACCTAATGAAAAGCTTTTCGCATTTAGAATACCAAGACTTACCAAATTTGGAAAGATGCAATCAGAAAAATAAGAGAAATGAATCCAGAATTTCCCACATTTGAAGCACAGTGTACATGCCTTGACAGAAGAGAGGTTATATAAATAACTTAAAAACCCTAATCTGAGTCACAAGACACATGGTTTCCTTTGTGTCTCACACGGAGACTCTGTTATACCTTAGTGGAAGAATCTAAACAGTGGAACTTACATGCTTTGAATCAAAAGATCCCCAACTTTATACACTCTAAGTACACATGGTGCTTAAAAAGTCCGCAATTCATATAACTTACACTAGCCAATAATGTAAGACTTTTCTGACCTCCAAAATGCTGCTTAACAGTCAAGCTGACCTTATATTTTGAAATGTATAATGGAAAAGTGCATGTAATATTTTCAAGTCATATGGTTTTATGAATTAACTAATAAATCTTTTTTTTTTCTTTTTGTGGAATTTTTTGTCTGATTTTTTTTTCTGAGAAAATGTGTGTCTGATTGAAAATTTCACATTTAGTATTTATTCTAAGTTTCCAGACCACAGATTTTGGCATTATTATGAAACACGTTATGAGGCTTGGTACTGGCTTTATATTTAGCTTATTTCGTTGGCTTAAATAAGGACATTAGTTGTTAACAATGAAACTTAATTCATATCAGGTGAACTAGGGACTACATCTGGGACTTGTCGTAACTTGATGTTCCATGGGTTTATTTCAACAAGGAAAGGAAAAGCATTTTAAACCACAGCTCTGATTCAGAAATGATTCTGAATTCAGTTGTTCTGTAGCATCTTGGACCTTGTCCATGTATCAATTATGACACATCTCCCTCCCACATCTTGCCCTCCCAATTTGAAATAAGCACAATGTGTTTTTATCACTCTCCAAGTATTTAAATTTGCATATGGTACTTAAAAGCATTTTGTTTTTCATTTGCAAACTTCAGATTCATATTTTTCCAAATAATGTGTCTTCGTGTGAAAAATTACATGTAGAATATTCTGTTGGTAAGAGTTATTTAAATTATTTACTGGCTCTTTTTCAGTTCCCTGGAAAACACGGAGGGTGCTCTCACTATTTGTCTGGCTTGTCTGGCTTTCGCACAACTAGATTTGAAAAATCATGTTGGAATGTGAGTCCAAAGCATCAAAATTTGTGAAAGCAGAGTGTTATCCCAAAAGTGTCAAGCAGCCAAATGGTACCAATTTCAACAATGGCACTAGAGTGTTTTTCTGAAAGATAGTTTCTGTTTTAAATCCCTGGTTTTTTTTTGTCCAGCATCTATAGTTGTCCCAGAGCAGGACAAAGATCCAGCAGCACCTAAGCTTTTATCTTTTACTTTCTTTGGAAAGTCACTTGACATTCCTGCTGCATTAAAAAAAAAATTTGTTGTTTGTTTATTAGACCCATTGATCGGACATAGTTTTGGGGGGTAGATTAGTATTTTATGAAAGATTACATATGTTTAGAAAAATAATAAGTACATTTTATATTTATGTACAAACACAAATCTAAAAGATCAAAGACAAGATCTAGGTTGAATATTATTCATCATTCATTCATTCATAAATATTTATTACATATATACAAGGCAGTTGGCAGGCTTTGTGAAGAAGTATATAGATGAATCAGACACAAATCTATTTTCATTTCTTCCTATTAACATTACTGAAAAATATATAGATAGCTAAATGGGGATAAAGGAAGGAAAGAAGGAGAGAGAGAACAGGAATGATAAAAACAAATGTGGCAAAATCTTAATGATTAATAAATTTTGAAATAAGTTTATAAAGGAGTGTTTTGTATTATTCTAGATTTTCTGTATATGAGATATAATTTTACAATTAAGTTTTTGAGTGTCTGCTCTGAAAAAAAAAGTAGCTCAAATACCTAAGGAACAGACAGTTTGTGAGGTTTAGGGTCCTACTCAATTGTGGGAACTTCATCTCAAGTCTCTTTACTTCCTTACCGTTTCTGAAATCATTCTTCAAAGTTGGAGTGCACTCAATAAATGTATAAACACCGAATCCTTATTTTTTTTTCCCTTTGGAATCCCAATTTCCAGGGAGTATGTCTTTAGGTCAGACCACAAAACCATTGTAAACTGCATATACAATATACAAGAGAAAATATGGAAGGGACACTGTTGTCAGCAATTGTGTGTAAGCCTCACCAACTAAAAGGCAGTGGATTTAGACTGATGATTTCTTTTGCCATCTACTATCATTTAAAACTGTCTATCCTCACTCACAAACTGTGAGCTGTTGAAAACTGGGCTTTTATTTTTCTCATCTTTATATGTCCAGCAGAGACCCTTGCATGTAGTAAGTGTTCAATTTATGTTTGTTGGCTGCATGAGTGAATTAATATAGATTCAAAGGTTTTTGTGCCTGAGATCTTCAAATTGATTTCATTTTGTTTTTTTTTTTTTTTGCACTAACACTACACCGATCTTCATGAGTCTGAGTTAGTCCCGCCTGTAAAATTTGATCTATATGATTTTTTTTATAATAGCCTTCTTAATTAGAACTGCGGTATGCAGACTATATTTAGGATATGGTATACGAGGAGTTTGTCAAAAGGAAAGCAGACTTGAAATCTGGAGAATATTAGTGGTCAGCTAATATATTTAACATGTGGTTAAATATTTAGTACGTTTGATTGTGTCTCTTTAAAATGAAAGCCTTATATTATGTATATATTTTTGAAATGACATTTGAATAAAAATATAAAAGGCATCTAAAGAGATGATGGGCACTTCTGGACTTGGAAAACCCCTCAGGTTTGATAACAACATTTTGAGTCATCTAAATTCATACTTATTATCACTTAAGTGAGCACTGATGCTGGCACTGGATCTTATACACATATTCAGATTTTTGTTTCCCTCATCATTCTGAAGGTTATCTCCCTGGTCGCTCTGAAAATCAGGTGACAACCATTTCCCATGATGCTTTAAGGGGTGTCAAACTGTCCATCAAGCTGTCACCTGACCAGTCGTTCCCATGGTTCTTTTAGACTTCCAGTATGATAAATTGAAAGGGACTATTATCTGTCTGTTGTGAAGAGGAACTGTTTGGGCTTTGATAAGATATCACTACTCCCAGGTGAGAGGCTGCTGACAGCACATCAAGGCAAAACAACACATACAAACACTGAACAGGGGAGCACACGTTTACAAACATCTGTTGTCATTATTTATTACTTTTCTTCGGCTTTAAGTTTCTGACTCATCCTTAGATAATTCAAGAACAGATATTTTGCTTTCTTACTTGCAAAAACAGTTGCAGCTCTTTTCATCTTAGGAGAAGAACCTTAAAATTGAAAATACACCTTCCTACCTTTTTGGTTCATGGCATATATGCTTTCTATCTTGCAGCCAACAAGTTCTGTGTTCCTGCTGATGACATCATTTACTTTAAAAAAGTATCTGAGAATAAATACATGTCACTATAACAAATATGTGAATTTTAGGGATAAATATAATAAAATTAATTAATTATGCCTGAGAGGTCATTATTAATGTACCACTTTACAAGAAATATGAGCTGGTTTTAATGTTAGCTTGTATTAATTTATATTTTAGAATTGATAAGGTCAAATATTTCATGAGAAATAATGTTTGTGACTTATTTTTGCAGCTTCAATTTTTAATTGCTCTGAATTATACTAATAGAAACATAAAAACTTGAATTTGTGCACAAGGAACATGAATAGAGGGAAAGATATTGTCCTCAGTGGACCAAGGTTGTAGTTAGGATTGGAATCAGGAAACTTAACTGTAAAGGCAGGGGGAAGCTTGGGAGGCAAAAGTTTTCAGACGGAAAGCTGTCTGGAAAGTAGGTATATTTTATTAGAGCTACAGAGACAATTTTACACTTAGAATGTAACTCCTTGGACATATATATCTAAATAGGAGTCAATGGAAACTTATGTATTAAGGGCTGAATTCTTGAATCTTTACTACTTGTAAACATAATTTTACTCTTTAGCAGTTATTCTCTATTTTGTGATTTGTCCTTTTTCTCTTTTTTCTCTGCTACTCTAATGACATATGCTGACAGGTTTTCCATGTGGCTCTGTGCCCTTACATGCTATCATTATATGAACAACTAAAGATGCCCTTTGGGGATCACTTGGGGAAAGTAATCTGTTGTTATTTATTGTGTTTTTTAGCAGAATAAAAGTACTGTAGTTGGTTGCTAACATCACCACCTTGTGTACAAATATTTTTTTGCATGCAGTTTCCTAATATCATTAAGCTGTATTGTAATTTCATTACATAGTAATGTAGCACTTCGATTACAGACATTTAAATAATTTTGTAATTCAAAATTGGAAAATAATAAACCATGGTTTATTTTTAGTCCCTTGTAATTAGTTAGCCAACTAACACTCCACTGAACTCATACAAGAAGCAAAAATGCCCCAGAACCCTTATAAACTGGGCATTGGTCAAAATACTCTTTCAAACAATGATTTAGGAATTCAGAGTAAAAAAGGCAAAGAAAGAATTAAATTCCTAAAGATTCATAATAATACCAATAGTACATATGGCTAGTGCCTAGGGCATCTAATTAGTGAACCCCTAATTCTAACAAATGTAATCTCTAATTCTGGCAAATCTAACTAAGGCATTTTTAGCTCACCCAATGGGCTAATATTGGAAATTACTACTTACTTCAAAGTATGATTTTGGTCTCTATCCAAAGAGTAGAACCTCTTGATAAGTTTCTGAATGTCAAACTTCTTTTTCTAGCGGCTTCTGGCATGTCAGAGCTCCACAGCAAGTTTTATAATTTTGACAGTCCTTGGCGATCAATGAAGTTGACTGGACTCCATTACTTTTCCAAACAGAAATACCTTGCAGTCCAATGAAGGAAGTAGTGGCTAGAGGGGAAAGTACCAGAATATTCAATACGTTTGTCTTAGGTCCCAAAGGAAACAAACAAATGTGTTCCCTGTTATTCTTTCTCTCACAATAAAAATTTTAGACCATTTCTAGAAAAAAGCAATTTTGCATTTGTATTTTTGTGTTACTTCTTTCAGTTTGTCTCCCTTTTGGTAAGTGAACTTGTTTTAAAATGTTACACGTTGTTGGAAAGTAGCATGGAATGCTTCTTTTAGTTCTACGTAAAGGTAAAGTTTGATTATATGGCAAAAAATTAAAAATGCTGCTAAGGATACAAGGTAAAACATAGCAATCTAAAAGAGAGAGAGAGAGAGAGAGAGAGACAGAGTGTGTGTGTGTGTGTATGTGTGTGTGTGTGTGTGTGTGTGTGTATGCTCGATAGCAATCCTATGAGGTTGGCAGGGCAGGGTAACCAGTTTTATAGATGAGCAAATCAACGATAAGGGACATGACAGGACAATGCAAGTCATACACATGTGGTAGCACAGCCAGTAAACAACTCAGTCAGTTCAGTGTTATGTCCTCTATACTACTTTTGTCCTTAGGGACTAGTACAGTACTTTAGTAATGTGGATATTAGGAATAAAGGCCATTTTGTTAGAAGTTTCACCCATTTTTCATGGAAGTCTATCCATATAGGATTCTGTTGAAAAGTCAGCCTGGTGCCATACTGTCAAACACAGAAGTAGAAATTCACCACTTAACTCCTTATGTTCTTAACTTAGAATTAAACACACAGTCATGTGAAAGGTGTTTCATTTAGCTCTAACAATAAATGAATGTGTGCACATTTATATGCATGGTAAATATGTAGAACTTAGATATGTAATGATTTATGAAGCATAAAATGAAAATTTTTGGAAATGTACCTAAAAGGAGTAAAAATCATAGACACCTCCTTGTGGATATTATTTTAGAAAGCTTCAGGCTTTCATCCTAGTGTTATTTACTTCATACTAAACAGTCATTTCAGATGTAGGATGTTTGAAGGGGGCCAACCACTTATGATCTTCATAGGAAAAAATAAACTTGCAAAGTCTTCAGAATGTCTGGTGGATGTTTTCCCATTATGTTGAATCTACTTATGTTAAGCAATGTGACCAAACTGAATACAGCTATATGTAAAACTGAGATTCATTGAACTATTCACCTTTTTGATTGATTACTCATATATCTACAATGCCACGACAGAAATGACAATATTGCCACATTTTAATAAAGATGACTTTTGAGATTACAAAAATAGAATTAGATTATATACATTTAAAAAAATCTCATTTTGATTTTTAAATTTACACAGGAAAATAAAGAGTACTACTTCGTGGAAATTGCTGAACAATTTCTTACTTTTTCCAAAAGATTCAGAGAACAAAACAGATTTCTGTAAGTCAAAGTGCAGCCAAATGTTCTCTTTGGCAAATATTAGAACTCACTTCTACGTCTGGGACATTAGGAAAATGCACTTGAATAAAGATAAAATTGAACAAACCTATCACTACCTAGAAAAGAAAGAAGTAAACAGTGGAGTTTATCTAAGCTAACTTTATTTCCCAAACTCAAAATCATAACAATAAAGTCCTTTACATGAGCAACTTTGTGACCTGAAGGAAGAGGCTGTCTAATTTCTTTCCATGCATCAAGCCAAATAAATGAAGGGAGAAAATCATTCTCTGTTGGCCTCCTGTGTAAGATTTCTTTTCTTATCATCCCATCTAGTCATATCTTTCTGCAGTCTGAATTACCCTCTTTTCCTCAGACTGGTAAGGCAGTGAAAGGATGTTTGTTCTGCTAATTAACTTTATTACCCTGATAACTCCCTGCAGCCTTTGAGGAAAACAATTACCGTTACTCCTTTTTTCCCCCACTGGCAAAAAAAAAAAAGAAAGAAAAAAAAAGAAAAAAGAAAAAAAAAGAAAAAGAAAAAAAGACTATTAATTAGAAACGAGGCCCAGGTCCCTGCCATGTTATCCTGCCACGTTCCCAGGCCCTCGAGCAGGATAGCATTACATTGTCAGTAGTAATTTAGCTCTCATCTGTCTCTGCTAATTATTGTCACATTCATCAAATTCATCAACAAAAGTGCTCTCAGAAGGATTGCATATTTGCAGTTAATACAGCATAAACTGGTATTACCCATCACCACATTTGTGATGATGAGAGGGACACAACTTATTCATCCCTAATTAGAGCAAGCTGGGTAATTAATTATGCATTCCGCCTTATTACTTCTGAGTTCCCAGATATTGTTTGTCTAAAAAGGGGGAGAAAGCAGGAGAGAGAAGCCTGAAAATGCAAAAAAAAAGGGTGATGTGTTTTGTCACATGCGCTATGCCATAATTCCCACCTGACAAACTAGCTGAATCAGTGGAAAATTGCGAGTTGTCAGCAGCAGAATAAACTGCTGTAATAGCTGATTAATGATCAGCACCTGTGACAGGTGCTGTACGGGACTGTAAACTTGGTTTGATTAACAGTCACTGGACGAATAAATATTAGTGACAGTCAGCGGAGAGCAAGTTTGCTTGTTTTCTTCCCTGTTAACAAATCGCACGCATTAAAGTTATTGATATTTCTGTCTGAGACACTCTATTTTTTTGTAGTTATCTGGCAACATTGGCAGTGAGTTTTAATGGATCGTGTTTGTTCCCGTTCTGTTATTTTATTTCAGAACTAAATTGTATTTTGACAAGATGACCTATAGGGGTTTAAATTCACCAGGTGTGGAAGAAAGACTAAAAAATAACAGGATTCACACTTGGTTTAATTTATGCTCACCTGCTAGTAATCTGTGTGTGTATGTGTGTGTGTATACATATCCACATACATACATATATTCATTATACCCATTTACATGTATGTACAATAATTATTAAGGGATATTTATGCTAAAAACCATAGTCACAAACATATAGATATGTGATGTTCGCTTGTTTTTTAGTTTTAATTGTTTCTTTCTTCCTTCCTTGCATTGGATATTTTCCCTGGAAACGTTGGCAGTGTGAGTTATCCCAACCCCATGTCTCAATCCAGAATTGAAGGGACCATTTTCCTGAGGCAGCTATTCAAAACTGCTGCCAGCTTGATTGTTTCTACTGAATTGACCAGTTTCAAACAGATTGGTCAAGAGGTGATTAACCTGTTTGAGCTAACTGGTGATTAACCAAGAGTCGAGTTATGTGCACAGGCAAGCAAAGTGTAAGTAATGAAAGGAACCCAATTTATTTTATTTTATTTTTTAAATTTATTTTTTGTTTTTAGGTCATAGTCAAAGACGCTATTTGCCTTAACTGTGGTTCTTTTGGATTCTTGAATTATATATGGAGAGATTAAAATTGTGGATTTTTGGAATCCTAAAGACATAGATTCAAATTGTGGTCCTGCTAACTAGCTGTGAGTTTGGATAAGTTACTTAATCTGTCTGATCTTTCCATTTTTGCAGTGCAATGTGAGGGCATTTCCAACTTGTATTATGCGGTTACTGAGAAGGTTAAATGAGATAATGTATGTAAAGCACCCTAGCATGGTGCCTGGCATAGACATGGCTCAATGATTAACAATTTAATTACTATTAATACAACAGTTTGAAATTGAATAGTCAGATTATTTTCATATTCTGTTTCATATGATGAACTGCTTTAACACCAATTAAATTATTTTTTTTCTCCACAGACTCCAAAATAACAATGAAAATTAAAAAGCAAAACAAGATTACGCTCATTTGTTCCTGAGTAAAGACTAAGATTAGTAATATCCCAGGGTAGTCGATATCCCAAGGTGCTACTCTAAGCTATTCAGATACTTCTTAGAGGCACAAAAGTTGCAACTGGTCAAGCGAGGTAGACTTTTTTTTTTAAATAGAGATGCCAGGACCCACCACTAGGTACTCTGCTTCTATTCATTTTGGGGAGCCCCTTGCTCATGGGCATGTTTAAAAAGTTCCTGGGCCGGATGCGTTGGCTCATGCCTCTAATCCCAGCACTTTGGGAGGTCGAGGCAGGAAGATCACATGAGGCCAAGAGTTCAAGAACAGCCTGTCCAACACAGTGAAACCCCTTTACTAAAAATACAAAAATTAGCCGGGCATGGTGGCACAGATGTAGTCCCAGATAACTTGAGAGACTGAGGCAAGAGAACTGCTTGAACCCAGGAGGTGGAGGTTGCAGTGAGCCGAGATCACGCCACTGCACTCCACCCTGTGCTACAGAGCAAGACTGTCTTAAAAAAAAATAAAAAAAAGTTCTTCAGGTGATTATGTGTGTGTCTTCAAACTTTAGAACTGGGGATAAATACATAAAATTAGAAATTTGTGTCATGACAATAAAAAGAGTAAACATTCCTTCAGATGATAGAACTATTAATGTGAAATGGATGTCTAGAAACTTACATACATCACATATGGGAGCTTTATTGTTATCTAAACTTGTTACTTAAAGTATCATGATTGAAACACTTTTTTGTTGTTAATCCAGTTGAGGAGAAAAAGATCTAATAATTCAGTCAGTAAGAATGATATTCAGAATCTATCAGCTTACTTTATACCACTCATTAGAAGTGCAGGGTCAATTGCCTTATCTCACTGGAAAAAATAAACCCAGTGATGGTGGCCAAAATATTTCTGTGGCTGACAGATGAACTAAGCGGTGGCAGGGCTGACTGGTGATTGTGGCATGCTTCCAAGTGGATATCCTGCTGCACAAATGGTGACGGGGAGTTAAGAGACCAAATATTCCTGCCATTTGGGACATATAAACATGGATTAAAAATTAGGTAATAGGTAGTCTATGCCTGCTTCTTTCTGCACTTTGTTACCTAAACTTTGCTCATCCTTGGTGCATATGAGTCTATGGTTGTAGTAGGGTTCATTGGTATATCACTTCTTCATTGCTGCTTGTGGTCAGAGAACCCAGGTAACCACATGAAACAAAGTGGAAATTGCTTGTTTGACTAGAACATTGATATTCCAAATTATGTTACAGTTCCCAGAGAATCAGCTAATTCTCTATCAAGTTCTGCATCTATATTCCAGAATTCCTGTAGTCCTATAATGTCTTAATTTAAATGTTAAATTATTTAAAAGTATTGAATTATACTTTATCAAGTTTGATAAAAACAAAAAAGGTATTCTATCTCTGAAAATTTATTTATTTTGAGATAGGGTCTTACTCTATCACCTACTCTGGAGTGCGCTGGCATGATCACGGTTCATTGCAGACTCGATCTCCCAGGCTCAGGTGATCCTCCCAGCTCAGCCTCTTAAGTAGCTGGGACTACAGGCTTGCACCATCACACCTTTTTTTTTTTTTCCGTTTTAGTAGAGATGAGGTATCACTGTGTTGCCCAGGCTAGTCTCGAACTGAGCTCAAGCAATCCTCCTGCCTCAGTTTCCCAAAGTGCTGCAATTATAAGTGTGAGCCATCGCACCCAGCCCATCTCTGGAAATTTAAAGAGGAAAAGTCTCACTTGGCACATGGGAATTGGGGATGGGTCAATAGGGAATGCCTGACTTCATAGGATGACTTGATCCTAATGGAGTTTTCTCTGGTCCAGAGCAAAGCATGGGCAAACTATTACCAGTAGGATAATCTGGCTTGCCCTCTATTGTTGTAAGGCCTTGCAAGTTAAGAAAGGTTTTTAAGTGGTTAAAAAAATAAAAATATTTTGCAATATAAATATTATATGAAATTCAAGTTTCAGTGTCCATATAGAGTTGTATTGGGACATAGCCATGCTCATTGGTTTCCATATTGTCTGTGGCTGCTTTTGTACTAAAACGGCAGAGTTAAGTAGTTGCAACAAAGACCATATATTCTACAAAACCTAAAATATTTACTATTCGGTCTTCTCCAGAAAAATTTTGCTTGTTCCTGCTCGAGAGTAGTGTTTCTCAAATTTTAGAAATACCCGGGACAAATGCATACAAATTGTCTGGGATCTTGTTAGACAATAAATTCTTGATTTAGTAGGTCTATTCTGCATTTCCAACAGGCTACCTACTGATACTGATGCTGCTGGCCTGAGGACCATACTTTGAGAAGCAAGGTGTTAAACTGTGACCCTCATCATAAACACGCAGAAGCCTAATGTTAGCCTGCTCAAGAACAGATCTTTTAGGAATGAACTCATATTAATTAAGTGCACAAGGTTGATGCAGAAGCCTAAAAATCTAATTTATTAACCTGTCAATGAGAAATACGATAGGAATATTCTGTTCCTATAGACATGGCACTTGGTATGCTGAATTAGAGCAGAAGATTATTTTATCTCGCTCTCTCACCCAGGCTGGAGTGCAATGGCAAAAATGCAATTCACTGCAACTTTCGCCTCCTGGGTTTAAGCAATTCTCCTGCCTCAGCCTCCCAAGTAGCTGGGATTACAGGCATGCACCACCACGCTCGGCTAATTTTGTATTTTTAGTAGCGATGGAGTTTCACCACGTTGGTCAGGCTGGTCTTGAACCCCTGACCTTAGGTGATCCACCCGCCTTGGCCTCCCAAAGTGCTGGGATTACAGGCATGAGCCTCCCAGCCCTCTATAAGTCATTTTTGAGTGATCTTTCTAGGAGTCCTGCTCTAGCCACTCTAGCCAAAGAGAAATGTCTGTGATTGCAGGAACTCTATTCCATTTCTCATTTACATCACATAGTGATTCCCTAGTCATGGGAATTATTTACTGTTCATTATTATTCCATGAAATTATGCCATGGCATTTTAAAAGATTTTCCTGCAAATTTCATTTTAAGTATGTCTTAATTCTAAAATCAAGAGGAGTAACATTGAGAGAACTGGATCTGTGTCCTAGTATTAATCACTGTGAGACCATGACCAAATAAGTGTCCTCATCAATAAAATGTAGAGGAGAGATTCAGAATTACATGATTCCCATGGACCCTTCCAGTTTTAGAACACTAATTTCAACTAAAATTTTTCCAGAAGATACACATAAAAATGGAGTTCATTTCCTTATTGCCACATTCCTGGTATGTGCTGCAATGTACTTTGGACCTCCATTGACTTTTATGTCTTTTTTTCTGATGTTCTTGTTACTTGTTGACAAGTCTGTTCTCAGTTTTCTTCATTAAAAAAGAACACTTTAAGGCAGACATCTTATTCAATTTTGCATCCCCCAGCATTTTACATAAAGGGACCATCCAAGAGATGTTAGTTGAATTGAATTAGTGTAGAAATATCCTCAAAACAAATAAGTTTGGGATAGTAGAACCTTAAAAGGCTAAGAGGTTGTAACCTTGCACAGTAAAGGATTTTGACAAGCCAGTTGATTGGATGTTTGGCAACTCTTGGTACCATATTGCATTAACTATATTCTATAAAATTATAAAATGATTATTCCTTTGGAAACGTTGAAAGAGTAGCTTGACTTTGCATTTCTTAATGGTTCAGTATATTGCTGATTAAAGTAACTTCTGATAATTCTATAATTAGATTCTATCTAAAGGATCAAGAAAAATGCACTGAGATTAGAATTTTAACATTATTCATAGCTTGTGGAAAGGAAAATGTCCTGTCTGGAATAAAGTCAATGTCATGTCTATATATGCTTTGTTGGGTTTAAGAAAAATCTTTAAAAATATTTTTTCTCCCCTTAATACATTTCCATTTATGTGCAATGTTTTTGATCAGAAAACTAAAAAGTAGCAGCGGGTGGGAATGAAGGGAGCCAAATATAGAATTGGTGCCAACAGATGCAAAAATGCCATGGAAATCTTTGGCCCAGAAATAATAGCTTACCAAAATACACACACACACAGTTGTTGGACTCTTGAACAGATACACAGCCGTCTGTATAGACAACAGTGCTGTTGGCCAAGAGTCCCGGAGGCAGGCCAACCTCCTATCCAGATGCCACTGCCAGTGAGGAAGCATTTGGCTTCTAGTCCTCTGGCTGCCAACCTTCTCTCCCACTCTCTGGCATGAATTTTTACAGGGGCTGCTGAAGTGAATTAAGACTCTGAAGAGTTCTGTATTAATATGCTGCAACAACACAGAACACAGTGCCACAGAAGCCCTTTATGCTATTTGAATGTTTTTACCCATTATTATTTTTTTAATTGTCAAAGAAACCTGACTTCTAGGTATTTGCCTACAGATAAATGCAATTGCTTTGGAAATTAAGAGTGATACATTTTGATTTCTGCATGGAGTCAACTTTCCTCAACCCAGAAATACCTTGAGAGTATTTAAAATAAAAAAGGTAAAAAGGAAAGAGAATAACAGATAACAAAAGACCAAGAAATAAAATATATTGGTATTTTTGGGACACTGAAAGACAGGATTCATATTTCTTCAGCCCTAGCAAAAGCGCCCACTGAAAAATCTCCTTCTGGTCAGAAGAATGCAATAAGAACACATTTTTTTCAGTGACAATTGAATAAGTACCAATATACATCCATGATTGTTTGCATGCAGCACTAACTTCCAAGAAAAAAAAATTAACATGGCACTATCTCCTCACCTGTAATCTCAACAAATTCCAATTTCTGACATTGTGAGGTTGTACCTATCAACTTCTGAGCCCCTCCCACCTGGAGAGGCTTCTATACTGCCTGTTTTTCCCTTCCCTCACATCAGTGAGGCTGGGCAGCCAAACAGATCCTGCTGAAGGAGCTGGCTTCACTTCTGCAGCACTTTGCAAGAGCAAAGTTTTGAGATTGATCTGATTCAAGAGAGAACTATCAGAAGATGGCATAATATCTGATTATATTAATGAATTAAAAAAGATGCCATAGTTAAAATTACATACGTTAATTTGTACAAAAACAGTAGTTTCTAATTTAAGATGCTTTTAATGTCAGAACAAAACACCAAACTGCTATTGCATGCAAGAAAAAAGGAAAAAACCAAGAGTTCAGGCTTACATTACTTTTCTTGGCTCTGCTAGTTGATTTATACAACTGTAACATTTGAACTGAGGGAATACTTTTTGTGTACTCCAGAGAGTTTCTCCAGTTTGCTTACAAAAAATACAATAGGCTGTTGAGGTTGACTTGTTAGAGTTTCAGTCACTAACTAAATGAACTTATCCACATAAGAAGCAATATTTTCCCTGGATACCTTTAGTAGGGCTGCCATATTTACTTAAAGCAACATTAACTGCTGTCAGATATCTAAGTGTCATTGACATTGATAAATCATTCTTAGAGAGACATGAACAAATGAATCAAATGCTCATCATCACACTCAGAAAAGAAATAATACATCAGGCAGCCTACTTATGTAACTCTGTGTCACATAAAGATTTCTTGATGAGCCATACAACCTTATCCAGGTATGAATTGTGTGACTAACACATTGAAGAGACAGCTTAATCATAGAAAAGCATGTAGCCAAAGTACATTGTAGAAAATGTAATATTTCATTTTGTTTAAGACAAAAGGTCTATTTGATTATTACAGTCAAGTATAACTAACTATTTGTTTGCCAACTATGCATTAACATAGAGAAAATCTTCCATTTTCCCATTGTGTAAATGCGAAGAAATTGTTATTAATTACATTGAAGTGTTTTTGTAATTAAAGTTTTTCAGTAGCATGTAAAATACTTTGCTGTATGGAAAAGTAATAGTCATACGAATACATGAACAACAGCAAGATTAGTTGCTTAATTTCTCCTTAGGAATTTTCTAACCCACCAACCTAAAAGAAGCCTACTGTATTACTCTGTATTGTCTTCTTTTATGATTTTACCTAACCCTGTATTTTAGAAGAAAATCAGTTTTTGTTTTTACTACATAATTCTCTACTTTATTTTTAAAGATAGAGAATATGATTTATCTTTCTTTGACAATAGTACCTTCTAAGAAGAACATCTTTTCTCTCCATGAGCTAAGGAAGGAGACTGAATTAATGGAGATACAGGTGTTCCCTTCCACTGATCGGGGTAAGAGGAGCAGCAGCAGTCAGCACTCCCTTCTCTCTCTGCCTTTCCTTTATCTGTCTTTGAGCACCAGCTTTTCCTTTGTCCTGTGGACCATCTGTGTGCCTGCAAACATCTACAGAGACATCAGCAGATCCCAGCAATGGCCACAGCAGCTGCCTGGTCCTTCCTAACTGAATGAAAACTCAAATTGCCAAGATTGCAAATAATCTCCTTCCTTTTCACAGACATATGCTACCTGGAAGCCTTACAATAAATTTCCTGTTTTCAGTAGCACTTTATAGACCCTCAGCAATTACTTGTATATGCATTTTTGTTCTTTTATCTGTTTACTTACGATGGCATTTTCAAATTATAGTCTACAAACACTAATTTTGAGTAATGTTAACAACTTTACCTAAATGTATTGAACATTTAGTATGTGTTTTACGTGCATTTTCTTATCCAATACTCGCAAATTTTTAAAGTTTGATTAGTATTATTTCCATTTTATGGATGAGAGAGGTGAGGATTAGAGAAGTCAGGTCACATGGCTTAACAGTTGTACTGGGCAGAATTTTAACCCAGCAATGTGACTCCAGAGCTCATACTCTTAAACAGTATAACATAGCTGTTAGGTAAAAAATCATCTGTTGGTGGGGAGGAGGGTGATCAATGAATTCGAAAATGAAGAGGTAGAACAAATTGAACGAACTTCTTTCCTGCAGTATTTCTCAGAGCATTTAATACATATGCCCATTAACATTGACTTTCTAAGGTGGAATCTAATATATGACATTTTTCAAACGTATTGATCCTCATTGATCTCTCATATAATTAATGTTCCCCCCTAGCACTTTGGGAAAGACTGCCTTAGTATGTACTTTTAGAAGCAGAATTGTTGGGTTAACCCAATTATGCTTTCCACTGATTCTTTTTAAAATTATGAATGAGTCACTATTCTTCAGCAAATGAGAATTGCAAAGGTTAATGACGGGCTCAGGGGGTGATGGGAAATATAGCGTGACTTAGAAAATATAGCGGGGGAAATGTATGTGAATAACTATAATATAGAGTAGACAGAGTCACGTAATTGACTCTCTATTTTATTATTATTTTTCTTTTCTTTCTTTCTTTTATTTATTTTTTTTTGAGACAGGGTCTCACTTTGTCACCCAGGCTGGAATACAGTGGCATGATCATGGCTTACTGCAGCCTTGACCTTCTAGGCTCAAGAGATCCTCCCACCTCAGCTTCCCAAGTTGCTGGGACTACAGGTGCATGCCACCACGCCCAGCTAATTTTTTATTTTTTGTAGAGATGGGGTCTCGCTATGTTGCCCAGGTTGGTCTTGAACTCCTGAGCTCAAGTGATCCTTCTGCCTCAGCCTCTCAAAATGTTGAGATTACAAGCATGAGCTACCATATCCAGCCTTTTTTTTCTTTCTACACTCCACTTCTAGGAGAAAGAGTCAAATAAGAAAAAGAAATGATGTTAATGCTCAATATTCACAATGTGCAGAGAACTCTTTTATGTATTGTCTCATTTGATTGTAACAACAACCCACTTTATAGGAAAGGTAATGAGATCAAAAAGGTTTAAATGCCAGGAAGTGGTAGACCTGGCATTTAAACCTAAGGCTCTGACTTCTAGTTTAGTTATTTATTTATTTTTTTTACAATTCCACTAGTACTTTCAAAAATTGAATTCCAGGGGGGTGTCCTTTAATTAAGTAATATTCAAGCCAATGTTTAATACCTCCAACACCTATGGTCCAGAAATAACTGCTGATCAGACCAAAGATCCTGATGCTAATGAGAGGAGCTCAGCATCCAAGTGCTTGAGCCTGAATGTCTGGTTTCAAATGCTGGTTCTGCCACTCACTATTGTTTTAGCACTGGGAAAATAATTTAACCTCCTATTAACTTACTTTGTCACCAAAAGAAAATTAAATTATATTTAGCAAATTGTACATACAAAGACAGACAAATGGCCAACATGTTTTTTTTTTAAACTTTCAGAAAAAGGATTAACATAAGATTTTTCATTAACATTCAGTTGATGAGAAAGATTTAACTAACCATAGTGGCTTGTTTCTCCAAACAATTTTATTAATTAGTGTTTGACTTTCTCCAGAGACTTTCCTGATTTATACCTGCTATGGTTTGAACGTTTGTGTCCCCTCAAAAATTCATATGTTGAAACTTAACCGCCAATGCAATAGTGTTAAGAGGTGGGCCTTTAGGAGGGACTGAGTCATGAGGCAGATCCCTCATGAAGGGGTTGAGTTCCTTTGTTAAAGAAGTTCAAGGGAGCTGTCACCCCTTTTTGTTCTTTAGCCCTTCTGCTTTCCACCTATGAAAATATAATGTTCATCTGCTCTGGAGGACACAGCAAGGTGCCATCCTGGAATGAGAGATTGGGCCCTCACCAGATAAGGAACCTGCTGATGCCTTGATCTTGGACTTTGCAGCCTCCAAAAACTATGAAAAAATAAATTTCTATTATTTATAAATTACCCAGTTTCAGATATTTTGCTATAGCAGCACAAATGGAAATGCCCTTTAAAGTTTCTCAGGTACTTACATTAAAAAGGAGGTAATGTTAATTACAATAATGTTCTCATAAATTAATGCTTTCTACAGTAATGATTTCCCTAGATGTTTGTATTAGTTACTCTAGTTACCTTTTTTTTGTAATGTTAAATATGTTGTTGTTTTTTTTTTTAGTTGTCATGTGTATAAAAAAGTAGAGCCAAAGTTCCTCAGACTTTCTTGGTATCTTTTTCACAACATCCCAGGCCAAAGGAAATACTTAGTAGATTCTTTTATTAAATAGTAAAGTCCTAAGGTTTTAATATTTTATTAAAAAGCAAGTCTTAAGAACTTAGTAATATTTTAAAAAGTTACATATAAATATATATTTATGTACATGTGTATGTGTGTGTATATATATGAAGAAAAATATTTATATTTTATTCCAAAATATTTGTAATTACTTACTAATGGGATGTCTATACCAGTTGACCACTGCAAAACTTCTCAATCCTTGGAATCAGATCGGTTCCCAACATTCTAATTTCTTATTACACATTGATTTTAGAATGTTACTTCTTTTTTTTATCAAAGCAACCACAGAAAACTCAGCGTTGCAAAGATATGAAATTATCAAAAGGAATGTAGTATGGTCTAACATTAAAACTATGAACCACCTAGAGCTGGTAGTTTGCATGGTGTCTGACTCCCTCAAAAATATAAAATATCTCATGACACCTCTGAGAATTCACTTGTGGTGCCCTGGGCCACCTCTGTACACAGTTTGGAGACTATGGGATCAGGGTATTATATACAATATCTTATATTTTAGTATAAGGTATTTAAGTATTCAAACTGTATTATGTGTGTGTGTGTGTATGTGTTTGTGTGTGTGTGTGTGTGTGTGTGTGTGAGAGAGAGAGAGAGAGAGAGAAAGAGAGAGAGAGAGAGACCCTGCTATTTAAAACCCAAGATGACTGCAGCCTTTTTCCTCTTCTAAGGGAGGCAGGCTAATTGATAAGAGTAGGGGAAAACATCGATATTATTCTGCTCTTTTCCTGTGGCTGGAGGGAAGAACAAAGAGTGAGACATAGCACAAGAATAAGTCTGCTGATGTGCAATGGGGCTGCCAGAATCTACTTTAGAATAGATTTTTAAAAAAGAGCTAAACTTTTCTGCATAATAAAGTGAGCAGTGAAATGAAAGAGAGAAGGGCATATGCAATATTGTGGGAGACTTGCACCCCCAAGCAGCACAGATAGCTGAGGGTATTTTTTAAGAATGATGGAATCTAAGATTCTGCTTTGTTGTTACTGTGCTATGAACACAGACCATCTCCCCAAACCTCTAGTGGTCTGCTCTACACATATACCTTGTATGAAGAGGTTTTTTTCGGTGGAAATCAAAGATGGCTGGAGTTTATTATTGGATCAGCCCAGAGAAGAGACTAGGAAGTGGTGATGTGTGAGTGACAGTGAGAACTCTGTGGAGACAGGCTCTCAAGGCAGAGTGACCACAACCATCAAGTTAGCAGGAATGCCCAGAAAGCCTGGGGAAGAGAGAGATAGAGGCTTGACAAGACATGCTGAGAGGTTGACTTAAGGCTTGGTAGATTATGACGGACTGAGCAACGGGCCACAGCTTGGGGAAGGTGGGAAGGAATCATTTACTGTAGAAACTGGGGTTCTGCATGCATTCAATGTCAATGTAGTGATTAGGGCTGAGATGAGAGACTGTAGAGTGTTTGTGGTGAGTCAAAAGACCCGGTCCCACGTGTAGGGCCAAGGCATGTGTATAGTCTGGATTCATAGGCAGAAGTGACATAAATCATGATCTAAGAATGCAGAACTGTACAGGTCAGCAGCAAAGATTATATATCAAATACTAGCCAGAATCTGAAGTGATTCCCTCTTGTGGCCAAGTCTAATTCTTGTTCCTGTTAGATGAGCAATGACCCATAAATTTCAGTATGATAAGAGAACCAGAGACCAAGCAAAGAGTTATTTTCTGTTCCAGTTATTGTCTACTCAAAACATGATGATATCCAACACTCTTTTAGAATAAAAACCCTCAGAAAACTAGGAATAGAAGAAAATTTCTGTAACATGAAAAAAGTCATTTATGAAAAACCCATAGCTAACATCACAGGCAATGGCGAAAGCCTGAAAACTTTCCCACTAACATCAGGAGAAAGAGAAGAATATTCACTGACACCCCTGCTATTCAACATTGTGCTGGAAATTCTAGCTAGAGTAATTTGATGAGAAAAAGAAATACAAAGCATCCAAATTGGAAAGAAATAAGTAAAATTATTTTTATTCACAGATGTCATGATTCTATGTATAGAAAATCCCAAATAATGAACAAGAAAACCACCAGAACTAATAAACAAATTCAGGAAAGTTACAGAGTACAAGGTCAGTTCACAAAACAAAAACAAACAAACAAAAAATCAATTGTGTTTTTGTGCAAGAGCAATGAGCAGTCTGGGAAGGAAATTAAGAAAGTAATTCCATTTAAAATAGCATCTAAAAGAATAAAGGAACTAGGAATAAATTCAACCAAGGAGGTAAAAGACTTGGACATTTAAAACTAGAAAACATTTCTGAACTATATTAAAGAAGACCTAAATAAATGGAAAGACATTTCATGTTCATGGAAAGATTTACATTGCTAAGATGTCAATATGGCTCAAAGCTATTTACAGATTCAATGTAATTCATATCAAAATCTTAATAGCTTTTTTTTTTTTTGCAGAAATGAGAAAGCCTACACTCACATTCATATGGCATTGCAAGGGGCCCTGAGTTGCTAAGACAATCTCTATTAAAGAAGAACAAAGTTAGAGTACTCACACTTTCTGACTTAAAAACACTCTTTAAAATTTAATTTTCTGATTTAAAAGCCATTGAAATCAAAACGGTATGGTGCTGGTATAAAAATAGGTAAATATATATACCAATGGAGTAGACTTGTGAGTCCAGAAGTAAACCCAAACATTTATGGCCAATTTATTTTGACAAAGGTACCAAGATCATTTAATAAAGAAATAATAATCTCTTCAACAGATGGTGTTGGGACATCTAGATTTCCACATGCAAGACAATGAAGTTTGGCCCCTACCTTATCCTATATACAAAGATTTACTAAAAATAGATCAACAACCTAAATATAAGAACCAAAATGATAAAACTCTTAGAAGAAAACATAGGGATAAATCTTCATGAGCTTAGATTTGGCAACGAATTCTTAGATATGGCACAAAACACACGAGCAACAAAAGAGAAAACAGATAAATTGTACTTCATCAAACTTAAACACATTTGTGAATCAAAGGACATTATTAAGAAAGTGCAAAGACACCCTACAGAATGGGAGAAAATATTAAATATTTGCCAATCATATATCTGAGAAGTGTTTAATATATAGAATATAGAAAGAACTCGTACAACTCAATAATAGAAAGACAACCCAATTTAACAAATGGGCAAAGGACTTAAATAGATACTTCTCTAAGGAGGATATGCAGATGATCAATAAGCACATGAAATGATGCCCAATATCATTATTCATTAGGGGAGTGCAAATAAGAATCATAATGCGATACCACTTCACACCTACTAGGATAGCTATAACACACACAGACACACACACACACACTTCCCAGAAAATAACAAGTGTTGGCAAGGATGTGAAGAAATTGGAACCCATGTATATTGCTAGTGGGAATATAAAGTGGTACAGCCATTGTGAAAAACAGTTTTTGAGGTTCCTCAAAAAGCCAAACAGAATGACCATATGACTCAGCAATTCCACCCCTATTACCTAGGTGTATGCCTGAAATAATTGAAAACAGGAACTCAAATAGACACTTGTACGTGAAAGTTCATGGCAGTAATATTTATAGTAGCCAAAAGGCCACACAACTCAACTATCTATCAACAGATAAATGGATAAGCAAACTGTGGTATATTTGTACAATGGAATATTATTCAGCCAGAAAAAAAGGAATGATACGCTAGAACAGGGGTGAACCTTGAAAACATTTTGCTAACTGAAATCAACTAGACACAAAAGGAAAAATATTATATGCTTCCATGTATATAAAATATCTAGAATTAGCAAATTCATGGAGACAGAAAGTAAAATAGAGGTTACTAGGGAATGAGGGAAAGAGAAATGGGAGGTTATTTTTTTTATGGGAGGTTATTGAATGAATACAGAGTTTTTGTTTGAGATAAAAAAAGTTTTCGAAAACAGTGATGACAGTTGCATAACATTGTGAATGTAATTAATGCCAATGAATTGTACACTTAAAATTAGTAAAAATTGCAAATTATACATACGCTCTATGTATTTACCACCATATATTTTTGTACAATAAAAATGTAGAAAAAGTTTGGGCAATATTATGTAAGTAAGCTGAGAGAGCAGATAAATATCAGAAAAAAATTAATCTGTTTTAGGGTCTTATAATTTTAAGATGAGAAAATCGAAATAAATCATTCAGTCAGAAAAAACCCCAAACATTATTATATACCATTCAGATATCACGTTTCGAACCCTTGATTTCTTTTTCCTTTTTTTTTTTTTTTTTTTTTTTTTTTGAGACGGAGTCTCGCTCTGTCGCCCAGGCTGGAGTGCAGTGGCGCAATCTCGGCTCACTACAAGCTCCGCCTCCCGGGTTCACGCCATTCTCCTGCCTCAGCCTCCTGACTAGCTGGGACTACAGGCACCCGCCACCATGCCTGGCTAATTTTTTGTATTTTTAGTAGAGACGGGTTTCACCGTGTTAGCCAGGATGGTCTCGATCTCCTGACCTCGTGATCTGCCCGCCTCGGCCTCCCAAAGTGCTGGGATTACAGGCGTGAGCCACCGCGCCCGACCGATTTCTTTTTTATTCATGAGTCTAAGCATATCTATATTCTCTGGATTCGAACAGTTCTAGGCCTCAAAGGAACGTGAGCTACTCTGGCCATTTTTTTTCTTCCTACTGCCTGTGTAATTATGGAATATTCTGGCCATTTTTGATGGACAGTGATGGCATCTGTTACTTCATTGGTGGGGCTTAATGAACAGGTTCCACTTATTTAGTTGCAACATCAAACAGAAAGCTGAGAAACTTTTGGACATAGATTTCCCATAAGAAATTTATGCTTTCTATGAATTCTGTAATGTGAAATTTTTCTTTCTGAACAAAAAGTGAACATGGAACTTGGCATGACTTCCTTTAGAATATTAACCATCACCATTTATTGTTTTCGTTATGTTTTTCTTCAAGAGGGTCTATAAACAGGAGTTTGGTAAAGAGTTTTTTTGTTTTTTGTTTTTTGTTTTTGAGACGGAGTCTTGCTCTGTCGCCCAGGCTGGAGTGCAGTGGCGCGATCTCGGCTCACTGCAAGCTCTGCCTGCCGGGTTCACGCCATTCTCCTGCCTCAGCCTCCCGAGTAGCTGGGACTACAGGCGCCCGCCACCACGCCCAGCTGATTTTTTGTATTTTTAGTAGAGAGGAGGTTTCACCGTGTTAGCCAAGATGGTCTCGATCTCCTGACCTCGTGATCCACTCGCCTCGGCCTCCCAAAGTGCTGGGATTACATGCGTGAGCCACCGCGCCCGGCCTGGTCAAGAGTTTTTAGAGCAGATAGTGATATAGGAAATCTGGTTGGCTGGGTCCTAGGGGTTGGAACAAAGGATGTTTGAGGCTGAGACAGGATCGAGGCAATGGGCGCTGGGTAGTGCGTGAGCCCTTTATGAGAAATCTGGGCAGCTAGGCAGAACCCAGCTACTGGGTGCCTGAGCAGCAGGTCATTTGCTGGGAGAGAGGAAGATGATAAGTAGCAAAGCTAATGTGGGTACTTAGTCAGTCTCTCGTGATCTGCCTGAAATCCTTCTTAAAGAATGAAATGGATTTAAATAAATGAAAAATAATGCTTCCTGAATGGGAGTGAACGTAAATATAGTTGAACCTACAGGTGAGAGCAAGGAGGGAACCTGGGCTAAAGGAAATTGGTGCAGGAAGAATCGCAAGTGCTCTTATGTTTGTGAAAACATTGTCTGTGGTAAGGCACTAATTAAACCTCAGTGCTCTGGTTGTTCATTGATGCAGAATTTAAGAGATATTCCTTAGTAAAATGTTCTGGTCATCTTGGAAGCCCTGTTGGCAAAACAAAGACGAAAATATCTTCATTTATCACTATATTACATCAACATGATAAGAATGGGAGTGTTAAGAGGGAAAAAACAAAGGTTCAAATGCTATGTTTTTAATCTAGAAAAAAGAAAATCTTCCTGGTTTTAATTACAAATTTTAGACTTTAAAAAATGAGTTTATCATTTGTAGTCTCAGGGAGAAAATAGTCCCCACAAAATAAAGAAGATGCTCTGCATAACATAGCCCAAAATAGATTTGGCGTTGTTCTAATAAAGAAGGATACTTATTCGATGTATATGCTCACTTGCCTTAGTAGCCAAGAGCAACATGGAGTTAAGTTTACTGTATGCTCAGAAATGTTCTAGGTACTTTAAGTGTATCCTGCTCAGAAATGTTCTAGGTACTTTAAGTGTATCAAGTTATTTAATGCTGTCTCTGAGCCAGGCACTGCTATTACCTCCACCCTAGAGATGAAGAAAATGAAACACCAAGAGATAAAACAATTTGCCCAACAGTCCACAACAGGCCACAGTCAGTGTTGAAACACCAGTGTCTACATCCAGAGTCCGTACTCCTAACTGCTGTATTATCCTACCTCTCACAACTAAAAGGAAAGGCCTTGGTTGGTGCTAAGAAATGATGCCAAATCGGTGCTTCCAAAGTGTGATCCAGAAGACATTGGTCCCTCACTATGTTTCATGGCACTGGTGAAATGCTGAATATTATATATCCCTCTTCCCCCCGTCCATTGCAGAACCAGAGTAAGTACTAGTATTAAAGGCTCTGAAAGTTTTGTCATAAATAAATCTTTTAATAATACTGGTACACCCAGCACAGGATCTTCATTTGTATAATATCTTATTACTGTGTCTCAAAATCAGTATTATATGGGTTACACTTTGAGAAATACTGCCTTAAAAAATAAAAACGCTGTGGTGATAACTGGCCATACTTCAAAAATACTTGTTGCTAACAGTTTCTTTGACTAATGCAAATCTGGAAGCCTAATTTTGAGAATCATATGTAGTAAGCAAGGCAAACCCATTATTTAGACTCAGTGAAATGAGCCTTAAAGATGATACCATACATTGTTCCTTGATCAAGAAAATATTATCCAAATTTGATTTTTCTTTAAACATCTTTTTTTAATTTTTGTGGGTACATAGTAGGTGTACACATTTATCATGTACATGAGATGTTTTGATACAGGCATTCAATGTGAAATAAGCACATTATGGAGAATGACGTATCCATCCCCTCGAGCATTTATTCTTTAAGTTATAAACAATCCAATTAGGTTATTATTGACTATAGTCACCTTGTTATGCTATCAAATAGTAGGTCTTATTCATTCTTTCTATGTTTTTGTGCCCATTAATCCATTAGTTATTTTTATCAATTAACACATTAGCCCATTAATTAACCCATTACCCATTAATTTTTCTAGGCTTAGAGATCTCTTTTCTATCTGCATTTATTTTATTTTGCTTTTCTCATATTCTTCTGGTCTTATGTTAGTCTGTATTGGCTTTGATCAGTTTCTTATTTCAGGACATTTTACTGCTTACAGATTATTTTGGGGTTCAGCTAATGAAATCTTTCAAAATTCACTTAAAAGAGCTCATCTTCATCAGCTGATTTTCATGAGTTTTTTTCCATACAGAAAATATGACAGAAAAATTTACTTGTCTTTAAATATGTATAAGCAGCTTGAGTCTGTTCTCTGGATGCTTCAGTGATGGAGAAGGGAGGTGGTTAGATCCTCCCTTTTTGGCTAAAAGAGTAATTACTGAATTGGTTGCTGAACTGAAAATGGATTTCCCAAAATTGTCAGAAATATGAGCCCTGTGAAAAATTCCACCCTCTGCTCCCTACTCTCCTGAATAACCCTATGCCCCATTTCTCAGGATCTGGTCCTTTTAAACCACTGTATTCTATATTTACAGTCTTTATATTGCTTTCTATATGACTGATATTACTATTAGGTAACAGTTTTAAATAGCAGTTTAAAAAGTTAAATGATTCTATGAAAATATTCTTTCTCCACTAATGTTGTGACAGATTTATAAATGTCAAAGCCATTATTTCTTTATAGAAATGAATTTAAGAGACACAAGTTCCATGAGTGACCATAAAATTATGACAGAATTCACAAGCCACAGAAATAAATTTGTTTCATTCTCTCATAGTCATATCACAAATAAGTTTTTTGCTTTGAGATGGTAGAAGTTTTGGGGGCCATAAATGCCTTCATATTTTAAAAAAATGCTTATGTTTACCTGCATGGGCCTAGTCCATGTTTCACATGAGGGCTAACTATATTTCTTGCCAGGTTATAGCCCAAACTGGAATTTCCTGTAAACCAGTTATAGGCTATGTGTTTATGTATATGCATATGTGTGTGTGTGTGTGTATGTGTTTATAAGATAAAATAATTTTTAAAGGTAAAACAGTGAGACATATCGCCCATAAATCCACTACCGTAAACAACCACTATTAATACTTCAGTGACTCTTCTTGCAACATATTTTTTTCTATCATACCCTTGCAGCACTGAGTATAGCATTAAGTTTTTTGTTCCTGTTGTTAATTTCATAGGTAAAACCTTTACTCCCTTAAATTTCCACTTCTTTAGTTATTATTGAGCCTGAGTATTTCTCCTAAACAAATTACAGGCTCTATTTTTTTCTTTTTTCTTGTTCTTTGTTCATATGATATATTTTTTTGCATGTTCTTGTATAAAATTTTGTTTTTCTCATCCATTAGAGACAGGCTATGTTTGAATCTTGGTTCCACCATTCACTAATTGTGTGTCTTGGGCAGGTTATTTAAGCTTTCTGCATTTTTGGCTTCTCATCTATGAAATGAGGTTAGTAGCATCTACCTTCCAAGGCTCAATAAACATTAAATGAATTAAATATGTGAACCACAGTGCCTGGCTGTGGTAGGCACAACGTTATGTGTTCACCATCCATTTCAGTTTTCCTTGGCATGGAGCTAAATGTATTCATAAACTCCAGCTCCCCAAGAATCTAGGTAAGGTCACCTAAGTCTCGGCAGTGGAATGTAAACAGAAGTGATGTGTCACTTGTAGACTGCTGCAGGTAAGTCTTCTTTATTCCATCCACACTGCTAGAAGTGAATGACTCTGAGATGAAAAGGTTACAGGATGGCAAGAAGGTGTTTCCCCAAATCATCACTTAGAGGAAAGGCACAAGGAAAAGCCACCTGACCCATATCAGATTCTACTAATATCTATCCGATTTTTTTTTTATAAAGCCACTGGGATTTGGGGGTTTATTGATTGTAGCAGCTAGAGTTATTTACTGTGCAATGCATTTGCTCATGGTAAATACTTCAGCAATAGAAGCTATCAACATTATTATTATTATTCACAATAAAAAGCGATGGCCAATGTCAGCTTTAGACTTGAATCATACTTAATATTAATTGGTCGGATGGATTAAAACAATTTCCTTCACTCTGAAAACCTTCTCTCCTTACCTCATTTTTTTTTTCCAGCTGTGACTCACCCTTACCTCATTAAAAAAGGCATTGTATGTCCTCAGGAGGCTGTGTTCATAAGAATGATAAAGTACAGTATTTTATATTTTATTATAATCAGTTCCATTTCTTTAAGGTCTCCACCTAACCTGTACTTCTTAAAGCCACTGGTTCTTATTCATCTGCATGCTTGCTTTTATGAAAAAGAAATTAATACAATATGTAGGTGGAAGGTACTGATTAGTAATGTTTGATCTATAGTCATAAATCTGTTTGGACATAATTTTGAGTATTTATAGACTAACAAACTTAAGTGCATGGACATGCGATTCCGTTGAAGTATTGCAAATTATTCACAGACAAATGAGTAGGTATAAGAGGCCTAAAGTAGTATGAAGTAGAACAATTTAACCTCATTTAAAAAGCCCCACATATTCCACGTATATATTTCTGGGAATGAGAAATAATTTCAAAGTGTTCTGATATCAAGTATTCTGTTATTTTTTTTAAAGGTTTTACACTAAGGACCCATTTAGTGGCTAGCATTTTGTGACTCTCACAGTACCCAGCTGAGGTGAATGGATGGGATGGTTGGTCGCTCTTGGTTGAATTAAATTACTTTTCTTCACAGTGACCTCTGGGGGATTCTACTCTTCCTTCAATCCACCAGTTCCTTCCCTTCTCATCTATTCTTTCCCAGATTTCTCACAAAGGCAAAAATGGCCCAAAGGGCTTTACTGTATAACCAGGTGTTGGGAGGCTGAAGTACTGATGGATCCCTTTCCCTGGATTTATTTTATTGTGGTCATGACTAATTGACTATTAAAATGGGAGTGAGGAGGACCTCTTGTCAGCAAATGAGGCATATTTGGGATTTATGGCTTTCCTACTCACAAAAAGGCACATCAAACTTAATGTAAGACACCAGGCACAACTACTAAGTACAATTAGTAAATGGGTAATCGCATTTTCATATTATTATCTCATTTGACCCTCATAGCAGCCTTTCCTGTGACATGGGAGGAAAATAGTATTATCTTCCTTTTATTGAAGAGAATACAATCAGAGATGGTAAGACAAGAGCCAGTATGTTCTGCTTAAACCTGAATCTACACCATGCTAATATTCCAAAAAGTATGAAGAACCTACTATGGCCAGGTGCCACTGTAATTGCTGTGTGACCTTGGGCAAGTTACTTAATCTATCTGTGCCTCAGTTTCATCAGCTGTAAAATGGAAATAATAATACTGACTTTATGGGGTTGCTGGAGGATTAAATAAGTTAACTCATATAGTGTCCGGAGAACAGTTCTGGGGCATAATATGCATTCAATAAGTATGTTATAATATATTGTGGTAATAAAAATTATTACTCCGAATTAGTAAGTAAAAGAATTTGGTTTCAAAACAAGGTTTTCTAACTCCAAATCCAGTGTTCTTTCAATCATAGCACAGCTGTCTCAGACTACCTTACTATTCTCCCAAAGTCAGTTAGGTGTCATACGACCCCACAGAATAAAGTTAGTATTATGTCTTATATCAATATCAACAATTTAGTGCTAAAATGCTAAACCACTACTTAAATATCATAAACATACACTAATGTACATGGTATTTTTATTCACCTTTTAAGATTCATAAACTGTAAAATTCATTCTCTTAGTTTACTTTTGAGTATTTTTTTTTTTAAGAGACAGGGTCTGACTCTGTCACCCAGGCTGTAGTTCAGTGGTCTAATAATAGGTCACCACAGCCTCAAACTCCTGGGCAATCCCACCTTAGCCTCCCAAAGCCTCAAGCAGAGTTTCCTGTGAATATTCTGGAAGGAATTTTTCTAACATTAGAAGTCAATATAAGCACATCTTGATTCAGGGATTTAAAACTACTCAGAAACCTGAATAATAATCCTTTATAAAAAAGCTTTTATTTTAGGTTTGGGGGACCATGTGAAGGTTTGTTATATTATATAGGTAAACTCGTGTCATGGGGTTTGTTTGTCAAGATTATTTAATCACCCAGATATTAAGCCTACCACCCAATAGTTACTTTTTTTCTGCTCTTCTCCCTCCTGCCACCCTCACCCTCAAGTACACCCCAGTGTGTTGTTTCCTTGTGTTCATGAGTTCTCATTATTTAACTCCTGTTTATAAGTAAGAACATATGGTATTTGGTTTTCTGTTCCTGTTTTAGTTTGCTAAGGATAATGACCTCCAGCTCCATCCATGTTCCTGCAAAAGACATGATCCTGTTCTTTTTTTTTCCATTCTTTTGGTACTTTTATTTTTTCTTTTTTTAAAATTATTATACTTCGATCTTATTCTTTTTTATGGTTGCATAGTATTCCATGGTGTATATCTACTGCATTTTCTTTTTCCAGTATCCAGAGAAATATAAATCATTCATCATAAAGACACATACATATGACTGTTCATTGGATAATAATTCTTATTCATTGATTTATTCACTCAAGAAGTATTTACTGAGTTCTTTCTACATGTAAGCATTGTGTTATTCTCTATGAAGATGAAAAGTGTCTTCAAGTTTCCTGACTTCAAAAGAAGAAAACATAATAATTTTGCTTGAAATTTCCATCTCAGTGATAACAATAAATGAGGAGAGAAAAATAACTGAATTTTTCCTAAATTATTTTTTAAAAGAGGGTGTGAAAAGGATGATAGTGTTATTGCTTCTCTAATTAGCATGTACTAAAACAACAACAACAAAATAATAGTCCTTCTCTCTGCAAAACCTACAACTCATTTTAATTCCTCAAATATTTGTTATTGACACAGCACATCACTAGGTGGACATAGTCCTTGTCCTCTAGCAATTTGTGGTATAGCGGAGCAGATAACGATAATACAAGGCAGAAAATGATCCCTGGTTTTCAAATGATATGTATTTAGACAAAGGTAATGTTGAAGTGATAGAAGTAAGCAAAGTTTTGTAAAAGAGGTAGTATGTAAACAGGGTCTTGAAAAGTAATTAGAATTTTGACAAGTGCTATCGTTGCAGGGACTAGAAAAGTTTAGTATAATACAGAGCTACTGGGCTGTCCAATATGGTAGCCGCCAGCCACATGTAGCTATTTAAATTTAAACTTAAACTGGTTAAAATTAAACAAAATAAAAAATTCAGTTCCTCGGTCACACTAGTCACCTTTCAAATGCTTTATAGCCACTTGTGGCTACAGGCTATGATATTGAGCGGCACAGAGTAGAACATTTTTATCATAATAGAAACATCTATTGGAAGGGGTGCTACAGGAGTGGGAATGAAGAAAGGTCAGGAGGTGGAAATAATGAATTATCTAAATTTCTGTCCAAGCCCTTAGATAAAACATCAGAAATAATAATATATCCACGTATTTCCTCCCCAAATCTAAATTGGAAATACATGCCTATGTAAGGATCAATGACTCAATTGTTTCAGTGGCAGGTCTGGTTCAATAATCATGCTGATTTCATACTATAAATCAATAATGAAGACATAAAACTTAACAGGCTTATCTAATTGCTTCATCTATCTGAGCATGCAGATCGCAGTGGCTGAAAGCCAGGCCCTAGGGCACAGCCAAATGTGGGTGCTGCTGCTTCTTCTGGCAGGAACCTGTTGTCTGAATGGGTCCATGCTGAATGACTTGGGGCTGTCACAGTTGCAGTTCACTAAGAGCATGTTCATTATTAAATTATTTACTTCTTTGGAAATAGTGACAGCATCCACTGCAAGCCTAAAAGGTAGTTAGACACTTGAGGAACTAAACTCTAAGAAACACGTCCTGTTCTTGAATATGGATGAACTGAGCAATGTGTGGCCACAATCATTGATAAACTTGTGAAGTGCAAACTTCATCATTTTGATAAGAGCTTCTGTTTGTTCTGTTAGAGGGGAGGTTTGGCTCAGCCTCCTAAAGTTGTAGTGGTGTTTTTACAGACAGCCAGGCAAAGGTCTCATTTTCCTTGAGGTACAAATAGGGCCAGGAAACCATATAACGAGGCTTAAGAAATCTATGGATTTTTGAGGACTTAATCTGGGAGGAGAACTACTTTCTCAGATACCTTAACTCCCAAGAAGAAAGTCCTTGTGCACAGAACTTGTGGGAGGCTCCATCCGCTGGTCTTTACCTTTGGATACAGTGTGCAAGTTTCATGACAGAATCATTAAGATAATCAAATTGTCCTAATTGTGGTGCAATTCATGGATGTACTCGTAAATTTAGGTAAAGTGAAACTTATCAGCATAGTTTCCATTCTTTAAAATAAATTGGAAAATATAGACTAAAAAAAAAAGAAAAAGAAATATATGGGACTCTAAAAGGTGTCCCTTCATTGGTTAAAAAAAAAAAAAGCAGAAAATCCAATTATTTGGGGAAATCATGGAATATGTTGGATCCATATTTTTTGATTGGTTGGATCCTCTGTTAATTTTAGACCCAGTTATTGCTTATAGCTTGAGTCTTTTAAAATATTACTCAATAAAAACAGACTTTTAATGTGCATACGGAGGCCGGTATGATGGTGCACGCCTGTAATCCCAGCACTTTGGGAGGCCAAGGAGGGCAAATTGCATGCGTTCATAAGTTTGAAACAAGCCTGGGCAACATGCCGAGATCCCATCTCTACAAAAAGTACAAAACTTAGCCGGCATAGCGGTGTATGCCTGTAGTCCCAGCTACTCAGGAGGCTGAGGTGAAAGGATTGCCTGAGCCTGGGAGGCTGAGGCTGCAATAAGCTGTGTTTGCATCATTGCATTCCAGCCTGGGAGACAAAGTGAGACCCTATCTCCAAAAAAATGTGCATATGGTATTTTTTTTGATACTATCATTAAGCATTTTATTTATACATGCTCACTGGACAACAGATAATTGTCCTCTCTTAAAAGAACTTGTGAATATCAACAAAAGGTAGTAAGGCAAACAGTGGGATACTAACTTTAAGTTAGTTTTTAAAAGTAAGATGTAACATATGGATAACTTACATATATATATTTGTTATATTGTTTTTCTTATGAAGGAAGCTTATAGAACCGTATTTTTTCTTTCCAAAGACTGGCATTTAGAAGAGTCATCTAAACTTTTTTTTTTTTTAAGACAGAGTTTTGCTCTTGTTGCCCAAGCTGGCTGGAGTGCAATGGCACGATATCAGCTCACCACAACCTCTGCCTCCTGGGTACAAGCGATTCTCCTGCTTTAGCCTCCCGAGTAGCTGGGATTACAGGCATGTGCCACCACGCCTAGATAATTTTGTATTTTTAGTAGAGATGGGGTTTCTCCATGTTGGTCAGGCTGGTCTCGAACTCCCGACCTCAGGTGATCCGCCCACCTCAGCCTCCCAAAGTGCTGGTATTACAGGCATGAGCCACGGCGCCCGGCCATCTAAGCATTTTTAGAGCTCCATAATGCTATGGGTTGGTGTATCAGAAAGGAATTGCTAAGCCATAAAAAGCATTTTTGCAACCCTAGTCATATATGAACAATTATTTTCATATAATGTTAACCAATGTCAAGAGAAAAAAATGAAGAAATATGCATACCAGGAAAACCTAGAGAAATGCAGATTTAATATTTTTCAGTTTATCATATTTTTGGGTGAATGCTTATAATGACACATGGTTTTCAATTATTTGGTGTTTCTCAACTTTGCATTTGCTTGAGACTATTCCCTCAATGAACTCAACATTTTCAAAGGATCAAAGGAGATTTTTTTTTCTTTTCTGAACACAGAAAACTGTGGAGAAAAAATTAATTTCAGTTTTCTTTATTTTCAGATTGCTCCTGTGTTTCATAGATGGGAAATCATACTGATGACTCAACCATATATAGCATTATTTTGCTGGTTCATGCTACCTCAGCGGAAAGTAACAAGGCTAATTATTTTTCTCTGCATGATAAAAATCTATTACATTTATTGAGAAGCCTACCAGTCGATAGACACATATTTATTTCAGGATAATCTAGCTCCTAAAATACTATCAATGACATTGACCTTTAGCTGGATTGCAAGAACAGAATACGCACAACTCATTTTTTCCCAGTTTCATAATTTTGGCATCCATATATTTTTTTTAGACAAGCTTAGGCTGCCTTTGCTTGGCTATGATAGATATTTTAGAATATCTCTGACTCATGAATATAAATAGTTGTGCAAAAATAAATTTCATAAAACCAGAGCTGGTAACAAAAATCACCTAGAGATCAACAACTCTGAAAGAATCTAGTGTCACATTCCTTGGTATGTCAGATTAAACTAACATGTGCCAGTCAATATTGCTACACTGCGACCCTTGATGCCTCCTAAGCAAAACTATTAAGTCCAACATTCTCTCCTGTAAGCACTTATCTGTAAGGATGGCTAACATGTCCTCTGAAGCAGATATTGAAACTGATTGGACAATAGGTAGATACCAGACAGGGGCCTGGGGGCTGACCTCTAGAAATAGGGGGAGAAAATCTTAATCTGCAACACAATGCCGTTCTCTTGAAACCCTATCATTTTCACTTCCCATGTGTCTGCTGCCTGACTGTGAATGGATTTGAAAAGGAATGGTTAGTGCTGAAAATTGGATCAGAGCTAACATTCTCTCATTTTTATCAGCAGCTGCCAAAGGTCATCTGACATAATAGCTGATGAATTCAAGCCCAGTGGATTTCATTTGCAATTTTCAATTTACTGAGGCCTCCAAACCCCACGGTGATAAAAGCTTCCCCTATCGTGGCCTGTCACAAACATCAAGAAACTGCACAAACCCACAAGAAAGAAAAAAGAGAAAGCTGTGCATCATCACAGCTATAGATAAGGAGAACAGGAAGAAATGGTATCATGCAGGAAGATGGGGAGCAGCCTGTGTGGCTAGTTCTCTAAATGCCAATTGAAACGAAAAGACTATGAGGAACAATCAAATAACTTCCACAGAATAACAACATGTTTCTTTGGAGCTTTTATGTGAAAATTGCCTTCTAATCTCTGACTTGACATGCTCCCACACAAAAATGTAAGTGTAAATATGCAAATAAATAAATGAATAAATAATCCTTGCTTACCTGGTCACTGGAAAGCACACTCTCTGTGCTGTATTTACCACAGTTTTGCTTTACAAAATGCATGCTCATAGAGGGTCTTTGATCATGGAAGTGTAGGCTCAGCACCAATAAATCATTTTTCTTAATTTTTTTTTTTGCAGATAAATGGTAGATCCTTTGATTGATTTGCCAGGGAAGTCAAAGGACTGACATAGCAACTACTTGTAAGTGGATCTAGATGTAGTACATATCAAAGATGCATTAGCAAGAAGAAGAAAGCCATTTTTCCCCCTGTCAAACTATTTACAATGAACTTAGGCAGGATCGGGAACTGAATCCTGTTCCCAGGCAGTTGTTCAAATTGAGCAAACCATATGTGTGTTTCTTGGAGAATAGCAAGTTTGATAACTCAGCAGGTCACCTTTGTCCTATCCTACTTGACTCATACCACGGCCTGGAAAAGGAGAAAGCAAATAGATGTCCACTGCTTGAGGTGTAGCTGCTGGGAGAATTTAGTTTCAAACGGAGATGTCTTGATCCTGTTTCTACCAAATAGGTTCAGGAAGGCTTATGAAGTTTGTCTGATGCAGTAAGAGGACTTGGCAGTGGGCATGTACCAACCTGCCGAATGCCAATATTTCTGATGACACGTGACAAGAAAATCTGAGAATGATATCAACAGGACCAGAATATTAACTTTATTTGTGTGTTGCTAACTGTGTGACAATCACAGTTTGGAAAGGAAAAGAGAATAATTCCTAGTTGAACTCATATGGCAGTGAGAGATTGCCTTCTGTAGAGTTATTCTTTAAAATTGTCGCAGCAAAAACAAAAGTAGGAGCTACTTGTTGTAAGTGAATCTTGAGTTCTTTGAAATTAAACTGTTTCTTAAGATTCTTCTATTAGCAAAAAAGTTAGCAATCTTTTAATTCTTCAAAGTCTCAACATAGAAAATAGTTTCCTCAGTAGTCGAAAATGACAGGAATTAACATTTTGAAATAAGAGAAATAAAACTTTATTCTAAAGCTGCAGAAAATGTGGAAAGTAACAATATTTTAGCATTTTAGTATTTTTCCCCTACACAAAATTATCAGGATGCCATTTTTTAAAGTTGCTTTCACCCTACCTTTTTTTTTTTTTTTTTTTTTTTTTACTTTCTATAGGTTCAATGAGAACTCTCTATGATTTGCAATTTCCATGGGTTCTCTTTCAATTGTTAGCGTAATACTGAGACCCCACTGATGGTAATATATTATTTAATGGGATCTTAATTTAGACAGGCTTCTGAAAAATACATACAATTTGGTAAGAGTATTTCATTATCACTGTGCTTCTATGGCAGTGATATAAGGCAAGCTGTACCAATTGGTCTGCAGTTACACAGCATAAAGGTTAATCTCTTTTATGTTCCTTTTATTAGAAAGGCAGATCTGAATCTTCGGGGCAGAGCCCTAAATTGTTCTTGTAGATGGATTGGTTCACAGAGACTCTTCCCTCTCATACCCTATGGGTAATTACATTCAGTCAGTCCAGAGTATTCACTATAGTTTGAATGGTACAAAAGAGCATTTCTCATTTCATTAATTAGTTCTTTCATTCCTTTATGCAGCATTTATTTAGTGCCTACTAAGCACAGGTATGTTGAGAACTATAAATAAGACTTTCCCCACTTTCAAGCAGTTTACAAAAGACAGGAGTAAAGAATGTTTTAAATCTGTCTTCTTTCTTACCCGCCCCACCCCCCACCGCCGCAAAATTGAGTTTATGTCATATATCTATTAACACTTTAAAATAATAAAAAGTTTATATTGAGAATTTGGGTGATGGAATAATACCTTTGGCAACCAGATAACATCTTATTTTGTGTTTCCCAATTTTTGGTAATATGTGCATCACCATAACTTTTTTTTTTTTTGCCAAATTGATATACACCCTATTCTTACTAAATAACTTTTCGTTGAACTCAGCTTTAAAAAAATTAAATAAATTCAGTTAGAAAGGCATCATTAGATATACTACCACAAACAGAAAGCCTGTATCACAAGCTATGAATAAAAAATAATTATAAATATAAGTATATAACTATTATTATTATATAACCACCTACATTATCTCATGTTCTATGGGCAGTAAAAGTATCACTCTTTGGAAAATACTGGTTTTGTGCATGGTGCTGATAAAAACTACTGCTGCAGATTTGACTGCCATGAGAACGCAAGCTCTGTGAGAACAGGTACTTTGATGATTTTCTTGCTGTACTCCAATTCCTAGAACAATGCCTAGCAAATATTAGGTGCTAAAACATAATTTTAAAATAAATAAAAGCCAGTTAGCTTCTGAAAGATCAAGTTGTATTTCTCCTATAGTCATACTCATTGTGCTTTATAATAATTACTTGTTTAATGCTTCTCATAATCACTGCACTCAAAAGCTTTGTTTTTCTTGTTCACTCCTGTTATAATCATTAATGCCCAGAACTATGTCAGGAACATAGTAGGTGCTCAATAAATATTCATTGAATAAAAGGACTTGCCGTTCTAAAGTCATACAGCTTCTATTGCCTCATTGGTCATTTTTTATTAAAGGAGCTCAGTTGACCAATATTGGCTTAAAGCTATTCAACATCTGGCACATTAAATAAAAAGAAAACTTTGTTGAATAAATAAATAAATAAATAAATAAATAAATAAATAAATAAATAAATGAACATTTTTGTGACACCAGAAAAAGAGAGTTAACCCTGTTTATGGAAAGACAGATCTTAAAGGGAGAACAGATAATTCTTTTCAATGCTTAAATGTAGTGCCAATTTTCAATTCTTGAAGTAGTCACCCCTGGCAAGGTTTTCTTACAATTTTACAAATTAAGATTGCACTAAAATTTATGTGTTTGTAGAAAAACTGACAAATATTGAGGTCAGCAAATTACACCAAATGGTACCAGCCAGTGATTTGATGGTATATTTTTATTTAAATTGCTTTTATGAATTCCTTGATTTACTTAAGAATCAAGCATCCTGACTAGACAAGTGATATTTACAAAATCTGAGTTTATGTTTTTCTATTACAAAGACATCCATAAGAAGAAATAGTGAAGAATTAGCTGCATTTCTCTGGTCCCCACCTCCAAAGGAGTATTGTCAATCACTGCCCAAAACATAAGCTTTTGTAGGTTTTGAATGCTTTGAACTGGAAAACGACTATTTTAGTGGATAATTAAAGGGTGTTACAGCTGATTGAGCTTGTGTAGAATCAGGAAAATTGGTGGGATTGGATGGACATATAGGTCACAACACTTTTCTTTTGTAATATTTTCTACTGCAAATGATTCTTCAGTTGAAAAATCAAGGCTTGAGCTAAGGTATCACAAACGGCTTGATAAAGTATGACTTGAAAATCAAACATTGGGAGAACTATGTTTATCATTTAACAAATCAGACTCAGCTGGAATGATTTCTTTAATAGACTAATTCCTTCTCATAAATTTACTGATTGAATTATGTATAACCTGTTTCATTTGAGCAAATCTTCATTTCTCTAATCTGTGCTATATGGAATAGGGTTCAGTAAAATATCAATGAGTATTTTGTTGAAAAGAAAATTTGGGGTCAGAAAAGTTTGGAAAATTTTGGGCTGAACAGATTTTAAAATCTGCCCTTCAGAATATATTGTGACCAGTCAATTTATAAAGGGTAATATTATCAAACATTTAAGTACTCACTACTCAACTCAATCAATATTTCCCATTTTTATAATATCTTTTAAGAAGTAATAAAATTAATTATTTTATTACTGTAATAAATGATTTTATTACATTAATGTCATATTTTATTACTGTAATAAAAATTATTTTATTACTGTAATAAAAATGATTTATTACATTAATGATTATAACAGGAGTGAACAAGAAAAACAAAGCTTTTGACCAGTGCAGTGATTATGAGAAACATTAAACAAGTAATTATTATAAATTAATAAAATATTACATTTAATTAAATGTCCCTCTATACTTTTTCCCACTTCCATTCTCCTCTTACTCTTTTCAAAGGCCATCAACATTCTAAATTTGCTACATTCCCACACATACTATCACAGAATACATGTATATAGTATTGCATGCCTTAAAAGTTATTATACATTGCATAATATTGTACAAAACTTCTGCAAATTTTCACTGAAAACTACATTTTGTGATATATTTATGTCGATACATGTAGGATGAATTCATTTTAACTTTATATTTAACTGTTAATATACATATTTTCAACTTTTTGGTAATATAAATAATGTGGCAAACTTCTTTTCTTGTTCCAGGATGTTTTTCTTCCTTCTTACTCTTGTGGTGCTCAGTGGGTGTACTCTTGTACACCTAGTGGAGCTCAGCCCCCCAAAATTTTAGACACCCTCCTGCTGTGAGGGTGGCTTCCAGCAAGTGCAGCAGCTGTCCCAGTGGGGATGTTCCTGATAAGTTCCACAGTCACTCTAACTAACTTCCCAGAGAGTTCAGGAGACCTGCTATGGCAAGCTTCCCAGAGAGGTCCATGAACACTCTACCCTGAAAGCTTAAGGATAGCTTTGGGCTTGCCATCTGGGAACCAGCTTTGACCAGGATCAACTCTGCAATCTTGTTTTCCATCCAGTGCAACTACAACTTTTCCAGTGAGGTCTGGGGAAGTCCCCCCTCCCAACCACCTTTTAAGTTTGTTATTTCCTTGGGCACTCTCCCTTAGCCCTACAGCATTCTTTATAGAATTCTTTTTCATTCCCTCTAGTGGTTAATCCTCTGTAAATAGTCTCTCTCTCTCTCTCTCTCTCTCTCTCTCTATATATATATATATATAGATAGATGTATACATATATATATGTATTTTATATATGTGTAAATATTTACATTTTACATATATTTACTATACTATTTACATATTTAATATGTAATATTTAATACTATTTACATTTATAAATGTAATATTTAATATAAATAAATATTTAATACTATTACATATATAAATATATATATGTAAATAGTCTCTCTCTCTCTCTCTCTCTCTCTCTCTCTCTCTCTATATATATATATATATATATATATATATATATGTATTTTAGACATGAGGCCTCTCTGTGTTGTCCAGGCTGGACTCCAACTTCTGGCCTCAAGTAATCCTCCCATCTTAGACTTCCAAAGTGCTGGGATTACAGAAAAGAGCCACCACACCTGGCTATAATGGTTACTAATCCTTTATATTAACTGTAGCTATTGTATTTTTAATGGTTATTAATTTATTAAGAGTTTCTATTGCTTCATGAGTCAATCCAGAAATTTATATTTTTCTAGAAAAATGTTCACTTCATCTAAGTTTTCAATAAAATCAGCCTAAGTAATTTATTTTATTTATTATTTTTTCTTTCTATTTTCTCTCCATCTTTATTTTATTTATTTATTTTATTCCCATAGGTTTTTGGGAAACAGGTGGTATTTGGTTACATGAGTAAGTTCTTTGGTGGTGATTTGTGAGATGTTGGTGCACACGTCACCTGAATAGTATATGCTGAACTCAATTTATAGTCTTTTATCCCTCGCTCCCTTCCCACCGTTTCCCCCTAAGTCCCCAAAGTCCATCTTATCATTCTTATGCATTTGCATCCTCGTAGTTTACTTCCCACTTATTAGTGAGAAGATGTGATGTTTGGTTTTTCAATCCTGAGTTCCTTCACTTAGAATAATAATCTCCAATCCCATCCAGGTAGCTAGAAATGCCATTAATTCATTCATTTTTATGACTGAGTAGTATTCCATCATGTATATATACCACAGTTTCTTTATCCACCCATTGATTGATGGGCATTTGGGCTGGTTCTGCATTTTTGCAATTGCAAATTGTGCTGCTATAAACATGCATGTGCAAGTGTCTTTTTCATGTAATGACTTCTTTTCCTCTGGGTAGATACACAGTAGTGGGACTCCTGAATCAAATGGTAGTCCTTCTTTTAGTTCTTTAGGGAATCTCCATACTGTTTTCCCAATTCCCATCAAAATACCACCATCATTCTTCACAGAACTAGAAAAAATAATCCTGAAATTCATATGAAACCAAAAAAGAGCCCACAGAGCCAAAGCAAGACTAAACAAAAAGAACAAATCTGATGGCATCACATTCCCTGATTTCAAACTATACTATAAGGCCATAGTCACCAAAACAGCATGGTACTGTTATAAAAACAGGCACATAGACCAATGGAACAGAATAGAAAGCCCAGAAATAAACCCAAATGTTTACCCAACCAATCTTTAAAGCAAACAAAATCATAAAATGGGGAAAGGACACACTATTCAACAAATGGTGCTGGGATAATTGGCAAGCCACATGTAGAAGAATGAAACTGGATCCTCATCTCTCACCTTATACAAAACTCAACCCAAGATGGAGCAAGGACTTAAATCGAAGACCTGAAACTATAAAAATTATAGAAAATAACATTGGAAAAACCTTTCTAGACATTGGCTTAGGCAAGGATTTCATGACCATGAACCCAAAAGCAAATGCAATAAAAACAAAAATAAATAGCTGGGACTTAATTAAACTAAAGAGTTTCTGCATGGCAAAAGGAACAGTCAGCAGTGTAAACAGACGACCCATAGAGTGAGAGAAAATCTTTACAATATATACATCCAATAAAGGACTAATACCCAGAATCTACAAAAAAACTCAAACAAATTAGCAAGAAGAAAACAAGCAATCCCATCAAAAAGTGGGCTAAGGACATGAATAGACAGTTCTTGAAAGAAGATATACAAATGGCCAACAAACATGCGAAAAAATGCTCAACATTACTAATGATCAGGGAAATGCAAATCAATACCACAATGTGATACCACCTTACTCCCTCGAGAATGGCCATAACAAAAAATCAAAACATAATAGATGTTGGTGTGGATGCAGTGAATAGGGAACACTTCTACACTGCCGGTGGAAATGTAAACTAGGACAACCATTATGGAAAACAGTAGTATAGTATTTATTATTTTTTAATAATCTTGGTCGGTCATGGTGGCTCATGCCTGTAATCCCCGCACTTTGGGAGGCCGAGGCAGGCGGATAACGAGGTCAGGAGATCAAGACCATCCTGTCCAACATGGTGAAACCCCGTCTCTACTAAAAATACAAAAAAATTAGCCAGGCCTGTCGGCCTGCGCCTGTAATCCCAGCTACTCAGGAGGCTGAGGCAGGAGAATTGCTTAAACTGGGGAGGCTCACTGCAGTGAGCCAAGATCATGCCACTGCACTGTAGCCTGGTGACAGAGCGAGACCCTGTCTCAAAAAAAACAAAAAACAAAAAACATAAAACAAAAAAAAACCTCTACCATAATATTTAATTGATTCCTTTTTATTCCTAATGTTATTTGTGCCTGAATATGTGCTTGTGCTCCTTCCCCCCTCTCTGTCTCTCTCTCTCTCACTCTCCCTCCACCTCTCCTGCTAAAAACCAGGTTCTGTCAATTCTCACTAGTGTTTTTGTTTTTATTTCATTGATATCTGTTCTATTACTTGTATTTCTTTTTATTCCTCTGTTTTATTAGGGTATAGCTGACAAATAAAAACCGTATACATTTAAGGTGTACATATGATGATTTAGTATATGTATACATTGTGAAATTATTACCACAATCAAGCTAATTAGCATTATTACAGGTTTTTCTTTTGTTGTAACTTCATTGAATTTACTGTTTTTTCCAGCTTCTTGATCTCTCAACTCTTGTATTTTCAGAAATTTTAGCTTCAAAATATTTTTATATTTACAAGAGATTTATGCCTTAAATCAAAAATATTTATGGTTATATTTTAAAGTCTTTTAATGTACACTTTGTAAAAGTGTTTTTGTTGTTCATTTCTAACAATTGCATTATGGGTTGGAGACATGTAACATATCTATTTGATGACATTTTTTGATATTTGCTTTGTGACCTAGTAAATAGACAACTTTCATAAATGTTCCATGCCCTTGGACATTATTTTATTTACAGGATGTTGTGCCTAATCTGTGTCTAATCTGCTATTCCTTTGTGTGCTGGCTTTCATTTTTTCTTTTGAGAAAGCAGCTATCTTATTTTTTAATGTTTTTAAAAAACATTTAAGAAGCCCTCAAGAAAGTGAAGGTTTGTGGGTCCAATATCCAGGGAAAGAAGAAACCTATGTGTCCTAGATAAAATTTATTATTTTGGCATTCAAATCTTTTATAATGCTGTTAATGTTTTGTCTGCTTGACCCATACATTTCTAAAAGAAATGTCTCAGAATATCACTCTAAAAATGTACACTTGCCAATTTTTACTTGTAATTTGTCATTTTTTGTTTGGAACATTTTAAAGCTGTGATGCTGGGTACATAACAGTTCATTATTGTTATATCTTTTCAAGGGTTTGCTCTTTTTATTATTATGTGGAATGCCAATCTATCATTAATAATGCTTTTAGTTGAAATTCTATTTTGTCTTACCAGCTTTCTTCTGATGAGTGTGTTCCCTGAGAGAAGGTAAGTCATGCAAAGCCTTGTAAGTAAAGAGTTTTTTTTAAGCTTTTCTTTTAGTGAGATAAGAAACCATCAGAGGATTTAGAACGGAAAAAATGGCATGATATGACAGATGTTCAAAAGAGTCACCTTGACTGTTGTGTGAATAGACAGAAGTGGGTTGGGGTGGAAGCAGGAAGAATAGTTAAGTCTATTGTAATAAAATTGGCAAGAGATGATGGGAATTTACACTGCCTGAAATGGCAATCTAAGCTGTTTAGGATCAATTTTCCTGCTGAGAATGACTGGTTAAACAGGACAAAATATACTTTTTGAATCCAGAAAAAACATTTAAGAAGCCCTCAAGAAAGTGAAGATTTGTGGGTCCAATATCTAGGGAAAGAAGAAACCTAGAGAACTGAGTCCAACATTTGTTTGGCTCTCCCCTTCAAGGTGTTTGCCAATTCTAAAAGCATTGCAAACAGGCCAAGAAGTTGTGCAAAGCTTTCAGGACTCTCAGAGCCCACCAAGGAGGCAAGACCTTGATAATAACCCAAATTGGTTTGTGAACCAGAAAGTCTGTGTTATTAGAGTAAAATTAACCCAGAACTAGGTTACAGGGATTAAAGCCAAGCTTTGAACAAATTTATTTCCTAGTTCATCACATTTCAAGGTGACACGAGATCAGGGGTGGTCATAGCCTAAATTTTTGCCAGAAACAATTGTAACTTGTCACTAAAGAAAGATAATGTTATCAGAAGCTTCAAAATATCTTTAAAATATTAATGAGAGAGATGAGAAGATATGACACGACAAAAAGTAGATACTAGAAATAAATATACTGGAGATATGGAAAATGAAGTTATCAGACATAAGTTTAAAAATAATTATGTTCCATATGTCCAAGAAATTAAAAGGCAGGATGAAGCATTTTAATAGGAAATTGAAAACTATACAAGAAAATCAAATAAAAATTTTAGAAGGCTGGGCGTGGTGGCTCACGCCTGTAATCCCAGCACTTTGGAAGGCCGATACAGGCAGATCACCTCAGGTCGGGAATTCGAGACCAGCCTGATCAACATGTAGAAACCCCATCTCTACTAAAAATACAAAATTAGCTGGGTGTGGTGGCACAGGCTTGTAATCCCAGCTACTCGGGAGGCTGAGGCAGGAGAATTGCTTGAACCCAGGAGGCGGAGGTTGCAGTGAGCCAAGATTGTGCCATTGTACTCCAGCCTGGGGAACAAGAGTGAAACTCCATCTCAAAAATAGAAAAATTAGAAATAAAAATATAATAATTGGGTTTAATAGCACATTAGACACAGTTTAAGAAAGAATTTATGAAGTGGAAGACAGCTCAAGAAAAAACATCAGATAAGCATGGAGAGACAAAAGAATGGAAAATATAGAAAAGAAGCATAAAAGGTATATCAGATACATTCGTAGAACAGAGAGTAGAGATGAACTAGGAAAGTGGCAATATTTGAAAAGATAATGACTGAGAACTTTCTAAACTATTAAAAGATATCAAGCCACATTTTAAACAAGCATGGTAAACACTACATAGAATAACTACAAAGACAACCTGAGTTAGGCTGTTTTCGCATTGCTCTAAAGAAAAACCTCAGGCTGGGTAATTTTTAAATAAAAGAGGTTTATCTTGGATCATGGTTCTGCAGGCTGTTCAGGAAGTATGACACTGGAATCTGCATCTAATGAGGGCTCAAGAAGCTTCTAATCATGGCATAAGATAAAGGGGGAGCCAGGACAGCACATGGCAAGAGCAGGGACAAGAAAAATATGGTAGGCCCTTTTAAACGACTGGCCCTTGTGTGAACCTGTAGAGTGAGAACTTGATCATTGCTGCAAAGACAGCACCAAGCCATTTATGAGGGATCTGTCCCCATGACCCAAACACCTCCCACTAGGTACACCTCCAATATTGGAGGTCACATTTCAACACGAGATTTGGAGGGGACAAACCATCCAAATCATATCACAACCACCCCAAAGCACATAATAGTGAAAGAACTGAAAACCAATTGAGGGAGAAAAATCTTAAAAGCAGAAAGAAAAAAACCATATTACCTTAAGAGGCAAAAATAAGATAGCTGTTTTCTCAAAAGAAAAAATGAAAGCCAGCACACAGAGTAATTATGTTTTTAAGACACTGAAAGAACTTTGCTGTCAACCTAGAATTTTATACTCAGTGAGAATATCTTTTTAAAATGAAGCCATTTTCTCCAGCCTGGGTGACAGAGCAAGACTCTGTCCCCCACCCCCGCCCCCCCAAAAAAAGGAAGCCATTCACAAACATGACCAAGAAATAAGATATCAACATGCTTATGAATTTTATAATAATAAAAGTTTCAACTCACCAAAAGATTTAAAATTCTGACTTTGTATGCACCTGATGACATAGCATGAAAAATATATAAAGTAACAATTGACAAAATTAAAAGAAGATATAGACAAATTTGCAATCATGGTGGAATAATTCAACATACCTGTCTCAGTAACTGATAGAACAAGCAGACAAAAAATATGAACAGAAGATTTAAATACAATTAACAAACTGAACATTTCACCCCCAAACTACTTTCTTTTCAAGTGAACATGGAACATTTGTTCCAATTGATGTATAGTAAAGTATAAAGCAAAAAAACAAAAAAATTCAAAGCATTGTCTCTGACTACACTGGATATATACTAGATGTCAATAACAATAACAAGGCTAAAAAATTCACAAAATTTAGGAGTTAAACAATAAACTACTAAATGTGCGGGGGGGGGGGTCAAGGAAGAAATCACTCTGGAAATTAGAAAATATTTGAATTGAAGGATAATAAAAATGCTACATATCAAAAGTTGTGGATTCAACTAAAACTATGCTTTGAGGGAAATTGATATATATATTAGATGAGAATAAAGATTAAAATATTAGATGAGAATAAAGATTAAAAATAAGTATTTAAGCATCTACCTCAAGAAGTTAGAAAAGAAAAAGAAAATTAAATCTATAGAAAGTAAGATTGATTTAAAAGAGAGAAAAGGGAGAGAGAAGGTATACCTACTCAATAGCAGGACAATACTACAGATCTTACAGATGTAAAACTGACAAATTAAAAGATTATAAACAGTATTATGCCAATACAAAATCAGATAAAGAATACAGTCTTAGAAAAGTATAACTAACCAAGAGGAAATTTAAAAAATCTAAATAGTACTACATTTATTAAAGAGACTGGATCTATAGTTTTAAACACCAGGCCTAGATGGCTTCATCAACAAATTCTATCAAATTTTTGAGGAAGAAATAAACCCCAAATTACACAAAATCCTCCTAAAACAACAGAAAAGAGGGAAAACTTTCTAAGACATTACATGAAGCCTTGATATCAAAACTTAATATGAATATTATAAAAAATAAAATTATAGAGCACTTTCTCTCTCTCTCTCTCTCTCTCTCTCTCTCTCTCTCTCTCTCTCCCTTTCCTTGTTTATTTCTTTCCTCTTTTTCTCGGGAACATAGATACAAAAATTCCAAGCAAAATATTAGCAGACCAAATCTAGGAATGCTTACAAAGGTAATATATTATGACCAGGCTGAGCTTATTTCAGTAACGCAAGGCTGGTTTAATATTTGAAAATTATTTCTTTTAAATCATCACATTAGTGAAATAATTGGGAGAAAAATCATGTGGTAATTTTAATAGGTCCAGAAATAGCAGTGGATAAAATTCAACACCCACTCATGTTAAACATTTTCAGCAAACCAGAAATAAGCGGTGTTATGGATGGAATGTTTGTGTCCCTCTGAAATTCATATGTTGGAGTCCTATCCCCCAACGTGATGGTATTTGGAGATTAGGTCTTCGGAAGGTAATAAGGGTTAAATGAGGTCATAAGGGTAGGGCTTTCAGGGTGGCAATAGTCCCCTTTAAAGAAGAGATACCAGAGAGCTTGCTCTCTTTTTCTCCACATACACACATCATGGAAAGGCCATGTGAGGACACAGTGAGAAGACGGCAGTCTGAAAACCAGGAAGAAAACCCTTCTCAGAACCTGACCATGCTGGCACCCTGATCTCAGACTTCCAGGCTTCAGAATTATGAGAAAATTAATTTCTGTTGTTTAAGACACCCAGTCTGTAGCATTTTTTAAATGGCAGCCTGAAAAGACTAAGACAGGAGGGAACTTCCTTAAACTGAGAAGACGCATCTACAAAAAACCTACAGAAAGTATGATAACATATGATAAAATCTTGAAAAAGTTCCCTCTGAAATGTACAATGACACATGGATGCCCTCTATTACTACTTTTCAGCATTGTATTGGGGGTGCTTGGGCAATGGAATAAGGCAAGAAAAATAAAAGGTATAATGTTTAGAAAGGAAGAAATAATATTATCATTATTTGCAGATGACATAATTGTGTATGTAGAAAATACAAAATATTATACAAATAAGTTCTTAGAATTAATGTTTTAAAAGAATGTTGGCTATAAAGTCAATATATAAAAATAAATTGTATTTCTACATAGCAGCAAAAACCAACTAGAAAATAAACTTAAGAAGTGATATTATAGGCGATAGCATCAAAAATCATTAAATGCTTAGAAAAGATGTACAGGACCTCTACAAACAGAATAATCACAACTGGGAGAATTTTTAAAAACTTAATTTAATGGAAGAATATAGCATGTTCATGGATTGAAAGATTTAATATTAAGATGTCATTTGTCCTCAAATTGATTCACAGATTAATGCAATTCCAATCAATATCTCAGTTATACACTATGGAAGGTAGTAGGATTAGTAAAGAATTGAGTCTCATCAAAATAAAGCTTTACTGAACAACCCAAAGGAGTCATCTAGCCCCATTAAGTCAGCTGAGTCAAGAAAGAAAATCCAGTTTTGAAAGACCTGGACTTTAAGGTGTGAGGAAAAATAAGGAATTACTAAGCTAAATTAAGCTGTATGCAGATGAGAACATGAATGTTTCTTTTGTGCTTTATAGATGCACCTGCCTTTCATATCATAATTTCTTTGACGGCACCCAGAATCCTGATACGAAGGGTTATCTTTCGCATTCTACTGGTGAGGAAACTAAGGCTCAGAGAGCATTTACGAGGTCATAGAGACTTGAAATTCTAGAATGGGGTAAGAACACATTTTCCCCCTGGATTTGTGTTCATAGCTCTTTCCAGAAAAAGATGTCGAAAACTAATGTATATGCACCACTCAGGGCATGCAGGTACATAAATAAATACTATTTAAATTTAAGGTATATACAATTGCAAAAAAGAAGATATGCACAAATGACTATTGCAAAAGGCAGAAAAGGATAAATGCATGCTTTTGTATACACTCTTCCCTCAGCTTGGAATGCCTCTTGTGCCTTTATTCTCTGGCAAACTCTTGGTTGTCCTAAATTTCACTGTAGCGTTTTTTTTCCTCTGAGTGATTTTCCCTTCCATACAAGCAGAGTTCAACATTAATTTCATTTGCAGAAGTAGTATTATACAGGGATTAAGAGCAAGGGCACTGGAGTCATACTCTGAGTTTGCATCCTAGTTCTGACATTTAAGAGTTATTTAACTTTAGGTTACTTAGCCTCTCAATACCTTTATTTTCTTATCTGTAAAAAGAGATAATATTAGTATCCATCTTATAGGATTATTGTAAAGATTAAATAAGTTAATATATGTAAAGTGCTAGAACAGTGCCTGACACACATTTGGTATTACATAGATGAAAGCTGTGATTAATACTATTCAAAAATACTTATTGTGTGCCTACAAGATGCCAGGGAATATGATAAACTTAGTTGATAGGCAGATGTGAAATAAACAATTCCCTGTTTTGTAGTGGGGGTGACAGGCAGCGGGTAAATTACTAAACAAGATAATTTCCAATTTCAAAATTTCTACGAAGAACACACACACACACACACAGGGACGTAATAGAGGGTAGTAGGGTGTGGGTGTTTTCTTGAAGTAGGACGGTCAGAGAAGTGGTATTTAAGCAATCAGAGGAGAGCATACATCTTCATTGTTAATAACGGAAAATGAGAAGAGCCATGAGGAGATCCACGGGCAGAATGTTCCAGGCTAGAGGAAAAGATGATGAAAAATGCCAAGATTAGACAAGTTTGGCATATCTAAGAATGGAAATGAGATCAATGAGGGTGAAAAGTAGTGGAGGGCATGAGAGAGATGGAGAATGAAGCTGGTGAGGGAAGCGGATGTTGGATCATGCAAGACTTTGTAGGCCATGGAAAGAGCTGCTGGTTTTACGAATAGTTGGAAATCATTGGAGTAAGTTATAAGCAGTAAGAAGATATGATTTGATTAACGTTTTAGAAAGCTCTCCCTGACTTTTCTGTGGAGAATGGTTGCAGGAAGGCAGGACTGCAAGCAGAGACTATTAGGGAGACTGATAGGGCAAGAGATGGTGGCAGTAGTGGAAATGGAGAAAAGGGGACCAATTCACGATATGTTTTGGAAATGCAGTTTACAGGCTTGCCAGTAGGCTGGATGTGTGGGTTAAGGGAATGACAGGACTTCCAAATGACCAACTGGATGATCTAATCATTTCTTTGGGACATTGGTGGATTTAGAATATGCTTCTCTTCTTTATTTTTTTCACACAAATTCATAATGAACTATTATTTAGCTTCTTATTTCCCATTTACACTAATTGCTTCTTGAGGACATGAAATTTATTTGTGTGTGTTTGTGTATGTGTGCAGTTGTATTTCTAGAGTAGAGTGTCTTTTTTTTTTTTTTTTTTTTTTTTTGAGATGGAGTCTCACTCTGTCACCCAGGCTGGAGTGCAGTGGCATGATCTCAGCTCACTGCAGCCTCCACCTCCCAGGTTCAAGTGATTCTCCTGCCTCAGCCTCCCAAATAGCTGGGACTACAGGCGCTTGCCACCATGTCTGGCGAATTTTTGTATCTTTAGTAGAGATATGGTTTCACCATGTTGGCCAGGTTGGTCTCGAACTCCTGACCTCAGGTAATCCACCTGCCTCAGCCTCCCAAAGTGCTGGGATCACAGGCATGAGCCACCACACCCGGCCAAGTACAGTGCCTTATACATGCTACATGATCAATTAATGCTGGTTAGATTGAACTAAAATAGCACTAGGAGAAGTACAAATGAGGGAATGAGAATGGGAGAAATTATTTGCAGCCCAGGAAGGAACCAAGTGAAGCTTTTTATACTAATGACACATGAGATGGAGCTTTCACGGATAGCTGAATGTGGTTACACAACAATGAAGAAGAGCCTTCCAGGTAGAGAAAACAGTGTGTACAAAGTAGAAAAGTGGGGAAGCCAGGATGTGTCCAGTGTAGAATCCTGTTTGGCTGCAGCACACACAGTGTGAAAGAGAGCACTGGGAGGTAAAGTTTTAAAGGAGGTTGATGCCAGACCTTGAAACACTTTGTATGCCAGGCCAGGAAATCTGAGCTTCCTTCAATAGGCCCTGGGGTGTGGTGGGATGGGAGGCATGAAAGGTTTCTGAGGAGGGAGTATTATAATCTGATTAGAGCTGTGCATTAGGACGTTTAATCTGGTATGGTATGAAAGACAACCCTCATTTTCCATGGTTGTAGTATCTCCCTTACTCCTGTGGTCACTGTGCCATTATCCTCTAACCTCTCATCTGCAGTATTTAATCTTTCACTGGGTTGACTGATGGAGAAGCCATAACTCTTTTCATTAAGGATCACAACTTGATTAGCATACCAAATCAAATTACGTATTTCTGGCTTTTTTCATATGCCATTTTTACACACACACACACAGAGAGAGAGAGAGAGAGAGAGAGAGAGAGAGAAAGAGACTTCTCAAGGCTTGGCTTTCTCTTTCTCTCTCTACTTTCCATTCCCGGGATATGTCTCAGGCGTCTTCTCAGAGTCACATGGCCGTGGGGAGAATGACCAGTTCGGGTTCTGCTGAGTTCTCTGCCACACACTTGCCATGCTTCCTTGCTTATCACATTGCCCAGGATGCTCTGAGAGTCACACCCCTATCATTTTGTAATCTCAGTTCAGCTTTTTGGAAAGTAATTTTTTCATCTCTAGTCTGAAAACATGTTGTCATAGAGCTTTCCTTCTAACAACAGAGATCCCTCTATCTCTCTCTTTCTCTTCCAAGTAGCTTCTTTCTATAAAAGACATTTCCCAGCCGGGTGCAGTGGTTCACATCTGTAATCCCAGCATTTTGGGAGGCAGAGGCAGGTGGATCACGAGGTCAAGAGATCGAGACTATCCTGGCCAACATGGTGAAACCTTGTCTCTACTAAAAATACAAAAATTAGCTGGGCGTGGTGGCATGTGCCTGTAGTCCCAGCTACTTGGGAGGCTGAGGCAGGAGAATCGCTTGAACCTGGGAGGCGGAGGTTGTAGTCAGCTGAGATCATACCACTCAGCCTGCAGGACAGTGTGAGACTCCGTCTCAAAAAAAGAAAAAGATATTTCCCTTCTCATCACAGGTATACTAGCAATTCAAAGGGCAACTGCCCAAGCAGAAAGTCCCTTTTCATCTCTTTACTTCTTCCAAATTCACTACCTATGGATTACACATGTATACCCAAGAAATGTTGAGCTGTCAGATTGAACAAAAAGACCAAAATAGTTATTCTGACTGCATCGTTACAGGAAAATAAAATATTTCTAAATGACAAAGTATTCATTTTTCTTTCTTTTGAGAGCCATTCTTGTTGGGATGAATTTCACTTAAATAAATAATTAAAGAAATTGTTTTAAAAAATGCTTTAGCCACCACTTGAGTGTGACAAATATATTGATGCTTTAAGCTTCAAAATAAAAGTATACTGAAATGCCATTAAAAGGATATTTTAAGTACTTTTCCTTTATTTAAGAAGTATTATTTTCTGTATATTTATTCTAGAAAATATAAAGGCCAAAGAAGAATATAAAAATCACCATCCAAAGATAACTATTAGATTTACCACATAAACAGAATTAAAAATCGTATGATAATCTCAATTGACGCAGAAAAAGCCTTTGATAAAATCCAACATCCCTTCATGATTAAAACCCTCAACAAGCTAGGCATCAAAGGAATTTACCTCAAAATAATAAGAGCCATATATGACAACCCACAGCCAACATCATACTGAATGGACAAAAGATGAAAGCATTTCTCTTGGAAACTGAAACAAGACAAGGACACCTACTCTCACTACTCCTATTCAACATGGTACTGGAAGTCCTACCCAGAGCAACAGGCAAGACAAAGAAATAAAAGGCATTTAAATAGGAAAAGAAGTCAAATCATCTCTCTTCACTGATGATATGATTCTATACCTAGAAAACACTAAAGACTCCACCAAAAGGCTCCTGAAACTGATAAATGACTTCAGCAAAGTTCCAGGATACAAAATCAATGCACAAAATTAGAAGCATTTCTATACACCAATAACATTCAAGCTGAGAGCCCAATCAAGAATGTAATCCCATTAACAATAGCCACAAAAAATAAAATAGCTAGGAGTACATCTAACCAAGAAGATGAAAGATCTACACAAGGAGAACTACAAACCACTTTTGAAAGAAACCAGAGATGACACACATAAGTGGGAAAAAATTCCATGCTCATGGATTGGAAAAATCAATATTGTTAAAAAGGCCATACTGCCCAAAGCAATCGATAGATTCAGTGATATCCATTTCAAACCACCAATGTTATTTCTCACAGAATTAGAAAAAACTATTCTAATATTTATATGAAACCAAAAAAGAGCCTGAATAACCAAAGCAACCCTAAGCAAAATTAATGAAGCCAGGGGCATCACATTACCTGACTTCAAACTATACTATAAATCTACAGTAACCAAAACAGCACGGTACTTGTACAAAAATAGACACATAGACCAACAGAACAGAATATAGAACCCAGAAATAAAGTCGTACACCTACAGCCATCTGATCTTCAACACAGTCAACGAAAACAAGCAATGGGGAAAGGACTTCCTAGTCAATAAATAGTGCTGAGATAGCTGGCTAGCCATATGCAGAACTATGAAACTGGGCCTCTACCTTTCCCATATACAAAAATCAACTCAAGATGGATTAAAGAAAGATTTAAATGTAAGACCTCAATCCATAAGAACCCTGAAAGAAAATCTAGGAAACATCATTCTGGACATCAGCCTTGGGAAAGAATTTATGTTTAAGTCCTCAAAAGCAATTGCAACAAAAACAAAAATTGACAAGTGGAACCTAATTAATCCAAAGAGCTTCTACACAACGAAAGCAACTACCAACAGAGTAAACAGACAACCTACAGAATAGGAGAAAATATTCACAAACTATGCATCTAACAAAGGTCTAATATCCCGAATCTATAAGGAACATAAATAATTCAACCAGCATGAAACAACCCCATTAAAAAGTGGGAAGAGAAAACAATCAAACACTTCTCAAAAGAAGACACACAAATTTGGCCAACAAACATGAAAAAAAATGCTCAACATCACTAATCATCAGAGAAAGGCAAATCAAAACCACAATGAGATGCTATCTCACACCAGTCAGAATGGCTATTATTATGAAGTCAAAAAACAATAGAAGTTGGTAAGGCTATGGAGAAAAGGGAATGCTTATACACTGTTGGTGGGAATGTAAAATAGTTTAGCCATGATGGAAAGCAGTCAGGAGATTTCTCAAAGAACTTGGTAAGTACCATTCAACCCAGCAATCCCTCTACTGGATATATACTCCAAAGAAAATACATAATTCTACCAAAAAGACACATGCACTCAAATATTCATTGCTGCCCTATTCACAATAGCAAATACATGGAATCAATCTAGGTGCCCACCAACAATGTATTGGATAAAGAAAATGTGATGCATACACACCACGGACTAGTATGCAGCTACAAAAAGGAACAATATCATGTCCTTTGCAGCAACATGGATGCGGCTGGAGGCCATGTTCCCAAGTGAATTAATGCAGAAACAGAAAACCAAATACTATATGTTTTCACTTATAAGTGGGGGATAAACAATGGGTACTCATAGACATAAAGATGGGAACAATAGACACTGGGGACTACTAAAGGGGGAAGGAGGGAGATGGGCTAGGGTTGAAAGACTACCTATTGGATACTATGCTCACTACCTGGGTGATGGGATCATTCATATCTCAAACCTCAGCATCATGCCATATAGCAGGTAACAAACCTGCACATATACCCCCCTGAATCTAAAACAAAAGCTGAAATTATATTAAAAAATGTATTGCTCTTAAGTCTGAGAACTGGTTACATGGTTCTGTGTTTTATTATAAGACACAGAACTTTATTTTTTTAATTACACAGGTAAAACATGTCCAAATATATGTGGAAAACATGTATTTAAACATACCCAAATATGGAAAATACGGAAAATATTTGGGTATATATCCATATATACTTAAAGTATTCACGTGTGTGTGTGTTTATGTATATACATATATTTTAAAATTAGAACCATTAAACCTGAAAACATGTTGTCATAAAGCTTTCCTTCTAACAACAGAGATAGCTCTGTCTCTCTTTCTCTCTCAAGTAGCTTCTTCTTTCTATAAAAGATACTTCCCTTCTCATCACAGGTGTATTAGCGTTCAAAGGGCAACTGTCCAAGCCCTTGGCAACTGTCCAAATGTGTGTGTGTGTGTATATATATATATATATATATATATATATATATATATATATATTTCAGTTAATATTACATTATGGACAACTTTGGGCATTACTAAAATTTTCCAAGAACCATAATTTTAATGACATTAAAGTATTTCAGCTTCTGCATGTACCCTAATTTATCTGGCCACTTTATATTGTTGAGCATTTAAGTAGCTTTGGTTTTTCACTACTGTCAATAATAAAGTGTCTATTTTTGAAAGCCAAAAAACCTCCTACAAAGATAACTTATATTTTAATGAATATTCTTCAATTCTTTGTTCTATGCACAAACATATATGCATATAATTAATTTTTATAAAAATAGGATTATGCAGTACAGACTATTTTTAATGTACCTTTTCATTTAACACCATATTGTGAACATTATGATATTAAATAATGTGTTGATATAAGATTTTATTAGGCTGTAGAATATTTCATTGTATATCATATGGCTGCATCATAATTTATTTAACTAATTCCATTTTATGAGAAACTTAGATTGCCCTCCTTTTCCTTTTTTTTTTTTTTTTTTTTTAAAGATGAGGTCATACTATGTTGGTTGCCCAGGCTGGATTCTAACTCCAGGGCTCAAGGGATCCGTCTGTCTCAGCCTTTTGAGCAGCTGGGATTATAGGTATGCACCAAGGTATGTGCCCCCTTTTACTACTGATGACGAAATACCCATGCAACAAAATCTTCGGATATAACCACACAAAATTTTAATAATAAATTCTTAGAGAGTTTAGTCAAAGCGTATAGAAAACATCATGGCTTTTGATGTTTTCAGCTTAAGACAACAGACTGAGAAGAGGTTGCATCCCTAATTAACAAGATTGGGTTTAGAAGTGGCCTATCATGCCCACAGATGACAAAGCTTGCTCCACAGTCATCTTTAGAATACTCCAATTTATAAATAACAAAAATTCCACTGTAGATTTGCTCACAAAGCTCCAAACAATAAAAGCCTATTTCCTTTCTGCTTTAGTTGTTGCAAACTTAAGTGAGGGAAATTAATCCTTTTTAGTTCCTTTATGCAGAAATTCCCTTCCTTAGTGCAGGATCTATATACCCAATAAAGAAGTTATGATTGTATGGAATTAAAATTAGGAAATAGGCTGGGTCTGAAGGCTCACACCTGTAATCCTAGCACTTTGAGAGGCCAAGGTGGGTGAATCACTTGAGGTCAGGAGTTCAAGACCAGCCTGGCCAACATGGTGAGACCCCATTTCTACTAAAAATACAAAAATTAGCTGGGCATGGTGGTGCATGCCTGTAATTTCAGCTCTCAGGAGGCTAAGGCACAAGAACCACTTGAACCCATGAGGTAGAGGTTGCAGTGAGCCGAGATGGCACCACTGCACTACAGCTGGATGACAGAGCCAGACTCTGTCTCAAAAATAAATAAATAAATAAATAAATAAATAAATAAATAAATAATAAAATTAAGGAAATAAGGAAAGAAGACTTTCAATGAGATAGCAAGATAGTGTTTTTTTCTTCCTCTTTCTCTCCCTCTTTCCCTTCCTTCCTTTCTTCCTTTCTTCCTTTTTTAAAAGCAGAACAGTAGTACAGTACAGGAACCCAAAAGGAACCAAAAGCCCAACCTGAGTCATAGCATCCTTCAGATATATATGGTTATACAGCACTACTTTGGGGATTCTATATAGTATATTTACTCCTCTCCTTCCCTTGACACCTACATATTTCTTTTCTAATCCTTCCACTTACTCCTCTGTTGTTTCTTTCCTATCTCAGTACTTCCTAACCATTTCCCTAGCCAGACCACACACACAAACAGACTCCTTCAGATTGTCTTGAAGCCTAATTCCTGGCCTCTAGTCAATTCCCCTCTCACCTTCATAACTACTGTATTTGTCTGACCTTCCCCAAACACAATTTTCATGATTTCACTCCTCAGGCAAGAAGTTTTAATTGCTCTCTGAGTTATATCTTCCCTCATCTCCTTAGTCTGAGACCTCTACCAGTTGTCTCAACACAAGTTCAGCAACATTCCCGGGACATTTGGTTACCCTCTGGCCCAAACAAGTCATCAATAACCCCACAAGGGATGATACATAATAGTGAATATGTTCTCGTGGAAGCTCCCCAAAGGTCCTTTCCTTATTCGGTTTGTTAGCATGGTTTCCCCTCCTTAACATCTGACAGCCCTTGACTTTCTGGGTCCATTTCCTTCTTTTCCGTCATTCCTCACAACCTTCTATACTCAAATCACTCCAGACAGCTTGCCATCCCTGGAAGACTGATGCTCTTCCACATCTCATTATCTTGACTACTGGTATTCTCAGTGTCTTATGCTTATCTTCCTTTCACCACTTAGAGAAAGGTAAGACCAATACCAACCAATATCACTTCTGCAAACTGACCTCCCTAACTTGCATCAGCTGCTTTCTATTCTATTTTACCACAGTGTATTTGGCCGATTTCATGCTGCTGATAAAGACACACCCAAGACTGGGCAATTTACAAAAGAAAGAGGCTTATTGGACTCACAGATCCGCATGGCTGGGGAGGTCTCACAATCATGGTAGAAGGTGAAAGGCACATCTCACATGGGGGCAGACAAGAGAAGAGAGCTTGTGCAGGGAAACTCCCCTTTTAAAAACCATCAGATCTTGTGAGACTCATTCACTATCACAAGAACAGCACAGAAAGATCTGCCCCCATAATTCAGTCACCTCCCACCAGGTTCCTCTCATGACATGTGAGAGTTACAATTCAAGAGATTTGGGTAGGGACACAGCCAAACCATATCATTCCACCCCTGGCACCTCCCAAATCTCATGTCCTCAGATTTCAAAACCAATCATGCCTTCCCAACAGTCCCCTAAAGTCTTAAATCATTTCAGCATTAACTCAAAAGTCCACAGTCCAATGACTTATCTGAGACAAGGCAAGTCTCTTCCACCTATAAGCCTGTAAAATCAAAGCAAGTTAGTTGCTTCCTAGATACAATGGGGGTAAAGGCACATTGGGTGTATAGGTATTGGGTAAATACAGCCATTCCAAATGGAAGAAATTGGCCAAAACAAAGGGGCTAAAGTCCCCATGCAAGTCCAAAATCCAGCAGGGCAGTCAAATCTAAAAGGTCCAAAATGATCTCCTTTGACTCTATATCTCGCATCTGGGTCACGCTGATGCAAGAGGTGGGTTCCCATGGTCTTGGGCAGCTCTGCTCCTGTGGCTCTGCAGGGTACAGCCTCCCTCCCAGCTGCTTTCATGGGCTGGCATTGAGTGTCTGCAGCTTTTCCAGGTACATAGCGCAAGCTGTCAGTGGGATCCACCATTCTGGGGTCTGGAGGATGGTGGCCTTCTTCTCACACCTCCACTAGGTGGTGCCCCAGTGGGGACTCTGTGTGGGGGCTCTAACCTCACATTTCCCTTCCGCACTGCCCTAGCAGAGGTTCTCCATGAGAGCCCTGCCCCTGCAGCAAACTTCTGCCTGGACATCCAGGCGTTTCCATACATCCTCTGAAATCTAGGCAGAGCTTCCCAAACCCCAGTTCTTGACTTCTGTGCACTCACAGGCTCAACACCACATGGAAGCTGCTAAGGTTTGGGGTTTGCACCCTCTGAAGCTGTAGCCTGAGTTGTACCTTGGTCCCTTTTAGTCACAGCTGTGGCAGCTGGCACGCAGAGCACCAAGTCCCTAGGCTGCACACAGCATGGGCAACCTGGGCCTGGCCCACTAAACCATTTTTTCCTCCTAGGCCTCCGGGCCTGTGGTGATAGAAGCTGCTGTGAAGACCTCTGACATGCCCTGGAGACATTTTCCCCATTGTCTTGGGGATTAACACTCGGCTTCTGGTTACTTATGCAAATTTCTGCAGCTGGCTTGACTTTCTCCTCAGAAAATTGGATTTTCTTTTCTCTTGCATTGTCAGGCTACATATTTTCTGAACTTTTAGGCTCTGCTTTCCTTATAAAACTGAATGCCTTTAAAAGCACCCAAGTTACCTCTTGAGTGCTTTGCTGCTTAGAAATTTCTTCTGCCAGATACCCTAAACCATCTCTCTCAAGTTCAAAGTTCCACAGATCTCTAGGGCAGGGGCAAAATGCCACCAGTCTCTTTGCTAAAACATAACAAGAGTCACCTTTGCTCCAGTTCCCAACAAGTTCCTCATTTCCAGCTGCTACCACCTCAGTCTGGACCTGGACCTTATTGTCCATATTGCCATCAGCATTTTGGGCAAAGCCATTCAACAAGTCTCTAGGAAGTTCCAAACTTTCCCACATTTTCCTGTCTTCTTTTGAGCCCTCCAAACTGTTCCAATGTCTGCCTGATACTCAGTTCCAACATCGCTTCCACATTTTCAGGTATCTTTTCAGCAGTGCTCCCACTCTATTGGTACCAATTTACTGTACTAATCCGTATTCATGCTGTTGATAAAATCATATCCAAGCCTGGGCAATTAACAAAAGAAGGAGGCTTATTGGACTTACAGTTCCACGTGGCTGGAGAGGTCTCATAATCATGGCAGAAGGTGAAAGGCACATCTCACATGGCAGCAGACAAGAGAAGAGAGCTTGTGCAGGGAAACTCTCCTTTTTAAAACCATCAGATCTCATGAGACTCATTCACTATCACAAGAACAGCACAGCAAAGACTTGTCCCTGTAATTCAGTCACCTCTCACTGGGTTCCTCCCATGACATGTGGGAATTGTGGGAGTTACAATTCAAGATGAGATTTGGGTGGGGACACTGCCAAACCATATCACATGGCATTTGCTTTAAATTGTTTTGTTTGTGTTTACAATGAATTCTACATATTTCTGTCTCTCAGACTATTCTGTGTAAAATCCTTAGGGCAGAGATCATTTCCTATAGTTATTTTTATATGTCCTATATTCACTTTTATTCTTCAAAGTCTTACGTGGTGCCTACCAAATGTTTGTGATTTGATGGAATTTGAATGGTTCCCATCAATTCTATCTTGCTTTTGGGCTACATATTATTATACATTTCTGTTATATGTATTCCACTTTAAGTGTCTCACGTTATTTCTTTATGCATGGCATATATCACAAATTGTAAGTTGGCCTTTGCTTGGCTCAACATCCACCCTCTTCTACTTCCACCACCTCTTGAGTAACTCTCCTCCTCAAGTGCTTAAAAATAATACTCTGGTATTCCATAAAGTCAGGGAGGTATTCAATAAACATTTTTTGCTTATTAGGAAAGAAAAATGATAATTTTTTTGGCTGAGGCTTCAAAGAAAATTCAAGACAAAAGTATCATTAACATCAATCACTGTAGAACACAATAGAAGACAAAGGTTTCCACACCAATCTTTTTCAATTTTTGGTTAGGTAGAGGGCCTAGGGAATTAAACCCTACTATTATTTTCCTCCTCTATTATTATTGCATAGTTTAGAGAAGACCTTTGCAAGTCAGTCTAATAATAATGCTGCCCCTCATTGAGCATGTACTCTGAGCAGACAGTGCTGATGGCTTGACTTGCATTGTCTCATGTAATCCTTCCAATAATACTAAAAATTCATTTTCAAGATTAGAGAACTGAGACTCAGCAAGGTAAAGTAACTTGTCCAATGTCACAGAGCTAGTAGATGGTAGAGCTGGTATGCCTGATATACGATCACGCAGACTTTGAATTATCATTTCCAGTGACAGGTAAATAATCATGTCATCCTTCCAATAATACTAAAAATTCATTTTCAAGATTAGAGAACTGAGACTCAGCAAGGTAAAGTAACTTGTCCAACATCACAGAGCTAGTAGATGGTAGAGCTGGTATGCCTGATACACAATCATGCAGACTTTGAATTACAATTTCCAGTGACAGGTAAATCATCATGTCATTTGAAAACAAACAATATTTTTGTTAGGACAACTTAAAGTATATTGAATCAAAATGTGTAGCTTTTAGCTCATCTGTGGAAAAGGTCTAATTCTTATCTCCTAAGAATTCTAATTCTTAAGAATTCGCCCTATTAGTATTTAGAGTCTGTTGCTATTTTTTCAATTAACTATTGTGGGTTTCTTTTTAAGACTCAGTATCTTCAGCTCCTTCAGCTGTTACTCATGTGACTTGGCCTCAGCTCTTACACCCTCTGGGATGCTATCTTTTGGAAAAACTCCAGCTGTGTCAATCAATGTCCCTCTTAGAACTTGATGAAGCCCATAGCTAAACAACACCCCAGATGTTTTCTAACTGGTACAGATGGCAATGAAAATATCACCTCCTTTGTCCAGACATTTACTTCTGTTGATGTAGTCTGAAATTGCATTAGGTTTCTTGGCAACTAAGCACTTACTGGTTCACTTTATACTTGCTGTCAACTAAAACCTTGTATTTTTTAACTTTTACATGAGTTATAAGTATTATGAAATTTATGAATGGGAATTTATAGATTATAAATCACTATACTAATGTGATCTATTAACAGTAGTATATATGGTAGATTTGACCCATATTTAAAGAAAAAGAATTCACAGAACAAATTTTAATTGGTGCATATTTAGTACTTCCTTCTAAAAATGCCTGTAGCGTTTTTAAAAAACAGGTTAGGCCAATCTGCCTGCAAATAATAGAGGCAACTCTGTAACTAGGAGTTTTATCACCCATGGACTCTAATATTTCTTTTCTTTCTTTCTTTTTTTTTTTTTTTTGAGACAGAGTCTCACTCTGTTGCCCAGGCTGGAGTGCAGGGCCATGATCTTGGCTCACCTCAACCTCTGCCTCCTGGGTTCAACTGATTCTCATGTGTCAGTCTCCCAAGCAGCTGGGATTACAAGCATGCACCACCATGCCCAGCTAATTTTTTTTTTTTTTTTTTTTGTATTTTTCAGTAGAGATGAGGTTTCACCATGTTGGCCAGGCTGGTCTTGAACTCTTGTCTTCAAGTGATCTGCCTGCCTCAGCCTCCCAAAGTGCTAGGATTACAGGCATGAGCCACTGCACCTGGCCACCCATGGACCCTAATATTTCTAGAATGCTCTGGTGCTCAACTTCAATCTAGAAATCAGGAAACACAATTTTTATTATGCAGGCTGCTCTGGGCAACTACTAACAGGTCAGAATATTTACACTTGGGCAGAGTCTCTTCATCAGATATACAGATGGAAATCATAGTATTTGGTAGCTTCCTGAGGGAAAATAGCCATCCTGGAAAAGCAAGAAGTGCCCTGCCTAAGAACTGGAACTAATACATTTTAGTTCTGAAACTTTTACTAATCACATAGTAAGTGCATAACATTATAGTAGGTTCTTTGAAGGCTGCAAGCACAAATGGGTTCCTGCCTTTATTCTAAGAAAGGAGACAGATATTTGCATACATAAGTAGAAGTACATTCATATATAACCATCATCAATGAGTCCACTTTCATATTTAGTCAATATCATATATAAACATCATCAATGAGTCCACTTTCATATTTAGTCAATACCTTATAAAATAATAAAGATCATTTAGGAACATGACTTTTTTTTTACGTAATCTGGACTCTTCAGGAGGCCTCAAGTTTTCTACAAACTTAATAATAGCATAGAGGCACCTCTACTGATACAGTTGCTCATTCATTCAGTCAACGACCACATCAAGTTTAGGAAACTCTAGTAACTGGGTCTGACTAGAATTAATGTATTTATGGGGAATGAGAGCCAAAAGATCTACACTACTAGGCAGGGGCCACGTATAAAGGGCCTTGTTTGTTGAAGCAGAACATATGTTATTTTTATGTAGGCACTACCCTTCTCTACATTCTCTTCGTATCAGAACATTCTTTTCCATGAGGGAACCCTATTCACGTGGTTGGTGAAGGCAAAAAGACACTGCCCCTTTCGTCCCTCACCCAGACACAAGGGTGGGCACATGACCTAGGCATGGGCAATCAGAGAACCCTATACTTCAGGCCACAGTGATCAGTATGGGCAAGCAAATGACCCAAGGCAGGCTAATCAGGATCCTGCCCTGGGCTTTTCTGTTACAGATACTGAGAAAGAAAAATTATTTTTTGGAGGGGCTGCTGAGCTGATACAATGGGAATGATGGTGGGGTTAGGGGAAAGGAGGCTGCCAGCACCACCTTGATGCCAAGTGGACACAGTCTGAGAAGCACACCAAGATAGAGCCCTGATGATATCATTTGTCACTGAATGAAGCCAGGTCTGTCCCTTGCATTTTATAGTTATGTTAGCTATGCTGGTTATACTAGTTAAAGGGATAAATAGGATTTATCCCATTTATTGTTTAGGTTGGTTTGAATCAGTTTTTGTTATTTACAACTTGACTCTAAAGTTTATGTCATCATATGGAATTTGATATCATGACATTAATATCAAAATGTACATTGTATTTCTAAGTATTACATATCTATATTTGGTGTAAGTGTAAATATGTACATATATACATACATATACATATATGTTGTATGTATTTATGTATGTATGTATGTGCTTATCTACCTATCTACCTCATACAGGCTAAAATACTGTGTCCAATACCCTGATCTAAACTTTATTACAATTTCAACCTCACTGTCTCTTCTGCCACCCAAAACACGGAAAGAAGGCCAACGGGAAGAAGGTGGCTCTAGACCCTGCTGTCTTGAAGAAGCAGGAGGCCAGGAAAGGGGTGAATCCCCTGTTAGAGAAAAGGCCTAAAAATTTTGCCATTGGACAGGATATTCAGCTCAAAAGGGACCTCACCTGCTTTGTCAAATGGCCCCACTATATCAGGTTGCCGTGTCAAAGAGCTATCCACTATAAGTAGCTGAAAGTGCCTCCTGCAATTAACCAGTTTACCCAGGCCTTGGACCTCCAAAACAGCCACTCAGCTGCTTAAGCTGGCCCACAAGTACAGACCAGAGACATGGAAAGAACAGAAGAAGAGACTATTGGCCCATGCTGAGACGAAAGCTACTGGCAAAGGGGACATCCCCACCAAGAGACCACTTGTCCTTCTAGAAGGAGTTACCACCATCATCACTTTGGTGGAGAAGAAGAAGGCTCAGCTGGTGGAGAACAAGAAGGCTCAACTGGTAGTGACTGCACATGACGTGGATCTCATGGAGTTGGTTGTCTACCCGTCTGCCCCGTCTCATAAAATGGGGGTCCCTTACTGCATTATTAAGGGGAAGGCAAGACTGGGATATTTATGAAGACCTGTACCACTGTTGCCTTCACATAGGTTAGCTCAGAAGACAAAAGAGCTTTGGCTAAGCTGGTGGAAGCTATTAGGACTAATTACAATGACACATATGATGAGATCTGTTGTCACTGGGGAGGTATTGTCCTGGGTCCCATATCTGTGGCTCACATAGCCAAGCTGGAAAGGCAAAGGCTAAAGAAGTCGCCACTAAAGGGTTAACTGTACACTGCTGAGTTTTCTGTACATAAAAATAATTAAAATAATACAAATTCCCCTTAAAAAGTTTCAGTCTCACCTTTGACAAGGTATAGTTTCTTTCCCTATATTCTATTGCAAAATAGATTTTTATAAGCATTCCTACTTATGAAGACGCTTTGAGAATTAATGAGCTAAAATGAGCTGGCTTTGGGGATGTGAATAGAGGCTGCTGACGCCAAGTGATTAACATATACCTGTTGAAAGCAGGCTTATGAGGTCTCCACTTACCCATGCCTTAATTATAGCCAACTCCAGTGCTTCTTTAGCTTCTAATTTTGGATGAATATCCAAATTCTAAAATTTACTAGCTAGTGCTCTATTTGCAAAAATGGAGAACATCGCAATCTTAAAACTTGCTTCATAATTGATCTTCATAATTTTATGATGCATCAAAATAAGTCACGTCTGAAGTAAATTCTAATTTTAGATGGTGCTGCTTTTTAAATTTGTATCAAAACTCACTTTAATGTAGAATCATTTCCAGTACAGTTACTGGTAAAGACATATTTCAAAAGAAGGAAGAATCTGCACGGCTTTTTTCTGACCGAATGAGACCTCTAAAACAAATTCTCATCTATAATGCATGGAGTTTATTTTAAAGCAAAAATTATGCCACACTTTGCCATGAGTAAATAATTACATTTTCAACTCTCATCCTCCTTTGTTCAGGGCCAGTCATAGTTGGATTGATCCACAAAAACATTACTTTGAATTTTTCCAATAATTTAATAAAAAGTTATATGCATTAATATTACAGATTGCCTATACATGCAAACAAGCACACCTACAACAATTTGACCAGTTAAATGAGAATAATTTCTTATTTTAAAAAAGTAGTCAATCAGTTTTATTATTTTTTTGGCTGATTGATGAAACTGGGCTTTTGGTGTACCACCTAAAGCAAGCCTAAGGCATCAGAAAAGATGCAAGCTTTGCCCAGGGAACCATAATAAAACTTAATTGCTGAATATAGTGAGAGGACAGCTGCGCCTTATAAATGCTAAGTTTATTTTTTATTTTTACTTATTTATTTATTTAGAAACAGGGTCTCCTTTTGTGGCCTAGACTGTAGCCTCCAACTCTCAGGCTCAAGCAACCCTCCTGCCTCAGCCTCCTGAGTAGCTGGGACTACAGGTGTGCACCATCATGCTTGGCTAGTTTATTTTATTTTTTGTAGAGATGGGGTTTTACTATGTTGACCAGGTTGGTTCAAACTCCTGGGCTCAAGCGATCCTCCCACCTTGGCCTCCCAAAGTGCTGGGATTACAGGCATGAACCACTGCGCCCGGCCTCCTGCAAAGTTTAAATTCAGCTGTGTGAAGATAGTTGATACCTACAGCAAACAGTCACCAGAATTCAAATACTCATTTTGTTTCAGTACTTTAACAAACAGGGCTATATAAAATCCATGTAGAGTTAGGTCAAATCCAACTTACTTTAGGAGTTTTGTTAATGCTTTGCTGATACAACTCAATATACACTTTGAAAAGTAAAACATTCAAGTACATTGTTTTTTGTAAAGCCAAAAGCCTGTCTGACTTTGTATGTGTTTTAAAACTATTAAAAACAAAATTCAGCAGAAACTGGAAGTTATCTTGTCTTTTGATACCTAAGCTAGGGATTTGCATCCCTGGCTGAACATTAAAATCAGCTGAGAAACTTAAAAACAATCTTTGCCTGCAACCACCTCGAGAGATTCTGATTTATATGGCCTGGGATGGAGCTCACACTTTTTTTTTTTTAAGCTTCTCAATTGATTCTAATATGCAAGTAACTTTGAAAATGACTGGTCTAAACTTTTCTTTTTGAGACGGAGTCTCACTCTGTCACCCAGGCTGGAGTACAATGGCGCAATCTCGGCTCACTGCAACCTCCTGGGCTCAATCAATCCTCCCGCCTCAGCCTTCCAAGTAGTTGGGTCTGTAGGCACATGCCAACACACCTGGCAAATATTTGTATTTATTGTAGAGATGGGGTTTTACCATGTTGCCCACTTTGGTCTCAAACTCCTGGGCTCAAGCAATCAACCCCCCTCAGCCTCTGAAAGTGCTGAGATTACAGGTGTGAGCCACGCACCCAGGCTGTTCTAAACTTTTCTAATCCTTAAAACATTATTTATGGAGAGAGGAAAGAAAGAGCATGATAGTCTATATTAGATTAACAATTGTGCCAGTTACCTGATTTCCCAGAGCTTTGGTTTTCTTGTCTTTAAAATGTGAATAATGCTGTCTCTTGAGATATTTTCAAGGATTACCAGGATAAAATATGTGGCCCAGAGTAATGCTTGGGATATCAGGGGTTGAATGCTCAAAAACCTACAAGGGGTCGGGCGTGGTGGCTCACGCCTGTAATCCCAGCACTTTGGGAGGCCGAGGTGGGTGGATCACGAGGTCAGGAGATTGAGACCATCCTGGCTAACACAGAGAAGCCTCGTCTCTACTAAAAATAGAAAAAAAAGTAGCCGAGTGTGGTGGCATGCACCTGTAGTCCCAGCTACTTGGGAGGCTGAGGCAGGAGAATCGTTTGAACAGGGGAGGCGAAGAAAGGAGGTTGCAGTGAGCGGAGATCGTGCCACTGCACTCCAGCCTGAGCTGGACTCCAGCCTGAGTGAGACTCCATCTCAAAAAAATAAAAATAAAAAAGAAAACAAACAAACAAACAAACCTACAGGGGATCAGGTAGGTAACCAAGCTGCAGGTAAGATGAAAGGGGCTGGTGGGGATTATGGTAAAATAGAAGAGACTCAATTCGAAGGGGGCATCCACTGTCTAGTTTCTTCCAATTGTCATGTAGAAATCTAAGTCAGTGCTCTAAAGTCTTTTGACTTTTTAAGAAAAGAGAAACAAACTAGCTATTTTAAGTGTAAAATTTTCCTACTTTTAAAGCAGCCAAACAAAATACCTGTATGTCACTAATTTTCTACTTGGGAAAGTGTTAATTTCCTTTTGCCATCTAAATCTACCTCATGTCATGTGGTTGTGGATAATTTCAGGATTTGTCCTTGTTTTAGGTTAGTTTTAATTAAATAATTAAGCATTCATTTCTCTTTGCTGCCAAGTATTTCTTCTGAAATGGATCAAGGATTTCTAGCTATGATTTGGCATAATACAGCATATAATGGATCTATTACCCTTCATCTCTTATGCGGTTAAAACAAAATGTACCATGACACACTTTCCCCATGTTGTCAATGGCACAATTTTATCTTCCTTTATTCGTATCTACCTTCCCCTATCAGCAATAAGCCTGACGTGTGATACTAGAGTTCTTTCTTCAATTTTAACCCATGTCATCACTTAAAATTTTTTGTTTTTCTTTTTTAGACATAAATGTGATATCTGGCCATTTGAATTGCACCAATAAAGCCTAGGCTTTCTAAAGAACACTACGTTTTCTTGTTCTACTGTGTCCACTTAGCTCACTGTTATTAATATATACATATATAAATGAATGAAAGTAGCCTCTTTATCTTTCTTTAGAAACCTAAAAATCCGATAATATATCAATACCTCTTGTTTCCATGAGGTAGGTGTGAAGTACCTTGAATCCTTCCAATGAAAGCATTGATGGTTCATATTCCCTACCGCAGCAGCTGAAAATGGACATCAGAGGTTTGTAAATGGACTTGCTGAGTATCTCTGTCACCATTATAAGCCATATAGATAACAGATGACACAAAACTTTCCTCTGTGGATTATGAATAATAAACAAAAAATCTGTACCAAGTTTTTTAAAAATTGAGTTTTTTTTTTTATACCTGCACTCACTCTATAGAAGTTTGGGAAATTGTACCAAGATTGATGAGAGGGGAAAAAGTGAACTGATAGTTGAAAGTGACATTTATTTGTGAAAGGTGCTTTCCCTTGAGTATGCTTCCAACAGAGTTATATGTGAAGTTAGAAAAGGTTTTGATCTGAATTGGGGTCTCTTAAAAACAATAGATTAATCTTGAAGACCTCCTTGTGTGAATTCAGGCTTAAATAAATCAGTTAGAAAATATCCAAATGTTGGCTGGGCATAGTGGCTCATGCCTGTAATCCCAGAACTTTGGAAGGCTGAGGTGGGTGGATCACTTGAGTTCAAGCATTTGAGACCAGACTGGCCAACGTGATGAAACCCAGTCTCTACTAAAGAAACAAAAATTAGCTGGGCATGGTGGTGCATGTCTGTAATCCCAGCTACTCGGGAAGCCAAGGCAGGAGAATAACTTGAACCTGGGAGGCAGAGGTTGCAGTGAGCCGAGGTGTGCCACTGCAATTCAGCCTGGGCAACAGAGTGAGACTCTGTCTCAAAAAGAAAAAGGAAAAAGGAAATATCCAAATGCCTACAGTGGTTGATAATTAAGTGATGTTTGACTTGATAGTCATAAACAATATGAATAATTATAGTTATAAATATAAAAAGCTATAAGTTGATTCATAGTTAATTCATAAAATTTACTGTTGTTAACAGAAGAAATAAATAAATAAAAATTTCTGCGGAACTCTAGCATTTGTAGAACCTCCCATTTCACTTAAGGGAGGATGCCATGATTGCTACTGGGAATATCACTTGTTGAAGGGTAACATTGTCTTTATTTTTCTATGGTAGAAGCAAATCATAGAACTTAAAAAAATTGACAATATGATCACCTGTGTGTATGTAACATACATGTACACAAGTCTGGCTTCCTTTCTCCCTTTCATTTTCTTTTCTCATTTTTTCCTTTCTTCCTTCTTTGTAACAAAGAAATAAGTAAACATTCACTGCTGCAATGTAACCAACTTTTGTGAGAGGGGAGCAATCGATAATTACCATCTGCTAAAGTTTTGGTTAAAGGCATTATTTAAAAACATACTAGACAATTTTATTTTTTTTTTGCAGGAAAGAAGAATTCAGGAAGTATGGGGTGTTCAAATATTTTATCTGCTGTATTTAAAGTAGAGCTCCTGCTAGCTGTTTTTCATAGAATCATAGAAAGCTAGACTTGGAAGCAACCTGAGACAGCAACTAGATTAAATTCCTCATTTAACAGAAAAAAAGACTGAGACCCTTATGGCTAAGTATTATTCACAGACAACCAAAATTTAAAGCCAAAATTTAAACCCAAGTCTTTGGAATCCCAAGTCAGCAGCTTTTTCAACTCTACCAAAAACCCAACTTAAAAAAAAAAAATGAAAACTCTCAGTTCATAATTCTCAGCATAGGTTTAATTTAAAACTTAATAAGATTAAGGTTAAAAATAACCCTTTCATTTGGTAAAAAACTTAACCAGAGTAGCAACATATAAAGAGACCATTTTCTTGTTCATTGGCTTAAATTTCAACCAGTAGTTTTGATACAGTATACATCATTTAACCCTTAATTCCCACCATAATAAGGTAAAAGAGTGGTATTGGGCAAATATTGTTCTTGCTCAAAAAGATTAACTATAATCATATAAGTTAGTTCTGATATTCATGTTCATTGCCAAAAAATAGATTAGACTGGGATATTGAATGCTGTGTTTATAGAAAACATGCTGTGAATAGTACACATATTTGGCATTAGAAAACTCTGAGTTCTAATCCTATTCAGCTACTTCTCAACTGGGTAATCTTGGGAAACATAAACTCTCTGAGCCTTGGTTTTATTATCTGCAAATTGGATTCATTAGCCTATATCTTAAAGGATTCGTCTGAGTACTAAATTAGATGATGCAAACGAATTGCCTGGATCTGATGCTCACTAAGTTCTAATACCTCATCCCTGAATTTTAACAACGATTGACAAGTGAAGGGATTGGTGAGCTTTCTGAAGCTATACTGAATTAACTGGTTTTAGAGATGTCTGAAACTACTTTGAAAGATTGGACACCCATAAAAGAAGACATTCTTAAGTCTTGCTTCACATAAACCATTCAGTTCTAGGTTTACTGGCCACTTGGAAAGCTTTTTTTGTACTCACTGCCATTTTATAGTTTCCAAGGTGAACTTAAATTCCCTTTATTGACTAGTCTGGTGCATATAGGGTGTTGATTAAATCCTTGTTGAATAAATGTCATTGAGCTTTCCTTTAGGCATGTGGCTGGTACATTTATTCACACACAGGAGCATGTATGAATGTAAGCACAGGGGCAGGAGAATGGCTTGTTTTGTTCATAGCTATATCCTCAGTGCTTGTAGAAGCATTTGGTACATGATGAGTGTTCAAAACTATATATATATAGAGAGAGAGAGTGTTTTGCTCTTGTTGCCCAGGTTGGAGTGCAATGGCGCGATCTTGGCTCACTGCAATCTCTGCCTCCTGGGTTCAAGCGATTCTCCTGCCTCAGCCTCCCAAGTAGCTGGGATTACAGGTGCCCGCCACCATGCCCGGCTAATTTTTTGTATTTTTAATAGAGACAGGGTTTCACCATGTTGGTCAGGCTGGTCTCGAACTCCTGACATGAGGTGATCCACCCACCTCAGCCTCTCAAAGTGCTGGGATTACAGGCATGAGCCACCGCGCCTGGCCTTGTTGAACAATTTAATGAAGTGTTTGTAACTTCCCATCCTAGACACTGTAAGAAGCAAACTATGAATTGTTCCTGCTTTTTAAAAGCATTACTTATGTCAGTGTATCCAATGAAAAATTGAGAAACAATAGGACAATTTTAAAACTACCGATATTTCCATTGTTCAACTATTAATATTCAAGTTTTCACACTGTTTCCAGCTACTTTCATTAAGAAAGGAAAAGTGATATAGTTTCCAAAATTAACTAAAATTAAAAATTCTGTTCTTGAAAAGGCTTTCCTTGAAAGAAATTATACTGTGTTATTGCTATCATATCAAAAAGATGGTTTTGCACGTTTTTGACCTTTTCTAATAAACACAAAAAATTAAATGTGATCCAAGTTTTGTTTGGTTTACACCTCCCCTGCTCAACTGCAAGTTTGTTCATATTATGGATTGTGACTGGCTTATGTCTGTATCTGTAGGTTCTGACACTGTCTGACATATATGTAGGTGCTCAATAAATGTTTGAAGAAAGAAGACAATGTTTGTTAAATGAAAATTACTTAGGTACTAAAACCCATATGTGTAAACACAATTTTAATGCCTCTTTCACATTTCTGTTTCACGCCCACTTGTCGAGATTCTTCTTTTTTAAAATACATTACTTTTGGGCTGCATTTGGTCATTTTATGACAACTAAAACAGATGGGTGCATGTAGACAGCTTCTATGATATTAATAGGATTCTTTTGAGTGGCCAGAGTGTCAAATTGCCATCAAGTGTACAGTAGAGAGGACTAGCAGGCTCTCTTTCCAGTTCTTCTCTTATTCTGTGCCAACTGGGCCCTCAGTCTTATTGGTATCCAATAATCAGCCCGATTACAGCTAGCCCTGGGAGACATGACAGAAAGAGAGTCCTCATCTTGCATTAATTGCTCCTATTGAAACTATGCCACATCTCTCCAAGCTAGATGTTGCTTAGTATCCCTTTGATATGATAATGACATGCTTCTTAGCAGATGAATATGCAAATTAAAAGCAGTAATTTGGTGGCATGCACCTGCTGACACTGCACGGCTATGCTTATATGCTCTGCTGTAACACTGCAGCCACACAAAAGCATCACAGAGGTAAAATTAAATTCTAATGTCGTATATATTAAACAGATGCTTCCACTTTTCTTTGTATATCTACTTTTACAGATTTTGCCATTGGAATCTCAGTTCTCTCTGCATGCAATTAATGGACATTGATGTGTCATACACAGAAGCATACTCAGTGCCATTTAAAGGGGCTGATTTTAAAGAGGTGGCTTACATATATGCACATTAGAAGATGAACATTTCTTCTGCATCACATAGAAGCTGATGACTTTACTCTTATGGCACAAAGACTCCTATTCATACATGGAATGCATCTTTGGGCTGCAAAGCCGAAAATCACTTTTCTATAGCAAAGATGTGCACTGAAATATAGAGATACTTCATATCGCCTGAAAAAAGATTCCAAAATGACTTGAAGAGGCTAGCAAAATACCCAGAATCAATAAAGTAAATTTCTCCGCTTCATGAAGCTAGTTGCAATGAATGAGAAAGCCTAACTGGTGATTACTTAGGTGTGGCCTATAATTACCCTGGGAACCTAAGAGTCTATCAGTGTGTCATGTGGCTCAACCAGACAGAATTAAGCATTCTGAAGACAAGATTTTATAAAGAGTGCTACTTATCCGTTTTTTTTTCCCACCCTTAAGTCCAGGTAGTACTCACGCAGTTACATGTATATGACAATAGCTTAATTAATTGAGATTGAACTGTTTAATAAAATAAACACACAGTTTAACCATATATACGCATTTATATACAATGAGCGTTTTATACTATGCATTTAATGATTACATATTATCACTTCAAGTGGATAGACTCCAATTTAATTAAATATTTCCCTATTGTTAAACAGCTAGATTTTTACCAAATCCTAAATTATATACATAATACTTCAGCAAACATCTTTGAACATGTAGAATTTTTCTTCCTTTTGATTATTTCCCTGAAGTAATCTTCTAGAAGTGAGATTATTAGGCTAAAGGATAAGGCCACTTTTAAGGAGAAAAACAAATCTCTGGCAAACTTTTTGCCTTATTTCACAATGGTATGCTTTTCAGAAACTTAGCAAGAGAGATACTTTTATGGTTACATGATTGAAGACCTAATTTTTAACTTCCATTACAGGCATGTTACAAGTCTCTATCTATGCTGATTTAAACCTATTAAGATTTTCTAAAATCCTCTAGTTAACTGAAGACGTTCTATGAATTTTCTTCCTTTTATAGTCTCTGGCCATTCTAAAAATATTTCTCCAATTCTAGTTAGTTATAGTTTTACAGAACTATAAATGAGCCATAAAATTTGAGTTAATAAAAGCAAATTTTAGTTCTCTTATTTTGGACAAAAATTCTAATTTACTTATGTATGCAAAAGAAAAAAACCGTGTCTTTTTTTTACATGGTGTGAGAGATTTTTATGTAGATGGAATGGAAGGTTTATGTAGGGCTAGAGTTATTAATTTCTAGTTAATAATGCCACTAAACATTCAGGAATAAATCCTACAGAGAAACACACTTCTTCTCTTAACCTTTCAATCTTGCTCTCTATCTAGTTTGTATTAAACTACAGAATAAGACATCCAGGGTTATTTCTAATTGCCTTAGCAGTCCTATTACTGATGAACTTTCTGAAAGTATCTGCTACATTTATACATAATTTAACTTTTTACCTCAAGGAATAATATTTGCATGTTTTCAATTGTTTTTAGTCCTTGAAAAATACTAGAGAGACTGTGCAATAGGACCAAGGTCAAGATTTGTGATAATTTTAAAAAATGTCATTTTCATTTACATTATTCAACAAACAATGAGTTTTGTTAGATCATATATAGATTTTTAAGACATTTAAGTTTTTATTATTTAACAGTCACATTATCAACAAACTTTAATTTTTTTTTTACAGAATAAAAGGTGGTGTTTTCAGTAATGTAGGGTGATTTCAGAGAATCTTGAAAGAAGGAGGAAGTCATTCCATCCTTTTCTGCCTCATTTCAGCCTTTGAAAATAGCTTTAATTTTCTAAAATACTGCTTTGGGAACAGGATGTGAATTCTGAAACCCAGTTTATCCCAGGATTGGAATGTTCATTGTATTGAGAACGAGGAGACTCAGGTTTTAGATTCAACTCTGACATCATAAGCTGGGCAAGGAATTTACGAAACTTCTCTGGGACTCAAATTTTCACCAGAAATCGTCATCCATTTAACAAATATTTACTGAAAGCCTACTGTGTGCTGGGTACTGTTTGAGGTGATGGAGCTATAGCAGGGAATGTACTGTCCTGTTTTCTGGAGCTACATTCTTGTATGTGAGAGACATATAATAAACAATAAATTTAATGGAGGTGATAGAAAGTCAGCCCCTCTCTAGTGCTGCTCACCTTCCGTTTTGTCTATCACCAGCAAGCCTTCTGAATGACTCCCCTAAGGCCAAGCTCTGATTTTAGGTATATTTAAAATAAATACACTTATTATCTGAAGCCTGTTATTTCTCCTGTAATAAAAGATCCTCTCTTACCAAACTTCTGCCTATAACTGCCAACTTATGTCTCTGCTCTCCTTTACTTTTTCAAGAAAAAGTTATTGTAACAGTTTCTATACTCACTGTCTCCAGTTCATCTTCTTCCATTATTTTTGGACATGAAGTCACTCCAAATAGGCTTTTGTTTCCATTATTTAACCCAAATTGCTCCTTGTCAATGTCACAAATTACCTCCACATTGTGATATTCAATGGTCAAGACTCAGTACTTTTCTTATTCCTAATACTACTACTTCTCGGTATTATTTATGGTAATAATAAGCATAACTGCTATTTACTAGGCAATTACTATACTCTGGGCACTATTCTAAATGTTAAACAAATTTAGGCATTTATGCCTAACAAAAGTCATATGAAATGGGATCCATTATAATCATCAGATTATAGATGGAGAAAAAGACACAGAGAAGTGTAGTAACTTTTTCAAAGTCACAAAGCAAATACATGGCAGAGTGGAATTTGAACCTGGCAAAATAGCTTACAACCTTTATCTTAGCCACTATGTTATGCTGACTTATTGGCAGCATTTAACTCAATTGGTTGCTCCCTGCTAAAAACACTTTTTAAACTTGGCTTTCAGGACACCATGTTCCCTGGATTTTTTCCTATCTTCTTGGCTGTTCCTTTTCAATCTTCTTGCCTATTCTTTCCTGCTGGCTTTCTTAAATCTTGACACTGGAGTGCCCCACAGCCAAGTCTTCTCTTTCTCTCTGTTCCCTCCTTTGGTGATCTCATTACAAATTTCATGGTATTAAGTAATTAAGTAATGTGGATTCTGACACCTCCCAAATGTTTACCTTCAAACCAACCTTTTCATGAAATCTAGCCTTGAATATCTTAATGCTCACTTGACATCTCTACTTTGGGACATGAGCATCTCAAACTTAACAAAATCAGACTGAACCCCAGATTTCCCACTTTTACTCCAAACCAGCTTTCCTTCTCAGTTAAGGGCAACTCCATTCTTGAGGAGTTGCTTAGGCTTAAAACTTTGGTGTCTTCCTTGACTCTTCTCTTTTTCTTTACCCTGTATCTTGTCCATCAGCACATCTTGTTGACTCTACCTTCAAAATATATCCAGAGCTCAACCGTTTTTCAAATTCTCCAGGCCACTTTCCTAGTCCATCCTGCTGTCAATACTCCCTGGTTTTATTGCATTAAACCACTAACTTCTATCTCCCTACTTCTTCCCTTGTCCCTTGACAGTCCAGCCAACTCAGCAACCAGTCATCTTGCTTAAATGAAACTAAGACCACGTCACCACTCTGAATCTTCTAATGGTTTCTTATTTCACAAAGAGAAAAATACCAAAGCCATTATAACAGTCTATAAGGCCGTACTCAATCTGGCCCCCTGTCATCTCTGACCTTATCTGCTATTATTCTGCTTCTTGCTCATTCTGATCCCGCCCCACAGAGCTTTCTGCTCTTCCTTGAACATTCCAGGATACTCTGGCCTCTATACCAATTTCTTCCTTTTCCTGGAATGTTTTCCTCTTAAATGTCAGTATACCTTTCTTCCTCCTTCCTTCAAGAATACACTCAAATGTCCACTTTTCAGGAGGCCTTCCCTGACTGCCTTATTTTTATTATACCCCAATATTTTTAATCTCCTTTCTCTGCTTAATTATTTGTCAAACAATATATTTCACTTACTTACCCTTGTTTGTTTCTATCTGCCTCCCAAAAATGTTTCATAGGCAGTGAGTTTTGCCTGTTTTGTACATTGTCTGTTCCCAGCACCCAGAATATTGTCTAGCACGTTGTAGAAAAATTATCTGTTCCTATAAGAGGAATTTCAGAGGTTAAAGAAGCTTCAGGCTACATTCTTCCTTGCAATACCTTGTGGGAGAAAGCACAGTTGGCTTCTTGATGTTCTCCTTAAGAGCAAAAAAACTTTTCTGAAAACTTCCAACAAAATTTTTCTTGCTTTCATTGTCCAGATTTCTGACCCATCACTGGAGGGAGAAGGGGCTGAAATTACCTTTAGTTCAGTCAGATTCATCCCTAGCACAGGGGGTGGGTCAGCTTCCCTTGAAGAATACAGGATGTATAGGAAGGAGCAACATTGAAGAAATCAGGGTTTTAGAGGGCGGAAACCCTGTGCAGGCAGCCAACAGTGTTCACTACAGAAGTCTCAAAGTGAGGGGCTGGATGCAAGGCTATACGAGTATTCATTTCCTCACATCGTTATCAACACTAAACCTTAGCAATTAAATAAAAAAAAAAACAATCTGATGACTGGAAAAATTATATCTCACTTCTGTTTAATTTTCATTTATCTGAGTACTATTGAGGTAAAACACATTTTTATTTGTTAACTAGCCATTTATGTTTTCTCTTTGTTTAATTACCTGGTCATATTCCTTGCCTTTTTGAGCAATTTTTCTCTGTTGGGTTAACTTTTTCTTGTTCATTATTGGGAGTTATTTATATATCCTATATATAATCCTATGTAATCCTTTGTTTATATATAGCAAATATTTTATCCCAGTCTATTTCTCGTCATTTAGTTTTGTTTATTGATTTTTATTGGGTCAAACTTAGGTTTTTAATTTGACGTATTAAAATCCATTAATCATTTGATTTTTAGCTTCTGGGTTTTGCCTTAACAGGGCTCATCCTACTCCAATTACTATAAAAATATTTTTCTATATTTTATGGTTTAAAATACAACCTTTTTGATATCTTGAATTCACTTTTCTGGACTCTGCATTCTATTTCATTTATTTATGTGTCTATTTGTCTGCCCCCGACATTGATACCAGACTCTTTTTTTATTTATTTTTATTTATTTATTTTTTATTTTTTTTATTTTTTGAGACGGAGTCTCGCTCTGTCGCCCAGGCCGGACTGCGGACTGCAGTGGCGCAATCTCGGCTCACTGCAAGCTCCGCTTCCCGGGTTCACGCCATTCTCCTGCCTCAGCCTCCCGAGTAGCTGGGACTACAGGCGCCCGCCACCGCGCCCGGCTAATTTTTTGTATTTTTAGTAGAGACGGGGTTTCACCTTGTTAGCCAGGATGGTCTCGATCTCCTGACCTCATGATCCACCCGCCTCGGCCTCCCAAAGTGCTGGGATTACAGGCGTGAGCCACCGCGCCCGGCCGATACCAGACTCTTTTAACATGTTAGTATGCTCTGATATTTTAGAAGGTTTTAGAAGACATTTTACTCACATTTTTCTTTTCTTTATCGATTATTCTCACCTCCAGATATATTTCAGAGTTAACTTTTAAGTTTTTATTTGGTAATGCATTGAATTACAGATTAATTTGAGGAGAACTGCCAGCTTCACTGTATTGAGTTACTCTATGTATGACTTGGGCAATGTTGTATTCTAGATTCTTCCTACAGCGTAGGAATTAAATGATTTTTAAAACTTTGCCCAAGTAGTTAGATTGTATCATCTATAAGTTTGTTATTAGTTTCTAATTTTGTTGCATTGAAGAGAGAACATGACTGTGTAATTTGTTTTTCTTTGACATTTATTGAGATTGCTTCCTGAAACATATTTGTAAATTAAAAAAATAAATAATCCATGTGTATTTGATAAATGTGTATCTTCTATTTGTTGGGTGTGTGTGTGTGTGTGTGTGTGCATTTGAAATCCTATTTATTCTTATTATTTCTTGGATACTTTAATCATCAAATTCTAGGAGATGTACTAAATTTTTCCAATAACATTATGAATTTAACAGTATCACTTGTATTTCTAATAGGTTTTTCTTATATATGCCAAAGCTCCATGGTTAGGTAAATAAAATTTGTGATTTTTATATCTTAATGGATTGTTGTATTTATAAATCTTCCTCCTTGTCACATTTAACAATTTTGGCCCCAATATCTAATTTATGTCATATTAATATGTCTTAAACTGGTATTTCTCTATGATAGTCAGCATCTTTCTGAAATAACTCTGTCCATCCTGTGTTTTAATCTTGCTGTGTCATTTCATTTCGGAAGTGTCTCTTGCAAATAGGAAGCAGTTAGTTTTTTTTTTTTTTTAAAGACAGAGTCTTGCTCTGTTGCCCAGGCTGGAGTGCAGTGGTGCAATCTTAGCTCACTGCAGCCTCTGCCTCCTGGGTTCAAGCGAGTAGCTGGGATTACATGGGCGCGCCACCACACCCGGATAATTTTTGTATTTTTAGTAGAGATGGGGTTTCACCATGTTGGCCAGGCTGGTCTTGAACGCCTGACTTTGTGATCTGCCCACCTCGGCCTCCCAAAGTGCTGGGACTACAGGCATGAGCTGATAATCCCTGCCTTTTAACAGGAGAATTAACATTTTGCACTATTCATGATTATTAATATGTTTGAACATATTACCACTATTAAATAGTTAATATTTATTTTCTTAAAAGTAAGTTTTTCCCCTATCTCTTTGGGGGACTGATCGAGTTTTCTCTACTTTTCTTCCCCTCCCAGAGATTTAAAAATTGAGTGCTTTGTTTCTGTTCCTGTATTGGCTAGCTGTGAATTTTAAAAGCTCATTTGTTTAAATGTGTATACCTTTCCCTAGTAAAAGACAATAAACCTCAGCACGCTATTACTTTCTCCTTTACCAACATTGCCTTGACCTTCAAATCATATAATGAATTCATCTAGAGTTTCGTTCTACATTCTTAATATTTGTAAAAATGTACAGACTGTAAAGATATCTACTTAACCAGAAGGTTCATTGGTTTCTTTTTACCTTCTGTTTCCTGTATTCAATTTCATTCTCCTGAAATCTTTTTGTTTGTTTGTTTTCTTTGAGTACTTCCTTGAATATTTCTTTCTGAATGGACTTCCTAACATTGCTTCATTTTGCTGTCACACGTGAATGCTCATTTGGCTGCATTTAGAATTAGACAAAGATTGAGAAGGTAACATTTGAGCAAAGACTTTAAGATGGTGAGGGAGGGAGCTGCATAGATATCTGGGGGAAGAGCAGTCTGAGCAAAGGCAACAGCAAGTGGAAATGCCCCCAGAGCAGGAGCATGCCTGGTTTGTTCTTGGAATACCTGCAAGTGTAATAATTTATTTAAGATCTGTCTTTCCAATTAGCCTGTAAACTTTAGGACGACTTCTGTTTTATTTTCAACTGTACACAAAGCACCTGCCATAGCATTTAGCATATAGCATGTATGAATCACCCAAAATTTAAACCCCTAGATTATTCCATCTGAGTTTAATATTAATCTATTTCAATGCCAATTGTAATGATAAAGAGAACATAACCATCTCTTTTAGCATGGTGAACTGTACAAAGCACTGAGCCAGGAAAATGTTTCTACTACTTATTTGTTTGCTGTGTGCTCTTAAATAAGTCACTTACCCTTTCTGAATCATAAAGTAGAGGCAATAGTACCTTGCTGCTTAGCCCACAGAACTATCATTTAAAAATCATAAATATAAACAATTTGCAAACTCTATCATTATTAAAATGTCAAGCATTGTTATATTTGTCAATAAATATTAATATAAAATATATTTTTCAAAACAAAAATAAAATAGGCTTTCAAGAAATGTTACTGTAATTTCCTTCTAGAGTTGAATGAGAGTACTTTAGACATAGTATGTGCTCAGTAAAATTTGTTTAATAGCTGCTTAGTAAAATTTGTTGAAAGAATGTTAGAGAACATTCCCACCATGAAAAACTGTAACTAGCTCCATTTTCCAGATTTTTAGGTTGCCTTTTTATAAGTGGAAATTTTCTCACATTTATTTATTTGTGAAATCAAATGTAATTTTATTTCACTTTCAAATTACCTTTTTTTTTAACTGAATGGTTAAAAAGAACACATAAGTCTCTGACACTCTACTGTCGACATGTACCCTACCCTCCCATCCCCTCTCCACACATCTGGAATTGTTCCTTAAAAATGCACCTCTTTCCAATAATCAACTTTTCCCACTTTCCCAACTCCCATTTGATGTTTCTTACTGGAAATTACATTTGCGATCAACAAACTATACTTCGCTTCCCTTTAACCTAGTAATAACATTCTTTATAAATGAAAAAGACCTAAAATCATCCACAAGGAGAATGAGAACTAATGTTTTTGTAGTAATTATTTTCCCAGATCATTTTAGAGGGTACAATACTCTGTAATGAAATACTTCATAGAATCTGGCTTCATATACTAGAAGGTCTGAATGGAGGGCTTTATGCGATGAATGAAAACATGGCAAGGATTTCAGATTGGCATCATCTGACAGGCACTTGACGGGCGAAAACAAAAACAAACATGTCTTAAAGGAAAGATGAAGAGTTGACAAATCATCAATATTCTTTCTAAAATCCATTTCTAAGCATTTATAATTCATCTCTCAAGTCTCCAATTTAGATTACATGAAGTAGAGCTTGCTGGTACTTCACATAGTTTAAAATTCTAAGAAGGATAAAATTCTCTTCAGGGAGCAATTATACTAAATGGATGCCCTGTGAAAAGAGTAGCTAGTTACTGCCTCATTGATTTCATATCTGACCACTAAAATCACCAGGCTCAGGTCTTCATTTTTCCCACATAGCATTTCCCTCATATGTGTTTATAGTATTTTCTCTTTAAAAGCTAAAAGAAAAGTATTCCCAGATTTTGTAATTGCTAAATTTCAATTAAAGATGCAGAGCCTAATGGAGGAGATAAACCTCTCAAAGGCAATACCAGTTTATGAGGAAACGTATGAACAAAAAGTACATTATTAAGTGGCATAATACTATCAAAGAGTTTACCAAGTCCCTGCCTTGAAATCCAGGAATGCGCTATATGTTGGGTGTCTTTAAGAAGATTCCATTTGTGAGATTGCCATGGTTCCACTGGGGGTCACAGGGGTAAGGACCCCAAGCTAGACCAGGAGGCAGCTGGAAACCCTGGAGTCTCAACCCACAGAACCTGAGGTGGGCAGAGAAGGTACTTCATGAAGAAAGGAAGCAAATCCAAAGGAGGACAGGGGCCGAGGAGACAGAACCACTGAGGGAAGGGAGCCTGGCATGAGAAAAACCTGCCCCTCTGGCCTGTTTTTATTTTCTCAGTTTTGACAGATACAAAGGTACAGGAAACAGTTCACTTTCCTCTTCACTCTAATTTTGGAAAAACAGTAGCAGGACTGCATTGAAGTGGCAATTTGCATTCAACCTGGGGGAGGAAACAGGTGTGCAGGACTCCGGTGAATGGGAAGTACTCACGCTCCTCACACTACTGGAAGCGGGCCAGGGCTAGCAGACTGTTTTCAAGAGGGAGTGATGCCTGATCTTGCGATTAAAAAATAAAAATAAAAATAACTGTAAATTCAGATTTTTTAAAAATATAAACTCTCCTGTTAAATTATATTTTTTAAAATGTAAACTATCTGCAGGATGATAGTGCATGTGTCAAATGTGCATATTTTTGGACTAGATTCTGTACCTAGGCCACAAGTTTGCAACCTCTCTAAGGCTGGTAATTCTGTCTTCATTTTAGGTAAGGTAAGTGTCAACTGTCTCTTACAACAAAACTGTAACCGCAACACCATTTCCTTCTTCCTTCTCCATTAGCCAATACTTTTATACATAATACTTTGAGCAGAAGACAGGAACACCCACTTAAAACAGCTGACCTGAACTTACAAGTACAGAAGGTAAAAAAAAAAAAAAAAAAACCTAGGCTTGTTGCATGAAAATATACTAACATCTAGTACAAGTCATCTCTAATTATTACTTTATACACATAAATCTCCTTACTTCTTTGTCAAATATGGCTCACATTTCTTTTAAAGTGCTCAAATTGGTCAGAGAGAGATTGTCAATATAGTGAGATAATTTCCCTCCCTTGCTCTGCTAGGTCAATTGTTAATCTCATTATAAAACTCCCATGTTCACATTTTAAATTATTTGTTGCAGCAAAAACAAAATAAGACAAAACAAAACTCAAAACAAACAAAAAATTTAATACAAGTGTAAAATCACACAGACCAATTATTTGGAAAGTAGTATTTAGTAGCACTAGTATTTAGTGACTACCAGTTACAAGAAAAGATTTTAAAACTGAAAACCCCAAAAACTATGCTAATACTATGAAATACCAAGTAAATTTTCAGTCAGAGGGCATCCATTGGTGTACCGTTAGTAATTCACTTAGAGGGTAAGCTGTAAATCCATAATCCCACAGATTCTTTCTGCCTGAAAAAAACAGAACCAGACAACTGACAGGAACATGTTTGTCCAATGTTGTGTCAAATTCCGTTTTTCAACTTTTTTTTTTTTTTTTGCTCTCAGCACTCTTTTCTTTTGCCAAATTGGCAAGACTTTTATTGACATGTCACAGCCTTATGATTCACTGCCAATTTTCTTAGCTTGGATTTTTTTTTTGCCTTTTACCTCTTTTAAAGTGTTATAGTGACAAAGACGGTGGGCTGGACAAGAAGATGACACACATGCTTCCTGATTTAGCCCATCAAAACCTCACAGAGCCAACAGTTTTTCAGTGTGTGGCTGCCTATGCACCAGCTCCACCTGACTCCTTTCTTACCTGGTGCACGACCCTTCAGTTGAAAATTCCAGCAGCGTGCAACTTGTCTTTGGCAAATGAATTGTAAGTATGCCAGCTGCCAGATGTCTTCATTTTTAAAACACCTTCAAAACTGCTTCTGGCAACGTTCCATAAGCAAAACGTGCTAAGCTGTAACTGCAGTTTCCACACTGTGAGCAAAAAAAAAGGAAAAAAAAAGGGGCCAATGGGAGCAGATGGAAGCAATAGAAGAATGTATTGCCTTCACATCTTGAAAAGGAGTAGAAAATGAAGGTAAAAACAGAATCTGGCTACCCTTACCAGTTAGGTATTTGGAAGAAGAGGTATCAGTGACCTATGATATGTTCAATATGCATGCTAATAGTCACCTTCAACAGTATAATAATTTTAAATACTATAGTTTTATGAGTCCAACAAAATAATGATGACACATTTTCCTGAAAATGAGAACTTTTGGCTCTGGAAATAATAAATGTAAGGTTAGGAAAAGCTATCAAAAATCAAGATATCTTTTTACTTTCAGCAATGGCAAATTTTTTTACTGACAAAAGTAGAATTTTAAAGTGAGGGAGTAAAGAAGGAGCTTCCAGATGCCAGGGGCTGGCCCTCAATGTCTATCCTGTACAAAGTCTTCTTCAAAACCTTTTGATGAACTAAATGATTAGGTAATACCCTATAAGGAGACAAATTTAGAGAATAAGGTACTTTATCTACATTTAGATTCACTGACATACCTAAAAATTTGTGATTTCACATAACCATGGAAGTAACTGAAGCCCAGAGATGGATATAACTTAAATCAGATGATACAAGTCAATCGGAATTAGTAGAAAAAAAATAGTGATCCTGAATTTGAACCTGACATCTATAAAATAAAAACATATATTAACATTTGAGACTAGAAAAAAGTCAGATATGGCAATCTAAGTTCAAGTCTAATTAATTCAAAAAGAATCATTTCAATCAGTATCTTTCAACAGCTTTCATGATAGAAATGGACACATCATACATGAACTATCAAATAGGAAAAAAAGGTAAACTGAGGAGCAAGGAAAAGAAAAAAAATATATGCCAACAAAAGACCTGGTACAGTGATTCCCAATCAAAAGGTCTTATGGAAAGAAAGCACGCTTTAAAAATAGTGAGCAGCATTGGGCTTGGATATATGCCACTAGCAAAGTCATAAAAAAGGAGAGTTTACTTTTCTAGCTTTCAATTCTATGGTCTTCATGGAAATCTTTCAATTTAATCATACATTCTCTGTACATGGTTTGCATTTTCCCACCTCTGTGGATGACAATGGCATAAGCTATTTTTTCTCTTGAACTGTCTTTACCATTCATTCCTGTTTATTGAATTCCTGTTCACCTTTTAAGCATTGGCTCAAATGCAATCACCTCCATGAACTTTTCCCAATATCTTCTACATTCATTGAAAGAAATATCTTTCCTAGGTAATTCCCATAGCATTGCCTTTTACTTTCTATGGTCTTTTCTGTCTCCCTGTCTAGACTGTGAGCATCTTGAGGACTGAAATTGTGTCACGTAAGTTCTTAAAATTGCAAAATACCTAGTACATCAAGCACATTTTTACTCCTTAGTAAATGTCAGAATAGAACTGGTTGCCTGCTTGCTTTCAGTCCATCCACATTGCCCTCATCCTGTCCTCTTTCTACAACAAATTACATAGTAGGACTTTTTATTCATTAAGCCTGACTCCTCAAGTAGATTTTATTTTTATTTCACTTGTTCTGTCTGGTTCACTATTAATCTGTGGGCAAGTGAACATTATAATAGATCATATGAAATCTAACTTCCAAGTAACATAAATTGGATTTTAAAAGGAGTGAGGATCTTAATTTAAACAACAGTAGGGTAAGTTAGAGAGATATATTTTCTGGGTCTTTCAGTGCTCTCATTCAAATCATAGAACAAATACACATAGATCTATGTGTGAACACTTATAAAGTAAAAGAATATTGACAGAAAAGGAAGGAATAATAAAATATAAACAAACTACAAAAAATAAACTAAAGATTAAGTGTATACCAAAACAATTTGTAAACCAAGAAGTATTAAAAATTCAACCACCGTAAGTTTCTCCCAAACAGAGAAAGGCAAAGTAGTTTCTTAAAACTAGTGGCCCCTTTTTAATAGTCAAGCCACACTTCAGTTTGGTTCCAAGTTTCCCAGAGGAGCTTGAGCACATCACCCAGAAACCTCTTAAAAATTGCCAAAAGGAGTCTGGCCTGAGCTTTGTGAATGCTGCTCTAACTGATGGGACTGAAGGAGAACCTTGGCAGCAAGCAGTAGGGAGGAAAGAGACACCCAGAAATTAAAATTGAAGTTAATTATAGTACTTACAGATTTCCCCCCAGACCTGATTCTTGGTGTTCAACAAAGACAAAAAGCTCTCAATTCAACTTCAACATGACAATGCCATCACTACACCTAAGCCTGTTCTTGGGGGACTGGGAAGGGGAGGGGGAAGACTTGAAGTTGCTCATGTCACTATAGCTGTTCGGGAGAACCAGGGTTGGTGAGAGTATTTCTTCAACTATAGTTAGTGATGACAAATAAATCAAGAATGATGTTTCTCATGTCCAAATGGAAAGATTTATTTATTTTTCAAATATTCATAAACCTGACTTCAGTTTTATTCCTCCCAGATTTTAGGTGTGCTCTGTACTTGGGATATTGATTCATGTGACTACTAAATAAGCAATGCTTGTCTTACAAACCTTTATCAGATATTTATTTCTGTTAATTTTGTACAGCTCAGGATCTAGTAATCCAGATTAGGGAGGCAACTTTTAACCCTCACCAGCTTTTACCTATGGCGACTTACCTGTTCTCTGTTTTCTAAGCCTGTGTTTCCTCATTTACAGAATGAAGACAATTATACCTGCTTCATACCACTGCTATGTGACCCTCTAGAAGTTTTATCAGGCCAGGCACAGTGGTGCATATCTGTAATCCCAGCATTTTGGGAGGCTGAGGTGGGAGGATTGTTTGAGCCCAGGAGTTCAAGATCAGGCTGGGCAACAAAGCAAGACCCTGTCCCTACAAGAAATACAAAAAAACATTAGCCAGGCACAGTGGCTTGGGTCTGTAATTTCAGCTATTTGGGAGGCTGAGGTGGGAGGATCACTTGAGCACAGGAGTTCAAGGCTGTAGTGGGCGATGATCACACCACTGCACTCCAGCCTGAGTGACAGAGTCAGACCTTGTCTCAAAAAAATTTTTTTAAGTCAATATATTATAGCTTACAAAATAGGTAAAGTGGCATATATTTGTGATAGGCAACTTTAGTTATCTGTACATATATTTCACTAAGAGCAGAACATTTGATAAATTATTGGTTTGACTTATTTCTGAATATATCACTTGAAAAAGCCTAGGAAATAATATCATTCTGAACTTTACTCTGTCCCCCAAAAATGAACTGATTAGGAAAGTGTCATGGAGCAAAGTTATCTGAGCAATGCTAGACATACAATACTCTAGACCTTTGCAATAAGAAATGTGGTCTGTAAATTTAAGCTCTTTGCAGATTCTGGATATTTTCCCTTTGTCAGATGGATAGATTGCAAAAGTTTTCTCCCATTCTGTAGGCTTCCTGTTCACTCTGATGATAGTTTCTTTTGCTGTGCAGAAGCTCTTTCATTTAATTAGATCCCATTTGTCAATTTTGGCTTTGGTTGCCATTGCTTTTTGTGTTTTACTCATGAAGTCTTTGCCCATGCCTATGTCCTAAATGGTAATGCCTAGATTTTCTTCTAGGGTTTTTATGGTTTTAGGTCTTATGTTTAAGTCTTTAAACCATCTTGAGTTAATTTGTGTATAAGATGTAAGGAAGGGGTCCAGTTTCAGTTTTCTGCATATGGCTAGCCAGTTTTCCAAACACCATTTATTAAATAGGGAATCCTTTCCCCATTGCTTGCTTTTGTCAGGTTTGTCAAAGATCAGATGGTTGTAGATGTGTGGCATTATTTCTGAGGCCTCTGTTCTGTTCCATTGGTCGATATATCTGCTTTGGTACCATTATCATGCTGTTTCGGATACTGTAGCCTTATAGTGTAGTTTGAAGTCAAGTAGTGTGATGCCTCCAGCTTTGTTCTTTTTGCTTAGTATTGTCTTGGTTATACGGGCTCTTTTTTGGTTCCATATGAAATTTAAAGTAGTTTTTTTCTAATTCTGTGAAGAAAGTCAATGGTAATTTGATGGGAATGGCACTGAATCTATAAATTACTTTGGGAAATATGGCCATTTTCACAATATTGATTCTTACCTGTGAGCATGGAATGTTTTTGCAGTTATTTGTGTCCTCTTTTACTTACTTGAGCAGTGGTTTGTAGTTCTTCTTGAAGAAGACCTTCACATCCCTTGTAAATTAGATTCCTAGGTGTTTTGTTCTCTTATGGAAGTTCACTCATGATTTGGCTCTCTCTTTGTCTATTATTGCTGTATAGGAATGCTTGTAATTTTTGCACATTGATTTTCTATTCTGAGACTTTGCTGAAGTTGCTTATTAGCTTAAGGGGATTTTGGGCTGAGACGATGGGGCTTTCTAAATATACAATCATGTCATCTGCAAACAGAGACCATTTGACTTCCTCTCTTCCTATTTGAATACCCTTTATTTCTTTCTCTTGCCTGATTGCCCTGGCCAGAACTTCCAATACTATGTTGAATAGGAATGGTGAGAGAGGGCATCCTTGTCTTGTGCTGGTTTTCAAAGGGAATGCTTCTAGCTTTTGCCCATCAGTATGATATTGGCTGTGGGTTTGTTATAAACAAATATTATTTTGAGATACATTCCATCAATATCTAGTTTATTGAGAGTTTTTAGCATGAAGGGGTGTTGAATTTTATCAAAGGCCTTTTCTGCATCTATTGAGATAATCATGTGGTTTTTGTCATTGGTTCTGTTTATGTGATGGATTATGTTTATTGATTTGCATATATTGAACCAGCCTTGCATCCCAGGGATGAAGCCGACTTGATCATGGTGGATAAACTTTTTGATGTGCTGCTGGATTCAGTTTGCCAGTATTTTATTGAGGATTTTTGTGTTGATGTTCTTCAGGGATATTGGCCTGAAATTTTCTTTTTTTGTTGTGCCTCTGCCAGGTTTTGGTATCAGGATGATGGTGGCCTCATAAAATGAGTTAGGGAGGATTCCTTCTTTTTCTATTGTTTGGAATAGTTTCAGAAAGAATGGTACTAGGTCCTCTTTGTACCTATGGTAGAATTTGGCTGTGAATCTGTCTGGTCCTGGGCTTTTTTTTTGGTTGGTAGGCCTCAATTACTGCCTCAATTTCAGAACTTGTTATTGTTCTATTCAGGGATTCAACTTCTTCCTGGTTTAGTCTTGGGAGGGTGTATGTGTCCAGGAATGTATTCATTTCTTCTCGATTTTTTAGTGTATTCGCATAGAGGTGTTTATAGTATACTCTGATAGAAGTTTTTTTTTGTGGGATCAGTGGTGATATCTCCTTTATCATTTTTTATTGTGTCTACTTGATTCTTCTCTCTTTTCTTCTTTATTAATCTGGCTAGCAGGTTATGTATTTTATTAATCTTTTCAAAAAACAAGCTCCTGGATTCATTAATTTTTTTTTTGAAGGGCTTCTCGTGTCTCTCTCTTTCAGTTCTGCCCTGATCTTAGTTACTTCTTGTCTTCTGCTAGCTTTTGTATTTGTTTGCTGTTGCTTCTCTAGTTCTTTAAATCGTGACATTAGGATGTTGATTTTAGATCTTTCCCGCTTTCTCCTGTGGGCATTTAGTGCTATAAGTTTCCCTCTAAACAGTGCATTAGCTGTGTCCCAGAGATTCTTGTATGTTGTGTCTTTGTTCTCATTGGTTTCAAAGAACTTATTTATTTCTGCCTTAATTTTGTTATTTACCCAGTAGTCATTCAGGAGCAGGTTGCTCAGTTTCCATGTAGTAGTATGATTTTGAGTGAGTTTCTTAATCCTGAGTTGTAATTTGATTGCACTGTGGTGTGAGAGACTATTTGTTATGATTTCCATTCTTTTGCATTTGCTGAGGAGTGTTTTACTTCCAATTATGTGGTCAATTTTAGAATAAGTGTGATGTGGTGCTGAGAAGAATGTGTATTCTGTTGACTTGGGGTGGAGAGTTCTGTATATGTCTATTAGGTCCACTTGGTCCAGAGCTGAGTTCAAGTCCTAAATATCCTTGTTAATTTTCTGCCTCATTGATCTGTCTAATATTGACAGTGGGGTGTTAAAGTCTCCCACTATTATTGTGTGGGAGTCTAAGTCTCTTTGTAGGTCTCTAAGTACTTGCTTTATGAACCTGGGTGCTGGGTGCATATATATTTAGGGTAGTTAGCTCTTCTTGTTGGATTGATCCCTTTACCATTATGTAATGCCCTTCTTTGTCTTTTTAGATCTTTGTTGGGTTAAAGTCTGTTTTGTCAGAGACTAGGATTGCAACCCCTGCTTTTTTTTTGCTTTTCATTTGCTTGGTAAATTTTCCTGTATCCCTTTACTCTGAGCCTATGTGTGTCTTTGCACGTGAGATGGGTCTCCTGAATACGGCACACCAATGAGTCTTGACTCTTTAACCAATTTGCCAGTCTGCGTCTTTTAATTGGGGGATTTAGCCCATTTAGATATAAGGTTAATATTGTTATGTGTGAATCTGATCCTGTCATTATGATACTAGCTGGTTATTTTGCCCATTAGTTGACACGGTTTCTTCATAGTGTCAATGGTCTCTACAATTTGGTATTTTTTGCAGTGGCTGGCACCAGTTTTTCTTTTCCATATTTAGTGCTTCCTTCAGGATGTCTTGTAAGGCAGGCCTGGTGGTGACAAAATCTCCCAGGATTTGCTTGTCTGTAAAGGATTTTATTTCTCCTTTGCTTATGAAGCTTAGTTTGGCTGGATATGAAATTCTGGATTGAAAATTCTTTTCTTTGAGAATGTTGAATATTGGTCCCCACTCTCTTCTAGGTTGTAGGGTTTCTGCAGAGAGATCTGCTGTTAGTCTGATGGGCTTCCTTTTGTGAGTAACCTGACCTTTCTCTCTGGCTGCCCTTAGCATTTTTTCCTTCATTTCAACCTTGGTGAATCTGACAATTATGTGTCTTCGGGTTGCTCTTCTCGAGAAATATCTTTGGGGGTTCTCTGTATTTCCTGAATTTGAACGTTGGTCTGTCTTGCTAGGTTGGAGAAGTTCTCCTGGATAATATCCTGAAGAGTGTTTTCCAACTTGGTTTCATTCTCCCTGTCATTTTCAGCACACCAATCAAACGTAAGTTTGTTCTTGTCACATAGTCCCATATTTCTTGGACGCTTTGTTTGTTCCTTTTCATTCTTTTTCCTCTAATCTTGTCTTCATGCTTTATTTCATTAAGTTTACAAGAAAAGAACAAACAACCTCATCAAAAATTGGTGAAGGTTATGAACAGACACTTCTCAAAAGAAACAACAAACATGTGGCCAACAAACATATGAAAAAAAGCTCATCTTCACTGGTCATTAGAGAAATGCAAATCAAACCCACAATGAGATACCATCTCACACCAGTTAGAATGGCAATCATTAAAAAGTCAGGAAACAACAGATGCTGGAGAGGATGTGGAGAAACAGGAAGACTTTTACACTGTTGGTAGGAGTGTAAATTAGTTCAACCATTGTGAAAGACAGTGTGGCAATTCCTCAAGGATCTAGAACCAGAAAAACCATTTGACCCAGCAATCCCATTACTGGGTACATACCCAAAGGATTATAGATCATTCTACTATAAAGACACATGCATATATAGGTTTATTGCAGCACTGTTCACAATAGCAAAGACTTGGAACAAACCCAAATGTCCATCAAGAACAGACTGGATAAAGAAAATGTGGCACATATACACCATGGAATACTATGCAGCCATAAAAAAGGATGAGTTCATTTCCTTTGCAGAGACATGGATGAAGCTGAAAGCCATCATTCTCAGCAAACTAACACAGGAACAGCAAACCAAACACCTCATGTTCTCACTTACATGTGGGAGTTGAACAATGAGAACACATGGACCCAGGGAGGGGAACATCACACACTGGGGCCTGTTGGGGGCTATGGGGCTAGGGACAGTATAAGATAAGTACCTAATGTAGATGATGGGTTGATGGGTGCAGCAAACCACCATGGCACGTGCATACCTGTATAATAATCTTGCATGTTCTGCACATGTATCCCAGAACTTTAAGTATAATTTAAAAAGAGTAAAAAATAAAATGTGGTCTGAGGACTAACAGCATTGCATAACCTGGGAGCTTGTTAGAAAAGCAGACTTTCTTCAGGTCCAACCCAGACCTACAGAATCATAATCTGTGTCTCAACAAGATCACCTGGTGATTTGTGTGTATCTTAATATTTGAGACGCATGTTTAGAATTCAGAAAAGTGGATTTTTAAAAGTTAAAATACAAAATTCAGATTATTCTGTAGACATAAGTCTTAGTAAAGAAGATTGATTTTAAAAAGAAAGAGAATCCCAGAGAGGGCCCAAGACGGCTGACTGGAAGCAGCTGAGGTCCGTGGCACCCATGGAGAGGAATGAAAGGAGCAAGTGAATTTACCACCTTCAACTGAGATATCCGGGTTCTTTCACTGGGACTGATGAGGCAAACAGCTTGACCCACAGAGAGTGAAGAGTAGCAGGGTTGGGTGACAGCCCACTCAGGAGGAGCGTGGAGTCAAGGGAACCTCCACCCCAGCCAAAGGAAGTGGTGAGTGTTTGTGCAACCTGACTTGGGAACCACACTTCTCTCACAGATCTTTACAACCCATAGATCAGGAGATCTCCCTCATGAGCCCATGCCACCAGGGCCTTGGGTCTGTCACACAGAGCTGTGTGGAGTCTTGGCAGAGCAGCCACTCAGGCACACACAGAGACCCAGGAATTTTGCATACTCTGGCCCTGGGATCAGCAGCAAGGCAGAAGAACCATCAATGCATGTCCCTAGGAAGGGGGCTGAGTCTAGGGACACAAACAGTGTCATTCTGAGGATCCCACTTCTACAGCACCTCGTGGGTTGAGACCCACTGACTTGGAATTCCAGCTGGCTGGTGGCAGCAGGGTCTGCCTGAGTCAGGACCAAGTTCCTGGGGTGAGAAGTAGCCACCATCTCTGTGATTCAGTAGACTCAGTTGTTTCAGCCTGTTGGCTTTGAAGACTACAGGGAGTCTGGACAGAGAGGGGTCCCTCACAGTGCAGCACAGCTGCCTTGCCAGATCATGGCCAGACTGCTTCTTTAAGTGGTACACCAATCCATTCCTCCTTACTGGGCAAGACTTCCCTGTGGGAGCTTCAGCCACTCCAGCAAGGTTCTAAAGGCAGAGCTCTGATCTTTCCCTGGGTCAAAGCTCCCAGGGGAAGGGATGCCCACTATCTCTGTGGTTTGGTCAACTCAGCCATTCCAGCCTGCTGGTTTTGGAGAATACAAACTATCTGGACAAGGAAGACCCCCCACCAACCCTGCAATGCAGCACATCTCCTCTACAAAAAGGCAGCCAGACTGCTTATTTGCATGAGTCCCTGATCCCGTTCCTCCTGACTGGGTGAGACTTCCCATCAGGGGTCTCCAGCCACCTCCTACAGGTGTGTTCAGGCTGGCAACAGGTCAGTGCCCCCTTGGAATGGAGCTTCCAGAGGAAGGAGCAGGCTGCCATCTTTGCTATTTTGCAGGCTTTACTGGTGAAACCTCCAGGTACAGGAAAAACTGAGGCAACTAGAGTCTGGAGCGGACCCCTAGCAAACCATAGCAGCCCTATGAAAGAGTGGCCTCACTGTTAAAATAAAAACAGGCAAGCGGAAAACAAGAATGATAACAAAGACCCCACAAACACCCCATTCGAAGGTCAGCAACCTCAAGGACTGAAGGTAGATAAACCCATAAAGCTGAGAAAGAATCAATGCAAAAACACTGAAAACTCAAAAAGCCAGAGTGCCTCTTCTCCTCCAAATGACCACAACACCTCTCCAGCAACGGCACAAAATTGGGTTAAGGCTGAGATGGCTGAATTTACAGAAGTAGGCTTCAGAAGGTGGGTAATAATGAACTTCACTGAGCTAAAGAAGCATGTTGTAATGCAATGCAAAGAAGCTAAGAATCATGATAAAACAATACAGGAGCTGATAGCCAGAATAGCCAGTTTAGAGAGTAACATAACTGACCTGATAGTGCTGAAAAACACAACATAAGAACATCACAATGCAATCACAAGCATGAATAGCAGAATAGACCAAGTGGAGGAAAGAATCTCAGAGCTTAAAGATTTTCTGAAATAAGATAGCCAGAAGGGAATAGAGAAAAAAGAATGAAAAGGAATAAACAGAACCTCCAAGAAATATGGGATTATGTATGAACCCATGTCATGAACCCATGACTGATTGGGGTACAAGAAAAAGACAGGGAGAATGGAACCAAGTTGGAAAACATACTTCAGGATATCATCCAGGAGAACTTTCCTAACTAGCAAGATAAACCACCATTCAAATTCAGGAAATGCAAATTCAGAGAATGGGGTAAGTAAGAAACTCCACAAGAAGATCAACCCCAAGACACATATCATGAGATTCTCAAAGGTCAAAATGAAAGAAAAAATGTTAAGCACAGCCAGAGAGAAAGACCAGGTCACCTAAAAAAGGGAGCACATCAGACTAACAGTGGACCTCTCAGTGGAAACCTTACAAGCCAGGAGAGATTGGGGGCCAATATTCAACATTATTAAAGAAAAGAATACCAACCCAGAAATTCATATCTGGCCAAACTAAGCTTCATAAGTGAAGGAAAAATAAGATGCTTTGCAGACAAGCAAATGCTGGGGGAATTAGTCACCACCAGGCCTGCCTTGCAAGACCTCCTGAAGGAAACACTAAATAGGGAAAGTAAAAATCATTACCAGCCACTACTAAAACACCCTGAAGTACACAGACCAGTGACATTATGAAGCAACCACATAAACAAATCTGCATAATAACCTGCTAGTATCATGATGACAGGATCAAATAAATTAACACACAACAATACAAACCTTAAATGTAAATGTGCTAAATGTCCCAATTAAAAGGCACAGAATGGCAAGCTGGATAAAGAGCCAAGACTCGTTGGTATGCTGTCTTCAAGAGACCCATCTCACATGCAAAGACACATATAGGCTCAAAATAAAGGGATGGAGGAAATTTTACCAAGCAAATGGAAAACAGAAAAAAAGCAGAGGTTGCAATCCTAGTTTCTGACAAGACAGACTGTAAACCAACATAGATCAAAAAAGACAAAGAAGGATGTCACATAATGGTAAAGGGTTCAATTCAACAAGAAGAGCTAATGATCCTAAATATATATGCACCTAATATAGGAGCACCCAGATTCTTAAACTAAGTTCTCAGAGACTTATAAATAGACTTAGACTCCCATACAATAATAGTGGGAGACTACAACACCCACTGTCAATATTAGACAGATCATGGAGACAGAAACTCAACAAATATATTCAGGACCTGAACTCAGCTCTGAATCAAATGGACCTGATAGACATCTACAGAACTCTCCACCCCAAAACAACAGAATATACATTCATCTCATTGCCACACAACATTCACTCTAAAATTGATCACATAGTCAGAAGTAAAACTCTCCTCAGCAAATGCAAAAGAACGGAAATCATAACAAACAGTCTCTCAGACCACAGTGCAATCAAATTGGAATTCAAGATTAAGAAATTCACTCAAAACCACACAATTACCTGGAAATTGAACAACCTGTTCCTAAATAAATGACTCTTGGGTAAATAATGAAATTAAGGCAGAAATCAAGAACTTCTTTGAAACTAATGAGAACAAAGACACAATGTATCAGAATCTCTGAGACACAGCTAAAGCAGTGTTAAGAGGGAAATTTGTACCACTAACTGCCCACATCAAAAAGCTAGAAAGATCTCAAGATAACAACCTAACATCTCAACTAAAAGAACTAGAGAAGCAAGAGCAAACAAATCTCAAAGCTAACAGAAGATAAGAAATAACCAAGATCAGAGCTGAACTGAAGTAGATAGAGACATGAAAAACTCTTCAAAAAAATCAATGAATCTAGAAGCTGTTTTTTTTTGAAAAAAATTAATAAAATAGACCACTAGCTAGACTAATAAAGTAAAAAAAAATCAAACATAGTCAGAAATAAGGGAGATATCACCACTGACTTGATAGAAATACAAACAACCATCATAGAATGCTATAAGCACCTCTGTGCACATAAACTAGAAAATACAGAAGAAATGGATAAATTCCTGGAAACATATACCCTCCCGAGACTAAACCAGGAAGAAACTGAATCCCTCAATAGACCAATACTAAGTTCCAAAGTTGAGGCAGTAATAAATTGCCTACCAACCAAAAAAAGCCCAGGACCAGATGGATTCACAGCTGAATTCTAACAGAGGTACAAAGAAGAGTTAGTACCACTGCTACTGAAACTATTCCAAAAAAATAAAAAGGAGGGACTCCTCCCTAACTCATTCTATGAGTCCAGCATTGTCCTGATACCAAAACCTGGCAGAGGTACAAGAAAAAAAGAAAACTTCAGGTCAATATCCTTGATGAACAACAATGCCAAAATGCTCAATAAAATACTGGCAAACTGAATCCAGCAGCACATCAAAAAGCTTATCAACCACAATTAAATTGACTTCATCCACAGGATGCAAGGTTGATTCAATATGCACAAATCAATCAAATCCAGAGTGAGATACCGTCTCACACCAGTTAGAATGGTGATTATTAAAAAGTCAGGAAACAACAGATGCTGGCGAGGCTGCGGAGAAAGAGGAATGCTTTTACACTGTTGGTGGGAGTGTAAATTAGTTCAACCATTGTGGAAGACAGTGTGGGTGATTCCTTAAGGATCTAGAACCAGAAATACCATTTGACCCAGCAATCCCGTTACTGGGTATATACCCAAAGGATTATAAATCATTCTACTATAAAGACACATGCCACATATGTTTACTGCAACACTATTTACAATAGCAAAGACTTGGGACCAACCAAAATACCCGTCAATGATAGACTGGATAAAGAAAATGTGGCACATATACACCATGGAATACTATGCAGCCATAAAAAAGAATGAGTTCATGTCCTTTGCAGGGACATGGATGAAGCTGGAAGCCATCATTCTCAGCAAACTAACACAGGAACAGAAAACCAAATACTGCCTGTTCTCACTCATAAGTGGGAGTTGAACAATAAGAACACATGGACATAGGGAGGGGAACATCACACACCAGGGCCTGTCAGGGAGTGGGGGTAAGGGGAGGGAGAATATTAGAACAAATACCTGATGCATGCAGGACTTAAGACCTAGATGATGGGTTGGTAGGTGCAGCAAACCACCATGGGACATGTATACCTATGTCACAAACCTGCACATTCTGCACATGTATCCCAGAAATTAAAGTAAAATTTTAAGAAAACATAATTCAATAAATGTGATTCATCACATAAACAGAACTAAAGACAAAAACCATATGATTATCTCAATAGATGCAGAAAAGACCTTCAGTAACATTCAACATCCCTTTACGTTAAAAACTCTCAATAAACTAGGTATTGAAGGAACATACCTCAAAACAATGAGAGCCATCTATGACAAACCCATAGCCAATGCCATACTGAATAAGCAAAAGCTGGAAGCATTCCCCTTGAAAACCAGTACAAGACAAGGATACCCTCTCTCACCACTCCTATTCAATATATATTGGAAGCTCTGGCCAGGGCAATCAGGCAAGAGATACTCAAATAGAGGATACTCAAATAGAAAGAGAGGAAGTCAAATTATCTTTGTTTGCAGATGACATGATCCTATATCTAGAAAACCCTATTGTCTCAGCCCCAAAGCTTCTTAAGCTGATAAACAACTTCAGCAAACTCTCAGGATACAAAATCAATGTGCAAACATCTCTAGCATTCCTATACACCAACAAAAGGCAAGCAGAGAGCCAAATCATGAATGAACTCCCATTCACAATTGCTACAAAAAGAATAAAATACCTAGGAATACAGTTAACAAGGGACATGAATGACCTCTTCAAGAAGAACTACAAACCACTATTCAAAGGAATCAGAGAGGACATAAACAAATGGAACAATATTCCATACTCATGAATAGGAAAAATCAATATTGTGAAAACGGCCATATTGCCCAAAGTAATTTATAGAGTCAATGCTATTCCCATTAAACTACCATTGACATACTTCACAGAATTAGAAAAAATTATTTTAAAATTCATATGGAACCTAAAAAGAGCCCAAATAACCAAGACAATCCTAAGTGAAAAGAACAAAGCTGGTGGCATCATGCTACCCGACTTCAAACTATACTACAAGGCTACAGTAACCAAAACAGCATGGTACTGGTACAAGAACAGACACATGCAACAATGGAACAGAATAGAGAACTCAAAAATAAGAGTACACACCTACAACCATCTGAGCTTTGACAAACTTGACAAAAACAAGCAATGGGGAAAAGATTCTCCATTTAAAAATTGGTGCTGGGAGAACTGGCTAGCCATATGCAGAAAACTGAAACTGGACTATTTCCTTACACCATATACAGAAATTAACTCAAGATGGATTAAAGACTTAAATCCATAAATAAAGATTTAAAGTGTAAAACCCAGAATTATAAAATCCCTAGAAGAAAATCTAGGCATGAATAGACACTTCTCAAAGGAAGACATGTATGCAGCCAAGAAACATGAAAAAAAGCTCAGCATCACTGACCATTTGAGAAATGCAAATCAAAACCACAATGAGATACCATCTCACGTCAGTCAGAATGGCTATTACTAAGAAGTCAAAAAAAAAAAAGATGCTGGTGAGGTTGTGGAGAAAAAGTAACACTTTTACACTGTTAGTGGGAGTGTAAATTAGTTCAACCATTGTGGAAGACAGTGTGGTGATTCCTCAAAGACCTAGAGGCAGAAATACCATTTGACCCTGCAACCCTATTACTAGGTATACACCCAAAGGAATGTAAATCATTCTATTATAAAGATACATGCATGCATATGTTCACTGCAGCACTATTCACAATAGCAAAGACATGGAATTAACCTAAATGTCCAGTAATGATAGACTGGATAAAGAAAAATGTGGTACATATACAACATGGAACACTATGCAGCCATAAAAAGGAATAAGATCATGTTCTTTGCAGGAACATGGATGGAGCTGGAAGCCATTATCCTCAGTAGACTAACACAGGAACAGAAAACCAAACACTGCATGTTCTCAGTTATACGTGGGAGCTGAATGATGAGAACACATGGACGCATTGAGGGGAACAAAGTACACTGAGGCATGTCGGAGTGGGAGTCGGGGGATGAAGAGCACCAGAAAGAATAGCTAACAGATGCTGGGCTTAATATGTAGGTGATGGGATAATCTGAGCAACAAACCACCAAGGCACATGTTTACCTATGTAACAATCCTGCACATCTGGCACATGTACCTCAGAACTTAAAAGCTGAAGAAAAAAAAACGGAAAGAGGACCCTTACAAGTAAAAAAATTGTGTCTCAATAAAATAAGTCAGCAGTTAAAAATTAGGAGAAGACAAAAAACTAGAAAAAGAACTACGATTCAATCCAGTAATTCCACTACTGGGTATATACTCAAAGGGAATGAAATCATTATATGGAAAAGATACCTGTACTTGCATGTTTATCACAGCACTGTTCACAATAGCAAAGATGTGGAATCAACCTAAATTTCTATCAATAGAGGACTGGATAATGAAAATGTGATATATCTATATATCTCTATCTATATATGGAATACTATGCAGCCATGAAAAGGAATGGAATCATATCTTTTGCAGCAACATGGATGGAACTAGGGGCCATTATCCCAAATGGAATAACTCAGAAACAGAAAGTCAAATACAGAAATATACAGTCAAAAACATGCTGTATTTGAACATGTATTTGCAAATACATTTGAACGTGTATTTTATTTCCAATAAACAATAAGTGGAAGCTAAACAATGGGTACACATGGACATTCAGAGTGTAATAATAAACACTAGAGACTACAAAACATGGGATAGTGGTGTGGGAGCAAGGGTTGAGAAATCACCTCTTGGGTTCAGTGTTCACTATGTGGGTGATGGGTACGCGAAAAACCCAGGTTCCACAACTACACAGTATAAGAATGTAAGAAATATGCACTCGTACCCCCTAAATATATAAAAATAAAAATCAATTTTAAAAATTAGGAGAAGAAACAATATAGAAGTCTGGGCTCTCTGATAAGCTCAGATTTTAAAACAAATTTATGGAAGATGGAAGGAGGGTATGGCAGAGTAAAGATGGCCAGAGATTATTTTCTACTCTTACTGAGAGGGGAAATCTAATACTCTTCCCTTAGACCTCGTCTGGAGGTAGTCATTAAGTCTAATTGAGCTGTTTTCCAAATATATTTTAAATTTGTTCTTTCATTTTCTCTCCTGGTGCTGACTTAGTTTGGGCCTCATTATCTTTCACCTATACTAAATAGAGAGTCTCCTAACTGATCTTCCTGCTTTCCGTCTTGTTGCTTTCGATTCGATTATTCTAAACAGAAAATCGGCTCAATACATGTAGAATGAATGAATAGCTATTTATAAATTGAGTATGCTGCTTTGTGGGGTAGTGACTTTCCTGTCATTGGAAATGTTGAAACTTGAAATTGTACATCTTCCTGCATTTTAAAAAAGTAACCATTTTTAAAGTCTTACTTGATTTGATTCTATTGTTACATCATTAGATTTCTCTCATTCCAGAATGAATTAAGATAGTGCACTGGGGTTGTACTCAAATTCTGAGACTGTCTCCCTAAAACTGTATGTATTGAGCAAAACAGTTCTCCTCTTTTTCACATTCTAGGTGGAACTAACCAAGAATATGTACAGAAGCAACAGGAGAAAACCTATGAAAAGTAAAAATATTCATATGTCTTTTTGTTTTGTTATTTTTATTGCTTAATTTTGTTATTGTTGGTCAAATAAAATATTACAAAAATTATAATACAAAGTCTACTTTGTGTGTGTGTATGTACTTATATATTCCTTTCTGGAACTTATTCATACACAGCCATCCATTAAGTTTATCAATACTAGTGTATGCACAATTTCACATCTTGATTTTATAAATGTATGACAATATTTGCTTACTAAGTTACATGGCTTTGATAATCATCATCTATTTAATGTTTCATCTGTTTGACCTACTACAATTTTACTCACCACTCTTCATTTATTGGACTTTAGGCATCTTCCAATTTTTCTAGTCAAAAAATTAGGTTGTTGGGAACATCCCAGTGTTTATAGCAACTTTCTTTTTCTGAATGATGTTTCTAGGCTAAATTTCTAGTAGCAAAATTATTGGGCCAAAATGTTTCAGTTTTTAAGTCTGTGCAGTCAACGGTGCTCTCAAAGTTTCCCCCGTCTACCCAAATAAGCACCCATTAAACAAAAAAATCTCAATAACCTGAAATATTACTGTGAAAAGATAAACTTTGATAACTTGGACAGAAAAAATGATGCTTCAAGATTGTCATTTTTTTCTAATTATTTTATTCTAATATTCTATCATTTTCTGTTAGTAACTCCTTTTTTGTATGTGAATTGCCTGTTGATGTCCAGCTTACACTCTGCCATATATAACAAGTATTAAGATTTTAAGTCTTAAAATACATGGACATAAAGTTATTGACCAGTCAATTGATGCTAGCTGTGGAAATCTGTGACTCATTATGTGTTTTACAAAACTGGCAGATGCTTTTCCTTTTTGGAGTAACGAAGGTCACTACGGATCAGGACCTGTCCTGGTCACTAAGGATACCACCCTTGACCCCTATTTGTTTTGAATTCCCATCTGTGACATAATAAGAAATACATATTTGGTCTCTTCCCCTGGCTCCTGGCACAGAGCTCCTAGAACCCTTGTATTTTCCTAGTGACAGGGGTGCTAGGAGCTTCTTTTCATCTAACATTTGTTTTTTGATCCCAATTCTTGACACAGAGCTCCTAAATCCCTTGGAATTTCCTAGGTAATAAGAGCATCTTTTGTTTTAATTTTCTGAATAGATCCAGAATGGAGGCTGGTCACCAGAAAGACTGAGCCATGATTAGAAGTTTGGAACTTTCAGCCCTGCCCTTATCCTCCCAGAAGGTGTGAGGGAATGGAGAGTGAGTGAATATTCAACCATGCCTCTGTGATGAAGCCTCCCTCAATGACAGGGTTTGGAGAGCTTCTGTGTTGCTGAACACATCCATGTGCCAGGAGTGTGGTTCACCCCAACTTCACGGGGACAGAAGCTGCCGTGCTCAGAACACTTTGGATCTCACCCTATGCACCTCTTCAGCTGGCTGTTCATCTGCATCCTTCATAATAGCCTTTGTAATGAACTGGTAATCAGAAGTAAATGTTCCCTGAGTTTTATGAGCTCTTATAGCAAATTATCAAGGAGTTTGGGAAGGAACAATTTATAGTTGGTTGGTCAGAGTACAGGTGACAACTTGGGACTTGTGTTTGGTGTCTGAAGTGGTGGGCAGTCTCATAGGACTTAGCTCTTAACCTGTGGGATCTACTCTCACTCCAGATAAAGTCAGAACTGAATTGTAGGACACCCAGTTGGTGTCCCAAGAGTTGGATAATTGCTTAATGTGAAGGAAAAACCCACATATTTGGTGTCAGAAGTGTTGTGCGTATTTTCAAAAAATGGTTTTTAATTTAGCAACCTATAAAGGACAGATACCAGACCACTAACTCACTTTCTTAAGGCTTAACACCCTGGTTACTCTTTTATTCTCCCCAGCCCTCAATCATACTGAATGGACCTGTCCTCTGGTGAAACGTTTTCCTGGGACATGAAACCTACAGAACCACACCTTTGATAAAAATCTAACAAAACAACACAAGGACAGACACAGCAAGGAAGAGAGATAGCAATATAGTAACTATGACCAATGAGATGGAGGCCTGAGAGAAAAAGGATGTGTCTAATTGTCTATCCCTTTGAAGTATCTAGCAGCTAGTGCAGAATTTCTCTGTTGGGCACCTGTTCACTGTGTAACTTAACCTCCTTGGGCCTCAGAAATTGGAATAGATAATTTCTACATTCCATTCCAGCTCTAATACTCTTAACTTTACAGCTGCATAGATGTAATGTAGGAGGGTAATTCATAAGAAATAATCTTATGTATTGATCAGGTCAATTTCTGACACTGAAATTTCTGGTTGAAATTATATATGAATTTCAAATTTTGTTAAGGCATAATCAAATTGCCCTTCCAGAAGTTTGCACCAATTTCCACTTACACTACCCGTGTTAGAGAGTTCTTGCTTCTTGACATGCTTTTGATTCTTGAGTACTATTGATCATCTTAATCTATGCAAGTAATACTATCACTGCTAGAAATTTGTGCCATTGGTATTCTTCAAACAACATGCTAAAATAAATGCATAAGGATGTTCATTGCAGCATTGTTTTTAATAGCCAGAAGAGAGAAACAGCCCAAGTGTCCCAGAAGAGGGGCTAGGTTAAATAAATTACAGTGAAGTCAAAGAGGGATGTCAAGTGTTTTTTTTTTTTTTAAATGAAGTAAATCTGTAAATGCTAATAAGATAAAAGTTCGAACAAGGTATTAAGTAAAAAAAGGCAAGGTTCAGGACAGTGCATGTGGTATGATCCTGTTTAGGAACTAATAAAAAGGCTATAAGTACGAGATCGTGTCCTTTGCAGCAACATGGATGGAGCTAGAGGCCACATCGTAAGTGAACTAATGCAGGAACAGAAAACCAAATACCGCATGTTCTCACCTATAAGTGGGAGCTAAACATTGAATATATAAGGAACAAAGGAAGGAGCAGCAGACACCGAGACCTAATTGAGGGTGGATGTTGGGAGGAAGGAGAGGAGCAAAAACTACCTATCAGGTACTATGTTTATTATATGGTTGATGAAATAATCTGTACACCAAACCTCCATGAGATGCAATTTACCTATATAACAAACCTGCACAGGTACCCTGGAATCAATAAAAAATAAAAAGTATATGTATATGTGTGTGTGTGTGTGTGTGTGTGTGTGTGTGTATATATATATATATGATAGACATTTTTATTGGAAAGGATAAATACAAGATACTACTAACCATAGTTATCTCTGGGGAGTGGCACTCTTTGTTGGGAGGAGGGATTGGAAGAAAGAGATTTTACTTTTAGCCTTTCTTTACTACCTGAGTATTTTTATCAAATGCACGATTCACTTTATTTTACAAAATACTGTAATACATTTTATTTTTTATATTTTTTAAAATTTAAAATGTTTAATAGACAAACAAAATGGGATATATTCAGGTTGTACACTGTGATAATTTGGTATATGTGTACATTATGTAAAGATTACCACAACCAATTTAGTTAACATTTATTGCTAGTCGTGCTGTACATTATTAGATCCCCAGGACCTGTTTATCTACTGAGAGAAAGTTTGTGCCCTTTGGCCAACATCTCTTTACTTCTCTTACTTCCTCAGCCCCTGGCAACCACCAGTCTGCTCTCTGCAAATCCAGTTTTTAAATGTAATGATAGCTAATCCTTTGAAATGAATATTTTATTTTAAATGTTAATTTTGCCAAATAACAGTTCAGTATAAATAAGCTAAAAATATTCTCCATTTGCTATCTTACCAAGTGGGAAAAAAAAAGGGAAAGAGATAGTACTACGCAAGGAACATTATTTTTTATTTAATTATTTAGCTTTACTTACCTTGTTGATCATGACTTTGCAAATGAAAAGAATGTAAACCTTGAAGAGTAAAATTCTGTTATCATATTTGGGTGGTCGTAAATTCTCCACAAAGTCCACATATTGATTTATAAAAATTTGGATAACTTAAACTCATGAATTAGAGAGCAATTATTTATTTTTTCAATAGGCTTCTTAGTGTAAAATAAAATTCATACCAGTTTTCCTTTAAATAATAATATCTTGTAGTATATTTACTGAGTGATTTGCAAAAAATGTGTTTCTATAGAAGCTGTTTGTAAAAATCGTGTGACACACTTATAACTATTACATGAGAAAACATTCTCATATAATAATGTGCTAAGACATTATTAACTAACCAAGTGGTACCCAGATATTTGGGAAAGAACTTGTTTTAAGACTAGGTCCAGGTACTGTTATTACACAGTTCATGGCAATGCACTTTAAAAATTGTGAGGTGCATTAGGAACATAAAATCCTTATTTCCAGGGAACTTCGGAAGCCTAAGGCAATATATTGAATAGACAAAAGTGAATTTTAGACTAGTATATGATGGCATCTTTGTAAAAATATACAGTCATATCATGTATGACATATATTACACATTATACATATTTATTTCCCCAGACGTTTAAAATATTTTAAAATTTAAAAATAAAAAAACTGCACACAAAATATGGGGGAAAATATGGGAAAAATGCAAAAATACTTCTGAAGAATAGAACTGATATTGTAGGAATGAGGTGTAATTTTGGTTTCCACTGTATACTTTGTATGGTTTTGTTTGAGCTGTGTGCGTTTTAAGTACACATTATGCTTTAATAATTAAGCAACAAATAAAGGCAAGGTGAAAAATAGCAATGAGACAGAGACCAAGATGAAGATACTGAGTTATTTGCCTAAATTTATAACAGAATAATTGAATCAGTTGAATTTACGCCTTTCTAAAGAGAAGTAGAAACTTTGAAGTAAGAATCCTTTTTGGCTACATAAGGGCTGGTATCACAAATACCTGGATTGCCTCTAATACGCGTGAGGTCTTCCAGGAGCTAGCTTAAGCAACAGTGGTTTTAAAAAGGCAATGAATGCATCACCAGTGAATTCCACCAGCTATTGATTGCATTTTGATATGTAAATAATGTCATTGTCATGTCCACTTTTTCTAACAGTGCTTTCCGGAGTAGCACGTATTCTTTAAAGAAAGGGTTCTGTGGGTAAATATTTTGGAAAACACTGAATATAACAATAACAAACACTTTTTTTTTTTTACAGCAGGCCTTCTTTAGTATTCAAAAGCAGGGATGAAGTATGCACTCTCCTGAACTATTTGGCAATATCTCAGGCCAGCCCAGTGACTGCACACTGTGGAAACTTCATCTCATGTTTGATGAATGGAGAAAGGGGCAGGAGGGAGTTAGCAAGAAATGGGGATAGAGGAGACTAGAATATGGAGTATATCCTCACCATTTTTCTACCTCTCTGATGCTTTGCATTGTCTGTCTAAATCATCGTAATGAGCATTGATTTCAAAATCTAGATTTTGAGCAAATGAAATTCATTTCTACCACAAATAACCTGGTGAGTTTGCAAAAGAAAAGCCAGATTCCCCAGGCCATGACCCCAAAGAGTTTGATTCAGGCATTCTAAAGTGAGATCCAGGAAAAATGTTTTTTACAAGGAAGGAATTCTTATCTTTGCAATTAGAAGAACAGGCTGAGAAACAGTGATCTATAATAATAAAATTTAGATATTTCCTCTATAGGATAATAATAAAATGGAATAAATTTACCTCCAAATGATGAGAATTTTCAAAGTGGGACGCACACAAAGAGGAATCAATATAATCTTGAGAATGGTTTAAATGAGTACTTGATATAAATTCAAATGAAAAATTAAACTTCTTGAACACCTTTTTTTTTTTTTTTTGGAGGAGTATCTCTCATTCTATTCTCCTATGTCCTGCAAAACAAACTGGCCACAAAGATTTGGCCTATGCTTGTTCTCTACTCTGATCTGGGATCATGTGAATCCAAAGCACAAGTTAGTTAAAACCTGCACTAGCTTGAACTGAAGTGCCCTGGAGTAGTTAAGAATCACATTTGGATGTGTCTCCTGGTTCTGCCACTTATTAGTTGTATGATTTTGATAGAGTTACTAAATCTTTCTAGTTCTCAGGCTTTTCATCTGTAAAGTGGAGTATTATTTTTATTTATATTGAATAGCTGTTGTGAGGTGTAATTAAATGAAGTAATTTGAAGTGCCTACTTGTAGCTATTAGTTATTACATATGTATTAATTTAACAGCTTCCACGTGTGGGATTTTTTAAAGTGATTTTAGTGTTTGTCAAAAATTCTAATGAACATGTTCCTTGGTCCTGATACACAACAGAGTTGAGAAATTTGGTATCACATAATTTTATTTATTTCTTATATTGGTATTTATTATCAATAAATATTTTCCATTATGAAAAGTAAGAACAAGAATCTAACAAATGACTTGGACTCAAGCTTACTTTTGGAGTATTCTAGAAGGCAGTTTTGATTTCATAGGCTTTATTTGTTGCCCTCATAAGCTGTGAAAATGTTCTATGCAATCCAGTAATGTAATATGTATGCAATATTTTCTACATTTCTCATCAGTGTAGAAGTAGGGCAAACATTGTTCCTTAGACTTTTTGTCCTCATCTGAAAAATGCAGCCACTATATTCCTTGTTGTCTTTGTATCATCAAAACATAAACACCAAGTGACTATTTTATGGCTCATGTTCATTTTACATTGTAACTGTCTCCCAAACTCTTATCCTCAATAGAGACCAGTATACAAATGATCTTCTTCTCCAATCTTAAAAATAACCTGTAAAAACGTATGAACAATGCAAACATTCAGTCCATGGAGTAAAAATAATCTCAACTTTCTTTGTCTCTCTCCTTTTTAAAGAGTAATTATCTGGAGTAATTAAGAATATATACATTATTTCGTAATGTATATATTAGAAGAGTCAAGATTCTGCATGCTGTGGCTAAAGGTCTTGACCAATCAGTGACTTTATATAAATTGAACACTCAAATTTCAACCAAAATAAGCCCTCCTAAATCATTAGATTCTTCTGGCTATGTGGAGAAGTAAACTTTAAGTGATGACACATTAGGTAGGAATTATTCTATATTCCAGTCCACGTAACTCACTATTAAGCCAATTTCAAGCCCAGAATATTAGCTTACATTCAGTATCATTGATTTACAGCTGAAACAGCATGTGAGATGTTGAGTTGAATTCACACTATTACAGGAAAAATTCTAAAAAGTGCTTTTTAATTTACACATTTAAAGAATACAAGATTCATCTATAGATTAAAGTAATTTAAACCAATAGTACTTGAACTAGATACTTACAGAATAAGTTTTCTTTATCCTGTCCTTTTGAGTATAAAACTTTAAAGCTGGTCTAAACTAACAAATATTGAGCCATTAAAATATAAATTCTCCTAGAAATTTGTGCCTGTCTCTCAACAAAATCTGAATTCAGTTTGATAAAATTTAAATGCTTTCATATATCCTAGCCAAATCCCAGGAGAGTCTTTAGAGAGAAAAAGAGGCTCCTAAATAAGTTGTTATCCACCTTGATTGCACATTAAAATCATCTGGGGAGCTTTAAAAATACTTGATGCCTTGTGACGCACCCCGAGAAATTTGATATAATAGGTCTGAGGTATACCCTGGGCATAAGGATTTTAAAAAGCATCCCAGCAGAGGTGTGGAACCACAGATCTCAGCACTGTTTGATGCCCAAGGAAATGAAAAACAGTCCCCTATTCTTCCCCAGAGGGTCAGGGGATGTGATAGTAATGACCATCAAAGATGTCCACACCCTAATACGCAAAACTTGTGAATATTACCTTGGGGTTCTGCAGAAGTAATCAGGTTAAAGGTCTTGAGATGGGGAGTTTATCCTGGATTGCCTGGTTGGCCTGAGGTAATGACCGGGGTCCTTATGAGAGCAATGCAGGAGAAGTCAGTGTGAGACAGAGGCTGAGTGACAATAGAAGCTGAGAGATAGAGAAAGACATTCGAAGATGCTATGCTGCCTGCTAGCTTTGGAGATGGGGGAACGGGTCACAAGCAAAAGGATTTATGTGGCCTCTGGAAGATGGAAAGCTCAAGAAAATAGATCTTCCTTAAAGCCCCCAAGAGGGAACACGGCCTTACCATCTCATTTTAGACATCTGACTTCTAGAACTGTAAAATAATGAATTTGTGTTGTTTTAAGCCAGTAAGTTTGTGGCGAGTTACTACAGCAGCAGTGAAAAAAATAATACAGAGGAGGAGGAGGAATTCTGTCCAGGAGCAATTTGAAATGATCTGATAGGGAGCATTGTGCCCACTTCAAAATCCACACACCGGAAAACTCATCAAGAAAAGCCAATATCAAATTGCCATGATCCACATTTTTATTAAATTTGAAATACATTTCTTAATCCTATTTTCTTCATATGCAACCATACTTTTTGTTGTGTAAAATCTTCTTAAATACAAACTAATTGTCAAATATTATTACTGTCAACAAAAATCTCAGGTTAAAGCAAATAAATTAAGATCTGGGCAAACATTTTGGAAAAGCTGCCCACTATGGTGATATTGACTGGCTTTCCAGGTTTGCAGGTCTTGGCTTGACTACGGTAACTTTCAAGTACTTTTCTGGTAGATTCTTGAGTATAAACATTTAGTATTATGAAAATGTCCTTTTGAGGGCTGAATATTATGCATTGTCTATGTTGCCTTACCAGCCACCACCAGCAATTCTGATAAACAAAAGGAGAGCCACTGCATTAAAACACTGGTCACATTTTGATTTTTTAGGCCTTGCCTGGAGTGTCCCCTGACCATCTCTGGTTTAGCTTGTAGAAATTTTCAAACCCAGATTCCAATTCAACCTGAACATCAAAGGCCTAGAAAGTACAGCTTTTACCTTACAGTTCTATGGTGACTCTCTTTCAATTAGCTTAGACTATTAGCCTTGAAATTAATTAGACCTAGGGAGGTGGTCTATTTATAACAGTTGTTCAATAAATCCTAGTTCTCTTTACTGCAGATTATACATAAAATCATTAAAAGATGGGAAGGCTTAGATTAAAAGCCAAATTAAACAATTACAATTTGTGTGTCTATGGACAACTTCTTACCTTCTGTGAGTTTTTAATTCAGAAATATGTGCCAGACAACATAAAAATATGTTCCTACAATTTTTTGGTAGCATGCATATTTTCTAGTATTACAAGTATTAGTGACATTACTATGAGGGATCAATCTGGACCTATTAGCCAGTTCCAACGGAGGCACAGTCTCCATTAATGACTAAACACTATGAGCACACCTCTACCGGAACAATCACCTGCAAAACCTAGAGAAAGCTTTTTCAGCATACTCCTCTAGGAACGGTACATACTGCTTAATCGAATCATCTCCCTATAGATAGTTTTTATTTTAAAATATTTAAATTCTGTCGACTAAATGTAAAATAAATATCATAAAAATCTCCTCCTAATATTCCTAAACTATGCCTTCAAATGAAGTTTTGGGTCTATCAACAAAGATGAGTCAAAGACGTGGTGCCTAGTGTCAGTGTCAGGGACAGCAGCAGGCCATGGGGCTCATGGTGAGGCTGAACTGATGAACCAGACCTTCTGTGAGAACTTTGGCTTATCAAGACCCCAAGGGTGTATATGAAAACAGCAAGTGATATTTATTTATTTTCTCTAAATACATTTTACATGAGTCCCCAAATTCTTAAAAGGATATGATGAAAATCTTACATTGGAAGGTCGCAGCTCCAGTGTCTGATCTGGGCAGATAATTTGGACAAAAACAAGTACATATGTATCCTTCTAAAGGAGATGCACCCTCACCACCCACCATGAAAAGTTGAGCATCTCAAGAGTAATTCAATCTGTTAAGTAACAGTTAGAAAAATACATATTTTGTATGATAACTTGTTTTCTTAAGCAATATGGGAAGTTGGGCTGCTTAGCTACTATTCCCGTGCTTCTGTGACTAGAACCCCTTTATCTCACCAGAAACAAATTTTAGCCTGATAATTTTTTCTTTTTTATTGTTAAGTGCTATGTTTTATTTCCAGGTGAGTTTTACCCCCAAAACATGAAAATTCAGTTATATCAGATTTTTTAGGTCCTCATATGTGGTTTGTATACCAAGCAAAGTCTAAGAGATTATTTTCACCATTAATCTTTGCAACTAATAAAGATGGATATAAACAAACAGTCTTAAAACCAGAGGTGGGCATTTCACTGGTAATGCTTTTCCATAGCTCCTTGATGAAGATGATCAACTAAAGGAAAACTTCTGCATGATCTATTAATAGAGAATGAGGATTAATGAAGGATTATGTCATAATGATTCTGCCTGCAGAGTAGCTTCAGTTCTGGTCCTTTGCTGCCAAAATACAGTTCTCATTTCCAACAAACAAAGTCTATCTGAGAGAAAGCACAGAGCCCCTTTAGAACTGGAAAGTCCTGTGCATAATAATGAATGTCTAACTCTTCTTTTGCCAAAGAGCTTCAGCACTTTCAATGTCATAGGTCAATGCAGTGATTCAGAGGGGGCCTGATCCTTATCTAAGCTTTTGCAACAAAATTAGAATGTGCTGTAGTCTTATTAAAGAAATGTTTGTTCCTCCATCAATGAGCTGAAAAGAAAGCAGCTCAATGTACTTTTGCAAATTACAGCAATAAACTGCTTGAATTAACTGCTTTATTACAAATATTTAATTATTCTGAGGGTTAAATATCCAACATTTTGGAAAGGCAAAAATTAGCAGTCCACTTGATAACCTACTTCATTTAAAATCTGCTACAACGGTGTATTTTTTTTTTTAATTTTTAAACAATTCCAATTTTCAGTTGTCTTTATTGTGAATTCAGCCAGTTTCCATTTGGAATTAAAAAGAAAAATACATATTGCCCTTGATTTTGAAGTAAGATGTCAAGAAAATTAAATTCATAACTCATGAAGAATATAAAAGGCAGAACTTGTTTTTACTTCCTAGTCACAAAAATGAAAAAGGACTCAAAATATCAAGTCAAGGTCAGTCAAACTTTGATTAAAACCTATTTCAAGATTTCGATAAAATAACATTATCATCATTATTAAAATGGTTGCTGTATAAATGTTGCTTAAAGTACACTCCCCTTCAAAATAAAAGGGACCATGAATTAAAACTTTATGATAAAAGAAAAACTCGGCAAATACATATTGAACAAAAAGCAAATGTTATCAAAGGAAAGTTTTTTATTCCAACAAAATAAAACTCAATTCATAATCCAAATCTGCTTTTTTTTTTCATTTATTAAGTGGTACCAAGAGCAGATGAAAGTTATTTTTAAAAATGGATAACTTTTTCTGGGTTATATTCTTAAAAAATAAGAAAGTAGAGAGCATTTTGCCATAGAGCAAAGAAAAATATTACAATAACAGAAAATGGATCAACCAGGATATGCTTCAACAGAGGGACATATCAAAGCATTATTATAGTCTCTCTCCACTTACTGTTTGGATTCACTAATCTACATCACTAAATTGACCATTCAGTGCCAGAAAATCTGCCATGTAGGTCTCGACTTTTCATAGCAGCTCTTAAATGTGTATTCGGAAACTACAAAGTGCTGAATATATTTTCAGCCTTTTTGTACTACGATTTACAACTAATGACCTTAAGCAATGTCATGCATGTAAAACAAAATTATGAGACCACCCTGGTTTAGAGCCGAATAAAAGTATAGAATCAAACTTCATTATCATTCAAATTTAATAGGGGAGAAGAACAACAATAAAAAAAATCCATAGTAATATAGATAAATCTGTTTTGCAGTTTTACTTTGTAAAAATGTCCTCCTTTGCTTGTATTTTGCTATTACCAGCTCAGGGTAAGTAGACAATTATTTAAGCTTAATACCAAAAGTAATAATGCACTGTACACATTCAAAATCCTTGTTTCGCATCAGCCAGTGCCTATGGGGATAAAACATCTATCAGTTGTTCCTTAGCGTAATAGCGAGTTTGAAAATTTGACCGCCCAGGCCGACATTAGTGAAATCATAGTTTTAGCTTGATTCAGAACCCAACACAGGAAATCTTGATACTGGGATGACTCCATTGGCAGCGTGCCTCCTGATGCCCACAAGAACTGCGGGCTACTTTCTGTCCCACTACTTCCCATGAAAGAAGTCCTTTTACTTCCCTGCTGTAGTTGGCACACTGCCCTTTTCACGGACCCAACGAACCGTCATCTTGGATGTAACAAATTAGTACATTCTCAGAATAATAATAAGTGCAGGCATGAAAACACTATTGTTTTTATTTGGAAATGAAGTAACTCATTTTAGCTGGGTGACTTTTTCAGTGTAGCACCATAGGCCAAAAAAGAAAAAATCTTTTCTGAAAAGAATGGTCAATTTCAGGAGAGACATGACACATCATTTGCTGTAAAAATCAGATAAAGGGAAAAGAATAGAAAAAAAAATGGCATTTGTTGTAGAGTAGTTAAAAGAAAATAGGAGGTTCAAGGGAAGTACAAATGTAAAACAAATAATGTATCCATTTCAAAGTACAATTAGAGAAATAAGATTGGAAATAAGTACTATATGGAGTTGATTTTTGATATCAGATTAAAAATCTATTAACTGATTTTTCTGCTTGTAACTGCAAAAAATATAACTAAAATTTTTTAAAAAAGATCTTCAGGTATATTAGAAAAATAGTTAAGTGTAGAGAATGTTAAAACACTAGAGAATAACACAAACATGTTTTTATATGTTAATGATCACGTCAAAATTTACTTTCAGTTTTCAAAAAGATTTCTTTCACCACTACATGTGTGTAAGCATATGCCCGTGCATTTCCAGCCTTAGGATTATTTTTTTTACTAACTATGTTAATAGGAAAAGAAAAAAGTTAATATTAGCAAATTTGCATATAAGTCAAATTTACTTCAAAGCAGAGCCATAAAATTTATATAAAATACTTTTTCTTATTATTCTGGAAGGGCCATCATCACCTTTCAATGCCAAGAACTCTGAAAACTATAGAAACTATTGTAATGATAGTCTTTATGACAGCTTCAACTGAGATTTGAATAGCAAGCACACTTTTAAGTAGACAATAAGATGAAATTAGAACTGCCAAGAAGTATGAAATAGTAACCAAATAAATATATTTTTTCAATATTCCAGACATTGTCCAATGTAGATGTCAGCTCAAAATTATAGTCTAAAAATCAAAACAATCATTCATATACTTTCTCTTTGCTCTAGACCTGATCCTTTAAAACAAATTATGATATTTTATGTAAAAATGTACCACAAATTTACTAAACTTTCTGGTTCAAATGAGTTCAAGAATATCTCATTATAAATGGAGACAGTCCTGAAAAGGCAGCCAAGCATGACTAAAAAGATCACTCTTTTACACAAAAAATAGCCTTCTTATTTTACCCTTTGTTGAAAAGACATTTGGCCAGCCACAGGGGAAATACATAATCTACTTTTATATTCAAATAATTTATTTGAAAACTCTATGGCTACAATGACCCTAAAACAATTCTGGATTGAATATACATATGACATGGGTTTATGTGATCTTAATCATTGACTTGTTTTCATGTGTTGGCAATGATTTTGGCAATTCTTTTTTAAAAAAGAAAAACACATTCATATCCTTTATAAAAATTACCATTAAGTAAAATTATATCTGAAATGAAATAAGATGGTATTAATGTGGTATAGTTCTGTAAATAATTTTATGCATACAGTCAAGTTTGAATATTGCAGTTCTTTTCACACAACCATCTATCAATTTAATCTAATATACATTCCAACACACAATCTCTCTGGTAACAACATGTCAAAAATTATGCCATCATAATTTGCCTTTTTGTAAAGACAAGAAGCAAAACTTGAACATTTCAAGATTTTAAAAACCTGCCTCCACATAGATTTGCTCCTTTCAATTCTGTGAATTTTTATTTCAGTGTTTTGACAATAAGGTTGATTTTATGAACTCTAAGCTATGGTGAACTTCACTATGAGATATCTTCCCCACCCCCACCCCAAGAGCCAAAAACGCCAGCAGTAAATGATGTTTGTCCATTTACTTTAAGTAAGACACTGTTTCTTTCATTCAGTTGCTCAATATCCAAGATTATATAACAGCAGAGAATAGCATACACTGAGGAGGAAAAGCTTAAAGCAATTAGTTTTCTCCTAAGTACTTTAGCCCTCCTTATTTAGGTTTTTAAAAAACAGGCAATCATATAATGAATTTCAAGCAGCCATACAAAGCACTTTAAAAACTGTTTCTACAGTCTTAATTTCCTTTCATCATTGTACACATAAAAAAGAGGAAGCAGCTATCACATTCATGTCCTAAAATTGATCACTCAGATACTTGGGAAAGTTTTCTATGCTGTCCACCCATGCTTTTTTTTTTTTTCCTGATTTGTCAAGGTACAAATGAAATATTTCCAGCTCTGATAAAGAAGACCAAAATGTAAAATGTCGACTTGTCTTGCACATTCTGGGTGCCTCCCTAGACTCTGCCACTCTCCCAGCAGAGCGGAATGAATATCTGGGCTAACCACACATTTCAGGACAAAGGAACTAATTCATGGGGGAGGGGAGACCACACACCATTTATAAGGTTTGTTCAGTTTACAAGAAAACTATTGTCAATGCTTTGTTGATTCATTATGAAAGACCCTGCGTGACAAAAAAACAAGTGACCACCTCCTTGCTGAGTTTCACCAGCATACTCCCTGCATTCAAGAGCAGCCCAGGATCTCCTGCGCTAATTGTTATTTAAAGAAACTGCAACTGTAGGTACATGAGATAGCTCTGATCACAGATAGAGCCATCAGGTTGAAGATTTGATGAAACTGGCTCTGGTACCCAAAAGATCGCACACAATAGCACAGTGCTTGCTATTGCTGTCAAAACTCTGATGTGAAGAACCAAATTCCACTAGAGGGAGTGAAAAGAGCCCGGAAGGATCATAGAGATGCTGACTCTATGCAGGGTCCCACCACTAGGACATTTTAGTCACTACGAAATCTTCTTGTCTCCCCACCTACAAAATGGGACTAAAATATAAAATATTTTTTAAAGGAAAATCACCTTAAAATCCTTTGTTGGAAAATGCTATACAGTGCACAAGTATTATCTTCATCATCCATTGAACCTTTGTACTTTTTTCTCTGTCCTGAGGGAAATAATAAATTGACATATTTTCTATCATCAGAGACCCTTTTAAGACCACAATGTGATTGCGCTCCAGTATAGCTCACACTTATCCCCATTAAAAACACACAAAGGGGTGAAAGCAGGGAAAGAAATAGGTAGGCATAAAGGGCAGCTCAGATATACTGTTGTACAACATGGGCGCTCTCTCCTAACCTGCCCCAGCCTCTAAGATGGGGAATGAACCACCGCACAAAGAAGTCTGCAAACGGGCCCTGCATAAGTTCCAGTTGAAACTGGCTGCTCTGTGGGTAAAAGCACACAGGTTGCTCTCCCGAGTGGCCATTTGATTGCAGATCAGCTACGTGTTCTTCTACTGCTCCAACAACCCTGAATGGCGCCCTGTATCTTTTTAAGTGGTTGGTTTCGTTGGAAACATGGGACAGAAATCTGTTCCTCTTTGTGGCACTCACATAGTAGCATTGTAGGTTTTTCTGTTTTTTTCTCCTTCTTCTTTCTTCTATAAGGAATAAAGGCTCTTAAAAAATAAACCCAGACCTCCATTAAGACAAGTTTCTCGGTGGCCTGGGAGAGGGGAGAATCCTTCCACTTCACATTCCTGCTCCTTCAGTTTGATCAGCTACGAGATTTCTCCAGGCCACCAAGTAGTTCTAAGAAGAGAATAAAAGTGTTCCAAGGTGGTGGGGAAGCTGGCACTCTTATACATTGCTGATGGAATGTTATTTGGTAAAACTCTGTGGAGGGCAATTTGGCAATTTCTCCCCAAGCCCTACTCTCAGGGGTTTATCCTATAGCTCTGGTCCTGCATGCATGAAATGGCTTATGTATAAGGTTGTTTACTGTAGTACTGTTTGCAATAGCAAAAGATTGGAAGCACCTTAAATACCCATCAATATCCATCAGTAGGGCTGGTTATATTATGATGCTAGGATACAAGGAAATAGGAATGAGGAATTGATATAAAATGATTTCCAAATATAATGTTATGAGGAATAAAGAGTATGAGCTGTATGAGACTCCTTGTGTTAAAGAAGGGAAGGAAAGATTTACATACATTCCTTGTGGGCCCCATGAAAGCAGGGTTCACGCTTGTTTTCATTACTCTTCTGTCTTTAGGGACAGGAAATACTTTGTTTCAGATGAGGAAAGGTCTTAAAATCAGTTTCAATAAATGAAGGAGAGCAGGAGAGTCAAGAATAGATTAAAAAAACAAATTTAAAAAATCTATAGTCAAAGTTATATACAGAACTTGATAGAAAATTTCATGAATACTAGAAAATATTAACAATGGAATTGAGAGTGACTTTTCTCCTGCTGCTTTATCTTTTCATCTATCAATTTTTTCTATGAGGATGCATGTATTTAAGAATTTAGTAACAAAACAAAATGCCACATTGAACTTAAATAGAATCAGTTGTACTTGGTGACTCTTTGAATGCTTGGTTTGGAAGAGGAGGGAAGCAAGGATGGTTCTGAGATCTCCAGCTTAGAAATCTAAGTGGATGGTGTTGAGGTTAACCAAGATAAAGACTTGAGAAGGCTGATAAGGAGAAAGGCAGTGAGCTTCACTATTAAACGTTCCTCAGGGTTCAGGCTGTGAGCTTACCTTAGGGCACCCTGAGAAATCTTTCCAGGCTCCAGTAACCTCTCTATACCCAGTCTACTGTAAAGAATGTCCAGTCATACTTCTACTAAGGGATCATCTGGGAGCTGCCCTTAAGACACAGTCAACCACATTGTTCTTTTATATTTATTTTATTTTTATTTATTTATTCATTTATTTCTTGAGACAAGGTCTCACTATGTTGCTGAGTGTTGAACTCTCGGCCTCAAGTGATCTTCCTGCCTTGGCCTCCCAAAGTGCTAGGATTACAGGCATAAGCCATCACACCCAGCTCATATTTTCTAAAGAAACATAAATTATGCAAAGCATTGTTGACTTTCACTAGTGTTGTTTCTAGCGATATGCAAATAAATGCACTTGTGTAGGACAAAAATTCCTGCACATACTAACTGATTACATAGAAACAGCTGAGGTTAAAAAAGGTGGTGCAAAGCAAAGTTGAGACCCTCTATTTGGCACCCTCAAGGGCCCCTTCCTTATTGATTCCCCAGGGTTACGAGGATATTCGCTGCTATTACCAACTTTGCAACCTGAAGCCCATCCTGCATGTGTTATCCATCAGGCCTCTGCTCCCCAGAGCCTCTCCCTTTTTTTTCCCCCATGTAGGATTCTCTCTTCCCATCTCCAACTCTAGCTTTGCCCTTTGTGCTGAGATTCAGCTCACTAAAGTCTATTTGGCACTGATCCTGTGCCATGTGCTATGTGAGTCCCTGGGACTCAATAGTGAAGAGGACATTGTTTCTGCCATCAACGTGTTGCCATTTTGGTGTGGTGCTGTGACGGGGCAAATACATGGGCTACGGGGCATCTTATACAGAACAGACTTGCTGGCAGAGATGGCATCTGCAGTGAGCCTGGAGAATGCCTAGGAGTTAACCAGGTAAGCAGGGTTGGAACGGTCAGAGTAGAGAAGAACGTTCCAGGTTGAGGAGAGGGTTGGGTAGTGGTTCAGTACTGCTACATACATGTTTCATGTTATTAAACTTGTGGTTTTTGATAGTTTGTGGGTCTATTTTAGTTAATATTAATTATTACTGGAATCAACCCCACTTTTCCTAAAGCCCTAGGAGTATTTTTTAAGCACATGGGATGTTACACAAATTTGAAAATGATAGAATATACTATTTTCATCTCTATTTCAAAATCTCTGATGGGGAAGCATAATAGAATTCCCTACTTCTCGGAAAAATGTAATGGATACTCAGGATTTTGTCCAGTAGAGGGATTCCCAAAGAGTCCCCAGGACTTAATGGACCCCCCAGAAAAATAGAACTATTCAAATGGATTAGGAAGTCTTGCCTTCTCTATTGCCCTCTTATAGCTCTACCAATATATTGGCTATTAAAGGCTTATAAGAGTTCTACAATAAAAATCTTGTTTAATTTTGTTTAAACCAGAGTTTTCTACTTTTATTTTGCTTTATGACCCTCTTTCTCCTTTTTAGACAGTTCCATTATTATTTCAAGAAACTACTGATTCATGGAGCACAGTTTGATACTGATCTGGTGATGAATTCCCTTAAAAACAACATCCTTTCTGTTATTGTTATTACTGTTGCTATTTAATGAGTACTTGAAATATACCAAGCACTTTGTTAAGTGCTTTATTAAAATGATTTTATTTAATCCTCACTGTAACTCTATGACATATCACTGTAATCTTCACTTTACAGTTGGGGAAAATGAGGCCTTGAGAAATTAAGAAACCTTCCTAAAGTCAAACCACCAATAAGTGGCAGAGTTGGGATTCAACAATTTCTGTCTGACTCTAGAGACGTGAACTCCTCTTCTTGCCTGAGCCGTAGAAAAGTGTTTCTTGATGGTGTCTAAATCTATCTTTGGACCAGACTTTTAAAGGGTAGAACAATCATATTATGGAGGGCTGTGAAGAGCAAGGAGCAGAGGAAAAGGTAACTCAGGGTAGAAAGAACAGGTGCCACTTACACATTGCTTCTTCCCACCTGGCACTTCTCTCTTAGGTATTGTATGGTCTCTTAAAATGAGCCTCAGTTTCCTCATCTGATTAATGGACATATTGATACATCTCAGGATTGTGGTAAGGCTTGAAGTTAAAATCTGCAAGGTGCTTATAGTACAATGCTTCAGCATGCTGATCTGAGGTACTAGTGCCTGTCACATGCAAGACACTAAGTAATGCTGATTATGTGACCTTGGACAAGTTTCTAAACCTCGCCATGTCTTTAGTTTCTTCACAGGTATAATGGGGATAATAATGTTACCTACATCATGGTGGTCACTGTGAATATATGACAAGTTAACACTTAGGGCACATAGTAAGCACTGAATGGGTTTGCCATTTTTATTATTTACCTACACATGACTAACACTATGGAGCAGCTTCAGAGAACACACCCAGAATCCTGTCACCAGAATGAATGGCACCACACTTTCCAACTCCAAAGATTCTATTGTCTACAAGCACACTATCACTCTTTCATCCACACAATTGTCATATGCTTCAAAAATATACCTAGACTACAAGTGCTAGTAACTCTTGAGCAAAGTTCCTTAAAATTTAAGGGACGATGATTTTGTAAAGAATAATTAATTCCTTTTTTCAGTGAATACTGATTTGGCTTGACCACAGGTGGCCTATGAAGTTGTATAAATGGCCTGTTACCACTGCCACAGTTGCTTTCTACATTGCCCAACCAAAAGAGAATGAAGAAACAATCTAATTGCTTCACCATCTCTGCCCTGATAAAAGGTAATTCCTAAGCCCATGACATATACACTATTGTGCCATGGCATGGCACCACATCATTGAATTCTCATCAGGGTGAGGAAACACTATCAATCTTCCCATCAACTATGAACACAACACTATCTTCCTAAATTTCCATACAGGTGAGTGCTGCCCAAAATAAAGGCACTTTGGAATGATGTTGAAGCAATTACACAGGAAAACTGAAATCATTGCATCTAACTGGGTGCACAAAAATGGGGTTTACTAATTAATTGCCTTGGTTATTAGAAAATCTTATTTGCTTTAACTCACACTGAAACTTTTTTTTTTTTTTTTTTTTGAGGTGGAGTCTCGCTCTGTCACCCAGGCTGGAGTGCAGTGGCACGATCTCGGCTAACTGCAAGCTCTACCTTCTGAGTTCATGCCATTCTCCTGCCTCAGCCTCCCGAGTAGCTGGGACTACAGGTGCCCAACAACACGCCCAGCTTATTTTTTGTATTTTCTGTAGAGACGGGGTTTCACCGCGTTAGCCAAGATGGTCTTGATCTCCTGACCTCGTGATCCGCCCGCCTCGGCTTCTCAAAGTGCTGGGATTACAGGCGTGAGCCCCTGCGCCTGGCCTCACACTGAAACATTTCTAAACAATATACTTTATTGCACTTATTTCATAAAATAAAATATAACACTAATTCAAAGAGAATAATTTGTAAAACATGGAAAAATATAAAGAAAATTTCAAGGGTCTGAATATTGGTGTCTCTCCCAAATTCATAAGTTGAAACCCAAGGCGACAGTAGTAACAGGTGGGGCCTTTTGGAAGTTGATTAGGTCATAAGGGCTCTGCCCTTAGAAAGAAGTCCCAGAGAGCTAAGTGGCCCCTTCCAACATATGAGGACACAGATACAATGTGCCATCTATGAGGGCTGGGCCCTCATGAGATACCAAATTTGCTGGTGCTTTGATTTTGGGCCTTCCAGTCTCCAGAACTGTGAGAAATGATGCTAAATATTTAAAAGCCACCTAGTCTATAATATTTTGTTATAGCAGTCCAAACGGACTAACGCAAAAATAAAAATCATGCATAAGCATCCAACTTTCTGTTAAAACCCTGCTAATGCTTCAGCCTTTTCAATACACATACATAACCATATACCTATATATGCATATTTCACAAAATTAGAATTCTAGTGTGTATATTGCTTGATAACCTGTTTTTAAAGTGTTGACATTGTATCATGAGCATTTTCGCATCATTAAGTATTTTTCTAAAATATTTTAATGGCTAAATGATGTTCCATTATGTGCATACACAAAAATTTATTGCAAAACTTTCCTTAGCATCACAAATAACTGTGAGAAATTGCCTTGTACATATCTTCTAATGCCTGTTTCTGCTTGTGAACTTAACATTTCAGGAGTGGAATTATTGGTTAATAAAAGATACATGCATTATAAATACAGCTGGCCTTATTTGGGGCTATAGTTTGAGTTTGACTGTATAATGAAAAGAAAAAAGTAAAAAGTAAAAAAATCCCCCAATTCTCTAACATCCAAGTACTTTAATAAACTAGACCATGAGCTACCTTTTCAGCTTTGTCTAAACTTTCTCACCATCCTTTCTCCTTTCCTCCTGCCTCTTTCCTCACACTTTTCCCAAAGTGGGACTAGGGCCCCAGGCATGGGAGCACTTGCTATTCTTTTTAAAGGATGTTATTTCTAATTGCCAAACAATAATTGTATATACAATTATTATAATGTAATTTTAATATTTATATTATACTTATATAAGTGTAATATTTACTTATTATAATTATAATATTTATTGTACTACATATATAATAAATGTAATATTTATTCAATGATCATTTGGGAACGTGATGTTTGATATATGTTTTCAATGTGGAATGATTAAATTTGGCTAATTAACAAATCCATAACCTCACATACCTATCATTTTTTGTGATGGAAACATTTAAAATCTACTCTTCTTAGCAATTTTGAAATATACAAAGCATTATTATTTATTACAGTCACCATTCTGTGCAATAGATCACTAAAGCTTATTTCTCCTGTCTAACTGAAATTTTGGATCCTTTGATCAATATTTCCCTTTTTCCCATCCACTCCCCTCCCTTAGCCTCTGATAACTATCATCCTACTCTTTACTTCTATGAGCTCAACGTTTTTAGATTCCACATATAGGTGAGATCCTGTGGTATTGATCTTCTGTGCTTGGCTTTAATGAATTGAAATCAGTATTTTGAAGAGCTATCTGCACTCCCATGTTTAACGAGCACTATTCACAATAGTTAAGTTATGGAACCAACCTAAGTGTCCATCATCAGATGAGTAGATTTAAAAAATAGGGTACACACACACAAAAGAATACTATTCAGCCTTAAATGGGGTAAAATCTATCATCTGCAACAAGAAGGACGAACCTGGAAGATATGCTAACTGAAATAAGCCAACCACTTGATATCTTGAATTATTATTGAGTTTTAACAGAACTGAGCCTCTGTTCCTTCTACTCTCTCCACCTAGAGCACCCTTTTCAGGCTATTGAGTTTCTACCTCTTCCACAAGTCCCATCTACTTTTGAACGAATGACTTCATTTCTTTGTGCCTCAGTTTTCACACTCATCAGATGGATGTAAGGATGCTACTTGCCTTCAAATATTGTTTGAGGTTCAGTAAGTTAATATTTATGAAGGGCTTAAAATAAGGCTTGCTCCATGGTGAAACCCCACCTCTACTAAAAATACAAAAATTAGCCGGGCATGGTGGTGTGCGCCTGTAGTCCCAGCTACTTGGGAGGCTGAAGCAGGAGAATCGCTTGAACCCGGGAGACGGAGGTGCCAGTGAGCCAAGATTGTGCCACTGCACTCCAGCCTGGTGACAGAGTAAGACACTGTCTCAAAAAAAAAAAAAAAAAGTAATCATAAAATAAAATAAAAAATAAAAAAATAAGGCTTGCTGAAACTCTAAAAATGCCCAACAAACGTTAGTTGTTTAATATACTAACATACTACCTCATCTCTGTTGCTCAATCAACATACTATCTCATACCTGACATACTATCTCATCTCTGTTGCTCAATCAATTTATACATAATTCCATTTACTCTTTAGGAGAACTTCCCACTCTAGGATTTCATCAAATGACTGCGGAGGTAAAAATCTGGAAAAGACCTCAGAGATCATCTATAGCCATGTTCACCAAAGTATAATCTGCCTGTATCAGAATCACCTGGGGAGCTTGTTAAAAATGCAGATGCCTGAGCCCCACCCCCACTCAACTGATCCAAAATCACAGGTGGTGAAACCTAGGAAAATGCAGTTTTAAAGCTCCCAGGTGATTATTAAACACAATGAAGTTGGGAATTCACAGTCTAAAACTCTAGGTCTGCAGACGAGAGAACAAGGCCATGAAAGGTTAGGTAATTCTACTTAGATGAAAGTGAAAAAAAAAAAAAAAAGCCCATCTAGTTTGTGAAATGAAAGAATTGCCATATCTCACATCACTAGTGAAACACAAATGATTTCAAGGATGATTCAATGATGCTGTGGTCCCAAGCTTTTGTGCTGAAATAAAGGAAGAACATGAGCTCAGATCAGGCTTAAAATGTGATTCCAGATCTGTTGGCAGGAAAATTGATCAAAGTTCGACCTAATTGTGGTCTCTCATTTATGGTCAAAATGTGAATCCCAATGAAGAATTGATCTCAGTCACTGAACAGTGAGTGACACTACTGTAAACACACATCTATACCCTGCAGGACAAAGCAGCTTGCTCCTAATAAAGACATTTCTATTTCGTCTTGCTCATTTAATTTGACATTTGTCTTTTGGCAGAAGATGCATTATTGAGACAAGGAACAGAGATGATACCACTTTCCTTCTGGAACCACATGAAGAAATCTTATTTTATTTTATTTTAGGAGTGAGCGGATATGTGAGTAGAGGGAAGATTTCCTGTATAATTACTTCTGAGATACATGTTTCCATCTGAGGAAAAACCATACAAAAAAAAGAAGTACATTTTTAATTAATCAGACTATTCATTTTATTCAAGGACTACATCTATTTTTAAAAATGAACATAGTTGATTCTGAAGTCAAACACAATAGTGGTGTTAGACTACCACACCCATTGATTAAATCATGTTATTGGAATAGAGCTCCAACTTTAAATAAATAAAATAAAGACCTCCAAAAAAGATAATGATACTATATTTCCTGGTAAAGCACATGATATACTTCCTGAATGAAAAAAGAAAAATTTATCCACAATTGTTGTTTGGAAAAATAAGAAATTGTAGTGTCTACAGGAAATTGCTGTAGCTAGGGTTTTGTTTGTTTGTTTGTTTGTTTTTGAGATGGGATTTTGTTCTGTGACTCAGGCTGGAGTGGAGTGGCACAATCATAGCTCACTGTAGCCTCAACCTCCTGGGCTCAAGTGAGCCTCCCACCTCTGCCTCCTGAGTAGTTGGGGCTACAGGTATGTGCCACCAGGCCTGACTAATTTTTAAAATTTTTTTGCATAGACAGGATCTCACTATGTTGTCCAGGCTGGTCTCATACTCCTGGGCTCAAGTGATCCTCCCAGCTCAGCCTCCCAAAGTGCTGGGATTATAGGCATGAGCCACTATGCCTGGCTGTTGCTATGTTTTTATTATTGCTGTAGTACTACTACTTAAGAGAAAAATGAATTATTCAAGTGTACACAGTGCAAATGGGCCCACTGTCTCAGGATGGTTATGTTGTGTCTTGACTAATACTGCCCTTGCATCTTAGTGGGACAGCTGCTTGAGAGGGTGTGTCATACACACAAACACAGCATAGGCTTGGCCAGGTGTCTGCAATGTGGAGAGAATGCATCCCAGAAATAGTACTTTATCCACTTCCCTTTTACTCATTGGTTAGTGGCAGACTCATATTGCCTTTTGGCAGTCTGTCCTCAAAACCAGAAGTATACAAAAGTGACATGGATCACAAAAGAGTGACCATTCAGGTAAAGGCAAAAAGATATTGGCAAAAAAATAAAATGAAAACCTGAAGAGTGACCATAATATTCATGATCATCCAAAGGGTCGGATCTTGGGGTACACAACATTTTAGGGATCATCAAGAACATCCCTTCATTTCTGCATCTCCCTACTTCAATCTCCACCATATCCATCACACCATGATCCCATCCTCAGCCACATCACCACGTTCTCTCTTACTGACACTCTGTAGGAACTGGTTTCTGTTGGCCTTGGCTTTGAAATGTTGTTTAAGTGGCCAAAAGGCTGGAATAATCAAACATCTTGCCTCTGCTTCCTCAGAATTTCAGAACTCCATCTTAAAGATTTCAAAGATTTCCTGGCTGATACCCAGTTTTCACTCAGCTGCAAAATTCATTCCACCCACTTCCATAGGAAAAGGCTGTTGGATTATGGACTTCTGGCACACTGGAAAATCTTCTAACATCACACGGTACATTTCCCTGTCTGGTATACTTCTCAGGCAACTTGTCCATCTGTAGCTATAATAGATGAGGATAATTTCATCAAAGTATGGAGCTTCTCCATTTCTTACATTCCTTGCACAATAATCAAAAAGTGTATTCTGTTCTATATTTTCACCTAATCCAAAAATTGTATTCTCAGTAGGATGAAACTGTTTATACTGGAGCCAGGACAAATAACCTGCAGATACTGAAAAGTTGTTTTTTTTTAACCCATGTGATGCATATATTACATCTGTGAGCTGTGATTTAAAAACAAAATCGGAAACTGGCTTTGTCTTCACCGGTTCAGTCCCAACCAATGCTTAGGATGGTGAGATTTCCATATTTTACATTCCCATCTATGCATTTCAGTATTAGATTTATTTAGGAAAAAAAGACCTTATATGAGCTCTCACAGTTGGCTAGTTTTTCACAATGACTCAGTACTGTTTTTGCTGTGCTGGAAATAGAACATTCTCATCTATCCTCCCTATGTGAATAAAATTGCTTTGAATCTGTCAAGCCTCATCTTGTAAATGTAATCCATTCTCTTAATTTATCAAAATAATTTTCAATTTTAATTTTTTCCAATCAATTTTTGGTATTATCCAGCTTAACAAGCATTTTATTCTGCATTAAAGTAATGTATACAATATAAAACTATTCTAGGACAAATTCTAGAACTATATTTAATATGCTAAAACTGGCAGTGCACTGACAATAATTTTCTCTTTTAGTCATCCCAATCAGCCATGACCTCCTGATTATTTTACTAGTTTTATATCACCAAGTTACATAAGAAAGAAAAATTGTCAAAATGTGTGTCCTTTGCTTTTGACTTTTGTATCAGATTATGCTTACTATAGGGGTCAATTAGATTAACCTGATTAAGAGTCAGATGATATTTATTGATATTCGTCATTGACATGCCAATAACATCTGTGGCAATATCCTAAATGCTAATAAATTGATGTCTTGGTGGAAAGTACCTACTTTGTAGATTGTTTATTTAAAAATCCTAAGAAATGTATTTAATTGTCTGTAATATCATTGTCATGTAACATATGGCCACATTTTAAAAGTATTTCATTATTTAATGTCTATATACTTAATTTGAGAACCTTGAAATTAAAATAATAAAAATGAAGAGAAAGGGGTGGTGTCTTATTTAACAATAAGACATAAAATGTTATTGATAAGTAAACATTTTAAATGACAATTCCAATCCTTTGAAATGTTACCTAATGTATTATATGTTAGAGAGCCTCTATTCTATTAAAAGAGCATCAATACTTGAATTATAAATAAAAAATTTAGAAATAATTTAATTTACTTTAAAATAACAAATAATCTTTGAAGAAAAAACTACGGCAATTTATTTTTTATGAAAGGAGTATTTGTAGTTACTTTATCATACACTTTTTTTCAGTAAAAGGGGAATTAAACTATTACAGGACACCTTGTTAAGTAATTATATAGCAACATCACTGTGCAATTAAATAGCCATCAGTCCCTGCAGCTGAGAAATTTCAGGTAATTATTCAAAGATAATTTAATAGGAGAATTACTGTATTCAAGCAAGCATTAGCTAGTAATCTACCTCAATTAAAGCATCCAATTAATTTCAGAACCTTGATAACAGTTGCCTTTGGCAAAACTATCCTTTCCCCTCATTTGATCCTACATATACAATATTCCTTAAACACTGTATAAAGTGAATTTGCTTCTCCTAAAAGTACAGTCTATTAATAATAGTATCCTGAGAAATTAAACAAATGCAAGTAATAAAAAATATTGCTTTCCCTGCCCCCCCACCCTTCATTTGTACCTTCTACCCAGACTATTATGCAGAAATTGATCAAGGCTGATTTGGAAACTGGAGCGTCAACTTTCTCAGTTTTCATCGTAAAGAGCAGAAAACCTCTTAGTAATGAACATTTCCACAAGGGGCTTTTGTTTTCAGATTGATTTGCTCATTGGACAAAGTATCCTAGGGAAATGTGCCCCTGCGAAGTTGGTGGTGATTGTGGTGGTGGAGCTAATGACATGTGTGCAGAAACTCTTCTGAATGGGACTTCCCTGATCCTGTTTTTACCTGATCTTCATGCTCAATAGAAAAAGCCTCAGCTTTGGAATCAGGTGGGTTTTGAAAATGCATAGAAGAAATTGTTTTTTTGTTGTTCAGGGGACTGCTAATCTTGTTGAACCTTAAGTCTTACGAAGGATGTAATTTTCTTAAGTCAGCATTTTGAAAGCTGTTTGCTATTCGAAAGCTGTTTGTCTAGCTTTCAAACTGTCCCTTAATAGCCATCATGGCCTTGACTCACAGCTCTACCAGTTTCTCTGGGTAGGTCACTCAGCCTTTTTGGGGGGCGGACATGGAGGCTCTTCTAAGGGGTGATTTTCAACCCAGTAGCAAGTGTCCTCCTCACTGGGGATCTCACACTCTGGGTCATCCACTTATGGAAGTATCTTGAACTCACTTGCCTCAAGACTGAATTAAAGGTAGCATAAGGCTGACTACAATGGGGAAAAGTACACGGGTTTGGCTGTGTGTCTTGTCAGATGATTAGAAGTGCCAAAAACACATAAATGGTTTGTCTCTGGCCATAACTTCAAAGCTGATGGAGCTCTCACAGCAGCCGTGGAAAATGGATAAGAAAAGACTGCAGATGTCCACAGATGACTCAGGAATATTGCAGGCTAATCTCCCCTCCTCCTCATTCAGCAGCAGCCTTTGTCTCTTTAACTTTATACCTTGGCTGCCTTTCTACCTTTAGCTCCATTTGGAAAATGACCCCATCTGGGCTGTTTACTCTGGTTCTCACCTATCATTTTCTGAGGACCCCGTTTCTAGTATTTCCCCTGGTGGGCAACATAGTACGGCTGTAGGCAGTAAGTCCCCAGTCCAGCTCAGGATTCTGGGACTACCCTCCAACCCAACCCAAGCCTCATTTGTCAGAGATGGGGGACGGAAATGGTTGTCAGAGGTTATGGGACTGGGAACCTGTTATTCAGGACCTGGATTAGGGTGAGGTGGGTGAGGCTGAGTCTTCCAAGTCATGGGTCAATTCCTGTCTGTTTTACGTGTATGTATACATTGATATTGTTGCCTTAAGTGCATTTAGTTTTTGACCACTAGAATAGATAAATATGTGCAGTCACTCCACTTCTAGTCTCTATTTCCTAAAATTTCTAAGAAATCCATGGTTTATGTTTTCCCCACTACATGTGTAATCACATCTTTCCACTTTGGTCGATTGACTTCCTACCTTCCTTCTTTCCTTCCTTTCCTATCTCTTTCTTTCTTTCTTTCTTTCTTTCTTTCTTTCTTTCTTTCTTTCTTTCTTTCTTTCTTTCTTTCTTTCCTTTCTTTCTTTCTTTTTCTTTCTTTCTTTCTCTTTCTCTTTCTTTCTTCCTTTTTTCTTTCTTTCTTCTTTCTTTTTCTTTCTCTCTCTCTCTCTGTCTTTTCTTTTTTTCTTTTTTTACTTTACGTTCTGGGATACATGTGCAGAACGTGCAGGTTTCTAACATAGGTATACGTGTGCCAGGGTGGTTTGCTGCACCTATCAACCTGTCATCTAGGTTTTAAGCCCCACGTGCATTAGGTATTTGTCCTAATGCTCTCCCTCCCCTTGACCCCCATCCCCCGACAGGCCCTGGTGTGTGATGTTCCCCTCCCTGTGTCCATGTGTTCTCATTGTTCAACTCCCACTTATGAGTGAGAACATGTGGTATTTGGTTTTCTGTTCCTGTGTTAGTTTGCTGAGAATGATGGCTCCCAGCTTCATCCATGTCCCTGCAAAGGACACGAACTCATTCTTTTTTATGGCTGAATAGTATTCCATGGTGTATATGTGCCACATTTTCTTTATCCAGTCTGTCATTGACGGGCACTTGGGTTGGTCCCAAGTCTTTGCTATTGCAAATAGTGCTTCAATAAGCTTACGTGTGCATGTATGTTTATAGTAAAATGATTTATAATCCTTTGGGTATATACCCAGTAATGGGATTGCCAGGTCAAATGGTATTTCTAGTTCTAGATCCCTGAGGAATAGCCACACTGTCTTCCACAACGGTTGAACTAATTTACACTCCCACCAACAGTGTAAAAGCATTCGTATTTCTCTACATCCTCTCCAGCATCAGTTGTTTCCTGACTTTTTAATAATCACCATTCTAACTGGCAGGAGATGGTGTCTTATTATGGTTTTGATTTGCATTTCTCTAATGCTTTGGTCGATTTTCTAGGCACTAAAGAACAAGCCACTTTTCTACTGCAAATGATAGTATCTGTGCTATAAATAGCAAACAGCTTTTAAAATGCTAACTTACTTTAAGGTAGTTACATCATTCATAAGACTTAACATATTTTAATATAATTTTAGGTTTTGGAAATTCATATGAGAATTTTTTTTGGTCATTCACATGATTTTCCCTTAATTTAAATAATTTCAAACCCAACTTTGAACTTGCAGCTTCCCAGTGAACACCGAGAGTTGAGTTTAGCAACTGTTTGGACTGGCCATGTAACAGGTAAGATGACACACCCAGGGCATCTGGTGCCCTAATACATCAGGCACATACTAGGCTCAAAGCATATTGATGACACGAATGACTCCCTCCCTTTTCCCCAGTACCAGGTTCTTCCCTCTATGTATCTTGGATGGTCTAATCAGTGTGCAGTGATACCGTTAACTCAGGAAAGTTGTATTAACCACTGGACCAACCAACTATTTTCCTGTTACATTGATATTAATCAACCAAAAAGGCTAGCCTTTCTAAAGCATGCAAACAGGCAAACAGAAACGCCAGTTTCAATGTTTATATCTTAGTCCATCTGGACTGGAAAGAATTAGAGAGCTGAAAAAAAAATCAAAGAGAGAAAATTAAATAAACTACCAAAGAGAAATTCATGATGTTCCCTCCCACAAATGAGTTTATTAGCATAAATATATTGATGAGGTCCAAGACGCAACTTGTAAGACATTTTAAGTTACACAGGTATCATCAGTTAACAGGCAATATTTACTATCTAGTGTTGTGATCCTGTTGACATCCAGAGTCGAATTAGACCTCTATCAAACCCCTAATCACCAGTGCATTCCCAGCACACACAATCTAAATGATTAAAGAAGGTAACGATTTCTCCAAAATAACCACAAAATGCCCAAAGTATTTAATTCACTCTATCTCACACCTCTTGCTATTCTAATTATCATTGCTTTTGGAGTTAAGTTACCCATAATTTTCTTTTAGAATTACAAATGGTATACTTTGCTTTTCCTTAGCTTATCATGTCATAGAACTCTGTTATTAACTACATTTTGGAAAAATCCCTTAGAAGATTTAATAAGAAATTTTAAAACCCTAGTGGATTTTCTACTGCTGCAAACTCTCTGCATCCCCTAAATAAAGAAGCCCATAATTGATTAATAAAAAGCTAAGTAATTTTGGTATTAATATGATCCCCTGGGAGGCCCCCATAATCACAAGTAGCAGGCCAGTCGCAGCATTGCTCAATTACATTTCCCAGTAAATAATCTGCAAATCAACAAACCCTATAAGGGGATTTTCAGCATTTCCAATTTGTTAATCCATGATAAATGCCTCTCAAAGGTCAGACAAAGCCCAGTCGCTTTCATATTTTGAGGCTCCTCATTTGTTAAAAAAGCTTTAAAAGAGAGTTATCAAAATTGTTTTATATTTAAAATGATTACACCTAACACACTAGTGCTATAAATATATACCCACAATATAATGCTATATGACTATCTATATAAAAATATAGTTATACAATTTTCAATTTGCAGGGCCGTCCAGGTAGCATGGCATGGTACTGGAACACTATGTCTTCTCTCTGACCTCTCGGAATATCTCTGTGATTCAATGTGTTGGCCCATTGGAGGCCCTGGGTGAGTATGATGCCTGGGCCAGAGGCCCACTGTCTTCTTCCTTTCCCACTGAGCTTAGTTGTATTTAGCACCGGTGGCACAAAATTAAAAGACCCAATCTCTGCTCCCCTTGAGTTGCTCTTGTTAAAAAAAATTTATAATCCTCTTTAATTACCTAGAGGAACACAACTCAGTGCTTAGACCATTCATACCTTCAAAAGTGCTCTTTTCTAAATCACACTTTTTTCTGTTAAATCAAAGTTCTCTTAGTGATTCTGCCTTTTAGAATTTTTAAAGTTTATTTTCACTCTCTATAACCCCACTTTTTTTGTTGTTAAGGAGCACTAATTTCTTTGAATTTCTTCAGTCAGACATGGGCTGTTTTTATCCTCTGAAATACTAAAATTGTCACATTCAGTGCTTCAAGCAAAATTCAGTAAAGAGAAATAATGTAATTTGCACAATATTTTAAATGAAGAAATACATATTATTGATTTAATCACAGGTAATGTATAAAGCTCTCCTGTAAAGAAATATCACCACTTGCCTATCTCTTTACTAGATTTTGTAGAAGATACAAAGTATAACAAATGAGCATTCATGTAATATTTTTAATATAAGAAGAGCTCTTATAAATCAATAAGAAAAAAATTAACATGGCAAAAGGAAAAATGAACCAAGGGCAAGAATAGGAAATTTCTAAAGAATAATTATAAGTGATCAATAATTACATGAAAGGAGTTTGTCTTCAGTAGTAATCAGCAGAATACATATTCAAACAATAACAAGATACGATTTTCATCCATCAATATCGATTTAAAAATGATAGTAGTGATGATGAGGGAACTGGGAAATGAGTATTCCTCTGTACTTCTGGTGAGAACATAAGTTGATAGTATCTTTCTTGAGAGCAATTTTGCAATATGAATTAGAAGCCTTAACATTTCATACTTTTAACATAGTAATTTTACTCTTAGGAATTTATCTTAAGGAAAGTCCTTATCCTAAGAATGTACAGAGGTATGGGGATATTTATGACAACCTTTTCATAATAGCAGGAGCTGAAAACAACCACAATGTCTGATAATAAGTTGACTAGTTTAGTATGATATAATACACCCAAATGATGAAAACCATGTTCCATTAAAAATGATGTTGAAAGAATATTTAATGGCATAAATATTTTCTAAATGTGTCAAGGTAAAAAATATAGGTAAAGACCACTAAATATTTTGCCATTTAACATTCTCCTTAATATAATTTGTAATGGTGACACCGTACTCATTCTACATTATAGATGCCCCATGACTAACATAACTTCTTTCCTATTGTGTGACATCTATGTTTTGTGATGAACATCCTGGAACATAGCCTTTTTACACATGTATGTGATGACCACTGGTTTATTCCTAACAGTTGGATTACAGGGTGAAAGGATAAAAATATTAATAAGAAATTGCATAGATATTATCAACATTTGCACACTATTTTATAAAAAGATGGACAACTCCTGGGCTTCCCCACAGTACCTGTTACCCACATTTTTGCTTAGGGAAAAAGAGGTAATATATTGTTTTTATTTATATTTACTTTATTATGGGCAAGGATAATCATATATATTATCATATTTTCATGTATTTTTTAACTATACTTTGTCTGTAAATTGCCTATTTGTTTTCTTTGTCTGAAATTTATTGGGATATTGAGCTTTTCCTTATGACTTTGAAATTGGTTTATATATTAGGAATTTTAGCCATTTACCCATCATAAAATTAAAATATTTCCCCTAGTTATTTTTTTCTGGTAAATATACATAATATAAAATTTGCCATATTCACCATTTTTAATTTATTTTTAATTTACAAATAATAATTGTGTATATTTATGGGTACAGTGTGATGTTTTGATTTATATATACATTGTAGAAATATTCAATCAAGCTAATTAATATATTTATCACCTCACTAACTTATTATAGTCACCATTTTTAAGTGTACAGCTCAGTGGCATTAATTACATTCATGATGTATTGTGTAACCATCACCATTATCTATTTTCAAAACTTTTTCATCACTCAGAACAGTAACTCTGTACCCATTAAACAATGAGTTTTCATTTTCTCCTCTCCCTAGTCCCTGGTAACTTCTAATTTACCTTCCACCTCGATGAATTTGCCTATTTTCAATATTTCACATCCCTGTACTCATATAATATTTGTCCTTTTGTGTTTATTTAATTTAGCATAACATTTTAAAGATTCATTCATGTTCCAGCATGTATCAAAACGTTATTCCTGTTTATGGCTGAATAATATTCCATTACATGTATATACCACATTTTATTTATTCATTCATCTCTTGATGGATACTTGGATTGTACACCTTTTGACTATTGTGAATATTGCTGCTATCAACTTCTGCATACAAGTACCCGTATAAGTCCCTGTTTTCAGTTATTTCGGGTAAGTACCTAGGAGTGGAATTGCTGGGTTATATGGTAATTCTATGTTTAGCTTTTTAAGGAACTGCCAAACTTCTATTACTCTTTAAGCCTTGTAAAATGCCACTAGCATCTAAAAGCAGAGACTTTTCTGTGTCTTTAGTATGATTTGCAGGATCATACTGTTCTTTTTAAAACAGAAAGATCTCAAATGGAAATTAGAAAAGTCTCCTCAGTGTCTTTACTGAAATATTTGCTGAGTAGATTATAACTCTAAGTCACAATGAGATTGGTTTGCTGCTACTGCGGGCCTAAATATAGGTTCTATCGTTGGAATCAAATGACCTTTGGAGCCTAAATAATCCTTAGAAACCACTGCCAACTTACTTATTTAGACCAAACCATATTTTATCTCATGGCAAACTAAACAGGGACGCTTCATTTTACTTTTGGTACTATAACACAGGCCTTGGTATTTAGTGATCATGGTATATATGTAAATGAGCCAACACAGATCTGTTTGAATTTAGTTCTTAAAGGCATTTATTTATTTATTTGCATTTGAGGATACTTTTCAAAAGTTTCTTTTCTTGACTGCCCCAAAACTTTGACATAAAAAAGGTGAACCTATTTTTTACTCAATCAACTTTTGTGTGTCAATTGTTAATGTGGATTTGATGTGTTAAGAAAGTTTAAGTTAAAAAGAAATTTAGATCTATAACCTTACTACAGTGATTTCTTCACCTTAATAAAATCTAAGATTTTTTTTTTTAATTCTGAAGCTGTCAATGTACTGGATTTATTCTGTCAACGTATCAAATGGTGGAGCTTTTGGGATGAAAGATCAAATGAGAAATTGATGTCTTACTAAAATGCTGAACGTTAAGTGACCTTTGGGATGATGAGAATTATTTTGGCTCAGTAGTATGTATATAAAGCCCAGGAAACCCAAATAACAGCAGAAGAAACAGGGAGAGAAGAAGTAGTTTGGGTCAGTGATATTGTATCTGTTTCTTTAGTGGTGTAATGAAAAGAGCACCTGATATGGCTTTAGAAGACCTGCATAAGTTTGAATTCTGGTTCCAATCACTACTTGTGAGACCTTAGGCAAGTCATTTTACTTTTCTGAGCTTAAGCTTCTGTTTTGTAAAACAGAGATTTAAAAAATCCCTAACACAGTTGTTGAAAACGTCAAAGTGCTTTTAATACTAAAAAGACCTATACCAGTGGTTCTCAAGTGAGGGTGATTTTTCATACCTGGTAATGTCTGGAGATTTTTAGTTGTTACAACCAGGATCAGGTAGAGTACCGGAATCTATTGGGTAAAGCCAGAGATGGTGTTGAACATTCCACGATACACAGACCAGCCCCTCACAACAAAGACTTATCTGGTCTAAAAAATCAGTAGTTCTGAGGCTGACCTACCAATGCCTTTGGCTTCACTGTTGCATTCTCTGTTAACTGTTCAGAGTCTAATTAAGAGCTCTCTTCCTCAAGCAAACCTTGAGTAATGCAATCACAATAACTGCTTCTCTAAGTGCCTGGCTTTTTCTGGAGTGATAAACTCTAGAAAAATCACTTTTCTCTAACCAACATGTACCAATCACTTGTCTGTAAAGGAAGACTAGTAACTACTCCTTGACATGCTAAACTCATGACACCTGACTTCTCAACTGTATCACCTAAGAGCTCTATTTCACATGAAATGGTGAAGAGATGTAGGTACAATTGTGAGCAACCACCAATAGAATGAATAGGAGAACATTTTAGAAACTCATAGAAGTGGAACAGCTATTTGACTAGGCTGTTTGACTTAACAATATAGTTTTGTTTTTTCTATGTCTAAGTTTCCCCCTTTGAAAAATGGGACTTAGCAAGGGCAGTCACAGTCATAAAAGAAGATGGAAGCTCTCTGATACCAGTTCTAACCAATGCTGTTGCTATCAAGGGGACATCACGTTACCCTTTCCTGTCCAGGTGAAGAAGCATGAAGGAAAATGAGAACACATGTTTTGTCACATAACCTGAACATGTGACATCATTGCACATTTTCATAAAACAGAAAATACACCATTTCCAAATTAATACTGAAAAGTCCAGTTACTTTAATCAAAAGTAAAACAGTAATTTAATGTGAAAAAACCCTATTTATACTAACTGTGTGACTCGGACTGTGTCTAAACATATAAACCAGTCTGGCTGGTTAAACCCGCCAAGAAGTTGATGAATAGAAGTCATTGGAGGAGATGATGCCCTTTTAGTCTTTTAGAGATAAAACTTTAACCTAACTTTAAGTGAATCTCAAAATTAGGTATTTCTCTAAAAGTTTTACAGGCAATTGTGAACGTTCAATTAATAAAAAGAGAAATGCCTTTATTTGCTTAGTGTACAGGGATATGAAAAACAAGGAAAGGTGCACATGCTATTCAATAGACATATGATTAAATCCAGATAATTTAGTCAGAAATCCTATTTGAAGAGAAAGCTATTTATCCAAATGAAATCATCCCCTGTATTTGGTTGACGCAGAAAGTGTCTTAATTTTCCCTTACATATGAAAGAGGTAGATCTTGATGCTCAAACACATACAAAATGTAAGCATTTTTACAGATTGTTATCAGATAAGGACTTGGAGCACATCTTTAAAGGCTCTTGGGAAGCAACTGAACTTGGATCATTCTTAGCTAACTTATCTAACACACTTCAAATACTTTAAAATAAAACTAATCCCTGCACTGGTGGGTTGAAAACTTTTCCTATCCCCAGGGCATTAAAATAATACCCTTTCGAACAGTAGGTGGAAGTATTTTAGGCGGCAGCTCTCTAGTTATAACAAGGTAAGTCAATTTTTATGAATTAGGGATGCTAATCACAGTATCTCAAGATGTGCATTGCTGGGGAGTGAAAGACAAGACCACAAACTGACATGACCGCAATGGGCTACAATCCCGAGAAAGAGATATAAACGGGAGGGAGACTTGGCTTCATCCATCATAAAGGTCAAGATAATTGGCCACATACAGCAAAATCAACATCCCTTGCTGTCCCCTAGCTTAGCACATAAGCCTAGAAACTCAGCATCCTGCTGGGCTAAGTGGTGGCAAGCCCAGGTGGAGGAGGAGAAGGTCTGAAAATATGCATGTAAGAATCTAAGGCACTGTAATGATACCATCAAATTTAGCATTAAATATACTTTACAATCAACTGAGATACTGTAGGTTGCCCTCAAACATGCAAGAAATGCTTCTGGGGTTTTACCAGACTGCATACTCTCTCATGCTTATGCTGCTCTAGTGTTTTTGGACTGTAAAACCTCTCAACATTATAGATGTACTTGTGTTAACCAATGAAACTATAATAAATACATTTTATGGTTTAATGCAATTACTAAAATATGACTGTATAAGAATTCAACTTCTCTTAAACATTCCAATTAATCTCATAACCCAAAGCTAAGGTAAGCATTGACAAAAATAAAGGTGTCAGAAAATTCGCATAACAGTGAAATAACTGAGTGATGAAAAGTTGCCAAGTAGATTGAGTTTGCATATCTAGTAGGAGCCTATTGCAGAAATTATCAAAGGCATATATGTATTTAAAAATGTGAAGTCCATGATGGCAAAGTTTGTATCAACACACAATGATACGTAGGGCTAACTTCATGGGTGTGTAATCTGTGCAGCTGCATAGGTCCCATATTTGCTGTTTTGTTGTTGCCATCTTGAAACTCTTAGTAATTTTTTAATAAACAAAGATACCTGCATTTGCATTTTGCCCAGTAACCCACAAATTATGTAGCCAATCATAATTGTTATGAACAAATTAATCCCCACAGAAGTCCGCCTGTCTTAGACTTTTTGGTAAGGCTTCTCATAAGAAATGTCGTCATCAAGGGAGAACTTAAACGGAACAGGAGGTAGCTTCAATGAGCAGGGAAAGCATTTCGGGAAAGCTAAAAATGTAAAAGACAAAAAACAGTTATAGATTTTGAAGAAATAATTGAGTCTTTCCACTCCCAGGAAGTTGAGTTAAAATCTTAATGTAGAAAAGCAGCTCTTTGATTGCTAACCAGAAGTCGCTAGGGAGAAAAAAATCCAATGTCTGAACCATAGGATATTGAGAAGCAAATTAATTTGAGTTCTTTTCTGAAGTTCATTTAAAAGGACTAACTGGAACCGTTTCAAAGAAAACAGTTAAAGGGCTGCTTACGTATGCTCAAGTTGGTCCTAATTAGCACTCAGAGTAGGTTTGTCATAGTGTTCCCGAGAGTAAGTAGAAGCACAAAACTATGCTCAAGTACTAGCAGTGATTTAAAAGTATGTCAGTGGGTGGGAGTGGATAAGATTATTTACTTTATAAAATGGAAGAGCTAAGCATGGAGAAAGCACTTGCAAGAGAAAAAGTGGGCATTTTTGAGGAAAGTGAAGAAATAACTAAAAACAGTACAAAAAAAGAGTATTATAGCATACAAAATGCTCAAAGGAGTTAGTGAGGACTTACTACATGGGCACTAATAAGCACTAATAAGCTGTCCAGGATTTGAGGTCTAAGGCTATTAGTGTATTAAAAGTTCTCACACTTGTTCACAATAGGTTATATCCGAGCAATCCTCCTTCTAGGAAGATAAATTGTCCTCAGATGCAGAACAATAACTAATGTATGTATAGTGCATCATAATTTACATATATGATCCTTACATAAAAGATGTATTATGCTTATAATATCCCTGTAATGTGCATAGCATAATGCCACTTGACAGATGAAATAATGAGGCTCAGAAAATGGAAGTGAATTTTCTAAGAACACAAGACAGGAGGTAATAGTCATCTGATTCCTAGACCTGTGCTTTTCCCACCATAAATGTGAATAACATGTAATAAGTTCAAACGTTAAAACATCATCAACGACAATAATAACGGCCACAGGGCCTCTTCTGAGCCCTGCTCACCTACCTTCCTTCCTTCCTTCCTCCCTTCTTCCTTTCCTTCCTTTTTTTCTTCCTTCTTTCCATTATTTCTTCTTCTCACCCACCTATTCAACATCCATCCATCCATCCACCTATTCATATATCCATGCATTATGCAATCTTCTAGCTGAATTCTAGTTTCAAAAAAATTAGAAGTGAACCCCCAAGTTTTTTCTACAACTGCCCTTCTTAAAACAGTACTTCTTAGAAATGCCCCCTTGCAATGTGTCCATTCATCAGATTGATCCTTTTTCCTTATGTTTACCAGAGGATGGCAATTGGGGTAACTGAGTATGTGACAAAAGTGGCTCTCATGTGACTTTCAATAGGTATAACTGGTGTATCAGTGAGGCTGGTAGGCAACTGACACTAAAATTGTTCAGTAAAAGAAAGTCGTATTTTGTAGCCATTTGCCTCTGCCCTTGCCCTTTCCTCCTCTGGTCTCTATTCCATCTCTTATTTGCTCTAATGAAACTTAACTTTTAATTGAGATGCTAAGAACTTCCAAAGACCTTATATTTTAACAAGGAATTTTACAAAGGAAAAATAAAAGGAGAACGCCTACGGCAAAAAGGCGGAATCCTAAGAAAGGGGGACCAGCATTTTGGGTGGCCGAGACAGGGGGATCACTTGAGGTCGGGAGTTCGAGACCAGCCTGACCAACATGGAGAAACCCCATCTCTACTAAAAATACAAAATTAGCCGGGCATGGTGGCACATGCATGTAATCCCAGCTACTCGGGAGGTTGAGGCAGGAGAATCACTTGAACCCGGGAGTTGGAGGTTGCGGTGAGCCGAGGTCACGCCATTGTACTCCAGCCTGGGCAACAAGAACAGGAACTTCACCTAAAAAAAAAAAAAAGAAAAAAGAAAGAAAGAAAGAAAGGGGGAAAGTACTAGGGATTTCCCTATGAGAGAATTTATTTTTATATATACATATATAAAAAATAAGTTCTAGGGTACATGTGTACAAAGTGCAGGTTTGTTACATATGTATACATGTGCCATGTTGGTGTGCTGCACCCATTAACTCATCATTTACATTAGGTATATCTCTTAATGCTATCCCTCCCCCCTCCCCCCACCCCATGACAGGCACCAGTGTGTGATGTTCCCCTTCCTGTGTCCAAGTGTTCTCTGTTCAAATCCCATCTATGAGTGAGAACATGCGGCGTTTGGTTTTTTGTTCTACTCCAGTAGGGAAATACAGGAATACTGAAGAATTTTACTCTCCATTCCTATTTTGGGCTTTCCAAGAATCTAGATTTACTACCAGTCTTCTCATCTCTTCACTTCCAGCACTGATAACAGAATGACTAAACAAAGCCTTGGTATCCTACATTAGACTTTAATGACTGCTCTAAACTGGAATGCAGTTGTCCCTTGGTATTTATGGGGGGTTTGTTTCAGGACCCCCATCAGATACCAAAATCCATGGGTAATCATGTCCGTTGTATACAATGGCATAGTATTTGCATAGAGTCTATGCATATCCTGCTGTATACTTTAAATCATCTCTAAATTATTTATAATACCTAATACAATGTATATGCTACGTAAATGGTTGTTCTACTGTATTTTTTAAATTTTGTATTTTTTATTGTTCTATTATATATATAATTTAAGATATTTTCAGTCTGGCTGGTTGAATTAATGAATGCAGAACCAATGGACATGGAGGGCCAAGAACACTTGGCTGAGGTCAGAAGTGTGATACTAAGAGTTGCTGTCAACATCTGCATAAAAAACAATATTCTCCCTTCCTACACTGATTTTTGATTGAAAATTTACATGAGAAATTTAGACAAGAAGACAAGAAATTCAATTTTTTTCATCTCCTACTTTCTCATCAACCCACTACATTCTGGTTTTTGACCCAATCACTGAAATCAGCCTTACCAAGGTCACTAACAATCTTGTTTCTGAAGCTATTAATCACTCCTTCCTGCTTGGAATACTTTTGTCCTTTGACTTTCTTGACACTCTGTTTCTGATTGTCCACTTCTCTCCTTGGCTACCCATCTCCTTTGCAGACTTTTCTTCCTTTGTCTGTCCCATATAGGTTGGCATTCCCCAGGGGTTTCTCCTGGCCTTTGATCTCTTTCTCTTTATACTCTCCCCCTGGTGTCCTCACACATTATCACTGTTTCAGTTACTTTCTACAGGCTGACAATTCCAAGAATTCCATCTGAGTCTGATTTTTTTTTTTACCTGAGCTTCAGACTTGTAGATATATACCTGCTGCATGGTTTGAATGTGTCTGCCCCCTCCAAATCTCATGTTGAAATGTGACCTCTAATATTGGAGGTGGGGCCCAGTGGAGGTATTGAATCATAGGAACACATCCTAATGAATGGCTTTGTGTCATCCCCTTGGTAATGAATGAGTTGTCACTCTGAGTTCATGCAAAATCTGGTTGTTCAAAGAGTGTGGCACTTCCCCCCTCACTCTCTTGCCATGTGACATTTCCTGCTCTCCTTTTGCCTTTCACCATGATTGTACACTTCCTGAGACCCTCACCAGAAGCAGATGCTGGAGCCATGCTTACATAGCCTGCAGAACCAGGAACCAATGAAAACTCTTTCCTTCATAAATTACCCAGTATCAGGTATTCCTTTATAGCAATGCACAACGGTCTAACACACCTGCCAAGTGGAAATTGATACTAGTTTATCCGAAACATCTCTCAATACAACATGCCTAAATCTGAACTGTTCTCCCCAAACTATTCAATCTCCTCTCTTCCCTGATCAAATGAATGGGAACACTACCAAGCCAGAAACTTGGGCTCTGCTGCCCACCCCCCTACCCGAGTCTATTGCCAAATCTTGTAAACGCTATGTTCTAAATCTCCCTCCAGTCATATGCTTCCTTCCATCCCTACTGCTAAAGTTTTGGTTCAGACCACTCTCATCTCTTACCTAGATTACAGCGTCACTGTCTTTTACCAAGCTTCTCTGCCTCTTGTCCTATTTACTCCATCATCCACATGACAGCCACTATGATGGTTCTTAGGTGTAAATCTGATCATGCTTTTTTCAGCTGTTCACTGGTTCTCCAATGTGCTCATGAGGCTCTGGATAATTTCACTTCTGCTCACTTCCCCAGCCTAATCTCTCTGACTGACCCTGATCCTAATAGTTCAGCCATTCAGCCACATTGAATTTTTCTTGCACATTCTTCTCTTTGCCATTCTCCCAGACATTGACATTCTAGTCCTTTTTTGTAAAAAGAAAGTTTATTCCCTGAATAAGTCTTTGTTTCTCTTTCTCTATCCATTTAGACAGTACTTCCTCCTGGAAGTCTTTCTGACTTCCTCCCTCAGTGCCTCATCTCAGGCGTAGGCATCTTTTCTCTGTGCCTGAATAGTCCCCATATTGCCAAGACATGTCACCTTGAAATGCAGTTGTGTATTTACTAGTCTACAGCCCCACCAGACACTGCTATATGAGGAAAAAGATTTGCCTATTACAGTTCACCATTGTGTCTTGATTAGTTAATGGAGAGCCTGCAACAAAGTAGGTACTTACCAAATAGTTGTTGAAGGAATAAATAAGCTTGGTGGTTAAACCTATTTTTTAAAGATTTATATTGTAAAGTTAAATTTTTTAGTGGAATGTACTCAGTAAAAGTAGACCAACAAACAAACCCTCTGATTCAGTCAACTTTGGTTCTAAGGAACACTCACTCTCAAGCCTGAAGATTTGTATTTATTGATCATAAATTAAAAACAGTGCTAATGTGGTTTGTGATATCTTCCTGAGAATTCTAATTACAGGTCAATAGGCCCATTAGAAACCATCAGGAGTGTTGAGACCATCCTGGCTAACATGGTGAAACCCTGTCTTTACTCAAAATACAAAAAATTAGTTGGGTGAGGTGGCGGGCACCTGTAGTCCCAGCTACTCGGGAGGCTGAGGCAGGAGAATGGCGTGAACCTGGGAGGTGGAGCTTGCAGTGAGCCGAGATCGAGCCACTGCACTCCAGCCTGGGTGTCACAGCGAGACTCCGTCTCAAAAAAAAAAAAAAAAAAAAGGAAAAAAAGAAACCATCAGGAGTGAGTAGTGCAGAAAAAGGCACAGAGGGGACCAAGCATTCCATAGGGCCATGCATGGCTGAAGCTTCTATTTCTATGAATATGTTTTGGCTTCCTTAATCCCTCACCACCAATTTCACCATTGTGTCTTCACTTTTATAGCAGATTTACGATGTCATGTAGACTCAGCCTCTTCTCTTCGTAACATCCTGCTCAAACCTCCTGTATCCTAACACCGGAGCTTAAAATGTAGTTCAGCTTTATGATAGGTGGAGTGGCAGGGTCTTGGGTATGTTCAACTTGAGATTGCTGAGGATTGTGCTGTCTAATTTGGGTGGTGCTAGCCATATGGAACTATGGTGAACTTGAAATACGACTAGTGGGACAGAGAAACTGAGTTTATTAATTTAAATTTAAATTTAAGAACTAGATTTAATGTAAAAACTTCTAAATATCTTTGAAATAACTTGGATGTGTGTTCATTTGTTCAACTGTAAATTTTATGTAATCGAAACCAACTCTTCCTAATCAAAACTCAGCTCCCAAATTGAGATGTGCTAAAAGTATAGAATATATGCCATATTTTGAAGCCTTAGTAAGAAAAAAAAAAGTATAATACCTTATTAAATTGTTTATGTTGGGTACATGTTAAAATGTTACTATTCTTGGATATACAGGGTTAAAGAAAGTATATTATCAAAATTAATGGTATCTGTTTCTTTTTACCTTTTTTAATGCCACTACTAAAATATTTTAAGTTACACATGTGGCTCTCACATTTCTTTTGGATTACATTGGCTTAAGGGCCAGGCAGGACCTAAGGTGAACTAGGGGCCTTTAACCCTTCCTGCTTTATCACTTTGGAAAATTAACAAGACTAAAATTATTTACAACTCTACAACATTAGCTAACATTTATTGAATACCTACTAAGTGCCAGACACTGCTCTAAATTCTTTACAGGCAAACAATTTTCATAACAACTCTTTGATGGTATGATTTTTATTCTCATTTTAAAGATGAAGAAATGAGGCATAGAGTTGAAGAAGTTTGTAATTGGTAGAGCCAGGATTTAAACCCAGATATATCTGATTTAGTAGTATTCACAACCAGTGAAACAGAAAAATTATATTTGAAATATGCTACTTAGTACAAGAAACTGGGGTGGTACTTTTGTGAGCTCTACTTAAGGAGTCATTAATGCATTATACAACATTTATGGTCACTGAATGAGTGAGTCTGCTGGTTGATCTACCTAATACCAAAAAATAATGAAGCTTGCTCTTCATATGCACGAATAAATACAGAGCTCTGTTTGTCAGGTATTGTTAAAATCTGACAAACACTAAGTGAACTCATGGAGCTATTTTAAATAATAATCAGGATTATTTGTTTGTTGCAAACACAAAATGCCAAGAAATCCTAACTTCCTTGTGGATGAAGTGAAATTAATTTTCTTTACAATCAACTTGTCCGCAAAATATTTTACACTAACATGCTTTTAGTATCTGTATATTTGAATGTACTTCCTCTCATTCATAAATTCATTCATTCATCTTGAATTATTAACTGAGTGTCAATATGTTGTAAGGACTGGGTAGGAAATTGTCATACGAACAATCTAAGAAGGGAATTTGTGCCTGGAGAAAAAGATAGTGTAAATGGGGATTTATGGTTCTATATACCCAGTCTTCCTGTGAATTATACAAAGTTTTTAACTGTATTGTTACAAATTTTTAAAGGCTGCATTTGTAAAATATGTCGTTTTTATTTTCTTAAAGTTTATGTTTGGATGACATTAATACTCAAAACACACATTCTCAGTATTGGTTGGACATTTTAAAATTGGCATAACAGAGGATTCAACACTCGGTCTCAGCTGTTCTGGAAACAAGGCAGCTGCTGAGTGAAAACGGATGCCAGGAAGAACCATGCTGAGGATAAAGCAAGGACATTGTGGGAAGCACAACTTTATAATAACTTGAGGCATTCCATCTAATGACATTATAATTTAGCTCTCACTTATCAGGTAGTGCACCAGACAGCTCCAACTATCATTTGTCTAGCATCCATTAAGTATTGTCTTCCTTATAATAGTTAGCTTTGTGTGTTGGACAATAATGAGGTGAGGGGAACCATCAAAGGCATATGAGAAATAAACCTTAATGACAACAAACAATTTGTCAGACATTCTTTTCCTCCAGCTTTAACATTTGGGTGCCATATAGTGAATTAAATGATCTAACCCATCTCATTCATCACTTGAACCACAGAACAAATGGTTAAAGTCAAGCTTCTCTGGAAGATTACCTGACAGGTGATATATGAAGCCATCGAGGAATTGTATGATGAAGGGACATTAAAGATGACAACTGATGTGTCAGGCTTCTAGGCCAGTTACTTTCATTTTGTAACAGGAGCACATACATTCCTGGCTAAATGGTGCAGGCTAACTTAACTAAGTTTGACTTGATATAGACTGTGGACTTATATCCACAGTTTTAAGGGACGACAGCACAAATACGTAGAACATAATTACTGATGTCACTTTCTGTAACATTTATTCATTTCATGAATGCTTACTGAGTATTAACTTTAGGTCAGCACTATTCAAGGGGCAAGATTTTTCTTTTGGAGACTGAGAAAGTTAATAGGTCCTGTTCTGGATCACTAAGCAAGGAAGCAGCAGACCAGGGGCTCAGGCAGAGTTCTTCTGACTACAAGTTTGGTAATGAGAATGGCGGAGCATGCTGCTTCTCAGCACCCAGTGATAAGTAGTAACTTCCATAATACTTCCACCACCTCCTCCCACAGTGAAAGCTGCTCCAGCATAGCAAGACCTGGCTGAATTTGTCTACGTAGATAGAGAATTTGACATAAAGTAACCTGAATCTGAGCTGTAAATCTGACGTTTAATTCTCTTTCAAGTTGAAGAAAGAACAGAGAAGGCAGAGTAGATGGGTAAATTGCTTTGGGCATTTTACAAAAGTGAAGATTCCAAGCTTTGATTTTCTAGGTTCAATTCTGCAGATTAAACTAACTTAGTGCTACTATTAGACTCATTGGGTTGCTTGCCTGTCTTCCTTCCTCTTTCCCTTCCTTCCTTCCTTCCTTTCCTTTCCTTCTTTCCTTTCTTCCCTCCCTCCCTTCTTTCCTTTCTCTTTCTTTCTTTCCTTCCTTCCTTCCTTCTCTTTCCTTGGTTTTGAAATGGAATGTCCCTCCATCACCCATGCTGGAGTTCAGTGGTGCCATTTTGGCTCACTGCAACCTCTGCCTCCTGGGTTCAAGTGATTCTCCTGCCTCAGCCTCCTGAGTAGCTTGGATTACAGGTGTGCACTACCACACCCAGCTAACTTCTGTATTTTTAGTAGAGAGAGGGTTTCACCGTGTTGGCCAGGCTGGTTTCAAACTCCTGACCTCAAGTGATTCGCCCACCTCGGCCTCCAAAGTGCTGGGATTACAGGCATGAGCCACCATGCCCAGATGCTTTTGTATTTAAATATTTGCTTCCAGATTTGGGGATATACAAAGAGCCTATGTGATGCCAAGGAATAAGTATCTTCCTGCAAAGGAGCAAAGCTCAAGACCTAAAGTAGACCAAGTAGACAATAAAAAGGTGGAGGGAAATGAGTGTTTCATTAATATCTACTGGTTTAGATTTTGTGCTAGTCCCTTTTACATAATTTTATCTACCACAAAAATTCTATGGAGTTTTATTTTCTTCATTTTACTAAAGAAAAAACTGAGGTTTAGTAAGTTTAACTAATTTGCCCTAAGTCACCAGCTAGTAAGTGGTAGAGCTGAGGGTAAAACACAAATTCACTTAAAATCAAAGCTTATTTCACACAGCACACTGCCTCATGCCTACGATTTGTCTCTAAGTTTGCTACCTCATCAATTACCTTGCAGGTAGATGGAAACAGAGCTTCTTATCTCTCACTCAAGCCCTTCTCTTCCTGGGTTTTTTGTTTTTTTTTTTTTCTAATCACAATGAGGTTGTGGCTGTTGGTCTCTCAAGCTAACACTCTTGGAATAATGTTTAACTCTTTACATCCTTTAGTTGAAAATACTTCCCAGTCCTTCCTATGTGCTACGTTTCATATGAAGAGAACCCCCTTCTTTTTAGACTGGCTTTAGGGTACGCAGATCTAACTAATCATAATTTTAAAAAGATTATTTAGAAGTTATCTTATATACAGAGATTACCAACTTTTAAAGGATTAGAACACTATTAAATGTACTCTGTTCTATAAGTGTAGTTTATACCATGTAATCTTTCATATCTGTTTGCTGAAATGCTGGCCACCATTTAAGGATACCTCACCTGCCATTTCTTCTGAAAGGTTTTCCTTGATTTTGCTGTAGATCTTTAGGTCCTCCCTTCTCTTATGGCACATGTCACTGTATTCATATTTGCAGAACATGAACTAGATGCCAGACACACTATGGTGAGTGAAATATCATCATTGTCCTCATGAAGCTTAAAATCTTGCAAGGAGGAGAGACACTAACCCCATAACCATACAACTAGTAAAGGCATAATTCCAGTGATAACCGTCATGAAAGAAAAAACCCCAGCTATTATGCATTGTGTGGAGAAAAATAAAAATGCAATAAGTGATTATGCATTTTTTTCTGTTTATATTACTCTAGGTAATGTATTCCCCTCTCTAACCCAACATATTTCTCATACTTAACTATGATATGCAAAGAACCCAACTTGCAAAAGGAAAATTTATCTTTCTTAAAAGTTTACTATGCTTCTATATTGGTGAAGCAAAGATGTTTGGGGAAAAAAACCTGTAAAAAATGCTGATTTCATTGAGACCATGAAACCTCTCTGATCCTCAGGCCGAGAAATCACTTAAGGATCTACAGTTTAAATGAATTCTCAAATAATAGAATGTTAAATTGAGGAAAATCCTTAGAATTTATGAATCCATAAGGTTCTGACTTTCAGCTTTTACAAGGCAGTACAACTTTTATGGGGGAAGATGGAGGGTTGCCAGGTTTTAATTTTGCCATGTGATGTTGTTGCATAAAACCCATCATCCATTTGCCCGTGATTTCATAAATGAGAAGACATTTGAAAAGCAAAAACAAAAAAAAGGTAGAAAAACATAATCTTAGTATAAAGAACAGCCTTTCTTAAGGAAGGACTGGTATAACTTTATAGCAATATAGATCTAGCTACAAATATAAAACAGATTAAAATGTTAAAGCTACATAAATATTGTCTTTATTTTCCTCATTTCATCTTAGACTGGTTAAAACCTGGAGGTTTGAGAAACCCCTGATCTTCTCCATACTCTTCACAAGGGCAATGGCTGGCCAAGATTACAAATTAGTGACTGTTGAGGCTGGAATCTGTACCGAGGTCATGGGAACCCCCTGCACTGCCCCTTCTAATCACCCTCCTGCTTGGACCCTGGGAGTATGACAAAGAGTCAGGTAGGAGGAAGGTGAATTCTGCCGCACATGTAGGATGAGTGTGACTCTGGGGCCAGGGAGATAGGTAGAGGGAATGGAATAAAAATGGGAGAAATATTCTGAGGAAAGATGGATATATTTTTGGTTACTGTTCTCCTCTTTCTACCCCTTTCCCCTCCCCACATCAACAATGTATAGGAAAAAGGATTGTGCAAACTATTCACAACAGTAAATCCATCAATCAAGTAAAGCTTGACCACAATTCTATTTATCTTCTCCTTTTTACAGATAAGACAACTGAGGCTGAAGATCACACAACCAGTAAATGGAACAGCCAGAAATCAAATGTTATATATTGGCCCTGAAGTGGGGATAAAGCAGCTAAAAGAAAGTGTACTTTACATTAAATTTTAAGGTATCCAAAAGCAAATCAATAAGCCATACTCTAGTTACATTAAGATATTTTCACAAGTGCTAGGTTAAGTAATATAAAATTACCATTTTTGTAGGTCAAAAGTAATGGAATATCATGCTTGTATATGGTTTGATCTAATATATATCATTATCAGGTTCTACTAATACAGAGTTTTCTGCCTTTACTTAACCATCACAATAAACTAAGGACTTCCAAGCTAGTAAGAATAATGACACAGATAATAATTAGAAAAGTATTCATAACATTATCAACAAACACTTCTACCATTTTTTGAACAACTACTTCTATGTATATTTTCACTGTAGTAAAAAATCCCTAACAAAAAATTTATCATCTTAATCATTTTAAGTGTACAGTTCAGTAGTGCTAAGTATATTTACATTACTGTGAAACAGATCTCTAGAACATTTTATCTTGCAAATTTGAAACTCTGTACTCCTTAAACAAGAAGAACCCCATGAGAGACCATGTGGCTGGTGGTGTCAGATTATAGGCTTTTTCAAGAGAAGTCAATCTGGAATTTTGTGTAAAATTTTCCAAGCTTTAATGTTAGCTTTAAAATAGCTTTATCGAGATATAATTCAAATGCCATAAATCTATCCATTTAAAGTGTACATTTTAACAGTTTTTAATCACCCCCAAAGGAGACCTTGTACCATTAAGCAGTCACTCCTCATTCCCCCCTCCTCCCAGATGCTAGTAACCACCATTCTGTTTCCTGTTGCTATGAATTGACTACTTAAGTGCCAGTAGCCTATCATTTTTGAGTATGTAAATCTGCAAGGTGCATTACACACTTTAATCCTAACAAAACTACAAATTAAGTGCTATTATTCTTACTTTATAGTCTAGAAAATGAAAAAGTTTTAGTAGATACAAAGTTACATCTGAAAGTAATTAATTGCTACGTATTTTCATATCTGTTATATTCAAGTTAGATATGAATGAGAATAATTTCTTCTATAGAAAAGATTTTTCATATATTGGATTATTGTTAAGTAGTAGTGGTGTTGGTGGATTCCCAAACATCCAAATAATGGAGTTCAATAAATACTGGTTGAATGACTAAGTGAATGGTGTGATAGAATACCTTCTTAAATAAAAGAGGCCCAAGACAATATGAAGGAGAAATAGAAGAAGAAATTGAAGGAGAATATGCAAAAGCTCATGGTAACACTCTCCAGGTAGAGAAAGTTTTTGCCTGGTTCTTCTATCAGCAGCACAAAATTACAGAGACCACATACTATGAGCCACACTGTATTAAAAAAATAGATACACTTCTTGTATAAACACAAGATATCCAAAGAAATTGGAAGAAAAAAGGACTTAATTGTAAGAAAAACAACATTCTATTCTGGAATACTACTGACAAATTTAATTGAATCCTGGAGGAAATAGGATATTTTAAAATAGGTTAAAATGTTAAATAGAACATTAAGTAGTGGATTATAGTTAGCACATAAACAAGTAAGAGAAACTGAGTATGGAAGAATAAGTGAAGCTCTTGTCAGCACTTACAAAAGGATGGACAATCGCTGGTTAGAGAAAAACACAAGCTTTGTGCTCACACTTCAACTTTTTTTTTTTTTAACAAAAAGACAAAGTTGGAGAAAACAGTTGTACTAGAGACTTGATCATTCATAATATGAATGAAACAGAGTTGAAGTAATGAGTGGCAAATATTTGTATGAAAGAGCATCCTTATTTTTATATTATCCAAATGGGATTTACTTTGAAATTAAGGTCTCCTTTTACTTTCTAAATTTAAAGAAAAATTACATAATAATCTTCCTTGAATAAATAAATGTAATAAAAAGTGAACTTATGAAAAGGATGGTTGCATATAAAATATATATTTATATTTACATCCCTACACTAGTAAGATGACTTTTAAAAAATAAATAAATACAATAACTTTAGATTTCTAAAGAATAACAAAAATTACATGCATTTTCATCTATAAATAAACACCTTTCTTGCCACTTTTCTTTTTACATTAAAACTCCCCCGACAAAAAACTTTTCTTCCAATGCACAAAACTTTTCAGAAACTTAATATATCTAGGTTCCAATATACCTAGTTTTTTAAAAGATATTTTGCTTAAACTGAAGTTTGAAAGCAACTGGATTTTTGCTATGTGGTATCTGTGGAAATGCAAATGTCCAAATCTGATTTCAATGAGCTTTGACCTTCTGAGATTTGTCAGCCACCCAGATGTCAAATCTTTCTTTTTCCTTTTTGAAAAAGAAATTTATTCAATTCAATTCGATGCAAATTATTCTGTCATCTTTCAAGGACAAAAGACTGAACGAATTATGGATCTTAATTTTGACCTATCCAAATTACTTTTAACTACCCAAACTAATGTCCTAGAAAACATGGAGAACCACAGAATTTCTGTGCTTGGTGAACTGTTGAAGATAATCGAATCAATTCCCTTTTTTTTTTCACAGAGAAAGAAGCTAGATGGCTTCCCTAGATGTGACATAGTCAGAATTGTAGGCAAAATCCAGACACAGCTTTCTACTAACAACCTAAGGCCCAAATTGTTAACTTACTCATGCTCTTGTCCAGATCCTAGACAATACAAGGTCCCAACTGAATAAATTCAATGGCACTATTTTTTGAGAAAGAAAATGCCAGAATATTGATGTGAAATAACAGTGATTTCTATACCTTAAAACATCATCATACATAAAAGGGGACTGCCAGCCTCTCTGTGTTGACACAGTGGTAAGAGCACTGGAGTGCTTCATCCCAAACTTAAAGCTGGCTGAATCATTTAATTTCTCTGCATCTCAGTCTGCAAAATGGCAATAATATACCTTCCACGTAGCTGAGAAGATAGAACCAGATAAGTGGTGTAAAGGGACTCTAAGAAGACAACACTGCATGACACAGGCCCAGCCATAATTTATGCACAGACCTGCTTTGGTAGGTATGCCCTACTTGCACCAACAATAAAGGACCTTGAGACACAGATTAAGGGACCATCTAGCACAAACCCAAGAAAACCCAGAAAAAAATAAAAAGCAAACCCACTATGAGGCATAGAATAAAAGGAAGAAACATACCCTGGCATATTTGATGCTAAGAAGAAATAAGGTCATTTTGAAATTACAGGTACCTGTGTTACCCTTCTCCCCACCCCCCATACTCTTTTCTAACACATTTTGGGGAGCTATGGAAAATGAATAGAAGAGACAAAAAAGTACTTTGCCCGGCAGGAATACAAAATTGTAAAAGCACAGACAGCACTACAGAGGCGCGCTGCCATTCACTCACAAAGAATTTTGTGCATGTAGATGGCTGATTAATTGCCGGCCTGCCTAGACGAAGCTGCAACAAGCCAGATACTGTCAGCATGCCATCGGTTACCATGGAAATGCACAAGGTTCCTGTTTCTGACAAACCCTTGAATACTGGATAGATTGTGCCATATGTAAATAAGGCAAATTAGTTTTCCTATATCTTCCAGACAAGGTTAGACGAAAAGAAAATATATCTGTTTAAACATACTCTCTAACCTCTTAGATGTGACGAATGAGAAAGAGGGGCTTCTTTCTTAGGAAACTAAACTCAGATTGTTACAACTGAAAGGCACTTGGGGAAAATGACCAAAAAATGCAAAATGCATTGCCCATTTATAAGGAAGGACTTCAAAGTCAGCCATGCAAAGGTACATTTTATTAGACTTTTGTTTTGTAACCAGAAGATGCATTTTGTGGCCTTTTCTTTACAAAATCATAAAATGTCAAAGTTATTTCTGTAATATTAGGTTAGAATTTTTATGTTTTATTACATAATTTTTACTTATTGCACAGTCTCTAGGCTCCATAGGCTGAATACTGAGTCACAAATCAGCGTGATAAGACAAATCAGCAAAATTTACAATGTTTAACTCCATTACTATGGACACTTATTTTGGCATTACATTGAATGGGGCTTTTTTAAATTAAAAAATAACTTTTACCAGCACTGGGCAACTTTATAACTTCTTTTCATGTTGCGAAATTAATTTATAATTAATTAAATCTGATGTTAACTGCAAAAAAATTCTTGTAATTATCATTAGGATACCTTAAAGTACACAGTGGCTCAAATCTCTTATTTAATTCAGGACACAGGACTACTTTTCTGATGGTCATGTGTAATTATATATTTTAAAAATTGAATCTGTTTACTTAAACAGTGAAAATGCCAAAAACAGCTGCAGTACATTTTGTAATATGGCATCTCTGAATAATTTTTAAGTGTGGATCTCTCAAAATAAAATGTCATAATATCTCTATTATCTACTTAATTTTAAATATATACTTTATCTGTGTTTTCAGTCAGATTTTCTATGGATACTTGGATATTAAATTTTGATACTTAAACCCACATATTCATGTTACTCAAGTAAGCCACAACATATGAACACCAAAGATATCTACAATTATCCAAATTAACCCTTCCCTAAGTTTAAATTAGTGATCTCTTCCGTTTCTGGGTAAAGGCAGGAAAATATTTTATTTCCTATAAATAATCCACTTATTAGATATGCCCAGAATTCCAATTTGGCCTAATATACTATATGTTATTCCATGTTTTTAGAATTCAGCAATGAATTCTAGCTAATGACTCTCAAACTTTAACATATCGAATATATGTAATTGAATATTAGCCAAGAAAAAAAGAGAAGCCACTATCTGCATATTTTCATTTTTATGTAAATAACACACTACATAAAACTATTAAAAATACTGACTTTTAGTATTGCCCTGTTTGACTTATGTTTTTGCAAAAAAAAAAATACTTTTTATACTCTCTAATAGGAATGTAATATGTAAAGTGAATGGTTTTTATACCAATTTCTAAACAAATTTTAAAAGTACATTCTATTTACACAATAGTAAAGAAGGACTCAAAGAAAACTAGTGTTTAAATAACTCTGGCTAGAACAAGTAGCTATGCCTGAAATTAACGTGATCATTCTTTCTGTTCTTCATTTTGTTTTACACAAGACCTAAACAGGTTGTCACACTTCGTTCCAGTCTTTTTGCACTGAAATAAATACATGACCTATAGATGACATTTCATTTTGCTCTTTTTTTTCTCCTTTAAACCAGACAGATCATAATTAAACACACTGAGATTTCTTGGTTGGTCATATAATGATGTCTACTTTTCTTATTAGAAATCTTCCCAGGTTTTTACATTGTGAGCATGTGTACTTGAGGATTTAAATTGTAACTTCTACCCTAGAGGCGAAACATTTTACAATGGAAACTGGCCAAATTTCTTTTTCATGTGTTATTATTAAAAAACATGCTATCTTCCAAGTCACATATTAAAAATATACATATTATATGTGCTTAGGAGTATGTTAGAAACAATATGATTGGTTCCATTCATGTTTTTAACTCTATACTTTAGAATGCATAATTTTCAAAATATACACTTTAAGATGAAAGGTAAATATGAGAATATTTTACCTATTGCTTGAATATGCTTAGCTATAGTAAAATAAGAATATTAGCCTCCTGCATATCACCAGAATGTATTAAACACAGGATAGTCAATGAGAGAACAGATAATTGTGAGGAGGATAAATGTTTGCTGGGAGAAACATACACATTTACCGCTTTTAAGAGACAGTGTTATAGTATGGAAAGAACAGGCATTTGTTCATTCACTGGGAATTGTTTGTGTGCCAAGCACTTTATCAGGCATGGGAAGATGACAGTGAATAAGCAAGGTCCCTGCTTTCATGGATCTTATACTCTAGAGGGGTAGAGATAAACTGGGGGAAATCAGACCCAAGTTCTAATCTTTGCTCTTTCTCTTGAATCCTGTAACTCCTTTTACTTGAATCAACTTTATGATATGCCATATTCTCTTCATAGTTTATTATTTCTGCATGTTTTTCTACTCTACTATATGTTATAAATTTCTTATGAGTAGCAAACATGGTATGGATCTTCTTCACTTTGGGATCTTCCACCATATTTAACCTATAGTAGGTTTTCCAACAATATTTGTTGAATAAATGAATTGATAACTCCTTCTAGTCACTTGTATTATAATTTTTAGGTAAGGTACCTAACTCCAGGGGTTTGGGGCTTTTTTACCTATAAATGAGGGTGTTGAAATGAGTCATCTTTAAGGTTAAAGTTTATAATTCCGTAATATTCCTTAATGCTGTATGTCAGTAAGCAAATTTACTCTTGCTATTCTACTGACTCAGAACATTTTCATCCTAAAAATGTTGTAACTTTAAAAATTTGTTTCTGCTTTTCTGGCTATCTTTTTTCAAGAGTGGTTTTAATATATAATCATTTTAGTTTTCATATAAAGTTATGCCACGTATGATATTAAAGCTTAATTTAAAACATTAATATTTGCTTTTCAGATTTATGAGACAGGCAGAAAAATCACAAAAAGGAAAAAAAGTCAGTTTGAAGTGTGAAATCAAGTGAATGAAGTAAGACAGAAGCAATAATCTCTACAACAAAAGATGAGAACTTGCCTCCTCTAAATCCCATACACACATGGCTATTTGTTCCAAGCTTATGTGGATCATCGCTAATTTACAAACAGTGGGTGATGTGCTATAAAGAAAATGACTCATTGGCCCATCTGTAATTTAAATATGTGACAAAATGTTTAAATGTTTCAAACAATGGTTAATTATTAGAGACTTAACAGTTTGAAAACAAGTGTGGAGCTTTTTTTTTTTTTTTTCTGTTTTTTTGGCTTCATTTTGAACCAGCCCAAATGGACATCAGGTGTTTGACTCTTCCTGAGATGCAGTACATAATCTTTAATTGGACACCTTGTTGGAAAATAAGGAGGAAAGTATCCATTTTTTTTTTTTAGAATAGCCTGGCCAACATTTATGTACTGAATGCTAATATGTATAATTGAAAAAATAAAAAATTCTAGGTCTTACTTAAGATTTTCATCTACCATGAGAAGTCTTTCATTCATTTTCTTAGCACAAAGACAGCCCCACTCTCTATACATGAATATGTAAAAATAAAACTTCAAATTACTTTCATGTTGATGTTTATGTAACCTGTATCTTTAGTGACACAAAAAGAAGAGATTTTATTGAACAATAGTTATAAGACCCTTTCCTCTTAATCTCCAGTTAAGCACATATTATTTAACTGATTCTTTCAAAAGACAAACAAAATGAAAGAATGAATGTTAGTTGCTTTTTAATTAACGCAAAACAAAGGTTGAGCAGTGAAAAGTGCATCCAGTTAACTGACTGTTGAGTTTACACAACTTCAACCAAGAAGTCCCTTAACAGAAAGGAAGGGTTTTGGAGGGAGGCAGAGATTGATCTCTAACATACAGAATCTAAATGAAATTAGTTATTTGGTCAAGGTGAAAGAGAATAAAACAATAACTAAAACAAAGACCTAAGATAAAATAACAAGAAAATAAAATTTTAAGTAAAAGTTGGTGCTATTTTTCTCCTTTAAAAGGAAAATCATTTTCAAATGCACATGCTGATCTCAAATAAATGTTTTGCTAGTCTATTTAGTTCAATTCTGCAAACTGCTTCAGATTGAAATGTATGTTGAAACCTAAAACTGATTTGTTCCATGTAAATCACATTTAAAACTTCTTCAGCTAAAGGTATTACCAGTAAAGCTATTAACTTGAGTATGAGCTCTTTCTTTAGATCTCCAAACCTGCTAAATCATAGATAATATTATATTTTTCTTTCTCTTTATGTAAAATTGAAAAAAAAAGACTTTTTTTCATTTTAAGGGAAACAAGCCCAATTCAGAGGTTTTCATTTTAAAGGAAACAAGCCCAATTCAGAGGTCTAACAAGCCCTATTCATTTGAACCTTTTGAAAGAAACTTTTCCTTCCTTCCTCTGCTTGCCCTTGAACCATGTCCTAGGAGCAGTTGATTGAGTAGGCAGATTTTCTTCAATAGTTTCTCAATCAGACATTTTCTATAGATTCTAAATATATTTGGCAATATTTAATGGCAAATGAACCTAGTAATATGCTGACGTTTTTTAACACTTGTCCCTGGAAATAAAAAAATCAAATGTTTTCTCTCCTTTTTATTATCTTTATCTATCTAGCTAGCTATAATAACATTAGACCCTAAAGTTAATCCATAGGGCAAGCTTGGTTTAGTCCGTTAAATAAATATTGTTACTTAATGATTGACATGACACTTGGACTATCAGAATCTGTACCATTATCCGTTTCTATTTTTTTTCCTTCTATGTCTGGGGAAACTAAAAACATTTTCAGTTAAAAAGGCTTTTTATGGGGTAGGCCTGCTGCCCTGGCAATTCTCATCATTTTGGGCTCACTCACTTGTGAACAGTTGAGCTATCCATTCGGCATATGATAGCTACTAGGAACCTGAAAAACATATTTAGAAAAATTAATCTTTATTTTTTGCCCAGAGTGGAATATAAATGCATAATTAGTGGAATTTATAGTTTGATATATAGTAAAAACATTTCAGCATTTCTAGAACATTCATACTCCAGTACTCTCCCTTCGAAGTCATTAATCAGTAATGTCTGCAAAACCAAAATAACAATACCTGCTTAGAGAGCAATATTTGTTACACAGTAGGCACTTTATTAAAGAGGCTTTCATTTTTTCCCTTAACCTTATGGATATTATGAACCTTGTACCTTATCAATTTTGTCAACAATTGAATTATATAATATTTAAATACTCTGAGTCCATTAGAGTTCACCTTGCAAGCAAATTATAGCTATAAACATATTCAAAGGGGGAGGAAAACCCTATCAAACAAATTGTCATTATAATATAGGGGACTAAGTAGGCATTTCAATAGTTTTTTCATTTATATAATAAAGTCTTCAGTAATCCCTCTGTATCTGAACTCTGTTGATGGAGATACGCTGCTGGGCACTTAGGTTGGGTCACTCATTCATGGCAAAGTTCAAATTTGTAGAGGAAGCTTCACATGCATTAATTTATTTACCTCTCAAGACATGCTGGAGAGGTAATTATAAATTACTATAGTTTCTTGGAACACGTTAATTCTGTGACTATTATAAAAATTATATAGAATCAGGAAATAACTGCATTTTCCATACTTAAAGATTCATGCATACATTTTCTATATATAACATAGTATATATAAATGTAGGAGATTTCTGAACAAAAAAATTCAATAATAAACCTCATTTTCCAATACCAATATATATATTATTTCAACAGCTTTATTCTAAATCTGCTAACTACCAGGTGCTGGTATTCTTCATCCTAGTTAGTTTCAACTAATGTCATGTTCTCCAGTGCCATGCTTGTGATGATGTTCCCTTGCAAATAGCTTGGTCTCCATTAGCTGACACTGGGTTGGATGACATTCTTAACTGTTTGTGATATAGTGTCTTTTTGGAACAAAGGTGTCATGTGGTCTGAAAAGCATACAAATGAGTCTCAACAGGAAAATATCTTATAAGCAAACAGGAAGACATTCACCAGCCATCGTTTTCCCATGCACTGCAGGAACTGGACCCATCAATTTATTTATTTTTTTTTCATTTTATCTCTTCTTCCTTCCCTCTCTTCCTCCTTTCCTGCCTCCTTCCATCTCTCTGTTACTAATCAAATCACTCTCTCACAAAGGCCATCAGCATGAGTATCTTCAAATATGAAGAGCAATCACCCTCACCATCTGCTCTATCAATACCTAAACACACAGCCACCTTCCACACTATTTAAAGTCATCAGAAGACAGATTTCATCCCAGACTCCACCACTTGGTTGTTGTGTGACTGTGGGTAAATCACTTACTTGAGTCTTCTAAGCCTCAGTGTTCTCCTCTGTAAAATGGAGGTAATGATATTTGTCTCATTTAATTCATAGAATATTTTAGAAAGAATTGAAAAAAATGTATATAAAAGTTTGTTTTAAAGCTGCACCCATACAAACATAATACAAAAACATGGTGAGGCAAAAAAATTATTCTGAAGGTGAAGAACTAAGAGTAGCATTTAGGTCATACCATATTTAAAAGAGATTGTTTTATATTTCATAAAGTATTTTATTTTATTAGTAAAAGTCCAACTATATTTGGCTTCGCCCGGCTCATATACATAAGTGTTGTATGTATATATATTTAACCGATATTTATCTACTGATTAAAATAATACCTTTAAGAATGAATTAAAATACTTCGTAGCTTTCAATGAGATAAATAAGAAAATTTTTATAGAAATTTCCAATATCTGCTGAGTCATTATTATAAGATTATTTACTACCCTCAAGTGCAAAATTACACCTATGATATATAATTCTGAAGAAAGGAAATTCATTAACTGTACTATAGGTTTTCCTATGTTCTCTCAGAATATCTATTTGAATACTGATCTTATTTATTAATGATCTAGTTTTTAACAAGTACATTTAGTGTACTGATATGCCCATTTAAATGATACAGATTTTTAAAACATTCAACCTAGTGCTGTGTTTGAGGTCTAAAAATAAGTTCTTTGCGTCTACCTTCATATTACTGGCCACTTTTGCTCATCAGGAACAACCTAATGTTAACGTAAATGACAACCAAAATGCCCCATCTGCAATTTCGCTTCTCTCCTTGATCCATGACTTCAGCTGACCCTACACTCAGACAATGACAGTATTTTTATTTATTATTAGCAATTTTTCCTCTATAACAAACCACTTAATTACCAATTTGACACTCAGAACACTTCTACCGAGCCGCAATGAAGTGCTTTGGAACAACCAACGCAAAGGCATCAGTCACTGTTTTCAACAAACACAGGAAATTTTAGATAATTTCAGGGATTTGATCCTGTTTACCCTAGCCAGGTGTGTGTGCCTGTGCATGGATATGCCTGGTCTGTATGTGAGTGTGTGCTTTGCATGTGGGTTACTGAAGCATGCACTGCAAAATATAGCTCCAAAACTTGTGAAGGAGTAGCACTTCCATGATCCCTTCAGAGGAAAGTGCAGGATTTGACCTATGGGTCAATTACCAGCCAAAAAACACTCTGTGTTATCTAATAGGTAACACATAATGACACTTATCCAAAAAATCTGTAGATTTCTTTTTGTTGAGTGGAAACATGTTGTATTTATTAAAGTAAGACTTTTGTTTTTTTATTAAAACTAATTTTTACTTTATGATAATATGTCACATTGTTTAGCCTCCATTCCTGTGAGCGCAGAAAAAGGTAAAAAACATACTTTTCATTACAAACTATAACTAAAAGATAAATCTGTCTGACCACTTTTACAATTTTTGCTTATACGCCACTATGCTCAATATTTTTTCCTTAAGAATCAATGATCCAGTTGAGTCTTGATTTCAACTTAAGGCCATCCATTAGAGAGAGTTAAGAGCCTGAAAAGGGTCAGCCTTTTCTGTCTCTATTAGTCTAGGTAGCTTTCGTCTCTAATGGAATCCTTTCGATAATTATTTCATACTTCTGGCAAATCTTGATGGACTCCATTCACCTCAATGCTACCTCTGCAGATCATTCAAAAGCTTCTATTAGGACATCTTAGAGAAACCTCCTTTTTGCTTTATACTCAAATAAAAGAAGTAAAAAACTAAACTTCAAGAGGGGCCATGCTTTTCAGTGTAATCACAATACTTTCCAGTCTGAACAAGAGGCATCAGCTATTCTTTCCCTTTTGAAAGCATTTTGACCAGGTGGAAGGATTTTAAGCATATATACCAGAACACACATATCTTGGTCCAATTCAAGAGCCATAGAAAATATCTTCATACTTATTTGCATATGTTTTTTTTCACTATTAATGTTTAGGAAATATGAGCTTCGTCTCTTTATCAATGACAGTACTTTTCAATGGAAGAAAAAATGATCAATAACTGTAACAATATATTATGACTAATTTGCTAAAATTGATTTTTTAAAAATCAAGTTACAATCTGGGATACCTACTTATTTTTGGAATGTATCACATACCTCCTTTAAAATAGAGCTCCTTCCTAATTGTATTTTGCTTAGTTACTTATAAACATCAGCTTTAATTCCCTAAGCAAAAAACAGCTGGATGATAGGTGAAAGCTGGTTGAAGATTAAGAATTTGCTGTAGGCTTTACACAGAGCAGCTAATAGTCACTTGAAGAATCAAGTGCTGAACGTATTAAGTGATTCTGCCTGCCATTTCTTTATTAGATCTACTTTAAATGGAACTCTGTGGGCCCGCTTGAAGCAGAGTGGGCTCTCTTAAACTCTGAAAAATCTATCTGCTGCAGAAACAGGGAAGGGTCCTCTTTTGGTGCCTAGTCATGGTGGAGAATACGGGAATCCATCAACACTTGCTCGGTACCCTCCATCCCAACACCTTCTACAAGATATTTAACGTGGCTTCCAAGCATATATGTAATGTGAGAGGTACAGCATCTATGGTAGTTAATCACTACCATTTTGAATATTTAGGTTGTTTTTGAATTTTTGCTAACATAAGTCACCTTATAATGAACATCCTTGTAGCTTAATCCTTAAATGTATTAATGGTCAAATATATTAATGGTACATTTAAGGGTTAAGAAAGGTAAGGCACAGGAAGAATAAAGATTGAACAGTAATAAGGCCAAGGGTGAGCTGCACGCACAGGAAAGCATAACCTAGTATACCAGAGTCAACAGGGGTGCTGCTTCGTGCCACAAGCTAAGGAGGAAGCATGGTCAGGTACAAGATTCATAATATCCATAAGGTTAAGGGGAAAAAGGAGAGCCTCTTTAATAAAGTGCCTACTGTGTAACAAATACTGCTATATGAGCAACTGAGAGACATCAAATTAAAATTATTTATACATAGTTGAAGTACACATATTGTTTTATAGACTTCTAAAACTTTAAAATAATCATAAACTATAAGGAATTGCAAATATATCTGTGTGCAGATGAGTGGATTAAAAATAATAAAAAATAAAAAGAAATTGCAAAAATAGTACAAAGAGTCCAATATATCCTTCACCCTGCTTCCCCAATTGGCTACATTTTATTTTATTTTATTTTTATTTCGAGACAGAGTCTTGCTCTGTCCCCCATGCTGGAGTGCAGTGGCACTGATCTCAGCTCACCGTAACCTCCACCTCCTGGGTTCAAGCTATTCTTGTGCCTCTGCCTCCCAAGTAACTGGGATTACAGGCACGCACCACCAGGCCCAGCTAATTTTTGTATTTTTAGTAGAGACAGGGTTTCGCCACGTTGGCCAGACTGGTCTTGAACTCCTGACCTCAATTGAGCCAGCTGCCTCAGCCTCCCAAAGTGCTGGGATTACAGGCATGAGCCACCGCCAGGCTGGCTACATTTTATGTAAATGTAGTACAGTATCAAAAGCAGAAAACTGACATTTGCACAGTACCTTTAACTACATTACAGGCTTTGTTCAGAATTCACAGCGTTTACCTCTGTGTATGTGTTTGTCTCTGTGTAGTTTCATGCAATTTTTTTTATTATAGTTTAAGTTCTGGGATACATGTGCAGAACGTGCAGGTTTGTAACATAGGTATACATGTGTCATGGTGGTTTGCTGCACCCATCAACCTGTTATCTACATTAGGTATTTCTTCTAATGCTATCCCTCCCCTAGCCCCCCACTCCCAACAGGCCCCAGTGTGTGATGTTCCCCTCCCTGTGTCCATGTGTTCTCATTGTTCAACTCCCACTTATGAGTGAGAACATGCAGTGTTTGGTTTTCTGTTCCTGTGTGAGTTTGCTGAGAATGGTGGTTTCCAGCTTCATCCATGTCCCTGCAAAGGACATGAACTCCTCCTTTTTTATGGCTGTATAGTATTCAATGGTGTGTATGTGCCACATTTTCTTTAACCAGTATATCATTGATGGGCATTTGGGTTGGTTCCAAGTTTTTGCTTTTGTGAATAGTGCTGCAATACCCCATCAAAAAGCGGGTGAAGGATATGAACAGACACTTCTCAAACGAAAACATTTATTCAGCCAACAAACATATGAAAAAAAAAGCTCATCATCACTTGTCATTAGAGAAATACAATTTTATATATATATATGTAACCACTACATATATGTATACATAAGATATATGTATATATAAATATATATTTTTATATATATGTATATATTTATATGTGTATATATACATATACACATATATATACATACATATATATGTATATACACACATATATACATACTTATATATGTATATACACACATATATACATACTTATATATGTATATACACACATATATACATACATATGTATGTATATACACATATATACATACATATATATGTATATACACATATATACATACATATATATGTATATACACATATATACATACATATATATGTATATACACATATGTATGTATATATGCGCGTATATACATATATATTGTTATTTATATATGCATATATATAAATAACAATATATATAAATATACATTTATATATATATATATATATATATATATATATATGTAACCACTACAATGATGAAAATACCCAGCTATTATATCACCACCAAGCCCTTGGTGTTATCTCTTTATAGTCACACTCATTTCCCTTCCTTCTTCTGCCGCATCTTTAAATCCCGGCAATCATTCATCTGCTTTCCATCTCTGTAATGCTGTCATTGTGTGAATGTTATATAGGTGGAATCATGCATGTGTAACCTTTTTAGACTGGCTTTTTCACTCACTATAATTCCCTTGAGATCCATCTAAATTGCTGTATCAGTAGTTCATTCCTTTAATTGCTGAAGAGTATTTCATGGTACAGACAGATCACAGTTTGTTTAACCATTCATTGCCAAAGGATATTTGGATTGTTTCCAGTTTTTAACTATTACAAACAAAATTGTTATGAACAACCACGTACAGGTTTTTGGGTGGACACAAGTTTGTTTGTCTGTTTTTTGAAACAGGGTCTTGCTCCAGGATATAAGTTGTTATTTCTCTGGGATAAATGCCTAGGAATGCAATTGCTAGATTGTATGGTAAGTGCATATCAAAAGTTTTCATTATTAAGAAACTGCCAAGCTGTTTTCCAGAGTGACTGTACCATTTTTTAACTTCCAACAGCAATGTATGAGTGGTTCAGTGTCTCCCTGTCCTTGCCAACATTGCTACTATTATCAGTTTTTATTTTAGCTATACTGATAGGTTTACAGTAACATCTCATTATGGCTTTGTATTTCCTAATGGCCAATAATGTTGAACATCTTTTTGTGTATTTATTTACCATCTCCATCTCCTCTTTAATAAAACGTCTATTCATGTGTTTTGCCCATTTTCTAATTAGATTTTTGTTTTTATAATTTTTTATGTCTTGCTGAGTTTTGAGAATTCTTTACTCTAGATTCAATTCCTTTGTCAGATATGTGGTTGGCACTTTTTCCCAGCCTGTAGTTTGTCTTTTTATTCTCCTCTCAGAGACTTTTGTAGAGCATGAAGTTTTAATTTTGACACAGCCCAAAATGTCAGTTTTTCTTCTCTTCTCCATACAATTTCATATATAAGAAATCTTCAGTCATATATAAAGACTCTTGACTCTGTCACTAGGCCCAAAAGATTTTCTTCTACATGTTTTCTAGTTTTATGTCTTACATTTAAATCTATGATCCATTATGAAGTAATTATTATATAAAATAATTTTACACAATAATTTTAACTTTATTATTAAATAATTTTAACTATTTATTTTATTCTTTGCCTATGGATGCCCAATTGCTGCAGCATCATATGTTGAAAAGACTATTCTTTCATTAAATTGCTTTTGCGCCTTTGTAAAAAAAAATCCGTTGGACATATTTATGTGGGCCTATTTATGGTTTTTCTATTCTTTCATATGATTTTTGCTCAATTAAAAAATACCGTAAACTTGTTTCCACCAACAATTTCAATATAATTTTAGCTAGTGCAAAGCATGTCACGGGTTGGACATAATCATGATGTAGTTAACCACTACTATTTTGAATATTTAGGTTATTTTTTAATTTTTGCTAACATAAGTCACCTTATAATGAACATCCTTGTAGCTTAATCTTTGAATATATTAATGATAATTTCTTGGGATTTCTAGAAGTAAACTTGCATAAAGAGTGTACAGCTTTTTAGAAAATGAGCTATTTTGGACAATAGTTAGGGGTCAGCCTACTTTTTAAATGTGGGGATTTTTCATTTTTCTTTTGAGACAGAGTGTCACACTGTCACCCAGGCTGGAGTGCAGTGGCATGATCTTGGCTCACTGCAAACTCCACCTCCCAGGTTGAAGCTATTCTCCTGCCTCAGCCTCCCAAATAGCTGGGATTACAGGTGCATGCCACCACACCTGGCTAATTTTTGTATTTTTAGTAGACACAAGGTTTCATCATATTGGCTAGGCTGGTCTCGAACTTCTGAACTCAGGTGATCCACCCTCCTCCGCCACCCAAAGTGCTGGGATTACAGGTGTGAGCCACCACACCCGGCCTAAAATGTGTTTTTAAAAACATCTGTATATAAAATGAACTTAGGTGTAAAGGGAAAATAGATGAATAAAGTACTATAGCCAGAAAGCTACTCATTGCTATAGATGTAAGATTGTTTTTCACATCTGTTAAAAATCAATGAATAAGTCAGATTTCTCAGAGCAGTCTGCTGCAGGGTAAAGGGGAGTTTCTACCACCCCTGCAACATACTATAATGTAATTGCTTAAATGCCCAGATACTCCATAGAGAAAGCTGAATAAATGTGCTTCAGGAAGTTGAACTTGAAAGTAGATTAGTGTTCATTATCTACAGTCAATATTTTTATTCAAGAACATTTAACTAGCCTAGCACAGGGCACATGCCCAATATTAATAGAAGACAGGGTGTGGTAAGTCCTACGAGTGAGTCAGAGTTCAACAGGAAAAGAAGAGAGAGAAAGATGAATCTTGACTTTGTACATGTAGAAAAGTCTCTTGAGAATAGAGTATCTGTGTGGGGCCTGAATGTGGCTCAGGCAGACAGAATATGGGAAATGCATTCTAGAAAGAGACAAAGATGTGGCAGCTGAGAAGTGAGCACACGGCTGTGTTGCTCCACGAATGTGCACGTACTGGGAGGGAAAGAGAGATGTTTGGAGATAGTTTTGGAAAGACGGGCTTGAGAAAAGACGTGCCTCAAGCAGGAAACCGGAATGTCAAGTAGAAGCAGTAACTTTTATTCAAATAAGAAAGCTCTTGAAGTTTTGACATAGGAACAGGTGACCAGAGCTGCTCTTAAAAAAGACAAAATTCTGGCTACAGTGTTTGAACAGCCTGGACTGGGAGAAAGACCAGAGGCTGCAAGTCTGCTGAGGAAGCAACTGCCTAAGTTTAGGGAGAAGATATCCAGCTCCAAACTCTGACAGGGGATGTGCGGGCAGATTAATGCTTGTGAGCCTATATTTCTAGAGGCAGGTGCATCATTGCTTGAAACACATTTTTTTGTTCCCCCATGATTTGGAGAGGTAAAAGGGAAAGCTGGAGTCTGTGATGGTCAAGAGAAAGGACTCTAGTTCCAAAATGCCTGGTCCCTGGTCCAGGAACCTGTATCTGCTGGCTGTATAACCCCTAGTAAGTGACTTTATCCTTCCTGTGTCTTGGTATCCTCAATTGTAGAAAGGGGATGATAGTATTCATTTCATTGTGTTGTTGGGGGGATTAAATAAATCTATGGATGTCAAGTGTGCCAAGTGTGTAGAACAGTATGTGGCACATGTTGTTCACCATTACTCTTTTTGTGATTATTTTTGAGCTATTTCGGGAGAAGAGGTTTGTGGTCATATTTGCCTGACAAGGGGAAGAAAGGATGGAGTTAGAAGAGCAGAGGAAGAGGAATATCTAACAACGATGCTTCTTCCCTTCCAATGTGCACGCATATCACCTGGGTATTATGTTAACATGCAGACTCTGATTCAGTAGGTCTGGGGTAAGAACTGAGTTTGTGCATTTCTAACAAGGTCCCAGCTGATGTGCAAGAATCTGAGAGCTCCTTCACTACCTTACTTACCTCTCCTACCCTCTCCCCTCCAGGCTCATTTTGAACCCTGGATATTAGGAGGATTGCAGCCCTTATTGTCCTAACATTGCATTCAAGGAAACTTCTCCTTTTGCAACAATCATTATAAAATGATTCTTACTGTATATTACAGGCCCTTTACATTCTTTATCTCAAGTCCTCATAACAAGCCTTGGGCCAGGCGTGGTGGCTCATGCCTGTAATCTCAGCACTTTTGCGATCACTTGAGGTCAGGAGTTTGAGACCAGCCTGGCCAACATGGTGAAACCCCGTCTCTACTAAAAATACAGGAAAAAACAAAAAATTAGCCAGGCTTGGTGGTGCACGCCTGTAATCCCAGCTACGTGGCAGGCTGAGGCAGAAGAATCGCTTGAACACGGGAGACAGAGGTTGCAGTGAGCCGAGATCATGCCACTGCACTCCAGCCTGAGTGACAGGGCGACACTCTGTCAAAAAAAAAAAAAAAAAAAAGCCTTGTAAGGGTAAGATGCTATAAGCCTCATTTTACTGATGAAGAAACTTGGAGAGGTAAAGTAACACTCTCAAGGCTAAATAGCTCACAAGTGGCAAAGCCAGAATTTAAACCCAGGATTTTCTCATATGCTATGCTAGTTCCCAGGTGATGTGCCTTCCATAAAGACTCCAGAGAGGGCACACTGAGAAGCAGAAGTGGGAGAGGAAAGAGTGGAGGGTGTGTGTCCTGCCTCCGGCCGTGAAGTTACTCCTGCTCTATCCTGGCTGTTTATGGAGATCTCTTGTAGGCCTATAAATCCGAAGTTCCCAGGATTTACTGCTAGCCACACCCATCTCCCCACAGAGTCCTGTTTAGCCAGATCTTGGTTATTCTGAAGCAGGATCTTTTTTGGTAAGGTATTTCCCAAGAGTTTTAGATCATTTTTCAGAACACTTTATAAAAAATGGAAAGAGTTATGGTTATTAATTAAGAGAACTAAAATTGTAAATCTAGGAAGGTGTAAGATGGCAAGGCTGAAATACATATACATTTCTATTTTATCTGCTATATAAGGTATAGCAGGTATAAGCAAGGAATATAAGGTATAGCAGGTATAAGGTATAAAAACAATACCTTTTCCTCAGATCTTAGCTTTGGGAACAAGAAGTAGTTCACACATGCATTACCGTGTGGAGGGCTGATGAAGCAGAGGGAATCCTTCCCTCTTAGGGCCACATGATGTGGTTTCTGAGAAGACGAGGTACATGCCTAAAATGTGGTAGATCAGTTGAGCAGTGCACAAGCCAGTTCATCTCTGATCCTTCAGCACAAATAGCTGATGTGTCTGTTGGCCTCTGACAGATGTCTCTTCATAACTCTGTCATAGTCCCTGCCAAGTTACATGGCCATTTATCTATTTCCAAGTCTTTTTTTTCCTGAAGCAACTTTCTAAATTTCAGGGTTTTAAAAAATACTTTATTAACATTTTTCCTCAAATCTATGCATGCTAAGTTCCTACTTCATGTTTTTTTTGTTTGTTTGTTTTTTGGGTGGTAGGTGTCTTTTCTGTTTTTGCCATATCTTTAAATGACTTGTATTATTATTTAAAGATTTATTTCATTATCTCTACTTGTTTTTTTCTTATTTAAATAAATTTATTCTTTTAAAGATCTTCATATCATTTCTATGATTGGAAAATCAAGGTCTTTTACCATAATTAGTAAAGGTAAGAGTAATTAAATAATAATGAAATACAAAAACAATCCATGCATCATCTAAAATCATTGCATATACTGTTTTGGGACATTTATCACTTTGGGAAAAGCTGTCTTGGAGGACATGAGGACCCAGGGGCAGACACCCGTGTTTATTTCTCTATTTTCAACATTTTCTAACTTCCTGGTTTCCATTTAATGTTGAATTAGTGAAGTATAAATGTGCTCCACTGATGTTTCAATGGGTAGGCAATATTTTTGGCTGGGGTTATAAGTGATTATTTTTTATGAGAAATACAACATTTGAGCCAGATCTCTGATTTTGAGAAGCAACTGGACAAATAGCAAAGAGATGTAAGAGCATTCCAAATGTCCCTGACCAGGTACAGAGGTGAGAAAATTTATGGCAAGTTCAGAGAAAACTTGAATGTATTGATTTTACAGAGGCATATTTAATAGTTCTAAATGAGCCTCCTCTCCCAGGGATAGGCATCTCTGTTTCCCGAGCAGTGACTAATCGTGGGAATTCCAGCCTAGGGGGTAGATATGTGGGATCTATATTTTTGGGTGGGGTTTTGTCGGGAGGATTTCAGCATCCCTCGAATCACATTACTAGAATGTTGCCTGAGGCAAGGCTCACGAAGGAGCTTCTTGTGATAGCTGTCAAATGAAAAGGGCATAAACCAGTGAACTGGACATTAATATGCATTCTGAAATCCGGCCATGGAATGTATTCCCAAGATGTTCTTAAAAATACAATTTCTGATTGGATCCAAATATTTACGTTAACCATAGAAGATATTCTTCCCACTAGAAGAAGAACAATGTAAAGTCTTTCCCCAAATACACTTAACTGATCATTTCCCCCTCTTTGTCCAAGCTGCTGCTTAGGATATGACCCTCTAGAAGTTTTATGATAATAAAATGTGCAATAAATAGATGGAATCAATGTTATTTTATCATAACTGTGTTCTTAAAGGCATTCACATATAGAACAAAGCAGCAATCCTTATGGTCACCTGAGTTATCCCTTGGATGAAGCAACTTTCTACCCCATTGAAGGTGCAGCACACAAGTTTTGGTTTCCTCCATGTCTAGTTGATACAGACAATTAGACAAAGGCCTTGGGTGCCTTCAGCATAGTGTAGAACAGTCAAAAAGGTCTGTTATTATAATAGATAATGCATAATAATGATGGGGTAGGTGTAGAAATTTGGTTTAGATGAGAATTTCTCGAGAAAAAAAAACATAGAAGGCACAGCTCAGAAGAAAAAAAAATGAAACGTTACTAGAAAAAAATTAAACCAGGGAGATGTATTTGATTAAAACACAGGAGCTATTAACTGAAAAAGGAATGCAAAGAAACCTTCCATGCTGCAAGAGGGCCAGAGTGTCTGAGATAGTGAGACTTGGATGCCTCTAATTCCTCTAATTCAGTGATAATGTCCCCTTTTGCACACACGATTGCAGAAGGAGCTCGGGTTCCCAACGAGTCAAGTGTTTGCAGATGCATCAGAATTAGCTACCATTTAAGAAACCCACCATCTTTCAGAATGAATTTCCTACATGTCACAATAAGTTCAATTGAAAAGAAAAGAAAGAAATTTTATGTTATTTCTTTGCTATACACATCCTCCCACCTGTATGTTGGATGTTTCAAGCTACCAAATGCTGAGGGAATTTACCGAGGCATGTTATTAATGCCAGCCCCACCACATGAACAAAAAAAGGCAAGATTTGGAGCACTTCAAAACTGACTGACTAATTTAAAATTGCTTGAGTGTAGTTAATCAATATTTATTTGCTTTTTCTAAGAGATGAAGAAAGCATATTATAGTGCTGATTTCATCATTTATATGTTAAGAAAGAGTACAAAGGCAGTGTAGTGGTTCCAATGACAGACTTGGAGGCAGAAATATCTGGATTATGAATACTTATGAACTACAGTCTTGGGCAAGTTACCCAATATCTAAGTCACAGTTTCCTCAGCTATGAAACTGTGACAAGAATATAGCTGATTCACAGAGTATAGTGTGAGTATATGTAAAATAGCACAGTTCACAATGAATGGTGAAAGCCCGTTAAGCGTTGTTGTTACTATTACTTTCTTAAAATTTCTCTCCTTTGATCTTGTTCTTTCCTTTAGTGTGGAGAAGGTGCTGTGTTACTGGCTAAAGCCAGTTTTGTAAACCCTGAAGCCTAATGGGCCAAGAAGGCAATTTAATCAAGAAGCATGGGTTAGAATTTTTAAAATTTTGAACATGAGTAATAGATGGCAACTGACTGTTACCTATGCCAGTGATCATTATTGTGGCACATAGGACAGTGCCTGCCCTATTTACAGGGAGTAGAATAATGAGGCCACTATTGCTGAGTTTCCAGAAAAATATCAATTCTTTTAAAATAATACATCTCTCAATTTTTATATGTTGGCAATGCATTCAATATGATATAAGTTTATTTCTTTCCCTGTGTATTTAACAGTAGACAGACTTAATAACAAGGGCAAATGAAACAGATGCTTAGGTTGAATTTGGTCCATGGGCAATCAGTTGGTAATCTCAGGATTAAAGGATATTAAAATAAAATAAACCCAACATATCTCCGAAAAGTCACTCCAAAATATGCTTGGACCCTGCTGACAGGGAGAGTAAGTTGTTATGATTTTCCTTGCTACCTCTGGGTTTCTGTCAGTATTTATTCTGTTTTTATTATCCATCCATCATCAATTTTTCCATCCATCCATCCATCATCCACCCATTCATCCATCATTATCAAGCCTCAATAGTGAATTACTGGGTGATCAGGAGGATCCAAAGATGTACATGATAGAATCCTTCACCTCAAAGAACTTTCAGGTATCTAAGGGGTGTTGCAGTGGTGGTACCTATGAGTAACCAACAGAGATGAGTAAAGAGTAGAGATAAAGAAGGTATGATAATGACAGTAGGAATGGCATTAAAGAATTACAACAAACCCTTCTGGCATGGATGCCTGGCCCTGCCTCTTCCTTGTCTCTACCCCAGTTCCAGATGTCTGATCCCACTTGCTTTCCCTACATCAGTCATTGCTAATACCCTGCTCTTCTCAACAGAACGCAAGCTCAATAGTGCTTGCTGTTCTTTGCAGAAGAAAAGAAAATAGCAATAGTGCTAAATCCCAGCATTCATTATTTCTAGCTCTTCCACTGTCTTTAGGTAAACTTTTCATCAATTTCCTTAACCAGGTTACTAAGTTTTTGGTTAATTTCAAAATTAATAATATTTATATTTGTACTTGTCTTTCATTTATGGGATCTTAATATGAGGAATCAGCAAAGAATAATTGAAAGAAAAACTGAAAACCTCCATGCAGATGTGACCTCAGCAACTGCATCTCTTTGACCCTGTGTGGCATAATAAAAAATATATATTTGGTCTTTGTCCAGGTTCCTGACATACAAGTCCTAAGATCCTTGGAATCTCTGAAGTGATGAGTATCTTATATGCTAATGAGATGACTGGTGTCTGGGAGGCCTAGATAACTTCAGGATGGGGGCTGTCCACCAGAAAAACCAAAGCATAATTAAAAGATTAGAACTTTCAGCTCTCCTTCCCCCCACCTCCAGGAAGACAAAAGGAACTGGAGATTAAGTTAATATCTAATGAGCAATGATTTAATCAATCATGCCTACATAATGAAATCTCCATTAAAACCCCTAAATGATGGGGTTCAGAGAGCTTCTGGGTGGGTAAATGCATCCATATGCCAGGAGGGTGATTCATCCTAACTCCAGAGAAACACAAGCTCCTGTTCTTGGGACACTTCCAGACCTCACCCTATGTACCTCTTCATCTGGCTGTTCATTTTTATTCTTTACAATATCCTTCATATAAACTAGTAATAGTAAGTAAAGCACTTTCCTGTTTTGTGAGCCATCCTAGCAAATCACTGAATCTGAGGAGTGGAGTCATGAGAACCCCCAATTTACAGTCAGTTAGTCAGAAATATAGGCACTAACCTGGGGCTTGAGGCTGGTGTCTGAGGTGAGAGCAGTCTTTTGGGACTAAATGCTTAAACCTATGGAGTCTGACACTGCTTAAACCTGTGGGGTCTGACACTAATTCTGAGTAGTTAATGTCAGAATTTAATTGGCTTGCAGGACACCCAGTCGGTGTCCAGAAAATTGGAAAACTGATTGTTGGCATAGAACCCCCTATCCACACACATATTTGATGTCAGAAGTATTGTGAGTAAAAATGGTTCATATTCTGGTACAACTTTAGTTGAAGGTGAGGTGGGGCATTGATGGAAACAATCTCTAAAACCTTTTCAAATTCTAAAAGCACGTAACAACTATGTTCCATAACTCTTTGGATTAATATATGAAGTTTTACCCATTTCAGCAGGTTGTATGATATCACATTGAGCACTACTTATCCACATGACAATTGGACCTGAGAAGGATAAGAAATGAATGAAACCCCTGTCATCCAGGTGCTTATGCTGAGGTTGCTACCTTGCATTCATGCAGCCTGCCTACTCTACAAGACATCTTCTCATCCATTATGTCATTTGATCATTTAATTGCAAAGGAAACCAAGGCTCAAAAAGGTAAAGAGAATTTGTTCAAGGTTTCTCAGCGTGTATGTGATGTCAGCAAGATGGTGCAATAGGAGGTCCCCAGCTCATATCCTCCCACACAAACAGTGACCTGGCAGTCATCCATGGAAAAAAGTGCCATTGTGGGAGACTTGGGACCCAGGTAAAAGGATGTAAAGCCCTGATGAAGCCCAAGACTGGGGGGAGCCACTTTGAGAAGGCAGGCCTACACCCTGGTGGCAGGCTTGCCAAATGTGGGTCCAGGTGCTGACTGAAAACCACTCCATCCTCCTATGGACTTAGATTTAGCTCCATTTGGCTGCAGTTTGTCCTGAAATCAGCCCCATCTGCCAATGGACCCGGAAGGAGCAACACTTGTCTATGCTCCCAGTTATAGTCCCACCAGACTTGGACTTAACTGTGGATCCTGAAGTGGCCCCATGACTCAGCTCCAGCCTCACTCTACTGCAGCCACAAAGTCAGTCCTGCCCACTCATGGAACCAGAGAGACACATACCTTTCCATACTCCCAGTAACAGGCCTGACAACCTCTGTCCTGAATGTGGATCCTGAAGTAGCCCTGTGATCCAACTCCAGCCCCGATCTACTGTAGTCAGTCAGTCCTGACCCAGAGGCACAGCAAGTATCCTGCCCTAAGTCCTAGATTGGATCCTGAAGCAGCCTTGTGACTTGGTTCAATCCCAGCCTTGCTCTGCTGTTGTCCAGGGGCAACCTTGCCTGCCCAAAGACCTAGCAGGAAACACACCCAGCTATGACCCAAGTAACATGCTTCCCAAATTGGACCAAACTGCAGATCCTACAGCAGCCCTGTGACATAGCCTAGCCATGCTCTACTACAATCTGAAGACAGTTCTGCTTGCCCAGGGACACAATAATAGCCATGCCTGTCAGCACCCCTGGTAACGGACCCACCAATCTCATACCCAACTGTGGACTCTAAAGCAGTCCTGTGAGCTGGTTCCAGACCCATTTTGTCATGGTGCAGATGTAGTGCTGCTTGTCCAGGGAACCAGCAGGAGCCCACTTAGGGCTGCTGGCAGCCACACTTATCCATGCTCCTGGTAACAAGCCTGCCATTTGCAGACTTGAATGCAGGACCAAAAGCAGCCCCATGTCCTGGCTTCAGCCCTGCTCAACTATTGTCCAGAAAACAGTCCCATTCCCCTGGGTATCAGACAGGAGCCATGGCTGCTTGTCCCCTTGCAACAGGCCTGGCAACTATGGACTCTACTGAGGAGCCAGCAGCAGCCACATGATTCAGCTTCAGCCAAGCTTGACTGCAATCCCAGAAGCAGTCTTATCAGTCTGTGAACCTAGCAGGAGAATATATATCTACCAAAAACAGTCTGTAAAGTCAGGAGATGGTTGCTCCTTCAGGTGCACAGACACTAATGCAAAGCCACACAGATCATAAAGAATCAGACAAACACGACACCACCAAAGAAACTAATAAAGCTCCAGTAATGACCCCAAAGAAATGGAGATCTATTGAATGCCTGACAAAAAATTCAAAATAATTGCTTTAAGGAAACTCTCAGCAAGCTGTAAGGGACACCGACAACTCAATGAAATCAGGAAATCTAAACTAAAAGCTCAACAAGAATTTATGAATGCAAAGATAGGTCATGTGAAATTATCCAGTCAGGGAAGAGAAAAAGAATAAGGAAGAGTGAAGAAGATTTATAGGACACCACCAAGCAAACCAACATACACATGGAGTTTCAGAATGAGAAGAGATAGAGAAAGAAAAAGAAACGTTTTTTAAATAAATAATGACTGGAAAACTTTCCAAACTTTGGGAAGTATATGGATGTCTAGATGACTGAAGCTCAGAGGTTCCCCAGCAGGATTAATCCAAAGAAGATAACACCAAGACACATTATAATTAAATTATCAAAAAATCAAAAAAATAAAGAATTTTGAAAGCAGCAAGAAAAAGGCAACTTATCACATTCAAGGGATCCTCCATAAGGCTACCAGTAAATTTCTCAGGAAAACTTTGCAGGCCATGAAACAGTAGGATAACATATTCAAAGTGCAGAAACCACTCCCAAGCCCCATCAACCCAAAATACTATACCCAGCAAAGGTATTCTTAGGAAATTAAGGAGAAAGGAAGACTTTCTCAGGCAAACAACAGCTGAGGAAGTTTATCACAACTCAAACTGCCTTACAAAAAAATGCTCAAGCTAGTTCTTAAAATTCAAACAAAAGGATGCTAATTAGTAACATAAAAACCCATAAAAACATAAAACTCAATTGGTAAGGATAAGCATATAGTAAAATTCAGAATACTCTAATACTGTAATGGCAGTGTGTAAATCATTTTAAACTCTAGTATAAAAGTTAAAAGACAAAACTATTAAAAACTATAGATACAATAACTTATCAATGAATAACAATATAAAAAGATGTAAATTGTGACACAAATAACAAAATGTGACAAGGGGAAGAAGTAAAAGCATAGTTTTTATATGTGATTAAAGTGTTTATCAGCTTAAAATTGACTTATGAAATTTAAATATAAGCCTCATGGTAAGAACAAGGGAAAAATCTCTAGTAGATTCACAAAAGATAAAGAGAAAGGAATCAAAATATACCACTACAAAAAAAAAAAAAAATCACCAAATCACAAAGAAAGACACAAGAAAGGAAGAAAGGAACAAAGAAACTACAGACTTTGCTCATGGTTTTCTGGCAATGAGCAAAATGACAAGAGTAAGTCCTTATCTATCAACAGTTATGTTAAATGTGAATGGATTAAATTCTCCAATAAAAGACAGAGTGGCTGAATGTATTTTTTATAAAAAACAAGATCCAACAATATGTTGCCTATAAGAATCTCACTTTAGCTTAAAGGACACACATAGGCTGAAAGTGAGAGACAGAAAAGATATTTCATGCAAATGGCAACAAAAAGAGAGAAAAAGTGGCTATACTTATATCAGATGAAATAGAATTCACATCGAAAACTGTCACAAGAGATAAAGAAGGTCATTATATAAAGATAAAGGGTCAATTTAACAGGAAAATATAACAATTTAAAAGTACGTGCCCCCAACATCAAAGCAGACTAAATAAAGCAAACATGAACAGAAATAAAGAGAGAAACAGACAGCAGTACCATAGTAGGAAACTTCAATACCCCACTTTCTATAATAGATCATTCTGACAGAAAACCAATAAAGAAACAGCAGAACTGAACAATAAACAAAGTGAACCTCACAGATAAATGTGGAACTTTCTACTCAAGAGCAGACAAATACACATTCTTCTCAAGCATACACAAAACATCCCCCAGAATAGATCACACTTTGGGTCACAAAAGAAGTCTTAAGAAATTCAAGAAGATAAAAATCATTTCTAGTATTTTTTTCTGACCATAATGGAATAAAACTAGAAATCAATAACAGTTAGAAAACTGGAAATTTTACAAATATATGGAAGCTAAAAAACACACTCTTAAACAACTATTGGGTCAAAGAGGAAATCAAAAGATAACTTTAAAACTATTTCAAGACAAACGAACACAAATACTCAACATACCAAAACTTACAGGATGCAACAAAAGCAATATTAAAAAAATTGTAGCAATAAATAGCTATATTAAAAAAAATGGAAAGAATCGAATAAGCAATCTAAGTTCAAACCTCAGGGAACTAAAAGAAAAGAATAAACTAAGCCCAAAGTTAGCAGGAAAAAAGCAGAAGTAAATTAAAGAATAGAAAAACAACAGAAAAAGTGTTTGCTTTAAAAAAAAATATACAAACCTTAGTTAGACTAACTGCTATGGCTTGGATATTTGAGGCCCCCAAATCTCATATTGAAATTTAATCCCCAGTGTTGGAGATAAGGCCTAATGGGAGATGTTTGGTTCATGGGGGCAGATCCCTCAGCTTTATTGATTGCTTGGTGACATCCTTGAAGTAATGAGCTCTCATTCTATTAGTTCCAGAGACAGTTACCCAGAGAGCTAGTTATTAAAAAGAATCTGGCACTTTCCTCCACTCTCTCACTTCCTCTCTTGTCATGTGATCAGCCCAGCCCATGCAGGCTCCCCTTCACCTTCTACCATGAGTGGAAGCAGCTTGAAGCCCTCACAGGAAGCAAATGGAGATGCCATGCTTTTTGGACAGCCTGCAGAACTAGGAGTCAAGTAAACCTCTTTTCTTCATAAATTACCCAGCCTCAGGTATTTCTTTATAGCATCACAAATGGAATAAGACACTAACCTAGAATAAAAGAGATGAGACTCAAATAAATAAAATCAGGAATGAAAGAGGAGATGTGACAATGAATGCCTCAGAAATAAAAAGGCACATAAAGAACTATTATGAATAATTATCTGCCAACAAGTTGGATAATACAGAAAAAATGATAAATTGCTAGAAATATACAACCTACCAGAATTAAATCAAGAAGAAATAGAAAGCCTGAACAGACCAGTCACAAATGAGACTGAATCAGTAATCGAACCCTTAACAAAGAAAACTCCAAGACCAGATGCCTTTATGGTACATTCTAAGTATTTGAAAAGGGATAAATGCCCAATATTTGTTAAACTCTTACAAAACATTAAAGGAGGAACACTGCTAAACTCATTTTACGAGGCTAGCATCAACCTGGTACTAAAGCCAGACACAAAAAAGAAAACTACAGGCAAATATCCCTGAGAACATAGAAGCAAAAATCCTCAATAAAATAGAGCAAACGAAATTCAACAACACGTTAAAAGATTTAAGTGGGATTCATCTCTGGGATGCAAGGAGGATAAACATGCAAAATCAACTAATATGATACACTGTATTAACAAAATGAAAGAAAAAATCCCACATGATTGTCTCAATAGATGCAGAAAAAGCATTCGACAAAGTCTGAGATTGATTCATGATAAATACTCTCAACATAGAGTACTCAGAAATAAGACCACACATCTACAACCAACTGATCTTCAACAAACCTGACAAAAACAAGCAATGGAGAAAGGATTCCCTATTTCATAAATGGTGCTGGAAGAACTGGCTAGCCATATGCAGAAGATTAAAACTGGACCACTAATCCCCACACTTTGGGAGGCCAAGATGGGTGGATCATTTGAGGTTGGGAGTTCGAGACCAGGCTGACCAACATGGAGGAACCCCATCTCTACTAAAAATACAAAATTAGCTGGGCGTGGAGATGTATGTCTGTAATTCCAGCTACTCGGGAGGCTGAGGCAGGAGAATTGCTTGAACCCAGGAGGTGGAGGTTGCAGTGAGCCAAGATCGCGCCATTGCACTCCAGCCTGGGCAACAAGAACGAAACTCCATCTTAAAAAAATAATAATAATAAAAAATAAAAAAAAATAAAACTGGACCACTTCCTTACACCTTAAACAAAACTTAACTCAAGACGGATTAAACTCAAAACTATAAAAATTCTAGAAGAAAATCTAGGCAATATCATTCAGGACACAGGCATGAGCAAAGATTTCATGATGAAAACATCAAAAGCAATTGCAACACAAGCAAAAATTGACAAATGGGATCTAATTAAACCAAAGAGCTTCTGCACAGCAAAAGAAACTATTGTCAGAGTGAACAGACAACCTACAGAATGGGAGAAAACTTTTGCAGTCTATTCATCTGACAAAGGTCTAATATCCAGAATCTACAAGGAACTTAAACAAATTTACAAGAAAGAAACAACACCATTAAAAAGTGGGCAAAGGACATGAACAAACACTTCTCAAAAGAAGACATTTATGCAGCCAACAAATATATGAAGAAAAGCTCAACATTACTGATCATTAGAGAAATGCAAATAAAAACCACAATGAGATACCATCTTACACCAGAGTGATGATTATTAAAAAGTCAAGAAACAACAGATGCTGGTAAGGCTGCAGATAAATAGGAACACTTTTACACTGTGGGTGGGGTTGTAAATTAGTTCAACCACTGTGGAAGACAGTGTAGTAATTCCTCAAAGACATAGCACCAGAAATACAATTTGACTCAGCAATGCCATTACTGGGTATATACCCAAAGGAATATAAATCATTCTATTATAAAGATACATGCATGCATATGTTCATTGCAGCACTATTCATAATAGCAAAGACATGGAATCAACCCAAATGCCGATCAGTAATAGACTAGATAAAGAAAATGTGGTACATGTACACCATGGAATACTATGTAGCCATAAAAAAGAATGAGATCATGTCCCTTGCAGGGACATGGATGGAGCTGGAAGCCATTATTCTCAGCAAACTAACACAGGAACAGAAAACCAAACACTGCATGTTTTCACTTATAAATGGAAGCCGAACAATCTGAACACATAGAGACAGAGAAGGGAACAACACACAGTGGGTCCTGTCATGGGGGCTGAGGGGAGGGAGAGCATCAGGAAAAATAACTAATGCATGCTGGGCTTAATACCTAGGTGATGGATTGATAGGTGAGCAAACCACCATGGGTGAGCAAACCACCATGGCACACGTTTACCTATGTAAGCCTGCACATCATGCACATGTAACCCGGAATTTCAAATAAAATAAAATAAAATAAAACAAAAAAGGTATAAAAATGTACCTCAACACAGTAAAGCCCATATATGAAAAGTCCATAGCCAACGTTATAATTAATATGGAAAACTTTCCCTCTAAGACCACATACAATGCAAGGATGCCCACTCTCACTACTTCTGTTCAACATAGTACTGAAAGTCCTAGCCAGAGTAATTAAACAAGAAAAATTAAAAACAGACATCTAGGCCGGGCGCAGTGGCTCACGCCTGTAATCCCACCACTTTGTTAGGGCGAGGCGGGTGGATCACCTGAGGTCAGGAGTTTGAGACCAGCCTGACCAACATGAAGAAACCCCATATCTACTAAAAATACAAAATTAGCAGGGTGTGGTGGTGCATCCCTGTAATTCCAGCTACTTGGAAAGCTGAGGCAGGAGAATTGCTTGGACCCGGGAGGCAAAGGTTGCAGTAAGCCGAGATCACACCATTGCACTCCAGCCTGGGCAACAAGAGTGAAACTCTGTCTCAAAAAAAAAAAAGAAAAATAAACAAACAAAAACAAAACAAAACAAACAAACAAAAACAAACATCCAAAATCAGAAAGGATGAAGTAAAATGAACTGTTTGCAGATGACATGATCATATATGTAATAGAAAACCTTAAAGACTCTACAAAAAACCAGTAAGAACTAATAAACAAAGTCAATAAAGTTATAGTATACAAAAGCAACATACAAAAATCTGTTGCATACTATCTGAAAAAAATTAGAAAAGCAATTCTATCTATAATAGCAATAAAAAGAGTAAAATAGGAACAACTTCATCAAAGTCATGAAATATATGTAATGTACACTGAAAACTATAAAATGCTTATGAAAAGAATTGAAGAGACACAAATAAACGAAAAGTTACCCCATGTTAATGGGTTGTTAGAATTACTATTGTTAAAAATGTTTATACTATCCAAAGCCATCTAGAGATTCCATGCAATCTCTATCAAAATCACAAAGGTATATTTCACAAAAATAGAAAAAGCAATCTTATAGTTTATATGGACCACAAAAGATACTGAATAGCCAAAGCAGTCTTGAATAAAAACAAAGCTGGAGGCATCACACTTCTGATTTCAAAATATGTTACATAGATACAGTAATTAAAACTAGTACCATGCCTAAAACAGACAAATGGTACTTGGCATAAAAACGGACATATAGGCCAATAAACAGAATAGGGAGCCCAGAAATAAATCCACGCATATCTAGTCAACTGATATTTGACAGGGCACCAAAACATGCAATTCAGAAAGCATAGTCTCTTCAATAAATGGTGTTGGGAAAACTAGATATCCAGAATGAACTAGACCCTTATCTCACACCATATACAAAAATAAATTCAAAATGGATTAAAGATTTAAATAAAAGACCTGAAACTATAAAAGTAGTAGAAGAAAATATAGAAAAAAAACTTTCTGATATCGGTCTGGAAATAATCTTTTGGATGTGACACCAAAGACCCAGGCAATAAATATAGAAATAGACATATGGAGTACTACATCAAACTAAAATGCACCTACACAGAAAACAGTCAACAGAAGAAAAAGGCAACCTGTGAAACTGGGGAAAATATTTGCAAACCATATATTTGATAAAGGTCTAATATCCAAAATATACAGATACTCAAAATCTCAATACCAAAATAACAACCCAATTTTTAAGATGGCAAAGGACCTAGACATTTCCAAAAAGAAGACACACAAATGCCCAACAAGTATATGTAAAGGTGCTCAACATGACTAATAATTAGGGAAATGCAAATTAAAACCACAATGAGATATTACCTCACACCTATTAGAATGACCATTATAAAAAAAAAAAGAGATAAGTGTTGTTGAGGATATAGGTGAAAGGAAACTTTTGCATACTACTGATAGGAATGTAAATTGGTACAACCATTGTGAAAAACGGTATAAAAGTTCCTCAAAAAATTAAAAATAAAACTACCACATGATCTAGCAATTCTACTTCTGGGTATATATCCGAAGAAAATGGAACCACATAATCAAAGAGATATCTGCATGACCATGTTCATTGCAGCATTATTCAGAATAGCCAAGACACAATGAAATATTATTCAGCCTTGAAAAAGAAGGAAATCCTATTATTTGAAATAAGCTAGACACAGAAAGGCAAACACTGCTGCTCTCATTTATATGTGGGATTTTAAAAAGCTGAACTCATCAAAGCAGAGTAGAAAGAACAATGGTTGTCAGTGGCTAGGGGTAGGGACAATGAGGAGATGTTGGTCAAAGGGTACAAAGTTTCAGTTATGCCGAATAAATTAATCCTGGAAATCTAATGTACGGCATGGTGAATATAGTTAATAATACTGCATTGTACACTTGGAATTTGCTAAGGACTTGGTGTTCTCACCATTACAACCAAAAAAAATTGTAACTACTTGTGTTAATAGATATGTTAATTAGCTTCATTGTGATAATTATTTCACCATGTATACATTTACCAAGATATCATGTTGTATATCTTAAATATATAGAATTTTTGTCCACTGTATCTCAATAACACTGGAAAAAAAGGTTTCCTTTTGCCTCTTTCCACTCAATGCCCCTACCTAAAGCAAGAGGTATTCTTAATTCTATCACCATAGATTACTATTGCATGTTATTCAGTTACACACAAATTGTTTTATTCTGAATGTATAAGTAAGTAAATAAATAAGACTTCCAGCTGATTCTGACATATCTCAATACATGAACATAACAGACATAATTAAAATTATACTAGGAAAGAGGAAAAAGGTTGGAGAAATCAGAAAAAGTTTCCTAGAGGAGGAGTTTGTGCTGGGTATTAACAAGTGGGCAAGATTTGCTAGGTAAAAACTAGAGAATAGGATTATGAGCTCCATGTTGCATGACTCCAGGGAACACTATTCACACTGTGTTCTGTGGTTGCAGCCTACTGGAGACCTATTCTGAAGATGTATTTTATAATGTGAATAGTGCCCTTGGCATTGTATAATGTGGCAGCCTTGAAAGAATGAGGCAAGAAAATTAGGTTGGCACTAAATTACAAAGGGCTTTGAACACTGCAGCTTATTTCATCCAGCTGGTAATGAGGAGTGTATGTAAAGTTTCTTAGTGTCCTAGGGAGTTGCATGACCAAATCAGCACCCTAGACATATTTATATAGCAACAGGATTAGACAGCGAGGAAGAGATAGTGACAGAGAGACTAATTATGACACTTTTGAATTAATGGCAAACCTGAATAAGTGTAAAGGCAGGGAAAACAAAGAGAAAGGTTTTGACCCAAGAATAATCATCAAGAAAGCCAGGCCTTGCTGACTGGTTATATGTGTGGGAGAAGAAGAGAGAGATTATCATTAGTTTTCTGACTTTTAGAGTTTAAGTGACTCGGAAAGTGGGTACTGATGTTAGAAACAAAAGTCAGAAGAGTCAGTTGGGGCCATTTTAGGCACATCAAGTTTTAGAAGAAAGTAAATCATGCCAGTAGAAATATATTTGGAAATGTGATTGGACCATGTGAACGTCCTAAGAGCTAGAGATTTTGGAGGTCTTCCAACTTGCAGGAAGAGCTGAAGTCACTGGGAGCTCATCCTGAGTCTTGCTCCAGTGATTTTTTGGGGGGTATGTGTCTGGAACTCAGATGAAATTCATCTCCAGGCTGCAGTTCTTTAAATAAAATATGTAAATCCATCCTAAAATAGAGCTTCACCGCCATCATGAGAAATTGTTCTCAATATAAATAGCTAACGCCCTATGCAAAAGGCTCGTGCATGAGTATCAATAATGTTGACAAAATTACTTTCTTAAAAAAAACTTCTATAAGGTACAATGAGTCATAAAACCTTTGCAAAGTAAGTTCATAAATATTGATTAAAGAGATGGCACAGACCAGATGATGGAGCACCATGATTCCTGGATTCTGTAATGTAATAGCAATTACTACCAGGGGTCAATCTCAGGTAAAAAATTAGATTGAAAGCCAGTATCAAAGTTGTTTCTATAATTCTATCATTTTTATATTGTATTCTATATGTCATTTATTTTTATCTTCTAAAAATGTTATTTAAATTCTAAAAATAATATAATGAGATTATATAGAATGAGAGGAGGGAAATGACCCATAATTCCTTGTAATTATTGTTACATTTACATTTTTATATTGTTGTAGTCATTGGATGCATACAATTATGCGTCCTTGTCTTTGTCCCTTAACATTGGTTTTTCTGTATATTTCAAGACAGTCTTCATAGCTATTAGTTTAAATGGCCACCCAAATAAATGCATCAAAACTGATTGAACCATGTTCTTGGTGATGGGAATTTAACTTGTTTCCACTTTTTCAAAACAAATAGTCTCTTATTCAATGTTCTTGTGACTATTTTTCTATATTTTGAATTTTAAAAAATGAATTAAGCTGCCAGAAAGGAAATTACCAGATCAAAGGAAAGCTGTGTTTTTTTATGGCTCTTAATACATATACCAGAATTCATCTCCCAAATTTTATTCTGATTTTCTCTAGTGACATCACAAAGCTACTCTATAGCACCTCTGCTAGCATTAGATATTATAATTTTTAAGTTGCTAATTTAGTATGTGAATGGACGTATTTTATTTTTATTAAAACCTAAATCTATTTTGAAGTGAATGCATTTTCTTTTGTAGCTTTTATTACGTGTGTGTAGTTGCGTATAAATCATTATTTTCCATCATAAAAGTAGTAACATGCATGCATTTCTATCTAAAATTTCAATCAGAACAATGGTGGATTTAGTGTGCATCCTTGGAGGTTTTGTGGCATGTTTTGACTTTTAAAATGTATTCATTCAACGTTTATTGAACACTTACTGTATGCCAGCCCCTGCTGCATATGCTGGGATACAAAGGGTAATAGACAAGGGGGAAAGACATTACACGCACAAGAAACAGTATTTGCAAAGGAATGTGAGGTGTGACAGAAAATGATGTTTTCATAGAACTATAGTTGCTCATTATTTTGGAGATAAAAGGCACTATATCAGTTATCCATTTCGGTGTAACAAACTACATAACAGCTTAAAACAACGCTTTTAATATTTCTCACTATTGGGTGAGTTGGCTGGACAATTTTCATTCTAGCTTTGCCTGGGTACACTCATGCAGCTGCATTCAGCTAGGAGATTGGCTGAGACTAGGCTCAGCTGGGACATCTGGGATGGCTGGGCATCTCTCTTTAAGAGCATATTCATGGAGGCTGGACCAGGCTGCACTTCTTCACATGGTGCCAACAGAGTTTCAAGAGGGCAAGCCCCAATGTGTAAGCATTTCTCAAGCCTCTGATTGTGTCACATGTGCTGATGTCCTAGTGGCCAAGCAAGTCACATGGCCAAGCTCAGCCTCAGTGTGGGAGGGAACTGCAACAGCATGGGGAGCCTGGAAGGTGTGATTCATTGGAAGTTGTTAGAAAAACAATCTCTTACAGTTACAATTAAGGGAATAATGGGCAAAGAGATTAGACACAGATGCCAGATAGCTGCAGCCCTCATGTGCTACACTGAGTTAAGATTTTTTTTGTTGTTGCTGTAGATCCTTAAGAATAACTGGAAGGGCTTCTGTAGTTTTGGAAGTATGACAGGGCTTTGTGTGAAGATGCCCTGCTCTGATTTCTAGTTTTAGAAAGATCACTTAAGCGGTCTTGCATATAGACATGAGAAAATTAGAACACAAATAAGATCATTGTAGCAGGAAGATCATGAAGAGGAGGAAATATGTTTGAGAAATATTTATTAGTAACAATAGTAAGATTCATTAAGCACCAACTATGTGCCGAAGACTTTACGTTTTATCCCACCCATCCTTATAACAATTGTTTTACACAGGTGTAACCAACTCTATTTTATAAGATTATGAAACTGAGGCTAAATAGTCAAGTAAATTCTGAGGTACTTAAGGAAAGTTTGTGGAAGAGCTGGGATGTAATCCTTCATCTATTTGATGCAAAGTCATTGGTTTTCTCACTGTCTCACAGAAAAATGAAAGGCTGGAAAGTGACAGTGTTGAATAGGTAATAGGTCAGGATGGCTGATAAACCGGTGGAGAAAAGCACATGCTTCTCTATCTTATTTATTACTCATGGGGTTAAACTTTCAGAGAGGAGCTGATGTCTTGGCTTCTGGATGCTGGGGTGGAGTAAGGAAGGGCAAAAAGCAGAAAGGAAAAGAGAGAGACTGAACATAATAGCTCAACATCTTTGACACAAACACTGGGGGTTTCTGATGCCTACTCCAGTGGCAGCAAGCTTTGAGCAACAGGACTTGTCCTGGGGAAAGTTAGCAAGTCAAGAAAGTTATTGGTATGATGCAGAGAAGATGGATAAGGAAATGTAATCTAAAATCTGCATTCATTTAGTGACTTTTTTTCTTTTAACACTGACTTCTTACTCCCCTCCTCATTTCTCCCTTTCAAATGGCTCTTTGTGGGTGAGTTACTCTTCTGAAATGCCTACTTCCTTCCTCTTTTGTCTTACTGTCTTGGTCCCTGGGGAGAATGGAAATTAGTTAAGTGTGATGGGTGTTCAGGAGGCAGGCTTTGGTCCTTGGCCAAGAGAGAACTAATTCCCCCAGGAGTAGCCAAAAGTATCAGCTTCACAACTCCCCTTCTTAGAGCTGAAAGGGTTTCTTTGTTTCTTCAATATTCCAAACCAGGGCAGTTACATGTTTTGAGAAATCCATGATTACACCCAAACAAATCTCTCAAATCTATTCAAACATCAATTAACATTTATTAAGCTGTGGAGAGGAGAGTCAGATTGGAGATACATAACGTAGAATAAAACAAAGCCTGTACTCACAATGAATGTATAAGCTTTAGGAGGATAGGGGGCCATCTTGTGCAGGAAGTTATGTCATGTAAACAATAATCATAATGCAACGCAGACTGAAATAAGCACTCAGTAGAGGTATGTAACTTGATGCTGTGAAGAGGGAGAGAAAGGAAAATTTCATGGAAGAGAAGGCATTTGAATGGGTCTTTGAAGGATGAGACGGGGTTGAGAAGAGTGTACGAGGTGGAGGGCACAGTCCGAGCCAAGCGCACATACCTGGAAAGTGCCCAGTGTGGTTGGGGAATGGCTGGATTGTAGAAGTTAAAAATAACAGAATTTTTTTTTTTGGCCAGTATAAGAAATCTCAGGGCTTTTGAAATGAGTCTTTCTTTTTCTCCAATAAAGTGTCCTCTGAAACAATGTCATTCATTCAAAAACTGTCGAAACATCACTAATCTTGTTACAGTACGTAGCTAGTCAGACATGAGCAGGGCAGGAGTGCCCACTCCCGACCCCCAACCAGAATCATTAGGTGACCATCAGGTCATGGTCAGGTGGTTGTTAATTGTCTCTCTAAAATAAGAATTGATTACAGCCAGTACCAGGGAAAGGCAGTCTTCCAATAGACAGAAAAAATCTGAAACTGGTGATCAGCAGCTTCCTGATAAGATCTCAAGAGTTGGGTGAGTGGGCACAAGCATGCTCACTAAGAGGCAAAATGGCAGAGTTTAACTGGTATATGACCCTACTCTAGAAACACTCAACTGATAAGGGAATGCCTCAAGTGAGCATGTGCCCAATTTCAGGTAACACGCTGTGCATGTGGGCCCTCCCAAGTGCCGACAGGCCACTGCACATGTCAACAGTCCACCCCAAGGGAAGAATCAGGGGAGAAGTAACACAAGACCCCAGAAGCATGCCAGCGTATAAAACCCCAGGTCAAAAAGTCAGACTGTGCACTTGATTTCTCAAGTTGCCTGCTTGGCCCTCTTCCAAGTGTACTTTACTTCCTTTCATTCCAGCTCTAAAGTTGTTTAATAAACTTTCACTCCTGCTCTGAAACTTGCCTCAGTCTCTCCTTCTGCTTTTTGCCCCTCAGTTGAATTCTTTTTTTCGAAGAGGCAAGAATTGAGGTTGCTGCAGACCTGTATGGATTTGTCACCTCTTACAATCTTAGATCAATTTATCTTGATTAGTTATATTAATGCAGGCTTATTTTTCATCTACTCCTCAAGGATGTAGCAAACAGGTAACGAAGGGTGGCACATCAAACCACGATCAGCAATTATTTGTTATCTCTGTGTACTCTGCCTGGCACATAGTGTGTAATTATGAGTATTTGTTGCCTGGATGAATAAAGGTTATGGTGTGGTAACAAGCAGCTCCAAAACCTCAGTGGTTTAACACATTACAGGTTCATTTCTTGCTCACGCTACGGGATCAGTACAGGCCAGCAGGGAGGTCTGCTCATACTAATGACTCAGAAACCCATGCCAAAGGAAGTGCCACCTTGACACATGCTCCCACAGTCATCAATACAGGGGAACAGGGACGTGGCAAATCTTCCACTAGCTCTTAACGTTTCCATCCAAAGTGACACAGGTCATTTTGTCTCACATCTCATTGTCCAAAGCAAGTCATATCACTAGACCTGACTTCAAAGAGAGCAGGGAAGATAAAGAGCATCAGAATATTTGTGAACAGCTCTAATGATCACCATACTGGGTCACTCATATGGCTGATTCCTTTAACTAAGCTTTCATCTTATATAAGCACACTTAATAAACATATTTTTGTGAATGAATATTGTGAAAATACTATTGCTTCTGTGTGCATAAGCAAGAAGCTAATTCCTATACCAGATTTTGTGTATAAATAAAATTATTTCAAAATTGTCCTAACAGAATTCTCTACTAGTCGAGCAAATCATGGTATTTTTGCCTCAAATCACTTTAAATCTCTGTATTGTTTCCATGTCAGTGGCAGCCCACTTGGTATTTCTCATCTCTTAAGAGATGATAGCATTTACTCTAAAAACCTTGTTCAGTCATTGAACATCTTGCAGAAAATTTAGCTAGTGTAGACATATGCCTAGTGCTTGTACTAACATTTTCTATCTTCTATTCTGACACTTATTAGATGATTGCTTTAAAGCTATTTTTGAAGAGAGGACTTGAAAGAGGAGAATGGATCAATCACTGTTTAGCCTGCTAGACCCTCTTTGATGTACGGTAACCAAAAGTCATTCTCATCACATCACAGAAGGTTTAGGTGAGGCAAGCTTGTGATCTCAGCTGAATTCTTAATACACGATAGGCTGTCTAGTGTCCCCACACAGGGGATGTAATTCAGTTTATAATAAAAGCTCAGTGCCCTTATTGCTGTTACTATACACAGCAGACTTACTATATATCATCTATTGTATTTTTTTGGATGAAAGAAAAAGTATTAGATTATGCCCTAACTGCCTTTCAATGCCTACTTAACCAATTCATTGCTGCTAATTAGCATCTGGGACTCTAATAGGGCAACACCCTGGGCAATTCCTAGCCTTCCTCATGTCGCAGACCTCCATACGACTATTGTCCCCTTGTGATGAAATGATTATGCCCATTCCATGGTAAACATGAGGCTGTTTTCAAAGAACTTGAAACATGCTGGCCATCTCATTGTATTAGCCATCAATTGGAATCAGAGAATAAAGTAAAATAACATCTAAAGATAGCTTTGTATATTGACCCTTACCGGAAGAAATGCTCAATGGCTGAGAGAGTTCATAGATAACCTAGTTTCTCATCCTCTCGGCCTCTTGCAACGACAACGTACTTGCCACCTCAGCAGACATATTATATAATCAATACTTAGATGGCCATTATTGCTGTTGGGCATAAAAAAATGCATTCAAATGGCAGAAGAATCTTCTGGAGACTCTCATTCTGTCAACCAGGGCAGTCCTTAGGGAGAGTTTCCCTCCAAAAGCAAGACAGCCGGAGGAAATGTTGACAATGGCAGGCAGAGTTTCTAGGGCAGCAAGCCACTATGGGTCTCTTCCCTCCCCCAGCAAGCTCCTGGACATAGAACCAACCTTCACTGATGAATCAAATCACAGTATTGAATCAAAGAAGCATTTGGGATGTCCAAATATTTCTTTTACTATTTTGTTTCAAGGCTTTCCCCAAACTTCCTAATGTCTTGAAGAACAGGGACTGAGCCTTTCCATCATCATAATTACACTAATGAATACTAATTGGACATAAGGAAGTTGAAGATACCAAATTAGAAAAAAATGCTCTGGCATTGAATATGAATGAATGTTTTTCATTGTAAAGATGACTAAAAGAATTTGATATTGCTTAGATAACTTCACTCAAGAACTATAAGCTACACTGCCAACTGGAATGGAGTAGAAAACATTTCATTAAAAAATCATTTAGGGTTTAAGCCTCAATAAGACATTCTTTGAATTAAATTTTTTATTTGAGAAAGTAGATAAATAATTGATTTTTCCAGGGAGTTTGTTTTTATTTTCTAGAGACTCTGAGTAGTTTTGTACAAAACTAGAATTCGATCATGCTTTCCATGATTTATAGAGCTCTATATTAAAAACTTTAGAAATACATATTGATAGAATGTATCTTGTTTACTTTATGAAAACCACAACTGTTAGGGGATGTGGAAGAACAGGCACGTTAAAATGCTAACAAAGAAATCTCACAACTACCCCCCCAACACCAAAAAAATATTCAAGTAAGCATGTGGGATTTGCAATCAGACTGCATCAGGGGGGTCAGAGATCAAAAATAAATGGTGGCCCACAACATGCAGAGCTTTTAAAAAATAATGTCACATTCTTTCATTCTCAGCATAAGAAATGGGCAACTTGTTCAGGGCAAATAATTGTTTGAACTGAGGATTTTATTATTAATCTCTGAAGACTGCTGAATTTAGGGTCACAGTAAGGGTTGATTAGGTACAAGGTGCATAAAGCTCTCCTCTGTCGATGCTATTGAAAGAAGCAAGTAATTTAGATTCAGAATTGGTCTTGGATTGAAGCTCACTCCATTACCGACCATTTTCAATTTCAGCTATACAATAAACATCAAGCTCGGCAAGGAAATTAGTACATTTGGTAATGTATTGGAAGAGATGGGTGGGTCTTTGACAAGATGACACTTATCACCAAAGCTTCAGTTAATGAAACCCTTGAGTGGTATCTGCGTTTGACATATTTTGACATTTTTTGAAATCACATCCAGCGTTTTATCCCCCACAATGTTCTTCTTTACAAGAGAAAAAAAAATCCATCTATCTTTAAAATGAGTACTAGAGTACTGCAATATTATTGGAAAAAAAAATTAAAGAGATGCTGCCTGCCACTGACAGGAAGAACAAGGTACTTTCTCAAAATCTGTAAGGAGCAACAGATTCATCGGAAGCATTTTATTCAAATGAAGTCCACAATACATTTCCAGGAAAAGCTTCAGGTTTAAATGGAACATATGTCATCATACTTTCCCTAAAAGTACCTTCCACTATAAAATGTGATCTCATTAATGCGACTACAAGTTACATTGCTAAAGAAAAAAAAAAAAACAAACAAACAATTTTGGGTACTTATTTTCTGAACAAAATAGTTTTCTTTTTTTTTTTCTTTTTTTTTTTCCTGCAATGGAATGACTTGTACCTTAGTAAAGGTGGGACTTTTGAAAGAGAAAATAATGAAGGGGAATAGAAAATGAAGACCATCTTCAAAAAATTTTTTAAAATTGAGAAAAAACTGCATGGGAAAATATAGGTAAAAAATAAACAGTGGAAAAGCAGGTAAGAATGACGGCATTGAGAATGAACAATTTCTGGCCTCAAACTAGTTCTGACTAGATCACAACCCATATTCTCTCACTAGAGTTCTCACGTTTATGTATAATTAAATGCTATTTTATTGCCAAGTGGCCTAGATAATGAAAAACCAGAAAAAGAAGAAAATGCTTCCAAAGTGACCGAAAATTTAGGTTCACACATTCTGAGGAGTGGTTTTTGTTATTTACTTTTTAGTTTTTTTCTGAAAGCTGGGTGAAATTATTATGTATTCAGATATTTTAAATCTCATACAGCTCTATTGTTCATGCTATGTTTTTCATCCATTGCTGGGAGAACAATTGTAACAAAAAATACAAAGCGTTCTAAATGGGGGGGCCTTACTGAACCCTACAGGACCCGGGTGGCACTTGCAGTGTGGTAGGCCCAGCCGGGTGGTCCCTCTCATCCATCATTTACCCACCACGAGGAGGAGGTCACCTTGAAGTTTGGACTGGGGGATAGGGGAGAGAAAGAGCACGAGGGAGGCAGAAAGAGCAGGGCAAGGAAAGAAAAAAGCTGCTTTGTACAAGATAGATACCCTCGAAGAATTCAGAACACAGAGGACTCTTTTTAAACCTCTACTCTGTAGGTGATTTCTTTAAACCCTCTTTAAGACCCCTACCCTTCCTCACTTCCATAATCCAAATTTAAAACCCCAAATCCTGCAGTTAAGGAGGGGAAAAAAAAAACCTCTGTATTAGCTCCTGGTCTTAATATTTTCATCTCAAAAAGCTGCATTCGGCATTTTGCTGACTGCTGACTCTCATTCCTACCCCCTAAAATAATAATTTTAACATTTTGTAAAACACAATGAGCATTGTAGAATTGTTCAGTCGTCTAATAATCCAGGTTTTGATGATGATTTCTACTGTTCCGTATTCATCTGCATCCACCCTACAGGTGTGGTAAATTAGTTGAGTGAATTGGGTTTAACTAAAATGACATGTCATCTGACCTCAAGAATGGCATTATAATTTAGCTGTTTTTAATGTCACAGGTATGGCCTTTTAGACAAGCATTCTCCCTAGGAGTCTTCTATTTTTCCAATTTTAATAATAAAATTGAAATGACTAAACTTTGAGTGAGAGGCTATTACTGTATTCAACGATGCTATTTAGCTGGGAGGCACTGGAATGACCAGACAGGCTGTTCATAGCTGGTGTCCATTCTGATGGTTGGCATCCATGCAATAGCAGTTGTTAAATATTTTGTTACATATGAAATATTTACCAGAATGGTTGGTTCACTAACGGAGCACTTTTATTATATTCATAATTGATTAAAATGTGCAGATTTGTTTAACGTCCACCCATCCTCTCCAATGCTCACCTCTTGAGCGAGTAAGGGACAATTTTTTTCTCTGCTTAAGGCAGTTCTTGCCATGTAGTAGCCACTCAAGAAATATTTTTTTTGAATGACCGAATTGGGGATTGCCCACATATTCACATTTTAGGAGTTGTCACAGCCCTAGAAGAATAATCACTTTATTCTCTTTGTAGGATTACTTGCTTGTTCTTTCAGAGTAATTCTGGCATTCAATAAATTAAAAACTAGAGGAACATTTTTCACTGTGAATTGTTATTTGATCTCCCTGTTTTTCAGAATGATATTTCTGTGATCAACTCTGTCCGATGTGCTGTAGTTCAACATCTTTAGAATTAAACCTCCAGTCTTCTGCAGGGTGGAGAAGCAGCTGTAACAGCTTGCTTGAGGTGAAGGAGAGGATAGGGTTTGGGTAGAGGGGAGAAGTTGCAAATTACAGGATTTTTAATTCTCCTGTTTTTAGCATTAGCTGAACACAAATATTCAGAGAGACATTGTGCCTACAATTCCCAAGTTTTTCTGGAGTAATTTGATTTAAATCATCTTGAATCTGGGCTTCCCAAGCAGCCAGTCTACATTCTGGCTTTCTCTGGACTGTTAAAATTTTATTATTTCTCGTCTCTCATTTTCCCTCTCTTTATGTTGTTTTAGTCTTTCTACTGTCATTTTAGTGTGGTTTTTGGAAGAAACAGAGGTCAAAGTATTTGGTAGATTTATTACTTTATAGGTTTGCTATATTTTTTCCATATTATAATTATAAAGGGATACAATAGATTGTATCTACACATATGAAATATTTTTATATATGTAATATATATAGGTATGTACATATAGTAATCCCTTGGTATCTAGGGGGAATTGCTTCCAGGGCTCTCATCCTCCCCTTACCACTTTCCAAATAACAAAATTCATAGATGCTCAAGTTCCTTACAGTCGACCCTCTATATCCCAAGGTTCTCCATCCATGGATATGGACAGCTGACTGTACATGCATGCATGCTCATACACTATATATAATACAATCTATCTGAAGTATATGCAAAGTAAAAGAATGATAAAAACAAACACCCATACACACCACCAAACTTAAGAAATATCCCATGTGTTCCTCCTTGTATTCTCCTGCCCTCCACTAAAGGTAACTCTTATCCCAAACTTTGTGTTTAAAATTTCCTTGCTTTTCCTCTCAGTTTTCTTACTTATGCATATTCCTTTCTCAGTCTGCTTTTGCTAAGTTATGCTACAGTGACAATATATGCCAATAACTGATTTCTTTCTCAAGTACATACTATGTGCAGGTTGGCTGTGTCTCTGTGGGTCAGTGTTGCTACTGCTTGGTGTTTTCCTCACTCCAAGACTCAGGCTAAAGGAATAGCCCCTATCTCAGTCTCATTGTAAAAGAAAAAGAGCAGTGCAGAACCATGTGATGGCTCTTAAAACTTCTGTTGGAAACACATCACATCATGTTTCATTGGTCAAACCTTTTATCAATGGAGAATCTGTATCACAGAGAAGGAAAATAAAGGTACATGGCAAAGGACAAGGATGCATAATTCCCTTACAAGAAATGATGGTGAATAGTGGGAAGCAATAATAAAATTGACCATAGTCTGTTCTCTTGGGCATGAAAATTCATTTCTTGCCCTTCTACACAATAACATAATCCCCCATCTTCCAAGTAAATAGCTGAAAGGATGTATTCAACCACAGCATTAGATTCCAGGACTAGGATTTTGTCCTAGCTTTAACATCAGGTCCAGATACAGCTCTTCTTCACCTAGAGACAAATGAACTAAAACTAAAACCTATGTGCCAAAAATAGCAATTCTGAAATCCCACTGGGCAAACATTGTGAAGGCCCTCTAACATGGGCAGAAGAAATACTTCTTGATTAGGCTCATTCTGTTCTCTGTGACTAGCACCACAGTGCATGGTTATAGATGACTCTTGGCTCCACCCTCTGGGCGGTTCTTCCTTTTCTATTATCCTCACTGGGCCACATCTGAAAAGGGCACTGGAAAATACTGTCCCTTGGAGGCTAAGATTTTCTTGCTTCCAGCTTTTAGACTTAGAACAGACACAGTCTCTGTCAATCTAGGTTGATGGCTCCTTGGGTTGTATGATCCTCTCAACAAATTCAATTCCATTTAAGACATGCCTTTCTTTCTCCAGATTTAAATTGATATTTTTGAGCTTACCAGACTTCCGTGGAGGAGCTACACCATTAGCCTCTTTTGAGCCATTTTGCACACCTGAAAAGATTTACCAGTTGCCACTATAATCAACTAAACAAAAGGCACTCCTGATATCCTGGATTTGGTCTATGCCTCCCGCAAACTGAGTTTTAATCAGCTTTTGTCACTCAAAAATATTCTTAGTTTTACTTTGGATGTGAGAATAAGTTGAATCTTTCAAACTTCTAGGTCCCCAACTTTCTGACCTCCTTTAGTTTCTTTTCATCTTTTCTTACAAATTGGTCAATTCTTTTGTGGGCTCCTAGTTTTTCTGTACCACCATGTCGAATGCAGCCAACAGCAACCAAGACATGCTAGTACTATTCTGTCTTCCAATCTCCCTACCTAAAGTCACACGGTCATTCAATATATTATCTGCTTTGCATGTTATTGCAGCTAAAGTTTCATTAAGTGTTTCACCACTGCATAATAGATTGCCATGTTTTATCCTCTAAAATCAGTTTCTTTGCTACCTACCACTCTGCCACAAAGCCAGTTGCACATGTTTTAGAAGTTTTGTTATGGTAGCATTGACTTTGAGGTAATAATTATGTAAATATCAATTGTTTACAAAACCAAAAATTATTTCTTGCTCACATTACATAGTTGGTGGTGGATTGTTTGAAGCTTTATTTCCTATGTCCTCTTCCAGAATCTAGGATGAAAAGAGTAGCCTTACACCAGAACATACCATGTTTGTGGCAGACAGAGGAGGGTGACAGTAGAACCATGTGACTGATAATTCTTAATGCTTCTTCTCAGAAGTGACATTTATTGCATCTGCTAACACTTTCTTGACCAAAATCAGTCACATGGCTGAGACGGACATCAGTATTGTAGGAAGTGCTACCCACAACAAAAGTAAAAAGGATAGTGAATATTTTGAGTAAACAGTATGATCAGTCATAGTCCCTGAACATATTATATTGCTTTACATGTTTTTTAACTTTATATTTAAAAATCATAAAATATGTATTATTATGTAACATTTTTAGAGTTCAAGATTTTATTCATGACTTTCATCCGTGTTAATGTGTATGATGTTGTTTAGTCATCACTGCTTTATAGTATTCCATTGTTATAAATATATGAAAATTTACCTATTATAGCAGTTTCCAGGTTTTTGCTATTTTACATCATGCTGAAAAAAACAGGTATGTCTTCCAATGGACACATGAAAATGTTTTTTAGAATATATGCAAGGAAGAAAATTTTTTAGTTACATAGTTTTACATATCTTAAAATGTATTAAATAATGCTGAATTTGTTTTATACTGCAATTATACCAATTTTTTTTTCAGCCAGGAATATTTAAGGATTCCCATTGTTTCACACTCTTGACAGCACTTGGTATTGTCAGACTTCAACACAATTGCCAGCCAAGTAGGTATCTCACTGAGACTTATATTTGTCTTTCTCTGTTCACATATTGCTTTTGTCTGTGGGACATTCATATGTCCTCTTCTGTGAAATGTCTATATATCCCTCTGGCAGATATTTTTATTGAATTATTTGTAATTTTTGTATTGATTGTTAGGAGCCATTTAAAAATATGTATACATTTTCAATACTATTCTTTTGTTCGTTGCATGTGTTCCAAATATATTCTTCAAATTATGATATGGCTTGATCTTCTACTCTTGAAATGGTGTTTTTGATGAATAGAAGTTTTAAATTTTAATGTAGACAAGTCCGTCAGTATTTTCCTTTGTAGTTAGTGCTTTTTATATATCTTGTATAAATAATTCTTGCCTACATCAAGGTCATAAAAATAGTACCAAATTTTCTCATGAGAATTTTAAAATTCTGCTTTTCATTATGAAGTCTTTAATCCACTAAAAATTTATTTATTTATGTGTATGGTGTGAGATATAAATTAAATTTTATTTTTTCAACTTGAAAATCAATTGTATACCTAACTTTTATTGTATCCTATTTTTAAATTACAATTTCTTTCTTTCTTTTTTTTGAGACAGAGTATCATTCTGTCACCCAGGCTGGATTGCAGTGCTGTGATCACAGCTCACTGTAGCCTCCATCCACCTTTTGGGCTCAAGTGATCTTTCCATCTCAGCCTCCCAAGTAGCTGGCACTACAGGTGTGTGCCACTATACCCAGCTAATTTTCTTATTATTTTTTGTAGAGATGGGGTCTTGCTATGTTGCCCAGGCTGGCTTTAAATGCCAGGGCTCAAGTGATCCTCCCTCCTCAGCTTCCCAAAGTGGTGGGATTACAGGAATGAGCCACCAAACCCAGCCAAAATTATAATTTCTAATTATTTAAAAATGGAATAGATTCTTGCGCATTGATCTTATATTTGGTAACCTTTCCAAAATCCCCTACTAATACAAAAAGTTTGTTTCAGATTTATTTTTAAAGAGTTACATCACCTGTAAATAAGAGCAGCTTTGTTTCTTGCTTCCCAATCCTCTTGCCTTTTATTGTATTGTATTAATTTCTTTTTCTGATTTACTTATGCTTTCAACATTTCACCATTAAACATCATGTTTGTTGTAGTTTTTTCTTTTTCTCCTTTATGCTGTAAACATGACAAACTATATATTTTTATATATATTATATTTTTCTAGCATTATATTAACCTTATATTTATGGATATATTTAACTTGGTAATGGTTTTTAATCTTTTATATATGGGTGGAAATAGTTTGAGAATATTTTATTTAGGATCCTAGCATATTTGAGGGAGATCTGCCTATAATTTGCCCTTCTTGTATTATTCTACCCCTTATCATTGTTTTCAATATTAAATCTATACCAGCTTCATAAAATGTGTTAATGAGCATTTCATATTTTTGTAACCTATGGATAGAAAATTGGAATTGTCTGTTGCTTACAAATTCATCAGAAGATACTTAACAACCTAGGTCTGTCTCTTTTTTTTCTAAAGATTATTGATTGTTGATTTAATTTTTGTATGGCCATTGACCTATGTAGTTCTGCAGTCCTTCTGAGTCTGTTCCAATAAAATAAAATTTTAAATTTTCTCTTCTTTTACTTAAGTCTTCAAACTTCTTAGAATAAAGTTCTTCACTGTATCCTCTTATTTACTTTTAAATTTCTGTTTTATCCATAGTTATATCCTCTTTTTAATCCTTATGTTTTATTTATCTGTCCCTTCTCATTTTGCTTTTTCTTAATTAATCTTCCTAGAGGCATATCTGTTTTACTGATCTTTTCAAATGATCAATTTTTGGCTTTGTCTTCTGTTTTATTTTTTATGATGCAACTTCTATAAACTTTTTAATATCAAAATTATTCATAGAACACTGGTATGGGCAAGGCTTCGATGCAACAGTTTTCAGAGGTGGTAGCGAATAAGGTAACAGGATATATATCTAGCAAACAACTTGGTTGCATCAAAAACAAAGAATATGACTTAGGAGCAGATAATTCTTATCCTTGTTTTTCAGTTGGCTGGAATCTCTTAGGTACTTTTCTTACTGATTTCTCTTTTTAACTATAAGTTTAATATAGGAATTGATTTAGAACCCTATAGAGTTCTCTGATTGAAGGTTATATGATAGGGCTGTTTGTCTAAATTTAGAACATTTGTCAAAATTTTCAAAACATTTTCAAAACAAAAATGTCAAAATTTCAAGTGAAAGTGGCAAAGTAAGTGGATGGCTTAGGGTCTGGAAGCTGCATATGGTTTTACAAGTTTTAAGAAATGTTTCTAGTCCAAAGTAAAATACAAAAAAAAAAGTACTATATATATAACATAATAAGACAGTTTTTATATTAAAAACAAGTGTGAAGGGAAAAGCAATATAGAAAGGGTAAATTATGGGCTAATCTTATTGAAAGATGATGAGTAGACATAATAAACACTCCTGTTTGGGGATAAAACCACAAAGGAATATATTTTAAGGAACAGGGTAAACAGGAAGTAGACAAGTTCTTGCAGCTCAGTCTTGAATTATCTTAATCCTTGAAGTAAAATTAAAATAATGCCAGATTGCTAGAGCCTTCAGGCATTCAGGAGGGCTTGTACCCCTGGATGGTTTGCAGAATCCCTCAGATGCCTTTCTGAAGGAAAATAACATTATCTTGGGCACCAAATTATTTCTAGAAGCAATTTTAAGCTATAATATAATGTTTGGCACAACTTTTTTAAACAGCTCAATGAGGAGCAAGACAAGATGAGCAAAACCTAGCAGAAACCACCAGCAATAGAATTATTCCATAAGGGCTTCCAAAATTGTCATAATTAGACAAAGACTTTGTGGTTCACGCCTGTAATCCCAGCACTCCGGGAGGCCGAGGCGGGCGGATCACCTGAGGTCAGGAGTTGGAGACCAGCCTGGCCAACATGGTGAAACCCCATCTCTACTAAAAATACAAAAATTAGCTGGGCATGATGGTAGGCGCCTGTAGTTCCAGCTACATCGGAGGCTGAGGTGGGAGAATCACTTCAACCTGGGAGGCGAAGGTTACAGTGAGCCGGGATTCTGCCACTGCACTCCAGCCTGGGCAACAAGAGTGAAACTCCGTCTCAAAATAATAATAATATGATATAATATAATAAAATATATTTGCTTACCATGTTCTAGAAGATAAAAGACAAGATTAACAATTTTTTTTGCAAAGAAAAAAGTAAACAGAAACTCTAAATCTGAAAACAAGAACTGAAATTAAAAATTAAATTGATGGGTCTAATAGATCATATACAATTACGGAGATACTTAACTGGAATATTCTCAGCAATATCTGTCAAAATAAAATGATAGAAAATACAGAGAAGAAGGTAAAAGATGTAGAGGATACAGTGAGAATTTCTAATATTTTGAGTTCTAAAAAGAAAAGAGAGAAATAAGGCTGAAGAAAAAGAGGAGAGATATAATCAGGCTGAAACAAATTTTGAAGTGAGAATAGCTGAGAACTTTCTAAAACTGGAGAATGACATCAAGCTACAGATTTACAGATTTAAGAACCACACAAATACCAGGAAGAATAGCTGAAAAACAAATCTACACTGAGATGCTAAATGATAAAAATGTGGAAACCCCAAAATGGAGAAAAAATTTTAAAGTCAGTCATAGAAAGACGTTATCTTTAAAAGGGCAACAATAGACAGACAGTTAACTGCTCAGCAGAAACAAAGGACCTCACCTAGCAATGAAATGATATCTTCAAAGTGTTAAAGAAAACATCTGTCATTTTTATATCTTCTGAAATTGATGGTAAAAAAACATCTTTTTAGATTAACACATGAGATAATTCCCCAGTAACAGACATGTTAAAATAAATACTACACAATATTCTTTAGGCAGAAGGAAAACAATCCACAGGAAAGCCTGGAAAGGTAGGAAGAATTGAAAAGCAATGGAAACACTAATGTAATAAGGCGTCTGGCTCCATGTTTTGATGTTTGACTGCTGAAAGCTTTTAAGCTTCATTCCCTCCCTCTTCTTCCGTTCCACGTCTGAGCAAGCTAATAAAAAAGCCTGGGTACTCCCTCCTTTGATGCCAGTGAAATATTTAAACCATGCAAACCTCTACTTATGCAGAAGAACCCTCATCCCAGACCTACTCTCTAATTACCATAAAAACCAGTCTCCTTTTCCTAATCTCTCAAGATATCTTTGGACTAATTTGGGAGGTCTGTCCTGCTCTCCCCAGACTAATAAACTTTTTCATATTCTCTTGATATGTGTGTAGCATAATCACTTTCAACCTCCAAACCAAAATTTGGGTGAGGTGCCATCCCACTTCTAACGTGTGGCCACAACAGCTAGTAAGTGAGTAAATCAAAATAATTATTGACCATGCAAAGAATCACAACAGTGTTTCGTTGAGTTTTTAATATGTATACATAAAATACAAACTAATGATATTTATTTCAAAATGGAGAATAAATGGAATTAAATTATTCAAATTAAAATAGGAATAAATAAAATTAAATTATTCTAATATTTTTTATCTATTTGCATCATCTGGGTAGAGTTTCAAATAACCAGTTAGTATTAGATTTTGATAAGTAAAAAGCATATGCTATAATTTCTAGACTAACTACAGAAAGAATAGTAAGAGTATATAGCTTTTGAGGAAATAGAGGGAATATGGAATAATTTGAAAAATTATCTATCTAAACAAAGGCTAGAAAAAAGAGGAAAAAAGCAAAGCGGTAAGGAAACAGAAAGGACACAACAGAATGGTAGATTTAAGTTCAAACATATCAGTAATTACATAAATATAAACAGACTAAGTATTCCAATTTCTAAACCTATAAAGACAAACATCACTAACTGCATTTTAAAATTATGATTCTGTTTACAAGAGACATGTATAAAATATATAGACATAAAAGGATGTAAAATATTTGCCAAACAAAAATCAGTGTAACCATAATATCATATAAAGTGGTGTTTAAGCAAAAAGTTAAAAGGACATTTGATAACAATTCTGTATTTGTATGTATCTAATAAAATCGCCTTCAAATAAAGCAACAATTGACAGCAAAAAGAGATAGAGAAACCCACAATTATAGTGTAAGATTATAACATGTATCTCTTTATAACAATTAAGCAAGCAGACAGAAAATCAATTAGGATACAGTAGAATAACACAGAAAGCAAATGACCTAATTAATATGCATAAAAGGCTATATTTTAAACCTAAAAAATACACATTTTTTCAAGTACATTGGAACATTACAAAAATTTATTATATAATTGGCCACAAATTGAGGTTCTACAAATTTTAAAGAACTGAAGTTATAGAGTATATCTGTGGTTACAAAGTAATTAAGTTGGAAATTGAAAAAAAAATGTTGCTGGAATATTCTTGCGTGTTCAAGTAAGCCATGATTCAATGAAGAGAACATATTGAAAATTATAAAATAATAGGCAGAGGCAGGAGAATCGCTTGAGCCCAGGAGTTCAAGACCAGACTAGGCAACACAGTGAGACCCTGTCTCTATTATTATTATTATAAAATAATGAAATTACTAAATATCAAAATATCTAGGATGCAGCAAAAGTCATGTAGGAAAAAACTTTAGTGTGTTGGAAGTATGTATTTTTTAAAATTTCATAATCAATAAACTATGCATCTATCTCAAAAAATTAGAAGACAACAAAACAAGATCCAAAGAAAATAGAAAGAAGAAGAAATAAAGTTAACAGCAGAAAGCAATGATATTGAAACTGAACAATAGAGAAAATCAATGAAATTCAGGTATTGTTCCTTTGAGAAAATTAGTAAAATCCAAATACGTACATTGCTATTAATGAAGAAAAAAGGAAAAGGCACAAATAGTAATAAAAACAAAACATCACTACAGATTGTATAGACATTGTAAGATTACAAGAGATCATGAACAACTTTTTCCCAAATGAACTTGAAAATGTTGACAATGAAAATGTCTAACAATATTACTTTACAAAACTAACACAAGAGGAAATATAAAACTTGAATAGTCCTATACTCTTTCATATTACTCTTTTTATTTAATAGTGAATTCAACCAAACATTTAAGGAAGAAATAAATTCAAACTCTTCCAGAGGCTACAGAAAGGGGAACATACTGTATCTTCTTTAACAAGACCAGAATAACTTTGATATTAAAATCTAACAAGGATATTAAGAGAAAAAATTACAGATAATCACACTAATGACTATAGATATAAGAATTTCAAACAAATTGCTAGCAAACTGAAACCAGTAATATGCACTTACTAGTTTACCTAGGAACTTGAGATTGGTATATTAAAACAGTGATTGGTGTAATTCTTTACATTAGCATAAAAAAGAAAAAAGTCATATGATCTAACTAGATGGAGAAAAGGCATTTGATAAAATTCAGCAACAATTCATAAGTAAAAACCCTTGGCAAACTAAACCAGGAGGGAGCTTCCTTAATTCAATAAAGGGCATGTAAAAAAACAAATAAACACAAACAAGTCAAACAACAACAAAATTTCTATATGAAAACATCAGCTTAATAGTAAATGTTGAAAGCTTTTACTTTGAAATCTGAATTTGGACTAGAATGCCAGCAGTCACTCATTTTATTTAACATTGTATAGGTACACAATGTGACAAGGCAAGAAGAAATATAAGCAATGGATTTAAAAAGAAAAAATAAAAATATTATTCACACAAAAGTATGACTGCTTACATTAAAAAAATCCAAAAAAAGGTATATATAAAATTTCAAAATGTATATATGGGTTACAGAAGAACGTTGACTATAGGTTAATATAACCTTTTTTTAAAAAAAAGAAGTACACTTTTTATGCCAGCAACAAATATTTAAAAAACAAAACTTAAAAAGTTTACATTTATATATAAATGTTATATGTAACTATAATATAAATATACATATAATATTATATGTAACTATAATATAAATATACATATAATATTATATGTAACTATAATATAAATATACATATAATATTATATGTAACTATAATATAAATATACATATAATATTATATGTAACTATAATATAAATATACATATAATATTATATGTAACTATAATATAAATATACATATAATATTATATGTAACTATAATATAAATATACATATAATATTATATGTAACTATAATATAAATATACATATAATATTATATGTAACTATAATATAAATATACATATAATATTATATGTAACTATAATATAAATATACATATAATATTATATGTAACTATAATATAAATATACATATAATATTATATGTAACTATAATATAAATATACATATAATATTATATGTAACTATAATATAAATATACATATAATATTATATGTAACTATAATATAAATATACATATAATATTATATGTAACTATAATATAAATATACATATAATATTATATGTAACTATAATATAAATATACATATTATATGTAACTATAATATAAATATACATATAATATTATATGTAACTATAATATAAATATACATATATTATATGTAAATATAATATAAATATACATATATTATATGTAAATATAATATAATATACATATAATATTATATGTAAATATAATATAAATATACATATAATATTATATGTAAATATAATATAAATATACATATAATATTATATGTAAATATAATATAAATATACATATAATATTATATGTAAATATAAATATACATATAATATTATATGTAAATATAATATAAATATACATATATTATATGTAAATATTATATATAAATATACATATATTATATGTAAATATTATATATAAATATAAAGAAGATGAGTAGGACATCACGAAAAAAGACTACGAAGAAGAAAGGAAAAATGAACTGATAAAGTATCACTGAGAAAAACTGAAGAAGACCTAAGTAAATGCAGAAATATATCATGTTCATGGGCTCAACAACTCACTATAGTAAACATGTCAATTCTCTTCAAGCCTCTATAAATTCAATGCAATCCAAATAAAAATAGTTACAGTGGTGTTGTGTGCACATGTACATGTGTAATGCTGGCCAAGGTTATTGGTGGGGTGTAGGAGCTAGCTTATACCAACTCATGAGGTGCGCCAGTTCATACTAGCTCACACCAAATCACGGGACCCGACTGTTGAATATTCAGGAATCTTTGAACTGATTATTAAACCACTGTGGCTTGAAATCACCCACTGTGGGAGTGGTTACCCCCATGGAAATTTGCAAACACTACAAATCAAAGATTTTTTCCCCCGAGAGTCAGCTTGCCAGCGCACCAAGCTTATTCTAAAATTGACATGAAAAGGAAAAAACAAAAAACATAAAAACAAAAGAATAGTTAAGACACATTGAAAAATAAAAATAAAGTGAAAAAATGTGCTTTACCAGATATCACTACTTATTATAAAGCAACAAGAATTAAGACAGTTTTATTCATGTTTCTATCAAAGGTTTTAGGTATAATTTTTTAGAGGTTAAGAAATATTTATCGCTATAGCACCTATAATCATCTCACACATCATATGAATCTCACCCTTTGAACAGCAGTCAATATTTCTTGTGTTGGCTCACTCCTTTTTATTAATTAATTTTCCATAACTGCAATTATTTATAAATAGAAGGTACTTAATAAACATTGAAATAAACATATAACATTTTAAAAGTAAGAATTGTTCATTTATAAACCACTTAAAATGTTCTAACATACCACCAGCAGTAATCTGGGAAGCCTGACATCAGGGTTAAATTATTTCTGTTTTAATTTGTCTATTCCTCCCAACTCTCCTCTTACCAAGGACCAGACTCAAAAAGTGCTACAGCCAGAAATGAGTCTGTCTCTGCTGCTTGGGGCTCTGCCCACAGGGAAGGACCAACCCCTCTAACTTTAAAGCCTGGTTCTAACTCTGGTCCAAAGACCTCAGCCAATGTCTGTAAAGTGTTCCTGCTCACAGAGAGCGGAGACCACAAAGATAAACCCACCAGGTAGAAGGGAATGGTTTAAGGACGTTTGTTTTCCATCACGAAAGAGACACATTTCTAGTTTTTGTGTGGTTCCAGACAGCACTGCATTCTTTGGAAATTCCAAGTTACTTCAATAATATCTTGGAAAATTGACTACCTGAGGTCAACCTATTGTAATGGCACAAATGTTGATTCTCATCCTCTATCCCATTAGCCTTTGCTGGCTTTGTTTCTTAGGATAGCCATCTGAATCAATTAGTTCAAATTTCAAGGTTGAACCTTGACTAAGTTACTTCACGAGGGTTCTTAAAATGAACTAACACTTGACAGTGATTTATTCTGCATGCTACTGTTCGTCTCCTACCTCATCCTCCCTTAACCACCAAAGGTATAGTTTCTTGGGGAAAAGTAAACAGTCATTGTCAAATTGATTCTCTCTCTCTCTCCCTTTTCACTTCCCTCCTTCTCTCAAACACAAACACACAAACTGATTAAACTGATTTCTATTTACAATTATAAAACTAACAATATTCAATTTCTTTAACATATAAATCAAGTACCTAGAAAACACTTTACAAATAACCCAAAATGAAAGGTGAGCACCCTAATTGTGCCACTTGTCTAGACAAGGATCTTATAATTTTTTCAACCATTAATTTATTAATTGACTAATATGTATTCAGCACTGTTATGTATTTTTGAGCATAAAAACATAAAAAATACACCACAGGGTTTCAATGCATTTGCAACCTTTATATGCCTTCAGTATGTTTATGTAGGGAGCAATGCAAGATGATGTTCTATAATTATACAATAAGTTTGATAATGCAGACTACATGTGTTATACTATCATTAATAATTACAATGTTGGCAATATTTTCCCCATTCCTCAGAAAGAGGCATTATTATTATCTCTAACCTATAGGCAAGCGTTAGGGAATTTAAGTAATTTGCCAAGTACTAGATAGTGTTTGGCAAGGCCAAGACTAGAACCAGATCTGACTGCAAATCTCATGTTTTTTTCCTATGTGTTCTCTCATAAGACTTTGCACAGTGTTGAACACATAGTAGGCGCATAGTAATTGACTGAAGATTTAAAAACACAAAACGTTCACTTTGAAATAAGTACAGATAAGATCTATACAAGACAGGCTGATTTGTGTACTTGACTAGATAAGAGTATTACATTCTCAGTGTGGGTTCCCCCATAAGGAGAGTCTTAAATAAGGACTTGCATGAAGAAGGTAAGCCAGGAAACAGGAGTCAGGGAGCTGGGAGAGTGATAGATGGGAAAAAAGAAAGGTCAATATAAAGGTTCAATATCAAGTTTCTAGCTGTGGAAAACGGGTTTGATTTGCCAGACCACCTGGAAAGTACTCAGAATGCCTGAGATGCATTCAGTGTCTCCCTTCATCCATTGGCTGAGGGTTCCTCCAAGAGGTAGTAAAGACCAACACTTCCTGGTTTCTGACCTTGCTAGAAGGCTCCTACCTGGAAAATAGCCTGAGGCAAAAAGCAGAAGGCAAGCATTTGCACTGAACTGTCTGTTCTAATTACAGCTGAAATCAGAGATGGGCCAATGAGATGGAATATGATGTACCAGAGGTATGTTCTGCAGTTACTTATACTGAATTACTAAAGATTTTTTAAATGGCTTGCAAAAGCTTGCAAAAATAATGGTTTTACCTCTTGATGTCCAATCAGACAGCAATGACTGGTTTTGCTTTGTTTGTAAAAAATTTGAATGATTTTGATAAAATTTACCAAAAGACACTCTACCTTAAATTTAATTTGTGGTTTAATTTGAAACACAATGGAAGCCAATCTACTTAACAGGTGGAAATCTTTCTCTAATTTGAATAAACTCGAATAAATTTTAATGAAATTCGATACAAGTGTGCATTTATTCATTTAATGTTTATAGAACACCTGTTCTAAGACAGGAGGTATTTACAGTGTTGAATCTGACATGAACCCTACCCTCAATTAGTTTAGAGTCATTTAGGTTAATCACATCAAGAGACATTGTTGGGCATTGCTAATTCCATAGAAACTGGCAAAAGCAAAACACTGGGGTGAGCTAGATGCTTAGGGGATGGCACACATATAGGGTCTGGGTAGTCCAGGCTATGAGAGGGAAGAGGATCTCTGGAAAGTGCAGTAACAAGTAATAGATAAGCAAGGGTCAGATAAGTACAATATAAAACTGGGGTGACATAAGCAGTTAGGAGCCTTGCAACACATTATGCAGAATAAAATGCTAAAAAAAGCAGGCAGGCAGCTGTTTGGTATCAGCAGGTAGCAGGACTGGAGGCTGGGAAGGTTACCAAGAATATGACTCAGTCACAGGAATCAAGAATATTTTTAAACCCATAAGAACAAGTTCTTGAAAGCTGTACCACAGGTACAAATCTCAGTGGCTTATTACAACAAAATGTTTCTCTCTCAAGCTATATGTCAATGATGGGTTGATTGGGATCTCTGTTCCATGTGGTCCTCCCTCCAGGATCAGGCAGATACAGAAGCTGCCATCTGGGGAATTACCAGATGCCATGATAGAGGGAAGAGAAGTGGGTTGAATTACATACTAGGCTTTAAGCCTTCAGTCTGAAAGTGCTTTACACTACTTCTACCCACATTCTATTGGCCAAAACATGTCATACGGCCAAATGTAACTTCAAAGGGACTGGGGAAACCATATCCTCTTACAAGATGTCTGTGGAAAGACTGAGGCCAACCACACAAGTCTTACTCCTGCAAAATGAAACGGTGAATAAATACACGTACATATACAAACATATAAATCTTTCAATAGACAAAGACGATGTAGAGATAGGTTCTGAATGTGTTCCAAACTAAACCGTAATTTAAAATATTAACACAATGAAAACGTTCCTCAGAAGTGTCTTTTATTAAAGGTCCCTTGTCTCTCTCTTAAAAACCACATAATTGACAAGTTTATTTTATATTCAGAAAGTAAGTATAAGCACTTTGGGATGCTGAGGTGGGTGGCTCACCTAAGGTCAGGAGTTCAAGACCAGCCTGGCCAACATGGTGAAACCCTGTCTCTACTAAAACTACAAAAATTAGCCAGGCATGGTGGTGCGCGCCTATAATCCCAGCTACTCGGGAGGCTGAGGCAGGAGAATCGCTTGAACCTGGGAGGTGTGGAGGTTGCAGTGAGCCAAGATCCCGCCACTGCACTCCCGCCTAGGCAACAGAGTGAGACTCCATCTCGAAAAAAAAAGAAAAAAAAGAAAGTACAGGCTCAACATCAAACATCATCCTCTAAGTTGTCAACTGTAAGCCAACATATCTGTAGCTCCTTCCTTGCATGAGAAAGAACAAGGGAGGCCGCTAATAGTGCTTGACTGGTGGGAATAATGGAAGGGGTTAGGCCTCGATAGGTTTGGGGATAGACATAAATAGAGTAAAAGGTACAGTCCTAAAGGGTTTCCCTCTTCCGATTCTTCCATTGTTCAGCACTTTCAATACGTAGCCCTTGATTAGTAGGGCAGAGAAGTCAAGGAAATAAAGCCTCAGGCTCATACTTACTTAGGCTTAGCTATGACCACAAAAGGCAAAAATGTCAAATTCAGAATGGTCCATCTCCTCATCATTCTCATTCTACTCTACATTCTTTTATTTTAAATTTTTTTTAAAGAAAAACCACTCTACAAATAAAAAAAGAAGAATTAGAGCTTGCAAAAGGACAAATCCACTGCCTCTCAGATGTTTGTTTCTAGATATGACTTCTAATTATAGTGCCTCTTGCTGACTTTCAGCAGCATTCATCGCTTTTTCCCCTAAAACATCTTAACGTTAAGTATGTTTTTAAAAATTTTAGTGTTGACCCAGAAGAGCCTTTCCCCTCTGTTAAATTACTAACATGTTGATCTCTTCCAAGTCCTTACAGAAATGGAACAAGGAATTGGTTTATACCTCTCAACACCTGTGTTTCCCTGTGGTCTTGAACTCATCATGCTTTTTGAACCAACAAATTCCCAAGACCCATGAACTGTTCTCCCTTTACATTCTCCTTAATGTGCACACACTCCCAGCTTTTAGTATGGTTGAAAACACCCTTCCTTCTTCTTCTTCTTCTTCTTTTTTTTGAGACGGAATTTCACTCTTGTTGCCCAGGCTGGAGTGCCATGGTGTGAGCTCAGCTCACTGCAACCTCTGCCTCCTGGGTTCAAGTGATTCTCTTGCCTCAGCCTCCTGAGTAGCTGAGACTACAGGCATGCACCACCATGCCTGGCTAATTTTGTATTTTTAGTAGAGATGGGGTTTCTCCATGTTGGTGAGGCTGGTCTCGAACTCCCGACCTCAGGTGATCCACTTGCCTCGGCCTCTCAAAGTGCTGGGATTACAGGTATGAGCCACCACGCCTGGCCATCCTTTCTTCTTAAGACTTTCTGTTCATTTGGCTCCTACGATAATGTGCAATCCAGATTCTTTTTCTCCTCTGTCATCAATGGCCTCTTTTCTTATCCTGATTATTTAAAAGGGTAAACATTCTTTAAGTCTCTGTTCTAACATGTTTTCTTTCTGGACCACATAATCTCTCCCAAGCCTTCAAATATGACCTCTATGTAAAAGGCACTGAAATTGTTGTCATTAATCTTGACTTCTTTCTAGAGCATGAGACACCTGCGAACACCTTTGAATATGTCACACATCCACTCAAAACTGCACTGGGTTCTCAGAACAAAATTATCTATTGAACAAATTCTAAACTGTACATCTCACACTAAGATTTAAGTCCTCCATGATGCTGCTCCAATCTAATTTCTGACTAGTTCCTGTTCTAGTCCACATCAAGAATCCTATACTCCAGTGAAACAGAACTCCTCACTGTTCTTGTAATTCCAATTCCCTTTTTTTTACTGTCTTTACCTGTGTTTCTACTATTTCTTCTACTGAGCATGCCTTCCTGATGTCCACATTGTACCCATGCTTTAGCAGGAATGTTTTATAAGATGTTTCACAAACTTCGAAACTAAACAAAATGCAAACCATACGTGAATATATCATAAAAGAAAGTTACCTGCAGCAGACAGATGTTCCATTGAGCACTCTGTTTACATATGTCCAGAATGTCGGCAAAACTTCAAGCATGTTCATAACAAAACTTTCTTCTCCTTGGCTCTTGTGTCTCTGTACTCTTCTTGCTTTTTCAGAGAAGTAATTTTCCCTTTAATACTTTCAAATTCCCTCATAAACTCACCTCCTGCCAAACCTTTCTACATACCATTTCCTAGAAAATAATCAAGCTTTCTCACTCTCCCTTTCTGAGGAAATGTAAGGAGCTATTGCTTCTGTTTCTCCCTTCTTTTGCAAGAGTGTCTTCTCCCCTTTTTCTCTATGCCTTTCCCCTCTTCAATCTTATTCAGCATTTGATTTGATGCAGAACACACTGTCACACATCAGTAGCCACCTGCAGTGACAACTTTATTTCTCTATCTTGTTTTTGTCTGGCCTAATTATAAACAAATACATTGACATAGCATTCAGATTAGACATCAAAGGCACCCTCTTATATAATATACATATGTACACACAAACACACGTTTAGAACTTTTAAGTTACTAACTCTAGACTTATAATTTTACTTTTGATCTTCTCTCCCCAGATAGGCTAATTCATGACCCGTAAAACCACTCTGAGCACATCCACCAGGGGAAGTCATCGTGATTTCATCTCTGTGCCCCAGGAGAAAATTAGAGTGCATGTGAGAAGGCCAAAGGTCCAGGTTGTGGAAAAGTATTCATTGCAGCAATGTCTCCAAAGGAGGGAGTAGGGTGATAAGGCCACTTCACTTTTTTATTCTTTTGTTGATTTCCTTTTGGACTTGTCAAATGAAGTGCTGAGATGAGCCCTCTCCTTCCTATAGCTCAACAATAGAAGTGAAGATGCCACAAACACTCCCAGGATAAAGGAGATAAGACCCAATGGGGGCAAAGGAGGAAAGTGCCATGGTGCTTATGGAATCCATTGCTGGATACGGTCCAACTTGAACAATGAACCACATTTGCATCACTACAATAGCAGCCTTCTTTTTCTAACCTTGGGGTAATGAAAGCCTCCAAACCCAGATTTCTGCAAAATGAGTAAACAAGTCTGATTTCTCTCAGGTTGACTCATTTTACAACTGTGTTTATGAGTTAGAAATAGATGTGCAACAAACCACGGAAAACGGGCTTGATGATGATCAAATGTGTTGTTATGCACATACCCACAGAGTGGCAGAGGGGTTTGATAATACATTAGAGTGTGGTAAAAAACAAACAAACAAACAAACAAACAAACAAACAAAACAGGTATGGAGAAATCAAAAGTCCTAGATTTCAAGCCTGCCTCTGCCATCTATGAACTTAATAACCTCAAACAAGTTAATTTAACATCTTTGGTTTTCTCAATTAGAAAAAACAGAGGTAAGAATATATATTTCATATGGTAGTCATGAGGATGAAGTGAGGTGGAGTCAATGAAAGTGCCTGGTGGTGAGCAAGGATGATGGGGTTGCTTCCAGCTGTACACACTGCCCCCTACTCTGGCCCTCCCTGTCCTCCACAATGTGTCATTTCTATCACAACTGGGGAGGCAGAGTACATAGAGATCCTTCTCAGGGATCTGGTGAGGACTGAAGAGATAACAAAAGCATTTAGCATGGAGTTGGCACTGATGACTCAGTACATACTTGTTCTCATTCTCGTTTGAATTGTGAACTAATATTGGCCAAGATCTTCAAGGTGAAAATATGATACAAGTCTTTAGAAATTGTTTATACACCCAGTTTTTCCTGCAGTATGCCATCCTCTCATTCACCATCTCATCTAACACTTTATCAAGTGCTGTTGATTTTTGTTTCCAAAACACACTTTAAATTTATTCACTTCTTACATCTCTATTTACCCTTTCAATCATTTTTCATGAGGAATCTAGAGTGGCATTTTGAAGATGAAAATATGGAAATAAAGACAGTGAAATGAAGCCCGATTGCAAAATATTGCTATCACAACACTTGAAATAGTAAAATAAAACCACCAACAATAACAAAATAAAACCTTCCAAAAATTGTCAACAGCAAACAAACTAGCTAAGGGTTACAACCATACACCATATGTTTCAAAAATAATGTATAAGAAAAAGCAGAAGACCATTGCAACAAATCTTTCACCTTGCAGAAGCTGGAAAGGGAGAGTCTGCAAATCCCAGGAATTTTCATTAATAACTACTGCCCCCCAATTAGTAGAGATGTGGACTGAGATGAGTGGGTTGCTCAGGAAAGAGTCAAAGTGAAACCTTCTGGTGTGAATCCAAGGAGCTCAGCAGACATAGGTGAGCACCAAGGCTATTGTTTTCTTGGTTTCCACACTGAAGAAGGGTCAAGGTCTGAAATGTAGGGCCTCTGCTGTGACGGTAGAATAAACTCTGGGTAGGCCATTTAATGAGATTTTAGGAAAAAGAGCAAAGTTCTGTCATTCAAGGCCACAGAATAGTTTTCTTCTACTACTCCCTCACCTCACCACTTTCAAACTACAGAAAAATGGACCAAAGAGAAGTATTCCAACTCTCTAATTGTAGCTGGGAGAGGAAAAAAAAAATAGTTCTGAAATACAATGGGAAAGAAATAAGAAGAACTTAGCCATACAAATTGAGGGTAAATGAATGTCTGGACAGAAATGCTTATGTTAAGCACAGGCAAGAGTAGAAATTGCAAGGCAGCATTACAAACAAGATACAGCAAATAAACATATCCATGAATATCTAACAAAGAAGAAGAGAAAAACAAATGATAGAGCATAGCATACTGAAGACAGGTGAAAAACCCAACCTGGAAGAAAACATAGCTCATGGAAAAGTCAAGTATTCCTCACCAAAGCTTTGAGTCATAAAAGAATTTAATAAGTGAATGAATACAGTGAAACAAAAGGTCAAAAATAGGAAAAAGTGGAGGAGAAAACAGGCTACAAGAATCCAAGCAATACTATCACAGAACAACAACAACAAAATTAATGATCCCTGGCTGACTCTCCAGACTCATCTTTCACCGCCTCTCATCTTTACCTTCTCTGAGCCCTTTGAATATAGCCGGGGCCTCCACACTGACTGTCCTTCTATCTAAATGTCTCTTGTCTCTTCTCTTAATCTGCTACTTTCTACTCACTTTTAATTGCTTAGCTTTAGGTTAATTAAAAAAAAAAAAACCCACCTGACTCCATAGTCCAGATTAAGTCTTCTTTCTATACTCTTAAATAAACTTCAATTTTTTTCTTTATAATATTAATAGCTATTTGGAATTCAGTATTTATATGATTCTATGCCTACTATCTATCGCCTCATTAAACTGTAAGCTCCATGAAGGCAGGGACCCTGTCTGTCTTTTTCACTACTGTATCTCCACCAGCCTTGTGCCCAGCACATAGTAAGTACTCAGTAAATGCTTATTGATTGATTCAATGGATGAGCAAAAAACAAGTATATTTGGGAAAAACAGGAGGCTGCAATATGACAGCCACATTTGAGTTTCTGTGACTGTCCTGGACCCTTTTAAAGAGAGGGCCCAGCATTTGATGTGACACACTGACAGAAGAGAGAAGTGAGCTTGAGTTTTGAGAAGAGTATAGTTCTTTTGTTTACTTCCACAAGCCCAGTTGAAGGTTCTTGCTTGACAGTAAACTGATTAAAGCTGGATTTTCAAACTGTATTGGTCCTATAAGCAGAGGTGACTGAAAGATAAAAGTGGTCTATTGGAAGAAGCAGTCTCGTATGCTTTTTTATCATGGAAAGATAATTATGCCTAAAGAATGGAAGAGTAAAAAGAGCCAGAACAAGAATGCAATGCAATGCACACATGTAGAAAAGAGCAGCATTGGCAGACCTGGCTGAAAACAAAAATAAAGGTAAAAATCTAATGTTCAACTTACAATCTGAAGCAAATGGACCTGTTTTCTACATTAACATCTCCAAACCAATATGGATGTCACCACATAATCACCTAGTAAGCAAAATGAAAGGATGTATGATTTCCTGTATTTCTACAGATGAGCTGAGTGGACTGTTTACTTTTTAAAGGGAATCTGTTTCATTTAAAGAACAGATTCATTGAAATAGGAAGCTCTCCTAACAACTTACATGAATCTATTTTTAAAATTTGATTTATTTTTACAGTCATGTCCTTATTGAGTAACTGTAGATGTGGTATAAGGCTGAGTAGGGGATGGCACAGGCATTAATGAAAAGTCAGAGCACATTTTGGCTAGCACTTTGGGAGGCCAAGGTGGGCAGATCACGAGGTCAGGGGTTTGAGACCAGCCTGGCCAACATGGTGAAACCCCAACTCTACCAAAAATATAAAAATTAGCTTGGCGTGGTGGCATGCCCCTGTAATCCCAGCTACTCAGGAGGCTGAGGCAGGAGAATCATTTGAACCCGGGAGGCGGAGGTTGCAGTGAGCCGAGATCATGCCATTGCACTCCAGCCTGGGTGACAGGGCGAAACTCCATCTCAAAAAAAAAAAAAATATATTGAAACAGATGTAACCACAGAAGACATAGAAGAAATATTTCTGGCACTGTTTTCCAATAGGAAATTGGGGCTTCTGGGAAATGATGAAGTTCAAGGGAGACTAGGAAATAAACACAGGAAGGTTTCAAAGGTGGTACTAATGAGAGGTGGGTCATCATCTTACATCTTTATTCTTACATTCAAAGTGCTTTTAATTTTTTCATGCTTTGTCTCTCTCATGAGATGCTGCTTTACAGAGCTGTTTGACAGAAGTGCAATTATGAGACAAATACACATCTCATTTTTTATTTTGGGGTGATTTACTCCATATAAGGAACAAGGAACCTAAAATTTTGGAATGACAATGATGAAACTATTACTGACAACTAATATATGAATGCTTATTGTGTTCTAGATAATGCTTTTCTCATTTAATTCTTCAACCATCAGATATGTGCAACTACCATTTTTACGTTAGAAAAAAAAATGGGCATAGAGCAGTTAATTAACTTGTCCAAAGTAACTGATAAAGTCAGGATGAATATAGCTACCACCTTTCTCAAATTTATATCCTCAGCCTGGATATAATCCAAATATATATACTTAAAGTATTTAAGTATCCATGCCTCTTTGATCTTAGCCCCAGAGGTTTTAATCTATCTCATCTACATCTATCTCATCTATCTATATCTATCTCAACCTCACCCTGTGATTACACTGAGCAACCAGAGCTGACAATCACTGCATTACCTTAAGAACAGACATTATGTCTTGATTAGCATTCAGTACCTAACGAATGCTAGGTACTGAATGCTACCTAGCATTCATTAGGTACTGAATGCTACCTAGCATTCATTAGGTACTGAATGCTAATCAAGACTGCCCTTCATCCTGACTCAAATTTAGAAAACCAGATTGATGATGATCCTCTAGCCTCTTGCCATCCAAAATGTGGACTGTGGGACTGCAGCATCACATCTTCTGGGAAGTTGAAGTTGGTGGACAAGCAGACTCTTGGACTCCACCTGAAGATCTCCAGGTGAACTACATGCATATTAAAGTTTCAGATGCATTATTCTACTCAAGATTCTAGGACTTCTATAAAAATTAAAAAACAAGACAAATGCTTCTTATTTAATTGGAAAATGCAAAAGTTCATATATTCAAACTGTGTAGACAAAGCCTCATTTCTTACTTTAATGTATTCTTTGTACCAAGAGTGAATATTGCTGCTATTGTGGGTTGTACAAGTGTTGGTACATTTAGGAGTAAAGATGATGTGGGATAGTGGTTGGGATTACAGGCTTGCTTGTCATGAGAACGTAAATTTAAATCTTAGTTTTATCACTGATTCACTGTGTGAATAGGGCAGTTCCTCATCTAGCATATGGGATTGATAATGATACTCATGGGTCTTTGTGGGATTAAATGAGATTATGATTAGCACTCAGAGAGGGCAGAAGCAATCAATATCTGTGAAATAATGTGAAGGGAAGAGCTTCCAACCATTTGCAGACTCCAAAACATTGACTTCAGATCTAATCCATCCACTGTGTTAGTCCACTGCTAATATACAAAGGTACTTCATCAAGGAGAATATAACTGGGACCTTCATCTTTCATAGCAAAATGGCATCCTTGCATGGGGTCTCCCTGGATTCATCAACAGAGATTGCTTATGCTTAAAGCTCTGTTCTTATAGGGTGTTCAAGGAGAAACTGACAACTAGCCTGAAACTTCATCCAAACTCTGGTAAAAGCCTGAGTGATTTGCTATAAGAGGAGAAAGTTGGATATATGTTGTTTTCATTTATTCTTCCAAGTATTCTAAGTTCTGTACAATTCAGACTTTATCTCCAGAAAATTTTATCAGGTACGATTATCTCACTTTCCTGCTTCTATTCCCTTCATCACCCCAATATGTATTCTCAATTATATTTTTTCATATTGGCTGCACATGACTAGCAGCTATTAAGTTGATCTGTGCTAAATTCTTTAAGAAGTTGGAAGAAAAATTTCTCTTCCCATAAAATGTACATATTTCCTTTTGTCAGAGAGTAATTACAGAATTCATCAAACCCACCTTTTTGCCTCGGTTGCTAGGACATTCTGAAGTAAATGAGTTGATCCACAGTAGCATTATTAGTTCAGGTGGCTTATATATTTGCTATAAAATTATGCTGACAGATATACAAGAGGTTTGAATAAATAGAGATACAATATTATTGGATCACAAGACTCAATACTATAAAAATGTCCATTATCTCTAAATTATTCTGAAAACTAATAAAACCACTCAACTTCTGGGATATTTTTTCTAAAATTCATTAAAAATGATTAAAGGATGTCCAAAAAAGTTATATATTTTTTGAGACAGGGTCTTACTCTGTCACCCAGGTTGGAGTGCAGTGGTGCAATCACTGTTCACTGCAACTTCGACTTCTTGGGCTCGGGTGATCCTCCCACCTCAGCCTCCTGAGTAGCTGGGGCTAGAGCTGCATGCCACCATATCTGGCTAGTGTGTGTGTGTGTGTGTGTGTGTGTGTGTGTGTGTGTGTGTTTTGTAGAAATAGAACTATTTAAAAATGAAACAGATGTAACTAAAGAAGAAATATTTCTGACACTGTTTTCCAATAGGAAATTGGGGCTTCTGGGAAATGATTACATTTCACCATGTTGCCCAGGGTCAAAAAAGGTTGTTTTTTAAATGACGTGGAGAAATGTCTTTTACTAAACAACACATTACATAATAATAATAATTGAAAGAGTATGATACTGATGCTGGACTAGTTAAACTGATTAATGGAATTTAAGAAAAAAATTTGAGTATATTTTTTAGAACAGGTGTCCCCAAACTCCTGGCCACAGACTGGTACCAGTCAATGGCCTGTTAGGAACCAGGCTGCACAGCAGGTGAGCGGCAGGTAAGCGGGCATTACCTCCTGAGCTCCACCTCCTGTCAGATTATCATTGGCATTAGATTCTCATAGGAGCGTGAATCCTACTGTGAACTGCACATAAAAGGGATCTAGGTTGTATGCTCCTTATGAGAATCTAGCTAATGATTATCTGGGGTGGAACAGTGTCATCCTGAAAGCATCCCATACCTACTCCCATCTGTGGAAAAACTGTCTTCCATGAAATGGGTCCCTGGTACCAAAAAGGTTGGGGACCGCTGTTTTAGAAGATATTAGCATACTAATAAGGTGCAATTTTTAATAGATTGATGTGTTAGGCCATTCTTGCATTTTTATAAAGAAATACTTAAGACTGGGTAATTTATAAAGAAAAGAGGTTTAACTGGCTCATCATTCTGCAGCCTGGACAGGAATTGTGGTGCTGGCATCTGCTTCTGGTGGGGGCTTCAGAAAGCTTACAGTCATAACAGAAGATGAGGGGGAGCCAGCGTGTCACATGGTGAGAGTGGGAGCAAGAGGGCAAGGTGAGATGTGCCACACACTTTTAAACAACCAGATCGCATGAGAACTACTCACTGTCGTGAGGACAGCACCAAGACTTTCATGAGGGATCTGCCCCCATGATCCCAAAACCTCCCACCAGGCCCCACCTCCAACATTGGGGATTACATTCCAACAAGAGATCTAGAGGGACAAATATCCAAACCATATCAAGTGATAAGAGCATCACTCAGTCAGTGATATTGAAATAGCTAAATATACATGAAGAAGAAAATAAAGTTTTATCTCTACCTCGCACAAAAGTAAATTGCAGATGAATCAAAGGCAAGTATTCAATATAAAATATGCCAATACTTTAAAATGTAGATGAATTTTTACATAATCCTGAGGCATGGAAAGGTGTTCTAACTATAATTCCAATGGGACACAAAATAAAGAAAAAGTTTGACATGTTTTGCTATACTAACATTAAAAACTTCTGACTGACAAAAGTACAATGAAACAATTAAAGGCATAAATTAACCTAAGGAAAAAAATGTTTACCACATAGACAAAGGGTTACTAGCCATATATAAAGTGATTTAAAAAAAATGAACTACCTGATAGAAAATTGTCTAGTGAATAATGATAGGCACTTAGTGAACATAAAATGGCCAATAAACAGATTTTTAAAATTTCCGTCTCAATAATAATCAAAGAAATATAGTTGAAACAAGTTCTTTTACACAAAAGCCTTTTAGACTATGGTCGAGAATTTGGGGAAGAAATAGAAACAGAAAAATATAGAAGAAAAGGAGAAAGTTATTACTGAACTAATACTAACACTAAAAATGCCTACTCATGAAATAGATTTAACAATCCTACACAAGAATATCATATTCACTCTTTTTTAGAAAATTTAAATAATTTATACTTTCCTTGGAAATTATCTTTTCATTAAAGTTTTAATTTTTATTAATATAGAATTACATGCTATATAATTTTAATTTAAACATTTCTCTTATTATCACCCCTTTTCCATTTATATATCTAGAAATTGTGTTTTATTACTTATTTTTCCTTAATCAACATAAACTGAAGTTTGCTTATCTTATTGGCCCTTTTGAATGAACTCCAGGATTACAACCTCAACAATTTTTTTCATTTTTACCTCAATAATTACTGCCTTATTCTTCAGTAACATCTGATGTTTTTTCCTGCTTCTTTGATTCCTTTTAAAGTTTCTTTCTGTTTTTCTGTTTGTTTGTTTGTTTTTCTTTTTTGAGATGGAGATCCGCTCTTGTTGCCCAGGCTGGAGTACAGTGGTGCAATCTCAGATCACTGCAATCTCCACCTCCCAGGTTCAAGTGATTCTCCTGCCTCAGCCTCCTGAGTAGCTGGGATTACAGGTGTCCACCACGATGGCCAGCTAATTTTTTTTTGTATTTTTAGTAGAGACAGGGTTTCACCATGTTGGCCAGGCTGGTCAGGCCAGGCCTGACCTCAAGTGATCTGCCCACCTCGGCCTGCCAAAGTGCTAGGATTACAAGCGCGAGCCACTGTGCCCGGCCTTAAAATATTTCATTCAAATGCTTAGTTCATTAATACTTTTTTCTCTAATAATAAAAGTATTTAAAGGTCCGAATTTTCCTCCGTGTGAATTTATAGCTGCATCTTATAAATGTTGATATGTATTAGTTTCATTACTTGCTAAAGTTTTTAGTTTTTGGTTTTTTTGTTTTTTTTTTTGTTTTTGTTTTTGTTTTTTTGAGACGGCGTCTTATTCTGTCGCCCAGGCTGGAGTGCAGTGGGTCGATCTTGGCTCACTGCAACCTCCGCCTCCCGGATTCAGGCAATTCTCTGCCTCAGCCTCCTGCATAGCTGGGATTACAGGCGCCTGCCACCACGCCTGGCTAATTTTTGTATTCTTTAGTAGAGACAGGGTTTCACTATCTTGGCCGGGCTGGTCTTGAACCCCTGACCTCGGCCTCCCAAAGTGCTGGGATTACAGGCATGAGCCACTGCGCCCAGCCAGTTTTTAGTTCTTTAACAAACATTTTTGATAGAGTATTTACTCTTCTTGTGACTTCATATATTTATATTTTAAATTTCTAGTTTCATTGCATCACTGTCAAATAATAAGTATTTATACTTTTTGGGCGTTTATTTAAATGTTTTTTGCAATTTTTGTAACTTTCTTTTGCTATCTGAAACACAGTGTTCTCTGTTAGTGGTGTATGAAGTTCCATACATATTTAAACAATGTTATCAGTTACAGAGTTTAGCTCTTCTGCAATTTTGTCTTATCAAAGCCTCTGAGGTATGCAGGAGACTTTTATGATTTTTTTAATCTGAAATTTCTAAATGTATCGATTTATGTGTTTCAGTATTATGTTAGTGAATGCACATAGGGTATCATTGATATAGGTGCCTTGCGGAGTATATATTTTATTTTATATTTTATTTTTAACTTTTAAGTTCAGGGCTCCATGTGCAGGTTAGTTGCATAGATAAACTTGTGTCATGGGGGTTTGTTGTACAGAGTATTTCATCACCCAGGTATTAAGCCTAGTACCAATTAGTTATTTTTCCTGATCCTCTCCCTCCTCCCACCCTCCTCCCTCTGAAAGGCCCCAGTGTGTATTGTTCCCCTCTATGTGTCCATGTGTTCTCATCATTTAGGTTCCACTTACAAGTGAGAACGTGTGGTGTTTGGTTTTCAGTTCCTGCATTAGTTTGCTAAGGATAATGCCCTCCAGCTCCATCCATGGTCCTTCAAAGGACATGATCTCATTCCTTTTTATGGCTGCACAGTATTCCATGGTGCATGTGTACCACATTTTCTTTATCCAGTCTATTATTACTGGGCATTTAGGTTGATTCCATGTATATGCTATTGTGAGTAGTGCTGCAATGAATATACACGTGCATGTGTCATTATAAGAGAACAATTTATGTTCCTTTAGGTATATATCCAGGTATGGGATTGCTGGGTTAAATGGTATTTCTCTCTTTAGGTCTTTAAGGAATCACCACACTGTCTTCCACAATGGTTGAAATAATTTGAGTGTATATTTTAACAATTTAAAATATGTGGGCTTTTTTCACTTTTCCTTTGTCTGATATCACTACCATTGTTTTTATATTTTCCTGGTTTTTCTTTGACCTTCCTTTTCTTTTCATCGTTTCTATGTCTATTTTAGGTATGTCTCATAAACAACAAGTAGCTTGATTATGTTTTGAGATCCAATCTGAAGATATTTGTTTAATGATGGAGTTTAATTCATCAGATTTATCACAATAGGTAGCATCATTTGGTCTTGCTTCTATCATCTTATTTTTTTGTTTCTTTTATATAGCCTTACCTTATTTCTCAGATTAAGCTGAAATGACCTTTACATTTAGATTATAATTATTATCTTACACATTTTTTACATCTGTGTTACAATTCACACCATATTAAGAACAATAAAATTATTCATTCACTCAAATATTAATTAAGTACCTACTCTGTACCACATAGTAGAGTGAATTCTGCAGTAAACAAAACAGACATGGTCCTTGCTTTCAGGGGATTTTTCTTCATAGAAGATGAGAAGAAAGAAAAGACAAATTAGAAAATATTTGGCCAGTGGCAATTACTACATAGTAAATTAGAGAAGGGGTGCCCACTTTAAATTTGGAGGGCAGGCAAGGCTGCTCTATAGAAGTGAGACCCATTTGATGAGAAAGAGCCAGCAGAGTAAAGATCAGTAATGATTCTCCAAATATTAGGGAGAGGAAAGAAAGACTCTGAGGTGGGAAAGAGTCAGTAAGTTTTAAAAATTGAAAGAAGCTGGAGCATATGTTGTAAGTGAGAAAGTGATAAAACATGGCAGGGTCTAGATAAAGGAGGACTTTGTAAATTATAATAAAGAGTTTATTTCAAGTGCACTGCAAAGCCATTGGAGAGTTTTAAGATTGTGGGGGTTTGGGGATTGTTTGTGTTTGGTCTTTGTTTTGTTTGTTTGTTTGAGGGGAAGGAGTAACATGATCTGATTTTGAATTGTAAAATGTCCCTCTGCTGCTGTGTGTGAATCTATTCTAGAAAAAGCAAGAGCATCACCAGGACAGATGATGCAGATGGCGAAAAGTTACCAGATATGTTTTGGATGTAAAGATGATAGGCTTACTGATGGATTGAATTTGAGGGGAGTGAGGTCAAGAGCAGAATCAAATATAATACTTAGAGTGTTTTTTTCCAGCGATTTGGTAAATAGTGGTGGTATTTACTGAAATGTAAATCCCTGAAGGAGTGGACAGGTTTGATAGGGGTGCAGCAATTATGAGTTCTGTTCTGACTAATTTAAATTGACATACTCATCTGAGTGTCCATGAGTGATATCTACTAGTCATTTGGGTATACAAGTTTAGAGTTCTGGAGAAAATTTAAAGCAGAAATAGAGATAGGGGCCGGGCGCTGTGACCACGCCTGTAATCCCAGCAGTTTGGGAGGCTGAGGTGGGCAGATCACCTGAGGTCAGGAGTTCAAGACCAGCCTGGCCAACATGGTGAAAACCTGTCTCTACTAAAAAATACAAAAATTAGCCAGGTGTGGTGGTGTGCACCTGTAATCCCAGCTACTCAGGAGGCTGAGGCAGGAGAATTGCTTGAACCCAGGAAGCAGAGGTTGCAGTGAGCCAAGATCACGCCACTGCACTCCAGCCTCAGTGACAGAGTGAGACTCTATCTCAAAAATAATAATAATAATAATAATAAAAGAAAATAAAATAAATAGAGACAGGGTTCACTGTGTATAACTGAAGAGAGAAGGCCCCTAGACCAGCACCCTGGGGCACTCCAAAAATTGAAGGTTATACAATTCTATTTGTAGAACATAATACAAACTCCAAGTTTCTGGTCTATTGGTTAACTTTTCTCCCTTTCCAGGGCTGATGTAATTTTTTCATCCTAATTTATATTTCTTTGTTTATTTCAGAAATCAGGAAAGGATCATTAAACACTTAGGTTCAAATAACCATCTTGAATTAAGTCAATGTCAGATGAGTTGGAACTCATCTGAATGATTGCCGTCCATACAATAACTAAATTAAATTAAAAGTTTTTTGAAGAAAGGAGTTTGTTTGCTGATGAGCTTTGCATCTAAGAAGAGGCTCAAAGCAGCTCTGTTGAATATAGGAATAAAAGATCCAGCCTAGCTGTGGTGGCTTATTCCTGAAATTCCAACAATTTGGGAGGCCGAGGCAGAAGGATCGCTTGAGGCCAGGAGTTCAAGACCAGTCTGGGCAACATGGCAAGACCCCATCTGTACGAAATTTTTTTTTTTAAAAAATTGTTGGGCAAGGTGGCATGTGCCTATGATCCCAGCTACTCAGGAGAGGCTGAGGTGGGAGGATCACTTAAGCCCAGGAGCTCAAGACTGCAGTAAGCTGTGACCGTGCCACTGCACTGCAGCCTGGGGGACAGAGTAAGGCTCTGTTAAAGAAAAAAAAAATCCAGTGGATGAATTGTCAGACTTTGTGGTACCAAATTCAGACTTTTCCACAGTTCAGTCTTTCAACAGACCAGCCAAGGAAAGGGGATCTTTAGAGCACAATGGTCTGGTTCTACCAACTACTAGCTAGTTACCTAACTTCTCTACTTTAATAAGATGGCAATAATGGTCTAATACTTCAGTTGACCCTGAACGTTGTAGTGGTTAAGAGTGGTGACAAAAATCCACATGTAACTTATAACTCCTCATAAGAAACTCCTCAGAAACTTATCTACAAACAGCATACTGTTGACTAGAAGCCTTACCAACAATATAAACAGTTGATTAACACATACTTTGTATGTTATACATATTATGTATTGTATTCTTACAATAAAGTAAGCTAGAGAAAATAAAATTATAAGGAAGAGAAAATATATTTACTATTCATTAAGTGGAAGTGAATCATCACAAAGGTCTTCACCCTTGTTGTCTTCACATTGAGTAGGCTGAAGAGGAGGAGAAGAAGCAGGGGTTGGTCTTGCTGTCTCAGGGTGGTAGAGGCAGAAGAAAATCTGTATTTAAGTGGATCCACACAGTTCAAACCCATATTGTTCAAGAGTCAGCTGCACTACCAATTTTTAGTAATATTTAACAACTACTAATAAAAATAATAGGAGCAGTTGGCCAGGCGTGGTGGCTCATACCTGTAATCCCAGCACTTTGGGAGGCCGAGGCGGGCAGATCACGAGATCAAGAGATCAAGACCATCCTGGCTAACACGGTGAAACCCCGTCTCTACTAAAAATACAAAAAATTAGCCGGGCATGGTGGCAGGCGCCTGTAGTCCCAGCTACTCGGGAGGCTGAGGCAGGAGAATGGCGTGAACCTGGGAGGCGGAGCTTGTAGTGAGTCGAGATTGCACCACTGCACTCCAGCCTGGGCAACAGAGCGAGACTCCATCTCAAAATAAATAAATAAATAAATAAATAAATAAATAAATAAATAAATAAAAATAATAATAATAGAAGCAGTAATAACCATCTTTCTACTTTGGTGAAGCTTGAATGCAACAATGTCTGTAAGCATTTAGCATGGTACCTGACATAGCATAAAGATTTAATAAGAGTGATTTCAGAGTGCTGCCCTGAACCCCAGCTTTCCAGTTCAATGCAGAGGCCCTGAGGCCTTGTGTGACTACAGCAGAGTGAGTTGAGTAGGAGAGGGTAGGTGATGGGTCAGAGAGTTGGTGGGGATCAGATCATGTGGCACCTTGTACACCAGACTTAGGAGTGTGGATTTTACAGAGAGAGAGAAGAAGCCATTGGAGTGTTTTGAGGAGAAAAAAGAAGTAATCTGGTTGATACTTAGAAACAATTTTATTCACATCTATAGCCCTAGCATATAGGACAATGCCCAGCACAAAGTAGGTGTTTAATAAACATATCTAGTTATCTGTAGAAATAAGCAATGCCAACTGATGTCAATTTCACTTCTGCTTATCGCCTAGGCGACTTTTCATAGAAGTTTCAATGCTGCATCATTAAATGTGGTGTTAATATGCTGTTCTCCCCACTCTAAATCACTCTCATTTTTAAGAATTTCTCTACTCCCTCTCTATTACTGCATCAAACTCAAAACATACTATTTAGAAGGAGCTTACGATTTCCACCAAATGTAATACTTCCCAAAAGAAATGGCCATCTTTTAGATAATTATCAGTATTTTGGCATAACCTAATTTGTTACTTAGCAAAACTTTTCCTCATTAAATTTTCCTCAATAAAAGATTTGATCATTTCTTAGTGAACATCATCCTTAGGGATTAAAAAAAAAAAGGAAAAGAGAACGCCTACGAATCCATTTGGGTGTCACTGAAGCTCACGTGGGAAGTAATTATCCCATTATTCACCATACTCCTAAAGCGCCGTCTGGAAAACTGCATGCAATTTTTGGCTCTTTCTATATAAAAAAGATTGCTAATTTGGAAAGAATCCAAAGGGTAGTAATAATGATAAAAGGCTTGGAAAACATGCCATTAAAAAGAGTCTAAGAGAATGGAGTGTGAACTGCCAAGAGATCTGATGGAGGCAGAAAAGACTTTAAAATACCATGTGGGAAAGAAATCTAAAAGGAAAAGGGATTATATTTTCTTAGTCCAGACACTTATACTGAAAGTTTAAAACGGAGAATTAAATTTTGAGCCATGCAAAAACACATTATTCCTAATAATATGTTCAATCAGGAAACGTAGCAGAAATGCAAAAAATGCTAAGATAAAACTGGAGAACTCAGGATGTTGCCATGTTCCTTCTAAATATCTCAGGCAATGGTTTCTGAACCCAACAGAAATCCTTTAAATCTAAATGCTGAGCAGGTGTTGCTACACATGAATTGGCACAAATGGATAGGATTTCAATCAATTATTTAAAAACCTGTGTGGTTATCCTTCTATTCCTAAATGTAAGAGAAGAACAGGCATGAGAAGACACAATTCTAACCCACTGAAGAGCTGTGGTTTTTCTGAGGGCACAGATAGCAAACACAAAGTAAAAGGTAAAGAAGCTGGGAAGGGAAATATTGGCTGAATACAGAAAAATATACAAATTCAGTCTCAGGGTTCTGAATTTGAATCCAAGAATTACAGTAAATTACAGTACTGCCTTAAAATTTATCCTGGGATTACGACTGAGACAAGTGAACAGATCAATGGAGTTGCCTCTTTAAAATCCTGATCCAGGAGACATTTTCAGTGGAGGAATCTACCTGTTCTATGGGTGTGTATTCAATACACTAAAACATTCGAATGAAAGGTAAGCATTTAGCCAACTACCTTGCTGTCAAATATTCAGATGATCGCCTGCCTTTTCTTCTTAAATTTTCACCTTGGTGGTTTAGTATCAAGAAGTTAGCATAGACAAAGCCGATATCCAAATTTACCAGCCTAGTCTTCCAGCTCGTTAGCTTCAACTCTTTGTTCCCCCTTCATTCCAACCTCTTATGATTTCCTGTTCCCAAACTCTACCCTAACTCCCTGAAAATTTTCATTTTTCTCCAGATATGCCCTTGATCTTTTCCCCTACATTTGTACCTACATCTCTACCTGCACATACTTCCATCTTCCCTGGGTCTCTTTGTTTATGTCTAGTCATCTCTAAAGTATCTGCTGAGACCCCGCCCCCTTCCATAGCACCTAACCTCACCTTCTCTTATTTTTCTATAGTCTTCCCTTTATACCTTAAACCTGTTATGTTTATGTATTTGTATTTTCTGCCCACTAGCTTATAAATTTACAAAAGTCAATTACCATATTTTATTCACTGTTATGTTTTTCACCACCTAGCAAAGTGCCCAGAATAAAGGAGCTATCTAATAAATGTCACTGGATTAAATGAGAAGTAAGACAAAAAGATGGTCATTAATTAGGATATGGCCACAGTGAATAAACTTGCCCAGTAAAAGTATATATTCTTTTTTTTTTTTTTAAATACAGATCAGAGCTTTCTATGTTGCCCAGGCTGGCCTCGAATGCCTAGCCTCTCCTCTTTAAGCACCAGGACAACAGGCCTGAGCCACCACGGCTCCCAAAGTATATATTCTTAAAAGTATGACATAATTTCTAAAATGTAGGCTGTTTTAGGAGATTATAGAAAACAATGTATATGTACTTTAGAAAATTCAGGCAGGGTGCGGTGGCTCACACCTATAATCCTAGCACTTTGGGAGGCCAAGGCAGCAGGATCACTTAAGCCAGGAGTTTGAGATCAGCCTGGGCAACATAATGACACTCTATCACTACAAAAAATTTAAAAATTAGTTAGGTGCGGTGGCATGCATCTGTAGTCTCAGCTACTGGGTGTGGTGGGGCAAGGTACTGAGGTGGGAGGATTGTTTGAGCCCAGGAGGTCAAGGCTGCAGTGAGCCATAATCACACCACTGCACTCCAGCCTGGGCAACAAAGCAAGATCCTGTCTCAAAAAAATAAAAAAGACAAAAGGAAAAAAAGAGCAGAGCACTGGAAAAGGAAAAACTGAAAAAAGAAAACACCTATCATTACTTTACCATTCAGAGAGAACCACTGATAACATTTTTATTTGTAAATTTCTTCCTACTATATTTTAAAAGGGATTTCTACAAAGTTGATAAAATAGTCCATATATGTATTTGTTTTTCCCCAAAGGTGATTAAAAGATTTTCTCAATTACTCTTTATTACAACACCTAATTCTATTGTTAAACCATATCTTACTTAATCATTCCCTAATTGTTGGGCATTTACATTGGTTTTCATTTTTTTCTAATATAAGTAATTCAACACTGAATACCTCTGAGTAAAAGAGTTATCTACCCATCTTTTTAGAAAATAGTGTTTAATGGGCATTTAAGCTGTTTTTTGCTGTAAATAATCTAACTTGGCTTTTTAGTGATTCTATTTTTCCTCTCCTCAGCCCTATTAAGATAATTTCTGCCCTGTTGACATCAGTTATGTTCGTGGCTTTTCATACTGTCCAGGTCATTTACTTAATCCCTTTCTCTGGCTGCCTCAATATGTTGTAACAGATGCTTTCTTTCTTTTTTTTTTTTTGTGAGACGGAGTCTTGCTCTGTTGCCCAGGCTGGAGTGCACTGGGGCAATCTCGGCTCACTGCAAGCTCCACCTCCCGGGTTCACACCATCCTCCTGCCTCAGCCTCCAGAGTAGCTGGGACTACAGGCGCCCACCACCACACCCGGCTAATTTTTTTGTATTTTTTTAGTAGAGACGGGGTTTCACCGTGTTAGCCAGGATGGTCTCGATCTCCTGACCTCGTTATCCGCCCACCTCGGCCTCCCAAAGTGCTGGGATTACAGGCATGAGCCACTGCGCCCGGCCAACAGATGCTTTCTAATGAAGCTGGATATACTCTATATTTTGTAGTGACCTTTTTTTTCTTTTTTTTAAGACAGAGTCTCACTCTGTTGCCCAGGCTGGAGTGCAGTGGCGTGTGATCTAGACTCACTGCAACCTCTGCCTCCCATGTTCAAGCCATCCTCCCACCTCAGCCTCCCAAGTAGCTGGGATTACAAGTGTGCACCACCACGCCTGGCTAATTTTTGTAGTTTTGGTAGAGACGGGGTTTCACCATGTTGGCTGGACTGTTCTCGAACTCCTGACCTCAAGTGATCTTCCCATATCAGCCTCCCAAAGTGCTGGGATTACAGGCATGAGCCACGGCGCTGGGCTCTAATTGCTAGTTCTTAGGGATTTGGGGAAGAATTTAAATGATGGAGATTTATACTGGCAGAGTTTCTCAATCAATTACTGTGGAAATAATTTTACTGATTTCACAAAAAAGTTATCTTTTAAGACTTTGATCATTTTAAAGACACACACATTATATTATTAATTCTTACAAAAAATAGCAAGCAAATGTTATTAGCAGTTTATAGATGAGGAATCTGAGGCTCTGAGAAGCAAAAACAAAAACCAAAAAACCAAAACCTGTGTTCATATCCTATGGCTGCTATAACAAATTACCATAAACTTAGTGGCTGAAAACAACACAAATTTACTATAATTCTGAAGGCCTCAGAAACTAAAATCAAGGTGTAGCAGAGCCATATTCCTGTCTGGAGGTTCAGGGGTGAATCCATTTCCTTGACTTTTCCAAATTCTAGATGCTGCCCACATTCCTTGGCTTGTGGCCTCTTCCTCCACTCTCAAAGCCACCAATGGCTGGTGAGTCTTCCTCACATCATACAACTCTGACGTTGACTCTCCTGCCTCTCTTTCATATCTGTAAGGACCCTTGTGGTTACAGTGGGCTTGCTGAGATAATCCAGGATAAACTTCCCATCTTAAAATTCTTAACCACATCTGCTAAGTGCATTTCTGCGATGTAAAGTAACAAATTTACAGGTTTTGGGGATTAGAATGTAGACATCTTTGGGGGAGATGGGGAGCATTATTCTGCCTAACACAACTACCCACATCAGAAGTAAAAGCTAGTAGAAGTAATGAGATGTTGCCATATTGCATTAAGCAAAGTGATTTTTAGATCACTATAATTTAATGACCACAAAAGCTACAATCCATACACCTGCTTAGAAAAATCATTCTTATGCAAGTACATATTTGTGACACAAGCATAGGTTTCATTAGCCATATATTAATTTATTTGCCCATGCTGAAATGCACATTTATTCAATTTGGATAATTTCTTTTTCTATTGTATGGTAAATCCAAAACTGCTGTGTCTCTAAATGTGCCCAATAAATGATTTTTTAAAATTACATCCTAATTGTAAAAACATGCATACTGCTCACACATTGGTGTGGACTAATTAGTGTAATTAGTCTTGTGTATATAACCATTGCCCAAAATGTCCCTGACTGCTAAAAAGCAACCAGTCACATAATGCCTCACGTACAACTTTGCATGAAAGGGCCAGGCAACTGGTGATTTACTTTTTCCCATGTTGTCAGAAAAACAACCAAAAATTTGGCACTTCAGATTTCACATTCTGAAAATGAAGACAAATTGTAATATATTTCTACATCAACTTGGCTCTCACCTGTGAATTTGCTTTATTGGGTGTTTGGATAAATACCTAGTTACTTCTTACCCTGAGTGAACAACAGCGTGGCTAATGTTAAATCATTACACAGCTTTTTGTATAGCAAGTTCTCTTACTCTGAATATTTTTGTAAAAAGTATGAATTCCTGAAAATGGCAATTCCTCTCATGTAGTAATAGGACAGGGATCACTATTGGTGAAGGCCTCCTGAAGTGAGGGATTTCAGTTGCCATGTAATTTCACTTTGAAGTCTCAAACCATCCAGCTCAAGGTCTATGGGAAAGCCAAGAATAAGCATGAAGGATAAAGCCTTAAATATAAAGAGACATGCATGTGAATCATAAAAACGATAATTCTTCATATTAAATCTATTGATTTAAATATGTTAATATACAAAACGTTAACAAAAAAACCCTTTTCTTATAAGGGCACTCATATTTTTATTTAAAAAATAATATCTATTATAACCAACTTAGGATTCATATAATCTTTTTTTATTCATGAAGAAGTTAAGTCCTTAACAAAAAGCATAACAAACATAAATAATGGAGCACTTTAAAGTTTCTTATTTTAAGAAGTTTTGGAGTAATTTCCTTCCTTTCGTCTCTTAATGGGCATAAGAAATTCTGATTTTTTAAAAAATTGCTTACAATTAAATATCTAAAAGTGAAAATTTTTTTTCAGCTAATGAAATATCAGAGAATTACTACCAAATATATACATAACTAGCATAAAGAATATATAGTGATAAAAGAATGTATATGCAACTAAATATTATGTTTTCATATTTGGAACAGGTGGACCTTGCAAAAAAGGTTCCTAATTATTCCTATACTGTTGAAATTATTTTAATTTTGCTTCTCAGCAGATATATTTATATGCTGGAAACAGGTGTTCATCAAAAGACGGTGATAAAGAGACACTGCAGTCAAGGCTTGGAGCCTAGCCCACATGGTGTGATGACAGATAAATTAGAAAAATCCTGCTAAACATCGCTACACTTCAGAAGGAGATTACACCTTTTAAAAAAGGCAAAACATGTGGTTCAATTACTTATTGTCTTGGCATGTGGTTACGATGAAAGACAGAGCCTTAAACATCAATAGAGCTAAACTAACATCCCAGATGGGCTTTGGAAGAGGGGACTCCTGTAGCAACCCACCTGCACAAAAAGCAACTGGAAAAAAAACATTGAAGAAATGCTTTCTTTTCCCTCCCGTTTAATTTGTTTTTTTATATTAAATAGCGATTTTAATGAACAACATGAGTTTTGGAAAAAAAAATAAAAGCAAAAAACTTTTACTTAAATGTATTTTCTGAGAGATCCAGCAGAAGAGGAGGCAAATTTTTCAGCTGTCTGCAGGACACTGCAGGTCTCACATGGGTTGTGAGAGTTATGACAAGCCCAGGGGAAAAGAGGCAAAATAGGCCCACACACCACAAAAGACTGCACAAATAACATACTGTGGTGACCTTGGATAATTCACAGAACCTCTCTGGGCCTCATTTTCTACATCTGCAAGCTATTGACTTGTCATTTGTTTTGGTTCTGCTATAATCTGAATTATGACTTCAGTCATGATGCATACAAAGTAAATGCCACCGAGGGTCAAACAACACATAGAGATGCTCGGTGGGGACCAACATTTTTCCACAAACCATTTCTACATTCAGACATGACTAGAGTACCCCAACAATTCTTCAGAAGTTCAGGACTACAGCAGGAGGTGTCAAGAAGAATTAGTTGTGGGGTACGGAAGGTGAGGGGAAATTATAATCTATTAATCACTTGTAGTATAGTCATTTCTCATTGAACCCAACCAACAATTCTGCAAACTAGGCACAGTCATGTGTTGCTCAATGGTGGGGAGAGGCTCTGAGAAATGCAGTGATTCCCTTATTGTGCAAATATCACAGAGTGTTCTTACACAAACCTAGACGGTACAGCCTACTACGCACCTAGGCTCTAAGGTGTAGCCCATTGCCCCTAGGCTACAAACATGTACAGCATGTTATTGTACTGAATACTGTAAGCAAGTGTAACATAATGGCAAATATTGGTGTATATAAATATATCTAAACATAGAAAAGGTAGTGTGTTGCACTATGACAATGTTACAATGGCAATGATGTCACTCGGCAATAGAAATATTTCAGCTCCATTATAATCTTATGAGACTACCGTGGTGTATGCAGTCTACTGTTCACTAAAAAGTCGTTAGGTGGTGCATGATTGTACTACTAATCCATTATACAAGAAACTAAAATAATGATTGCCCCAGAACCTATTGAGCTACTATCATGCTAAGCATTTCCTTTTGCAGTAGCTCATTTAACATTCGTGGGAAGTCTATGACATAGTAGATTCAGAAATAATGTCTTTTCTTGCCATTGCTGTCCTCCCAAATACCAAAACAACCATTATATATTTTTAAAATAAATTCATCTTTTTAGAGCAGTTTTAGATTCAAACAAAATTGAGTGGAAGGTACAGAGATTGCCCATATACCCTCTGGCCCCACATACACACCACCTCCCCTACTATAAATATCCCACACCAGAACGGTACATTTGTTACAACAGATGAAGCTACATGGACACATCATTATCATCCAAAGCCCAGAGTTTACATCAGGGTTCACTCTTTGTGTTATACATCCTATTGGTTTTGACAAACATATATAATGACATATATCTACCATTATAGTATCATACAGAATAGTTTTACTGCCTTAAAAATCCTCTATGCTTTGCCTATTCATCTCTCCATCCTCACTAACCCCTGGCAACCACTGATCCTTTTACTATCTCCATAGTTTTGCCTTTTCTAGAATGTCATATCGTTCAAATCATACAGTATGTAGCATTTTCAGATTGGTTTCTTTCACTTACTAATACGCGTTTAAGATTCCGCCATGCCTTTCCACGGCTTAATAGCTCATTTCTTTTTACCATTGAATAATATTCCATTGTCTGGAAAGCCTCTTATTTTTCATTCTGATTTGTCCTTACAGAGCCTAAGATCTTTCAAGGTTTTTCAATGGAGTGCTACTGGCATTTTAGATGGGACAATTCTTGCTAGTATAGGACTGCCAGATTTAACACAGAACTGGTCCCAGGCAGCAAATATTTATAGAACCCACATTGTTGAAATAACTTCAAACTCCTCCCAAGGCCTAGCCAAATGCCTCTCACGTGGAAAGTGTTGTCCTTTTAGAAACCACTGTTGGGTCCTCTTTTCCCACTGCTACGGAAATCTAATTTCATCTTGTGCCATCCAATACAAATACTCTTACTACTGATATATCTAATACTAATTAATACTAATATCTAATTTAATATCTAATATTTAACAAGAATGTAATCTAATACTAATATCTAATACTTAACTAGAATGTGATTCAATACTAATCTAATACTTATAATTTAATATATAATACTCTACTCATTACTAACATGTCTAATACTAACTAATACTCTCTTTAAAAAAATTTAGATTTAGGAAGTATATATGCATGTTTGTTACATGGGTATATTACGTACTGGTGGGGACTGGGTTTCTAGTGTACCAAGTACCCAAATAGTGAACATTGTATCTGATAGGTAATTTTTCAACCCTTGCCCTCTCTCCACCCTCCCCGCTTTTGGAGTCCCCAGTATCTACTATTTCCATCTCTATGTCCATGTGTGCCCATTGGTTAGCTCCCACTTATATGTGAGAACATGTAACAACTAATATATTTTGAACAAGGCTTTATCACGTGCTCCGCACTGTGCTAATGGTTTTTCCATGCTTTATTTCATTTAATCCTCCCACTAATCCTATGAGCTAGATGGTATTGTTTTCTCTACTTCACCAATGAGGAAACTGAGGTTCAGAGAGGGAGAATAATTTTCTCAAATTCACACAGTAAATGACACAGCTGAGAAGACAGAGTAAGAACTTATAACCACTGCAGTAAACTGACATTAAAGTCTCACAGAGATTAATTTACATAAGGTCACAAAGTTAAATAGTAACCAGCAGAGGTTAGATTTGAACCCCAGCCTGTCTGACCCCAAATCTCTGTTTTTTCAACTTTTCTCACCAGTGTTAGAACTAAACAGCTTCCAGCCATTTTCAGTAAACATGTGTTTAGTGCCCGCTGTGTGTAATGCCCTGTACCAGGCTTGATAAGAGATATAAAGAAGTAAGCATCATTTTCCCCAGTCCGAAAAGGTTTGCTAGCATGTTGGGGAAAACATAGCATACATTTATGAAACATTTCAGGAAAACAGTAACAATACAGGGTTAAGAGTCTAAAGAATCTGCAGACAGAAAGGGGGCTAAAGGATATCAGATAGAGAATTCCTTTTGGAGTGGGATGGTCACACAAAACATGAGGGAGTAGTTGGGTGTGAAAATGAGCAGGATTATGAACACAAGGGTAAGATGAGCAACATGACCACCTGGTTGGAATGGGTGATGCCAGTGCCTTTGCATTATCCATCACATTCTCCCTAGAAGTAAATATTGAGAGCAGCAAATGAAGGTGGCAAGGGCATTTTCTAACATTTAGGAGTTGGAGATTCAGTTGGGAAGTTATATTAGGGCCATATTTTGGACTTTGAAGCAAAATTTGGCTTGCAAACATTCAAGACTCCCAAGCGGTAGGGTGATAAGATTTATTTCAGGTGGCAAATATCAACACAAAGCACACAAGAAAACAAATCTTAAGGGAAGAAAGGGAAGATTTCTCATTAGTATAGAGATTCACAATAGGGGAGTCCTGTTCCAGTTTTTAAACTATTTTTGTCATTCTAAATGTAATAAAGGCACATTATAGAAAATTTGGAAAGCGTGATATAAACAAAGCAAAGAATACATAATCTTGTCATTTAGGTCATCATTATTAACACTTTGAGGAATTGTATTTAGTCATTCGAGAAATATTTACTGAGCATTTACTACATGCCAGACACGACCCTAGACGCTGAGTCTGCAGCAGTGAAGAAAACAACCCAAAATTCCTGCCTGTAAGAAGCTTCCATATAGATACTTCTTTCTCTGTGTATAAGTCTGCAGACGTGCACTCTTTGTGGGGTCTTCATTCAATTGTCAGATATGTGGAGAGTTTTTTAGCTGATTTCCACTCCATGTAATGTATGAAACATTTTTGTAATGCTTACTATCACATTTACTAAAACCATTTGGAAAGTTTAAAAAATTATCATTTAATCTTGTTAAAATTATTTGGAAACATTTTTATTGACTGTGTTAGTCACAGTCTGTAGATGCTCAAATTTTTATTTAGTTATTCTTACTATTATGGGGACATGAGTTACTTTGTGAAGCTGCTGAAAGTTACAATAGGCAACCAAATTTGGCATGTAACTTCAGATATTCAAAGATCCTTTCAATTAAGAACCCTGATTTGATAATTTCCCAATTGTTAGACATTTGAGTAATTAATTTTTCACTACTATGACTAAAACTTAATGAATATTCTTGCATATAAAGCTTTGCCTACATTTCCAATTATATAATTACAGTAGATTTCCAAAGTGAAAACTCAGAGTAGAAAAATATGAACTTGCTTTAGGCTTCAATACACCTTCTGCCGTTACTGTGTAAAGTCTTCTTCGCTCATGTTTCTGTTAGTTTGCTGGGTTTGTTTTTTTTTTTTGTATTTTAGTAAGTTTTTGTTTAATAAAAAAATTTTAGTGCTATTATTTACATTGTAATGGTCCATAATTATTTTATCCTTACCATAGAGTTTTTTATTAACTGGCCTCTTTTGTCCCATTTGATGTTTCTTGTCTTGAATTTTACCTTTTCTACAATTAATATTGTCATCTTTTGAAATTTTTTACCTATTATTATATCTGGTAATGTGAATTTTTTGTTGTCCTTGATGGTGGCTTTTAAATACAGAAATGTTTGTTATTGGGTTTATATTTGTTTTAAAATTTATATTAATGTAATAAGGCATAAATTTTAAAAATCTAGTTTTTCCTTATGTTTTAAAGTTGAGCTTAAGAAATTTATAATTATATTTAGAAGTTTGGCAGATTTTAGCAGTTGTTTCTAAGGAGTTTTTTGGTAATGCTGAGCCCATTTATAGATATTTAACAACTTCAAACATTTAAAACTGCATTTATACATTTAATGTACTTGGCTTCTTTTTTTTAAGTACTTCAGTTGTCTGAATTAACAAACTGAAACTTCCTAAGTACATAAATAAAAAATCCAATGTTTACATTAGTAAATATAATTAAATTATTTTGGTTGCCAACATTGTACTTAAACTTCAGTTAGATTTCAATTTAAAATTTTAAGTCTAAATCACTTACTCAATTTAACATATCAAGTTAACAATTTACCACATTTAAATTGAAGTTACAAGGCTGTAATGGACCAATATTATTTGATGTTGAACAGACTCTACTAAACTAAATTAACTTCAATATCCAAGTACATAAGATACTAAATATACACAGATATCTTCTTAACACACAAATATTTATATATTTCAAATTTTGAAATATGCAGAACAGTTTCCGTGGCAATTAACTGAAACTCCTTAATTGTATATCCTTCTAGACTGAAAGGTATAAAGCCACTCACTCATTCTGGGTAACTTGGATTTCTTACAGCCAAAATTCTTGGCCCCAGTGTGAGAGCCACATCTGCCTGTGGACATCTAGGATGATTCTTCTCATGGTCCTGGCTGCCAGACTGTACTTAAACCCCCTTTTATAGCCACTATTTGAAATTAAAAATTAAGTTATAAAATTTTATTGGTCTTATGCGTGTAGTTCACATCCCTGAGTTAAAACTGAAATGTTATCTGTTTTCTGATTTTTCTGTATCTAGTTTTTCTTTTTTATGTCATAAACCATTTTGTTTTTCCTATATATTTTTTTCTAGTAATTGGAAAACATTTATCCTATTTTTATTTTACTAGTGATTACCTTTAACACACACACTCAGATCCAAACACATGCACACATGATTTTCTCCATAATGAACAACATTTAATGACTCCTAAATTAGATAAGAAACAGCATGCATTATTTTTTCCTTTGCCTTTCCTCACCCATTTTCCAATTTTTGAAGTTATCTGGGATTCTGGGTTCAGAATTTTATCATCAGTAGTAGTAGTAGCAGTATAGTCCAGATACTGACATTTTCCAATTTTTATATTTCATTGGTGATTTAACAGAATCCTGCAAAGCCTGGAGGCTAGATGTGTGTGCTCCATTAACCATTTTGCTGAGAAGCCCATTTCAAGGCTCTTAATATGTCTTGCCAAATTACTTCCCAGAAAAGTTATACTGATACACAGCCTCACCAACCATTCATGAGGGTATCTATCTATGCATTTTCCAGCATTGACTACTATTTTAGAAGTTTTACCTATTTGGTAGATGGAAGTGTTATTTAGTTTTTATTTTCATTTGTTTATCTGGGAAAAAATAAAGTCATTAGGCACCACAATTCCAGTGATCTTCCTCTGTTGATGTTGTAGTCACTCATGAAGGAACCCTTGTAAATTGAGTAGATTTTGATTCAGGATCTTGTATGTAAGTGTTACTAATTAATTTCCTGAGTAACTATTTTATAATCTTTTCCATCAGGCACTTTCTGGGCATGCAGAGCCAGAGAAAAAGGTACAATGAATAGTTGTTTTTAATATCAAGAATCCATGCACTCACCCTTAGTCATAGAACATTGGCGCTGTGCTATATGAATTCCCATAAAGTAAATAAATTAGTCAATCAGTAACTTCATGTTAATAGAAAACTACAGTCATTATAACTAATTTGTAAAACCTGTGGTACTGGCAAATATTATGATAAGATATATTGGTCTAATAGTGTTCTGCAAATAGGTTCTGATTTGCAAAACTAACCAACACAAAAGCAATCATTTCACATGAAAATATCCATATCAGAAATGTTGATTGGAGTGATTGAAAGTCATTCACTTAAAACTAATACATAAACACACTTGTCTCCCTTATAATACTGGATGGTCATACCCAATTCAGCAGTATTGCTTAGCATTATTCTTGCTCATCAGCAGAAGTGACTTAGAATAAAATGTAGCTACCAATTTCCTTGACAAATAGAGGGGGAAATATATATATGTGTGTGTGTATATATATAGATGTAAATGGCAAAGATAGGAATAGCATTTCAAACAGAAGGAACAGCATGAACATACACATAAATGCAATAGGGACTGAGGGGCAAGAGGGTAGCCAATGTTCACTCTAAGACTAGTGAAGCATAAAAGAGGCTTCTTGCCATGGCTAACTTCAATCAGATAATACTACTATGTATCAGATTTTCACCTGTAAACAACCTGGCTTGGTAAAAATTGCAAAGAGAGGGGAGATGCTATGAAGTAACTTTAGTCAGAAACTATTCAAATGAGATTTAATGAAGGCTGCAATGTATTTTAGCACATGTCAGAAAGTTTCACAGATATCCATTCACTTACTTTAAACCAGGTCGAGTATAGTACAATTTAGATAACATTTTACAAACATTCTGCACTTAATTATGCTAATACTAACTGACACTGAAAGAGCTTACTCTATGCCAGACACATGCATTATTGCACTTTATCTTTGTAACAATCCCATGAAGTAGTTTCTCGTATTTTCCCTATTTTTACAGATGAGAACTTAATGAAGGTCATGCAGCTAAGAAGTGAAAGATCCAAGATTTGAACCCAAGCTGTTTGATTCCAGAGCCTATGCTTTTAACCATTCCTCTAAAAATAATGATAATGAAGGTAACTTTGGAACATGACAAATATATTTCACTTTGATATAAAGCCATCAACATCTAAAACCTGTCTCTGTGTTTACTTTTTCATCATTGTGGAGTGGAACATAAAAAGTTACTTGTGCTTCAACAAGAGCTGTTAGTCACGCTGTTCTCTCTCTCCTCTCTCCACTTCATTCAGGATCAAGGTCATTGTGCTGAATACGTGGCCTTACAATCACTTCCATTTTATGACCACAAAATGCGATGTCCAAAACACAGAAATATGACTTTATGGCAAAAACATCTAGAAAGAGATTTCTTACTCTGACACAAATACCTGTAATAATGGCAAAAGAAAAGCAGAAAATTATGGGTAAAGTAAATTGCTTTTTTTGTATAAACGCTATTTTTTTCAAGGTCTTGTCAGTGTAAAAGCCCCTCTTTCAAATCACTAAAGTCCCCTCACACTCTTTTTAATTTTGTCCTTTCAGTCCTTATCCTCCTACTTCATCAAAAGTCAAAGTTACGAAAACACTTAAATTAACCCCTTTCCCATGACATTATCATTTCTGGTTTCCAGGAGTTATTAAGCAACCCTAAATCCAGACTGCCAATGATAAAAGAAGAGCAATAGAAGGCATGGTAAATGAGAGACAGATATGAAGGGAAACGCCACCGAAATGACAAATACTGCATGTTGGCAGACAGAGGGCTGATTTCCTTTTTCCATAAAGAGCTCTTCAACCCCATAAGAATAACATTGATGGCCCAACAGAGAGACTGGCAAAGGACATGAACAAGCTGCTCACATCAAAAGAGAATCAAGTGGGTTTTAATCATTTGAAAAGATACTCAACCTCAGTCATAATTAAAGAAATGCAAATTAAAATAATAAGATACAATATTTAACTGTCAGGTTAGGGAGAAAACAAACCTGGTTGTTGGGAAACAGTCACATTCCTGTATCATATTTGGAGAACAACTTGGCAATATTTATCCAGATTTAAAATGCATGTGCCCCATGAGCCAGCCATTTTACTTTTAGGAATATATACTGCAGTTGCATTTGCACTATTGGCCCAGAGATATTAACAGCAGTATTACTTATAGAAGCAAATCACTGGAAATATCTCAAATGTCTTTTAGTTTGTACCAAGCACCATTAAAATACCTCTGGAGGGCAACGTGAGGAACTGGTCAATCTAAGGTGCTGCATTAAGGGACCAGATTCAGGAGTTAAGATAGTAAATGAACTACTTTTACTATACACGTTTCTGTGCATTTTGATTTTTAAAAAAGAATGTGTATTGAACAAATAAATCCACTAAAACAAAAACACCTTAAGGATGCTTTTGGAGTTTCAGAGAAGAGAACCAAGGAAAAGCAGCCATGAAATTTTCAATTTCTTTCACAGAACGGATAGTTCCAAGGATTATAAGGATACAACGAGAGAGGACAATCTGGAAATAAACCTCAGGATTATATGCTAAATTTGTTGTGCTTGCTGGTTTCCTATCCTGTGTCATATCTTCTTAAAAAAGAAGGACTAAATTTTGCCTGTCATAATGTTAACAGCACTTCCCTGTTTCAATATGAGAAATTAACTCGCAATGGTAATAGAAATAGTTCAAATCATTTAACTTACCAAAGAGCTATAATCATTAACATTCTTTAGGCTGTGTTCCATACAATCAAGAATACTTTTCTATTTTCAAAACCTCATTCACAACCTTGGTAAAAGCTTCCCATTGTAAGGCCATGACATCTAAGGCACCATATTCTTATCTCCATTACTATACAACGTAAGACTAGTGGTCTTATAAATTCCTCATGTTTGCCAAACACATTACATGGAAGATCATAGTGTTAATTTGGAAAGGGAAACAGTTTTATGGCATCTAAAGGACTGAAAAAATTATCTCTAATCCTTTTGGGAATCAAAGAGGCAATAAAGTGAAATTGAGTGCAGAAAGACTCACATTGTAAATCCATTTACTACCAAGCCTTGTTTACACAAGGATTTATTCGTGCCAGTAACTAGTCACCAAAGCTTAATGGCATGACTTTACCAGAATTTCATTTAAAGAAGTGTCTGTTATTTTTTCACAAATAGTGTTCAGCTGATTAAAGCCTAATTACACACATTGAATTAAAGGTGTGAGTACATAATAAAATGTTCCAGCTAAAAGGAATCTGTGCTGGTGTTTGATTTCCAGCTAGTAATTTGGCTGGAATAAAATGGAAACAAGAAAGCAGAATTGTTTAAAAGGTGCAGTTTTATGACAACACGCATTTCTAAACTGGAAATAGAAATACACAAAGATACCATGCACTTTTTAAGTGGGATGTATTGAAATCTAAAACAGCCTTTTCTATTATCCAACATTTATGATAATAATAATAATACAAACCACACTCACAGTAGCCAACAGCCAGAAAAAAACATATTTCCATTTTAACGCCTTTAGATGATCAAAGCAGCAGCTTAATATAATCAGCTGAAATCCATTTACTCGAGAGCTTGCCACTGTGCCCAGGGACTGCTTTCCCTTCCAGCCCTATCTATTCTGGAACAGGTGCTATACTAGTAAATTAATTAGTCTGTGGAGAAGCACCTTGTTCTCCATCTCCGCAGGCCTCTTGTGGGTCAGGGCCTTGAGGACTTCGCCATCTGGGCAGAGTTTCCCCCAGAGAAACAATCAAAGCCCACAGATTGCAGCCTACAGAGGAAGGTTCAGATGACAATTAACCTTATTAGGCCTCATTTTTTACAGTTTATAGTGTGTCAACATGTTGGCTCCGTAAATAATCTGCTACATCAAATAGGTGAAAATACATGTCTTCTCTCTTTGTTAAAAGTTTTAAAGTCCTCTGGAAAAGAAGTATGATATTCAAGGGAAATGGTGTCATTTATAAATATACAAATGTTGGGATTATTGAGTAGGAATCTAGATAGGCTCTAGATTCCACATAAAATTCATGAAAAAAACTAGCATCCATTTCTGCTGGATATAAATTTAAGGGGGGTGCTCAATTTCTTTACCAGATCTTTCAAGTTTTTCTGTCTCAGGCTCAATGCCTCCTACGTACGTGGTCTTGTAACATCTGGCTAACTTCAGAAATATATGTTTCCTTTCAAAAATTACACTTTTGCTCCTTTCTCCAACTACAGTTATACACATAAGATCCTGTTGTCCTAAGAATACAAAATAAAACCAATCAAGACAATTAACATCCACAGCTTGTCACAAAATCAACAGATATTTAAGCCTACATTTTTAATCAAAGTAAGCCTAATTAAACACTTCACAAATGACTTTGCAGCCTGGCACAAAAAAATGCCACATTTTAAAAAGTCCTTAAACATAACGTAAAAGAGAGTTTGCTAACAGATTATCACAAAGATTCTTGTGCGAAAACGCCAAGAGTTCTTATTTACGTTCTGTTCTTTAATTGTTGACAGGGTTTACTGGGTCCCACCATCTCTTTCAATTCTATGACATAATTCGGAGTTAAGATTTTAAACTTGGGAAAATAGGCCCTCCCTGTTGGCTCCTCCCTCTTTTGCAGCTTCCTTAGACAGCTACAGTAGGACCTCCCAAGTCACCACTGGGTTAATGATGTGTTTGGAAGCTTGCTGACAGTGTGAACAGCTTTGTCTTCTCACATATCCCCTGTGTTGATTCACGTGTAAGGTGAAAATATTTGCAAACTCAAACTGTTTGACGTTAAAGCCCAGGAACTCATTTGATTCTGCCTAAAGATAGTTCTGTGGAAATAGAAGTAATGGAGGGAGAAGAAACTTTTCATAAAATGTAGTTTTTATAGCTTTAGAAAATATCACACTCAATACTGCCTTTCTCATTTAAAACAAATTTCTACTGAAGCTACCTTTCAAATTTGGATATAATGTGTTTAGCTTGGAATTTCCCTAGTCTCCTTACAAATGCTTTTATTGTGAAAGTACAAAAAATGAAGTTTGAGATTTAATGGCTACTTTACTTGCCCTTCTACTTTTGGTCAGAAGAAAATCTGGAAACAAGAAACATAAAAGAATTCCCTTAACATATATGAGTGTTCTTATTTACCACGTTTGGTTATTAAATATGTATTTGCCATATCCATTAATAAGTATTAGCTTGTATCTAACATTATTACGATTGTTTTTAATTATGACTTCTTATTGTGATTATATATTGGCAAGAATAGTTGTGATGGAAAACTCAAAGAATTATTCATTAACAGAAATATTAAGAACTTGAAGCTGAGAGTGGCCCATGAAGTTAAGGTGTCTATCCTGATATTGAAGAAAAGTTTAGAACAGCCTCTGACAAAACAGTGCCCTCTAGTGGATATACAAACACCTGGAGTCAAAGCAATTCTCTCACATGAAGTGGGGTCAGGAGTTGGGACTCTGGGGGCATAAAGATGTCTTACTATTACTGCATTAAGAGTAGCAACTAGGGTAATCCCAAAGACAAGAAGGACATGCGTCATTCATACAGTAAGCATATGTTGAGGGCCTACCATGTGCCAATACTGGTGCTAAACACATTGGTTAAAGATGAATAGAAGAGCATCCCTGCCCTCAAGCTCATAGACTAAGATAATCACATTTAAGCAAAGAAAGCATGGAAGAAAGAGAAGTAGAAAGATGGGAAGAGAAGCTAGGTTTTTAAAGGAGGGAAAAAAAATTGAACATTTTCATACTGGCTGTTGTCAAAAAGTGCTAAATCCAACCAACCAAGCATTGAAGTAGTTCTTGAATACCTATGATAGGCCCACCCTCAAAATTAACTGTTAAACCTAGCAGAAGATAAAACTAGATAAACTGTGTTTCCCATAACCCAGGAACTTTCTGTATTACTATCATTTAGAAAGAGCCTAAGACCTTGATATCAGCAAGATCAGGGTTCATATAGTTTGATGAATCTTCAGGAGCAAGGGAAGAGGACATTTCAGAGTTCATAATGCTCCCCAAGATGCTCTCCCATGAGATCATTCCATGCACTCTGACAGAGGTGTATAAGAGTTGTAGTGGCTGGGCATGAGAGGATCAACCTCAAACTTGAGACTGTGCATAATCACTAATTGGAAACACAAAATAACAAATAAAGCACAGATCATTATGTCTTCTTCAGCATTAATGATATTCTATTTTCACCTTGAGTCCTATAAAGCACATCATAGTAATATGTACTTTGAGGCAGTATTGCACACACATATTTTGTTATATACCATTGAGTCATAGATGCCCATGGTGTTATAATAAAATGAAAGGAATGAAGTTGCTTTGGTGAACAATCAAAAGACACACAGGTCCAAGAGAATCAGAAAGAAAATAAGTGACAAATTTAAAGGGTAAACGTTTCCTCTATGATCCTCAATAATAAAAGCTTTTATTACACTCTAGCTTGATTAATTATTCCACTTCCCATGTGGCTGCACTGAACTCTATACATATTTTCATCACAATACCTATTACACTGTAATGCACTTTGTTTATATACCTGTCACCTTTTACCAGACAAATTTCTCAAACCTCCTTGAAGCCAGGGACTATGCTATCAGTCATTGTATCCTTACTTTCCTATTATTTCTAGAATAATACCTAGCACAAAATAGTCACTAAATTAATATTTAATGGTTCATTACTATTCAAAATATGTAATATGTTGAAAGGAATATATTATATCATCATCCAGATTTTGCTGGATAGAAGATGATAGGCAGATCAGGGCCCAGATACTACGCTTTTCCCACAGTCTGCAACCTGCAGACCAGGAGACTCCCTCAGGTGCCTACACCAGCAGGGCCCTAGATTTCAAGCACAAAGCTGGGCAGCCATTTGGGCAGACACTGAGCTAGCTGCAGGAGTGTTTTTTCATACCCCAGTGGCATCAGGAATGCCAGTGAAAGAACCATTCACTCCCCTGGAAAGGGGGCTGAAGCCAGGGAACCAAGTGGTCTGGCTCAGCAGATCCCACCCCCACGGAGCCCAGCAAGCTAAGATCCACTAGCTTGAATTTCTAGTTGTCAGCACAGCAGTCTGAAGTCCACCTGAGTTTCTTGAGCTTGGTTGGGGGAGGGGCGTCCTACCATTACTGAGGCTTGAGTAGGAGGTTTTCCCCTCACAGTGTAAACAAAGCCCCCAGGAAGTTTGAACTGGATGGAGCACACTGCAGCTCAGCAAAACCACTGTAGCCAGACTGCCTCTCTAGATTCCTTCTCTCTGGGCATGGTATCTCTGAAAGAAAGGCAGCAGCACCAGTCAGGGGCTTATATATAAAACTCCCATCTCCCTGGGACAGAGCACCAGGGGAAGGGGTGGCTGTGGGTGCAGCTTCAGCAGACTTAAACATTCCTGTCTGCAGGCTCTGAAAAGAGCAGTGGATCTCCCAGCACAGCGCTCAAACTCTGCTAAGGGACAGACTGCCTCCTCAAGCGGGTTCCTCACACCCATGCCTCCTGACTGGGAGACACCTTCCAGCAGAGGTCGACAGACACCTCATACAGGAGAGCTCCAGCTGGCCTCTGGCAGGTGCCCTTCTGGGGAGAAGCTTCCAGAGGAAGGAACAGGCAGCAATCTTTGCTGTTCTGCAGCCTCCGCTAGCGATACCTAGGCAAATGGGTCTGGAGTGGACCTCCAGCAAACTCCAGCAGACCTGCAGAAGAGGGGCCTGACTGTTAGAAGGAAAACTAACAAACAGAAAGGAATACCATCAACATCAACAAAAAGGACGTCCACAAAGAAACCCCATCCGAAGGTCACCAACATCAAAGACCAAAGGTAGATAAATCCACGAAGATGAGGAAAAAGCAGTGCAAAAAGGCTGCAAATTCCAAAAACCAGAACCCCTCTACTCCTTCAAAGGATCACAATTCCTCGCCAGCAAGGGAACAAAACTGGATGGACAATGAGTTTGATGAATTCACAGAAGTAGGCTTCAGAAGGTGGATAATAACAAACTCCTCCAAGCTAAAGGAGCATGTTCTACGCTAATGCAAATAAGCTAAGAACCTTGGAAAAATGTTAGATGAATTGCTAACTAGAATAAACAGTTTAGAGAAGAATATAAATGACCTGTTGGAGCTGAAAAACCAGCACAAGAACTTCATGAGGCATACACAAGTTATCTATAGCTGAATCGATCAAGCAGAAGGAAGGATATCAGAGACTGAAGATCAACTTAATGAGATAAAGTGTGAAGACAAGATTAGAGAAAAAAGAATGAAAAGGATGAACAAAGCCCCCAAGAAATATGGGACTATGTGAAAAGACCAACACTATGTTTGATTGATATACCTGAAAGTGAAGGGGAGAATGAAACCAAATTGGAAAACACTCTTCAGGATATTATCCAGGAGAACTTCCCCAATCTAGCAAGGCAGGCCAACATTCAAATTCAGGAAATACAGAGAACACCACCAAGATACTCCTCGAGAAAAGCAACCCCGAGACACATAATTGTCAGATTCACCAAGGTTGAAATGAAGGAAAAAATGCTAAGGGCGGCCAGAGAGAAAGGCTGGGTTACCCACAAAGGGAAGCTCATCAGACTAACAGCAGATCTCTCTGCAGAAATCCTACAAGCCAGAAGAGAGTGGGGGCCAATATTCAACATTCTTAAAGAAATGAATTTTCAACCCAGAATTTCATATCCAGCCAAACTAAGCTTCATAAGCAAAGGAGAAATAAAATCCTTTACAGACAAGGAAATGCTGAGAGATTTTGTCACCACGAGGCCTGCCTTACAAGAGTTCCTGAAGGTAGAACTAAATATGGAAAGGAAAAACCAATACTAGCCACTGCAAAAAGATACCAAATTGTAAAGACCATCGACACGATGAAGAAACTGTGTCAATTAACAGGCAAAATAACCAGCTAGCATCATAATGACAAGATCAAATTCACATATAACAATATTAACCTTAAATCTAAATGAGCTAAATGCCCCAATTAAAAGACACAGACTGGCAAGTTGGATAAAGACTCAAGACCCATTGGTGTGCTGTATCTCACGTGCAAAGACACACATAGCCTCAAAATAAAGGGATGGAAGAAACTTTACCAAGCAAATGGAAAGCAAAAAAAAGCAGGGGTTGCAATCCTAGTCTCTGATAAAAACAGACTTTAAAGCAACAAAGAAGAAAAAGGACAAAGAAGGGCATTACATAATGGTAAAGGGATCAACACAACAAGAAGAGCTAACTATCCTAAATATATATGCACCCAATATAGGAGCACCCAGATTCATAAAGCAAGTTCTTATAGACCTACAAAGAGACTTAGACTCCCATACAATACTAGTGGGAGAATTTAACACACCACTGTCAATGTTAGACAGATCACTGAGACAGAAAATTAACAAGGATATTCAGTACTTGAACTCAGCTCCGAAATAAGCGGACCTAATAGACATCTACAGAACTTTTCACCCCAAATCAACAGAATATACATTTTTCTCAGCACCACATCACATTTATTCTAAAATTGACCACATAATTGAAATTAAAACACTCCTCCACAAATGAAAAGAACAGAAATCATAACAAACAGTCTCTCACACCACAGTGCAATCAAATTAGAAATCAGGATTAAGAAACTCACTCAAAACTGCACAACTACATAGAAACTGGACAACCTGCTCCTGAATGACTACTGGGTAAATAACGAAGTTAAGGCAGAAATAAAGAAGTTCTTTGAAAGCAATGAGAACAGAGACACAATGTACCAGAATCTCCAGGACACAGCTAAAGCAGTGTTAAGAGGGAAATTTATAGCACTCAATGCCCACAGAAGAAAGTGGAAAAGATCTAAAATTGACACCCTAACATCACAATTAAAATAACTAGATAAGCAAGAGCAAACAAATTCAAAAGCTAGCAGAAGACAAGAAATAACTAAGATCACAGCAGAAATAAAGGAGATAGAGACATGAGAAACCCTCCAAAAAATCAATAAATCCAGGAGCTGTTTTTCTGAAAAGATTTACAAAATAGACCACTAGCCAGACTAATAAAGAAGAAAAGAGAGAGGAATCAAATAGACACAATAAAAAATGATAAAGGGGATATCACTACTGATCCTGCAGAAATGCAAACTACCATCAGAGAATACTATAAACACCTCTACACAAATAAACTAGAAAATCTAGAAGAAATGGATAAATTCCTGCATGCAAACACCCTACCAAGACTAAACCAGGAAGAAGTCAAATCCCTGAATAGAACAATAACAAGTTCTTAAATTGAGGCAGTAATTAATAGCCTACCACAAAAAAAAAAAAAGAGCAGGACCAGACGAATTCACAGTTGAATTCTACCAGAGGTACAAGGAGTAGCTGGTACCATTCCTTCTGAAACCATTCCAAACAATAGAAAAGGAGAGACTTTCCCTCACTCATTTTATGAGGCCACCATCATCCTGATACCAAAACCTGGCAGAGACACAAGAAAAAAAGAAAATTTCAGGCCAATATCCCTGATGAACATAGATGCGAAAATCCTTAATAAAATACTGGCAAACCGAACCCAGGAGCACATCAAAAAGCTTATCCACCACTATCATGTTGGCTTCATCCAGGGAATGCAAGGCTGGTTCAACATATGCAAATCAATAAACGTAATCCATCACATAAACAGAACCAATGACAAAAAACACATGATTATCTCAATAGATACAGAAAAGGCCTTCAATAAAATTCAGTGCCCCTTCATGCTAAAAACTCTCAATAAACTAGGTATTGATGGAATGTATCTCAAAATAATAAGAGCTTTTTATGACAAACCCACAGCCAATATCATACTGAATGGGCAAAAGCTGGAAGCATTCCCTTTGAAAACCAACACAAGACAAGGATGCTCTCTCTCTCCACTCCTATTCAACATAGTATTGGAAGTTCTGGCCAGGGGAATCAGGCAAGAGAAAGAAACAAAGGGTATTCAAATAGGAAGAGAGGAAGTCAAATGGTCTCTGTTTGCAGATGACATGATTGTATATTTAGAAAACCAATCATCTCAGCCCAAAATCACCTTAAGCTGATAAGCAACTTCAGCAAGTCTCAGGATACAAAATCAATGTGCAAAAATCAGAAACACTCTTATACACCAATAATAGACAAACAGAGAGCCAAATCATGAGTGAACTCCCATTCACAATTGCTACTAAGAGAATAAAATACCTAGGAATACAACTTACAAGGGAAGTGAAGGACCTCTTCAGGGAGAACTACAAACCACTGCTCAAGGAAATAAGAGAGGACACAGATGAAAAAACATTCCATGCTCACGGACAGGAAGAATAATTATCATGAAAATGGCCATACTGCCCAAAGTAATTTATAGATCCAATGCTATTCCCATCAAACTACCATTGACTTTCTTCACAGAATTAGAAAAAAAACTACTTTAAATTTCATATGGAACAAAAAAGAGCCCATATAGCCAAGACAATCCTAAGCAAAAAGAGCAAAGCTGGAGGCATTACGCTACCTGACTTCAAACTACAAGGCTACAGTAACCAAAACAGCATGGTACTGGTACAAAAGCAGATATATAGACCAATGGAAAAGAACAGAGGCCTCAGAAATAACGCCACACATTTACAACCATCTGATCTTTGACAAACCTGACAAAAACAAGCAATGGGGAAAGGATTTCCTATTTAATAAATGGTGTTGGGAAAACTGGCTAGCCATGTGCAGTAAACTGAAACTGGACCCCTTCCTTACACCTTATACAAAAATTAACCCAAGATGGATCAAAGATTTAAATGTAAGACCTAAAAACATAAAAACCCTAGAAGAAAACCTAGGCAATACCATTCAGGACATAGGCGTGGGTAAAGACTTCATAACTAAAACACCAAAAGCAATGGCAACAAAAGCCAAAATTGACAAATGGAATCTAATTAAACTAAAAAGCTTCTGCACAGCAAAAGAAACTATCATCAGAGTGAACAGGCAACCTACAGAATGGGGGAAAACTTTTGCAATCTATCCATCTGACAAAGGGCTAATATCCAGAATCTACAAAGAACTTAAACAAATTTACAAGAAAAAAAGAAACAACCCCATCAAAAAAGTGGGTGAAGGATATGAACAGACACTTCTCAAGAGAAAACATTTATGCGGCCAACAAACATATGAAAAAAAGCTCATCACTGGTCATTAGAGAAATGCAAATCAAAACCACAATGAGATACCATCTCACGCCAGTTAGAATGGCAATTGTTAAAAAGTCAGGAAACAACAGATGCTGAAGAGGATGTGGAGAAATAGGAAGGCTTTTACACCGTTGGTGGGAGCGTAAATTAGTTCAACTGTTGTGGAAGACAGTGTGGCTATTCCTCAAGGATCTAGAACTAGAAATACCATTTGACCTGGCAATCCCATTACTGGGTATACATCCAAAGGATTATAAATCATTCTACTATAAAGACACATGCACACGTATGTTTACTGCAGCACTATTCACAATAGCAAAGACTTGGAACCAACCCCAATGCCTATCAATGTTAGACTGGATAAAGAAAATGTGGCACACATACACCATGGAATACTATGCAGCCCTAAAAAAGAATGAGTTCATATCCTTTGCAGGGACATGGATGAAGCTGGAAACCATCATTCTCTGTAAACTAACATAGGAACAGAAAACCAAATACCACATCATGTTCTCAATCAGTGGGAGTTGAACAAGGAGAACATATGCTGACAGGGAGGGGAATATTATACACTGTGGCCTGTCAGGAGTGGGAGGCAAGGGAAGGGACAGCATTAGGAGAAATACTAAATGTAGATTATGGGTTGATGGATGCAGCAAACCACCATGGCACATGTATACCTATGTAACAAACCTGCATGTTCTGCACATGTATCCCAGAACTTAAAGTACAATAATAAAAAAAGAAGATAGACAGTTTACATACAAAAACTCTAAATATAAAATTAACAAATAGAAAAATTATAGCCCTACTAACTGATCAAAAGACCTTTAAAAATACCATTAAAATTTACTGAATACACAAAAATAAGAAAACTCAATGTTGGTAGGACCATGGGGAACCTGGCATATATAGCATGTACATTTACTATGAAAATATGGGCCAACATTGGAGAAAATAATACAGACAGGCATTATTCAGACCCCTGACCTAGGAATTTTATTTGGTAAAATTATACCACAACAGAAGACTACAGCCAAAGAAAAAGAAAAATGTATACAAGGTGTTCTCAATACACCTGAAGGTAATGAGAAAAGGAAAATAAAAATAAAGGAAGAAAAGACAGAAGGACACAAGAAAGGAAGAAAAGTAAGAAACAAATTTTCAAATTAAAAAATTGAGAGGAAGGAAGGAAGACAGCAAGGAAGGGAAGAGAAGGGAGGTAAAGAAAGAAAAATTGAAATAAGATAAATGTCCAAGAATAAGGAAATAGATAAGTAAACTGGCATAGCAACATGCAGAGACAATATATAATTAATTAAAAGAAATACATATATTGGACCAATGCATGGAGGATATATACTCATATATATATGTGTGTGTGTGTGTGTCTGTGTGTCTGTATGTGTGTGTGTCTGTGTGTCTGTATGTGTGTGTCTGTGTGTCTGTATGTGTCTGTGTGTGTGTTTGTGTGTATGTGTGTGTCTGTATGTGTGTGTATGTGTGTATGTCTGTCTGTGTGTGTGTGTGTGTGTATGTGTGTGTGTTTATGTGTGTGTGTGTGTGTGTGTACTGGGCATGATGGGTCAAGCACTATGCTAGGCTTTTGCTACATTTAATCTTCACAACTGCTCTGCCTTGGCAGATTATTTTGTACCAAGACTCACAGTTTAAATTTGCCCAAATAAACTATCTTAAAAAAATCAGATATTCACTAAATAGCACTGTAAAAATACACTTTATATATCAAAAGATAATTTTCAGTGATACAAACACTTAGAATACAACAGTCATTTTAAGATTTCATCTACTAAAAATGATGAAAATTAATTACAGCTTCTAATTCGGCTGCAGTCTTGTCCAGAGTTTTTATTTTTTTTGTGGTGGGGAGGGTGGGTGGGGGTGAGAGGGAGAACTGGAACATCGGACCACTATTTTAAAAATAATGAGTTTGATGAAAAAAAATATTTCTACCCTCCTAATAAATTTATAGGGTTTTTTGGGGGGTGGGTGGGTGGGATGTTGCAAGACCTTGGCCTTCGTTTCTAAAAGTCTTCTGGTTTCTACCAACAGAGAGAAGCTCCAAACTGTCTCCATTAACCTCTGATCATAGCATGAGGTGAAGGGGAATCAGGCAAACTGAGAATATTTAAATATTCTCTCTGCATAAAAGCTGTTTAGCTGCTGGAATCATTTCCTCTTGCTGTCCCTGAGCTAAAGAAGTAGATCGATCAGCAGGGGAGGTGAACAGATGCAGCTGGACAGGAAGAGAGGCTTAGAGGAATCACATTTGAGCAGCCATGGGGGATGAGACACGGCAGAGGAGAGTTCACAGAAGCAGCTGGAAGGACGGAGCAACAGAGGAAAGGGGCTCAGCAAGGAGAAAGCAAGAGACAAGATGTGCTCAGAGAAGCTCACAGCTTGCAATACTCCCTAAATGTCTGCACAGAATGAGGAAGACACTTATTCCCAAGGGGGACTGTCATTCCCCCTTTTCCATTACAGCCTGCAGAAAAATTGAACACACATTTCAATCTTCCATTTGCCCTTTTTGGACATCCTGGCCTCTGTGATCAAGGCCCACCCTAGATACATAACCCTGGGGCAAGTCTCCTATTGTATTCCCATTTCCCAAAAGGTAAAGTCATTCATCTATATTAGGCATTGACCAGGAAATATGTCAGGGAATGCTCAGCATTCTTCTTCTCTATAAGCATCAGGGACTCACTTTCTTCTCTCCTATCCCACACAGGTGAATGCTACATCCAAATGACCAAGAGTCAGAATTCTTGAAAGAAGAGAATTTCTGACAGATAGTGAGATGAGAACACACTGAGTGAATAAGGGTTGAATAACAAATTAACACTCCTCAGAAAGCCTTTCAACAAAAACCAGCCATCTGGAAAAAGCTGAAAGCTCTGTATTTTTGGAAGCCACTGTTTACAGAACATATTAAACTTCTTTATTATTAATGTTACAAATAAGCAGAGAACAAAAACACTCACACCTTATAGATAGCCTCATTATATCCCTGACGATCATCCTGGAAATTAAGATAATGATAGCATTTTGCATTAATATGGGCCTCTATAGTGTACAGGCAATTAATACATGGTTTATTTTAATTATCTTCCTTAATTTTAAAGGTGGGATTTTAAGGAGTGTATATCATTTAAATTTCATTGTCAGAGGTACAGGATATTCTTTAGAACAATTATTGCCTGTACATACATGTGCATTTAAAAATCATCACTCACCATTACCTAGTCTTATCTTGAATCTATAGCTCTTCTAATGCCTGACAGTCCCTTCAGCACCTAGGACAGTGCCTCATTTTCATCATCACGTAACTATCTGAAGAAATAAACAGTATCATATTGAAGGACAGGACTCTGCTGCAGAACTCTTTACATATTTCAGGAGATGGAAAAAAAAGCTGGCCTTCAAGATATAGGCACAAAGTAAAATCATCTTTTTAGACATCATTAAGTAGCAAACTATTATGCCAGTTTATTTATTTTAATTACAGAAATTTTTGGTAGCCTCATCTCAAGTAATGCTAACATAAAAGGCACATATCCAAACAGAAATACAAGTTAATTTTCAGGGAACCATTCCCCAATGAGTTTTATACGAATAGGCCATTACTTTCCCTTTTCTTCCCTGTGGACCAAGGTTACCAACATTGTTCCCTTTTACAAATAGCATATTAAAAAAAAAAAAGAAGAAGATGAGGGGAGGACACCAGAGAAGGAATTAATATTCATTAAGCCTTTAAAATGTGCCTGATAAAAAACATTGGCACTTTTAAAAAACATTATCTTAATATTTATAATAACTCTAAGAAATAGGTATTCTTGTCTAGATGAAGAAACTAAAGCTCAGAGATTTTAAGAAACTGATCCAAGAGGTCCAGAAGATCTAAGTGCTTCTATTAACCAGGCTCCTAGTTATTAGTAAATTTGTGTGCTTAAGTATTCACTAAGTTTCTCTCTCTCTCTCTCTTCCCCCGCATATACACACAGAAAGACACAGAAACACAGTTACAATGAGAACTACAATAAAATATGGAATGCTGAGAGCAACACACAATGTTTTCTGGATAGCAGAGATAAATATAAAATCATAGAAATATTACATCCTCTCACGGAAATCAGGATCAGAAACTGTCAGATGAGAAGTCTTGATGGTCATTTTTAGACAGAATGATTAAAATGTAAATCTATTAGGTTTTTAGGTGAGATGGGACTTTGTAGGTAGATTTTAGTCTGTTCACTGCACAGCACTCCAAAATTCATTTTCCTGACTTCTCCAAGCAGTTACTAAATCCTGCCCTTGTACTACCCCAGAATTTTTATTAAATGTCTACATAGGTTTTGCCTTGTTTTAATACACGGAACCTCTCCCAGAAGTTCTAAACCTGTAGCTCACAGCCCCTTCCCTCAAAACAAAATTGCAAATGTTGTGCCTTTGTGCATTTTTCTGCAATGGTGTTTTATAACTTCCCCAGATTTTTCACTGCTCTAAGCTATAAGGTCAATCCCCGTTATCTCCTCCGGGTAGCACAGTGCTTGACCCTCAATAAATGTCTGACCAATAAATGAATAAATGGCATTTGATGAGACTCTGAAAGAAAATGTGCAGTCCTCTCTGTGTTCTTTGGCCTCCTAGAGTTCTGTAAAATTTAAATAGTGGCCGGGCGCGGTGGTTCACGCCTGTAATCCCAACACTTTGGGAGGCTGAGCGGGGCGGATCAGGAGTTCAGGAGATGGAGACCATCCTGGCTAATATGGTGAAGCCCCGTCTCTACTAAAAATACAAAAAATTAGCCGGGCTTGGTGTCGGGCTCTTGTAGTCCCAGCTACTCGGGAGGCTGAGGCAGGAGAATGGCGTGAACCCGGGAGGCGGAGCTTGCAGTGAGCCGAGATCGCGGCACTGCACTCCAGCCTGGGCGACAGAAGAAGACTCCGTCTCAAAAAAAAAAAAAAAAAAAAAAAAAAATTAAATAGTTCTGTTTTAGCAGTGCTTCAGCATTATGTTGAGCACATGAAGTCTGGAGTCTTCTGCCTAGGTTCCTGTCTGGGCTCCACCACTTATTAACTGTTTGACTTTAGCCAAGCTATTTGGCTCTCTAAGCCTCAGTTTCTTCATCTCTGAAATGGGGCTTATGATAAGATTTGCTTAATGTATCTGATGTAATTAGGTAATGAAAAAATATGTTAAAAGTGCCTGGCACATGCTAGCAGACACCCAGCGACTGTTATGTGAGGATGGCATTGTATTTGCTGGTGGTGACTACAATCCCAGAACTCTGCTAATTACTCTTCTGCATATCTGGGACATAAATTCAGATAACATTAAAACCATAGTAGAGCAAAGCCTATTTCCATTTTCTTAACATGTAATTTATTGAGCACCTACAATAGCCTGGCCTAATAAGTGGCATAAGATGAAATTCATACATACACAGAAATAGAAACAGAAAATTAAAAATTAAAATATCATATTTGAACTTTTAGGGGATTGTGGCTAAGAAGTTTCTCTTAGTGCTAGGTTTCTTCTCAGTATTTCCTTTAACCACCCCAAGTCACTATGACAGATAATGTCGGTTTTACTGAAATGTCTCTGACAAGGATGGAGAAGTAGGGAGATATTTTCACAGATGGCTCAGGCCTGTGCATTTTTTTTTTTCCAGTGGTGTCCTTCCTGCAGCAAAAGGCTCAAACCTGTCCTAGAAAATTTTGACTGGCTTCCTTTGAGAAGGGAGTGTTTTTGGTTCACTGGACTTTGGAATATTTTTACTGCTATATGCTCCCCCCAATTCCTCTATCAGTTTTAATTCTGAAATATTTTGGAGCAATTGTGCTAGCAAAGTATATTAAGTATATTAAAAGTAAATAAATATTCTGACCTGTTTAAACAACTTGATGACTGGTGATTATTGGGAGAATAATGTACCAAAAATCTTTCCGCTGAATTTTATGTTTTATTAAGTAATATTAGTAAAGGATTTTAACATGATGATATATGCCTGGCTGGAAGCATACTTGTATCTAATTGTGTGCGCACAGTAAGTCTACATGAATTTATACAAATCTATGCTGAAAGTGGTATACGCTGGATTCTAACAAATCAAGATGCTCATTTAACACAATACATTTAAAGACAAAAAGTGCAGTTATTATTCCAAAGAAACTCTTGTATTAAAGAATCAGAAAGCCTCAGATTCATCATAACTAACAAGACTTGAATGAAGTGCGTTCTGTTGCTGCATTTCTCATTCTAACAGCCTCTCCTCACTGAGTTCTGGCTGGTGCATCAGGCCTTTCTGCAGCGGGATAATAACTGATGGCAGGCTGACACAGAGCCCAAGGAGAGCTCCATCAGGAGGTCTCCTGGGCTTAGGGATCAGTGTGCTTAAAATATTAGGATTTGATAGAGTTAACACTTGCCCTTGAGCAGATGGTTTTGAACATTCTGTCAACACTGCCAGTGATTACTGCAAACAGATTCTTCGTCCCAGAGGGACGGGAGTGAAGTGCTTTCTAGTTCCCCAGTCTCATCTAAGAGGTGTAAAACGTGTCATTTCCAGGGTCTTCTCTCAGCCATGAGAAGTGCAAACAGTTCCCACACCACGCAGCCAGAGAGCCATAACTCAATCAAGAGCCTTTTCCCTGGGTCGGAGAGGAAATACAGACCTGGCTGAGCTTAAACTTAACTTAAAATTTTCTATTTTGTGCCACAGGAATACTTTGGGTCACTGGAATACTTTGTCACTGAATTTCTTTTTACAGCCTGCCAGAATGAAGATTAGCAGTAATTAGACCTCACAACGAGTGTAAGAGGTGTGAAAATGGGGAAGATTTTGTGGAAACAAGTTGACTTCAAAGTTTCCAAAGTAGGAATTAACACACCTGCCAGTGTTTATTTTGAACTTTGGCAAAGTCATTTTGGGGAGAAATGTCTCTGCAAATGAAGAGCATACATAACCCACTCCTTTTGAGTGAAATTGGTTCTAAGAATTAAGAAATGAAACAATCAATGATAGGAAATTATGGAAAGCAACTTGCAACATTCTCATTCTACAGTAGAACAAACCAGTAACACCAGAGAAGGCATAGCAACTGCAGCATCATTCAGTAAGGCCTGCTCTCTGCATAGCGCTGCATTTTGAGGAATGCCATTAGCCAAACGAAATTTCCTGTACCCCAAAATAAGAGTTCAGAAGACAGAGCCTATATTCATAGAAGCTTTGCTGTAGAAGAAGCTGACAGAAAACCTCTTACCCACAATGATTAGGACTTCATTACTAGAAAATAATGTGCAAGATAAACACCTCCATCTCCAACCTTGGAAAATGGTTATTTTAGGTGCTGTTTGCCTGGTCCTGCCTGTCAGCTGATCTCCACTGAGTGAACCTGAGCTGCTTCTCACCGTTACTTCTGAGAGGAAATGCTTTGCAGGACAAACAAGCCTGCCAATTCCAACATGCAGAGGGGCTTTTTAAAAAAAAGAAAAGAAAAGAAGAGTGAAGTGTGTGAGAGGCAAAGCTTAAAGATGTGCAGATCTAGACCTCGGCTCTCATGCTAAAGGTTTATAGCCTCTCCTTCATTATATCGTCTTGCTGTGATGCTCCGAACACCTGTGCTATTAAATTTTTTTCTTAGATTTTTTTAATAAGAAAAAACTAACAAAGTAAAATTTGTTGACAGTGTTCACAGTCAATGCAGTGGGTGTTCCACCTATGCGCTGTCACATTTTTCATGTTCATTTCTGCAGGTGCTAAACACATGCTGACAACAACATATGTTACCAATCTTAAGTGTTTTTTTTTTTTTTAAACTGGTAATTAAGGAGTGCACACAGCTTGAAAAAAAATAATACAGGTGAAAGCTGCCTCTGCCCAAAGAGTTCTTATTTATTTTTCTTCTGCCATTTAGGTAGTTTTAAATGCAGCATATATAAAAAAGTAAGCTCTCAAAATTATTATCTATGTAAATAGCAGTCATAAAACAAATTTGTAACTTAACGCTAAAAACACTTGAGCTTACTTGCTCCCTCAGGAAACCCCGTGTATTCCTTCCTCTTTTTTTGTTTTGCTTTGTTTTTTGTTTTTTATTTTTTTCTTGGCTCTTTGTTGTTTTTCTTGCTCCTTTTATTCATGCATTTGGGCTTTCTGGAAAATCATACAAACCCTCCAAAAAGTATTTATTATGCTATACAAACCTCAAAGTTGTAGAAACATTCTCTAAGTAGAATTCTTTCATACTTTTGTTACTTTCTGACTGTGTACAAGATCACTACTGCATAGTTAAATAATTAGCAAGAAATCATTGTAATTTTATCCCTATGAATTGCAGAGACAATTTCTTTTTATCAGCCATTAGGGGACTGTATAACAGCTTCTACATTCTTCCTCTAGGGACCAATGATGGGGTGATTGATGATGTTTTCAAAATGGGCAGGACTCAATTCTCTGACAGCTGGTAAGAAAGAGTTTTGAAGTGTTCTCCAAATGTGACGAAATATCAAAATCAGCTGGGCACTCAATCTTCCTACCTTTGATCCTCTCCCCACCCCTAACTGCAGGCAATCGGCCAAGCTTAGTCCATCCTCAGAGCCCTTGCTTCTCCTTACCCAAGACCTTCACATAAACAAGCTGCAGCTGGGGTGGTTCCTCTTTGGAAACGCTTTCTTGAACACCCTGTGCAATGCTGCTTCACCCCAGAACTCAGACACTTGGCCGTGCTTCGTGGACCTTGAGGTGATTGTCGCTATTATAAGTTATTGTTTGCTTCTCCAACTAAAATGTAAGCCCCATAAGATAAAGGACTCCTTATCTACTTTGTTCACATCTAGCATGGAACCTGCACAAAGTAGATGTTTAATCAATATTTGTTGAATAAATTAATAAGTCACTTACAGATACATATATGTAAGGCTGTTTTCCCTGGGCATTATGATTCAGTAGGTCACAGGGGAAGCCAAAAATCTCTAGTAAAAGCACTTCAGGTAGATGAGATCATCAGAAAAATTTAAGAAACACTTTCTTATGTGCCTTGCTACCCAGCATGGTCCATGAACTGGCAGCATCAGCATTGTCAGGGAGCTTGTGAGAAATGTGGACCCCCAGGCTCAGCCCCAGACCCACTGAATTAGAACCTACATTAGCAAGATCTCTGGGTGATCTGTACACTAATTAATGTTTGAGAAGCACTGCACAGCCACATGTATTTCCAGACCAAGTCTCTCTTGCCAATGAGATACATAAATGGAGGCATCGCCAGGACTCTCTGGCAAAGACCCTCACCTAGGCCTGGCAGCAGAAATGGGAGCTTTGCGATGGAAATTATCAGCTCCATACCTCCAAAAATGAATATTTAACTTCCACACCAGCAATTCTCATAGTGTGATCCCCAAGCTAGCAGCATCAGTATCACTTGGAAACTTACTGGAAATACAAATTCTTGGGCCTCACCTCAAACCTACTGAATTAGAAACCCTGAGGGTGGGACCCAACAATTAGCCTTTTTTTTTTTTTCTTTTTGAGGCAGAGTCTTGCTCTGTCGCCCAGGCTGGAGTGCAGTGCCGCGATCTCGGCTCACTACAAGCTCCACCTCCAGGGTTCACACCATTCTCCTCCTCAGCCTCCCGAGTAGCTGGGATTACAGGCACCCGCCACACCGCTGGGCTAATTTTTTGAATTTTTAGTAGAGACAGGGTTTCACCATGTTAGCCAGGATGGTCTTGATCTCCTGACCTCATGATCCACCCACCTTGGCCTCCCAAAGTGCTGGGATTACAGGCGTGAGCCACCGTGCCCGGCCCAATTTGCCTTTTAACTGGCTCTCCACGTGAGATTCTGATTTTTACTAAAGTTTGGGAAACACTGTTTTAGACCAGAGTGTGTTAAAATCACTGGGGGGGTGGGGAGAGGGCATGGGGGGATGAGTTTCAGAAATCTCAATGCTTAGGCCACACCCCAGCTCAATTAAATAAGAATTTCTGGGAGTGGCAGCCAGTTTTCAGTGAACTAAATCTTTTAATTTGATTCTGATGGCAGTTGAGACTGGGAACCACAGTTCTATACCACAACCAGATCTATCTGGCCACTTGGCATTAGTTAGTCACCAGAAGAACTTGGAAGCAAATTAGATTCAGACAGTGGTTCTCAAACTGCAGCATGCATGAGAATCTCACCTGCAGGTGTTATTAAAACACAGACTGGCAGGTCCTACCCCTAGAGTTTGAGTTAGCAGGTCTGGGGTGGGGCAGACAGTCTACGTTTCTAACAACTTCCCAGGTGATGCTGATGCTGCTGGTCCAGAGAAGATACTCCAAGAGCCACTGCTCTGCAGTAATCAGTCTCCAGGATAGTTCAGAGATACTCAATTTAAAGCAGAGACAAGTTTATTTTGCTAAATTCTGGAAAGGCATAAACACAGAAGGCACATTTGTGCTGGATCTGGGTCAGTTTTTATTATTTTATTCCCCAGGTGGCAGCCTCAGCACAGATTTAACAACTACATTCTGATGTCTCCCCCATAGCCTGAAGGCTCATTCTCATTCATCCTCCCTCATCCTCACTCTACAACACCCAAGTTTGTAGGATCTTATTAGGGCCCATTTCACAGGTTTTATTCAGGAAGAATACACATGTCTCCCAGACTCTGACATCCTAGGTCTGACAGACTACATTAAGTTCTTCCAACATGGTCCAACTACAGAGGTCACTGGTGACTAAGTAGAGCCACCTGAAGCCAGTGGACCCCAAATTTCTGATCCTTGTAAACTCCTCTCCATGCTTTTATAGTCAGGAATTGGAAAGGAGGATTATCTATTAAGTAGATAACTAAGAACTGGATAGACATGGATTCAGATCATGGCTCTGTCCCTTAATTAATTAGTTTAATCTTTCTATGTGTACTGATCTATGAAACAGATAGGAGACTTATGAGTTAGACATTCCTTGGTGCTAGGTACTGCCCAGCCATTTATTGGCTATGTATCTTGAAGGAGGTTACTTCTTTACCCCTCAGTTTTGTTCTAATGATATTACCACCCCTCAGGGTTGTTGTAAGAAGCAAAACGAGTTACTTTATATAAAGGGTACAGAATATGTCCCTGGTGCTTTATGTATTTTAGACTTTAAGCTGCTCAGATCTCTGGTTCCTCCACAAATTGTTCAACCACTCACCTCCCTACTTCCAAATAGTGGTTTATAATCTTCTATTTCCTAGTCCCTCATCATGTCTTGATCCCAGTTATCTGGTTATGGCCCCTACTGTTCCACAGGTACCTAGTAATCTAGGCATTTTACATGGACTATCTCATTTAATCCTCAAAACAAATTTAAGGGGTACACTGAGGTATTCTTAAATTATAAATGGTTCAACTTAGGCCCAGATAAATTAAGTAACTTTCTCAAGGATACACATGTCCTTTAGTAATTGGATAATTGGGACTTAAACTCAAGCAGATCAGACTTTTCAGCCGACTAATGAGCTATAAATGATCAAACCCAATGGCCTTGTTTCTAGATTCTTATTGTCCTTGATCTCCCTGGATCATCAAAGGCAACTGACTACTCTCTCCCTGAAAGTTTCTTCTCTCTGGACTTACTAATAGTCACAGCATTAGACTATTCTTTCTCCTAACTTTCAATTCTTTTTTAGGTCTCCAAATCAGTATTATAAACTTTGACCTCTCTCCTAAACTCCATACCTTCATTTCCAATTGCCTGCTGGGCATTTCTGCCTGGCTTTGACCAGAAACTCAAAAGCTTCATATGCCTCTCCCTAGCTCATTCTCCTTCCTTATTTATTTTTGTTAATGGCACCACCATCTCCCTAGGCATCAGGGTTCAAAACCTCAGAGGCAGGTAGTTAGTTGGAGCCCCTACTTAGCTATTTCTACTGCAAACTCACTCTTTTCACAAGCTACACTACCTCTCTAAAAGGGCCTTAATGCCACTTCTCAGCAGCAATGTGGGCAATAAAAATTATAGATAACACCTCTGCCCTTCCCCAAAAAGGAAAATGAACTGGAAAGGGAAATTTCAAAATTAAATAAAAAATTAGCCATAATCTTTCTTTTCTTTTTTTTTTAATTATACTTTAAGTTCTGGAATACATGTGCAGAACGTGCAGGTTTGTTACATCGGTATACATGTGCCATGGTGGTTTGCTGCACCCATAAACGCGTCATCCAAATTAGATATTTCTCCTAATGCTATCCCTCCTCTTGCCCCCCACTCCCCAACAGGCCCCAGTGTGTGATGTTCCCCTCCCTGTGCCCATATGTTCTCATTGTTCAACTCCCAATGATGACAGAGAACATGTGGTATTTGGTTTTCTGTTCCTGTGTTAGTTTGCAGAGAATGATGGTTTCCAGCTTCATCCGTGTCCATGCAAAGGATATGAACTCATTCTTTTTTAGGGCTGCATAGTATTCCATGGTGTATGTGTGCCACATTTTCTTTATCCAGTCTAACATTGATGGGCATTTGGGTTGGTTCCAAGTCTTTGCTATTGTGAATAGTGCTGCAATAAACATACGTGTGCATGTGTCTTTATAGTAGAATGATTTATAATCCTTTGGATGTATACCCAGTAATGGGATTGCCAGGTCAAATGGTATTTCTAGTTCTAGATCCTTGAGGAATCACCACACTGTCTTCCTCAACGGTTGAAGTAATTTACATTCCCACCAAAAGTGTAAAACAGCTTCATTCCTATTTCTCCACATCCTCTTCAGCATCTGTTGTTTCCTGACTTCTTAATGATTGCCATTCTAACTGGCATGAGATGGTATCTCATTGTGGTCTTTGATTTGCATTTCTCTAATGACCAGTTATGATATGCTTTTTTTTCATACGTTTGTTGACTGCATAAATGTCTTCTTTTGAGAAGTGTCTGTTCTTATCTTTTGCTCACTTTTTGATGGGGTTGTTTTTTCTTGTAAATTTGTTTAAGTTCCTTGTAGATTCTGGATATTAGCCCTTTGTCAGATGAATAGATTGCAAAATTTTTCTCCCATTCTGTAGGTTGCCTGTTCACTCTGATGATAGTGTCTTTTGCTGTGCAGATGCTCTTTAGTTTAATTAGATCTCATTTGTCAACTTTGGCTTTTATTGCCATTGCTTTTGGTGTTTTAGTCATGAGGTCTTTGCCCACGCCTATGTCCTGAATGGTATTGCCTAGGTTTTCTTTTAGGGTTTTTATGGTTTTAGGTCTTATGTATGAATCTTTAATCCATCTTAAGTTAATTTTTGTATAAGGTGTAAGGAAGGAGTCCAGTTTCAGTTTTCTCCATATGGCTAGCTGGTTTTCCCAACACCATTTATTAAATAGGGAATCCTTCCCCCATTGCTTGTTTTTGTCAGGTTTGTCAAAGATCAGATGGTTGAAGATGTGTGGCATTATTTCTGAGGCCTCTGTTCTGTTCCATTGGTCTATATAACTGTTTTGGTACTAGTACCATGCTGTTTTCGTTACTGTAGCCTTGTAGTATAGTTGGAAGTCAGGTAGTGTGATGCCTCCAGCTTTGTTCTTTTTGCTTAGGATTGTCTTGGCTATAAGGGCTCTTTTTTGATTCCATATGAAATTTAAAGTAGTTTTTTTCTAATTCTGTGAAGAAAGTCAATGGTAGCTTGACAGGGATAGCATTGAATCTATAAATTACTTTGGGCAGTATGGCCATTTTCATGATATTGCTTCTTCCTATCCATGAGCATGGAATGTTTTTTCATTTATCTGTGTCCTCTCTTATTTCCTTGAGCAGTGGTTTGTAGTTCTCCTTGAAGAGGTCCTTCACAACCCTTGTATGTTCTATTCGTAGGTCTAAATCAAAGAAAGATTATGTATATACTGTGCTCCATTTTTCCTGTTAAGAAGAACCATCTAGGAAACTCTTTTCTTACATGTAAAGGTGTTTGTCTTCACATGTGAGAGGAGACATTAGTTGGCCATGCAGCTGGGAGAATTAAACTTACAATCCAGTAGCACCATAATATAAGGTATCATGCTTATTTGCCCACTGTTTTTTAAAATAATTATTTCCAAATTGTTTGAAATATTTAGACAAACTTATTCAGTCATGGTGAATGAAATGCATAATCTTTAAGGTCCAGGAGAATCAAGGTATAGCTTTAAATTGTTAGAACTTGAAGTCTAAACTGCTTTAATGATCTGGTTAACTAAATGCCAGTTATTTCTCAACTTAGAAGCTCAAAGTTAGGGCCAAGGGTCTAAACTCTCTTTCCCTTAAGTGGTACTTAAAATCACAGAGCTCTCTGGATAAGTTATTCACTACTTCATGTGTGAGTTTCTCATGTGCATTTAGTGATAATCATAATACACCATCAGAGAGAGTGCAGTGGTCTTGAGAGAGGCTGATTTCAAAAAGAACTTGCATGCTCAGACTGACACACTCCGAAACCTACGGCCAAAAAGCAGTTTGCATCACTGACTGGTTCTGGAACTGGTTCTGGGGCTGGCTGGTAGAGGAGACCAACTGTACAGTGAAACTGTCTGCTGGCCTGCAATATACATGGCAGGGACGTGAGGATGCAGCATACACATGAAGTATAATTCACCGATGATATATAACAGGTTTTTAGGAGCACAAACTAAATCACCTGGAATTTTGCCAGACTCAAAAAGGAAAAAAAAAAGCCATAACAATCTTCTTTCTGCTAAGAATAATTACGTGAAATGTTCCCAGTAGGGTTGCCACCTTATTAAGTACCCAATTGTGATCTGCGGCTGCTAGGGACTGGCTAACAACATGATGAATGCTTTGTACAAGATCTATAGGAAGGACAAGCAAAGTTAAAGGGATATGTTATTTGGAAACATAAATGCAGCTGAAGTTCAGGGGCTCCTAATGAAAACACGTCTTTAACCATAATTATTGGGCGTTACCACACTCCCATAATGCTGAAGACTGGCCATCACTATCTAATTTTATTTCTTCTACAAATCTATGTCTAGATCTACTCTAAAGGGCAGTATAGAGAAAAGATACCATGAATTTAATTATTTTAATATTATTTAAAGAATCAAAAGTCAATCACTATGAGCATCTTTTACAAGGCACATTCCTTTTTATAAATTTAATTCATGTCACTGCAAGAATAAGCTAGTATTCTATTTACAACAAAGGGTTAAAATACAGATGCTGTGAATGAGATGTATAATCCTTAAGGCCTTAGGGCATTAAGACATATCTGCTCCTTAGGGTCCATCTTTGTCCATAATCAATTTCTTCCCTTGGAGAACATTAATTGTCTCTAATGATAGCTTTCCATCAATACATCCTTGATCTTAAAAGGCCTGTACAGCTTTTTCCTTTATTCAATCAAATCATCTCTACAATTGCCCCCCTTTAGTAAGATAATACCTTTTAAGCCTTGTATTTTAATATAAAAAATAAGAGGTAGCTGCAAATTCTAATGGAAGTGCTAACATTTGAGAACCAGGATGATGGCTTCCATTATCCTAAATAATGTTTGAAGATTACAGAAAGCACTGTGTTTCAAAAGGTGGAAACTAATCCACCACTTTCAAATTATTCCTTGTATAAAAATCGGTTCCGACATTAGGATTTTTTTTTTTTTTTTGCCCCAGTAACGGCACTGTATATTTAAATATTTGAATATGAAAGATAATTTTTCAGCTCTGAAATGGCAAATAATTGCTATTTATAAGGACAAAATGCTGAATAATTTGAGGAATTGACAACTTTAAACACCAAAGCCCTTTATTTTGTTATTCTCCTGATAAGCCATTCGCACACTCTTCACTCAAACCACCACAATCCTAATCAGTAGTTACTAAAATTATTTAATTTTGTGATGGCTAAAAAAAAAAGAGAGTGAGCGAGAGAGAGACCTTAGTCTCTTCATGACCCACTAATGTGTCTTGCTTTCTTCCCCCATTTGCCTTCCTCAAACCTGCTTTTCTAAAAGCATGGAAATTCATTTTTTTTTTTTGTCATTCTACTGATTGTTTCCATTCAAATAGATGATTGCTCTTGCACTGCTTTATCTAGGTTACCCAGGACAAATCTGTGTTTCTGTCCAAGGCCTCGCCACAACTTCTGCACAGATTGCCCTAATATTTATAATAGGTAAGAAAACTTGAGAAGAGATACTGATAGGACAAAAGCTGTCTGCCCTACAGAATTCTTCTTTGGGTAATTTCTATATTCTGTAGGAACATAGCAAAATGTCCATGCTGCATATAAAGTATCATTCTTATCACTGCAAGATTAGGAAGCCCTCCTCACCGGAGTCCATGGCTTACATGTGTGCTTTCTCTCTTACTTATAAAAAATCTGCCAGCATTCTAGGAAATAGATGAAGAGACTCTGTGGAATGTAATTAACTGCAAAGCCCAGGTGATTAAAAAACCGATTAAAAGAAAATAACACACACAACACAGAAAAGACCTTATTCACTGAAAAAAGATGGGGGGAAGGGGAGACAAACAGAAAAATTCCTATTTATTTGGGGTTTTGTCTAGTAATACGTGCAATTCTAAATCCTAAATTTATATTATGAATTAAAATATAAGCAATATTTTGTAAATACATTGGTTGCAAAATGAATACCAAAAGAAATATTAGAATTTTGTATGGAGGGAAAAGGTGTATATGAGGTAGATAATATCACCCTAACAAATATCAAACCTAAACAAAACACGCATACAAAGTGAGACCAGTTAACAACCAAGATAAGAGATGAAAATTGCCACTGGAGCAGATCAACTTTATTCAATGCCCTGATAAGCACCTATTTGCTCTTCCCCATTATGCTTTCTTAGTATTTATAAATTATCATTTAATTATGCTGGCAAGTGGTAATTGTCAAATAAAGCTCAGATAGGCATAAGCCCTCAGGCTGCACATGACAGAAAAATATCTGTTAAAGCTGGGCTGATTCACACGCTTAGGAAATAATTTCCTTTCTTCTTTTTATCCTTGCCAACAAATTATATGAACTGGCACTTTGTGCTTTGTAGGCATTTTGAAGTCTATGCAGATTACAGAAAAGAAAAATTAGTTGTTTCAATATCTACCATTCCTAAATTATTCTGCTGATTTAAGACTCCACGTACTGAGAGAACAAAAGAGTACCAAAGATCAAGAAATTCAAACCTTCCTCTACTTATAGTTTATGCTCAGGGTCATTTTCAATTGAGGAAATCAAGATTTGGAGAATTATTTTACATATTGTACAATGGATTTTACATAAAGTAGGAATTGGAACATGACATTCATCCCATTAGGAGAAATACAGAAATCTCGTTTTCCTTAAGTCCCTTACTACTTAGGTTTAATTAGTACCCAATCATCCCACCTCTTTTGTATTGAGTATTCTAAAAAAAAAAAAAAAAAAAAAAAGGAAACCTTCCAGCTAGTTGCACCACTTAGGTTTGGCTGTGGAGCATAAACACAAATAGACAATTATAATGCATATAGAAAGATAAGTTGAATACCAAGCGGCAATTTAATTCATATCTTATATTTAGACAGAATGTTGCATTTTGGTTATATATGTAGAGCCACTTGTAAATTATTTTTAATTCCAAGGCTGGGCAGAGAAGACACAGAAAATATCCTCTCCCTCCCTTGTGAGAAAGAGAGAGGAGAGAGAGTGAGAGAAAGAGAGACAGAAGGCGGGGTGGGGGGAGAAGCAAAACTTGAGTTCCTCTTGTGAGCAAAGATCATCACCCTTCTTTTTGGTTCCCCATCTCACTCCCTCCCTCCAGCTACCCTGGGCTGCTTTGGGGGCTGTTTAGTTACCATGTTCCCTCTTGCCTCAGTCTTTGTACATGTTATTTTTACTGCTTGGAAAGTTCTTTAAAACTTCAATTCCACTCCCTTCATCACTTCCAATCTTCTCAATCTATTTAAGTCCTACCCATTCTTAAGATCCTAATTCAAACATCTTTTCCTTAGGAAAGCTTTCTCCAAACTCCTACACCCAGTTCCAGTCACCTGGTGATATTTACTCTTGCAGCACTTATTACAGTGTAAGAAAAAGAATGATAATAGCAAATTATATAAACTTTATTATGTGCTAGACTACTATATGTTTTAACAGAAACCTCACAGCAACCTTGAGGAGGAAGACACTGAGGCATATCAACATAAAATAACTTGCCTAAGCTTCTGCAGCTAACAAGTGGTAAAGCCAGGATGCAAACTCAAGCCTGGGTTCAGAGTGTGTGCTCTTAACCATTGCTTCTTACCACTGTACTTACTTGCACAATTGTCTAGTCATTATTTGTTAATCCCCCCCTCCAACCCCCAATAGTTTGTAAGTACCATGAGCCTGTAGTTATGTCTATTTTGCTAAGGCTTGATGCATAAAAGGAACTCAATAAACAATTATTGAATCAATGGCCAAACGTTCAGCTCAAAATAAACATATGGGTTGAAAGCTGAACACTGCTTCATATCCCTGAGCTATTTTAGCTGCTGACATTGTTCCTCCTTATTTGGGGACCAGTCTGCTACCTTAATCCAGAAAGACAGCTTGACCTGGCAGAAAGTATTTCATGTGTCTTTGCCTCAGTGAATAAAATGCTTTTGTTTTTTGGGCTTTTGTTTTTTTATTTAAATGCCTTAATTCCTTTTATTTTAAAGATTTTAATTAAAAAGCAAAACGTTTTAAGTGTCATTGGTATTTTAAAACATATAAGTTATATAAAAATAATCCATTTACACAGATACTTTCTTTTGAGACTGAGTAGATATTGAGACCAGTATCATATATTACAATGCAGACTCAAAAATATATACCACTCTGAATGCAGAGAGACAATGGTACATTTGGCGTATTTTGCAGCCAGAATACAGGGTGCAATCTGTGTATTATTAATACTAGGTACAATCTGTGTATTATTAATACTTATTCATAGTCAACAGAAATGTTAACAATGTTTTGTCAAAATGTATAACTCATATTTGAATATGCAGTCTAGTCTTGAATAATTCAATTCACCGTATTCATTTGAAAAGTTAGCCATTTTCCTCTTTTTGCTTTGTTTGTACATACTTTTAGAGCATTTTAGTCCATGATGTGGGCTATTCAGCAACTCATGCAAATTTTCTTTTTAAAAAGGAAATAAAATGCTTTTTGGTAATCAGAATATAAAAACACATCCTGACTGGCACTTGGGAAACCAAACATAACTTAACCTTAATTCAGGCAGCCCTTTTTAAATAAGAGATGTTCCCTAGGCAGGCTATTAATTCGGAATTGCAAAGCTAAACTACATTCGTATCTTGGTATTCATAAATACTTTCTGAGTACTCAGGAATGGTTTTTCACTACTTATTTATTTTCATAGGCACTACTCTAACGCAATAGAAATTCTTTTAAAACGAAGTCGCCATTTTCAAAGAATGCTTTGCATCTTCTGTATTACATTGTTGTTTTGCCACTTATGATCTAGTCAGGATATTGTTGTAGCTTTGAAGCACTTTTCATTATAATTAGAGACTTAGCTTTTTAAAAAATAAAGCATTTACTTCTCATTACCATAAAAACAAAACAAAATAAAAATCTATCCCATTTGAAGATTGAAGAAACTAAGGCATTAAAAAATCAAGTGCCTTGCTCAAAAAATTGAAATTAAAATATTGTCCAATGACTAGTCATTTTACTTAAAAAATAGTGAATTCTGTACAATCACAGATATTCACATGGTTTATCTGGAAGAACAGTGCAAATATAATATCAGTAAGGCCGTCAACACATAGAAAATATCTTTTAATCCAAAACGTCAATATTTATAAAGTGCAAATAATCTCCTTCTCCCTCCCCTTCCCCTCCTCCTCCTCCTCCTTCCCCTTCTTCTCCTCCCTCCCCTTCTCCTTCCCCTACTCCTCCTTCCCCTTCTCTTCCTCCTTCTCATTCTCCTTCTTCTCCTCCTTACCCTTCTCCTCCTCCTTCTTCTCCTCCTTCCCCTTCTCCTCCTCCTTCTCATTCTCCTTCTTCTCCTCCTTCCCCTCCTCCTCCTCCTTCTCCTTCTTCTCCTTCTCCGCCTTCCCCTCTCTCTCCTCTTTCTTTTCTTTCTTCTATGCTGTTGCTAACAAATAATATTCTGGATGACTCCAAGGCCTATGACACTGAGAAGTATGTTCTGACTCTTCAGAGAACGAATAAGATATGTTGAGTATATAGTTTGAGGACTAAGCATAGTGATTATATTCCAGGCCTCTACATCCTTGACACCCATATGTGGATATGTGCTAATTCTTTTCCACTAACCAAAGGGAACTTGCAAATCAAATTCCTGACTGTTTTGCTACAAACAGAAGATTTAATGGATCATTATAAATCACCTAATAGGATATTGGTGAGATAGTGTAAAAAAAACAGAACTAATGTTTAAAAGGGGAGACAGATCAAATCCACAGACATTTAGATCTGCTTTTTTAACCAACATTTTGTATATTGATTGAAATGTCATCAAGCCCTAAAAATACATCACTTTATGCAATTGCAACTTCTCAGCTAACTTCAAGCCTTAATCATCTGTACACAAGAACTTAAAAGATGCCTGTTGGCTGGTTGCTAAATAAGAACACCATTCCAGCACTGTCCAATAGAAATGTAATGTGAATAACATATGTAATTCTAAATGTTCCTAGGAGCCACACTTAAAAAGTAAAGTGAAACAGGTGGAATTGATTCTGATAATGTATTTCATTTAACCAATGTATTCAAAGGATTAGCATTTCAACATGTAAGGGAACTATCAAATTATTTATAAGATAGATGACATTATTTCATTTTTTGTACCAAGTCTTCAAACTCTAGTGTGCATTTTATATTTACAGCACATCTCAGTTTCGGACTAGCCACTTTCAAGGGCTCGACAGCTACATGTAGCTTCTGGTTACCATATTGGTTAACATGAGCAATTCAAACCCTGTTAAGTGAATAAGTATTTTCTCTCTTGTGTTTTAAGTTAATGATGTTTTGGTGTAGCCAATAATACAAAATAATGTATGTTCCAATATATAAAATAAGCTGCTTTGACAACGAATATTTGAGAGGTAACATTTGTGGTCCCAGCTCCGTAAAAAAGGAACATTTATAATTGTCTCTGTTAGTTGAATTATCTTTAACAAGTTCCTACAGTAGTGACTGGTAGTGCTTATCACCATTGCTTCTGAATTTTCCAGTGAGGCTTGTAACTACACTTGGGAATTAAACATAGAAAAATACAGAGAAAACATATGAGGTAAACTTTTAATCAAGATTCCAAGGATGGTAGAAATATGTGTCTATAGCTGGTAGCATCTATGTTCTTCTGTCTTGTTTTAATTCACCAAACATAACCTCTGTGAATCATCCCATGATACACCATCTCTGGTCTCTTAGTCACTTAATTTTGAAACATTGTAATTATAATTGATTTCTCGCTCTTCCTTTAGTCATACACTTTACTAATTTTAAAATCTTGCCAATTCTGCCTCCAAAATGAATTTCATTTTTATTTCCACCTCTGCAATCTCATAGATTTAGATGGCGACTTTTTCATCTGACCCTTCTTGGACCGTGGCCACCTGCAGGCTCTGGGTCTTCAATGCATATAGCACAGTGCTGTTAGAGATGTCTCACTGAAACATAGAGGAAAATGTCACCCATGCTCACAGTCTTCTAATGCATAGGATGTAGTCCAAACTTCTTACTATGGCTATTGGAACACTCCACTCTTTGATCCCAACCTACTTATCTTAAACTACTACCTATAACCCATTGCATCTTAATCTTAGGCTCACTGTTCCATAATATACTGACCTTTCCTGCCCCTTGTCACATGCAGTCTTCCATCCTGGAATGCCTTTCCAGCCTCAATCCTCAGCCTAGTCTTCAAAATCAATCTTGAATTCCATCCCATAAAACTTTTCTAGATCTATCTATCTATCAATTCAATAAATGTTTTATGAGAGCCTTTGCTGTACACCAAATACTAAGCTACATGTTGGAGATTTTAAAAATATTTTTTTCTTAAAAATCCCCTAGGTCAGTAAGTAATATCTACAATGTAACATGATAAGTCCTTTAATCCAGATATGTACAGGGAGGGAAGAAAAATTCTGCCTGTGTGGAGGGAGGGCAGGCAAGATTTTATAGAGGAGGTAATATTTGAGCAGGATCTCAAAGGATTAATATAAATTTGCCAGGTAAAGAAAAAAAGAAGAATGTTCCTGGTAGATAAAACTGATTATTCAAAGTGCACAGAAGCATAAAAATATGTGCATGACTGGGGAGAAAGACAGTTTGGTACCACTAAAGAAAGGGTGATATTCAAAATATTTAACAATCAGTATGGAATGAGTACTGGCCAATCAGAATAGAAAATGGTTTCATTTGTACATAATAACTGAATATTAGCCCAGAACCAAAGTCAGGTGTACTTGGCAAAAGAGGAGTGGCAGTAAGGAATAGATCAATAACAGATTAGCAGGGCTATGATAATGATTTGAACCTATTCCAGGAGGCAGAAGGGAAGCATTGAAAGCATTTAGCAAGCAAAAAATATGTTATCAGTTATATTTTAGAAAGATTAACCAGGCAACTGTATTAAAAATGACTTTGAATGGGATGAAATAAAAGGCTAAGACGATTGTTGGATGATTGTCCAGGTAAGAAATGAAATGCAGCTGAACTAAACCTGTGGCCATGAAGACAGAGATGCAAGATCACATTTAAGGCATGTTTAGAAGACAACATTCACAGGACTTGATGAACAACTGAAAATGAGGGATGGGAAGCTGGTGGATAGATAAATGATGCATTTGAGGTCTCTAGAAAACTGATGCAGAGTGATGCTATTAAACTAAACAGAGAATATAAAAAGGAGGCATGCTTTTGTATATTTAGCATTTAAAATATCTAAGGAACACAGTCAGAAATGCACAGAAGACAGCTATCAATAGGAGATTAGAATCCAGGAGAGAGAAACTTCTGGAGCTACAGATCATCATTGGTGGCCAAAATAAAGAAAATAGATGGTTTCCTGAGGGTAAGAAAAAAGTACGAAATGGGAATGGCTGAAGATAAAATCCTGGTAAATATCATCAATTAAGAAATGAGTATAAAAATAAATCCGTGTTTGTCTATATTGAAGCTCTTTATCAACCTCAATTCTCTTCACTAGATCTTGACTTCCAGTAGGGCAGAAATCACATCTCACTCATCTTTGGGTTCCCTTAAGAGTATTTGGCACCTAGTAAGTTTGTGTGTGTGCGCACACACACACACAAACACACGCACAATATTTGCTGAGTTGAACTGAGCTTCAGCCTCATCCTGGAACATTTGAAGACTATATATGTGTGGACATATATATTCATGTGTGTATATTCATATTCATAAATATACATATTCAATCATTAAGACATTTAGTTAAATTATTCTCCATAGCTGTATTATTGCATATGAAAACTGGCTCCTCAGTGTACCTCCCAAATTCACCCACAACCTTTGAGTGCTTTCTTTCTGAATTAATAGTCTAATCCATTTTCCATAGGCCATAAAGCCAGATATCTTATGAAGGTGGTTGCTGGTCTATCGACAGTATAAACAGTGGACAATATGACCATGAAGAAGCTCCTGCAAAAATGGTCTATAAAATGATTGTTCTCCATCTACCTTTCATCTTTGTAGAGATTGCGATGCTATGAAAAGATTCCAAAACACCTGCTCTGCCACTTCTTGGTGTATGATGTGTACATGTCAGGTCACTTCCCCCCTTGAATCTGTTTGCTCATCTGTAAAATTAGGATAACATGGCCTACCTCTCAGGGTCAATGAGGAGAACTAAATGCAATCATGCAAGAAAAACCACCATGCTCATTGTTCACATAGTAGCCTTCATTTTTGGTTAGCATAAAACATTATTTTCTCTTTTGGATAAACTCGTAGGAAGAATAATAGATGTCTCCCAGAAAAGGAACTGGACGGTATGAATTAATTCTCTCAAAAGTGAGTCTCACGTTGAGAATGAACATTTGCAGTACAATTTATAATAATATGGCATAAAGTTTTCAAGAATGACAGAAAAAAGCATGAGTCTCTGTGTAAATGATCATTAAAGGATAGTTCTCTTTTAAATCATTATTTTGATCAATTTGAGTATAATTGTGCTTTTTACCTCAGCAGAGACACAGGCTGGAACTAGATAATGTAAAGGTTTAGGTAAAATTAAAACAAATCAATTGAATGCCAAATGCAAGGCAATGTGCTAGATGCTAAGACAAAAATACAGAGAATCCTCTGTCTTCACTTAAACCACTAACAAAATTTTGGGCCCCAGGAGAGACAACACGGTTGTTGTGTAGTTTGGTTAATTTGGGGCTGGGGGGTAGGATGGGTGGTGGAGTGTTTGCCTTGATATCCTTATATTTCCTAACATCAATGAAAAAGTCAACTTACTTTTTCTGCTACTATAAGAAAAAGCTGTAAAGAAAGTATATAAACAGCCTAGGATCATTGAAACCCATGGACATTTGGTAAACTCTAGAGTAGTCTTCGTCATATTTAATTATTACAATAAGAAAGAGGTCAAGAGCTTTAATATTAGAAGAAAAGTTTAAAAAACCAAGGTGCTGGTGTAAGTGATTAGCTCAGGAAAACAAAGTATCAGATGGAGAGCTGCAAATAAAAGGACGTTATGATGTAGTGAAGACAATCATGGGCTTTTGCAGTAAAATGATGTGGGTTCCAGTCCTAGTTCTGATTTATCCTACAATTAGCCTTTGGTTTCTTCAATTTCTAAAATGGTGAAAATGCTAATAGTGATGACTCTATCATAGGGTTTCTGTGAGGCTCCCATGAGATAAGGTATAGAGAGAGTCTTTGTAAGCTATAAAGCATTATGCCTGTGGGAACTTGGGTCACTTGGGCAGCAGTGCTATGAGGATTCTGACATATTGCCAGCAGCTGAGGTCCATATGCACCTTTGTTTGACTAGCAGAAATTAGGAACTGTCTATTCTTCAAAATAAGCTGTTCATAAACAAGGCAACTTACTCAAAAGTACTAATTTTCTTAGTTTTTCTTAACACTGCTGCCACGACATCCTCAGTCCCAGCCAAGAGAAATACAGATTTATTTATGTCCCCGAATGTAAAGTCAAGATTAACTACGAGAAGTGCTAGGGCTATTAGGGAATATAAATGTGTTCTTTATAATGCTTAAATTTCTCCTTATATTATGAATGTACATTGCAAAACATTTCTGCATTAGGTTATGAAAATATTAAAATACATTTATTATGCACCAATATATTTCTCTATTTGTGTGAGTTTCCTTCCAGTCTTTTTTGGAGAAGTTTATTATGACATATTTCTATATCAATTAGATAAAAAGAACAAATGATACACCAACTACCATATACCAGTTCAGGAAGTACAATGTTACCACTCAAGTTGAAGGTCTCTGTGAATCCCTCCTAAATTTCACTATCTCAATCCCCAAAACAAAGGTCAGAATTATTCTGAATTTCTTATTTACACACATAGTAATAGCAATATAATACTTACAATAAAGTTGTGTTTCAACATATTTTCATTAGAATTTACATTTACCTGTCCACAAACTATCTGAAATTATAAAAGTATTTTTAAAGCTTTTCTAGTTATTTTATTAATTAAGCTAAATAGAGAAGCTGGGCAATTAACCTAGGCCACAGACTCATTAGTGCTAAGTAGAACTAGAATCGCAGTGGACAGAATAAGGGTTAGGAGGCAGAAAATGTGGTTTGAGCCCCAGCTCTGTTACTTACTAGCTGGGTGACCTTTAGCTGTATCCAGGATTATTATAACGAGCAAACGAGATAATCTATGTGCAATTCTATAACCCACTTTATAAATGTTGTTTATGATTATCATTCGGGGTAAAGACTCTTGGCACTAAGTCTGAGATGATTGCCCCAACAAGTCTGGGACTCAATCCCCATCTGACTCAGACTACAAATAATAATTTGTCACCTCACAATAATTGCTGTTATTTACTGTACCCTTAACTTATATTAACCCAAGTAATCTTTCAAAAAGCCCTATGGGTCAATATTATGATCCTCATTTTCCAAATGAGAAACTTTATCTCCACAGAGGTTAAATAACATGCCTAAAGTCGCACCATTAACAAGAGCAACCAGAGATTCTAAAGCCCATGCTCCTTACAGCTGGGCAATATTGCCTCCTAGGTTTGGTCAAGGCTGGTTCATTTGGCTTAACAATCCCTATACAGTCTTTCTAGGGTACTATAATGCCAGCCTTCTTCCAAAAGCAAGAACCAGACCACAAGCCTCCTGATTTTCAATATTGTATCCCAGGTTTACATGCAAGATTTTAAAAATTAAACCTGTACCTTGTCATCAGTCTTTTTTATGAATTTAGTAACTTTATCAAATGAGAGAACTAAAACATGTTTTCTCAATTATCCATTTGAAAGGGAGGATCTTTAGCAAATGTCTGGATTTCCTCCAATTGTTTCCTTCTATGGAGTAGTTGAACATTTCTTCCAGTTTTTTAGTTTTAGTTGTTGTGGTCGCTACTGTTTTAGCAGCCCAATTCTAAATTTCACCATTCTGCAAAAGTGGAGACTGAGTTCCAAAGAGGCAAAGTCCCATAGCTGGTGGCAAATCTGAGACTGGACCATTAGTCTTCTCATGCCCAAGTCAGTGCCCTTCTGACAATATCACACTGCCTCTTGAAGGAATATAATACTCATTTTTTTACATTTTAAATACAATGTAGCTTTTTGATTTGGTATTCATTGACACCATGGCATCATAGCAATGAGTCAATCTTAGAGTAAAACCCATGAACTTATGACTTTTAAATAATAGAAACATTTACCAAAATGACTCATTTCCTGCTGGGGTTTAAAGGGAGGACAAAAAGATTTCTTTCTTTATCTCTTGTTTTATTCGTTTTTTTCAGTGCTTATAAAGAGAAGGAAAAAAAGATTTAATTTTAAAAATTTTCCAAAACTAGGAAATAGCAATTCCAAAACATAAGTTAGGAATTTTGGGCTTACAGATAAACCTTTTAGAAAGGGTGTTCTAAGAGCTTAACTAGAAAGTAATTAAGCTCCTTTTTCATTTACTATAAAACAAATTCATGGGGGTTTTCCTAACAGTAAATAGTTGGACTGCATTTAATATACGGAAAGAAGAAAAAGAAACACAGGTAAACGTGATTTTCCTTGCACTTTCTCCTTGAAGACTACAGTCCTGGGAAAAATTATATCTCAATAAGGAAATGGCTCCTTAGCAAGTGGTTTTGCTGTATACTTGCAATGTCTAAGAAATCTTAGTTCAGTTCCACCAATAGTAACAGAAAAGGCATATATACAAAAACAGATCATTGCTATAACAAGGGAGAAATGCAAAGGTAAACTCAGGATGCAACAGAACCACAGAAGAAGGGCACCTACCCCTTCCTCTAGGCTTTTTATTCAGTCTTGAGGGGTGCACAAGTGTCAGCCAGACAGGAATACTAAGATGGCATTCCAGGCCAAAGAAACCCCCCTGTGTGCAGGAAATGAATAGCAATTTGGTGTTACCAAAGTACCAAGCACAAGAGTGGTTCCCTAAGATAAGGCTTAAAGGTATAAGAGAGAGTCCTTCGAAGTCCTTGAGAACAATCTAAATCTGTATTAAGACAACAATACATGGCGATCTATTAAGGGATATGTAGCAAGAATTTCACTCCTCATAATGAGTAATGACAATTATGAATTTCTTACCTTTTAAATTTTAAGTTAAAACCAATTCAAGTTCAACCCTACAGTAAAGTTAGTCTAAGACATTTGCATTCCAATATGTCTCCTTGAGTGGGAGAAAGAGAATCTCTTTGGTAGGGGGGATGGGACAGTTAAAACTATACTGCCTACTTGCGACCATTCTTCTCCGTTTTTTTTTTTCTTTTTTGATGTAGTGGTTCAAAGTTTGGGAACCCTATGCTTTGAATTACACTTTATGATCAGATTCAATCGTCCAGTGCAGAATAAACTGATTGCAGTCCCAATATTACCCTTATAATAATTCTGGCTTGGTTCTTTCGGGACCCTTAAGATTTCCAAGAGTATATTGAGGGTGCAGAGTGGGAAGCAGCTGCCCCTATGCACAACCTGCTATGATATAGTGATGCTAATGTCCAGGAACTAAAATATTTACATTGAAACGATTGTATTAGGTTGAATAATAAATAGTCTGTTTGTGTTCAAAACACAGGCTTAGTCGTTAATAGTAAATAACATTAACCTAAAGGGAAATCATTCATTCATCATTTAATGAGCAACTACAACATGTCATTCTGTGAAAGTTTCCATCAGGGAAAACAAAGTAGGGAGGTCCTTACAGTTTAGCATTTGTCACAGGCCTAGGATAAGCCCACAGGAAGCTCTACTTCAAGGCAGACTATAAGAACAATAACAGAAGTTTCAGAAAATTGCTGTGAAGTTTGAGAGGCAGGGGAGATTAAATAAATTTAGAAAATTGCTCCAATTTCCATAGGAATAATAAATATGATCAAGAACAGAGAAAGAAATCAAGGATCACAATTTCCTCCCTGATTAGATTGCCCACTCTACTCCAAGAAGAATTTCAATTAGAAAGCCAGGTTTTATTATACACCCCAAAATGTGTACATTTTGTTTGTTAAAATAGATGAAAATTAAATTTCCAAAGACTAGAACCCCTCAGCTACTATTATTTAGAACTAAGGACAGCAAACAGCAATATCTCAGCTGAGCTCAACCACCGTGAGGACCCTTGGAGCAAAAGAGAGGATCGCTAAGGTAACCAGAAAGCCGAATGTAATTACCCAAATTGGAATTCAGCCAGGCAGTGCAGGCAATACCCACACTCTTTAGAAAATGTCACAGACTCTTTTAATAACCATGGCAATTTTATTCCACAAACATGTATTAGTAGGACATATCAGAACAAGAATAAAATATTCTTGTTTTTTACACCCATGAATGGATACACAGCCAGAGGAAAGCAGATAGAATATATATCTCAGAAACATGATTTTGAACGTTCTTAGTGGCAATATTCACTCTTGTTTCTAAATGTAATTTTTTAAAATGTAAGAAGAGAGGGGCAGTGCCATGTGTGCAATAGAATGCAAATAGAATTCAATAGAATATTAAATAGAATAGAATTCAAAAATTCAAATGAGGTGTCTTATATAACTGGTGAAGAGTAATGCTAAATTCCTCACGTGTTAGTTTAGTGTAAACATGAAAATACACTATTTACATTGGAAAGCCTAATGGTATGTATGGTATGCCATAGGATGTGTTACTACAGCATCAGGACAAAAAAAAAAGTCCTACTCGGTTTCTAATGTTTTACTTCAAAATTTTAAGGTATATTATACCAAAAATTTAAGATATATTATAATATTTAAGGTATAATATATTATAATATATATGTATTTTATATATATATATAAATGGTACAGATATTACCATTTATATATGTACCTGTACATATATGTACAGGTATATAGGTACATATATATACATACATATGTACATATATGTACAGGTATATATATATATATATATATATATATATATATATATATGGTACAGATATTTCTCCATGGAACTAAATTTTTTATTTTGCCTTCTTGCCAAAGTGAGTGATCTAGTTGTTGAATTAAATGATCCCATCTAACAAATATTTCATGAGTGCTTACTATGTTCCAGGAACAGTCCTTGTTCTTGCAGGCTTGTAGGTTGGTTAAGCACAGGAAAGAAAAATCAGTGGATTTTCAAGAAGTTAGAAATGTATAACCATGAGATGCCTGAAGGGTGGAGAAAGACTACCAAAACGAAGCAAAAACTATAATAAATACCAAGACCCAACATTGACCCTGTTGGTATTTTATAAGCAATATTTTACCTTGGCAGATGATAATCACCATGTTTAATGAATATTTACTTTGTGCCAAGCACTGTTCTAAGTGCACATTTTTTCTCTCATATTTTAATGGCACGAAACCTCAATATGGATCAGAGAGTGGGCTCATGTCTCATTCTAGGCAAGAGTGACATCTTAGTATGGCCAGCTCAGGGCTCAAGTCTCAGGGCCACTATATACTAGCTCTATTATCTTGGACAAGACACTAACTTCTATGTAACTTCAGTTGCCTTATCTGGAAAATAGGTGTAATTATATTTCTCCTTTGAAGTTAATAAGACCAAGTGTGATAATGTTTATAAAGGGATTAACACAGTGCCTGAAAGATAGTAAGCGACACAAAACTGCAATGGCTATGATGCTTATAAATAATGGTATAATACTAAAACACCTATTGTCATGAATCATCCTCAAGATACAAACACCCCTTTCATACAGCTATCCAGTTGGCTCTAGCCCTTCTTCCTCACTGCCTCCTGCTCCCTTGCCGCCTCCAGGTAGCTGTCAAGCTGTCATATCACTGAGAGATTGATAACAGGGAGCTGTCAGATCTCAAGCCTCTGCCCTACTCCCTTCCTTCTTTCTCTGCAGGCCAGGAGGTGATAGACTTGATGATTTTTTGTTGTATTTCGACCTTAAATTCATCATAAATTCTATTCGGGTAAATATTCTTTTCACATATATGCTTATATTTAGAGCCCCCTTTTCTCTTTACATTACATCAAATCCCTGCACATTTGCCTAGAAACATTTATTTCCCTTATTCTCTCAAGCCCTCCCCTCATACGTCACTGTGAGCCCAAAGACTAATACTAATTATCGTCAATAAGCATTAGCATTAGAGCATGGTTAACAGCGCATTTGTGTCAAGAAAAGGAAAACCATCCCCATCTTTAAGCTTGAAGTCACTAAGACCTTCATTCTTTTAAGGTCTTTCAAGTGTCTAGAAGACTGTTTTCTGCCCTATCTTTTTTTAGTTGATCCTTCTTTTCCTTAGACACGAGTGGCCAAGATAAATATGAAGCTAATTCTAATTGCATTTTATTCTGTTCTGGTTCTGTTTATTAGTGAAGAAGACAGCTGAAGCCTTGCAATATTTTGGCAATATTAACTCTTAATAGGAACTGGATTTTACTGGCATATTCATAATCTTGTTTCTATAGGAAAAAATATGCTCTGAATTCTAAACAAACTTACAAGCAAATGTATGCAACCAAAGTTTTGAAAAGTTGGGGATATCTATTATTTCAAGTACATTGCATGATACTAGAAAACATAAAGAGATGCTGATTTAGAACTCACACTGGTGAATTGCATACTCATGCTGAATTGGGAATTTACTTTAGACTCTTCACAGAGGATGAATTATACCATTTTGTCCTGATACTGTAGTCAATCTCACTCACAAGCAGTATAGATTATGCAAACCTAAAGTGATCTGTGGCAGTAAGTACAAGACTGTGATACACTCCAGCCTTTAAGAAAGGGCTGGGAATGACAATTTAGAACGACTCCTGCCAGGTTGCCAGCTCCCAGCATACACAAGAAGATGCATCCCTTTAGGAATGACAATTTAGAACGACTCCTGCCAGGTTGCCAGCTCCCAGCATACACAAGAAGATGCATCCCTTTATTGTTCTTGCATAGCAGTTGACTTTCATTGCTCAACTCTCAGTTTCAAGGTGACACATTACATGTGCTTCAATACTTAAGTAAAGAAACAATGTTTGGCTTAAAAGCCAATAACCTTTTACAAACCACAGGCCTTTCTATTGGAATAATCTGTGAGCGTTCTGAGTGCCAGTGAGATAATAGAATATGCATTTTGGTTGTGGTGGTTACCAGCAGGCTTATGTCCTAGGAGGATGGTCCTGTGAGAGAATTAGCTTGTATATTCAATCACCGGAATATGGTCAATGATAGTCTGTATTTACATTTACATATAATTATTTTAATTTTAAAACTTGCCAGATACTGACACAACAGATCATTTGGAATAAGTTATGCTTTCATGTAAAACATTATTTTTGTAGACTGTAAATAAAACAGTGTTTTCTTTTCCACTTCCTAATTAGACAATTGTCTGATTGTTTCTTAAAAGGCTCCAATCACTTATGTTCTTTTTTTTTTTTTTTTTTTTTGAGATCGAGTTTTGCTCTTGTTGCCCAGGCTGGAGTGCAATGGCGCAATCTCGGCTCACTGCAACCTCCACCTCCCAGGTTCAAGCAATTCTCCTGCCTCAGCCTCCCAAGTAGCTGGGATTACAGGCACCTGCCACCACGCCCAGCTAATTTCTTGTATTTTTAGTAGAGACTGTGTTTCACTATGTTGGCCAGGCTGGTCTCGAACTCCTGACCTCAGGCAATCCGCCTGCCTCGGCCTCCCAAAGTGCTAGGATTACAGGTGTGAACCACTGCGCCCGGCCCACTTATGTTCTTAAAGAATGCTATATAGACAATGCTTATTATGAAAGACAGTAAACATATAGACTTGGCCTATTTATCTTAACCTTTTTTACACTTAGTAATAACTAAGTTTCATGTTTCAATTCCATTCAAAACCCCTATAGAATTTAGGTTCAAATTAGAAAATACAAAATATGAATCCTTCAGAGCAGATTCAGTATTGTGACTCCAGCAGGCCTAAAAAATAAAAACCTGATGTTAATTTCATTTGCAAATAATACAAACTTGGAATCAGGCAAAATAACAATGGATCCCAAATATCCAAGTTTACATCTAGCCCTTTTAGAAACAATTTTATTACAGGCCTTCCCACTAGTTCCCTTTTGTAAACAGCAGTGAAAATTTTCTTGACAGTGACGCTGCTGTAAAACTGCATCCTCAATTGGTGATGGTTACACCATACCATGCTAAAAAATGTTGGTGAGCTAGCTTATCTTTCAATGTTAGTGATTTATTCAGATCCAGGAGACTCAAGATAATTTTGAAACAAATAGTGATATTAAAAGATGTAGAATTCTTCCCCAGAGATTTCAAAATATGCTAAAAAAATATGTATGTTGCTTTTTTGTGTGCTTTTGTGAAATGATTCCAATTTTTTCTTTATGGGTTTAGAAGATGCTCAGAGTTTGAAGTATTCAGTACAAAGGGTGGGAAGCTAAGGAATAGGTTTGTGCCACATGCAGCTTAGAAACTGCTTCTTTTTTTTTTCAGGAACAATGGTAATTATGCTGCAAGATACCAAGATGCAATGTTTGCTCAAATTGATTCTTAATACTCTAGAGCTGGAAAATAACAACATTTAGAAGCTGTTTGATCTATTTGTCCAATGAAGCTATATCATCTCGAGCATCATTACTTGCTGATGATTTATGTGATTTAAACGTAAAATAAGCATTTATCTGACTCTCACAGATAATCAACCATAGAACTGCAGTTTCATAACGCGTTAAGTGCTTTAACTCCTTTTTTTCCCCCTTTAACTCTCTTCAGAACCTTAATATACTAGTTTGCTAGGGCTGCCATAAGAAAAGTACCACAGACAACTGAGTGGTTTAAATAACAGAAATTTATTTTCTCACAGTTCTGGAGGCTGGAATTTTAAGATCAAGGTGTCAGCAGCGTTGGTTTCTTCTAAGGCCTCTTTCTTTGGTTTGCGCACGGCTGCTATCTTAGTCCATTTCCGCTGCTATAACAAAATACCTGATACTGGGTAATTTATGAAGAACATAAATTTATTGCTCACAGTTATAAAGGTTGAGAAGTCCAAGATCAAGGTGCTGGCAGATTTGGTGTCTGGTGAGATGGCTCTGTCTTGTAGATGGCTCTGTCTGTGTGTCCTCACATGGTGAAAGGGCAGAAATGCAAAAAAGGGGAAAATGCTGTGTCCTCACATGAAGAAGGGCAAAAAGGCCTTGACAGTTTCCTTCAGCCCTTTTATAAATTTGCTAATCCCATTCATGAAGGAAGAGCCCTCATGACCTAATCACCTTCTAAAGGCCTCACTCTTAATGCTATCACAATCACCGTTGAGTTTTAACACATGAATTTAGGAGAACATTCAGACCATAGCAGCTGCCTTCTGGGGTCTTCACATCATTTTCTCTCTGTAAATCTCTGTATCCAAATCTCTTTATAAGGACATTAGTTATATTGGATTAAAACTCACTCATATGATCCCATTTTAACTTAATTTTATCCCAAGACCCCATTTTCAAACACATCCATATTCTGAGGTACTGGGGGTTAGGACTTCAACATATGAATTGGGGGTACAATTTGACTCTTAACATTTAACATATAAGACACATATAAGACAGATAAAAGGGAACTGAGCTGCTGGGGTTAAAGGAGCCGGAGCCTCCTAGGCCCGTCCTTCCTTTCTCCTCTGCCCATCAGCACCACTCCTATTCTCCCACTAAACTGCCTCTCAGGAACCTTCTAGAAATGTCAGGATGACAAGGGAAACTGCATAACAGTTCATTTGTTTCTCAAATATTAGTGGATATTGACCATACACAGCGCACTGTGTCACATGGCATGTGGAATAACTACAAAAGTAAATAAAACAAGCCTTGCGTTCAAATAACTCATGTCAAACCACATTGTCATGTATTACTTGAATGACAGCTTAGAGTTCTAAACACCCTAGATCTATCTTCACATCCATGAGAGAGGTAGCAGGATGCTGTGAAAGGAACACAGGAAGTCCAGGCGAGAGCATAGCTTTCTTTACCTGCCCAACAGGAGAATGCCAGGCTCAAGTGAGATAACAAAGATCAGGAAGCATTGTAAATTGAAAAGTGCTACAAATGCATAAGGTATTATATTAAAAATTACTAAAACCAGCTTTCAAAATGCAGCATTGTTTCTTCCATCTCATTCTCTACCTGCACATTCCACAGGCTAATTGCCTGTATTATTAAGAGTCACCTTACTTAATCAAATTTAAATGTTCAGTCTCTATTTAATTGAAGGTTCTCTAGCCTTAACCAAATGGGATAGCTTATTACTCATTTTATAATTTGGGGAATAGGTTAACCAAGACTGAGATAAATTTTCTCCTTTCCAAAATAATCCCTTTATTTTTCCCCATACTCCCCACCTCATTTTGATGTTTTAAGTTATTAATATTTAGCTTTTGCCCATAGATTGGACATTCTTCCTTTCAATCTATTCCACAACCCCCAACTGTCCCTCCCTGAGCCTTTATAACCTATTGCCCACCTTTTGTACATCTGGGCCACCCTGAATATTCATTTTCTTAAAATTTACCCCATTACCTAAAACTTTCCATGGAGGAGTCAGGTCTTTAACACTAGCTTTCAGTGCTTAGAGAGTCAGGGCTCCACAGGCTTCCACGAGAAGTCAGACTTTCATGTTTCTTCTCCAGGAACCTCCTATATCTTTCTCCTGGGCCACCCACAGAAACGGCTATTACCCTACTGCTCTCACCACCTCTTCTTCCTTTAAAGCCAAAGACAGAAGGCTCTTCTTTTCCCTGCTTTCCTAGGCTGTCTTTCTGCCATTTTGCTTTACTAAAATGTTGCCGGTGGGGCTGGGGGCAGGGAAATGTCATTCTCTTCTCAATTTAGCAAGCATTAAGTGAGGGACTAGGCTAGGCACTGTGCGGGGTGCACACGGGTGAGTCAGACACATCACCTGCTGTTTGGAACTCGCAGTCATGTGGAGGAGATAAGTGTGGAAACAAGTAATGACAATGCAAGGTAGACTGGAAGGAGAGCTGTGCAGAGGTGGAAGCATATACAAGTGAAGGTGAGATTCTTTCCCACTGTGGAATCAGAAACAGTCTCAGGGAAGACAGGACAATGGGACTAGGTCTTGAGAAATTTCAAAAGAAGGAGACTTGAAGAGAAAGGCATTCCAAGTTTCTACTTCTTATGAAGAGTATGAGCAAGAGCTCAGAGCTAGCATAGACCTGTTATATTTGGAGTTCAAATCTGTGCGGCTGGAAGAAGCTGGGAAATATTGCACGATGATGCTGGGGAGAAGTCAGATCACAAAGGATTTATGCCAGATGTGCCCCACTGGACACATACCTGTTACGAGCGGCTCAGCCACGCAGTAGCCTCAGAAATGTTGCCAGGCTCCCCTGCCATAATTCAGGAAGAAATGACCCAGTCTTTTTTAATGCCTCATCATAAGAGCAGTGCTATAAATGAATAATCAAACATCCTCTTGAAAAGAAAAAAAAATGACATGTTTATATACCTTTGGTCCATATGAATTTTAAAACAAGCAAAAAAAATGGTCATAAGTTAAAACCCCCCATAAGATGATTAAAATTCAATTTCATCTTACATTAGTTACAGAATAATGAATTGATCCGCCCTTAGAATAGTTTCTCAAGAGAAAGTACCACACAGGCTTAATCCTAGGACCTTGGTTTTTCTTTCTGTTTATAATCTCTATTAAGTGGCACATCCATTTCACAGCTCAACTGCCACTCTAGCAGCTCATGACTTGCCATCTCTAGCCATCTCCAGCACAAATTTCACTTCACTCCAATTACATATTCCCAAGAGTTTAGAGTTGATTTCTACTTGACTGTTGGTTCTCACATGCCATTCACCATGGCCATACTTCACATCCTTTTTCTCCAAATCAGCTTTTTCTCCATTTTCCTTTTCTTTTTCATTGTATCCACCATTCCTCCATAGCAACTAACTCTAAAACCGCAAAATCATTTTTGATTCATCTCATCCTTGATACTTTATCAAACTAAAATTCCAATTGATTTTCATCTCAACTTCCTTTTGTCCTTATTTTCACAGTCTTTGAGTCTGGATCATTGGGACAGTTTTCTCATTGGTTTTCCTGACTCTAATCCAAACTGCAAAAGAGCTGCCAAACTAATCTTCTTTAATATATTACTTTCATCATGCTGATTCCCTGCTCAATAATCTTAGATAGTTCCCTTAGATATTCCAGATGCAACCCAAATGGACTGAAAGCCCACAAGAAAATTTCACAGATGCTCTCTTTCCTGAGTGGTATGTATTATTATCCCAGTTTTACCAATAATGACAGTCAAGGCTCCAAAATTTAACTTGCTGAAGCCTAGTAATTGGCAGTACCAGGATTATAGCCCAGTCCTTTCAGTCCTGGTCCAGTGCCTTGCCTTAATAGAAATTTGCAGCTCCTGTGTTTGGATTTCAAAACTCTCCATAATCTCTCTTGGTCTTGTTTAACCAATTTTATTTTTTTCTAACTCCCCATCCAGCCTTGGCTCCTCATTCCCTCTCAATTTGCCTACCTTATTTCTGCTTTTCCATGGCTTCCCTTGGACATATTCCCACCTTCTCAAACCTCTGACACATGCCTTAAGCCCCATCCAGGGGCTCTGATGATGGCTCTGGCAATCATCACCTGGCCTTCTTCAGTTGAATTCCAACAGCATTTATGCTCCAGCACAGTGGCTCACAGCCTGAGGACCAGCATCCATGAGATGGGGTCAAGCAAGGGAAGAAATCATGGGTCTATAAATCCCTACGTGCACCAAAGCATATACCAAGTTGTATGCCCCTTGCATGTATTTGTTACTATTTTCCAAAAGTTAATAGACACTTGTGGCAAAATACATTAATCTAAAATAATTTGTGCTTGTCTTTTGCCATTATGTATTCTCCTATTTACAAGTACTAAACACTTATCAGCTATCACATAGAGTTTGTAAAATATCTGACACTAAAAAAAGAGTCCTTGATCTCAATAAGCTTGGAAACCAATGGTCTAAATATTTAAGTATGTACAATTTGGTTGATTTGCAATTGCATATGTTCTTTAATCTTATAAGCTCCCATGAGGGTTTTAAAGAGTTTCTTCTAAGATACAGAAGAACTGGAGCATACTTCTGAATCCTACAGCACCTCATACAGCACTGAATACATGGTAGGTGCGCAACAAGTTACAAGCTTGTTACAAGCTTCCTTCAGCTAATGAAGTGTGATGGTATAGTTTAGAGAAATGTAGGCCTATTTGCTAAATGACAGGCTAAGTAAAAGGATGATTTTACAGCTTATTAAGTTGCCTAAGACACTGGAGCTTTCCACACTTTGTTCCGATCATGGCCACCTTGCATGGACTTTGGTGAAACCTCTCATTGCCACTCTTTATTGAAAAATATGAGAATATTTGTAGATAGGTTTGGGGCTCAGGGCTATGGTTTTATTAACACTAGCTGATCTGTAGATACTAAAATATCCAACTCCTGCTTATAAGGCAGAAATCAGAGGTAAGCCTTGAAGAAAATTATTTGAATTCCCTATTCATACACAGTACCAAAATCAAGGGTTGATAAAATTCCTTCAATCATTGCTCAATTTTGAAATTTCATTAGATTATAGTATCAAATGAAGGCCTGGATTACATCAGATATCTGCACAGTTACTCTAAGTTATAAAATATCTATCCTCGGGTAGAGGATTGAAGGAGAATTATAGGTCTGACACAGGCAGGAAAGTTTTTATTGAAGAATAATGATTCATTATACAGCATCATTGGTGATAAAATTGTCCAAAAAGTCGATTTCCCAAGTAATTGAAATTTACTCATTTACAGTTTCCAAATTTTCATATTAAAAATTATGCTTCTAAAATGTATTACAGGCTTTCTGACTTATATTAAGCAAATAACATTACAAATAATTCTTCCTTGAGCTCATTATATTAAATATCAATCATTATTTTAGACAACTCAAGTATGTAACAGGGCCTTTTGCTCCTACATTAAATGGCCTCAGACTACTATACACTTTGAGTTTTGTAGGATTAAAAAAAAATTATCCAGAAACAATTTTAGACTTACTTAAAGGTTGCAAAAAAGTATAGTCTCCATATATATCCTTCACTCAACTTCCCCTAATGCTATTATCTTATTTAACCACAATATAATCTTTAAAACCAAGAAATTAACATTGGCAAAATACTACTAACTAGATTGAAAACTTTACTCAGATTTCACCAGTTACTAATGCCAAATCTGTGTTCCAGGATCCAACCCGGAGCCCCATATTGAGTTAAATTTTTTGTCTCCTTAGCATCCTCTAATCTGTGACAGATCCTTGGTCTGTCCTTGTCTGTCATGATCCTGTCACTCTTGATGAGTCCTAGTCAGTTTATTACATGGACTGTTCTTCAATTTGTGACTTTTCTAATGATTATACCGAGGTCATACATTTTTGGTAAGAAATGCTACAACACAAGGAAGGTCATGCCCTTTCTTTGGTAATCATATCAGAGGGTTCATGATGCGATATGTCTTATTCCTGATGATGTTAACCTTGATCACTTGGTTAAGGTGGTGTTGGATGAGATATTCCAAGTAACTATTTTCCCTTTGTAATTAGCAAATGTTTATTTGAATTATTAACACAGTTCTTCCAACTCTGTTTTCAGAACGAGGCATCAGATGTCACTCCTTATGCCTACCACTAGTAACTTGCCTTTCTAATTTAGGCTTCAATATCAGGGAAAACAATGATTTGTTAGAATTCTTTTTAAAATTAAAAAAGTGCATTCTAGGCAAGGGTTTATTGTGTACTTTTAAAGATATGTCTTTTTGCTGCTGGACATCCTTTATAGTTAAATTCATGTTCCCAGTTTTGAGACTTTCTATCTAGAATCTAAATTGTTAATAATGTCTGATAAGTGGACCTTCCTAAGCCAAGTATTATCTTAATGGTACTTATATATCAAGTGAAGATACCTGAAAACTCAGAAATGGGATCATCACAATTTGACTTATTAAATATATGTTTCCAGCTCAACAAGCTAGGGTACCCTCCTGTCTATAATCCTTTCCCAGAGGATGGAACAAAAAATTGAAATAGCAGAAGTTTGACATCCATTAATTTTATTCACCCTTAATATATCAAATGTAGACAGGAGAATCTGATGTGGCACCTATGAACCAAAAAGCTGTCTCATGATGACATGAATGTTAACCATCCTTTCCACATCTCTAAATTTCAGGTTCCCAGCTCTGAATCACCCAGGCTGCAGAAGCAACACAAGATCTAATCTTCATATTCCATTTGCCCAATACTGTCTATATCTTGGAAAAATCTTACTAAAAAGGTCTGTCTTCACGATGTCATCAAACCCATTCCTCTGCTTCTACATAGGCTTTCATGGAAACCATTTCAGAAAGGAAGCTGTGTGCCTTAATCTCTAATTTTTCAGAGAACACTTCTTTCTTATTATGTGTCTTTTACATTTCCTTTTCATTTCAAAGATCTATGTAAATGAAACATGTTTCTTCCTACAGTGAGATACATTTTAAAGTACAGTATATGTTTAGCATATATTTAAGATATTTTATAGGTTTCTACCGTTTTAATTTGATGAGGGTGAGCTCTAGCCCATTCTTCCTTTTTATATAACCTGATAAAAACCCCAACATTTCTCAAGTACAATGTCCAAATAAAATGTGATTTATGGTTCCCTATCTCCCTTGTGCATGTTTCCTAAAAATGATTGAGTCACTGTTGTTCTGTTGTTTAATCTGATAATTATACAAGCACAAATCTTATATTGGAGCAGAAAATGTTAACACACATTGAAAAACCAAAAAGCATGGAACTATAATCTGTATGATAAAATGTATTACTCTGTTTAAAAGGATTGTTTTACAGATGCAATTAACAATCAGCGATCATACAGTTTAGACCGGTGTTTTGATGCCATCTGTTGGAATAAGTCCTCTCTCTCTCTCTCTGGAATAAAGCTGTAATTTTCAGTTTACAGTTTCATTAAGGAACACACAGTACAACAGTCACCAACAGAAGAAAAATCCTAAACACTTTCAATTTTATAGCCTTCCAGAAACAAGAATGTTGCTGAAATTTTCTAAAAGAGAGAGAATTTAGAAAATTAGCAGCATGACCACAGATTGCTATTTTATTTCACAGCCTTTAAATATCACCAGCAGTTCAAATGCCAATGATGGTTTTAAAATTTTAGTTTCCATGTTTGAAATACGATATTCATTCTTTATTTATAATCTTTATTAACTTTAAGAAATGCTTTCCCTGTGCCTAAACAAATTATGTCATAATGCCAGTGGGAAAAGTTAACAAATAACCTGTCTATTGGAACACATTCCTGTTTGTTATTAGCTTATTAAATGCCAGATCACACCTTTGGGGGCTTTAAATACACTAGGGGGTGCTAGTTCTCTACATGTACACATTTACAAAGTGAAACGTTTTCTACAATTAATTTTTGGGAATTATAAAAGTTGATCTAAAATTCTAAAACAGTACGTTGGCTGCATATTACGTGTGAAGAAGACAAACAAAAAGAACTCATTAAAATTGCACTAAGAACTAAACAGCAAGAGTCCAAGTGGAAATACAATTATACATTGCAAGAGGTAAGATCGATACAGTTTTGTTTCATGGTTCAGACATCAGTTGCTAGTATCAAACAAAACCTGAAAGAAAGCCACAGCTTTTCAAAAAGTAAAGTATCAGACTTGAAATTCTTAGTGCTCTTTATTATGTCTATGGTGTTCCAAAAGAAATACAAAGCAAAACTACCAGGGAGAAGAGGTTTCTTTACTAAATTTAGACAACTTATTTGAGATTCTCTTCCTTTGATATGTTATTCAAACAGTCTCAAATGACAAGAAGTCACCATTAAGATCTGAACTTATGCTCTACAGTAGGCTGGCAAGTTGCCTCAAGTAACTAATGGCTCTCTCTGTTAGGTCTTGGAATATTTGCATGATGAAAGTACACACACATGCACACACACACACACATCAGTGTAAAGAAAGAAACAGTTTTACTTTTTGTAATTTTAAAAACAGAATCAAGTCCAACAGGGTCATTATCACAGATTCCATTCTATAGGTAGTATGTGGGTGGGGGAAAAGGGTCTATTTTTTCCTTATTCTCTTTGGGCTTAATTTTCCTTCTTTGAAAAGACTAACCAATAGCACTCCAGATATACTCAAATTCAGGCAAAGCATACTAACCTACAACTTTCCACCTTCAGAGATAGGTTGAATTTCAATAGCTTTTCTTCTACATAGAGGCTCTGGCATTTCTTTGTCAATTGTCAGGATCTACTTCAACCTCATTTTGTTTCCCTCTCTTCCCGTTCTACCAAGCAGCATGCATCTATCTGGTCTCTTTGGTCAACTACAAGTAGCCCAAAAATTGTTCCCAGGTTGTCATATTTCCTGCCCCACCAAATGCCCTAGCAGTACTTGATAGGTTTTACAGACTTGCTATACATTGCTCATAGCAGGAAATATCACACCTAGCAGGAGTTTGTCCAAAACACTTTGACATTATGGTAAAGAACATTTAAAACGATTTAGGCGAAGTTGTATCTTTGGATCACCACCTAGCATATCAACCCACAGCTATACCAGAAACAGAGTCAGGTACTTTTCATAAACAAACACAAATAGTCTAACACTCCAGTGGTGTGCCAACAATGCACACATACAGGGTATAGTACCTTGATTGTTTGAACAATTAGCCAGACCCATATAGCAGTACTGAAGGGTTTTATGCAATGATCATGCATCATCCTAATCCGTGAGTATCCTCTATTATTTTATGATTTTATATCTCCAAACTACCTAGTAATGGCATTTGCACTGCAAATATGTAAATGTTTTAAATTTGCATTCAAAATGGCAATTTCATGGGTTTATTTTTAGTCACTTCAGAGACTCATCAGATTCATCAAGTTTTCATCCTTTCCTTGAGAACAGGGGACAAATCTAGCATTGGTTACACCTTGGTAAACTAGATGAAGGCAAGAAAATGGTTTTCAAAATAGTAATCATTAGAATTGTCAATTTCTATTGACAAACAGTATAAACTGTGCCATTCTATATTTGGAATCTGGGAATCATAGGGTTAGAAGGGGCTTAAAAGTCATTTTTATTAAACACCTTGCTCCCATGTATGAAGCTCCCCTGCTTATCACAGACAAATGGCTTTCCATTTTCAACTTAGACCCCACCATCGAAAATCACTCTCTTACTGGCATAATTGTTAGAAAGCTCTGCCTGTCTTCTCGCCATCGCTCTGTTTTTTTTTTTTTTCTTAATACCTTAAGTTCTGGGACATATGTGCAGAACAGGTTTGTTACATAGGTATACATGTGACATGGTGGTTTGCTGCACTCATCAACCTGTCTTCTACATTAGCTATTTCTCCTAATGCTATCCCTCCCTTAGCCCCCCACCCCCCGACAGGCCCCAGTGTGTGATGCTCCCCTCCCTGTGTTCACGTGTTCTCATTGTTCAACTCCCACTTATGAGTTCTCACCATCTCTTTTTATAGGTCAGGCCATACTCTATGTCAGAGCAGTTTTTGAGTCTGGACTTCCTGGGTTCAATCGCCAATTCTGTCATTTATTAACTTTGTAACTTTGGGTAAGTTACTTAATTTGTCTTCAACATAAATGTAAGAATTTGGCCACTTTTCATTACTTTCACAACGGCCACCTTTGTCCCCACCACTATTATTTCAAAAGTCTCCTAATCAGTCTTCCTGCCACACAAATCTATTATCAGTGTGGTTGGGTGATCCATTTAAAACACGGTCGAACCAAGTGTCTCTTCTGATCAAATGCATGCAGTGGCTTCACATTGAATTCTGAGTGAAGTTCAGTTCCTTATGACAGTCTTCAAGCATTAGCCACAAGATCTTCCTGCTCCTGAACACAGAGGCAACTCCTACACAGAGGTCTTTGCTCTAGCAGTTCCCACAGCCTGGAACCCTCATCCCCTAGATATCTGCCTGCTCATGCATCTTCTCCTTCAAGACTGCTTAAATCCCGCCTTCTCACTGCAAGCAGTTCTGGCTTCTCTATTTAATAAATGCAAACTGATCCCCACCTACCCCAGCACTACTGAGATTTCCTTTGCCCTGTCTACTTTTTAAAATACCATTTCTCACTTTCCAATATATGATGTAATTTATTAATTACTCATTTTTTGTATCAATGATTGTCTTTTTCTTTACACTAAAATATAGTTCATAAGGGAAGGAGGTTTTATCTATTTTGCCCATGGCACCTTGCACACAGGAGGCATTTAATAAATGTTTATTAAGTGAATGAATTTTAGGATAATAAATAAGTTAATATAAATACAGCACTTAAAACAGTAGCTAGAACATAATAAATTTTCATATAATTATTTTTATTACTCTGCTGTAATTGCTATTACTGTTGTCATTACTTTTGGGGACATTCTTCTTACAATTATCCAAAGCATCCATGCTTACTTCCTAAGCTATAGTTACTAAAGGTCTTTGATTTATAGGATCAGGTCACTGCCTAATTCATGGTCTATTCCAATCAAAGTTGACAGTATATTAGAAAGCTTATCTTTGGGAATTTTTCCTCCTCTTAGCATGGGGTGAGTCCACAGGTGCCATGAAGCCTACTCTACCAGAGGACTACCCGCTAATTCTCATTGGGACACATGTCTGGCCATCTCTCTTGCTTTCTCTTTGTACTCCTGGCCCCTTCTAGAATGGTTCTGAGTCCCAGGCCACTTGCCTTGAGCCTGTCTCCCTTGTCTCCTTCAAAAATAAATAGCCATGCAGTATTTCCCAAAGTTATTTGACAGCGTAATAGCCTTTATGTTGCTCTTTTTGAGACAATGCTATAGACTAGAGGTTCCCAAATGGTCTTAGCTCATGGTACTCTAATAGCTCAGTAATTTTTTTCACAGCACCCCTTAGTCAAAAGAAATTTCATCTATTAAGTAATGAGATCCAAACAACCTAATCAGCATTTATGTCCTAACAACCTGGTAGTCATTTGAAGAAAAACATACATATAAGTTGAAAGAAAAATGTTCTTTTTTATCCTTAGATAACCACAGTTACTTACTAATGGGATGCTTGGGTCTTTTGGGTACTATATAACTTATAACTTCTTTTTTTTTTTTTGAGACAGAATCTATCTCACTCTATTGCTCAGGCTGGAGTGCAGTGGTGTGATCTTGGCTCACTGCAACCTCTGCCTCCCAGGTTCAAGCGATTCTCGTGCCTCAGCCTCCTGAGCAGCTGAGATTACAGGCGACCACAACTGAGCCCAGCTAATTTTTATATTTTTAGTAGAGACAAGGTTTCATCATGTTGGCTAGGCTGGTCTCGAACTTCTGACCTCAAGTGATCCGCCTGCCTCAGCCTCCCAAAGTGTTGGGATTACAGGTGTGAGCCACCGCACCTGGCCTATATACCTTATTAAAACTTGGAGTCTGATTGGACATCACCACTCTCGTTTTCTGTTCTTATTAATTTTTAGCATGGGAATTGCTTTCATCACAGAAACTGGCAAAACCACAGCTTTGCAGAGATGTGACATCATCAAATGAAATGTAGTATGATTTAGTGTTGAAACTGCGAACTTAACTCAAGCTAGTAGTTCATGAGGCATCTGACAGATGATGAGTATGGCTGTTTCCCCGGAAAATTTTGGAAACTGCGCCTCTAAACCAGTGCTTCTCAAACTTCATTGTGCACATGAATCACCTGGGATTTTGCTAAATGCTCATTCAGATTCAGTAAGTCTGGGGTGGGGCCTGAGATTCTGCATTTCTAACAAACCCCCAGGTAATGAGATGCTACTGGTATACAAGCACACTTGGAGTAGCAAAGCCCTAGACTACTTGAGCTCATCATTGGGATTATGAAGTTATTGTCAAGGCAATATTTATTCATTCATAGGAGAACTTGAGAAATAAAGAAAACTTCAAATGCTTTTACCAACTAGTAGCATGCACTTCTTCATGAACACTCAGATTAAAACTTGATTCACATTCTGAGAGTGACTCAGGAGAGGTTGACAAAGATCTCTCTGTTATTTCGCAGAGTTAAACTCTATGACACTGCACAATCCAATAGACTGGCCATTAGATATGAGCTAAAGGAGAAGGACACATCACTTAGAGAGTTTGTTGTTGTTTTTAAATTGTGTCTTGTGTGTATAAATTTTCTAAGTTTCAGGAAACTTATTCTGAGTGTCTTTGAGATTGCAATCTAAAAATTATATACTGCAGTGAGGCCATGGAAATTGATATTTCACCAGCCAGGATCACTAACAACTGTTGATCCTTCAGCTGGCTGGAAGGATAAGGTAATAAAGAGGATAGATAAAAGTGGGGCTAGCCAGGCGCAGTGGCTCACGCCTGTACTCCCAGCACTTTGGGAGTCCAAGGTGGGTGGATCACTTGAGGTCAGGAGTTCGAGACCAGCCTGACCAACATGGTGAAACCTTGTCTCTGCTAAAAATACAAAATTAGCCAGCTGTGGTGGTGCATGCCTGTAATCCCAGCTACTTGGGAGGCTGAGGCAGGAGAATCACTTGAACCCAGGAGGCATAGGTTGCAGTAAGCTGAGATCGCGCCACTGCACCCCAGCCTGGGCAACGAGTGAAACTCCATCTCAAAAAAAGAAAAAAAAGTGGGGCTAATTTTAAAATACACAGTTGTATTAGCATTTGTTAAAGGAGAGGCAAACATTATAAATGCAACATGCTCAAAAATTTGGCTGAATTTTTGACCATTCACATGGATATAGGTGGTTTCTACATTTTTTCCTGATCTAACCCTTTCACATAATAGGTACTCAATAAATATTTGATGAATAAATAATCCTCAAAAATAACAAGAGTTAAGTTAATATTATGGTTATTAGAACTACTTCTAAAATTAGATTTATTTATATATATTTATTAAGATTGGTTTTAAAATTAACTCAATCACCAAATATTTTAAATTGTCTTTAAACAGAACTTAAATTAACATTACATAGGATACAAAAAAGTAGATTTCTGTCTATAAGCACAAAGAATGACAGTTTTTGCCTGGTTGTAAGGAGTCGTGGTGCTTATTCTCCATGTTTCTACTTTACATGTATGATCAGTCCTCTGTTTTACATGTCTAAGCAAAAAAGGGTTATACAAACTGCTGGTTCCCTCTCTCACCATAAATTTTAATCTCCCCAAAAGAAATAGGCCTGTTTGGCACACTAGTGATCAAAATATTCCACCTGGAAATGCTTTCAAAATGTCCTTCAAACAGATGCTTATAAGACTGAAAAGAACATGATCATCATAAAAAGAGGGCTTAAAAATACAGCAAATGAGGACAGTGACAGGAATTGGGGGTGGAGGATATTCCAAGAAAACACAGTCTTCATAGGGAAGACACTTGGGAAATATCATTGGAAGATGAGATTTATTTCATGCTTCTGGAAGCCAGAATTAGGTTCATTGAGAAGTTTCGTGGAGGAAAATTTTAGCTTAATATTAGAAAGATCTGTAAAATAATTGATGTCAACCTAATATAAAATCGGGTGGCCTTGGCAGGTCACGAGTTGTCTGTCATTGAAGAAAGCTTAACCAACGGCCAGAAAACCACCCACATTAGTTTGCTAGGACTGACATGACAAAATACCACAGACTGAGTAGCATAAAAAACAGAAATTTATTTTCTTACAGTTCTGAAGGCTAGAGGGCTAAGATTCAGGTGCTGGCAGAAAAGAGTTTTTTCTAAGTTGTCTTCTTTTGTTTACAGATGGCTGTCTTCTCTGTGTTCTCACATGGTTTTCCTTCTGTGTGTGTGCATCCCTGGGGTCATTTTGTGTGTCCAAATCTCCTTTTCTAATAGGGACACCAGTCAGATTGGTGACATAAGAGACAGGTCCCTGTAGCAAGTGGGGGTGAGGGGAAGGGATTGCACTAGATATTACCAAGGAGCCACCTTCTAATTCTCACTTCAAACTCTAAGGGAAATAAACATAAAATAAAATCTCATTCACCCAGTGTCCAATTCTCTGGAGCACTGTTTCAGAAAATGATTTGCCATTTACGATGGGATTGTTCTAGGTTGATCTCAGGTAAACAGCATAAGCTAAGTGAAAAAGTCTGATTTCAATTGCTAGTCATTTTACACAAATAGTATTGGCATAAATGATGTCAATGATATTTTTTAAATTACTATTAATATTTATTGCTTAAAATTATAACAATTTTCAGGTAAAATATTTGTCTACCAACTCTGTCACCTATACCAATAATTTTCTTCATTTGGTATTTTCTTCTAGTGACTCCTAAGTGTGCATAATTTACACATTTGTAGTCATCATGAATATCTGTGTTTTTCATTTATTTTACAAATAGTTTAATATACTGAAGCAAAGCCTTTATAGTCATTCTTAACAGACAAACAACATACCTTTAGCGTATAGACCACACATTAAGCCAGCGGTCCCCAACCCTTTTGGCAGCAGGGACCAGTTTTATGTAAGACAGTTTTGCCACAGACAGGGGAGGTGGGGGGAATGAGGGATGGTTGCAGGATGAAACTGCTCCACCTCAGATCATCAGGCATTAGATCCCCATAAGGAGCAGGCAACCTAGATCCCTCGTGGGAGCAGTTAACAATACGGTTTGCACTCCTATGAGAATCTAATGCTGCCACTGATCTGACAGGACGCAGAGCTCAGCTGTGATGCTCACTCACCTGCCGCTCACCTGCCGCTCACCTCCTGCTGTGCAGCCCAGTTCCTAACAAGCCACGGACCACTGGTCCATGGCCCCGGGAGTTGGGGACCCCTGCACTAAACCTTGATGCTGAATATTTAGTTTGTTTATGTTTTTGTCTTATCACAGGTAAGGTTGTTCTTAATATATAAATAAATATTTCCATTATTGGAACAACTAACTTGAAATAAATAAAATTTTAATTATTAATATAATAATTAGTTATAAAATAAAATTAACTTGGATGAATGAAATAAAAGATTTAAAGATTTTTATGGCTTTTAATGCATTTCTACATTGGTTTTCAATGGGGCAATACCATATGATGGTGCTATCAGCAATATTCAAGTTCACTAATTAAACCACAAATTCATCCCTATTGGGTATTACTTTTCAATTTATTTTTGGTAATTAAGTAGGAATAAGCCAGAGTCTCAGTTTTGCTTATTTTTACAAGATTTTGACAGGAAAAAGAAATATCTTTCATATGTTTGTTTACCTATTGGACTATGTTGTTCTTTGTATTCATAGCAAAGGTATATTTTCAGACTCTGTATTGCCAGCTGCTTAGATCACTTTCTCTTCTAACTTATTGAGACACTTGAAGCTATACTTTGCAACAAAGTGCTTTTTTACTTTCCTCATATTTTTAAAGCACATTAATTTTAAGCGTTTATTAAAATAGTACAAATTTGGGCAAAAATTTGCAATGGTTCATCTGACTGCAGTAGGTCTTGAAAATATTCTCTAACCAAATGCTCTAGGTACAACCAAGCATGGCTTATCTAGACAATGTTAACATAGTTTACAAATACATCAGAAGCCTTAAAGACAAATGTAAACCTTAACATTTAGCTTTTTTTTTCTTTCCCATATCAGCTTGATTATAACAGGGTCCACTACTCAGCACCTTAATACTTGTTACTTTCATTGCATTCACGAGTACTTATGACAGTCATTTGCATCAGAACTTATACCAAATCAACTGAAGTTGAGTTTTATGAAAGATGCAGATTAGCCTAAGTCCAAAGGATGCTTTTTCTTTTCTGCATATATGTACAGGATTATTTATTGCCGCAAATTACTTCTCCTTTATTAGGATGCTGTAAACTAATGACTTTTGGGTATATAATATTTTCTGCACATAACCATTTCATAAACCTAGGCGCAAAGTGCCCTGGTGTGCACCTCATTAATCTGTTTATTCACACATTTTTAAATTCATTGGACATTTGCCGAATTCCTCCTAAATATTGAGCAGCCTGCTAGAGACTAGAGACGCAGACGTGAGTAATATATACACTTGCCCCTCCAGGGCAATAAAGTCAGGTATTGTTTTAACTGAAACCAATTTTCTATATGTCCTGCAATTTTTAACTAAAAGGTTACATTTCAGCCTCTTTAACCAGAAATTTAAAAATATTTCTTTAGATTAATAAATTCCTAAGACAGACTAAAATATTATCATGATATAATTATTGCTATAAATACTTTATAAATTTGAGCCAATAATATCATCCTCCTAGAAATTAAAATGATGACTATGAGGATAAGTCTTCCAACTAACTCTAAGCTCTTTAAAAGTGAAGAGCAAAATAAAAATAAAGCATGTCAAAGAGATGAAGAAGATGTACCGATTTGAAACAATCTCTAAGATGCATTTTACTTAAAAATTAAAGCAAGATGTAAATGAAATATTTACCTTTAATAAATCATTACAGTGGTTGCCTCTGGAGAGGGGAACTGTGGGCCAGAAGGGAAACTTGTCTTTTCACATATACTTTTTGAACTCTGTACATGTATATATACATGTACTTATATTAAATCTCCAAACATAATATATTAAAAATAAGGTCATATTGTTGCTCATCTTAAACAATTCACAAATACATATTCACATAAACAAAGTAAAGGGAAGGATGGGGAGGCCTTCCAGGCAGGAGAACAACAAAATAAAGGTCAGAGATAAGCAGGCTCTGTAGGAAGCCCGAGATCCAGGTCTTTCATTATCACTACAACCACCATCTTCACCAACATAACTCTCATTATTCAGAATCTATATCGTTTCAAGCACTGCTGTTATTACTTTACATATAATATTTTAATTTTTTTCAAAACCATATAATTATGCAGTGAAGAAACAAACTCAGATATTATGGGACTTGTTCTAGACTACACAAATAGTAAATGGCCAGGAAAATCCAAAGACTAGTCCATAGAAATCATAGACCATCTCATTTTTTGAAACACTACTCTGCCTCTCATGGAGAAAAAAGCTAGAGTAAAGGGCTCTGAAGTCTGTATTAGATTCCAAAAAAATAAGGGAAGCCAATATTAATGTGTGATATTGAATGGGCTGAAGAAATCAATGATTGAAGAAACAATTTGTTGGCTAATGTCACTGTGAGAGGCTGAGAACAAACTTATTGATAGCATTGGGTACTAAGGAATTCAAGACTTTGTACAAAGGAAGCAGCTGCAAGGAATTGAGGACTAATTTGAAAAAGATGGGAAGAAGGGGAGAGAGCCCAAGAATGGGTCAGATGTCTCACATCTGAATTAACTAGAAGGAGAGCAATCATTTTAACATTCAACAAATATTTATCAAAAAGCTACTGAAATGGAAGGAAAAGCCAATTTAGCAGAGGAAAAGATCATTTGCTGAGTATTGTCAGGTTCTAAGAAAATCTGGCCCCTAAATTCTGCCCCTGGGCATGTGACTCTTCAGACCTGCTGTTAGAAGTTAATAGCCGTAGAATGTTTTGAGAGCCCCTCTAAAGGTGAAAGGCTGCAAGGTGTCTGACTATTGCTGCTCTCCTAATGCTCTGGATGTATTTAGCAGCCACTAAATTCTCATAACTGTACCACCACTCAGAGAGATTGCTATGAGGAATAAATCATGTGATTATGTGTGAAGCACTTAGAACATGTCTAGGAAATGACCAGTAAAATGTTAGTTATTGTTTTTATTATTATTAGATTAAAATTTATTTTGGGAACAAGATAGATTATGTATAGATGATAGATACAGATAGGCACACACCCTCACATATAAGATATATGTATACAAGATATATGTGTGTGTATATACATAAGTACACTCTGTGTATATAAAGTAATAGTTGAAAAATGTCATATGGGTAGAACAAAGTCAGTCTCTGGGACGTGCACTAAAGTAGAATTTCTTCTTGGAAGGAAGAAAAAAGTGTTCCTTCCTGTCTCTTGGCCAGGTACCTCTATGCACTGAACCAACTAAACAACCACATATGTCAGCCTTGTCTTTGGGTCATCTGTGTTTAGAAAATAGGACTAGCCATATGGTTTCTATGTGCCATAGAATATTGCTCTTTTAAAAAAAAACACCATTTCCAGCTTCTCGCCTCTGTTCTTTAAAAAGTATAACATATTGCTTAGCAGAATCCTGAAAATAGCTTGAAAAGAGCTAAAAACTAAATCCTGGATTTTCTGGTTCGTACATGATGTTCTCCTATTTATTTCCACAGTATGCTTGTTTCCTGAGCTGCGGCTTGAATGATACCAACTCCCCTGCCATGTTGAGGAACTTTTCTTGCTCAGTGTGTACATAACCAGCCAGATCTTCCAACAATACAACAGCAACAGCAGCTGATCACCTCTGATGTTTGAATCCAAGTCACCTTGAGGGATACAGGGCTATAGTCACTGTTGATAGGGTCCTGCCCTCAAAAGTACCACTATCTAGCTGGGGAGATAGAATATCTACATTTAAAGATAGACAACCATGAAGGGCCACAAATATGAGGTATCATATGGGGCAGCAGATGTGACAGGGGTACAGGAGAAATGAAGATCACAGTACTTGACAGAGGAGGTGAAATCAGCTAGGAAGCTTTGTTAGAGTTAATGTTTTAGCTGGGCCTTGGATCAAGGAAAGACTTACATACCTAGAGAAGAGAATGGAATAAATAAATAAATAAATAAATAAATACCCTAAAACTTAAAGTATAATAATAAATAAATAAATAAATAAATAAATAAATAAATAAATAAATAAAAAGAGAAGAGAATGGAAGGCAGACTTGGCAATGTCCTTTCCTTCTTCTTCAGGGAATGATACCCCCTTTGTCTCTGATGAAGTGGATACATGGGAGAGAACACTGGGCTGGAGGACAGGAAGCCCAGGTTCTAATAACACATTTGCTAATAAGTAGCAATTTGACCTTCACTCCACATTTCCGGATCTTCATTTCCTCCTCTATTAAATGCTAGTATTGGACAAGATTATTTTCAAGGTTCATTCCAGGTTTTCAATGATGTTCTGAATTCTGTGAGTTGTTTCTTTATTTCCAACTTTATAAGGTCATTCTCAATTCTGATCTTTATCTTCTAAAATGCAATCTCAATTTACTTAACCTGCCTCATGTTACTAGTCTCCAGTGTCATAACTATTAACATCAAAATCAAACAATTCCAGACTCTAGTATGATCATCTTCCTTGTGTTCTTATATTTGGGAAATGAATAACACTGAAAACTATTTCTCACTTTTTGCTGTAGTTCATAGAACTAAGATTTCCTTGACTTCAAAGAGTGTAATCAATATGATGTGGCATGAAATAGAATCATAAATTCTTGAACTCTTCCCTGGAAATTTTCTTGGTCAGTATATTCATTGTAACATACTTTAGAAACATTATATAAAACCTAATAATAATGTAATCTGTTATTCAATAGATTTAAATATGCAAGGGTCAGTATTAAATCCCAAATATCACTATTTTCATATTAAAAGCTATATATAAGGTAAACCCAAAGTAAACATAAGTCATTTTGATCTATACTTGGTTAGGTGGGCAATGCAGTTAATTCTAAGCTAAACATCAGCATTTTATAGATGCTTATTTTTAAAAACAGGACCATTTCCCCAAAGAACTCCAAAAACTTTGTTGATTGTTTCTAAGTAATTAAATAATAAAGGAAAATATAAATATTCTATATGAAAACATCTAACAGATATTTCAACTATCCTCTTTCTATTGAATATTTTTAATTTATTTATGGAATTGTTTTTTAATTTAATATTTTAAAATTAAATAATGTATTATAAATAGGTAGCAATTAATAGCTTCCACATGTTGGCACACATACCAAAATCAACACATAGTACTCCCAGTCAAATACATGCCTCTACCTCCACTCCCTCCCAAATCTCCACTAAAATAACAGAAAAGAGGTTTTTAAAAATTATAAACCCACAAGGATAAAGGAATGGGAGAGGAGATGACAGAAAACCAAGAGATGTTATTAAAATTTTGGAACGAAGTGATGAGTGGTAACTGGCTTGGCAAAAAGAAGAAAGTGAAACCTAGATGTCTGCCTGGGCAGAAGCAACAGGAAGCACACGGACGCATGCAGCAAGGAGGACATAGTGCTTGGAAATCTGTACAGAGAAAAATTAGACTCTCAGGCCCCCCACCACCAGTCAGAGACTTGAACAGAGAAGTGTCTCTCTAAATTAGGAGACACTGGTATAGTAAAAAGTGGGGGTGTGAAGCCATTGAGAAAACGTAGGGTTGGGGAGGATTAAGTAATTGTCTTTCAGCTGCTCTCAAACACTTTGCTCTCTGTACCACTTTATACTCTTAAGAATTTTGAGGATCATTTTTTGAGAAAGATCTTTTGTTTACATTGGTTATATGTATCAATATTTACTTTATTACAAATTACAACTGAAAAAATCTTAATTCATTTAAAACAATAGCAAGTCCATTATATATTAATATAAATAACATTTTTCTGAAATGTAACTATATTTTTCACAACTAAAAAATTAGTGAGAATAGTGGCACTTTTACATTTTTACAAATCTCTTTAATGTCTGGCTTAATAGAAAATAGGTTCTCATAACTGCTTCTGCACTCAATCTATCATAATATGTTGCTTTGGTGGAAGAATACCAAGAAAATCCAGCTTTGCAGAGTTATGTAGTTAGAAAGAGAGCATTATTTTAATAACATTTTCAGATAGTTGTAAATATTTTTCTTCAATGCTACACCAAAATTTGATGAGTGGTAGTTTCTTAAAGAAGAGTTTCAATACAAAATTTGAAAGTGCATCAGTGAACTTTTTGTATTCTATTACATTAAAATTTATTGCATAAACCTATCTTGCATTTTTTCCCATGCATGATTTGGTAACATCCTGCACTAATCATTTGGAAAATAGCAGTTCATTGATTTAGGCATATCTTTCAAATATAGGTGCACTTTATTATATAATATTGAAAAATCACATGGTTACTATCACCAGTAACCCCACTTAGGAAACTTTCAAGCTAATGGTGGAGGATACAAGTTTTCCAAGATTCTCATTTTCTCCTGAACACGCAAATTCTATCATTGGCAACAAATACCATCAGTTGTTTTCCCTGAAGTGATAAGGTTACTTTGTTCGTTTTTGAGGGCTGTCTGTCTAATAGCCACATCTGAAAGACTATTCTTTGTCAATCATTCTTTCAACCAAAATGGGGTTCTTTGAAAAAAGCAGGTAGTTCCACTTGTAACTCAAGCAATAGCACAAATGCTTTTCCTCGAGACAATCATTGCACTTTGGCATGCTGCAGAAGTGCTTTATGCATACTTCCCATTTCATCATAGAAAATATAAAAAAGATGTGCATTTGAGGGTCAAGGTTAAATAATAATCAATAACTCTTACTGTTCACTAAAGACATATTTTAATGAAAGTGGCTTTTTTTTTTTGCTTTAACTGTTACATGCATGTTTGTGAAGAATACAATAATGACTAGCAGAGTTTGGTGCTACTACATTGGTTAACGCTAAGCACCAGCAATTTTACACGTGGTTGAGTTTGCATCATAAATGCATATATCACCACCACAAAAATGCAAATAACTTCTGATCTTGGTACTATTATGAAAATAGTTTTGACTGTAGAATCCCTGAAAGAATCTTAGGAACCCCCTGAAGTTTGAAGACTGCATTTTGAGAATCCCCAGCCTAAATACTTTATGAGAAATTCCTCAAAATCTGGTAATCAGGTTTTCACTTCCAGGCAAGATACTGAACAATTTCTCTCTAGAGAAATGTCAGCTTGAGATTTAACACCTAAAGATAATGACATTTAAGGGTTTAACCAATGAAACAGCCAATGAATCCAATCAGTGGAGAATCCTCTCCCCCTAACACACACACACACACACACACACACATCCACACAGAGCTTCCTATATTTTCTTGTACCCTCACATTTTAAATATGACACAAAGTCAAAGATTCCTAATATTTTTAAAAGTTCTCTATGAAAAAAACAGACAGACAGATATAAACACACAAATTCTTAAAACAGAGGCAATGCAATTGGTATATTTTCTGGTTACTAATTATACATAAAAAACTAATATATCCATTAAACAAGAACAGATCAACAAAGAGCTTCTGAGTCTTAGAAAATATGGCACCAAAACTTAAAGAAATTCAGTAGTATATTTAGAGGACAGAGTTGACAAAAATCTTCTCAAATGTAAAACAAAAGACAAAGTAATGGAAAAACAGGAGAGAAAAGATAAGAAACGTAGAAAACTAATCTAAGAACCTTAAAAGCTGACCAGAAATAAGAAAACTTTGAGTTTTCTTATTCTAAGAGTTCCAGAAAAAGAAAACTTTGGAGAAGGAAATTAGCCAAAAATATTTTTCCAAACCCTAAAGAACTTGGATTAACAGATGACTGTGATATTTTAGAACTTTGAAGATAGAGAAGACAATACCAAAAAAAGGTGGTCATATATGAAATAGCAACAATCAAAATGGCTTCATAGTTCTCAACAAGAATTTTCAAAGATAGAGCACATGGAGCAATGCCATCAGCAAACAGTGATTATTTCTTCTACAACAGAGGTCTGCACTTAGCCAACTGTGAAGGTAGACTACAGACCTTTTTAGAGTCCTGTAAGGAATCAGAAGTACTTATCCTTATCCTTTCTCAGAAAACTCCCAGGAAATAATTCATCACAAGTAGAGTAAAGGGGAATAAATAGGCATGGGATCCAACCCAAGAGAAAAGTGAAGTAAACTGAACCATGGCAGTGGGGAATCCCAGGATGATGCTTATGTAGCAACCTAGAGAGCAACTAGTTTGATTGGAGCAGAAGGAAGGAAGGCTTCAAGAGGGTGGTCTCCAAGATAAAATGGAAACCGATATTATCTAGCATACCTGATCATATTGAGAGGGATGTAGTTCTAATAGATGATTTAAGGAAGAAAACCTAACAAACAAAATATGAGACAATGATTAAGTCCAGAAAAAAGCGAAGTTTAGAAGAAACAAAACATGACAGTAACATACCTTGAGATTTAATTATGAACAAAATTTATGTGATTGTAATGTAAACACCAATTATTCATTCAACCTAAATGTTGCCTCGGGGGAGGAGAAATAGGGTGGGGAAGAGGTCTCAGTAGATGTGTGATTTTCATGATGAATCTTACACTAGTTGACTTTTTAAACTATGTATATGTTTGACTTTGATAAAAATTAAATTGAGAACAAAATACAGCTCTGCAGAAAATGTTCCATCATGTGATTTTTTAGTGCTGCCTAAAATGACTATACACTCATTGTTCCGCCATCTGCCAGAACAGTAGTTCTCAAGTTTTTTCCTCTGAGACGCACATGACAAGCTATGTGTGTGACATAATCTCATGGATATTCCCATGGTGCTAACTCTAACATGATGTTTCTCTCCTGCTTAATTTACATGAGCTATCATTCGTGACCAGACTGGGCAACCCCATCTCTACAAAAAACTTCAAAAATTAGCCAAACATGGTGGCAAGTGCCAGTAGTCCCTGCTACTTGGGAGGCTGAGGTGGGAGGACCACTTCAGCCCAGGAATTTGAGGTTGCAGTGAGCTATGATTGTTCCAGTGCACTCCAGCCTGGGGGAGTGAGCAAAATTCTGCCTCAAAAAAACAAAGTTTTTGTAAATGTTTAATTATATCAGATATCTCTTTGAGATTTTAATTTAAATTTTGGGGGGATATATACCCAGAAGAGAAATTGTTGGATTATACAATAGTGAGCTCTGTTTTTAATTTTTGAAGAATCTCCATACTGTTTTCCATAGTAGTTGTACCAGTCTACATTTCTGTCCACAGTTTGCAAGGGTTCCACATATTCGCTAACACTTATATTTCCTTTTTTTCCTAACAAATGTCAGATAATATTTCATTGCGGTTTTAATTTGCATTTTATGACTGCTGATGTTAGACATTTTTCCATATACCTATTAACCATTCATATGTCTTCTTTAAGGACATGTCTGTTCTGGTTCTTTGCCCATTTTTATACTGGTCATTCATGGTTTTGCTATTGAGTTATAGAGGTTCCTTATTTTTTTTACATTGACCCTTTATCGGATATCTGGTTTTCAGCATTATTCCCACTAGCCAAAGCAATCCAAATGTTATCAACAGATGAATGGATAAAGGAAATATGGTATATACATACAATGGAATATTACTCAACCTTCAAAAAGAAGGAGATTCTGCCATTTGTGACAACATCAATGAACCTAGAGAACATATGCTAAGTGGAATAAGCCAGACACAGAAGGAAAAATACTACAACTCATAGAAACAGAGTAGAATAATGGCTGCCAGAAGCTGGGGTGATGGGTGCTGAACAAGGAGGCTTCATTAAAGGATATAAATTTTCACTTATGCAAGTAAGTTAGTCCTAGGAGACTATTGTGCAGCATAGTGTCTATAGTAAACTACTGTATCATATACATTAGAACTTTGCTGAGAGGGGAGATCCTAAGTGCTCATATCACACACACACACAAAATAGAGCAGGAGGGAATTTTTGGAGGTGAGGGATACATTGATGGCATTGATTGTAGTGATGGTTTCATAGGTGTATAATGATGTCTAGAACATCAAATTGTATACATTAAATATGTAAAGCTTTTTCCCTGTCAATCATACCTCAGTAAAGTGGTTTTAAAAAAGAAATTATGACTGGGCATGATGGCTCACACCTGTAATCCTAGCATTTTGGGAGGCCAAGGTGGGCAGATTGAGCTCAGGAGTTCAAGACCAGCCTGGGCAATATGGTGAAACTCTGTCTCTACTAAAAATATAAAAATTAGCTGGGCATGGTGGTGCACACCTGTAATCCCAGCTACTTGGGAGGCTGAGGCAGGAGAACTGCTTGAACCTGGGAGGCAGAGGTTGCAGTGGGCCAAGGTAGTGCCACTGCACTCCAGCCTGGATGACAGAGTGAGATTCTGTCTCTCACACAAAAAAAAATTATATAGAATACAAATGAATACAATATATTATAAGATAAATTTGAACACTTTTTTTGAGTCAAGGTCTCACTCTATCACCCAGGCTGGAGTGCAGTGGCACAATCTCAGTTCACTGCAACCTGTACCTCCCTGGGATGAGGTAATCCTCCCACTTCAGCCTCCTGAGTAGCTGGGACTATAGGCATGTGCCACCATGCCTGGCTAATTTTTGGTACTTTTTGTAGAGACAGGGTTTTGTCATGTTGCCCAGGCTGGTCTCAAACTCCTGGGCTCAAGCCATCAGTCTGCCTCAGCCTCCCAAAGTGCTAGGATTATAGGCGTGAGCCACAACACCTGACCTGAACAATTTTTAGTATGTCAAAAGTTCAATATTCACAATACCTACTTTATCTACACTTACTAACCATACCTCAGGACTGATCTCAACATACCCCATGTCATACATAACACTGAGTTTGATAACTGTTGAGTTATAACATGATTCCTAAACTCAGATGCCTACTGGAGTCAGGTGTATAAGAGTTAAAACATGTAAACCTCTCATTCTTTCCTTTTTCCACTTTTGATAGAGTCAAGAACCAGAGAACTTTCTTTTTATTATAAGAAAAGCAAGGGATCCTGTGTAATTCTGAATGAAAACAGATCCTCAGCCTCAGTATCTGACAGATCAGTGGGAGTGGTAGCAACTGTGGCAACCTGTACAGGGCAAGTCATTTCTAAGGTAGCCACCACTCAGTTCCGGCCAATTATGACCACACTAGAATAGAGGCATCTTCTCATGACCATCTCATCTCCATCTTGCACTTTCACATCCTAATATAAGTCCCATGATATCTGAGGGGGAAGTTACCAAAGATGTTTATGGACCATATGATCCATATTTCTAAGAAACTCCTGATTTTCAAACGGACCCTCCCTTTCAACTTATAAACCACAGAACGATCCTGGAGAATCCAACATTTTAGTGTACAGACTTTACCTCCCACACGGCTTCTCAAAACTGGAAAATATATACGAATCCCATCTCCAACTAGGTACTCCAACCTTCAGTTCAGATAATGAGGTGACCGTGTTTGTTATCCAATCCAGCTGTGCGGAAGCATAACTCCTTTTCTTGTTAGGTCATGTTATGCAACCTGGACTGAGCCAATGTACAGTGACTATATAGGGTGGAGATCGTGAATGTTAGATTTGGCAACTCCTCTAAAGGGACTGAATACTGTAGTTTACGACATAAGAAGATAATACCACAGCAGTAATCGAAACCATACTTCTGTCTTCTAACTCTTATTCAAGATCCCATAGCTCTCTCCCTAACCGTCCTTCCACAGCCTTTCCTTATCCTTCAAGCACATGTTTGGAGTGTTGCACAAGAGCAACTTCATCCCATTTTCCTTTTGACAAGTGCCTGTCTCTATATGTGGGTCTCAATCTTCCCACCAGTCCCAGAGGAAGAGGCTTCTGTCCTTCAGTTGAATGATCATGCTCTTCATTTACCTGGACTCTACACCTGTAGTCACCCCTCCTCCACAATGAAAGTCTTCCTTTCTATCTTCAGCCATGCCCAGAGTATCCCCGCCTTCAAACAAATGTAAACAAATCCTTCATTAATCCTTGTTTCTGCCAGGCACAGTGGCTCACGCCTATAATCCCAGCACTTTGGGAGGCCAAGGTGGGCGGATCACCCGAGGTCAGGAGTTCCAGACCAGCCTGGCCAGCCTAGTGAAACCCTGTCTCTACTAGAAATACAAAAATTAGCCAGGTGTGATGGTGGGAGCCTGTAGTCTCAGCTACAGCTACTGAGCTGAGCTCAACTCAGCTACTGAGGCTGAGGCAGGAGAATCGCTTGAACCGGGGAGGCAGAAGTTGCAGTGAGCCGAGATTGTGCCATTGCACTCCAGCCTGGGCGACAAGAGCAAAACTCCGTCTCTAAATAAATAAATACCCCATTTCTTCTTCAAGCTGATGCCCAATCACCCCATTTTTTCTTCTCATCCTTTACCTTTTTATTAACCATTCTTCCTGTTGTTTCCATCTAGCGCTGATTATGACTGTAATAATGGAAATGTGTCACATTAAAAACTTAATTTGCAAAATACTTCCATAGATACCATTCTTTTGACCCTCACAATAACCTTATGAAATAGCAGAACAAAAACTATCTCTGATTAATAAAAGAAGAAGCCTGACTTTGGGAGTGATGAAGACATTTGTATAAAGTGAACTACAGCCAGTAAGTAGCACAGGAATTTGAACACAATCCACTGAGTTGTGGGGCAGTGACTTTTCACCTTCTACTGCTCTGAAGATACCAGCTTTACTATGACTAGTGAACACCTTCTTGCCAAAGTCAATGATAATTTTCTTGGCCTTTTTACACTTTCAATTTTCTTCCCTTTAAAGTATATTGACTAATCTTCAAATGTTTTGAAGCATTCTTTGCTCTTTAAAACTCTTTCCCCAGCTTTTGAGACACTGCCATTTTCAGAATCTTACTCTGCTGTCTAGGCCAGAGTGCAGTGGCATGATCACAGCTCACTGCAGCCTCAAACCCCTGGCTTCAAGCAGTCCTCCTGCCTCAGCCTTCTGAGTAGCTGGAACTACAGACATGTGCCACTGTGCCCAGCTAATTTTTTAATTTTTGGAAGAGATGGGATCTCGCTGTTTTGCCTAGGCTGTTCTGCAACCCCTGGACTCAAGCGATCCTCCTGCATCAGCCTCCCAAAGAGCCACTGTGTCCAGCCTCTACACCCCTTTTTGATCTCTCCCAAAGCATAGATTTTCCTAGCACTCAACTTTCAGATTTTTTTTCTCTCTCTCTCTCTCTCTGCCTCTCTCTGTCTTTCTTGTATTTTTTTTTTTTTTTACCTTTTTGGTTCTCTTCCTGGTGAGTCCATGGCTTTACACAGATGACTCCAATATCTATTCTAAACATCTTCTAAATTAGAAGCTTAAAGACATCTTGAGCTTTAATTTTGCCTACTCTTTCTTTTCCTAGTCCATCTTTCACCAAGTTCCACTGTTCCTTGCCTAAAATGGCTCATGTCTGCTTTTTCTTTCTATCCTCATTACTACCACCCATCTGCAGGGGCTCACCAGCCCCTCAAGACTAGGTGATGCACTCTACAAAATTTCAACATCCTGACTAGTCCTCTCATCAGTGGTCATTTTCTTCCAGTCATTGTGCACACTGGATGATGTTTTCAATGTGACATATTTCCAAAACGGGGCTTTGTGTGACTGCATCGAATGGGCAACTTTGGGCCAGCCCTGGGTTAGTCAGAGCAAGAGAGGCTGAGCACTGCCACTAGAGGACCCGCTTTCCCGCTTCTCCTAGACATTGCTAATGAGTGTTGATGGGCAACTGATATATTACCCTGACTGGGGTGCATACATGTTTTATTACTGCCCTAGATGAGGAATGTTAAGAAATTTAGGATGCCTGGAGTTTAGAGTACATGCAGTAAAATGCTGCTAAATATTTAACAATTGAGTCTCCAGGGAAAAAGAAAAAGTCCTAATTCATAGTGTTTGCCAATTTCCATGGTATAAATATTCCTGCTATGTCTGATCTCAATCCACCAACATGACTTCACAGAATGTGGACTTGGGAAGAGATGCACACAATTGGCCCTCACAATGAGAAAGTGTTTATGGAAGAGGCTATAAAGGCCAACTGATACCAGGTCCTGGTGGACTTCATATGCCAAGTTTTAAAACCTCGACTTTATTCTATTGCAAAGGGAAGCTACCAAAGGTTTTTTTTTTTTTTTTTTTTAAATATAGAACATTCTCAGTGCTATGATTTGAATGTGCCCCCAAAGTTTATGTGTTGGAAACTTCATCCCCAATGCAACAGTATTGAGAGGTGGGACCTTTAAGAGGTGACTAGGTCAAAAGGGCTCTGACCTTATGAATGGATTAATGCTGTTATCTAGGGAGTGGGTAAGTTATCAACAGAGTGGGGTCCTGGTAGAAGGATGAGTTTGGTCTCCTTTGCCCTCTCTCACATGCTGTCTTACCCTTCCACTGTTTTCATGGGATTACTGCAGTAGGAAGGCCATTACCAGATGCAGCCCCTCAGTCTTGGACTTCCCAGCCTCCAGAACTGTGAGAAATAAATCTCTGTTCTTTCAAAATTACTCAGTCTTAGGTATTCTATTGTGGCAACACAAAATGAACTAAAACACTAAGATTTGAATGTTAGAAAAAGTATCCTTATTAACTTCCACATGGTTCCAAACTCATTTACTCCTCCCCTTTTCAAACTTTTAGCAAAGTATACTCACACATATATTTTCAAAATGTGTGAGACAAAATTTTACTATCATAATTATGGAAATTTACTTCAAATAAAACACCTCAAACTTTTAAAAATAGGAGAAAAATAACAGAAAATTTATAAAAATATAAATTTTCAATAAGCATATTTGAAGTAATAGTAATATTAAGTGATTTCAAATGATGATAAGGCATTTCACGTATTAGATTTGAAAATAGTTTTTAAAAGAGCAATAACCACTGTGTGATCTGAGTGAGGGATGGGAGATGACAGTTCTCATACATTGCTGACAGAACTGCAAAATGTTAAAAATTTCTGAAGGGTAATTTGGCAATATGTAAATATATAATATCTCTGAAAAATGGGCATAACTTTGTCTCAGAATTTACACTTCTAGGAGTTATCCTAAGTAAATAATTCCATAAATCTATGAGATATTCCAATAATCTATGGGATTATTCATTGCAGAATGTTTAAAATAGCAAAAAGAAATTGAACACCATCTATAAAGGTAGGCAATTGGTTTAATTTTGTATGCTACATCCACATATCAGATTATTATGTGACCTTTACAATTATAAGGTAGCTGTATTTATTGACATAATGTTTCTAGATATTTTAAAGTGGAAAATGAGGTTATAAGACATATATATATGTTTATAAATACATATTCTGAAAAATCATATAGCAATATAATGATTATATATGAGAAATAAAACATTTTAAATTTTTATCTGTATATTCTACTTTTTTGAAAGTGAATATAAATTATTTATGTATGTTATTCTCTCAGCTTAAATGGACAGTCAACATAAAAAAGTCATAGAAAGATTTTCTGTGTCTTTTACAAAATTGCTATCTATGTGTTACCTACTTAATAAGAGCAAACACTTATATCACACTTGACTATATAGTTAGCAGTATTCTAAAGAAGATATATACACACACACATACATACATATGTATATATGTATAAATATACACATATAAAATAGGGTTATTGTGTGGATCCAAATAGTTAAGTTTATGTGTGTGTGTTTGTATGTGTGTATATATGTATATGTGCATATATGTATATATACATACACAGTTAAGTTTGTGTGTACATAATATATACCTACATGCATATATACATACGCATAATTAGTTAAATTTATGTGTGTGTATATATGTATGTATATATGTACATACATATATACCTACACACACGTGCACACACACACACACACATAAACTTAACTAATTGGATCCACACAATAACCCTATGAGCTAGGTATCATTATTATCCCTATTTTACTGGTGAAGAAACAGATACACAGGATGAGCAAAAAAAGATGAGCAATTGCCCAACTTCACACAGGTAGTAATTAGTAAGCCAAGATTCAAACCCAGGCAGTCTGGTCACAGTGTTTATACTCTTGACCATCACACAATACTGACTCTTGCTTAAATTTACTAAGCTTTAACTGTTTTACCCAAATAATGGGAATAATAATATTACTATCTTTTGGGCTTGCTGTTGGGCTTAATTGAAGTTATGCATGAAAGAACTTAGTTTAATATCTGTCACATAGTTGAGTTAATAGTGCTAGCTATTAAGGATAACAAAAATAATAACACTACTACTAGGACCTCACCTACCACCACCAATTCAACTTCATTTATTTCCCATTATGCCCCAACATATACTCTATGCTTTATTTCAGTTAACTTTCGAATATGTTATGTTTTCCATATGTCATGTGTCATACTCATGCCTCTGCTCATGCTGTTGGCCCCACTGAAATCAGGTGACTGGACTTACCCAAATCACATTTGGCTATAAAGCCTAGCTTAGCTCAGGTCCCTTCACTGATGACTCTGGCCTTCTGACCTTCTGTTGCCCTACACTCACTCATTAACACACATGAGAAAATTAATACATTATCAACTGCCAATTCTTTCTACCTAACAATACAATAAGCTCTGTGAAAGCAGGGATGAATGTTAGAGTGTTCTTCCCTTGCACCCCTTTTATCAGTTCCAACCTCCAGAAGACAGGACTTAGGTATTTAACACGTATTTGCTTTATTTCTACCTACTCATGGAAATATACCCATAGAAATAGAAACTCGCAATTTATCTAAGTTTCCTAGCAGTTTCTTTCCAGAAGAAGATAAATCACAATATTATAATCAGGGGAATTAAAATCATATGCAAATGCAAACTCAGACAAGCATGCAAATTTTGTTATTGTTATTAATATGTAATATGAGTCAATAAATACACAATATTAATTACATAACCAACAATAGCTATAACTATTGCATGTCTCCTTTGTGTCAAGCATTGTATCAAATGATTTATAGATAGGACTTCTTACTGACAACCCTAGTATTAACAGAAATAGTGAATTTGTAAAAATGAAAGATGAGGTTAAGAACTTGTTTCGTAGAGCTAGGAATCAAATCCAGTTTGGCCTGACTCCCAAATACACTGTTTTTCTGTATATCTCCCTTCTTCCATATCTTTATACACAGTTAAGATTTAGGACTTGTTTTTCTATTTCTTAATTATATCAATCAAAACTACCTTTCTTGCCAAAATTTGCCTTTCTAAAACTTAGGGTCAGTATAGAGCACTCTGTTTCAGATATTCTCCCAGGAAATTTAGTACAATAATACCAGAGGGATGTTGTTTTAAAGGAATCTTTAACTAAAGTTGTCCCACACCCTGGGTGCTGTTACCATGAAGCTCTGGGTATCTATAATTATTAGAGTCATTAGGAAGTCCAATAAGCTCAAGTCCTTTTATGGCCAAGGACACAAGGAAAAATCTGAGTCGACCTTTCAGAAAAAATATATCTAAATCCCCTTGTGAATAAGATGGTAAAACAGTTAATAGTGTCACTGTGACAGTCTCTGGAGTCTTTGTTCTGTGGATGTATGGACAACTTTATCCGGGTATTTCAGCCTGAGGCACTGAGTTATAAATAGAAGCAGAGCAGTTCAGAAGAAAAGACTCCAGGCAGCTTACATGAAAGTTGTACTTTGATTCCCTCTCTGAGTACCATCTCTCCTTTTGTGGTATGTCGTCACTTCTCCTCAGACCCAAAACCTAAGCCACTCCTGGACCACTCAGCTGGACTCTCAAATTCAGGAATTGCATGGAACAAACTAAAAAACATTTACATTCTTCACATGGAAAGATTTGTGAAGAGCCCCACATCTCTGGTAAATGCAAACAGCTATAAACAGATGTAACCTGCATTTACTAATAATAACTCTTATCCTCAAATCATATTTTTAAGTTTGAGCCCAACACAATATTGAATTTCCTCATTTTATTTGCTTTATATTTCTAAGCTGTCCTGGATGCAGCAACTAAATGAAATAAATGTTTTAGGAAAAAGCAGCTGTTTTTAAAATGTGGGTATTGGTTTTATGTAATACAAACTTTTTCCAAGTTTTTTTAACTTACAAAAGTCCTTGTTGTATAGTTTCTATTATTTGAGCAATTTTTATAATGAATATGATAATGTTAGCTATTTTTCTATAGGCATAATAGAACATAAAATTCATTTTCATGCAATTAAAATTCATTAGAGATTGGCATTTTAAGACTTAAAATCTTTTCTGAAAAATAACCTTTGTAAAAATCCAAATGTGTTCCCTCCCCCTTCAACAAATGTTGGCTTTTGTTATTTTTTTATATGCTGCATATTGAATTTCCCAGGCTGTGTTTCTGAACAGCAATCTACTGAAAAAAGTGCAATTATTTTTTTTCACTCAAACATGCATTTGAGAGAAATGAGTAGATCAGATAAAGAGCTGAGATGCTATTCAACTCAACCTTGAGTCACTCTCTGTCTCTTTAAAAAAAAAAAGGTGGCAAAATCAATACAAACCAATAATAACTTCACATTTGTGGAAGCAACATGAATGGCTCTCCAAAATATTGAGACACATCCAAGTACATTTTCGTAGAGCTGATATTTATCAGAAGTCATTTGCCCTCAAGCAGATGCTCCCTTTCATTGTGCTCCTGTCACAAATGACTAAGATTTATGACAGACAATTACAGCATCTGCAGTTAGCAGCCTTATAATCAGCACCATTATTTAACGATTGGTGCAATAAACTGACTCCTGTTACTGTTTATCAGATATCAGTCAGTTCTGGCCATTTTCTTCAGCTCCCAAATCACAGTATGGTGCAGCCACTGCCTTTTAATGGCTAGGCAGAAGCAGGAGCATTTTCACATTTTTTACAGACTGCCGAGGGAAAGAAAAAAGCAACCAATTACATGTATGTATGCTGCCCTCTCATTTGAGATGCCCGTGTATGTAACTATCTGTATACAGTTCTAAACCTCTTGGGGGTGAAAAAAAAAGCTTTTACTGTGGAAAGGGGCTTTTTATATTAAAAACAAAAACAAAAACATACCGCAAAATAAAAGCAAAGCAAAACAAAAAAACCCTCTTGCCTTTATTTTTAAAAAGTAAGTTCTCTGTTTAGATTTGCATTTCTTTCTGAGTATAAAATGTTGCTCTGGTGGCCCACTGTTTTGTCATGTAAGTGTGGTTTCAGCTTGCCTTTCACAACCAGAAAAGTAGCTATTGTCCCTGAAAAATATTTGTCAAGGAGCAATTTTTTTTTCCAAACTTTTTGTGAGGTTTTACTCAAAGGGAATTGCTCTGGACTCAATAGAGTTAAGTTTTTCATCAGTCAAAAAGTTGACACATAAAAGAGGCCATGTGTATGTGCCTAAAAGTCACTTACATATTACATATTACAGAATTCCATATTTCTAAACATACAAACAGGCAGAGGTATATATATTATTTAAAGTCCTTCCATAAGAAACACTGCATTTACATATCAAACATGAGGGGCAGGCAACAATTCAGAAGCTATATGGAAGGCAAGACTTCAGTGTAATATGGAAAATGGTATAAAGATGTAAATTTACAGTCAAAGTAAAAAGCTTATGCAATGCTTCTGTAGATGTCTTAGTGTCAAACGGTAGTCTAGTTATTTAGGGAAAAACAAAACAAACCGCAATGCCAGACCTTACTGATTCCTGTCTTTTGTTACTTTTTTCCATAACCAAAGAAGCTAAGTTTCTCATTCATAGCAATAAGCATTTTATCCAATGTCTTCCATTTTACATATTTGATAATATGGTATACGCCTAGATGGATATATTGATGTGGCTGCCTTTGCAATTTAAAGTCTATAATTCATCCACAAAGTCACATGTTTCTTTCGAGGTGTGACATGATACTGGAGAACAGAATAGTGCATCCTTTTAATGAAAAAATAAATAGTGATTAGCCTGGCCAACATGATGAAGCCCCATCTCTACTAAAAATACAAAAATTAGCCAGGCGTGGTGGTGCACGCCTGTAGTCCCAGCTACCCAGGAGGCTGGGGCACAAGAATCACTTGAACCCAGTAGGTGGAGGTTGCAGTGGGCTGAGATTGTGCCATTGTACTCCAGCCTGAGCAACAGAACAAGACTCCATCTCAAAAAAGAAAGCGAAGGGAAGGGAAGGGAAGGGAGGGGAAGGGGAAGGGGAAGGGAGAAGGCAGTAAGGCAGGAAAGCAGAGTAACCCCATGGGAATCAGATTCCTTTCTGGAAAAATGCAAAAGGGGTTTTATTCAGTCAACATGTAAAATTAGTTATTTTCTAAGTTGAAACTTTTACAAAGGCTTCACAGACCTTCACAAACTAGACCTCAGACCTTCACATAAGTCTTCAACAGAGGAATGGTGAGAATGAGGGTTCTCAGACTGTTCAAGTTAGAATGACCTTAGGCGTCCTTCTGTGCAACCCTCTCATTTGAGAGATGGTGAGGGTGAGAGTCAGAGAATTAAGTGATTTTCGCTGGAGCACAGAACTAGATATTGGCACAGCTATAATTAGAACTCAAGTGTACGGCTTTGCTAGCTAGGTCCCTTCCTGCAGAGTCTACACTAGAGGACCCAGCTGCTCTCTCCAAGCCTGGCAGAAACCAGTTCTTTGGCTCTGCTGAGGCACATCCTACTTTGGGTGTTCTGTGCCCAGTCCTCCTACAGAGCACACTGCTGTAAGGCTCAGGGAAACAAAAGTTTCCATGAATCTGCAAGACACTTACTTTACGACTTCAAAAGCTGAATCTGGAGCCAGAACAAAACAACTATTCAGTCACATAAACATATAAAACTTTTATTCCATTGGTTGGCATCAAAATAACTCAAGTTGTTGGCTTTTAAATTTTCTAATAGTTTGATACCCTTGTATATGTCTAGGGTTTTGTTTGTTTTTCAAGTTTTTTCTTTCCATTTTGCACAAGTGATTGCAAAGTTTTGCAAAATAAAACCATTTAATTTCACCAATTTGGCAGCATAAAATAATCACAAATTTTGTGCAATCAGGAAGAAGCCAGCATCAAACATTTTTTGTCTGTCATATACAGAAATATATTAATGCATACACAGTTCTCTCATTCAATTTTAGTAAGATTGAACAAGTACTTTGGATGTATCAAAGAAATTGGTATATTTTCTACAGATGTCCTGCCCTTTTCTGCAGGGTTAGAAGGAAAAATTACCCAACTCACAGCAAGTTACTGCCTTTGCAACCCAATGAAAAAGCCATTGGCACTGCAGGCTATTAGCAGGTGTTCCCAGGAAGCTCAATCTGGGTCGACACTATTCTAAACACATGCAGGTGGCATTTCAGTAACACACCTTTACACCAAACCCTGGTGCAGAGTTGATGGCAATGATGAGCCCCAACAGATTTGACTGCTTCTTAGTAAAAATAAAGAATAAAAAAAATAGTAGCAGGGGGAAATTTTTCTTTAAGAACCTTCTCTGAGGCTATTTGGAGCAGACAAGTGGGAGAGAACCCAAAGAAAGTCTATGTAGTTCATATGCCAATATTTGGTGGCTGGTCCCTGAGGACAGCATGGTGCAGAAGCTAAGGGTCCAGGCTCCTAAGCCAGCCAGATCTGGAAATGAATATGGATCAGGCTTGGTGAGACTTTGCCAGAGTTCTTAACTCACTAAGTTCAATTATCTACAAGGTGAGGATGAGAATGAAATTGAGTAAATAAAGCACTGATCACTGGGTGTGATATGCAGATTGCTGCTTAAATGTTAGCTGCTGCTACTGCTATTGCTGCTATTTATACATACAATTCCAGACTGAATTGCTTTGCAGGTAGAAATTTGGACTTTAGAGTCAGGTTCAATAAATAACGCTCCCTGAACTTAGCTATATAAAATTTTCACACTAATCCCAGCTAAAGCCTATATACTTATTCTATCAGTCTATCTAAAACATACATATGCCGGGCGGGGTGGCTCACACCTGTAATCCCAGCACTTTGGGAGGCTGAGGCAGGTGGATCACGAGGTCAGGAGATCGAGACCATCCTAGCTAACACGGTGAAACCCCGTCTCCCCTAAAAATATAAAAAGTTAGCTGGGCATGGCGGCGGGCGCCTGTAGTCCCAGCTCTTGGGAGGCTGAGGCAAGAGAATGGCGTGAACCGGGAGGCAGAGGTTGCAGTGAGCCGAGATCACGCCACTGCACTCCAGCCTCGGCGACAGAGCAAGACTCCTGTCTCAAAAAATAAACAATAAAAATAAAAATAAAAAAATAAAACATACATATATAAACAATAATTATTATTGTATCTCATTGACTTTGGTTTGGTTCCATTGTAAATAAACTAAATGAATAGAATGCAGATAAAACATAAAGATATTATGAAGTACATGATTTCACTTTTTAAATTTAGTAACAATATTACCCTGGGGACAATGGAGCTGGTAATATGAAAAATTCCTATGACTACTGTTCTAAAAAGGAGAGTATATAGCTTTTAACTGCTTGTTATTTCAATTTTTTCCAGTTTTTTTTTTAACAATCTATCCACAAAAATAAGGTTGAAGTTAGTAGAAGGAACCAAGGGTTCTCCTTAAGAATCAGAGACTCTGAATCAGATAAGTTGCTGAACAGCAAAACTGAGTCAAATCACAGTGGTGAAAGGGCAGGGAGTCAAGAGTGCCATCCATTCTTAAGGAAGTCATGACACTATTTCATGACATAATGAGGAGGAAAAACAAGGCTTTGGGCATCTCTGAGTTCTAGTACAGGTCCATACTTAGTAACTACTTTGGACAAGTTATCCCCTCTAAGCCTCAGTTTTCTATATGCAAACATTAAATAATAGTAATATCTACCTTGTTGTTTGAGAAATTAAATGAGTCAACATATGTAAAGTGTAGCACACAGCTGACATGTAGCAGTCACTAATTAAATGGTTTATCTAGAAATTGCCCCCCAGCTTTGCTTTTATCACTGTGTTGTTCTGTGCAAGTGTGAAATGCCTTGACCCATTGTAGAAAAGTGTCCTCAATAGCAGAAAGTGTATTATAATTACAAATAGGTAACTTGTAGTCACCTAAACATTTTTAGAAACCAAGTGCAAATCTATTTTTTTCCCGAAAAACAACTTCATGTTTTGTTTTGTATTTTTTTTTAATGAGGCTGCAAATCAATTCCATTAATTCAATTCCACTGCAGGTGTTGGCCAAGCATCAACTTTTGCAGTAACAGTAGTAGTAATTGCTCTGGTGCTGAAAGGTGCCAATTTTTCCATATATTATTTAGCTAAATATAAAGTAAAGCCTTTATGAAAAGCATTTTAAATCTCTTCTGTGCTCTTTATCTGATATTCTTAGATGCTGTATCATTTTAGTGCCTACTTCCAATAATTAATTTCCTGCATTCTATGATACTTTCACAACTGTGATTTAAGAAGGTCTATGAAGAGGTACTCTTTTTATAAAATGAATGTCACAAGTAGAATGGATTATTTTTATTCGTTCATATGTGAAGTTTACTCACTGATCTTTGGGTTAGTATGTAAGACAGCATACAGTATGACTAGCAATATAAATAAAGGAAGAATTCAAACATTCCCCATGCCTTTAATGCTATTCTAAAATGATACTAAAACACTAAATTTTCACTTAAGAACAAGCACTTCAAACTGTGATGAGAAGTTTACTTTACAAAGGATTTTCACTGCATTTGAGCTTTGCAAATCCCTGATGGGGTAGCTGGAGAAGGAATTCTTATACCCATTCCAAATAAAGAAAAAGTGTGACTTAGAAAGAACCCAGGGTCACACAACTACAAGAGGCTAGAATTCAAGCCATTTCCTCCAGGTTTTTTCCTCTATTCCCACTACACATGATTTGTTTGTTTTTGGCTTCACTAAGCTGACTTAATGTAAAAACCTTGAGTTTTGGAGATAGCTCCATCCTTTATCACCAGCGGTACGGCCTGAGACAGGTCACTGACAATACAAACTGAGGGTAAGAATGCCCTCCTGGATGCAGATTCCAGTCCCTCCCATTAAGCTTCGTGACTGTGGATGGTTACTTTGTTTTTTGGGCTTTTACTTCCTAGTGTCACTAATGAATAAAACTCCAACTTCATGGGGCTATTATAATATATCATATATTATATAGATGGAATGAGATATTCCTGCTAAAGGGCCAAATACAACACATAGTACATAGTAAGGGCTCAAGAAATATGTTATTATTATTAATAAAATTGGACTAAAATCCCTACCTCCCAAAGTTGTCTGTGGTATTAATAAAATAACATATTAAAAGATCTTGTATCAGCAAACTATTATGCCAAATTTAAGTGTTATTGTATTATTGCTGTTGGCAGCAGCCTAAGCTCATTTAGTCTAATTTCTGAGCCTTCAACCTATGGCCCTACTTGACCCAGGCATTTCTAACAATGTTGAATGTTTTCCTATTAAAAAATGGACAGAATATGGAAGAGAACTTTGATTTCCCCTGTGTATTGTTGAGATCTGAACTACTTTCTCTCATTGTCTGGGCAAGTTCAACCTCCTGAGAGGCCACTGGGAGGATAATCTCGAGGATTATAGGATAACATGGAGCACAAGGGCAGTGGAAAGATGAAGAACTTAATTCAGGTAGAGTTAAGACAAAATAAAGAAATGCCTAGAAATGGTCTTCACTACATAGTAATTCCTCTGGCTCTACTAACACACAGGGATCCAACTTTAATGCTCACATGGTTTCTGGGGCATTTTACGCTCTCTCTTTAAAAGACCCTCTGCTAATGTACACAATGTACCGGTAAGCCTATAGCATTACACCTGCTACTGGCCTTGCCCTTACTTTCTGGTTTATCTGATTTCAAATCCATCTTTTCAAGCTGTACTGTGACTAGCTTTTGTTCATGTTTGTTTATTATTATTATTATTATTATTTTTATGAGACAGAGTCTTGCTCCGTCGCCCAGGCTGGAGTGCAGTGGCACGATCTCGGTTCATTGCAAACTCCACCTCTCAGGTTCATGCCATTCTCCTGCCTCAGCCTCCCAAGTAGCTGGGACTACAGGCGCCCGCCACCACACCTGGCTAATTATTTTTTTATTATTTCTTTTTTTATTTTTAAAGTAGAGATGGGGTTTCACCATGTTAGCCAGGATGGTCTCGATCTCCTGACCTCGTGATCTGCCCGCCTCGGCCTCCCAAACTGCTGGGACTACAGGCGTGAGCCACCGCGCCTGGTCTAGATTATTTTTTAATTATTAATTTCCAACTTTATCGTATGCATGAGGCCAAAGAAATGCCTTTTATAACTACTCTTTCCTTTAGAACTGGGGTAGTTGGCCAAGGTTGTGTTTTAATAATGACCAGTAGCTGTGAGGAGGAAGGAGCTGGGACAAAGGTGGTAACACTTGCAGTTCAGGGATTCTCACTTGCATGGGCCATTTCCAAGATCCTGAGAGAGATTTAACAATAAAAAGTGGTGAAATATTTGTCAGCTTAAAAAAATTGTAATCTATTATCATTTATATTTTAAGTAAATATTGATGTTTATTTCATATTAAATTTATAATCATGCATTCTTCTTCTTAAAGGGGCGTCTCTTAATGGTATAAGTTTACAGTTTGCCCCTGAGTTGGGGACAATGACACAGGCACCGAAAGAGGCAAGCAAAATTTGGTCCTTTTGGAATTCTAGGGAAAGAGATCAGAGGCACACTTCTAGCCGGGGAAAGCCTAGAAGCATCAGATTGTTGAATAACTTAGCAAGTTTACCTGGCATACAGGATGTAGCATAGAGGAAATGAAGATGTATTGGGGCTCAAGGCACAGTTTGTTAATTAATAAGTGAGTTAAATATAGTAGACTGTTTTAAACTGGTTCTGGACTTGCTTGAACAAACTTAGAGCAGAAGTTCCTGATAGTTACTTCCAAGATGGGAAGTTGTCCACATGATCTTGGAGATTAATCTAGCTCAGTATTAAATGCAAAGACTTTTTTAATTTTAATATTTTTATTATTTTTTTTTTAAATTTTACTTTAAGTTCCGGGATACAAATAAAGAACCTGTAGGTTTGCTACACAGGTACACATGTGCCATGGTGGTTTGCTGCACCTATCAACCCATCATCTAGGTTTTAAAGCCCCACATGCATTAGCTATTTGTCCTAATGCTCTCCTTCCCCTCGCTCCCCATCCCCACACTGGCCCCGGTGTGTGTTGTTCCCCTCCAGTGTCCATGTGTCCTCGTTCCTCAACTCCCACTTATAAGTGAGAACATGTGGTATTTGGTTTTCTGTTCCTGTGTTAGTTCACTGAGGATGATGGCTTCCAGCTTCCTCCATGTCCCTACAAAGGATATAATCTCATTCTTTTTATGCCTGCATAGTATTCCATAGTGTATGTGTACCACATTTTCTTTATCCAGTGTATCACTGATGGGCATTTGGGTTGGCTCCATGTCTTTGCTATTGTAAATGGTGCTGCAATAAACATACATGAAATGCACAAATTTTTAAATGTCCCTAAAAAGGATATAATCTCATTCTTTTTATGGCTGTATAGTATTCCATAGTGTATATGTACCACATTTTCTTTATCCAGTCTATCACTGATGGGCATTTGGGTTGGCTCCATGCCCTTGCTGTTGTAAATAGTGCTGCAATAAACATACATGAAATGCACAGATTTTTAAAGCCATACCAACCAGGTTTGAATCCTTACTTGGCCACCAACTAGCATTAAGATGGGAAATCACTTGGTCTCTCTTATGTCCTAGTTTCCTAATCTATAAAATGGGATACTACCAGCATCTACCCTTTAGACTTGTCAAGAGGACTAAATACAACCAGGTGTAGAAAGCACTTATCACAGTGTCTAGAACATAAGCGCCCAATGAATTTGAGCTCTTTCTATCCCTCCCCAGGTTTCCTCCCCTATTATCTGCTGCCACATCAGCTGTCTGTGGCACTCTGATTATCTATGGTTTATTTTGGTTGTTGTATTTTCTTTTAAATAATGATGCTCTTCATTTTAAAACAAATATATTCTTCTTGTATCAAACTTAGAAAGAAATTAAAAAGTGTAATGCAGAAATTTCAAATAATTTAGATATCTCTATGGCTCATTCATGTAAGCTGCATGTCTTTTTTTTTTTTTTTTTTTTTTTTTTTTTGAGACGGAGTCTCACTCTGTCGCCCAGGCTGGAGTGCAGTGGCGCAATCTCGGCTCACTGCAAGCTCTGCTTCCCGGGTTCACGCCATTCTCCTGCCTCAGCCTCCCGAGTAGCTGGGACTACAGGCGCCCGCCACCGCGCCCGGCTAATTTTTTTTTTTTGTATTTTTAGTAGAGACGGGGTTTCACCTTGTTAGCCAGGATGGTCTCGATCTCCTGACCTCATGATCCACCCGCCTCGGCCTCCCAAAGTGCTGGGATTACAGGCGTGAGCCACCGCGCCCGGCCAAGCTGCATGTCTTAAGTGTCTACATGGGTCAGGCAATAAGGTTTGACTCTGTCACCTCTAGGTCCTGCTTTCTTCCCAGTCCATCTCTCTGTACTATTCAATTTATTTAAAATAAGGGGTGATAAAACTTTTGAAATGTATTCAGTCAGGTAACTAAGGCCAGTTCTACTCTTAGGTAAAGTTTAACTTCTTTATCTATTGTTCTAACTTAACTACCTACAATAATATTAAGATTAATCCTAATCATAGTGAGAACTGTGTTGTTCTACGTGGTACACAAAGTTCTTTCATTCAAATCGCACTATAACCCAGTGTAGGGACATAAGATGAGCACCAACATTTGCAGTTTACAGATGAGGAAACTGAGGCACAGGGAGGCTAAACAGGTTGCTGAAGGGAAGTTAAGTGATTTGGACCAAATCACAGAGCTAGGATACAATGAGCCTGAGAACCACATCCTCGGGATCACCAGGGCAGCACCTTCAAACCTAGAATTTTCAAGAATTGTTCGCAGCCATCTGAAACTTTCTCTTTCCATTTTCAATTTCCTGCCCTCTGCCCACTGGACAGCCCATTCAGCTCCCATTTCCAATCAAAAGAATACCACAGAACACTCCCAGCTCCAAGTTCTCAAATAACCCATTGAGACGAACCTGAGGATTGTTTGTAACTCAAAGGATAAATGCTTGAGGAGATGGATACTCCATTCTCCATGAGATGCTTATTTCACATTGCATGCCTGTATCAAAATATCTCATGTACCCCATGAATATATACACCTACTATGTACCCAAAAAAAGCTTTTTAAACAAATTTAAAAATTTTTTTATAAAGAGATGAACCCTAGGAAGAGCCCACTCAACATCTTTTACCACAGCCTTAGAGGCAATCTCAATACAGATGTGATGAGAACAGTTATCTATTAGTTTGCTCTGAAAGGCAGCCATCAGAATTCTTTTTCAATATGCATTTTAAAATTAAATAATATGTACTAGCATTTCCTCTCTCCTTCACAAGGAGAGAGAAAAATAAGCCAAGATTAGCAACAGGTCATTGTGTTGCTGCTCTGAGCAAAACCATCACTTGCTTTTGTGGAAAGTAAAAGCTTCCAATAATTTCCCATGTATCTATTTTCTTACATTAAGCTTCAAAAATAGTGGGTCCTCTTTCTCAACTCTGTCTTTGTGGTAGCAACAGTGGGGAGCATGGTTCATGCAGCTCTTTGTCCGCGCCCAGGAGCTACACACCCTTGAGGTGACTGGCCAGGAGGCAGCTGCCCAAATCAAGGCACATGTAGCCTCACTGAAGGGCACTGCCTGGGAAGATCAACCTGTGCTCCTGGCAAGCACACCCCTAGAGGATGAGACTACCCTGGGCAAGTACAGTGTGGAGGCCCTGATTACCCTGGAAGTAGCCATCCACATGCTTAGAGGGAAAGTCCATGTTTCTCTGGCCCATTCTGGGAAAGTGAGAGGTCAGACTCTCACGGTGGCCAAATGGAGGAAGAGGAGGAGGGGGAGAAGGAAGAAGAAGAGGAAGAGGAAGAAGAGGAAGAAAAAGAAGAAGAGGAAGAAAAAGAAGAAGAGGAGGAGGAGGAGGAAGAGGAAGAAGAAGAAGAGGAAGAAGGTGGAGGAGGAGAAGGAGGAGGAAAAGAAAAAGAAGAAGAAGATGATGACAGGCAGGGTTAAGTGGTGGATTCAGTACAACCAGCGCATTGTCAATGTTGTGCCCACCTTTGGCAAGAAGAAGGTCCCCAATCCAACTCTTAAGTCCTTTGCAATTCTGGATTTCTCTAATAAAAAAGCCACTTAGCTCAAAAAAATAAAATAAATTAAAAAATAAAAATAGAGGGTCACTAGTCACCATAAACAATGCTTATAATCCTGAATTGAAATAATATGTCTAAGAGGAAAGGAAAGAAAGGAGAGTTTAGTAGATTATTCAACTACCTTTTCTTATTCATAGAATATTCTCAACCAATTAATAAGCAATTAATTCACATCAGCTGAGATGCCCAAGGAAAGAGCCATCTGATGCATTTATTAAATTAACCCAATACTCTCTGAGCTGATATCAACCGAGAAAAAATACAAGGAATAAAATAAGAAGAAAACTTGGAAAGATTTTAGGGACCTACTTCCCTGAGCTCTAAATAATATCTACAGTAAAGGAGACAGAGTAGAAAGGGCAGGTTAAATTCAAAGAAGATAGGAAGATAAAGGTTGTATGGGTATTCTGAAAGGAACTTTGAGTAATATCTGGCAAATTCCACAAAAACATCATAGAAATTAGTCTGCAATTTCATCAGGAAATTCTTTTAACTCTTTGACAGAGTTCTACAATTTTACCTACTTATACCTATGAATAAGATTGTTAGGACATTTTGTGCTGACATCTATAGCAATTTCATTCTCTGCAGGCTCTCGGTAATTTTAGATCTCAAATACACCTTGTAAGAAGTTCATAAAACATAGAAAAAAAAGTTCATCATAGATTCCTAGAGTATCATGTTTCTTAACCCTTGTCCAGACTAAATCCTTTATTATTTATCAAATATGTATACATGTTTACATCAGGTACAGTTCCAGATGCTTTATGCATATTATTTAATTCTTCCAACAACCCTCTGAGGCAAGTGCAGAGGTCAATTTGCCCAAAGTCATAATAGTGAAACTGGGATCCAAATCCAGGCCATTTGGCTGCAGCATCCATGTGCCTGACCACTAAACTATGTTCTCGCTACTTGAATAAAGGAATTAATGAAAAATGAAGACATATGAATGTCTTACCTAGAAGTTTGTGTCATCATTTATCTTCTCTTTATGCACCTGTGCATTGCCTTTTGTACATATTGAGGTTCTCTCTTTCAGAAGGCAAGTCTTCAAGGTGCAATTCTCCTGTCAAACTTCTAGAAAGAATACCCACACTCTGCACTCCCATTTCTGTACCAGCTACTTATTCCATAAACCTTACGCAATTGGGTTCCCCACCCCTTCCAGCTTCTCTATAACACTGCTCTCTTGACAGGTTTCTGAACCACCCTATCCAATGGTCTGTTTCTCAGGCTCATGTATCTCTGACTACCAGCTCCTTCCTAGATCCTTTTATTCCTTTGTTTCCTGCTATCTTCTTTCTCCAACTTCTTCTTGAATGCATTCCTCTGTTTCTTGCTGGTTGACCCTGAGTCTGTTTCTCACTGGTGGATCCTGACGCTTCTCAGGATCTAGGTTGGTATCTCTCTCATTCTCTTTCTCACTCCAGGTATATGTTTTTAAAAACCTTCTCCAATCCTTCAGTAGCTTCTATTCTTTACTCTAGTTTCTGAAGTCTGGCTGGCCCCAGAACTTAACTTGTCATCACTGTGAGAGTGGGTCTATCTCTTCAGGAAGAAAGTCACATTAACTCACATTAACCAATCTCATAAGACTAATATATAAGAATGACAAAATATTCACTTACAATAAAAAGTAGATGTCAAAGGACCTCTATCCATAGCGTATCCATACACACGGAGCTAAATTATGATCAATATACCAGTCTGTTAATTTAAAATAAGTAGTATTAATCACACACACAAAATAATAACAGACACAGAATTCTTTATTAAGTCCATTTTTTTCCATAGACACTCCAGGTGGGAAGCTAAATTATAATCAGAAGACTGGCAGGTTAGTATGGAAAAGAAAAGAAGAAAATAATTACGTGACTTGAATGCTTAATGGCATCAGGCTGAGATTCACAGGTCTATCTAGCTCTATAATAGTGCAATATCTGCCATGGGGATCCAGCAAGTAGAGTAGTTGTGTCAGATACCATCTGCCCTGAATGAATGAATGAATGAATGAATGAATGTTGAACCTTGAGATCACTTATGCTTTACTCACTATATTAGAGTTGATTGTTGAAATCCTGACCCCTTTACAAGATTTGAGCTGCAAGATGGCAAGGGCCATATACATTCATCACTGTGTCTCCAGCATCAAGCACAGTGTCTGGCACTTAGTAGACAGAAAGCAATAAATGTTTGTTAAAATTAATTAAAGTCATCCACATATTTATAAATGTGAATAAGACACATGCCAAAGTTGGCTTTCATGTGAGTTATCCAGAAAGTCCTCTTGGGTCTTGTTTTCAGAGTTTATTAGGTCAAATAGTATGCCTTGCTTTCAAATGTTTATATCTGGCTCATATTTTTAAAAATTGCAAAATAGTAGACTACACAGTTTTCATTTTGTCTATCTTATTTCCTACAAATTTTAACTACTTATTTCTCCTACCCAGTGAGTAATCCTTAATCCAACCCCCACCCCTTTATCTTTGATGTTTCTCATTCTCAGTAGGTGGAGAATGTGTCTGCACAGAGACAGCGGAACAGATTCTGCATGCCTCTGTGGGCCAACCCGGGGCACTCATGGGGTTAAAAGCACTGCAGTAATATTAAACACATGTTTCAAGTCAGCAGGGTGCCAGCCTGAGATGTCCTCAAAGCCTAATTTGATAGATATTATGCCATACACTGCTGCAAGTAGTAATGAAGAAAGTAAAAATTTTATGGATGAGCAAAATAGGAGCTCTTATGGATGGAGTGTTTTTAAATCAGGTGTATAATTTACCCAATGTCAGACCACATGTAGAGTGCATTACTCAATTGAACTTACAAGCAGATAGGAAAGCAGTTTCTTTTAATAAGCACTTCTTCAACTTATTGGCTGTACAATTACTTGCACCAAATTACCAGCAGCTGCTGCCTGTTTGGTATTTTATCCTAGACAAGGAGTTACATTAGTTTCTAATCAACAAGCCATTCAAGGACTCTTTATAATTTTTAGCTTAATTCCACTTTTATTTGAAACTTATTAATTGAAATATCCAGTATTCTCATGACGGTACCTATTCAACTGCTGAGGTAAAGGGGAAAAGGGAGGGCAGATACTCCCAAACTTATTTATAATATATGTAACATCACACAAACTCTATTGAGCTCACGTTACCTTATAGGCTGAATTTTGACATTAATTGATAACTGTATTTACCCATCTACATGTTTAGAGTCAATAATTGTTTTATGTCTCTAAATGGTCTATCTCCATGAATATCTGTTAACTGCACCTTTGAGCATTAACCAATTCACCAGTACATTCAATACAGAGCTTCTCAGTTTCAGCGCTATTGACATTTTGGGCTGACTCTTCATTGCGGAGGATGTCCTGGCATTGCCGTTTAGCATGATTCTTGGCCTCTACCCACTAGATGCCAGTGGCACCATTCCACCTCCAACTTCCAGTTATGACCACCAACAAATGTGAGCAAGCATTGTCAAATCACCAGAGACTATTTAAAAGATTTGAGGAAATTAAGGAGAAAGGGCTTCAAAAATCATTATAAGAGGAACATTTTCAAATTATTTGTTAAAGACTTTTCAAAGTATTCCCACAAAGACTGTATTTGTGTGCACATAGTTCAGAATTGCTTACTGTATGAATAATGGTAAAATGATATTGTGAAAGAATTTATTCAAAATAAAATTATTCTATTTTGAGACCCTATTTTGAAGCTACTTGCAGAGCCAAAAACAAAAGTAAATGACTTTTTTAAATATGGAACAAGAACTGCTTATAGCTAAATAAAATAAACATTTGAAGAACTACTCTCACTGTAGAAAAAAATCTGTTGACTAATTTTGTAGAAGTATAATTATATTTTTATGTCAACAGAGCCAGGATGTCTAATTCAGAAAACTTTTCCTTTCTTTGAGATTACATTATAAGTTATCTCCCAAGTTAAATTATGAAACTGGTAGGAGCAGGTGAATGCTAATGACTTCAAGTCCCAAAAATGCTAACTCAAGTTCAAGATTTTCCTCACAGGGCTTTCAAATCCACGCTTGTGTTTTCTAAAGGCCATAATCAAAACTAATGTCAAGAATCATGAGAGTACCCACTATATGATGAAGAACCACAAAAGTGAAAGAAAATTAAATTGTCACCTCAAAGTCTCCTTCACTAAGAATTTACCATCTATCATCTTCCATCTAGTTGTACGTTGAAAGATCCAAATAACATACAGTTGAAGGCAGGAAACTTCATAGTGTAATGTAGAAACTTAAAGTACAGGATTTTAAAAGTCATTTAGTACTTACAGATACTTTCTTGTGGGATAAAGAGAGAAAAGAAAAATAAAAAATAGAAGTAATGTAGACCTGCCAGGGCTCCTTCTTGACTCCATGGGAATTAGATATCCACAAAAGCTTCTCAGACTTTAATGTATACATGAGTCACCTCTGCATTACATTAAAATGTCAGTTCTAACTGAGTCTGTCTGAGTCTGTCTAGGGCAGGAGCCTGAAAGTCCACTTTTCTAAAAAAAATTCCCAGGTGATATCAATATTGCTGATCCATGCATCAGACTTTGAAGAGCAAGGATTTGTCTACAACATCCCTACCAATTAGCCATCAAGCTAGAAAATAACTACAAAAAATACCAAGACATTTCCACACCTATTGAAATCTTCATTCTCAGATTCTTTCTAGAACTGGTGCCCAGACCATGGGAAACATGAGGGACTAGCTTGAGGAAAATTTTACATAATTAAGCAAAACCACCAAGAAACAACTGGCTAAGTCTCAATTTCTTGAAGTCAATTCAAGCTGAATTTCTTTGTACTAATAGTTTATAGAATTCAAAAATGAACAGTGGAATTTCCATATGAACATACTTCCTTTTTTCATAGCAATTTTACTTTTTTTCAACTTTTATTTTAGAATCAGGGTGTAGAGATTTGTTACGTATATTGTGCAATGCTGAGGACAAACCATGTTTTCATGGTTTCTGTGATAGTCTAAGGACATATTCCCTTCTTCTTATCATGTGTCAACATGACTCCAATTAAATACTGAAAAATAGAAAACCATCCCACCTCAAGCACAAGTTCTGCAGCAATAGCCCAACCCTATAGGGAAATCAAACTTATCATCAGATTTTTCAGGTAACTTTGGTATATTTTGACCAGAGTGGCAAGAATATATCATAAGTCTGTTATTTTATAAGGAAATAAGGGGAAGTACATTATCAAGTCTACTCCTTTTCTCTGAGACCAAAAAAAAAAAAAAAAAAAAAAAGTCCTCCAATTACCTAAAAGAGTCAAAGAACTTTCAGTTCCCAGCAGCCTCAGATGCACTGACTTGAAGTCAGACCTATAAAAACACAGTTAGTTCTTGATTATAGTTTAAGGTAATCCAGATCCTCTATTTTACACTTGTGGTTTTACTTCAGCCTATTTTATAGATTAGTGTTCTACCTAGCTAGGAGAAGTAAAACTCAATAGCTTGAAACAAAGAGCTAATGTGGTTCTGATGTCATTTAATGATTTTTTGATCACTTTAAATATTCAAAATATTTAATATATTTTGGCTTCAAGCAATCAGAACTGAAGCTTCAACTAATCAAAATGAACACTATCTGTAAAAAGCCATCAGCACGGCTATACTGGTGCATGCTGGCTGCATATCGGCCTACTCTTGAACATGAAGACAGAAATCCCCACAGAACAGTGTTATATCATAAAGCAGTTTTATCATGGGTAAACTTATATCAGGAAACATCTTTATTCAGAATAAGAATAAATGTGTAGTTGCCTCCAAAGTTATTTGTGAATCTTCACTGAAGCCAATCATATTTAACACATTTATAAATGTTCAGAAAGCTCAAACTTATTCCATATTAAAGCTTCAGATTTGTAGCTAAGAGGAAAGGTAATATATAGGTATGAAAATCTTACCATTTGTATAAGTCACTAGAAATGTAATAACTAGACTTCAACTCAGTAAGTACAAGCTAACATATTTTATGATAAATAGCATAGGTATACAATGAATGGCTCTGAGCTATCAGCTTCAGGCAGGGAAGACACACACCTGGAAGTCATTGTTAGTTCTCTAAGGAAACTGACTGAATTGTCTTTTGGGTTAAAACATGAAGAAAATGTAAATGTATGCAGCAGAATATTAGAAACTCAGTGAGATTAGCATTGTATAAATTTCCAATGTATATACTCTTTGAATGCCACATGAGATTATAGTCACCACGTCTCAAATAATAACATGAAGCCAGAGAAACCACAAGCAACAAAGGAAATAGCAACTAACATGGGGGGTAGAGTGCTGCTATTTGAGGCATATTGAAATGTTAGCCTCTTCAGCTTGGAAAGGCAAATGTTGAATGAGGAAGTTGACTACAATTTACACAATTATAAATTATCTGAATAACTTGATCCAGGCTTGTTCCCTAACAGAATGGTGGAGGAGCATATTTTGAAACTTCAGTGAAATAAGTTTAGGACACTAAATGAAGGAGTGGTTAGCAACTTAATTTCACCAGCATCATCTACCCCCTGCCCACCTTCTCCCACTTATCACCCCCTGCAAGAGTTAGCACAAGAAGGAAGCAAAAACTTCAGGCAGGAGTTCGTTTACCGGTTCAGTGCCAAGCACTGGGCTAAAAGCTGGGGCAATGAAAAAAATTAACAGATATATGGCTTCTGCTCTGTTAACTTGAAAGCCAACTGGCATTAGTTAACTGAATGAAGTGACTGAATGAAGACCTGAACAATCACACACAGAGTAAAGTTACAACTGACATCAGTGCTGTAAAGAAGGCCACATAGTACTATAATAGCATCTAGCAGTGGGCCTTGACCTAACTTGGGAGAAGGCCATTGTTTGGAAGTGTGATGTCCTTAAGCATGGGTAGAATTTGAACTAACTAGTTAAAAAAAGAAAAAAGAGAAATGGCTACGAATTAAAGCCAGACTATCCTTTAACTTTCAGGGAACTCTGAAGCTTCCAATTATACTAATACTCATACCCACTTCAATGAAAAATGCCTGAAAGACAGACTGCTGGAATCTCCAGTGACAACAAACACCAGGTGAAGGACCCAGAGTCTGATCCCCAAAGGAAAATTTGCCTAGCCACAAATCATATAGAATTAATTGGTATGTCCCCAATGGAGGTTTCTAATAAAAATATTTTTTGAATAATGTGCACTGCCTCCTAGAATATTGTTAGCCATTTGAATGGTTAAATAAATTACCACACTTTATGAAGCATAGAACCAGTTGACTTTTCTCCAAAAATTCACTGATTCCTTTGGTCTCCAATGGAAATTAATAAAATTTGATACAGCCATCCTAGCACTTTCTAGTTTGACTTATATTGTAATTAGTTATAAAATGCCCATCTTGCTACCAGAGCGTGAATTTGTGGTGGAGGTATGCTTTTCATTTGTGCATTCCTAACAGAAAGCATAGGACCTTGCTCATAATAGGCAGTCAATAAATGTTTGTCGACTTGAAAGACAATAGTGAAGGCTTTAATTTACTAACACAAGTCATTGACTAACCATCATTATCTACTTCATTTGTGTTTGTGAACATTGACATTTAAGGATGCTCTGTTAATACGTACACCAGGGCCCTACCAAACAGGAACACAGCCCTGCTCTCAAGCTTGACAGGACTGTCTTTATCATCTGATGCCCTCAATTCCAGAAAAGACTTCTTCTTTCCAAACATAGTCATTACATCCAAGTACACATTTCAGGGGGGCTAAAATGTTGACTTTGAACTTCAACAAAAGTCACTTTTAGTTCCTTTACTCCTATTTCTCTTTAAAGACACCACTCTGCAGTTAGCAAAATTCTACTCAGATTGATGACTGCTAGCCTGATCTCCAATCCCGTACCTCTCCATCACATATACAGTCATGCACCTCATAACAACGTTTTGGTCAACAATAGACCACACATACAATGGTGTTCCCATAAGATTACAATACAGTATTTTTACTATACCTTTTCTATGTTTAGATACACAAATATCATTGTGTTACAAATAGGAGCAATAGGCTATACCACATAGCCTAGGTGTGTAGTAGGCTATACTATCTAGGTTTTTGTAACTACACTATATGATGTTCGGATAATGACAAAATCATCTAATGATGTATTTCTCAGAATATATTCCCATTATTGAGTGGCACATGACTGTCTATATTTATTGTATTTATTATCTATTTATTGCTTATCTCCCCCACTACACTATAGATTTTAAATAAATTTATTCACTCCTCTACCCTTGCAACCTTTACCCACGTGGTCTGGCATTGTAATTAGTACTCCACAAATATCTGTTAATCACATAAATTAATTCAGTATCCATAGGGCCTACAATATGCCCAAAACCGAACCCATTATCTCTTGCTTAATTCTGCCACAAATTCATGTTCTACTTTTTATCATATCATTGTTTATTCAGTCTCCCAAACCAGAACTTGGAAACTATTCTACAACCTCCCACATTTCATTCTCCACAACCCATCAATCGAGTCTGGTCAACTCTTCCATTTACATATTTATTGAACCTATTCAGTGTCCTCCATTCCTACAACCAAATTTTCTGGTTCAGGTCACCATCACCTCCCCTGATTACTGGAAAAGCTTAATAACAGCTCTTATGGCTTTTATTTGTGCCCCTCAAGTTCATTCTCCACATTGAAATCAAAGGTATCTTTTTGCAAGTGTGAATCTTATTATGTCCTCCATGACATTAAACCCATGACTGGTTCTTCAGCAAAGCCTTCAGGATAAAATCTTCTTCTTTCATGGTTTATAAAACTTTTCTTGATCTGGCCTAGAACTCTGGTTGGCAAGTTAATTCATTTCAACTCTCTAGCTAATCAAGCTCTATTACTTCTCAGGTCTTCCCACATACTCTTACTTCCACCTGGAATACTGTCCTCACCAGTAACTCCTACTCACCCTTTTGTTCACAACTTGGAACTCACATCTTTTGAGAAGTCTTTTCTGATTTACAGCATTGGTTAGGTACTCCGCCTAAATGCTTTCAAAGATCCCTATGCTCATTAAGCTTCCATAACCATGCCTTAGAGTATTGTTTCATAAAGTAAAAGCTTGTGGTTCATGTGGTGAATCTATCCCTTCATCCATCTCTTCTATCTTCTCACAGGTAAAGAACAAAAAGAAGAAAGAGCAAGAGAAGTCCATTTGCTGAAGACAAAGGAAAGGTTTTCCCGTAGGTGTCCTCTGGAGGTGACAAGACAGGTCTGAACAGCTCTGTGATCATGGGCCAATGAGAAAACGGTGTGGACAAATCCTTCTGTTGCCTTTTTTCCCCCCAAATATGTTAGAATTTTATAAATAGATCATCTCGAATTTCTCAAAGAATTTGTGAGCTGGGAATTACTATTACTGCTTTGTTCTCCTTAGAAGTGAAGTTCAATTTATTTGTGTTTCTAATTTACCAAAGGCCTTTTAATTATTCATACCCATTTTAAAATATGTAAGTAGATATTTGGGGAAATTAGAAGTACAGTTCTCTTCTTTCTGCATGACTACTTCATAAGCCTTATGGAAAGTCACAGAAAGTAAGAAGATAAGTCATTTTGAAAAGTCAAAGTAATATTCTTTATAAGAAAAGATCTGATTAATTTTAAGTGAACAATCACAAACTAACCATTGTAATTTCTGCAGCAAACCAAACCAGGCCTAGGTTTACAAGTAAAACTTTCCAGGTTTCTTATGTGTGCCATTATTTGGTTGTGAGTGCTCAAGACTGAGGCAGATGGTCCCATGATATCTTCTTTTGAAATTCGAAAGGCATGGGAATAGACCATTGGAAAGAAAGCTATGGGGACCCCATGGATATATTTAAAGTCTAAATTGAAATCACATGGTATTTAGCCCATCTCATTTCATCCCCTATTCATTTAAAATGTCACCATGATTCTAATAATTTTTAAAATACCTAGTGATTTTATTTCTTAGGGTATAATTATATAAATGGTATATGAAAACATTATACAAAGGTAAACACATCAAAGAGGTTTGTCATCTTCATGAAACAAGCAGGTACACTCATTTTGTTTTACTAATCTTCCCATCGATAGGGAGAAAACAAAGTTCCACCTGTGGAAATTAGTGTGTTAAATAAAGTCTTATGAAAATATCACTCTGAGACACTGCATATGTGATTGACCCTTTCGACTTCTTTGTACTGTTAAATAGTGCATTGCTTTTAGCAAAGCATTTACTAATAATGTCCTTCTTTGTATGTTCTTCACTAAATTATGAATTGCAAATCCTTGGGCTCAAGAAAGGATTTTGAGAAATCATGTAGACCAAGTTTTAGGCAAAATATATCTCAAATCAGGATGATTATGAATGTAACCTATTTTTTTTAATGATTTTCAATTAAAAAATATGGAACGCTTCACGAATTTGCGTGTCATCCTTGCGCAGGGGCCATGCTAATCTTCTCTGTATCGTTCCAATTTTAGTATATGTGCTGCCGAAGCGAGCACAAATGTAACCTATTTTTAAATATTAGCACAGAGGTACATTCCATCAAAGGAAACTGAGATAGGATTGACAGATTTAACAAATACAAATGCAGGACACCAGTTAAGTTTGAATCGCAGGAAAAAAAAAAAACACTTTTTTTTTAGTATAAATATGTCCCGTGCAATATTTGAGGCATATTTATCCTTGAGAAGTGTTAACTGTTTATCTGAAATTCAAATTTAAATGGATGTCCTGTATTCCATCTGGTAACCCTAGGACTAAAACCTTGCCAAAGATAATTTCTGTCAGATGACTCAATTTCTCTGTTATAGATTGCCTGAGATCATTCATCCAAGAGAGAGTGATCATAAGTTGACAACTTCAGGTTAATTAAGAACTAATTGTTGGTCAAGTTGTCAAAAGTCAATATTTCTGTCTTCAATGTAACAGTCAATTCAATCAATATAAATTTTTTTAAAAGATTTTAAACAAATATGATTTTTGTCATTATTTTTCCCTAATAACCTAGAAACATGATGGTGATCATTTCATTTTCCATATGAGATTACCTTTAATGGATAATATATAACTTTTTGTTAATTTAAAAATATACAACTTGAACTTTATGAAAGCTGACCTTAAAGGTAAGGCAGTGTATTTTTAGTAACATATAATTTGCTTGTATATTTTTAATATACCAAATGTATCATCCTGACACCCAAATTCATTTATCTCCAATATTTCTCCTCTCACTGAATAATAACATACCCTACCTGGCCAGGTAAGAATTATGAATTATTCTCAATTCTTTTAATGTAATCCAGATATTTTATTTAAAACAAAACAATATGGGCCTGGTACAGGTCTGGGCTCTATGTGCAGGCTGCCTGAATCCAAACCTGGCACTGTTAGCCGGGGACTGCAGGAGCCACACCAGCCTCATCAATGGTGTGGGAATTGGGTGAGGCCTTTGGCTACTGGCTATTCCCCACTTCCCTGGTGAACAATACTGCTAAGCAGGGGCAGCATAATCCCCTCTTGAACATAACCCCATTGGCTGGAGAACCACCCACCGCCAATCCCCCAAGGAGAGTCTGAGCTCAGACCCACCTAGCCCTGCCCCCAGCTGGTGGTCTTTCTCTACCCACTCTGGTGGCTGAACACAAAAGACATAAAGTCTTGGGAGCTTTATGGTCCCGCCCATTGCTTAAGAAGCAGAATACTTCCCCTGGTCAACTTAGGGCAAGCTCAAATCCCACTGCTACTACCATAGCTGGTGCTGTCTTGCAAGCGCCACCTCCTGGCTGGAGGCCAACCAACTCAGGACATTACGGCAACTCATGACAGAATAACCTTGCTCCTGGGAAGGAGAAAACAACAGTTAATTCCACTGCCTGCAACGTCCTGGCTAACCAGAGGTCCTGAGTCTGTCCACGTGACAACTTCACTGCTAGCATAACCAGCACTCAGGAAAGCCAGCACACTAAACTATCTATACCCAAGGAATCTCATCACTCCCCTGACACCTCAACCAGAGTAGGTGCTGGTATCCACAGCTGGGAGATCTGAAGAACGATCACATCACTGGACTCTTTCAGACATTCCCCAGCAGCAGCCTGGAGCCTGGTAGCCCCACTGGATGGCTAGACCTATAAGAGCAACAACAATCACTGCAGTCTAGCTCTCAGGGAGCCCCATCCCTAGGGGAAGTGGGAGAGCACCACATCAAGGGATCACCCTGTGGGACAAAAGAATCTGAACAGCAGGCCTTGAGAACCAGATCTTTCCACTGGAGGGTAGTTTCTCACAGCAGAGATACAATCGCAGTGCTGGGCATAGTAGGGGAAGTCTGCACCTCTACCCCAACAGGCAGGCTGCCGCTGTGATCATGAAAGGCCTTGGAAAAGGGGTCCTTGTTCCCCCTGGCACTCCACTGTAGACACAGCTGGGGCTGCCCCCACAGGAATGCAGCATGGAGGCACCTATAGGTAGCCTTTCTGGAAAAATTCAGGGTGAATGCAGCCCCACAGGAAGAGCACCCCCAAGATTCAGGCCTGCATGAGAGGCAGAGTAACAATTCTTCCCTACTTGGAACATCAACATCCCTGTAGATGAAAAGTGCCTGTCTGATCTGAATAGCTGAAATACTAGGATGGGAGTGAGGCTGTGAGGTGAATAGCTTTCCTGCTGGCCTGGCAGGGGAGCTGAGGTAGCTCCCACTCTTCACCTAGATAAAACCTCAGCACATCTAATTGAGAGCTCCCCCACCCACCCTCATCAAGGCCAAGGCCTCAGCCCACTATTGGGTATTACAGCTACCCATCTGCCTTAGACACAACTGGTGCCTACCCAGGGTTACCTCCCCTATTGGCATGAAGACTGACTCATCAACTCAGTAAATAAAACACTAGGAAAAAATTAAATAAAATATGCACTACTAGAGAACAAGATAAGCTTCAAGAGATCCCTGCCATTCCAACTCCATAGGGAACAGTGAACTCACCCACACACCAAGAATATAACTACTACAACTAGCAAGGGGGAAAGCCAGCAGACAAAGACTCTCTATAACTAAGGAGCTCATATAGAGTCTTCACCTCTACAGCACCAATAAATCAAATTAGACTAAAATAAATACTAAAATCTGATCCTTAAGAGCAGGGGAAAAGAAATTTAAATTTAAAAAAAAACAGTCTAATAAAAAATAAATTCAAGAACAATTTGAAGAAATACTCTACCCAAATGAGAAGGACCCAGAAAATTAATTCTGGTAATATGAAAAAAACAGGATTCTATAACACCCCCCAAAAGGATCACACTAGCTCCCCAACAATGGATCCAAACCAAGAAGAAAACTCTGAATTGTCAGCTAAAGAATTCAGAATGTTGATTATTAAGCTACTCAAGGAGATACCAGAGAAACATGAAAACCAACTTAAAGAAATGAAACAATTCAGGATATGGATGAAAATGTTTCCAGAGAAATAGATACAAAGAAAAAACAATCACAATTTCTGAAAATGAAAGACACACTTAGGGAAATACAAAATGCAGTGGAAAGTTTCAACAATGGACTAGAATAAGTAGAAGGAAGAATTCCGGAGCTCAAAGACAAGCCTTTCAAATTAACCCAATAAGACAAAGAAAAAAACTTAAAAAGCCTCCAAGAAATTTGGGATTATGTTAAATAGCCAAACCTAAGCATAATAATTCATATTCCTGAGGAAGAAGAGTAATCTAAAAGTTTGGAAAACTTATTTGAGGCAAAAAATGAGGAAAACTTCTTTGGCCTTGCTAGAGATCTGGATATGCCAATACGAGAAACTCAAAGAACTCCTTGATGAATTTTGTGAAATTCATTGCAAAAAGATCATCACCATAGGCACACAGTCATCAGGTTATCTAAAGTCAAGACAAAGGAAAGAATCTTAAGAGCTGTGAGACAAAAGCATCAGCAACCTATAAAGGAAAACCTATCAGTTTAACAGCTGACATCTCAGCAGAAATCCTACAAGACAGAAGAGATTGGGGTCCTATCTTTAGCCTCCTTAAACAAACTAATTGTTAGCTAAGAATTTATTTTGTATCCAGCAAAAACTAAGCTTCATAAATGAAGGAGAAATAAAGTCTTTTTCAGACAAACAAATGCTGAGAGAATTTGGCACTACTAACCCAGCACTACAAGAACTGCTAAAAGAAGTACTAAATCTTGAAACAAAAACCTCAAAATTCACCAAAATAGAACCTCCCTAAAGCACAAATCACACAGGTCATCTAAAACAATAACATAATGGAAAAAAAAGGTATTTAAGCAACAACATGAGGAATAGAACAGTACCTCATATCTCACTACTAACATTGAACGCAAATGGCCTAAATGCTCCGCTTAAAAGATACAGATTGGCAGCACGGATAAAAGTACACCAACCAAGTACCTGCTGTATTCAAGAGACTCACCTAACACATAAGAACTCACATAAACTTAAGGTAAAAGGGTGGAAAAAAGATATTCCATGCAAATGGAAACCAAAAGCAAGCAGGAGTAGCCATTCTTATATCAGACAAAAAAGACTTTAAAGTAACAACATCAAAAAAAGACAAAGAAGGACATTATATAATGATAAAAGGACTAGTCCAACAGGAAAACATCACAGTCCCAAATATATATGTACTTAACACTGGAGCTCCCAAAGTCATAGAAGAATTACTACTAGACCTAAGAAATGAGATAGACAGCAATACAATAATAGTGGGGATTTCAATACTACACTGACAGCACTAGACAAGTCATCAAGGCAAAAAGTCAACAAAGATACAATGGATTTATACTATACCCTAGAACAAATGGACTTAATAGATATTTACAGAACATTCTACCCAATAACTGCAGAATATACATTCTTTTCATCAGCACACAGAACATCCTCCATGAGAGACCACATGATAGACCACAAAACAAGTCTCAATAAATTTAAGAAAATCGAAATGATATCAAGTATCAACTCAGACCACAATGGAATAAAACTGGAAATTAACTCCAAAAGGAACCCTCAAAACTGTACAAATGCATGGAAATTAAATAACCTGCTCTTTAATGGTCTTTGGGCTAACAAGGAAATCAAGATGGAAATTTAAAAATTCTTTGAACTGAACAATAATAGTGACACAACTTATCAAAACCTCTGGGATACAGCAAAAGCCATGCTAAGAGGCAAGTTCACAGCATTAAATCCCTATATCAAAAAGTCTGGAAAAGCACAAATAGACAAACTAATGTCACACCTCAAGGAACTAGAGAAACAAGAACAAACCAAACACAAACCCAGCAGAAGAAAAGAAATAACAAAGATCAGAGCAGAACTAAATAAAATTGAAACAAACAAACAAAAAATACGAAAGATGAAACAACAAGTTGGTTTTTCAAAAAGATAAACAAAATTGATAGACTATTAGCGAGATCAACCAAGAAAAGAAGAGAGAAGATACAAATAAGCTCAATAAGAACCAAACGGGAGATATTACAACCAATACTTCAGAAATACAAAAGATCATTCAAAACTACTATGAACACCTTTACATCCATAATCTAGAAAACCTAGAGGAAATGGATAAATTCTTGGAAATATACAACCCTTCTGGATTAAATCAGGAAGAAATAAACTCTGAACAGACCAATAACAAGTAGCAAGACTGAAACAGTAATTTAAAAATTGCCAACGAAAAAATGTCCAAGGCCAGATGGATTCACAGCTGAATTCTATCAGACCTTTAAAGAAGAATTGGTACCAATCCTATTGACAACTACTCCAGAAGACAGAGAAACAGGGAATCCTCCCCAAATCATTCTATGAAGCCCGTATCACCCTAATACCAAAACCAGGAAAGAACATAACAAAAAAGAAAACTACAGACCAATGTCTCTGATAAACATAGAAAATAGACGCAAAAATCCTCAATGAAAGTTTATCAAAAAGATAATACATTATGATCAAGTGGGTTTCATACCAGGGATGGTTTAACATATGCACGTCAATAAATGTTATACATCACATAAAGAAAATTAAACACAAAAATCACATAATCTCAATAGATGCAGAAAAAGCATTTGACAAAATCCAGCATCCCTTTATGATTAAAAGCCTCAGAAAAATGGCATTGAAGAGACATATCTCATAGTAATAAAAGCCATATATGACAAACCCACAGCCAATATCACACTGAATAGGGAAAAGTGGGAAGATGAGCATCCTTGTCTTATTCCAGTTCTCAGGGGGAAAGCATACACTTCTATTCAACATAGTACTAGAAGTTTTAGCCAGAACAATTAGACAAGAGAAAGAAACAAAGGGCATCCAAATTGGAAAACAGGAACTCAAACTGTCACTGTTCACCGATGATATGACTATACACCTAGAAAATCCTAAACACTCATCCAAAAAGCTCCTAGATATAATAAATGAATTCAGTAAAGTTTCAGGATATAAAATCAATGTACACAAATCAGTAACACTGCTGTACACCAACAACCAAGCTGGGAATAAAATCAAGAGTTCAATCCCTTTTATGACAGCTGAAAAAAAAAAAACTTAGGAACATACTTAACCAAGGAGGCGAAAGATCTGTACAAGGAAAATCACAAAACACTGCTTAAAGAAATCATAGCTGACACAAAAAAATGGAAACATGTTTCATGCTCATGAATGCGTAGAATCAATATTGAGAAAACGACCATACTGCCAAAAACAATCCATAAATTTAATGCAATTCCCATCAAAATACCACCATCATTCTTCACAGAACTAGAAAAAACAACCCTGAAATTCATACAAAGCCAAAAAAGAGCCTGTAGAGCCAAAGCAATAGTAAGCAAAAGGAACAAATCCGGAGGCATTGTATTACCTGACATCAAGCTATACAAGGGGCTATAGTTACCAAAATGGCATGGTACTGGTATAAACATAGTCAAGGAACAGAATTGAGAATGCGGAAATAAAGCCAAATACTTATAGCCAACTAATCTTTAATAAAGCATACAAAAATATAAAGTGGGAAAAGGACACCCTATTCAACAAATGGTGCTGGGATTACTGGCAAGTCACATGCAGAAAAATAAAACTTGATCCTTGTCTCTCACCTTGTACAAAAATCAACTCAAGATAGATCAATGACTTAAATCTAAGATCTGAAACCATAAAAATTTTAGAAAATAACATTGGAAAAAATCTTCTAGACATTGCCTTAGGCAAAGAATTCATGACTAAGAACCCAAAAGCAAATGCAACAAAAACAAAAACAACTAGATGGGACCTAATTCAACTAAAAGGCTTCTGCGAAGCAAAAGAAATATTCAGCAGAGTATACAGACAACCCACAGAGTGACAGAAAATATTCACAAACTATGCATCCAACTAAGGACTAACATCCAGAATCTACAAGGAACTCAAATAAAACAGCAAGAAAAGAACGAATAACCACATCAAAAAGTGGGCTAAGGACATGAATAGACAGTTCTCAAAAGAAGATATACAAATTGCCAACAATCATATAAAAGGATGCTCAACATCACTAACTATCAGAGAAATGCAAATTAAAACCACAATGAGATACCACGTTAATCCTGCAAGAATGGCCACAATTTAAAAATAAAAAAAAAAAATAAGAGATGTTGGCGTGGATGTGGTGAAAAGGAAACACTTTTACACTGCTGGTGGGAATATAAACGAGTACAACCACCGTGGAAAACAATACGAAGATTTCTTAAAGAACTAAAAGTAGATCTACCATTCAATCCAGCAATCTCCCTATCGGGTATCTACCCAAAGGAAAAGAAGTCATTATATTAAAAAGACACTTGCACATGCATGTTTATTATAGTAGTACAATTTGCAATTGCAAAAGTATGGATCCAAGCTAAATGCCCATCAACTGAGTGGATAAAGAAAATGTGGTATATATACACCATGGAATACTACTCAGCCATAAAAAGGAATGAAATAATGGCATTTGCAGCAACCTGGATGGAGTTGGAGACCATTATTCTAAGTGAAGTAACTCAGGAATGGAAAACCAAATATTGTATGTTCTTACTTATAAGTATAAGTGGGAGCTAAACTATAAGAATGCAAAGGCATAAGCATGACACAATGGACTTTGGGGACTTGGGGGAAGGTTGGGAGCGGGGTGAGGGATAAAAGACTACACATTGGGCACAGTGTATACTGCTTGGGTGACAGGTACACCAAAATCTCAGAAATCACCACTAAAGAGCTTTTCCATGTGACCAAAAACCACCTGTTCCCCAAAAACTATTGAAATAAACATTTTTTAAAAGTATTGAGTATTTATTATATTTATCAATATTACTATGTGAAGTATTTATTATACCAGTGTAATAAGATTTTAACATTCATTCTCTTGTCTGGCACAACAACTCAATGAGATGGAAACTGTATTCGTGTTTTCCAGAGAAACAGAACCAGTATATGTCTATATCTAACTATCTAAGAAAGAGATATTATTATGAAAATTAGTTGACATGATTATGCAAGCTGGAGAACCAGGAAAGCTGATGGTATAACACAGTCTGAACCCAAACACCTGAGAACCAGGGAAGCCACTGAGGGAAGTCCCAGTGACTGAAGGGCCTAAAACCAAGAACTCTGATGTCTGAGGGCAGGAAAAGGTTAACAATGAGAGGTAATTTGTCCTTCCTCCGCCTTTTGTTCTATCTGGGCCCTCAACAGATTGGATGATGCCCACTCATATCGGTGAGGGTGATCTTCTGTACTCAGTCTACTGATTCACATGCTAATCTCTTCTGGAAACACCCTCGCAGACACACCCAGAAATGTTTTGCTACCTATCTGGGCATCCCTTAGCCCAGTCAAGTTAACACATAAAATTAACCATCAGAGAAACTATTATGACCTCTATTCTAGAGATGAAAAAAACTAAAGCACACAGAAGATAAATGGTTTAAGTTGACATCATTAAGCAGGAATAGAGCCAGGACTGAAATGTAGGTCTATCTTACTCACTATGTTAACTCCACACATCCTGATTAATCACCAAATTCTATCGATTCTACTTCTTAAATATCTTTCAAGAGCTTTCTTTTCATTCCATCTTAATTCAGGCCTTCGTCAGTCCTCTTACTCGGTCTTCAATCTTGGAGTCTGTGTTACTTTCCCATGGCTGCATAACAAAATACCACAAACTGGATGGCTTCAACAACAGAAATGTATTGTCTCACAGTTCTGCAGGCTGAAAGTTCAAAATCAATAGGTCAACAGGGTGAGTTGCTCCTGACAGCTCTGAGGGGAGAGTCCAGGCCCCTCTCCTTGGCTTGTAGATGGCTGTCTTCTCCCTGTGTCTCTTCACATCATCTTCCCTTTATGTGTGTCTATCTCTGTGAACAAGTCACTTTTTTAAAAATAAGGACACCAGCCATATTGGCTTAGGGGCCCACTTTACTCCAGTAAAAACTCATCATAAATTATATCTGCAGTGACCCTATTTCCAAAGAGGGTCACATTCTGAGGTACTGGGGATTAGGAATTCAACCATCTCTTTTGAAAGGGAATACAATTCAACCCATAACGAGTCCCTTCTAATCTTTCTCCACTTCACACTGAAGTGCTTTTGCTAAAATTCCAACCTAATCCTGTCACTCTCTTGCTTCCAGATTTTCAAGGACAGGCCACAGCTTTCAGCATAAAAGCTAAATTTAGGGAGTACGGGAGTAAGGGGATTCCCTACCACTCTGTGTCACCACTCCAGCTTTATTTCTAGCTTCTTTTCTCTCTCCTTGTTCGGCCCTTGAACGTTAAAGTTTCGGACACACAATAAACATGATTTGCTCTCTTCTACCTCTGGACCCTTGCTGGAACTCAGTCGACCCTGAATGCCGCATCCTTCTTCCTCATCTCACATTTGTCTCAACCCACAAAGGAGGAGGAGACCCCTTTCTTTTCTTTTTCAGGAGTTTTTACAGAAAACATTCCTGGTTCGTCCATCTTGTGCCATCTGCATTGCTCATAAAGGATGGATTTTCAACAAGGATTATTCTGAGACATATTATATTAAAGAAGAAAAAATTAAAGGTGTAAAATAATGATTATCATAGACCCTAAGGTCTATAAGGCCTAACTTTGGGGTAACTATCAAGGTTGTAAATGCAACATTCATCAGAATACATTTTCCTAGTGGTTTTGGTTGCTGGGCTGAGGTATTAAGTGTGTACCTGCCCCTCTTTTCACTTCCCCCATCTGGGTATGGAGAGCCTGATTGTGCTTCTTATCTCTCTACATGAAAAACAACAGAACAGGGCTACCTTTTATCTCTTTACCACATATTGACAAGTGAATCAGGATTTTTGTGAGCCTGGCTCTTTCCACTGGATGGGAGGGAAGCCCAAGTTCAGTCTCAAGCCTAAGCCAGCTTCTAGGACAAAACTTACTGGAAACATTATGTTTGGGAAGTTACAGGGCATCAACCTCTAGCAATAAAGTTCACTTCTTGTGTGGCTATGGATCTTCGTGTATGTACTCCACTGATGAGCACCTCAAAATGCAGAAAAGGTGAGTAGTACACTAAATCTCCCAACAGTTTCCTAGTTATTAGTAGACTCTATATTTATATGGATTTGTATGGGCAAGTGTTCCTTGAATACATATGCAGTGCCTGTCCCCACAGAAATACAATCTCTGCACTAATAACTTGGTTAGTGGACTGTGAACTACTTTGGTCACTGGAATGTGAACTACTTGAAGGCAAAGATGGCATCTTAATCTTCTTTATAGATGTAGCACCTGGCACAGAGCCTTTGGCAAGGCACTGGAGTCTATGATTCTACAATATGTGTGTAAAAAACTCACTTCACCACGGATAAATGGGCCATTCAGCCCAAGAAGAAGAAATGAACCTCTTGGGTACTAATGTGTACTATAGTATCCAATGGAAAAGAAAAGCATGGCATAAAATGCTTATGAAATGCTCATATTCTCTATATAGTATAAACATCTATACATGTGGTTATGGTGTGAGATTAACTATATGTTAATAAAGAACACAAAAATATTTATAAAGGAAAAATATTCATGTTCTCAAAGCACTCTGAGTTACAATTTTAGGCAAAATTGCTTAGGCAAAGTAATATTTTATCTTTTTAGTATAATTGTAAAACTTTTTGGCATCCATAGGAAACATTGAGCATAAATCTTGCTGAGATAAACTTGAAAGGTGGGGTGTCATTTCTTGACCATATTCATTTAGTATTGCAAAACACACATATTTTACTGTATTAATGTCTTTACCATCCTTTTTGCTACTTAACATCATCCAGCAAATAACCAAATAGCTCACGCTTTCTGTTCTACAGTGTCCCAGGTTTTCAGGAAGGTATTTTATCATGAAGTTGGAAGATTCCCACCATGTGAATTGCTGTGTTGCAATTTCATTTGGCAAAACATAAATACAGCCTGTTAAACCCATTCATTTAATTAATAGCATTTAACTTGAAACATGTAGGTAATTCTATGGGCACCCATGGATCCACTCCAGGGATGACTGCTTGGGTCAAATGCCCATCCCTGAAAAAAATCACTGTATCTAGAGCAATAGGCTTTTGAATGACAGCCCTACCAGAAGGTTTACAGTAAGACAGACAGGCAGACAAAACATTTCCAGGAAGGAAAGACAGTGAAGCACGGTGGAAGAAACACAGACTGGAGAATCGGTGGTTCTATAACCATCTGTAAGGACCTCCATTCCTTCTCCACGAAATTAAAGTGGGTCTAGCTCCAGTACTCTCTGATCCTACATGAAACAATTAACTTTGCAAGGATCTGCTTACCTAAATAATTAAGATTCTTCTTTTTTAATGAAGAGAGTGAGTAATGTTTGTCTGGAATAGAATGTTTGTGTGACTCCCAAATACAGAGAACTTCAATTCCTTCAGATAAAGCAATAGAGGAGACAAATTAGAAAGAGAATTTCCTCAAAGTCAGAATAGGTGAGCCTTTAGCATCCCTTACATAACAGTACCAAGAACCTGCTGACTTTCTCTTCATAGTGTCTACTGACAAGGTAAATTTTGCTTCTTATTCAAAAACCTACTGAAGCACCTGCCAGATAAAATTCAGACTCTTTAGCTTCTTACAATCTTGAGTGTTCCTCTGCAGCTTCATCTCCTCCAATGAACTCCAAAGTACAGCCACATAATTTCTATAAATCACCTTGTCTTTTCACACCATTATAACATTAGTGACAATAATAATATTTATTAAGCACCCACTATGTGCCAGGCACTGTTCAGGCCCTGGAGATATAGCTGTTAACAAGACAAATCCTGCCCTCATAGAACTTGCATTTTACTGGAGGAAACTGGCCACCATTATGTAACCAAATAAAGAACATGCTGCAGTGAGAGGTGGCTTTAAAAATGGTGGTCAGGTGGTGACATTGAAGCTGTTACAGGAACCACCTTGAGGAAGAGGAGAAGCCCTCCCTGCGATGGTCGGTGCTTAGCACGGGACCAGACACATTAAGTACATTATTTTTAATCCTCCCTGCAATGCTGCACAATGTGGATTACTGTCCCCATTTTATTATGTGAGGATAAGGAGTTTGCTCAGATTGCATGGTACAGGAGTTACCGGTCTATAACTCAAATTCAAGCCTGTCCAATTCTTGAGTACCTCCATTTGACTTTATGCCTTTCCTTCCAACTGAAGTGCTCTTCCCCACACCCCTGACAGACCCTCCCCACCATTCCAGATGCTCAACCTTCGCAAAACTTCTCCTGGCCAACTGTACCCTGCTGTTTTCCATTCCTTCCCCAACAAAGGCATAGATCATGGTCTTTGCCTCTGTTCCCACAGCTCTCTATGTGGGATGTCTTTTACAATGATAAACACATTGATTGTAATTTTACATTTACATATCAGACTTCTCTCCTTGACTGGTAGCTCCTTCAGGCCAGGACCTATTTCTTACTAATGAAAATATCCCCAGATTTGCCCAAGGCCTGGACCATTGGAAACACTCAAGAAGTGTTTGTTGAACAAACGCTGTTTGGCTATAGAATGAAATGAACATGATGTGGCTGTTCAAGACAGCCCTGATGAAAGGCACTGCCACTGGAAACGAAGAAACAATAAAGACCATTAATCCTTGCCCCTCCTCCCCCAACCCCAGCAAAATGACCATAGGTCTTTCTCTAGAAAAAAAGCAATGACATTAAGACTAGAGATCTCTTTAATGGTGCTGAAGATTATACAAGAGTAGCTGCTACTGAAACGTGAAAGTGACTTTTTTTTTCCAAATAGAAACTATTTTAAAAAAATCAACCATCATGGTATTTTAAAGTTTTCTAAAAGTGGCATTTCCAAAACGTTCAACAGGAATGACATTTTCCTCTTGTGTACTCAAGCAGAGAAAAATTCCCTTCTTTGAATAGTTCATTCTTACATATTTCCCCATTGATACGAGATCCATTGTTTATGGAAATATTTAATTAGCAAGAACTTTATTTTTCAGTGGAATCTCTCTCTTAAGAAAAGGGTGAAAAATAGTGTTGGAAATTTTTATTTTAAAAAATGGGAGTTGAAGTGCATGGCATGGAGCATGTTGTAAAACAGGCAGTGCATCATTATCACCACCCACTCAAAACCATTTTAACTATAATCTCTGTATTTGGGTAGTTCAGCTAATTAACAACCTGGTATTACTGTAAAGATGAGATTGGCATGTTATTTGAAGTGGTTTTTAACAGTCTTTAAGCACTAACCACTCAATTTATTAACAGTTTGCTCTACTAAGGTGAAGAAAATTACATAATTATTATGAGTTTGAAAATGAGAAGAAATATATATGAACATTTTATTTATCATCTAAAGATACCAAAATTAAAATGGTATTTTTAAATATAGTAAAATTCCTGTAAATTTGTATTAATAGTTTACTGCCAATGGATTTTATGGGTCTGTAATCATCTTCCTTATACCCTTTTGTCAATTTTCTTTTTTAGCTTGATGTGATTTAACACATAGGAGAGGAGATTTTAAAAAATTGGAAGGAGAACAAGCAGTGGTTAAAAATGTGAAGCTTAGAAGCAAATTGGCTAGGTTCAAATCCTGGCTCTACCACTTACCACAGGTTCAAAGACCTTAGGCCACACTTAATTCTTCTGTGCCTGTTTTCTCATCTGTAAAACAGGAATCTTAATAATAATATGGCTCACCTATAGGGTTGATGTGAGAATTAATGATTTAACCACGCATAGCACCAGGACACTTAACAAATGGTAGCTGTCATTAATTGGGCTAGCTCTTCCTATAATATCCTACTTTCCCATGGTAGTAGTTTCACAGTATGATTTTCCTACTTTTCCAAGTATGAAGGGTCCTTTTCCAGCTCTCAAAATTCATCAGATCACCACATGACAGCGATCACATATATTTTATCCATTAATTGAGAGTGTGCAAAATTACAAAAAGCTACTCTGAATTTCCTCATGATTTTAAATAAATGTGTATTTTTCCCATTAGCAATGGCATACATATGAAAAGTAGCAGAATACTGCTGTGAAGACAGAGCACAGCCCCAAATCTCAAGTCAAAGTATAAGTGTGCATGTGCAGACCCCAGGGATTCTCAGCCACATGTTGGAATCTACTTACTTAGCATCCTTAGGCCTATCCTATGTGAAGTCTAATGCAGAATGAAGTTGGAATAGATACTAAACCATACCACAAGATTCCTTAGCCTTCACCTAAGTATTTTTCCATAAATATTTTACAGCACAAAGATAACATTATTTTTTCTTTTTCTCTTTTAATGTTAGATTATTTGGCTTTGAGAACAAACTGAACAGAGAGTCAGAAAGCCACCGTAAACAGATATTTGAAGAATTAAATGACATAATACTTGTGAGAAGCCTAGCATGTGTTCTGGAACATAACAGTGCCCCCATAAATTCTACTTTAATCACTGCTTCTCACCTTACCCAAGTTCCAGACTTGGTTCTACTCAAAACAAACAGGACAACTTTGAGCAAATGACGGCTGTCACAGGTGACATAAGACAACTAAGATGACTGTGCCGGTAATGTGTCTATTTGCCCCCAGATCCAACCCCACATACCATCCTTGCTCTACTTGTATCCCAGACACTCTTGCTATATGGCCTGCGGCCATCTTGGCCAATGAGAGACAGTGAAAAGTGATTCAAGAGCAGACAGAAAACAAACTAGGGTAGCCGGGCGTGGTGGGGGGGCTCCTGTAGTCCCGGCTACTCGGGAGACTGAGGCAGGAGAATGGCGGGAACTAGGGAGGTGGAGCTTTCAGTGAGCCGAGATCGTGCCACTGCACTCCAGCCTGAGGCAGGAGAATGGCGGGAACTAGGGAGGCAGAGCTTTCAGTGAGCCGAGATCATGCCACTGCACTCCAGCCTGGGTGACAGAGCAAGACTCGAAAGAAAAGAAAAGAAAAGAAAAGAACAAACTAGGGAACATCTTCCTGTCTCTCTCTTCCAGTGTATCTTTGGCAGTAGCTATGTCCCTCTGTGGTTCCAGCTCCCATCAGGCAGTCCTGTCTTCTGGGCTTTCCAACACTAGCTCTACCCTTTGTCCCTCCAGCTTCAGGGGTATTAGCAGCTTCCTACCAGCTTCCTACTGTTGCTAATTTCTGGGTTTCCTTCCTGTCCCCTGTTCGTTCTTTAGACTCTTCCAATAGCTTTGGAACTACCTCTCCATATTAAATTATTTCTGTTGAACTGCCTGCTGTGGGCTCTGTTTTTCTGACTTCAGCCTGTTACAGTCATCTGACAGGTCTTAAGTTCTCTGATCCTATCATAAGTTAAGCATGGGTGGTTTCAGGACCTTACCTGCCATTTTGTCCATCTACTACCTAGCCCTATGTCCCCTGTCCACAGCTCAGATGTTCTTCCAATACTTTATGTGCATCTTTATCATTCCACTTAAAATGTTATGTCATACTGATCCACTTGTACGTCTATATACCAACTAGACTCTTAGCTCTTTGAGGTAGAGCTGTTTTTCCTCCTCGTTATAAGCCTAATACAGTATTGGTACATAATAGGAACTCTATGCAAGGGTGAGGAATAAATGCATAGATGGAGTCAATGTTCTGCAGGCTCAGATGTAAGCAGTCTTTTTTGCCTGCTCTTGATCGAAGATCATCATCAGGAAAAACCACAGCTCAAATAGATCCTCCTCAGCAGCCTGCTACAAAACCCCACGTTCTACCACAAGAGTGCACTGAGGCATTGTTTTTCTATGAGCCCACTTTAAAAGGCTAATTTGCCTAGGGAAAGTTAAGTCATTATCAATCAGCTGCACCTCAGCAGTGATTAGTTTTATAGATTGTTTCCTATAGACACAGGTTTCTGAGAAGGAGTGGGTAAATACAGATGTGGATAAAAGCCCACAGCAAGGAGTTCCCTTATATTGTGAAGTATAGTAGTCCCTTGAGTCGCCCACATCACATCATCATTCCTCATTATGAGGAGGCCTTAACTTGAAATCTGCTGTGCAGAAGCTGTAGTGTGCGAGTTTCTTAGCCAGTAAATGAAGGTGGAAAGAGGAGCATGAGAGGGGAAGGCCCAGGAAGAGGGAGAGTGTTCTGAAGTTCAGGACTGAGACAAAACTGGCTGAGGATTGAGGGTTGGGATGAAGTATGACAAGTGGCAGGGGACAGGATGAGTTCAGGAGAAGGCACAACAGAGGTGGCCCTGGGTGACCCTTAGCAGAAAAAGATTAGATGGTCTGAGTTGGGAAGAAAGCTAATCATGGAAGTTCTTCTCAACTTGACACTTACCCTCTGCTCCCTTCTGAAAAGATTATTTCATTGATTATATTTTGACTTTGTAGAAGAAAATGTCATTATTATATTCTCAAATTTGGATCCCTGAAGGCTTTGGGATATAGTAATTTGTATGTTCATTTATTCATTTAATAAACTGTTATTGAACTCTGACTTTAATTTGGGTGCTGTACTTAGAGCCAAGTGGAAACCTCTCACATTAGAGACTTGCTTTTTGTTTTCACAGACAAGGTGAGGAAAAGAGTACCCAAGGAAGAAGGGAAGGGTTTCTTTCCTGTCTTCCTTCTCAATCCAATCATTATTTTATAACATGAGACTGTTTCATAGCTTAAGCTCATCCCCCACAATGGGAAAGAATATTTGTCCTGGAATGCCCAGTCCTTAACATAGCATCTGGAATTTAGCTGGTATTTAATATATTTTAGGCCAATGATGGATGGAAGGATGAAGGATGGATGGGTCCACTACAGCACAGGGCTCTCTGAATGGTTACCCAGATGTTTCCAATACCGATCTTTCCTAATTTTTTCTTTAGGAAAAGAATTTATGCTTAAAGCCAGTTCTGGGAAAGTCAAAAGCTGTTTTAATTTTTTTTTTTTTTTTAGTATGAAGGAAGATATATGGTTGAAGGAAACGAACGAATAAATGGGATATCCTCTCAGGCATTTTCCTCCGAGGAGTCATGCTTACTGAGATTCACATTAAAATCTTGCAGCAAATGTCTCTACAAACTCCGTACTGCTTTTTCTTCCTTACCAGTATCTCCTCTACTAATTTTAATACTATGTAAATATGCTGCTGATCTAACCTCAGCTATCTACCTGCAACTCACAACTACTTTCAGCCTCACACATATGCTCATCTAGTTTTCGTTTTAAGTCATTCTAAAGATCAAATGTCTTTACACTCCTGGAAATGATATTGTGTTGTGTGTGTGTGTGTCTGTGTCTGTGTGTACCTATATATATGTTTGTGTGTAAATTATCATAAATATTTGCCTGGCCACATAGACCACTGCAAGTACCTGGAGATCTGGGAAAACTCATTCTCTTTTTAAATGAACACTGTGCATCTATCTTTTTGGGGGCTTGTGTCTGTCTTTTTCCAGGATGCAGTGACACCAAGCTGAGAACTGACATCAACCAGAGGAAGGGGTTGGAGAGGCAGAATTGAGGTTGGAGCAGCCCAGTAGAGGTTCAGGAAGGTCACTGAAGCTGAGGATGATGAAAGGAGGGTCATAGCAGCCACATCCAGGAGGCCATTTAGGAAAACTTTAAGCAGGCAAGTGATGAGACTTGATTTACTTCTTTACAAGATCATTTTGTGTGCTGTGTGGAAAGGTAATTGGAGGGCACACAAAGCAGAGGAAAGAGACATACATACGTAACTTAGGGCAAAGTTGAAAGAAATTTAAATTCAGTATTACCATTAAACCTCAGCCATTATTAGTCCACTTTAACTTCAGTTTTCCATTTTATTCTGAAGTTAAGGCCTTAAACACGTCACACCTTGGGTTCCAGCATCAAATAACCACAGGCTCCAGCACACCCACATCTTTCTGTTGTGTTTACCCAAGGGTTTCAAGGCTTCAGGGAAGTCTTAACATCTGTAGCCTTTAAAAACCTCCTAATATCAGAGAGCAAGCATGTTTGTTACCTTAACTCTTCTATTGAGCTTGAGCTCATTGTATCCACTTATTTTCAAAGGGTAACTACTCTTACAGAGTTATTGCTTCATGCTTTTTGTTCTCCAGCACACAGGCTGTGGCTATACTATACCCATTCCTGACCACCACCCTGCAAGTCCCAGGTGGTAGGAATCCCCCACTCAGCCCAGCACACCACCTTCTCTTGGTCCAAGTGGCTTCCACATTCGCCCAGCCCTCAGTATCTCTTCAGTGGCTGCAAGAGCCTCTTGACTTGTCTAATACACTCTAGGAGAGGCAGTTGCATAACTGTTCTATTCAAATATTGTTAGAAACACGATTTTGGACTAAAATCACTTTCTGCAGTGGCTTCTCCTTTGTCAAGTAAGAGTGCCATGTTTTACTATTGTGAATCACAAGAAACTTAAATGTCTTTTTTCTTTCAATGTCAATCTATAGCAGAAAAGCATATTTTTAAAAGATACAAAATCACATGAATTAAGTTAAGCATATTTAGAAAGAAAGAATACAATGTTACTTACTCTTTCTGTTACTGAGATTATGATTTCTCTCTAAATATATTCTCTATTTTCCCAGTATTCTTCAACGAGCACGTTACCTTTGACACCATAAATCATTATCTTTTGAAAAGTTTGATATTTTACATAAACTTGTAAATTCATTTAAATGATTTTACTATAACTCATATATATGATTTAACTTGTGTGGGTGTGTGTGCGTGCATGTGTACATGCATGCTTGAACGTAACTTTATTCCTACCAGAAGCACTAACTCCTAACCCTGGTGTAGGAGTACTGGGTTCAGGTTGCACCTACAGGCAGCAAGTCCCACCCTCCAGTGCCTGGGACCCAGGAGAAGAGAGGCCATGAGGTTTTTGAAGGAAATAACGTGGGAAAACAAGAAGGTGGACAAGAAAACAGGTTCCTGAAAAACAGGTTCCTGAAAACAAGAAGGTGGACAGGAAAACAAGTTCCTGGTCATGATAGGACACAAAAGCATGCAATTAAGTGAGAATTAATGAACTAATAGGAAAATGAGAAAATAAAATCCAAATATCCAGTGATTCCTTAACACAGACTCCTAGTTTTAAGACAGATTCTTAGTTTCCCTTATAATGTTAAAGATGAATTTGTCAGAGTCCCTGTCCTCATTTCAAAAACAAAACGAAACAAGCAAACAAATTGGCTTTCTAATATGTGCCATGCATTGTGTAAAGAGCTCTATGAGCATAAAGAAAGACATGACTGTAAAGCACTTAGAACATTGCTTAGTGCCTAACAACCACTGACTCATTGCTGCTGCTATTTTTACATTAGCCACCATTTTAGAGATGAGAAAACTGAGGTTCAGGAAAGTGACACAGCAAAGATTTTAATCCAAGACTCTCTGACTTTAAATCCACTGTAAACTCTTAACTTCATTGCAATTACTAAAGTTACAGTCCAAATGCCTTTCCAAAGGGCCTCAAATGGAAATATTCTAACATGGTGCAAACTGAACTGTGAGTAGTTCTTTGAAGTTCTTTCATTATATTTACTACACTTTCTTAAAATGCAATAGGCTGTGAGATTTACAATGCTCAGAGTTTCTAGTTATTGTCTTTTCCCAGAAGAGCCTTTGATTTTGTTAAGAATCTTACCTTAAATCTATAGATATAATAAGTGAAATCAGGGAAATGCCATCAGGAATTGCAGGCATTATTCTGAACACAGCCGGTACCATACAGGGCTATAGCTGAAACACCTTGGACAGGATGAGGCTGGTTCTAACCTAAAGCATACAGAATACAGGAAAAGTGCCTTGGTTTCTTTTGTGTAACTTCCCAAGGATAGTTTGTTATTCTCCTAAATAATGTATCATATTTGCTGTGGGAGTATACTGGTTAAGAACAAAGCCTTTTGGATTTGGAAAGACCCAAATCCAGGCCTCTTCTCTGTCCTTCCTGGCTGCAGTATCCCATGCAAGTTGTTCTCTTTGAATCTATTCCTGTGTGAGTATAAAACGAATGATAGTACCTACATCATAGGAAAGGAGAGCAAGAAGAAAATGAATTGAGAGAAACGCGTATAAAGTACTTAGCATAGTCCAGATATAGAGTTGGGGCTCAGTAAACGCTGACATTATTAAAAGGAAAACATGTTTTTGGATTCTAAAAAACGCGCCTATTTTAGGCGATGTGTTCTAGGGGAAAGAAGTGAGTCAGGAGATGTGGATCCTATTTTGGGATTCAGAACTGTAGTCACAGGAACCAGCAATTTCCCTGAGAGTTTGTGAGTTGATTATAAAATGGAGAAAGTAATATTTTTGCTTACCTGCTTGGATGCATGGAATACAACTTTCTTCTCCTAAGAATCAAGTGTATAAAACATTTTTTCAGTCATGTGGGTCTTTGTATTGGGCATGAGATGAGAAGGGTATTTTAAACCAGTTTCTCTTGTATACGTTTTTTTAAAAATCTGTCTGCACATGTCAAATCGTCAGCAGCCAAGTCTAGCCTGTAGATGCAGACCGAACACTTCTTTAGGAGCTCTGAACAATATGCCAAGATGCTTACGGATACCAGGAAACAGGAAGACTTTGAAATCAGCAAAATAACTCCTGGAAAATTCTCCTGCTAGTACCTTATCATTCTGCTTCCCTATCTCTGTGCTGTGCATATTAAAAAGAAGGGGGCAAAGAGAAATAATGGATTCTCTGGATTTCCTTGAGATAATATGTTCAGAAATGGTTTCTCTGGGAACTAATGAGACATCCTTTGCAGGCTGAATAATATGAATTCAATTCTAACCCAACCATTGAAGTATAATTTCAAGGTAACCAGTAACATTATTACGTCCTTCCTTCCTTTCATATACCCATCCCAGACTAATGATAACTGTTTTTGCCGAATACTTTTAAAGCTTTTCCTTCCTGATGAAACTTTAGAGTTTTTTCGTTAACAAAGTTTATATAGCAACCATAAAAATCAGAAATTACTAATTAAGACTATTAGGAAAAATCCGCCAGAGGCTTCAGAATTAAAATATATCTTAATTAGATAGGCATTTCAAGATTCTAGGATTCTCTTCTATAAATGGTAAAAGTTCTACCCCCAAACTGGGTGGAACTTCATAGTGCATACTACTGCTTCTGTTCATTCAACTGGGTAGTGTTACTGCATTGTGAATGCATCAATAGGAACAGAAAATTATGCTAGGAGACTAATATTAACAACAATGACAACACCAGAAACAAAATCATAATTGAGAAGTCTGAATATAAATCTTTTTCTCAAGGAACCATTGGCCGCAAGCTGTAGAAACGATGTATTTGTCATTTTATATTTGCCTACAGTGACACCTGCTGGAAAACACTGTTGAAGCTTTAAAATAAAAATAAATTTAAAATTTAAAATAAAAGCCAAGCTTTGAAAATATCAGCCATATATTACTATTATTTTTGCCTAAAAATGCATTGCCTAAACTTCAATTTAATTTCTGATTCTTCTTTTGAATTTTCTTCTCTGTGCAAACTGAGAAACTAAGATTCAATTCCATTTGATGAAATAATTGTTTAACTGGTATGAGAGAATTGGAGTTAACTTTTATATGATGCAAACTATTTTTAAATGGAAGAATTTATAAACAGTTTGGTGGCATTATTTTGCTTCTTTCTGAAATGTTGCTTTAAAATTTGCATATCAACTGCAGTGTGATGATAAGTATTTTTCAAAATCTTACTTAAGAATAAATATCAAGATACTTAATACTGGTGAAAATATTTAATAGCTAGCACTTTCCTAAGCAGCATTAATGCACAGAGCCATTTTGTGTTTGAGGTTTTTATGTTGTCCTTTAGCATGCACTGGATGCCAGCTACACTATGCGTTAAGCAACCAATGTGGATCTTATGCAAATTCCCTTTGATTTCAGCAGAGACTTTGCATACTAAGAGTTCCCATCTCCCAGTGACACAGAAAAGGATTTGTGTACCTATGTCCCATTACCATTAATAACATTCACCAATAAAATTCTAGCCCATTGAGAAGGTGCAAACATTTACATGGAAGTGAGTCTTTCACAAAGCTGATTTTACCCCAAGATTTGGTATCTACAAGGGACTTGTCATCTACAAGGGACTTGTCATCTACAAGGGACATATTTGCAAAGAAGTATCTTGAGATCTTCATATTCTTGAGTTCAGTCACTTCAGACTTTTCACAATCATTTCAGTATGGTTTGTGTGCTGTTGGTGACACTTTTTCCCACTTAAATTTTTTTTCCTAAATGTAAAAACTGTCCTCAAAGTCACAGTTTCTTTATAAAGCAAATACATAGGGTTTCTTTCCACTTCATTTGTAGCTATGCCTCCATTTCTCTAAAAATTCCTTCTAGCATTAGGTAGAGACTTGATGCTTCAGAACAAAGGGACTCATGTCTTTATACCTGCTACATAGCTGGTTTTCCATCTTTTACCATTTCACCATATCTGTTCTTCTGGGAGGAAGCTGTCTTTTCTTAAAAGTCAAAATTCATAAGGGAATAAATGTTCTCTATCTTAAGTTAACCTCCATATTAATCCATTTTCTCATTCCTTCAGCTCTAAAGACTGTGTCTTTATTAACCAGTAAAGCTGCCAATGATTTGTAGAGATGATACTCCACATACCCTTCTTATATATGAGGAAACTTTGGCCAATAGAGGTAGACTAAGGTCAGTTACATGAGAAGCACTTCCTGAATTAATAAAGTGATGCCAGTTCCATAACTTCTGTAGCTGAGCAAAATCAGTAACTTTTTTTCATCTCTGTCCATTGCATCCTGAAGTGGTACTATGGTTCAAATGTCTGTGTTCCCCCAAAATTCATATGTTGAAATCTAATCCCTAGTGCGATGGTATTAGGCAGTAGGGCCTTTTTTCGAGGTGATTAGGTCGTGAGGGCAGAGCCCTCATGAATGGGATTCGTGTCATTATAAAATAAGCCAGAGGAAACTTGTTTGCCTCTTCTACCATGTAAGGACATGGCAAGAAAGCACCAACTATGAACAAGGAAATAGGCCCTTACCTGATACTGAATCTACTGGCAACTTGATCTTGCTCTGTCGCCCAGGCCTGAGGGCAGTGGCACCATCTCAGCTCACTGTAACCTCTGCTTCCTGGGTTCAAGTGATCCTCCCACCTCAGCCTCCAGAGTAGCTGGAATTACAGGAGTGTGCCACATACCTGTCTATTGATCTTGGACTTCTAAGCGTCCAAAACTGAGAAATAAATTTATTTGTTTATAAGCCACCCAGTTTATAGTACTTTGTTATAGCAGAATGAATAAAGTAAGACAAGTGGGTAAAATGAACTTTTAAAAAAAGAGATGGTTAAATATATATATTTTGCTTAGCACCAGTTAAAATTTTTTAAAATAAAAAGATAATTTTTTTAGGTCTCCACATAAATTTTATCCACACACCTTCAAAATAGTTAAGAATATCTCCAAATTTCTTTCTCAGTTCCTGGGATTGAATTTTCCAGGCAGTAAAGCAGATTTCTCTAATCTTTAATCTCCACTCCCAATTAATCCCACATTGCAGGATAAAGGAAGCAGAAGTAAGATACAGAAAACAGTACCCCTCACTCCTGAGAATCCTAAGAGATATTCAGAGAGACCCTGGGTTTCTCACCATACAGAGAAGAAAGTTCAGAAAACTCTGCTTAATGGTTTAAGTAAACTCAATTAAGCTGAAGCTCTTGAGCATACAAGTGTTGCACTTGCTATACAGATGTATGTTTATATTTGTTTTTATTTTATATGTATTTGCTTTTATAAATTGTAGGTAAAATACCAACAACATATCAATTTGATATTAAATTTATCAGCACATTAAAAATCACACAAATCATTAGAAAACTACATTAATGAAAGTATTCAATTTTTCTCCATGCTTTAAAGAGTTAATCCTCAAACGGCATCTGCACAAATTGGAGGTGGGTGGTTTCTGGATCTTTTATCTAAGAATATTTTAATCTTGGGTTCTCATTGTTATGACAGTTCAAATTAAAATCACGTAAGTGTATTCTGAATAACACTTTAGAACTGAGAACTATCATGTCATTTCAGTGACTATGTTTTTTTCAAGTAATTCTACTTCCAATGGTATAGTCCCACTGAAAAAAAAAGAACTGAAGTAGGTTTAATGTGTGGATGATGAAATTTTATCACATGAAGGACAAGTCACACAATCATGTACTACATCCAGGCTTTTCCAATAGTTTCAGTAGAGAAAAGTAGTGGAAAATTTGAGTAATTTCACAATGGCATGGGTATCTGTCAGTCTTTATCTGTCTTGTAGGCCTTTCTTTTGGGATTTTTGGTAGGGCTGAAAATTAAGAGAGCTACCTTTCTTCCCAGTAAGTTGGGCAAATGACCCAAGCTGGCTAATAAGAGGATTCAGTGATTGGTTCAAAGGAGGACATATGATCCAACCAAGCCAATCAGTGTCATTTTTGGTCAGGGCTTATGGATTTGGGAGGGAACAAGGGGGGTTTATATTTCTGGGATGACCTTGACCTGTAAAGATGCTATTGTCTTGGAGCTACCCATGGGACATCTTTGCTAATAGTTGGATAAAGAGAGAGAGAAAGTCCGTCTGAGAATAAAGCTGTATGGATAAAACCAGGGGCAGAGGTAGAGAATTCAAATGAAATAATTGTAACCCCTGAGTTCATTCATTTCTTAATTTATGGTTTCACCTTCCCAATTATGTGTTTGTGATCCAAAACAGTACAAAAAGGTGTTGTTGTTGTTGTTGTTGTTGTTTTCTTGCTGAGCTAGTTCTTCTGTTCCTGTAACTCAAAGGATCTTGACCAATACACCTGGCACATAATATTGCGCATATGCATACTCAATGTTTAAAAAAATGTGTTACAAGAATCAATACCATATTCACATTCTAAGTGGCCATTTCATTTCAGAAAAATAACATCATTTATTATATTAATGTTGTTAACACAAATTGTATTGGGATTCTAGTTTATTTATAGTTAATCTGTATATTTGCTTTAGTTGTATACTTTCATAAAAACTATAAGCATAAAGAACTTATATATAATTTTATGTTTTCTCATATGTAAGTAATATAATAATTAAAATCACTTAAGTCAACACTGGGAGTCCACAATAATTGTCCCCATTTGAGAGGGTCTGTCCTAAATCAGAAGCTGGAGAACATTCTCTACCACAAGTGCAGGAAAGAAACAAGCAATACTGATGAAAATGCAAAATGGTACAGTTCCACATGGAGGGAATTTTCCTGTACCTTTGACCTTTGGCATCTATCCCAAACCTACTTTTTGGAATATACCCCAAAGATAAACAAGAAAAATATGAAGTGATTGTGCACAAAGGTATTTATTGTAGCACTATGTATAATAGCAAAAGATTGGAAAGAACTCAAATGTCCATGAATGGGAACTGGCTGAAGAAACTATGATATCATCATAGTGGAGTGCTATGCAACTGTAAAAAGGAATGAGCAAGATCTCTGCATACTAATAAGGAGTAATCTCCAAGATGTATTGTCAAGTTAAAAACAACAACTGGCCAGGCGTGGAGGCTCACGCCTGTAATCCCAGCACTTTGGGAGCCCAAGGCGGGCAGATCACCTGAGGTCAGGAGTTCAAGACCAGCCTGGCCAACCTGGTGAAACCCCCGTCTCTACTAAAAATACAAAAATTAGTTGGGCGTGGTAGCAGATGCCTGTAACCCCAGCTACTCGGGAAGCTGAGGCAGGAGAATCGCTTGAGACTGGGAGGCAGAGGTTGCAGTGAGCCGAGATCATGCCAATTACACCCAATCTGGGCACAAGAGCAAAACTCCGTCTCAAAAAAGACAAAAACAAAAACAAAAACAAAAAAAAAACACCAATAATAACTACAAGGTATAGAGGATTTTTTTTTGCAAGAAAAGTGAAGAGGAATATTAATGTAAATATACAATTCTGCTTAGATTTTCAAGAAGAAATAATGAAAGAATAAATCAAAACTAATAGAAACTTGTTTCTATGAGGGAAAAATAGAAAAAAAGTTTGGAGGGGGCAGGGATGAAAATTTTTGAGTTAATGTAGTTTTGAATTTTTTTTTTTTTTTTTTTTTTTTTTTTTTTTTTTTTTGAGATAGAGTCTTGCTCTGTTACCCAGGCTGGAGTA